>NC_000012.12:82460128-84960128 GCF_000001405.40 Homo sapiens
GAGGGTCTCTGAACAACTGTGTCTGTAATCCACTCATCCAACCCACACTCTAAAAGTTACAGTATATGGTCTACCTTTGCTTGTCTAGACCCCCCTTATATAGATTTACTGTAAAAAACAAATTGAATAAATAAATACATGGAGGAGAAGAGACAAATGTCCTATGGAAAAGAGTTCCAAATAATTTATATAGATATTTCCTCCTCAAGGAGATAGAGCAAAACTCCCCATTCTTTAAGTGTGGCCTGTGCATAGTGACTTTTTTCCAAGAGCATAGTATGTGAATGGTAGAAAAAGAGGAACTTTCCAGTGAAGAACCTGACAAACAGAATCTCAGCCAAGTAATCAAGCTCAACATGAACAGTGATAATTCATGTTGCTAGTATGTACTCTTGTTATAAGGTGAGGAATATGTACTTTATTCCTATGATAGTTCTTTCAAAAGCCTATCCCCACTCTATTTATGAGAAAAATATCTGACAAATCCCAGTGGAGAAACATTCTACAAAATACCTGATCAGTACTTCTCAAAACTGTCAAGGTCTGCAAATCAAGACAAGTTTGAGAAACTGTCAAAGCCAAGAGGACTAATTGCAGTGTGGGTTCCCTGGATGGGATTCTAGACTGGAAAAGGACATTAAATAAAAACTAAAGAAATTTGAATATAATGGGGACTTTAGTTAATAATGTATCAATACTGGTTCACTAATTATAACAAATATACCATATTGTAGGCCGGGCGCGGTAGCTCACGCCTGTAATCCCAGCACTTTGGGAGGCCAAGGCGGGCGGATCACAAGGTTAGGAGATGGAGACCATCCTGGCTAACACAGTGAAACCCCATCTCTACTAAAACTACAAAAAATTAGCCGGGCATGGTGGCGGGCGCCTGTGGTCCCAGCTACTCAGGAGGCTGAGGCAGGACAATGGCATGAACCCGGGAGGCAGAGTTTGCAGTGAGCCAAGATCGTGCCACTGCACTCCAGCCTGGGTGACAGAGCAAGACTCCGTCTCCAAAAAAATATGTATATATATACCATATTGTAAAATGTTAACAGAAGAAAAGAGTATACAGTATATGGAAATTCTCTGTCCTATTTTCAAAATTTCTATAATACAAAACTGTTATATATTTATTTTTTAGAAACAACATGAGATAATTAACGTTTATCAAACCTTTGCTTTGTGCCAGGCACTGTGCTAAAAGCTTTGTTTATATTATCTCATTGAATACTAAGGATGGCCTTATGAAATAAGTGATGTTATTATTGTTTTATAGATGAGGAAATTGAGACATAAGTTAAGTGGATTTCTTTAGCCCAAAATCTAGGAAACTGGGGAAGAAGAATTCTAATCCAGGCTGTCTAACTCTAGAACTCATGCTTCTGTTTGTCATACTTATATAACTTATTAACAGACATGGAGCACAAGAATGCTTGTTTGGCATTTTTCCAAAACTAGCAATCATCAGGCAAACAATAAACCTACGAGAAAAAAAATAAAGAGAAAATTCATGCTTGTCAACAGACAAAATAGATGTAATTCTAAAACAGATTAAGGAATTAAACTTTGAAATAAAGGCAAAAAAAAATCAAGGAATGATGAATCTTACTAAAGAGTTAAAGATTTGCTTGTATCCAGGACTTTAACTCATGAAAGTCTGGCTGATGGGACAAAACTGACCAAATGTATGAAACATTTTGGGTACTAAGATGTATGCGATCTAACGCATAGAATAGATTAGAGTTAAAATCACTGTCAACAAACTACAAGCACCTGAGCATGATTTCTTATATATTGTCTCCCACTCTAGTTTCTCTTTAGGACTGCATATCTTCCTGTAGATGACTCAGAGCCCACTAAGTAGGCCCTACTAGGGCCTTACTGCACAGCTTAATTCATGCTAGTTCCTTTTTCTATAGACTAGGAGTTGAGCAGTATGGAGCAATGGCATTCATAACCAGTACTTTCAGCTGCCATTCAGTGTGCACTCTCAATTTATAAGTTTGCATGTCTGTTCTTGCCTAAGGATGATCTGTACCAGGCGATGCTTCCATTCCAATGCCTTCCTTTTATCTTCAGGAAGTTGAAGAGGCTCTCACTGGCTTTAACACTCAGTAATGATGTCTATGATACAAGACCATGAATATACAGTGCTATAGACTGCTAGAACTTAATTCTCTTATCTAGCTATAATTTTGTATTCTTTAACAAATATTTCCCTATTCCCCACTTCACCCTACCCTTCCAAGCCTCTGGAATCCTCTGTACTATGTTTTATTTCTATGAGATTAATGTTTTTTCCAGCTTCTGCATATGTGAGAACATACCGTATTTAATGTTCTGATCCTGGCTTATTTCACTTATCATAATGTATATACATAAATATACATGTCTATAACATGAGACCATGAATATACTTCTGACATCTATCTTTAAGGTGTATATATACAGCTTAAATGAGATACTCTCTTCATTTTAAAATTTTCTTAAAATCTCTGTGATCTAATGAGACTAATTTTTAAGCATTTAATTTAAAAAGTTTATCATGAAAGCAGTCTTCAAGCACTGAATTTTTCACTGAAAAACACATGAATACAGTCGTTCCTTGCTATCCTCAGGGGATTGGTTCCAGGACTCCCATGGATATCCAAATCCATGGATGCTCCAGTCTCTAGTGTCATAGTATTTGTATAGAACCTATGCATATCCTCCTGTATACTTTAGATAATCTCTAGACTACATATAATACCTAATACAGTGTAAATGCTATGTAAGTAGTTGTTGTACTGTATTTTTTTATTTTTTATTTTTTAAATGGACACATAATAATTGTACATATTTATGATATACATAGTGATGTTGCAATATATATTATGTATAGTGATTAGACCAGGGTTATTAGCATATCCATCATCTCAAACATTTATCATTCCTTTGTGTTGGGGACATTCAGGATCCTCCTTCTAGCTATTTGAAACTATATAGTATATTATTGTTAACTATAGTCATCCTGCAATGCTATAGACCACTAGAACTTAATCCTCTTATCTAGCCATAATTTTATATTCTTTAACAAATCACTGTCTATAATGCACTTCCCCCTACCCTTCCAAGCCTCTGGGATCCTCTGTACTATATTTTACTTCTAGGAGATTAACTTTTTTTTTCCAGCTTCTGCATCTGAGTGAGAATATACTATGTTTTTAACGTTCTAATCCTGGCTTATTTCACTTAACCTAATGATCTACAGTTCTACACATGTTGCCAGGAATGAAGGATTTCATTATTATTTATGGCCAAATCATATTTCATTGTTTATACATACCACATTTTCTTTGTCTCTGTTAATCTGTTGATGGACACCAAGGTTGGTTCAATATCTTGGCTATTATAGATAGTGCTAAAGTAAACATAGGGATGCAGATAGCTCTTTGATATATTGATTTCTTTTCCTTTGAGTAAATGCCAAGTAGTGGGATTGCTGGATCATATGATAGTTCCATTTATAGTTCTTTCTGGAACCTCTATCCTCTTCTCCATAGTGGCTATACTAGTTTACATTCTCACCAACAGTCTATAGGAGTTCCTTTTTCTCTGCATCCTTGCCAACATTTGTTATTTTTTATCTTTTTTCATAGTAGCCATTCTAACTGGGGGAGATGATACCTCATTGTGGTTCTGATTTGTATTTCCCTAATGATTAGTGATGTTGAGCATTTTTTTTCTATATTTTCTGGCCATTTGTATGTCTTCTTTTGAGAAATATCAGTGCAGATTATTTGCCCATTTTTTCCTTGGGTGTTTGGGTTTGTTGTTGTTGTTGTTGTTCTTGTTTTGCTATTGAGATATTTGAGTTCCTTGTATATTCTCGATATTAATTCCCAGTTGGATGAAGAGTTTACAAATATTTTCTTCTAGTCTGTAGATTGTCTTGTTCACTCTGATGATTGTTTTGTTTGCTCTGCAGAAGCTTTTTTAGTTTGATATAATCCTCTTTGCTTATTTTTGCTTTAGTTGCCGGTGCTTTTGAGGTCTTACTCAAAAATATTTTCCCAGAGCAATATCCTGAAGCATTTCCCCTATGTTTTCTCCTAGTAGTTTTGTTGTTTTGAGTTTTATATTTAGGTCTTGGATCCATTTTGAGTTGATTTTTGTATAGGATGAGAGGTGAGGTGTCTAGTTTAATTCCTCAGCATATGGATATTCAGTTTTCCCAGCAACATTTATGGAAGTGATTATTCTTTCCCCAGTGTATATTCTTGACATCTTTATCAAAAATTAGTTGACTGCAGACACATGGATTTATTTCTGGGTTCTCTGTTCTATTGCATTTGTCTGTGTTTCTGTTTTTATGCCAGTATCATGTTGTTTTGGTTACTACAGCTTTGTAGAATATTTTGAAGTCTAGTAGTATGATGCTTCCAGCTTTGTTCTTTTGGTTCAAGATTGCTTTGGCTATTCTGGATCTTTTGTAACTCCATACAAATTTTAAGATTTTTTTTTCTAATTCTGTGTAGAATGTCATTGGTATTTTGATAGGGATTGCATTGAACCTGTACATTGCTTTGGGTAGTATGGTCATTTTAATATTATTAATGCTTTGGATCCATGAGCATGGGATGTTTCTCCATTTGTTTCTATCCACTTCAGTTTCTTCAGTGTTTTGTAGTTTTTCTTGTAGAGGTCTTTTACCTCCTTCGTTAAATTTATTCGTATATATTTTATTTCCTTTATAGCTATTGTAAATGGAATTGACTTCTTGATTTTTTTTAATCTAGTTCATTTTGTATAGAAATGCAATAATTTTTGTATGTTGATTTTATGTTCTGCAATTTTACTAAATATGTTTATTAGTTCTAAGACTTTTTTTGGTAGAATCTTTAGGTTTTTCTATATGTAAGATCATGTCATCTGGAAAGAGGGATAATTTTACCTTCTCCTTTCCAATTTGGATGTCCTTTATTTCTTTCTCTTGCCTAATTGTTCTGATTAGAACTTCCAGTACTGTGTTGCATGAGAGTGGTAAGACTGGGCATCTTTGTCTTGCTAAAGTTCTTAGAGGAAAAGCTTTCAGTTTTCCCCCTTTCAGTATGATGTTAGCTATGGAATTGTCATATATGGCCTTTATTATGTTGAGGTATGTTTCTTCCATGTCTAGGTTGTTGAAAGTTTTTATCATGAAGGGATGTTGAATTTTATCAAATGCTTTTTCTACATCTATTGAGATAATATTATAGTTTTTGTCCTTCATTCTGTTGATGTGATGTCTCATTTATTGCTTTGTGTATGTTGAAGCAGCCATGCATTCCTGAGATATAGCTCACTTTCATAGTGTGTTATCTTTGATATTCTGTTGGATTCAGTTTGCTAGTATTTTGTTGATAATTTTTGTGTGTAATGTTTGTCAGAAGTATTGGCCTGTAGTTTTATGTTTTTGTTGTTGTGTCCTTATCTGCTTTTGGTTTCAGCGTTATGCTGACCTCGTATAATGAGTTAGTAAGAATTCCCTACACTTTAATTTTTTGCAATAGTTTCAAATGAATTGGTATTCATTCTTTTTTAAACTTTAGTAGAACTCATCTATGAAGCCATCGATCCTGGAACTTTCTTTGTTGGAAGACTTTTAATCACTGATTCAAACTTGTTACTTGTTATTGGTCTATTCAGGTTTTCTATTTCTTCCTGGTTCAATCCTGGTAGGTTGTATGTGTCTAAGAACTTGTCTATTTGCACTGCATTTTCTAATTTTTTGGTGTATAGCTGTTCATAGTAGTTTCTAATGAGTCTTTATATTCTGTGGTATCTGTTGTGATGTCTATATTTTTGTTTTGGATCTTCTTTATTTGATTCTTCTTGCCTGTTTTTTTTTTTTTACTTTGTTTCACTAATTGTAGATTTTGTTTATCTTTTCAAAAAAACAATTTTTTGTTTTGTTCTCTTTTTAATTCTCAGTTGCATTTATTTCTGCTCTGATCTTAATTTTTTTCCTTCTACTAATTTCGGATTTGGCTTGTTCTTGCCTTTCTAATTACTTGAGATGTATCATTAGGTTCTTTATTTGAAATCTTTCTAGATTTTTGATGTAGTTAGTTATTGCTGTAAACTTACCCCTTAATACTGCTTTTGGTGTCTTCAATAGGTTTTGGTATGTTATGTTTCTGTTTTCCATTGTTTCAAGGAATTTTTTAACTTCATTCTTAGTTTTTTTTTTTTCTTTTTTTCACCCATTGGTCATTCAGGAGCATGTTTTTAAATTTCCATGTATAGGTTTGAATTTTCCTCTTGTTATTGATGTTTAGTTTTATTCCATTGTGGTCAGATAAGATATTTGGTATGATTTTGATTTTTTAAAATTTTTGAGACTTTTTTGTGTCCTAAGGTATGGTTAATCCTGGTGAATATTCCATGTACTGATGAAAAGAATGTGTATTCTGCAGCTGCTGGGTGAAATGTTTTATAAATGTCTGTTCTGTTAGTTTGATCTAATGTGCAGTTTAAATCTAATGGGTTTTTTCTGTTGATTATCTGTCTAGATGATCTGTCCAATGCTGAGAGTGAGGTGAAGTCCCCAACTATTACTGGATTGAGGTCCATCTGTCTCTTTAGATCTAATAATATTTGCATTATATATCTAGGTACACCAGTATAAGGTGCATCTGTATTTAAAATTGTCATATTCTTTTGCTAAAGTATTCCCTTTATTATTATGTAGTTTCTCTCTTTATAGCTATTGGCTTGAATTCTATTTTGCCCAATCTACTCCTGCTCAATTTTTCCGTTAGCATAGAATACCTTTTATTTTATTTTATTTTATTTTGAGATGGAGTCTCAAAGTCTGGAGAGCCATGGCATGATCTTGGCTCCCAAAGTGCTGAGATAACAGGTGTGGGCTACCACATCTGGCCAGAATATCTTTTTGTAATCCCATCACTTTAAGCCTGTGAGTGTGTTTTCAGGTGAGGTAAGTTTCCTACAGGCAGCATATAGTTGGGTCTTTAAAAAAAAAAAAATCCATTCTGCCAGTTCATATGTTTAAAGTGGAGAATGTAGACCATTTACATTCAGGGTTATTATTGACAGGTGAATACTTACTTCTGGCATTTTAAAAATTGTTTTCTGGTTGTTTTTTAAATCTTTTTTTGTCTTGCTTACCTCTTATTTATTTTTATGATTGGGTGGTTTTCTGCAATGATAAAGTTTGATTCCTTTCTCTTTTGTGTATCACCCTTACCAGTGAGTTTTATAGTTTTCATGCTTTGATAATGGTGATTGTTATTTTTTCACTTCCAGATGTAAGACTCATTTGAGTACTTTTAAAGGCCAGTCTAAGGGCGATGAATTCTCTTAGTTTTTACTTATCTGTGATCTGTGAAATATTTTCTTTCATCTTCATTTCTGAAAGATGGCTTTTCTGGGTATCATTATCTTGGCTGGCAGTTTTTTTGTTTTATATTTCAATGTTTTGAATATATCATGCCATTCTTTCCTGTCCTATAAGCTTTCTGCTGAAAAAATCCACTGTTCGTCTAATTGAGATTCCCTTATATGTGGCTTGATGCTTTTCTCTTGATGATTTTAGAATTCTTTATTTGTTCTTGACTTACAGTAGTTTGACTTTAATATGCCTTGGATAGAACCTGTTTGGGTTTAATCTATTTGGGGTCTTTGAGCTTCCTGGACATGGATGTTCATTTTTCTGCCAAGACTTGGGAAGTTTTCAACTATTATTTAATTAAGTATGTTTTCTATACCCTTTTCCTTCTCTTTTCCTTCTGGAATACCCATAATGCAAATATTTGCTTGGTGGTCTTAAGGGTGTCCCAGAAAGCCTATAGGCTTTTTTTTATTTTTTTGTTTTTATAAATTTGTTTTTGTCTGTCTGTATTATTTCAGAAGACCTGTCTTCTGGTTCAGAAATTTTTTCTTCTCAAAGTCCTTTCCTACACCAGCATTCTCAAAGTCTGTATGATTTTTCTAACCTAGTGTGTCAACTAAAATTAAGATCTTTGCTAAATTTTTTAAAATAACCCAGCAGAAAACAAGTACTGTTCCAGTCCACTAATAATCTCCCTATAATCTCTTTAAATTTGTAAGTTGGTCAAATCTACCAAAAAGATTGGCCAACTGGAAAAATTTGATTTTCAAATATACTTCTAAGTATTCTTATGAAAAAGATGTAACAAGGAGATAAAGAATGGAATTCTGGGAGAAAGTTGTCTTTATTTACAAAGACCTTTGGAGGAAGGGTCAGCTAAGGACAAGGAGGCATGAGGAGGCACTCTAAAGAAGAAGCTGGAAAACTGCCTCCTAAATAACTCACCCCATAATGCATCCTCAAGGGATCATCTTAAGCCTCATCCTACTTGTGGCAGATACTGTAGTTTTTTTAGGTACAAGTGAGTAGAGCAATAGGTTAGCCTGTCATGCTACCTTGCATCTATGATGGAGAGGTGTCATCTATGTGCTGGGGCTGAAGGATGTGCCCTATATTTGGATCCTCAGATGAAATTGTCTGGATTAGTAGATCCCATGTCACCTTTTAGAAGCAAATGTGTTAACGGGAATTACGTACCTTTTGAAAGGGAATGCCTTCTTAACTATAGAAAATGCAACCGAAACTGACAGTGGCTTGTATTGTTGCTATGTTGTGCACAGGGGGTGGTTCAGTGACATGAAAATCACCCTGTCATTGGAGATTAAACCAGCCAGGAACACGAGTATTCCCATGTCATCTGGAGTCTCTAACCTCTGCTTCTCCAATGCCATCACCCCTGCAGAGCCATGAACCAGTAGTTATTTCACCTTCTCCAACTCAGCCAATAGAAACCTAGATTACAACAACAGAAACCCAGATTACAACATTACAAACAAGGACAAAACCCACCAACCCCATTGTACTCTTACACAACACATGGGAATGGCACCATGACACATTCTTCAAATTGCCTTTGACATAACAATCAAACTCATGTCCCCAGCACAAAATCCACAGATCGCCACCATCACTAAGGGGATGTCTATGGAAATCTGTATTTCTGCCTGGTGTTTCTCACTTTTTTGGATGTCAACATTAACATAAAGTATTTCTACATCATCTGCAAGATGCTGCAACTGCATGTGGTTCTGTTGAGAGACCTTCTGTGTTAGTCTGTTCTCACACTGCTATAAAGAACTGCCCGAGACTGGGTAATTTATAAAGGAAAGAGGTTTAATTGACTCACAGTTCCTTAGGGCTGGGGAGTCTTCAGGAAAATTAAGATCCATTGCAGAAGGGGAAACAAACACATCCTTCTTCACACCCCAATAGGAAGGAGAAGAATGACAGGTGAGCAAAGAGGTGAGCCCTTTATAAAACCATCAGATCTCATGAGAACTTACTATCATGAAAATAGCATGGGGGAAACTGCCCCCATGATTCAATTACCTCCCACCAGGTCCCTCCCAGGACACGTGGGGATTATGGGGACTGCAATTCAAGATGAGATTTGGGTGGGGACACAGCCAAACCATATCACCTTCTAATTGGAGCTTTGCAGAGTGCAGGTGAAAGACAAGTGCAAGCAGAAGATGATATCTATATTATTGAGGTTAATCTTTATGTCATGGATTAAAATGGTGCACTTTGAGGTTTTATGCCCATCACTGTAGAAGACAGTGACCAGATACTACCATCTGGTCTGACAAGACATACTTTAAACTCCAGGATTATTTTTCTATGTCAGTTTCATCTAACATTTCAAGATGTCAATGGTATTGGGTAGAGTGAGTCTCTAGCTCAAAACTCTGTGTAGTCAGCCTCATTGTTAATATAGTTCTCATTTTTTATGCTAAAACTGACTCAGTCCTTCTGATCATTGCAGAGTTCCCTCTCCAACATGAACGCTTTAGAATTGTATGTTCTCTTTAGACTCCACAAATCTTGTGTCCATCAAAGACAATAATCACTGACAATGTAGGAAATGACTTCTATCTTGGCCACCAAAGCTGCTGAGAAGACAGAAATAGGATTTAAAAATCAAATCTGATTTGAGACTTTATTTGAAAGAAATTCATGATTATTTCTTATTTCTATATTATAACTCCAAATGTTACATTTCTTAGGTTCCTGCAAGGGTTCCCAGTGAACCCAGGTTTTTATTTCATCCATGGAAATAAAATAGGAGGTAGTCTCATTTGTCTGTAACAGGTGTATTTGTTTTCTCATGGCTCTGGAAATATGATGCATTCAGTACTTGATCCCTGGATCAGGGTAGCTATTTTACCAGTCAAAAGAAGTGAGTATGGACCAAGTAGAAACTAGGTGGAGAAAATCATTTGCCATGTGATTAAACACTTTTATGCTGTTTCTACTATGTTTGTGCCACAATACTAGGCACTACAGTAAACAACCAGCAGGCTCTCTCAACTAATTTTTACAGGGCAGAAATGAAGAAGACAGGGCAGAAATGAAAGGGAAAAGAGGAAAGAATAGGAAAAAAAAAGCCTTTCTGCCTTAGAAAAGTTACATTGCAAGTATTATAGTGTTTGAAACTGTCACTAGTTTCAACCCAAATTCTAAACTTGTAAATGCCTTCAAACCACTTATATATTTAAAATTGTTTCAGAAAGTTGAAGGGTCTTTTTCATATCTAATGAATTATGGTGTTATTTTTCACAATTCAATTGTGAGGCTTATTGTAAAGATACCTTCAGTTACCAGTATAATTGTTGAGAAGTATAGATTTGCGAGGGCTAGGTTTGTCAGAAGAGAAACATTTCTACATGAACAGTTAAAGCTGGGCATTAATTTCTATTTCAATTTGAGTAAACCCTGAATAATTCATGCTTGGGGTTTAGAGGTGCTCCCATCATAATGGTCTAGGAGGACAAGATGCTTGCTTTCAAAGTGAACATTTTCAACACTGTTCTGCAGAGGTCTAAGAAACTAATAGATCCTTTGAATGAAGGTCCTATGGGAAAATAAAATTGTGACTCATGGTATTTCACATTTCCTAAATGAGACCAGCCTGATCTGGCCTAAATATTTTTTTCATACTACAGTGTTTTCTTAAATTGATGCAACATGCATAAACCTGGGAATTTGAAATTAAAGCTCAGATTTGTAGCTTCTCTGAAAAGACTTGGCTAGATTAGTCTGCATTCCTGTGTGGTCAGGGCCCCACTAGATGGGGCCACATTCTCTAGCCCTGCCTCCTCATGTTTGTTACCTGCCTGGTGCCTACAGGGCTTTCAGTTTATGGCACCTGCCCTATTCTCTATACCTTTCCTGGATATTTATTATGCATGATAAAGCCTCTGGGAATATGGTTGGCTTTGTTTAACACAGCATTGCCCAAATTTGTTTGAACACATGAGCACAGTGACTAGTAGCATTCTGTGAAACAGAATATATAGAGACTTAGGGTACTAAACAGGATTAAGAATAGGGTGAGAGTTCTAATCCTAACTCTTAACAGTAACATTAGGGCACATTGTTCTTTATGTCTAAATCTTTTTCATCTATTAGATGTAATCATTTCCATACCAACTATGTCATATGATGGTAACTCCAATAAAATGTTACTTGTGAAAACCATTATAGATTCTGAAGCAGTTTGGAGAACTTATTTAAAAATACTATAGAAATGCAAAGTGTTTTCTCAGTAGATTTCATAATAATAGCAGATCTAGCATTAGTTCTCAGTAAATCATTTCAATGGTGTTATATTCATAAGTCTCTTGGGTATCTTTTTAATAGTTTATTTTTGAAAAAGTTGATGAGAAATTTTCCTGCCCTCTTACACCGTAAAAAATTGTCAATAACTGAGAGAGAGAATAGATAAGAGGGAGAAAGGGATAGAATTTACTTAATATGAATTTTTCCTATAAATATATTAATCTTATAGATTGCATTGAGTTTTGTTTTTTGTTTTTGATTCTTTGAGACGCAGTTGAGATTCCATTACCTACAATCTGTCTTGGGACATTGGGACATTGGTGTAATTAAGACTGTATATTTAAACCTAAGAAGTTTTTCACATCTTTAAGAAGTAGCAGAGCCAATTGTTCACTTATGTCTATAAAGATGAAATAATTTTGTGAGTACATAAAAGTGTGAGAAACTCTTAGTGGTTGTCTAGGTTCATTTGTATGTGCACTCATCAATAACATTTTTTTGTTTTTTTCGTTTTGAAAAAAAATTCTTGGGCCTGGCGCAGTGGCTCATGCCTGTAATCCCAGCACTTTGGGAGGCCAAAGCAGGCAGATCACGAGGTCAGGAGATCGAGCCCATCCTGGCTAACACGGTGAAACCCCATCTCTACTAAAAATACAAAAAATTAGCCAGGCGTGGTGGCGGGTGCCTGTAGTCCCAGCTACTTGGGAGGCTGAGGCAGGAGAATGGCTTGAACCTGGGAGGCGGAGTTTGCAGTGAGCCGAGGTCCTGCCACTGCACTCCAGCCTGGGCAATAGAGTGAGACTCCGTCTCGAAAAAAAATTATTCTGCTTGGTCTGTTCTGTTATTGAAGCTCTCAATTGTATTTTTTATTTCATTCCTTGAATTCTTCAGCTGTAGGATTTCAATTTGGTTCTTTTTTGTATCTATCTCTTTAATTTCTCATTCTGGATTTCATTGACTTATCTATTTGTACTGAGTTTTCTTAAGATTATTATTTTTGAATTATTTTCTCTGGCATTTTGTGTCTTTCCTTATAGTTTGGTTCCACTACTAGAGGATTACTGTGTTCCTTCGGAGGTATCATGTTTCCTTGCTTTTTCATGTTTGATGTGTCCCTACATTGGTTTCTATGCACTCAGTGGAAAAGTCACATCATCCAATTTTATGGAGTAGGTTTCGTAAGTAAAGGCTTACTCATATGAATGAGTTTTGGGATATTAGTTGGGTGGGGTACATTTGCTGTGGTCCTAGGTGGATGCAGTAGTGTAGTGTCCACATAGATTCTTCAGATGCAGTCCATGCTAGTGGCATTCATGAGTGTCTCGGTGGCCTAGGCTGAGAGAGTTGTGGATAGTGGTGGGGCAGCTTTGCTAGGCATGGCCTCACTGTGCTGTTTCTCAGGTTGAGGGTGCATGCCTGCATATCATGGGTCAGCCAGCTTGGAGCTGGCACTGGGGTTATGGGGAGTTACTCTGGCTGGGAGTACATATACACAGTTGCTTAGCCAGCCTGGGGTGTGGCTGCCAAGAGCTGCCCACAGGGATGTTTCTCAAGGCCTGGAACAGGAGCGCAAGGCTCTTCAGCTGACCTAGGGCATGTCGGCCAGGCCTCTCCAGGGGAGGGCTGCTTCTCAAGCCTGGGATGTAGGCACACAGCTACTTGGCTGGCTTGGAGGCTTGTATACTGGGGATGGTCCCCAGAGCTATTTCTCAGGCCTGTGTCATAGGCCCACAGCTGCTCAGTCAGCCTGGGTGATCGCCCTCCAGGGGCAGCCTGTAGGGCTGTTTTTCTCAAACCCTGATTGAGTGCATTGGGCCTTTGGGTAGCTCAGCGGGTGCAGCACCACAGGGCTGTTTGTACATCGTTGGTTGTGGGTGTATACTTCACCTGGCCTCAGAGCATGTCAGTTGTTTGGAGGCTTCATGGCCTCTCGCCCTCAGGAGAGGGCACGCAGCAATTTTGCCAGTTCAAGGGTAGGTTTACACTAGACAGGACTGCCAGACTGCTTTTGTGTCTGGAAGTGAGTTGGTTTCTCTGCTGTGTAGGACCAGAGTGACAGCCAATCCTGGACCCAGGCCCCATGCAGCTTAGGTTGTGGCAGTCAGCCACCCATATGGGCTTGGTGGAATGAAGATAGAACCCCAGTGGTGTAGAGGTAGTGTTACTGACTTTCAGAGCAGGGTGCACTCCTGATGTTACTCTGGTCTTAAGATGGCTCTGTGCTGTAGAAGCTTGGCATACAAGGCTAGGTGGGAGTGGGGAGTGCGCGCATTGTTCTCCTAATCTGGGACAATGCAGCTGTGAGGGTTCCTGGAAGCCCTCCAAACTGGGCTCACCATTTATGAGGACTATGACATTCTCTTGTAGAAAGGATGGTAAGTGTTTGTGGTAGCAATGGGGGCTGGTAGTGTTCTTCTGCTTACTTTTTCCCTGTAACAGGAAGTTTCTGCTGCTTTGGGGCAGATCTCATCCAATCAGAGAAGATGGAGTTACAGAGGCTAGGTGTCTCCAAGCTGCCCACCTGGACTTCTAATCACCACAGGTGCATCTGCACTTCCCTGCTGCACTCCAGTGCTCTCTGTTCAACACTCCAATCAAATCTCATCTGTATATTCATTGCCTTGTCTCTTTCTTGTATGGGGGAACTGGCATCAGGCATCTGTAGTCAGTCATCTTGCTAATGTCACTTTGCGTTGTTATTTTTTTTTTCCAGGTATTTCTGGTCTGCAGATGATTAAGTCTGTGGGTACAGAACCTGCAGTTAGAGAAGGCCAGCTGTATACTTCTTATGCGCTTGTAAGAACAAGGACATTTTTAGTTTGATTTGGTTTGGTTTTTTTTACACACAGGTTTGCATATGGTTTCACTGTTTGGGGTTCTCCCTTGGCTTTTTTGCATCAAACATACTTACAATGCATAGTCTATGATATCCAGTTTTGGATCTCTTAAAACAACAAACTTTTTTTTTAATTTTACAGTAAAAAGGTGTTCTCACCTTTTCTTTCCAGAATATACTCAAAAGCAACAAACAGAATGAGAAAGAGAAACAAAACTCTCTTTGACAATATCAGAAGGAATTTGAAATCTTAAACTATGTATATTACAAAGTATAATGAAGGTAAAAGAGGGATGCAGAAAGATGCCAAGAGGAAATGCCCACGGTTACAGATCTCAGACAAAATCAACAGAACATAGTTCTCTAAAGTGTCATATCCTGAGGAACAAAATCAACAGTCTCTAGTTTGAAACAAATACAACTGGTGACCAGCATGGTGCTTCCCAATTTGGCACAACAGAAAAAAAGAAAATGGAGCACCCAAGAAATCATATTGAAGAAATACGTTTTCAGGGAGCAAGATAGGAAAGATTATGAGTTCTGAGTTATCTTACAACTGCTGATCTTCAGATGGTAAAGGAGAGAACTAAAGGCTGTAATTCAACACACGCAATTTTGTGAGTTGAGAGTTTCTGCTACCTTGAAGTTCAGGCCTGGATTTAGTCCAATATATTCTTCTACAAAAGTTTGCTCCAGCAGGGACTCATTTGATTCAAAAAATGGCAAACTTTTAAAAAGGATGGGGAGTGTGTAATCTGCATGGGTTCTGTACAAAGTGGGAGAGTTTTTCTGGAAGGCTTCACAAGAAATTGAATGAGACAGAGCCTTACTTTCCACTACCCTTTATAGTTTTTTAAATTCAGAAGAAATTTAGTGCTATTGTGAAAAAAAAAAGGACTTTGAAAAAATAATAAATTTATTTAAACATTTGCAGATAAATCTGAGTACAAGTCTTTTCAGATTTTTACTCATTTTATCCAGCCTTTCATTTGTTCTGACCACATTTAATTGACAGCAGTTTCTTCTGGTGACTCTGCTTTATCAGGCTTTTCTGTCCAGGGGAGGGCTGCTTTTTTGCAAAAATTATAGAATCAATTTTTCCTGTTGCTTTCATATTTCATTTGTTATGTAATACTTATTTATATGATAGGTTGAGTATTCCTTATCTGAAATGCTTGGGACAGAAGTGTTTCAGATTTCAGATTTTTTTTGAAATATTTACCTTATATACTTACCATTTGAGCATCCCTAATCTGAAAAATCCAAAATCTGAAATGCTCCAATGAGCATTTCCTTTGAATGTCATGTTGGCACTCAAAAAGTTTCAGATTTTGGAGCATTTCAGATTTTGGATTAGGGATACTCAACCTGTATATTATGACAATAATGTAACTGGCATAGCAAGTTTAGAAATAAATACAATTGACTCAGTAACAAAGCTCATCTAGCAGGAGCAAAAGCACAATTGAACTAGAGAGTGGCCTGCTAAATACAAGAGTTCAACATACTATAGGTATTTGTTTTAGAAAAAGAAGAAAAAGAAATAAAAGTAATTCTCTCTGATGGATTTGTGAAGTGCATGTTAGAAGAAACTACCTTAAGTATGAACATATGCCATTGTGTTCCTCTTGCCTTTGAATTTTGCTCAAAATGTCTTGTTTTAGATACAGTGTTGTAAAGTTTAATTTTAGTCAAAAAATGTTTGATCTCCTCCTGTGTGTCCAAAGCATAATAACAAATGAAAGTAAATATTTCCTTCTTAGTTGTTGAAATTAAACAATATTAATGGGATGTTGCTGGTGGTTTTATTTATGATGTGCTGCATAACCTATATCAGTGTAAAAATTTTAAGTAATTTAGAGTTATCTTGACTTGCTTCATGAATATCCTTAGAGCGAGTTCTTCAGACACCTAAGGTTGTATTAAATTGATGTCATGTTTATTTTACTTTAGGATATGTTTGACAAGGAAAAATATTTTTAAACTATCGTTAAATTTATTGTTGTTTTTTATCTTGAAGCTGCCAGAAAAAATTATAATGAACTACTACGAGAAGTATAAGCCTCGAATGAATGAGCTGGAAGCTTTTAATATGGTAAATCTCAGAGTTAAGCATATTAAATTGGATATGTTGCTAGACTTGAATAGGGTCCTATTAAATTTTATTATGGGCTAAGCAATCTATGTTGTTTTTCTCTTACTGTAGAAAAACTGTTTTGGATCATTTCCTATTTCAGGACTATATTAGGTGTCAGTAATGTAATAAAGAGAACACATGGTAGATTTCTCTTAAAAAAGTATTATAAATGCACAAAAAGTTTCAGAGTCCTTTGAACACATATTGGTCCCAATGCAGTTATTTCACAAGCATTCCTTTTAATGAACTTCATTCTTAGTACCCCTTTAAAAGCTTTCTATCACATATGACTGCTTGTTGGAGTCTACCTCACAGTCACTTAAAGGACATTCTTTTCCTATTATTAAAGAAAACCTTTTGATCTCTGAAATATTCATTTTCTGAAGATGTACCTGGATTTTGGAGATTCAGCCTATATAAACTTCTGTAGATACATTTATTTAAACATAAGTTTAAGGAAATAAGCTAGTCTTTTTTTTTTAAGTACCACCAACCTACCTATCTAATTTTTTTATTTTAGTTGAAAGTTGTACTGGCTCCCTGTATAGAGACTTTGATTCTTCTGGATCGACTTTGTTACCTGAAAGAGCAGGTAAATTATGTTATTTTAAAATACACAACAAATATCTTATTAAATACAGTAATATAGAGCCACTTATATCTAGGATAAGAGTCTTTCACATAAAACTAGTAAGAAAATTTTTCTCATTATATTTTCATAGTTTAAATGTTCATTCCATCCCTTTTTAAACATATAAACATATGTACAACAGATGTTTTCAGCAAAGCTGCTATAATAAAGTTTACATTCTTTTAATTGTATGGTAATTACTATACATAGGCAGTGAACATAAACTGCTATATATGAAATATTGTATAGCTGAAATTTATAAAGGCTAGACATAAAAGATATTGTATAAGCGTTTCATTTTGTAAGAATTTGTCTTTTAATTCACTTTTGGAGTGTTGGCCATATGGATTCTGCAGAATAGAAACTTCTTTCTGATCAAGGAAGATTCCTTCTGTTTTTTTCACAATCTTACTTATCTATGTTAAATGACAAAAATACTGTCTTTTGGGTTGTCTTTAAGGAAAATATTTTCTGCAGATTCTATTATGAGCTATGCTCAAAATAAAGTTTGGTGAACTGTTTAAATTAAACCCATTCATGGACTCACCGAATGTTTCCGCTATAAACTCTTTAACAGTTTTATTTTGTCATATGGGGAGCTTTACTTTCTTATTTTCCTAATTGGAACAAATGCTAATTGAAACAAATGGATATTTAAAAATGTTTGCTTTGTTCTAATTTGTATTTTTATGGAGAAAGGCAATTTTTAAATATGTAAATAATGATGTACTTTCCTAAGCTGCCAGCTAACTTCAAGTCACTGGAAAGCTTTGGTTCCTAAGTTAGTGGGTGATAAAATCAGTACCTATTTTACTAGATTCTCACATCCCTTTTCAAAACAATCTCCATTGACCTATGTACAAGAGGTAAGCAAAACAATGTGCACAAAGATTAATAGGTTGTAATGAAATGATAGAAATTATAGAAATGTTATTTTTAATATTTCAATTAATATCTTATAAAGTAATGCACATTTATGTTAGAAAATTTAAAATACAGGATATATAATAAAGAAAATTAAGAGTAGTCATAATCCTACCTTTTATTTAATAGCTTCAACTATTAGATTTTTAGTATATTTAAGGAATCTCTCAAATATATATGGTTATAACATATATAGTGCATATTATTTGTACTTTAATTAATATTAGAATAAAATTATAAATGCAGTTTTACATCTAATTTGTTTTATTTTATTCAGAATTTCCCACCATATTAAATGTACTATAGAAAGTGAACATTTCATCATAAAATAATTTATTTAACTAATACTCATTTGTGATTGGCCACTTCCAGTTTTTCACAACCGTAGCAAAGAATAAACTTGTAATTCACTCTCTATGTACATCCTTGTTTCCTCAGCATAAACTTTTTTGAAGGTGTAATTGTGAATGTTAATTTTGTTTAACAAAGCATAAGAATTTTCTGTGAAACAGCTTTGTTTTTATGTATTTTTTATATTACAATATATAATCCAACTCGCGTCTAATTTTTTTCTTCAACAAATGGTTGTATATCTAAATCACTTATTAATTTACAGGAAGATATTGCATGGTCTGCTCTTGTGAAGTTGTTTGATCCCGTGAAATCTCCCAGATGTTATGCTGTTATTGCCCTGAAGAAGCAGCAGTGATTTCCATTGAAGCAAATTATTAGATGTATTTCTCTATGAGACCTGTTGCTGAGATTGCTTTTCTAAACATATATGTCCTGTTATACAAAAATTTTTAAATGACTGTTATGTATTTTAAATAATAAAATAATGGCTAACAACAGAAGGTTATAATCCATTTTTCCATTGTCAAAGCATACATTAATAAAAGAAGAACCTGTCATAATAATATAAAACAGTTGACCTACATTCCTGAGTTAGTACATCAGTAGAACATTGTAATCTACGTCTTAATTCCTGTTCAATATTTAAGACCCCTTACATTTGCTACAAATCACATTTTGATGTATTGAATTAAACGTAGATAAGAGGTAAAGGTAGCTGGTGCGGAAGATCATTTGCAATTTCTTCCACATTTTAGAAGGGTTTTTCTGTTTTTACCAGGAGGGAAAAAATCTGCACTTAAAGGGAAGAAATACCCAGGAACCAGGTCAGAAATTTAAAAGTGCCTCATTTAAAGCACATTTTACACTGGGTTTTAATCTAAGTACATGGGATATTCCCTTAAAGAAAGTTGTATCTTATAAGTAAGATATTCTCTTTAGGGATTCTTGAGGCAATTTATCTTACTAAAATAAAGTGATGGGTTGGCACTTAATGTAATTACTTTATGCTCTGTAAAAAGCCAATCTGAGTAAACCAAGAGTCAATGGAATGAGGCCAACACTCTGCCCATTGTGAAACAAGTTCCTTTCATTAGCAGAAAACTTGAGGATTCTAATGCATACCAAAGAGATGAAGAACTGGGATAAAGCTTCCTTGATCCTCAACTAGAGAGATTTTATAAAATTTTCCAAAGCAAAAAAAGGAACTGCTTTTTTAAATGTTGGCATCTATCCACGATTAAGAAGAATAATTATATTTATTTGTATTGTAATATAAATATTGAGTTTACAGCCTCAGGTGATCAGGTTCTTTGTACAGAGAGTACAAAGAACCTGGATAATCAGGTTCTTTGTAGAGAGAGTACAATGCTTAGAAAATAAGCCATTTTTAAGCTTTTTTTTCCTGCAAAATTTCAAACATATCTAGAAGTGGAGAGTAGAGTATAAGGAATCCCCATGTACTCATCACAAAGTGAATAATTATCAACATTTTACCAATTTTGTTTCATCTATACACACATAAACATGAACATGCACACCCCACCCACACATACCCTAGCTGGAGAATTTTAAAGCAAATTCCAGGAGTTCGTTATTTCTAACAGTTATGGGGTTTTGTTTTGTTTTTTCAAAATAACATCTATAATTGTCCCCATTCATATATCTGCAGTTGGCTGAAAAATTCTTTATATCAGTTTCTTCAATTCAGAATCTAAACAAATTTAACACATTTGCATTTGCTTGATGTGTCTCTTAGGTTGTTTTAAATATATGATGGTTTCCCCTCCAGCTTTAAAATTTCATATCATTTTTATTTATTTAAGAAACCAGGTAATTTATCCTATAAAATACAGATAGATTCTGTAGGATAAATTTCTAGATTTACCTGATGATACCCTCAGAGAGCCATTTAATACACCCATCCCAAGTATTTCCTAAAAGCTGGTAGATCTAGAAATTTATGAGAGTTAAGTTATTATTATGTGTTTGTTTATTTTTGTCTTTTGGCAAAAATACTTCATCGTTAGTGTTACGTACTTTCTATTGCATCACATCAGGAGACACATCTTGTTTGGCTGTTCCATATTTAGTGATACTAAGATTGATCAGCAGCTTCAGTTGTTTTATTTATTCAATATAAAGTTTTCCCATTAACCTTCATCTAAATGGTCTTAGCAGCCAATGGCAGTGATGGAAAACAGGAAGAAAGAAAAGAACCAGACTGTGAGTTCATTTGTCATATTCATACTGACTGCCTAAGAATCCCCCTCAGTTTCAATTTGTCCATTGCATTCTTCTAAATGTAGCCGCCTTGTTTCAGCATGCTGTGATTTCCTCATATTGTTGACTATAAGAGTAACTATTTCAGGAGCAGAAAACCTTTTCAGCCAACTTTTTTCTTTTATAATTTTCTATGTAAAAATTTAAAATCCTTTCCTGGTACCCAAATATTTTTATAAGATTTATTTCTCATTATAATAAAGAAAAATACTTTATATGTATAAAACACCTTTTAGTATAGAGAAGGAAATTACAACAGGCCGGGCACGATGGCTCATGCCTGTAATCCCAGCACTTTGGGAGGCCAAGGCGGGCGGATCACCTGAGGTCAGGAGTTCCAGACCAGCCTAGCCAACATGGTGAAACCCCGTCTCTACTAAAAATACAAAAATACAGGCGTGCTGGCACATGCCTGTAATCCCAGGTACTCGGGAGTCTGAGGCAGGAGAATCACTTGAACCGAGGAGGCGAAGGTTGCAGTGAGCCGAGATCGCATCATTGCACTCCAGCCTGGGCGACAAGAGCGAAATTCTGTCTCAAAAAAAAGAAAAAAAAAAAAAGTTAATTACAACAGTTTCATTAGCAAGGCAACTTGATTGTAATTTCCCTATGTTTTAAACAGTTGTCAGAAATTACGTGTATCCATTAATGGTTTCCATTTTTATTAATCAGTTAAATGTGGAATGCAAGCATCAAATCAACATGACATAACTGCATTCATCACACTGAGATAACATTTCTACAGAAAGCAAAGAAACAGAGTATTTCAGACTGCAGCTTTGTACACATGAATCCCTTTGCAATGGTTGTAGACTCCCATCTCATAAAAACTGCACTTTGAGAACTAGTTTACAGTTTAGCCAAAGAATGTGGTGCCTAGGCATGAGCACAAATTCTGATAATTAAATTCTGAGTGAACTAAATCATGACAGTGCTTAACATCTCAGAGCCTCATTTGTAAAGTGGGGTTTTATTTACTTTTATTTTATAAACATTTATTGAATGCCTACCATTTGTCAGAGATTACGCTGGGCATTGACAGTATGGAGACAAACAGTATTCCACTGTCTTCAAAGAGCCTACAGTCCAGTGAGAAAGATAAAAAATAAAAGTATTAATTACAATAGTTACAATAGTCAAGATCAGAACTGAAGGGTTCAGGATATAGGTTTCTTAAGGGCATCTTCAAACGAGTAGCCAAAGGGAACAGGGACTCAGTAATAGTAGTAGTATAGTTTTGACTCATGTGAGCTAAATTGTTTTGTATCATTGAGTAAGTCACTTAACTGTTTAGTGTGCCCCAGTTTTCTTATCTGTAAAAAGAACAATAAATAGAACTCACTCTTAAGATGGTTAGGAAGATTAAGTGTATGTTATTGAACTACCTGAAAATGCCTCCAGAAAAAGCTGCTAATGAAGTAAAACTAAGCTTTTTATAACTCACTGCAGTAACAGAGGGCATTGCCTTGGCAGTCTTCACAGTGCAGCTCAAGGGGGAAATTAGGGGAAGATATTTATAGGATTTGGAGGTCTGGGTTCAAAGGTAGAGAACAAACTGGGATTTGAAAAAGTTTATGACAGAAGAGATTAGGATTAGCATATATAGCAATGCACGGGTCTTGAAGCAAGTGTTGATAAGTAAATTGTTGCGTGGTAAGTGAATTCTTTGAGAAGTGGAGAGGATTGAGATAAATTAATGTATAGGAATTTTCCGAAGCAATGAAATTACTTATTGAGGTACAATCTTATTCCTATGCAAAGTTTTCCGTTAAAAAAGAAAAACAACAACAAATAAATCAGATAAACACAGGTGATTTCAGTTCTTAAACCTAGTATCTCTGTCATGCTGATGCAGATGTTTACATTTCTCAATGTAAAGCACTTAATTCTACATAATGCATAGTGTAAAAGTAATAGTTGTGTTTGCTAAATTTTCTAGAGAGACTAAAATGTGAACTTAACCATATTTATAACATTGGTTTCATAGGAAAAAGTGTTGTAAATTCTGATTAAACAGCTTACAAATGGATTTTTAGTATCCCCATTTAAAAGCTGAGAATTCTTTACATTTAAAAGTGAAATTGCACAGCCAACATCATACTGAATGGGCAAATGCTGGAAACATTCCCCTAAGAAGAGGAACAAGACAAGGATGGCCACTTTCACCACTCCTGTTGAAAATAGTACTGAAAGTCTTGGCAAGAGCAATCAGTCAAGAGAAAGAAAGAAAAGGTATCCAAATAGGAAAAGAACAAGTCAAGTTAGCTATGTTCACTGATGATATGGTTCTATACCTAGAACACCCTAAAGACGCTACAAAAAGGTGCCTAGAACTGATAAACGGCTTCAGGAAAGTTTCAGTATACAAAATCAATGTACAAAAATCAGTAGCATTTCTATACACCAATAATGTTCAAGCTGACTAACAGCCAAATCAAGAGTGCAATCCCATTTACAATAGGCACCTAAATAAATAAAAACACCTAGGAATACATCTAACCAAGGAGATAAAAGATCACTACAAGGAGAACTACAAACTGCTGAAAGAAATTGTAAATGATACAAACAAGTGGAAAAACATCCCATGCTCATGGATGGGAAGAATCAATATCATTAAAACAGCTATACTGCCCAAAGCAGTCTACAGATTCAATGTTATCCTTGTGAAATGACCGATGTCATTTTTCACAGGATTAGAAAAATGTATTCTAAAATTTATATGGAACCAAAAAAAGGGCCTGAATAGACAAATCCAAAGCAAAAGGAACAAAGCCAGAGGCATCACACTACCTGACTTCAAACTATACTATAAGGTACAGTCGCCAAAAGAGCATGATACTAGTTCAAAAACAGACACATAGACCAACGGAACAGAATAGAGAATCAGAAATAAAGCCACACACCAGTAACTGTCTGATCTTTGAGAAAGTTGTCAAAAACAAGTAATAAGGAAAAGACTTCGTATTCAGTGAATGGTGCTGGGATAACTGGCTAGCCATATGCAGAAGAATGAGACTAGACCCCTAACTTTCACCATAAAAATGAACTCAAAATAGATTAAATATTTAAATATAAGACGTTAAATTATAAGAATACTATAAGAAAACCCGGGAAATACCATTCTAGACTTTGGTTTGGGGAAAGAATTAATGACTATGCCCTCAAAAGCAACTTCAACAAAAGATTTGACAGGTGGAACCTAACTGCACTAAAGTGCTTCTGCACAACAGAAGAAACTATCAATAAACAGGCAGCCTACAAAATGGTAGTAAATATTTGCAAACTATGCATCTGACCAAGGTCTAATATCCAGAATCTATAAGGAACTTAATGCAACAAGCAAAAAACAAACAACCATATAAAAAGTGGGCAAAGCACACGAACAGACACTTCCCAAAAGATTTACAAGTGGCCAACAGCAAACATATTTAAAAATGCTCAACATCACTGATCATCAGAGAAATGTCCATCAAAACCACAATTAAATACCATCTCACACCAGTCAGAAAGGCTATTACTAAAAAGTCAAAAAGCAACAGATGCTTGTGAGGCTACAGAAAAAAGAGAACACTTATACATTGTTGGTGGGACTTTAAGTTAGTTCAACCACTGTGGAATGCAGTTTGGAAATTTCTCAAAGAACTTGGAACTACCATTTGCCCCAACAATCCCATTACTGGGTATATACCCAAAGGAAAGTAAATTGTTCTACCAAAAGGACAGCTGTATTCATATGTTCATTGTAGCATTATTCATAATAGTAGAGACATGGAATCAACCTAGGTGCCCATCAATGGTGGATTGCATAAGGAAAATGTGGTACCTAAACACCATGAAATACTACACAGCCATAAAAAAGAATAAAATCATGTCCTTTGCAGCAATATGGATGCAACTGGAGGCCATTATCTGAAGCAAATGAATGCAGGAACAGAAAACCAAATACCACATGTTCTTATAAGTGGGACCTAAACATTGGATATGCATGGACATAAAGATGGGGACCACAGACACTGGGGACTACAAGAGGGGTGAGAAAGGGTGGGGGCAGGGGTTGAAAAACTACCTATTGGGTACTATGCTCATTACCTGGGTGACAGGCTCACTCACACTCCAAACCGCAGTGTTAGGCATTAAACCCATGTAACAAATCTGCACATGTACCCACTGAATCTAAAATAAAAGTTGAAATTATTTTTTAAAAATACAAAAAAAGGATACTTTTGTCCAATATTAATTAAAATATTAAAGCCTACTTTGATTTTGATGTAGCTTCCTTTTGATGAATATTTGCAAATATGCCTTTTTCCTTTCTATTAATTTTGAATATTTTGTACTTACATGTATTATATACGTCTCGTCTAAACAACATATTGTTGGACCTTAGTTTTTCAGGTCAGTCTTTGTTTTTTAATTGAAGGATTTAATTTAAACTCAGTGGAATTGCTGATATATATGAATTTAAGTCTGCCATTCTTTTATTTGTTTTCTATATGTTCTGCCTGTTCTATGTTTCTTTTTGTCTTTTATGGCTCTTTTTGTTCTTGGGAGACAGAGAATCTTTATCACACTTAGATGTGGGCAAGCAGGGCCCCCTGTTCTAAGCCCCACACATCAAAGATCCTTGAACATTGGAGTCCTCGCTGGGGCATGGGACCATCTGGCTTGACAGTGCCATCTGGGCAGGGCAGCCCTCACAGCCCTAGTCCAGATTACAAACTGTTGCAGGCCTTCTCCTCTTTACGCAACTCTTAAAGAGACAGCCTTCATAATGAAAACAGTTTCAATTTTTCAGGAAGATATAATAATTCTAAATTTAGTTAACATATTCAGTTAACATAATCTCAAAATATGTGAAGCAAACATTAACACAACTACAAGGAGAAATAGATAAATTGCAGTCATTCCAGAAGTATCTTTATGTTCCTAGCTATCATATGGAAAAAGCAAACAAAATTATAAGCATATAAGATCTGAACAATGAAATAAGTAAAAGTAGCCTAATGGACCAATACAGTACACTGTACCCAATTACTACAGACTACATAATTTTTTTAAGCACATATGGAACTTTTAGGAATTTGACTATGTGTTGGGCTTTAAAGCAAATTTCAATACATTTCAAAAGATTGACATCATGTACAGTATAGTCTTCGATCACAATGTATTGAAGCTGAAAAAACAATGCTTTAAAATGAGTAGAAAATCTTCATTTGCTTTCAATTTTAAAATTGTACAGTGAAATTTGGGAGCCAAGGAGATCACAGTAGACATCACAAAATATTTTGAAGTGAATAATAATGAAAATAATTGAATGGAATCATAATGGAAAATTATGTATGAAAACCTATATTCTGAGCTAAAATGCTATAATTGCAGTACTACTTTTGTCACAAATATGAGAAAAGTACTGACAAATGATTTTAATGAAAGAAAAACACATTCAGGGGTGATGAATGCATTCAAAAATCACTTCTTAGATAACTAACAAAATTGAAACAACTCTGTCAAAACTTACAATTCTTTTAAATAGAACATTTAAACAATATCAGGAATTGAAAAGGGAACATCACTATAGATCCTACAGAAATTAGAGCAACTCTTATGGTAGATGTATAAATTTGTATGAAATGGAAAAAATTTCTAAAAGAAATGCAATATAGCAAAACTGCCTCAAGAAGGAAAGTGAATCCCAAGAAATGTGACTGTTTAATTGAATTTGCAATTAATTCTTTATTAAGTCTCTACCTTTCAATGAAAGTACTTTGCTGATGTTGCATATAATTTAATCGATCACCATCTGTTAGTTAGCTGCCCTGTGACAAAGACCATGCTAGACACTAAAGGTGGGGAGAAAGTTTTAAGAACTTTGACAGTTCCTAATTTCAAGCATTTATAATCTAGTCATTGAAACATATATGATAGGTATATGGAAGAGTTAAGATTTAGATAATGACTTTGAGAAGAGAAAAAAATTAGTTGCTACATGAACACACGATCTTTTACAATGAACTATGTCCTAGTACTGTTCACTTCTGTTGCCAACTGTGAGTATGGTGCATTACTCATAGTTTCCTTCATGTTGTTTTTCAGTGTGTTCAGTACAATGGCTTATTTTCATGGAGAAGGACTGTTTAAGAAATAATCCTCTATATGAAATATGTGCTGTGGTTAACCTGTGACCAAAGGAACTCCAAGCTCCCACACCTTCCTGGATGGCTTGTACTTGGCTACTGGCTATATGTTTATCATAATTTATTAGTTGATGTATTTATCTCAGTAGTTTGCCTTATTTAGTTTGCAAATATTTTGTCATTGGAAGGCCTTGTTTAAAAAATATACTGTTTTCATTAGAATTCTCAAATGCACAATCCAGCAAAAAAGAGTTAACACATGTCAGCATAGAACAAAGTAGCATGTATTTAAATCTCATGGGAGGAAAAGCCCTTAACTTGCATTAAGTTATGATCAAACATAGTCAATTTTAGAAAAATAGAGAAATTATGAAGTTCCAGCCTAAAATGTACCACATTGCCTTCCATTTGGTCAACATGGGATTTTGTGTCCATCAGATGATCATGTTGAAGTAACTGCACATGTATTGTGATTTAGCTGCCCTCTCAGGAAAGGCAAAATCTTCTAATATTGCTTCAACTTTTCTAAGAAAAATACTTCATCTGAATGGTGGTTTTTCCATCAAGCAAAGTATATTCAAATAGTGTGTCTCAAGAGCAAGATAAAACAACTCCAGATACCACTGGATTATAACAACAGAAATATTTAGTGTTTTGGTGGCTTCAGAATATTTCTAATTTTAGTAGATAATATAATTCTGTGTAGGTAGACCACTGAATAAAGGAAAAAACGACAGAATTTAAATCATAAAAAAGTATTAGTGTTCTACTTCCACTTAAAAGGATTGAACTAAAAAAAAATAGAAATCAAAGGAGGGTTTAGTGTTAATGTTGTAGGATGTTAGACATTGTTCTGTGTATACAAGTAATGCCTTAAAGAGTCCACATTTGCATTCACATTACTAGCTTATACTTAATTTAGAAAGTTTAGGAATCCATCCTTAATAGCATGTTATACTGAACTAAAGAATGATTTTTAAAGATTTTGAGGATCAATATTTAGGGTGTAAGAACTGAAGGCTTTTGCAAGATAAATTATTTCATAGGTAACTTCTCTCTCATTAATAGCAAGCACAGTTGTTTAGCTTGCAGATAAACAGGTTTGAAGTTCCTTTTTTTTTTTTTTTTTTTTTTTAGACAAAGTCTCGCTCTTGTCTCCCAGGCTGGAGTGCAATGGCGCGATCTCGGCTCACTGCAACCTCCGCCTCCTGGGTTCAAGCGATTCTCCTGCCTCGGCCCCCTGACCCAAGTAGCTGGTATTACAGGCACCTGCCACCACGCCTGGCTAATTTTTGTATTTTTAGTAGAGACGGGGTTTCACCATGTTGGCCAGGCTGGTCTAGAACTCCTGACCTCAGGTGATCCACCTGCCTCGGCCTCCCAGAGTGCTGGGATTACAGGCATTAGCCACCGCGCCTGGCCAGGTTTGAAGTTCTTAAAAATGTGATTCATACTTTTAGATATCTAGCACAGTTTTAATATCTACTTTTTTAATGTGGTTATTGGTAATGTGTTTTCATTCTAATACATTGGTAGTAAATGCTTGGAGAAGAATTAATATTGTTACCATTAATAACATAGCTTCTAACTTTAACAAAGTAGGGGTAAATCAACATAAATTTCCTTAACTTTCTTTTATTATTAAAATAAAATTAAGTCTCTTAAGCTTCGTTTAAAGTTAGGTAAATGTCCTGTTGTTGTAGAACTTCTGAAGATTATAGTAGACTAGTGAAGTCCCATCATATACACATTTAATGTATGTCCTCATTTTTAGATTCTAACTTCTGTACAAAATGCAAATTAATAAGGTGTATAGGATAGCTATTTGTTGGCACCAAAATAAAAATGCCATCTCCAAAAGACAGGAAACAGGAGACTAAATCTCTACAGCTTTTCAAAAATTGGTGTATGTGTTTCGGATCAAGTAACACATATTCAATCCCACCAAAACTTCATTGAAAATCTATGAGCTGGACACTGTACTAGGTGCTTTTACACTTATCTCCGCCCTCAGAACGATAAACTTATTATTAAATTGGTGCTATAGATCATTAATATCAAAACATTCATTTACACCTAGGGAAAGAGCAGTAATACCTTAAACTATTTCATTCATTCCCCATTTACTCTAGCGTTTTAATTGTTTTTTCTGAAGCATAATGATACATTTCATGGGCTATTCTATACACATGATCATGTTGTTTCCAAATAAAGACAGTTTTACGTATTTAAAGAAAAAAGAATGAAGAAAACTTACAGAACTTGTAAACAACCTCAAAAGGGCAAAGCTTCAAGTCATAGAAGTATAAAAGCAGAAGAAAAGATAAACGGGGTAGAAAGCTTATTTAGAGACATAGTAACGGAACAGTTTCTAAACCTAGAGAAAGCTGTAAACATCCAGGTACTGGGAGGCCAGAAGTCTCCAATCAGATCCAATCCAAATAAGACTACCACAAGACATAACCACACTATCAAAAATCAAAGACAAAAAGTATCAAGAGAAAAGAAATGAGTAACATATAAGGGAGTTCTAATATGTCTATCAACAGACTTCTCAGCAGAAACATTATAGGCCAGGACAAAGTGTGATGATATATTCAAAGTGCTGAAGGGAGAAAACAAAAAACTGAACCAAGAGTACTGTACCTAGCAAAGCTGTCCTTCAGGAATGAAGGTGAGATAAAGACTTTCCTAGAAAAACAAAAGCTGAGGGAGTGTATTACCACAGGCCTGTCTTACAGGAAATGCTAAAGTGAGTTCTTCAAGCTGAATGAAAAGGATGCTGAACATGCAGTATGAAAAGACATAAATTTTGACATGAAAAATTCAAAATGGGTGGCAGAGAGAGGGGTAAAAATGTAGAGGTATTTTGTGATCAAAGTTAAGTTGTTAGCTTAAAATAACCTTTCACGGTCATAAGATTTTTTGGTAAATCTCATGTTATCCCATAAAGCAAAAAACCTGCAGTAGATACACAAAAAGTAAAACGGAATCAGAACATACCACTAGAGAAAATTACTGAACTACAAAGGAAGGTAGCACGAAAGGAAGTAAGGAACAACGCATCTGCAAAACAAATAGAAAACAATTAACAAAATGCTAGTAGTAAGTCCTTACCTATCAGTAATTACTTTGAATATAAATGGACTAAATTTTCCAATCAGAAGACATAGAGTGGCTGAATAGATTTAAAAAAAAAAGTCTCAAGTATACACTGCCTGTAAGAGACGTGCTTTATCTAAAAGAACACACATAGCCCGAAAGTGAAAAAGATATCGCATGCAAATGAAACCATAATATAACAGAAGTAGCTATACTTATATCAAAAACATAGACTTTATGTCCAAAACTAAAAAGCAACAAAGAAAGTAATTATACAATGAGTCAATTCAGCAAAAAAAAATAACAATTTGTAAATATATATAAACCTAACATCAGAACACTGAAGTATATAAAGCAAATATTAATACATCTGAAAAGAGAGACCACAGCACAAAAAATAGCAGGGCACTTCATTACCTCACTTTCAGTAATGAACGGGTCATCCAGACGTAAAATGAATAAGGGGATATTGGACTTAAACTGCACTTTAGATCAAATGAATCTAACAGACATATACAGAACATTCCTTCCAACGGGTGCAGAATATACGTTCCACCCAATCATACATGGAACATTCTCCAGGCTAGTGCATATGTTAGGTTACAAAGGAATTGAAATCATATCAAGCATCTTTTCTGAACACAATGGTATAAAACTAGAATTAGTAAAGGAGGAACCTCAGAAAATCCACAAATATGTGAAAATTAAATAATCAAAATTTATTTTAATTAATATTTATTAAATAATCCTAAATAATCAGTGGGTTAAAAAAGAAATAAAAGGGGAATTTTTTAAAAAATGTCTTGAGACAAATGAAAATTGAAACACAACATACCAAAACTTATGGGATGGAGCAAAATGTCTACAAGGGTAGTTTATAGTGACAAAGTCCTACATTAATAGAAATATCTCAAATAAATAACCTAATTTAATACCTCAATATACTAGAAAAACAAGAACAAACTAGGTCCAAAATTAGTAAAAGGAAGAAAATAATAAATATCTGAGCAGAAATAAATACAATAGAAACTAGAAAAACAGTAGAAAATATCAATGAAACTAAGAGTTCAGAAGATAAAATCAACAATCCTTTGGCTAGACTTAGTAAAAAGAGAGAAGACTCAAATAAATAAGCTCAGAAATGAAAAAGGCATCACAACTGAAATAAAATACATGAGATCATATAAGCCTAAGACAAATGCATAAGTTCCTTTTCACATACAAACTGCCAAGACTGAATTATGAAGAAATAGAAAATATGAATAGAACAAACATGAGTAAGGAGATTGAATCAGTAAGAAGTGTCCCATCAAAGAAATTCCAGAATGTGATGGTTTCACAGCTGAATTCTACCAAACATATGAAGAAGAATTAATACAATCCTTCTCAATTTCTTGGAAAAAAATCGAGGAGGAGGGAAAGCTTTCAAACTCATTTTACAAGGCCAGTATCACTCGGATGTCAAAGCCAGGCAAGGATACTATAAAAAAGAAAACTAGAAATCAATATCTCTAATGAACATAGATGCAAAAAATCCTCAACAAAATACTAGCAAACCAAATTCATCATCCCATTAAAAAGATCATTCATCATGATCAAGTGGTATGCATCCCAGGGGTGCAAGGATCATTCAATATATGTAAATTAATAAATGTGATACATCACATTAATAGAATAAAGGGCAAAATCCATATGATCATTGTAATAGATATGGATAAAACACTTGACAAAATTCAACATCCTTTAATCATAAAAACTCTCAAAATTAGGTATAAAAGGAATGTACATCAATACAATAAAAGTTGTATATGACAAATTCACAGCTAACATACTCAGTGGAAAAAATTGAAAGCTTTTTTCTAAGATCCAAAACAAGACAAGGATGTTCGGTCTCAACACTCCTATTTATTATAATACTGGAGGTCCCACCCAAAGCAATTAGGCAACAGAAAAATAAATAAAAGGCATACAAATTGGAAAGGAAGAAGGTAAATTATCCCACTTTCCAGACAGCATGATCTTATATATAGAAAACTCTAAAGACTCTGCAAAAAAACTATTAGAATAAATAAATTCAAATTCAATAAAGTTGTAGTATACAAAATTAACATACAAAAATCAGTATTATTTATATATACCAACAAAGAACCATATGAAGAAGAAATGCAGAAAACAATCCCATTGACAATAGCAAAATAAAATCAAATACTTGGGAATAAATGTAACCAAGGAGTTAAAAGACCCTTACACTAAAAAGCATAAGCCACTGATGAAACAAATTGAAGGAGACACACGTTAATGGAAAGATACTCTGTGTTCATGGATGAGTAGAATTAATATTGTTAAAGTTCCCATACTACCCAAAGCATCCTACAGATTTAAGGCAATCTCTATTACAATGCCAATGACATTTCCACAGAAATAGAAAATAGCAATCCTACAATGTCTATGTAACCACAAGAGACCCTGTATAGCCAAAGTCAACTTGAACTAAAAGATGAAGAATCCAACTTACAAGGGATGTGAAGGACCTCTTCAAGGAGAACTAGAAACCACTGTTCAGTGAAATAAAAGAGGATACAAACAAATGGAAGAACATTCCATGCTCATGGGTAGGAAGAATCAATATCATGAAAATGGCCATACTGCCCAAGGTAATTTATAGATTCAATGCCATCCCTATCAAGCTACCAATGACTTTCTTCACAGAATTGGAAAAAACTACTTTAAAGTTCATATGGAACCAAAAAAGAGCCCTCATTGCCAAGTCAGTCCTCAGCCAAAAGAACAAAGCTGGAGGCATCATGCTACCTGACTTCAAACCATACTACAAGGCTACAGTAACCAAAACAGCATGGTACTGGTACCAAAACAGAGATATAGACCAATGGAACAGAACAGAGCCCTCAGAAATAATGCCGCATATCTACGACTATCTAATCTTTGACAAACCTGACAAAAACAAGAAATGGGGAAAGGACTCCCTATTTAATAAATGGTGCTGGGAAAACTGGCTAGCCATATGTAGAAAGCTGAAACTGGATCCCTTCCTTACACCTTATACAAAAATAAATTCAACATGGATTAAAGACTTACATGTTAGACCTAAAACCATAAAAACCCTAGAAGAAAACCTAGGCAATACCATTCAGGACATAGGCATGGGCAAGGACTTCATGTCTAAAACACCAAAAGCAATGGCAACAAAAGCCAAAATTGACAAATGGGATCTAATTAAACCAAAGAGCTTCTGCACAGCAAAAGAAACTACCATCAGAGTGAACAGGCAACCTACAAAATGGGAGAAAATTTTTGCAACCTACTCATCTGACAAAGGGCTAATATCCAGAATCTACAATGAACTCAAACAAATTTACAAGAAAAAAACAAACAATCCCATCAAAAAGTGGGCAAAGGATATGAACAGACACTTCTCAAAAGAAGACATTTATGCAGCCAAAAAACACATGAAAAAATGCTCATCATCACTGGCCATCAGAGAAATGCAAATCAAAACCACAATGAGATATCATCTCACACCAGTTAGAATGGCGATCATTAAAAAGTCAGGAAACAACAGGTGCTGGAGAGGATGTGGAGCAATAGAAACACTTTTACACTGTTGGTGGGACTGTAAACTAGTTCAACCATTGTGGAAGTCAGTGTGGCGATTCCTCAGGGATCTAGAACTAGAAATACCATTTGACCCAGCCATCCCATTACTGGGTATATACCAAAAGGATTATAAATCATGCTGCTATAAAGACACATGCACATGTATGTTTATTGTGGCACTATTCACAATAGCAAAGATTTGCAACCAAGCCAAATGTCCAACAATGATAGACTGGATTAAGAAAATGTGGCACATATACACCATGGAATACTCTGCAGCCATAAAAAAATGATGAGTTCATGTCCTTTGTGGGGACATGGATGAAGCTGGAAACCATCATTCTCAGCAAACTATGGCAAGGACAAAAAACCAAACACCGCATGTTCTCACTCATAGGTGGGAATTGAACAATGAGAACACATGGACACAGGAAGGGGAACATCACACGCTGGGAACTGTTGTGGGGTGGTGGGAAGGGGGAGGGATAGCATTAGGAGATATACCTAATGCTAAATGACGAGTTAATGGCTGCAGCACACCAACATGGCACATGTATACATATGTAACAAACCTGCACATTGTGCACATGGACTCAGGAAGGGGAACATCACACACCGGGGACTGTTGTGGGTGGGGGGAGCGGGGAGGGATAGCATTAGGAGATATACGTAATGCTAAATGATGAGTTAATGGGTGCAGCACACCAACATGGCACATGTATACATATGTAACAAACCTGCACATTGTGCACATGTACCCTAAAACTTAAAGTATAATAATAATAAAATAAAAAAAGACCAAAAAAAAAAAAGATGAAACAAGAGGCATCACACAACCCAACTTCAAAATATACTACAAAGCTACAGTAACCAAAACATCACGGTGCTGCATAAAAACGGGCACATAGACCAATGGAACAGAATGCAGAGCCCAGAAATAAATCTGCACATTTACAGACAACTCATATTCAACAAAGGTGCAAAGAACACAGAGTAAGGAAAGGACAGTTTCTTCAATAAATGATGCTGGGGAAATTGGATATTTACATGCAGAAGAATGAAATTAGACTCTTATCTCACATTATATATAAAAATCAACTGAAAATGGATTAGAGACTTAAATGTAAGACCCAAATCTATGAAACTAATAGAAGAAAATGTGAGGTGAAAGCTCCATGACATTGGTCTGCCCAATGATAATCTGGATATGATCTCAAGGGTAATAAAAGCAAAAATAGACACATGGAAACATCACACTAAAAAGCTTCTGCACAGTAAAGGAAACAATCAACAGAGTGAAGAGACCACCTACAGAAATTTGGAGACTATACATTCAATAAAGGATTAACACTGAAAATATATAAAGAGCTCAATTTAATAGCAAGAAAACAAATAACCCAATCTAAAAGTGGGCAAAGGACCTGAATAGACATTTTCTTAAAAGAAGACATACAAATAGCCAAGAGGTATATTAAAAAATGCTCAACTTCACAAATTATCAGATAAATACAAATCAAAACCATAATGATATATTACCTTACACCTATTAGAAAGGTTATTAAAAATAATAACAAGTATCGAGTAGGATGTGGAAAAAAGGAACTCTCACAGTGAGCAGGAATGTAAATTAGTACAGCCATTATGAAAAGCGATATGGAGTTTTCTCAAAAATATTAAAAGTAGAACTACCATGTGATCCAACTATCCCACTACTGAGTATATATCCTAAGGAATAGAAATAAGTGTGTTGAAGAGATATCTGCACTTCCATGTTTATTGCAGCATTTTCCACAATAATCAAGATACAGAATCAACCTAAGTGTCCATCAATGGATGAATGAATAAAGAAAATATGGTAAATACACATAATGGAATACTATTCGGCCATGAAAAATGGTGATGATTTGCAACAACATGGATGAGTCTGGAGGATATTATGTTAAGTGAAATAAGACAGATACAAAAAACAAACACCACATGATTTCATTCATAGGTGGAATCTTAAAAAGGTTGATCTCATAGGAGTAGAAAGTACAGTGGTGGCTACCAGGGCTGGGCTGGTTTGTGGGGACAGCAGGCTGGTTGGGGAGATGTTGGTCAAAGCACAGAAAAATTCAGGAAGGTAGGAGTTATAAGCTTAAGACATCTATTGCACAAGTCAAGTGTAATATGTTTAAGACATATATAATTACATGATACTGTATTCTTGAAAAATGCTGACAGTGGATGTAAGGTGTTCATTCCACAAAAATGGATACCTATGTTACATAATGCATATTTTAATTTGCTATATTTCATCACTTTGCAACATTTATATACTTTAAATCATCATCTTGCATGCAGTAAATACATACAATTTCATCTGTCATTAAAAAAATAAATTTTTAAAAAATTTTGTATTATCTATATATCAAAAACTCTAGCATCTATAAATATATATTGCAGTTTGGAAAACATAGCTCTTTAAAAGGACTTTATAATTTTTTGGTAGACTCTGCACACCAAATTCTGTGCTTTTTCTGTTTCTCTCTGATTACTGCTGTCTTTTCACTCATGGGTTCTTTTTATATTAATAAAGGTAGCAAAGCAATTGGCATTGGAATTTACACAGAATTTTAAGAAAATCAGGATACAGTGAATTTACTGAGGCAAAGAAGTCAGGTTACTGGTCCAAAGCTCAAATTACCTTAACATACAAGCTGTCATTTTTACAAATCCATGAAAAATGAGTAAGGAAATTGGTTCTTGAATAATATGGTCATGCCATTTTAAACTCTTCGTTTTTTCTCTTTTTGTTGAAAGAATGAAGAAAATATATTTAAATTACTCATAGTCCCACCACCAAGAAAAGATATTTTTCATTTGATTCAAATACATTCATTATTTATATTTGCCTTAATAATGAACATATCATTTAATATTCTTTTACGTAATGATCTTTTACAAATCTTTTACTTAATATTCTTTTACAAATAATCTTTTACTTAATATTATATAAAAAGCATTTTCTTATGATTCTACATCACCCTCATGATAATTATTTTTAAGACTCCATCCTAATGAGACATACACTGTTTACCATAATTTTGTTGTTAGATCTCTAGGTTGTTTCTGATTTCTTGCTGTTGAATGCTAAGACTGCTGTGAATACCTTGAGCTTAAAGCATTATTCCCTTTCTTCAATTAGTTACTGTCCCAGAGCATATATTCCCAGAAATTTTCCATTTTTAAATATATATATTTAAAATATTTAATTATATTGTTCTTCATAACAGCTCCCAGCTTGGGAAATTATTAATGGTTAAACACAGGATCCATAGACAGCTTCATGACAACGAAATGCAAGCTTTGAATATTCTACTGCTTAGATATTTGTACATAAAAATACCAGAAATCATAGACAAGTAATCTACTAAAGATTTGACAGAAATTGATTCAAATAAATGAAGTCTTTTACATAAATGTGCCAATAAACTTAATTCAAAAATGTTACCCAAAATGCACAAATGACCAGTAACCAAACACATACATAGTATTTTCTATGTACCCCATATATATAATTTTTTAAACACTCCATAACTTAATCTGTCTTGCAAAGTGTTTACTCTGTCCCAAAGGATCCACCTCTAATCTAGTAAATGCAAAAAGCGTATAGATTAAGTGAAATCATGAACAGACACAGAAGCTCAATTTAAAATAATGTCATAGTGAAAAAAAAAAGTACCCCACTTACCTATATTAGTTAATAGATGTCAAAATGGCCTGCTTGACAGCAATAGAAGAATGGGACCACTTCAATTACAGATTTCATGGAATTCCCCCCAGAATTTCCATTTTTATTGGCCTCTTATATTCAGCCCAAAGGTGTTGCATAAGCCCCTTCCTGGCAAGCAGGAGTACATCATCAATTTTTTTTGACAGTTTTGAAAGTCTACAATTTAAATTGCTGTTTCACCATTTCAGACTCCATGGAAAGTTCCAATATGTTAACATAATTCCAGATTCACTATTCTCAAGTGTGCTGGTAACTGAGCAGCCTTCTCTGAAGGAGTCTTCTTGAGTGGCCAGATCTGTTTTAAAAATTTTAGAGGTGACTCCAACTTTATATTTCTCTTATACACATACATACCATTCATACACAGTGTCCTTGGCAACGACTCAATTTTTAAAAGGTTTTTTAAACTCCAAATGGCATGATGGATTATAATAATAATGTCAACTAAATATTTATTGAGTGCCTATTCTGTGTTAGGTGCTGTTCTAAGCACTTTATATTTATTAATTTATTTAATCCTCACAACAATCTTAAGAGGAAGGGATGATTTTGTTTCTGCTGCAGGAAATTGAGATACAGAGAAGGTCAGGCACCTTGTTCCAAGTAGGAGTAGCTAGAGAGAACAATTGAATGGTAAAATCAAGATTTAAATTCAGGCATTCTGTCTTGAGAGTTTAACCACTTAACCACTACAGATACTCCCTTACCACTTAATTAAGGGTCTTCTGTGTTGGTCTTCTATTTTTTCCATTTCCTCTTGAGAAAAGCAAGATATTACTGGACCTATAGCCCTACAGACCTCAAGAACTTGATGATGCCTTGGTTGCCCTGCCTCCAAATAGGTAGGTCTCATAATCTGCCAAGGAATAGAACGAATTTTACAAATGGGTAAAATAATATTTGACTTTTTCTTAGATAGAAACCTAAAAAAAGTCTTACTAGGAAAATGTGTACAACTAAAATCATATATAAGTTGATTTTGAATTTTCTGTTTGAAATAATAATAGATATTTGCTCTAATTTTTATATTGGAAAGTTAAAGTCATTTTTTTCCCAAAATTACCTAGCTAAAACCGGAAGATGCTAAAACTCAAAATAAATAACAATTATGGAAAATGTTCAGACAAGACCACTTAATGACATGTCTGAAACAAGACAGACGTTATTCTCATCTGATTAACATCCTCTCTTCTGATTAACATTAGTGATTGCTACTTTTTTACTAGTAACTACTCTGGGCCCACTTTAATTCTCCTGCCTCCCAGACTAAAAAAAAAAAAAAAAATAAGTCCACTTACTGACTTATCCCAGCTTCTTAAGAACATCCAGTACAGAACTGGACTCCATGTTTTAAAATCCAGCCTTCAACCATGCAATTCAAAGCCAAATCATATGTAAGAAGTTCCTGCAAACTCTCTTTTACTAGGACAACCCATGGTTTCTCTGGAGTGCATTCTTACTGGCAGCAGTAAGCTAAATAAATCTAACATGGACTTACAGATATGTTCCTAGAGCTCTTTGGTTGATGGCCTATAATAGCTTCTAGATTGTTTGGCTACATACAAGGTGGTGCTAAGGTATATTAAAAAGTAATATTTGAGAAAAAACTTCAAATTTCCTATTTTGTGTATGTTGAGTTTAGGATGCTTTTGAGACATTCAAACGATGTTAAAGTAGTGCTATCACAAAGGGGAAGCTTGGATACACCTTTAGAAGTTACCAACATATAAATGGAAATGGAAGTCAGGATATAGATGATATCACTCAGAGTAAAAAGCATAGGAAGGGAAGAATGAGAAACTATCACTGAATCTGGAATAACTCCAGTATGAAGGTTCTGTAGAGAAGGACTGACAAGAAAGGCTGAGAAAGTTCATCCAAAATTCAAGTACAAAAACCAAGAGCATATCATCACATAAACCAAAGAAGAGAATATGCCAGGGCCTATGGAGTGACCAATGTTTGAAAACATTTTAGAGAGCAAGTAAGAAGACAATTGAAAAATGCCCTTTGGAGTTTGTGATATAAGTATCAACTTGATTGGATTGAAGTATGCAAAGTACTGTTTCTGGGTGTGTCTGTGAGGGTGTTGCCAAAGGAGAGTAACATTTGAGTCAGTGGACTGGGAGAGGCAGACCCACGCTCAATGTGGGTGGGCACCATCTGATAGGCTGCCAGCGGTAGCAGAAGAAGGTGGGATAAGCTGACTTGCTGAGTCTTCTGGCCTTCAACTTTCTCTTGTGCTGGATGTGTCCCGCCCTGGAAAATCAGACTCCCAGTTATTCAGCTTTTGGACTCTTGGCCTTACACCAACGGTTTGCCAGGGGTTCTCAGGGTTTTTGTTTTTTGTTTTTTTTTTTTTTTTTTTTTTTTTGCTACAGATGGTCTGCTTCCCTACTTTTGAAGTTTTGGGACTTGGACTGGTTTCCCTTGCTCCTTAGCTTGCAGAAGGCTTATCATGGGACTTCACCTTCTGATTGTGTGAGTCAATACTCCTTAATAAACTCCCTTTATATATACATCTATCCTATTAATTCTGTCCCTCTAGAGAACCCTGATTTAATACAGAGTTCATCATTGGTATTTTTGTGAGAGATTTTTTCAGAGTTATGATGGAAACAGAAGCCAGATTAAATGGAATAGGAGTAAGTATGAGGCAAGCTAAGTGAAGAAAGAAGGAAGGATCATCCAGAAAAAGGGACAGCATGATAGTACTATAAGTAGTGGTTAAATGTATAGACTCTAGATTGAGACTGATAGAGTTCAAATTCCAAATTTGTCTCTTACTAGCTGTGTGACATTAGTCAATTATTTAACTTATTTGTGTCTCAGTTTCTCCATTTGTCAACTGGGGGTAAAACAGTAACTGACCACATGGGGTTGTGAGAAGGAATAGATCCATTAATACAGAGTCTTGAATGTAGAAATTTCTCAATGAATATTAGCAACAATTATTACAAAAACATATTACAAAAACACCCATAGGGGCTTGAAAATAGATCAATGTGAATGGTGGTTGTAGTGCTAAGACCTGAGAGATTGACAGGGTTGTGGACATAGAGGACCTTGATTGCCATGTTAATGAGGTAGATCTCCTCTCAAGCCATAGGATCCACTGAAGGAGTTTAATAAAGGAGTGATATGATTGTATTTCTATTTTAGAAAAATCACACTGACTGTTGGCTAGATGATGGATTGGAGCAGAACTGATGTGGGGGTTAGGACAGCAATTAGTAGCCTATTCCAAAAACCTAAAGGAAAAGTGATAATGCCTGGATTAAGACAGAGGAAGCAGAAATGAACAAGGAAAAAAAATTGTGAGAAAAGTCAAGGAGGTACTATTATTATGACTTGGTTTCTGATTGATATTGCAAGAGAGGGACAAAATGAAGTCTAGGATACACACCAAGCTGAGTGGCTGCTAGCTGAGTAATGCAGCCATTTACTGGGGCAGAAAATCCAGGAAGGACAAAGGGCTAAGGGGTTGCTTGGGAATTGGGAGGATGAATGCTCAGTTTTGGATATGTGGTATCTATTGGATATGGGACACCAAATGAAGATACACAACTTAGAACCCATAGGAAAATTTGAGCTCAAGATTTATAATTATTGTTTCAGACATGAATGTTCAAATAGTTACTGAGGAAGACTAGAGAGGAAAACATGCTTGAAAAATGTGTTATTCAGAAGAGTTAATTTAGGTAAATGATGGCAGTTGACAATAGACAAATGCTGAATCTTATTGAGAATTTAGTAGAAGACAAATAATGGCAACTTCTATAGCTGCCTAACATCCTCAAATGGGGTTCTTTTATTCAACAGTGGAGATTAAGGATGAGGAATAACAATAGGGACCAAGAAGAAGCCTAGCCCCTTTCTCTTCCCCTCAGCCTCCCAGCTTCTCCTTGTGGTCCAGGTCTTGTGAGAAAAATAAGCATTGTGCACTGGAGAGAGTGGCAGGAGAAGAAGTGCCTGGAGAGCTAGCCACACTTCAGGGAAGCACATGTATGGTAAAAAGGTAGATGGTGTAGGGTAGTTGGTTTTCTCTAAATGGGGACTTCCAGAGGACCTCAGTGGAAAGGATGGCAGCAGTAAGGGAGTGAGTGAGAAGAAGGAAGAACAGAGCAGTACAGTTAGAGCATAAAGAAGGCTAGATGATTGGAGGGACATGTTTTGTCCATTGGGGAAGGACAACAAGGTGAAGACATGTACTTCTGAATTTTTGGTTTTTCAAACAAAGCCCCTGAGGGACCTCAGATGGTCACTTTCTGTCTCTGTGGTAAGTGGTATGATAATTCCTCAGCCCAAGTAGTAGCTGTTGCATACTTATCTCAAGTGAAACCCTTTTCCTTACCTTCTTCCTGGCATGCTGTGCTCACATTTCCAGACCCATCTTAAATGTCATTCTCTCTAGAAATCTTCCCCAACTAACCTTAGCAGGCATAATTTTTCCTTCCTTTAAGCTTCCATGGCTTTTGGTGTACATATGTCATTGTAAGTAAAATATTCCCACTCTACAGTGGAAGTCAAAAAGATGTACATGATTTGCCCAAGGTGATCCAGATTTTCTGACTCCAAGACCAGTGTTCTTTGTTTTGTTTTGTTTTGTTACATGTAGACGCTTATGAGGCCACTCACAGGTGGCTTAGCCTTTTAAAAACAGAAAGGTACCAAACTCTAATAATCTTCTAGATTCATAGAAAATAGCTCCATGTTTGCCAGGATGGCTATTCTTTGCTTTTGCTCCAACGCAGGGGGTATGTTGCCTTGCTTCTGACATGTAGGAAGAATGCAGAGAACATGTTCCTCATGGAAAGGGACTCATGAATGGACCACTGCTCAGGTAACAAAACTATCAGGTGCGCATTTGGCACATGTGAAATGCTTACGAATTCCATGATTGGAAAGATATTTCTCTGTCAGACAATCCATTCTGTGGATAAAATGACTTGCCATTTTCAAAGGATCACAACATCTTTGTTTAGCCCCTACAATGTCTTGTTTTGTTTTAATTTTTACTTTACAAATAATAAGTATATATATTTATGGAGTACAACGTGATGTTTTTATATATGTATACACTGTGGAATGATTAAAGCAAACTAACATTTATCACTTCAACTATATTTTGGGGTGAGAACATTTAAAATGTACTCTTTTATTAATTTTGAAATATATATTATTACCTGTGGTTACCATGCTGTGCAATAGACCACTAAAACTTTTTATAAATGAAACTTTGTACCTTTTGACGAGCATTTCCCCTTTCCTCACCCTCCCACTGCCCAAGCCTCTGGTAGCAACCATTCTACTCTACTTCTATGAGCTCAACTTTTTTAGATTTCACATATAAGTGAGATAATGCTGTATTTGCACCTCTGTGCCTGTCATTTCACTGAACATAATGTTTTCCAGGTTCATCCATGTTACAGAAAATGACAGAATTTCCTCCTTTTTTAAGCCTACATGTTATTCCATGGTGTATATGCACCACATTTACTTTATCTCTTCATCCACTGATGGACACTTAGGTGGTTTCTGTATCTTGGTTATTTGTGAGTAATGATGCAACAAACATGGGAATTCAGGTGTCTCTTCTATGTACTGATTTCATTTCCTTTGGATATATATCCAGAAATAGGATAATAGGATTGCTGGATAATATTGTTATTCTGTTTTTAGGGTTTGTTTTGTTTTGTTGTTGTTGTTGTTGTTGTTTGAGCTGGAGTCTCACTCTGTCGCCCAGGCTGCAGTGTAGTGGCACAATCTTGGCTCACTGCAATCTACGCCTCCCCAGTTCCAGTGATTCTCCTGCCTCAGCCTCCTAAGTAGCTGGGATTACAGGCACGCACCAACACACCTGGCTAATTTTTGTATTTTTAGTAGAGACGGGGCTTCACCATGTTGGCCAGGCTGGTCTCCAACTCCTGAACTCAGGTGATCTGCCCACCTCGGCCTCCCAAAGTGCTTGGATTACAGGTGTGGAGCACCATGAGCGAGATTCCATCAAAAGAAGAGAAGAGAGGAGAGGAGAGGGGAGAGGGGAAATGGCAGAAGGGAGAGGGAAGAAACAACATGGGGATAGAAGCTGAAAGGTCACAGTATATAAAGAAACTCCAGAGACAGTGTTTGACCATGTGAAGCCAATGTTATGGGGAATTAACAACTATATATGAAGAGATCATGAGAGAGGAGAGATTAAGGCAATACAGACGGAAAGACAGAAATGTCATAAGATCCAAGGAGGTAGAGGGAACACCTGATACCTGAGTTGCTTTCTGGAAGCCAAAGAACCACTATTCCTATGGTTTTTCCTTTCCATTCACTGTCTATTGTCTCCCAGCCTTCTTTGCAGATTCTTCTCTATTTTTCCTTTAAATATTAGTCTTCTTCATTCAGAGCTCTGACCTTGGGCTTTCTTCAACCTATTCTCTTTCCAAGGGGCATGGCCATGGCTTCCCATACTGCCAATATACTGATGAGGCCCAGATATTAATTTCTAGGATCTCTCTCCTGAGTTCGAGTCCTGCTTATCCAGATGCCTGGTGAATATTGCCGCTCCCCAAATACATTTTACTAGCCCTCAAAATGAAATTATCTAAAATGGAACTTCCCTGTCAAAACTTCCCTTTTTTTTAGTACTTCTTTTTGGTGAAGGAAACCCTCAGCTGAAAACCAAAAATCATCCTAGGAAGCTCTCTCCTTTTAATTCACTTAAACATTGTTATATTCATTCTACCTTTTTCATTTCTTTTGACTCCCTCTTCTTCCAGTCCCACTGCTACTGTCTAAGCTCAGGGCCTCTGAGCTGCCCTTTTAGTTTCCTGGCATCAGTATCCTAACCCTGCTCATAACTCTTCTGTGGCCATCCGATGTTCTTACAGGAAACCCTCAACATTTTCGCATGGCATTCAAATCCTCCATGAGGCTTCCCCTGGCTATTTCATCAACATAATATTTTGCTGCACTCCATCTAACCCCAGGTTTCAAGTTATCCAGACTTTCTGTGACTCCCACAACATCTCAAGTTGTTCCCTCCATCTGGACTTTGCTCTCCCTAGTCTCCCTTCCAGGAAAGCTAACTTCCCTCTCTCTTCCTGTCAACACTTTCCTATGTTGTCCTTTAATATTTATGATCCTGCCTCCACAGGAAATCGCTATCTTTTTATTATGTCCCAACTATACTCTGTACAGATGCCTATGACAACATCGATAGCACTTTATTACACTTAATTTTAAAACTTTTGCATCCCTCTATTTGACCTGGAGGAGCAGAAAATATATCATTTTAACTGTTTGTCCTATGCCTAGCAGTGAAAGCATTCAGAATATGCTTTGGAGGAAAGGAAGGAAATTAACACACTGATCCTCTATGGAGAAAATAAATTAGTCCATCCTCTGAGAGAAAAGAATAATTCAAGGTAAGTGAAGTCATGAAATGCAGTGGTCATAATTCAAAATGCTCACACAGACACACACACACACACCCCACACCACACAAAGCTTTTTTACGGAGGACAAAAAAGGGTATCATCTTCTTCCTCAGAAAGATGTAACATCACCTCAACAATTGGAAGCAGAAACCTTCAAAGGTAGGATAACTAAGCAAAGAAGACAATTCTTGAACTACATAGATAAATTCTCAGGTATATAAAGACATTTTATTTACATACGTATCTTAGCAAGAATGCTAGGCAGTAGGCAACTGGAGTTTGCTCCACGTTGATTCTTGTAAAGAGAAATTGAAGTCCTTCACAGAGGCATGGTCCCAAGTACGCTGGCAGACAGGAGGCAGGAAGGGCTCTGTCACAGCTGATAACAGTGCTAAAGAGTCAATTAGTCTCTAATTAGCTGAGGAAAAGCTGCTGCTGATGTTTCTGTGAGCCTAAAGAAATGTTTTAAGGACAGTTGAAATTGGAATGTAATCATCTCTGTTTAGGATGTAATAAATGATGCATGTAATCAAGGATGAGAGAGGACCTTCACTGCTCTAGCTAGTCTGGGTTACATGGGCTAAGGTACTGAATGAGAAATTGGGGCTGTGAGTTATTAGCCAGGTGTTCCTCCCGTTTGTACTGTGGTATTTAAGTGCACAATCATGTGCCACCCATCAGTCCAGGAGTGAAGGAAACTGCTAAGGCCAAGGAGGCACACTGAGTTTGGGTTGAGAAAGAGCACAGGAAACAGGGAGGAGCCCTTGATGAACGGGCTTCTTCATCCAACAACTCTGCACCTTCTCACAGTTTCTGGGGAAAAGGGACTGAGAGAAAGAACTTTTGCCTCTCAGAATGGAATGGTAAATGGCAAGCTGAATATTCTAGTCAAGAATGGGAGTTTGCTTTGGCTTCCACATTTTGAGAATGATTTCTTCCTTAATGTAATGTATCCTGAGGGAACTGGGGGCAGGCAATGCATAATTTCTCCCTTGGCAGTTCTTCTGCCCCAGAACTGTAGGCATAGAGTTGAGTTGATGCTTGCATATGTTTCCTTTGTGTGAAACATTCTCTTTCATCTCTACTTCATGCCTTCTTATTCTCCAGGATTCCTCATGCACATCAATTCCTGAGGGAAGCATTTCCTGATATTCTGCCCACACCTCTACCACCACCTAAGATAGGGGTAAGAACATCATCTAGGTCACTCTCATATGTGATTATTGGATCACATAAACATTATAGTACCATGGCCTATTTATGTATCTACCTACAATATTGGATATGAATTCTTCATAGATAGAAATCATCTGATTCATCTTTGAATCTCCAGGTTCTGACATGGAGATTCTCATTCAATTAAGGTTTATTGAACTAAACTATATAAGATAAGGCAAAGCTGGTTATAATGCAATATTCAAAATGGAAGCATTAAAGATATTGTAATGTACTTCCCAGGGTAAAGGACAACCTAAGGAGTAGTAGGCCTGGAAAATGGGAATAAAAATGGCATAGCTAAACTATTTCTGGACCATGGACCTTTTGACAGTCTGGAAATGCCTTTATACTTCTTCTCTGACAATGTTTCAAATACATAGTAAAATACGTAATATGACAAACTAAAGTATTTCTTGACGAAAATGTAGAAAATCTTTGTGACCTTTGGTTAAGAAAATCTTTCTCAGGACACAAAAACACAAACCATAAGCCAAAAAATTGACAAATTGGACTTAGTCAAAATTGTAAATGTCTGCACTTCAAAAGAACTGTTAAGAAAATGAAATACAGGCCACACATTGATAAAAGAAAAACTGCAAAGCACGCACCTGATAACTTGCATGCAGAATACATAAATAACAAAACATTCAACTCAGTAAAAAGAAAGGCAAAGAGTTGGAACAAATGTCCATCAATGAAGATGTACAGATGGCCAATAAACACATGGAAAAATACACAATATCATTAGTCATCAGGGGAAATAGAAATCAAAAGTACAAAGAGATATCACTATACTGCCAATAGAATGGTTAAAATTAAAAGAATTGATAACATTAATCATTGGAGACAATACAGAACAACCAGAGCACTAATATGTTGTGGATGGGAATATGAACAATAGGGTTATTTTGGAGAACAATGTGACAGACTTTTATAAAGTTAAACATATACTTACCCTATGACCCAACAATTCCACTCATAGATATTTACTCAAGAGGAATGAAAACATATGTTCACACAGCAAATGTTAATAGTTGTTTTATTCACAGTAGCCAAAATTCCATTAACAGGAAAATGGCTAAAAATATTGTGGTATATTCATACAATGGAATACAGCTAAGCAGCAAAAATGGACAAACTACCAATATATGCAACAACACGGGTGAATTTCAAAATCTCATTATACTAAGTGGCTAAGTAAAATAAGCCAGGCACAATAGACTACATGTTATATGGTTCATTTATATGACATTCTAGAAAAACTGTGGAAACAGAAAACATATCACTGGTTGCCTGTGGACTGTGAGGGAAGAGAGGCATTGTCTACAAAGAAACATGCGGGAATTTTCTGCAGTGATTGAAAATATCCCAAATCTTAATTTTGGTTGTAGATATACAACTTGTATGTTTGTTAAAACTCACTGAACTGTATACTTAAAAGGGGTCAGTATTACTGCATGTAAATTATTTTTCAATAAAGCCTGAGTTTTTTTTAATCTTAAAGTTTTATCAGAGAGAAATTATGAGTTACTAGTTATTAGTGTTACTAAAGCTAACTTGCCCTTTTAGAGAATTCAAGCTCAGGTTTTCCCCCCGCCCAAAGGAAAGGCATTTGTTCATGCTCTAAATACTGAGAGGAACAGATGCATTGGCTCAGCAACTTACTGAGTTTGTATGCTATTTGGAAATTGGATTGCTTTGATAAATTACTTGCTAGCCAAGAAGAGCATTAAGGGATTATTTGTCCGCCATGATTTCAAATTTTTCCCTAATGATAAAATCATTTGAAATAAAAGAGTGCAGCCAAAGTAGTTTTACTTGGGAAGATATTATTTCATACATAGACATGTCAGAAACAGTGTAAGCATGAAAAGGAAATATATTCTAATGTTCCCTTTTTTACTTACTTTGTTGTAAATAATAGCACCAAACAATTTCAATCCTAAATAGCACATACTTCAGAATTCCCTTTAAGTGCTTATCATCTTAAAGACTTGAAATCATATGTGGTTGTGGGTGTTGTAAACTTCACTCTTCAATTTGAATCTTTACTTCTCAGTTCATTTTAATACCTGCATTAATTCTAACGATTTGGGGAGACTACTAGATTATAGCACTGTTTTAGCATGTTTATGTGCTCTAATATTTGCCTACTGCATTACATAGCACACTTTCTTTTAATAGGACTCTATGTGTTTTAAGAATTTCCTTGCAAATAATTGATATTTAAATCAATAAGGACTCTACGTGTTTTAAGAATTTCCTTGCAAATAATTGATATTTGAATCAATAATGCAAAGAAAAATGTTAAAATCTTCATAAAGGAAATTTCTTTCATTTATTTGTTAATAAAACATTAACATTATCCGCCTTATCCAAAACAATTGTTTCTCATGTACAGTTTATGGAATGAAAAGCCACTGCTTATTTTAAATGAGTTCCTGTGTAACTGTCAAATTAAATGAACTAATTCTTACCTTTAGGCCTTTTCAACATTTTGTCATAACATTAGTTGTTTTAATGAACTGGTGGTAGATAGTTTAGTTATTTCCAATTTTTTTTATTGCGAGAAAGACCAACTAACTACCAAGTTAGCACATATTTTTACATTTTTCCTTGTACAGAGTTGAGCTTCAGGTAATTGTTTACTGTCTTTACATGAAGCTATTCTTTTACATATCTAGATCTGCTGATGTCTGACACACTAGCTACTGGCCACATAGAATTATTGAAATTAATTAAAATTAAATTAAAAGTGTGGTGATCCTAGATAAATTTCATGTGCTCAATAGCCACATGTGGTTTGTGGCTATCCTATTGCTCAGCACAAATATAGAATATTTTTATCATCACAGCCGTTGTATTACTTACTGCTTGTCTAGTCCAGGGTCAGAAAACCTTTTCTTAAAGTATTAGATAGTAAATATTTTAGGATTTATGGGACAAGAGGCAAAATTGAATCTATCATTTAGGTACTTATTTAACCATGTGAAAAAATCAACCCATTCAAATATGGAAAAACCATTCTTCACATGAAGGCTGTAAAAAACAGGCAATAGGCTGGATTCGAGCCATAATTTGCCTACTCGTGGTATAGATCATTCAATCCTATATTCATTAAGCACATCTTTATTGAGCGCCTCTATCTTTTAAGCAGTGGCCTAAATATTAAGCTTAGTGAACAGAGAAACAGTTCCAACTCTCCTGGGGTTCAAAACATAACAGAAAAGACATATCAAAAATTAGACAATTATTCAATTGTTATAATTTGACAAGTACAACGAAGGAAATGTAGAAGATGTGCAGGGAAAACTAAACCAGCCTAAAAATTAACTTGACCCTAAAAATTATCTGCAACTAATATTATGTTTTAATATGTGCCAAGTGCTGTTTATTTTAAACTTTCCAACTGATCTACGTGAAAAAGATGCTGTATACATTAATGAATCCAGCTAATATTTTTAATGGATTAATGTTCAGATGTATAATGTTCTCATAAACCATCTGTTCTATAAATCTGAAATAATGGTACATCTAATGATAAAAATGATGTTTGAAAAAATAATATTTGTTGATATTTATAATTTTCTTTTACTTTTCTTTATCTAGAATCTTTTGTAAGAATAAAAATGTATGAATTGAATGTTTCCTTGTAATCAGAAAAACTTGCCACAGATTACTCCTAATAGGGCCCGTACTTTCTATTAATTGCTTTAATCAAAATTCAAATTGAGTTCCTCATTAAATAAAATATTGTGATGCACATAAAACCAGCCAACTTTGACAGACTTTTTTTAGGACACATGACTTCTTTTTATTTATGAAAACTCAGTACATATAGTCAGCAAAGCAAAATAAAAATATATTCTCCATGATCCCTATACTAGCAATGTTCCTCAATATTATATTTGAGTTTCTTAGGCCTTTCTGGCATTTTGCAGTTTACTTAAATGCTGCCTTTTTATTGTTAGTGTCAAGAACTTTATATAAATCTAAATATTTGATCACTGAGCATGTGTGTGTAAGAGAGACTTGAGCAAGCAGAAATCATTTTAAATTGGGCACACGCCCTAAATGACAAATAGGCCAAATTGAAATTGCTTTTAGAGATTAAATCATGTGCCACATATCTGCTTTGTTGCAATAAATAAACCCCAAACTGTTAATTATGGCATTTATATATCAAGATGAGGATGAAATAAAGAGAATGAAATATTTCCCAAGGTCATAACATTGAATGTTTATTCTTCAGTTTCACTAAAATTAACAGGCCCAGAAGTAAATCCTTCTACTGTCTCAGAGTTACATTGTTCTTTCCTGGTGACAAATTAAGTGTTCCAAGAAATTATAATTTGACATTCCCTTTATATTTTCTTAGAACAATGCATGTTGGAATGATGCCAAGAATATTGGAATTTAAAACCAAATAAAAAAAAGTAATGACTGAGTCCATCAAGAAAAAAAGATTCTGCCTCTGAATTGCTAGCTGCAGCACTGCTTTTTGATCACTTTTGCACAATTCGTAGCATAGAGCTGCTACTGTTGTTCTTTAATACAGCTTTTTACATATAAATTAGCTTCTGGTGCCCTCAAGGTAAATGTCCTCAGTTTATCTTTATTGAGAAAAAAAAAGTGATAGCCATTTAATTTACAGGATTGAAGCCCTTCCACAGTAATAAGGTCTTGCTGTCATCTGGGGAGAAGTCATAAGGGATTTTGACCACTGGTGTACATTTTCCTTGTGGAACATGGAACTTCTAAGCATCTGATGATAAATTCGTAGATTCTTTTATCCTGTGCATCCTCCATCTTCCTCCTTCATCTTTAGGAAGGGGCTAGGCTCCAACTCGCTCACACAATACCATCACCACTGAACTTGGCGGTACTCTTCCGATGATTTCCATTTGTTGGAAACTTGACACAGGAATTGGTGTTGGTGCAGAGGTGGAAGACGGACACAGTCTGCTGCTGAGGCCATAAGAGGTGATAATATAGATGCATTAGGCTGTCTAGTACCTACACCACCCTTTGTTTCTACATGGAATCTTCGTCAGTTAGATCAGTATGTCCTAATACTGATTCTTGAGGTCTCACCACATCCAAATGTTGTTTGGCACAGTTTCTACTTGCATTTCCACCATATCTTATGTCATTGAGGCCCCTCAGTTTTCTTACTGAGTCTATCAGCCCCACAGGAAAGCTCAAAATTTTGCCAGCATCTCCTTTCCCCCAGCAGAAGCTCCCTGCTGGGTTAAGATCAATCCTCAGCCACTAGGGAAAATGACAACCAAAAATTGCCAGCTTGTTTCAGAGTGATTCTCCTTTCCTTGGAATTTTTGTTCGTTCTGTTTTCTTACTCTGATATCTTTAAAAATGTGTTTATTTGTGGTTTATTTGCCTTTTTCTGGTTGTTGCAGTGTGTTGGCCTGTGGTGACCTGCCTGACAACAGACCTACTAATTTCATTTCAACATGCTGACGTATGTCTACTGTACCTCATCAATGGCTCTGTTCTGCAGAGCAAAAGGAAAACCTACCACAATGCATTTGATTCGATGAAGAGATAGAACTTAGTACAGAGTTGTATTGCTTAGAGTTTGGAAACAAACTATAATCATTTTTATTGGTATATGTTTGAAGTTACCACAGAGGCACAAAACTTTTTTTAAAAAATCAAGCACACACAAAGAAACAAAAGTTGAAAGTTGTTCACTGGTAACCTATCTTTTTAAAAAATAGTGCTAAAGAAAGGAATTCCTGGGAAGCATATATATATATATATATATATATATATATGTGTGTGTGTATTTATTGTGTATATATATTTACATTCTTATTTTAGACAGAACTATTCATATGCATTTTATTAATAAAATGTTTAGGAACCCACTTCCCACCTTCATATGTGTGCTTTTAACTTTTGAGCATCAGGAGTAACAACTGAGGAAAACGTCTAAGCGTGTTAAGTCTGCTCATACACCCTCATTTATCCCCCAACAATACACACACAACCTGCATGTATATACATAAATGGTACTTAATGGCATGTGAATTTTATCAGCTTACTCTATTCTGTTGAATGCTTTAAGGCACAGATTAATATTCTTACAAATTGTTTTATATATTTTAAATATACTTTTTACTTCAAGATAATTTTAGACTTACAGAAAAGTAGGAAAAAGAGTTCTCATATACCTCTTACCCCAGTTTTCTCTAATGTTACACCTTACATTCCCACAGCGTGTGTGTCAAAAGTAAAAAAGAAACATTGGATTATTACCATATTAACTTAACTCCAGACTTTATTTGGATTTCAACAGTTTTCCATTAATGTCTTCTTTCTCTTTCATGACCTAATTCAGAATACCACATTGTATATAGTGTTTTGTGATTTTTTAAAAAAATGGATGTTTTATAAGGTTCCACATTTTTTAATTCAGTGTCTTGTTTGTGCTTCTATATAAGCATTTAATGCAACAGTGTTCATCTGAGTATTGCTTTTGAGTGCCAAAATACCATGTTTTTCACACTCCAAACTCTCAGGAAGGCTTCCGAAGACAACTTGTCCCTTATTTATAATACTATATATTAAAGTAACTGAAAGTATTCAAAATAATGCTTACTTTGTGCAGAGTCCATGAACTCTAACCAAAATACATAAATGTCAAATTTGAGCAATACATTTTGATTGATTTTAAAATTCCATTTGAGGCACTACTTTTCTGAATAGATGCCCAAGGAAAATATTTTAAAATATTGTTGTATTAAAAAATTGTTTCCTATAGAATCTGAAAAGTTCTTTAGGTAGACTTTTAGTAAAATGTTTGAACAGTTTAAATGCTATTTCAGACTGTCAGAATGATGAATGTTTTTAAATTATTTTCATAATGATTTATCACTCCAGTTTACAGTACTTGAAAAATTTTTTTCGCTTCACCTAAATAACTGGCATTTTTGTGTTATGTTCTTTTCCTCGTTTTATACTCTGCTCTGAAGCACTTTCAAATTAAAAAAAGAACAGTATTGTATTCTAGGGCCATTAGTGAATGTGCATGAGCTATTATAGTCAATGAAATAAGCATTATATGATTGAAGATTAACTAAGAAAATGGATTATGGTGTAATTAAAAACACCAAGATAGGCGGGATGCAGTGGTTTATGCCTGTAATCCCAGCACTTTAAGAGACCAAGGCAGGCAGATTACCTGAGGTTAGGAGTTCGAGACCAGCCTGGCTAACATGGCGAAACTCTGTCTCTACTAAAAATACAAAAATTAGCCGAGCGTGGTGGCAGGCGTCTGTAGTCCCAGCTACTTGGGAGGCTGAGGCAGGAGAATTGCCTGAACCCAGGAGGAGGAGGTTCCAGTGAGCCTAGATCATGCCACTGTACTCCATCCTGGGTGACAAGAGCAAGACTCTTGTCTCAAAAAAACAAAACAAAACAAAACAAAAACACCAAGATATTCCTGGAAAAGCTATGAAAATATGTTTTTCAGTTAAGGGGAAGCACTTATCAATGCTGCCAGTCCTGGTAAAGATTGTCAACTCTAACATAATATAAAGCAGGCATTTCTTGTAATAAATATGAAGAGGATATTAGCCTTGATCTTAGCATAACTCTCTTCCAGGTAGGACTCCAGCTTCTGAAAGTAATTTTGTAATGCTCATCAACTGAAGATGACTGTAAAGCTTGGCACCAGTTCCTGGAGGCAGCCATGTTTCTGATTAAAGTCTGGGCCTAGAGAGCTGTATGGAAAGGTTTGGAATAGAGGTGATTTAGCCTAAAGAAAATTGCTAAACCATGGGTTACACACTGGTGGCCTGTAGTCCTATTTTGTTAGACACAGACAATGGATTTTATTTGTTTTTCATATTTGAATTAATTTCTGAATTCTTGAATATTGGCAGATTATGCTACAGGAATCTAAATTACTCTCATTTCTGCATGTCATTAAAAAAGTAGAGATGAGTAGCAGGCCCCTTTTCCCTGGGGCATGTGCTTCCCAGCTACATACACAGCACCCACCACACCAGAGTTTCCCTACCTGGCAACTACCAGTTATCATCACTCCTTAAGCAGCTGTTTTCTTACAGTGAAGAAGTTCCGTTTCCATGGTGCTATCAAAAGTAAGAAAAGGAACTATAGTTTGAGAGGCTGTGTTCTTAACCCATTGATGCTCCTAATGGGCCCTGAAGATATTTGACCTTGTGACCATGTGTAATAAGGTGATACATGTTCATCAAATTGTGGTGTCCTCCTCCCCTGACTTTCAAATGGAATTCAGATACAATTTTTACCCTTATTACGATTACCTACAATTATAATTATGCTACTTCTAAGTATATGACCTGGGGCAAGTTTCTTGACCTCTCTATGCCTCACATTCCTCAACCATAAATAGGGGATAAAAATAGTACCTATATCATAGAGTTGTCAAAAGAATTACATGAGTTAATGTGTGGAAAGCACTGAAGATAGTGCCTGGTAAATACAATGTACCATGTAAGTGTTCACTGTTGCAGTCCTCATTTATTTTCTGATTATACTAACATTTCACTTATTCTGTGTTGCTCATGTCACCTCCTAATTTGTAAGTGACTGGTAGAAAGAAACTTGTCCCAAGGGTATCTGACCTTCACCCACACTCAGCACTTCCATCAGTCTGCATCAGTTTTAGGGCCTGGAGATGTATTTGCACATATTGAAGGAGGTAAATAACTACAGTGAATAAGATAACATTCAGAAATTCAGGACTGCGACCTTAGAGATCATCTAGTCCAGGAGTTGGCAAGCTTTTTCTGTATGGGACCAGACTGTAAATATTTTGGCTTTGTGGCCATATTGTCTCTGTGGCAACTACTCAACTCTGCTGGTGCAATGCAAAAGAAGCCATGGGTTATATGGAATGAATAGGTGTGGCTGTGTTCCAATAACACTTTATTTATAGACACTGAAATTTGAATTGCATATAATTTTCACATGTCATTAAATATTATTCTTCTTTTGATTTTTTTTCAACCTTTTAAAAATGTAAAAACCATTCTCAGCTCTGGGCTATAAAAAACAGGTGGAAGATTTCACCCAGGAATTCCACCTGGGGATTTTTGTTGAACAGTGAAGCTACCTGGGCCCCACTCCAAACCCATTGAATAAAAATCTCTGGGTGGTGGGGCAATGGAATCTGTGCTGTGAACATGCGTGTGATCCCTACCAGTGTGGCTCTAGGGACCACACTTTAAGAAACTACCCAAGTGTGGAGACTTTATGGCCCTCCTCACAGATCTAAAAATGATTTATTAAGGTTGGTTATAACAAGTACCACACTGCAAATATGAATATGATCACTTTTGTCTTAAATTACTTAAATTTACTCTTCACATTCTCTTATTTTTATTATCAAAATTTCTTGTAGACAAAGGTCATTATTTTCTTCTACTATGTTTAAGGAATGTGACAGCACCTTGAACTTACCCTAAAATCACTGTACATTAGAGAAATCCTATTTCATGTTTTCATCAATGTGGGAATATGTGCATGTTTAGTGACATTCTTTGTGGTGGCAAAAAGTAAAATAAACTCTGAAAATAACTTTGTCCTGGTGAATAAATTGTGGTGCATAATTACATAAATTATGATGTCTGTATGTAAAAGAATGTGTTTAGCTACATGTACTGCCCTCGGGGAGGGATGTCCATCACATACTGATAACAACAACAACAAAAAAAGCAAAATGCAGAATAAAGTTTACAATACAATTTCATTTTCATGAAAAAAGGAAATACATGGATAATATTGGTTACCTCGGGCAGTTAAGACCAGATAGGGAAGTGGTGGGGGATAAAAAAGCATTTAACTTTTTCTTTAAACACATCTTTATTAACTTTTATAGTAATTATTTTTAAATAGAAAAATTGTAAGTGCAATTGGGAACAAAACCTCATCCTTTATAGTCTATTTGGTACACACATCCATTTCCCTGATAAGAAAGAGAACTCAGCTTCTAACACTCACAGACTCAGGCAAAGTAGAAAGATTTAACTTACTTATAATGTGAATTCACCTGCAAAATAACTTCATCATCATATTTTTTTGCTAAAGGGGAGTTATATTTATATAAAGCTCATCTAACGTCAAGTAGAGTCCTGACTTAGAATAAGCCTTGCTTTGACTAAATAAGTCAGAAAGAGGCAATCCATTCTGCTATTTTGGTCTTTATTTTCAATACACAGAGTATAATTTTCATAGGCCATGATTTGTTCCATTACAGAAAGTTTCTCAGAAAACTAATCCATCCAAATAATTGCTAATTACACAGCTCATGTTAGGCTTTCACTTTGCCCTCATATTTTTTAACAACAGATTTCATAAGAGTTGTGGAGAGCACGATTATCAAATGCTCAACTAAATTATTCTGTCTCATTTGGGCACAATTGTCATTTCTATGTAATTATATATGAGCATTAGGTGACTCATGCTTTCTAAAGTAAAAAAAAAATAGATCAATCTAATAAATCTATTAAGCACCCAAAATTAAATATGCTTAAATTTAAAGTAAAAATTTTTAGACAAAAAGGAGAACTTCATTCTCTAATTGCAATTTGTTCATTTGTTCACACATCATTTATTGAGTGTTTACTATGGCAGGACGTGTGCTAGTAAACTTATATGTACTATTGCCCAAAATGATTACTCATCCTCTTTTTACTCAGTAGAAAAAAGAAGCTTGGAAAAGTTAGCTTACGTAGTCATATACTAATAAGAGCACAAGTAGAGATTTAACTCAGATCTGTGGAGCAAAATTATTACAGCAGAGTGCCAGCAATTATTCTAGGTACTTTATAAATATTAATGCATCAGATCATCATAATGATTCCCAAGGTAGAGACTTGTGTACATACCATTTTGCAGGTGGGTTCATTCCCACAGAGGGAGGCTAAGTAAATGGCAGAGCTGGAATTCAAACCCAGGCAGCCAGACTCCAGAGGCCTTGCTTTGAACCACCACTAGATGGCCTTTTCCATCCTAATGGCTTGTTGGTCCCATTGCACTGGTCTGCTTAGGAAGGCAAACAGACACATGAGGACAGAATAGAATGAATTAAGTATGGTGGTCAACCACTGTGGCTATAGCATTTGGACCTCTGTCACATTTAGTGATGAAAATTCAGTGCAATGCCTTAAGGAAGAAAAGAGGGGAAGGAATTATCATGCTATGGACTGAATGGTGTCCCCTCCAAATTTATATGCTGAAGCCCTAACCCCTAATGAGACAGTATTTGTAGATAAGGCTTATAAATAGGTAATTAAGGTTAAATGAGGTAATAAGGGTAGAGACCCAATATGACACGATTAGTGTTCTTATAAGAACTAACACCAGAAGGCTCACTTAAGTGCTTGCACTTTGGTTCACTCTCTCTCTCTGCCTCAGCATGCACAAAGAAGAGGGCATGTGAGCACACAGTAAGATGGCAGCTTCCCACAAGGCAAGAGAAGAGGCCTCAGAATTAAACCTACCTTCCCAGCATCATGATAGGAAATTTCCAGCCTCCATTACGTTGAGAAATAAATTTATGTTGTTTAAGCCATCCAGTCTATGGTATTTTGTTATGGCAGCCCGAATAGACAAAGACTCACTGAAACGAGATAGTTCCCTTGATCTCTTCACAGGACTCATGAAGAAGTTGGCTCATTTACTCAGCCTGCAGCTCTCAAGCCTTCACAGGAGGGGGAGCATGCAGGTGAGCAGGTGCAGAGGCCAGATCGAGTGCTCCTGGGTGCCAACAGGAGTATAACTCTGTGCTGCCCCATGGTGGTATCTTGTAGGGTACCTGTAACCTGCGGAGCCCCAGAGTGGGTGTGTTACAATGTGCTCTTTTAGCTTTGCCATTCACGGATGGCTTAAGTGTTTAATAGCTCAGTGGAGGGTCAGGGTGATATCCTTTTGCATGTACCCTCTTGGTACCTGAGTTCTTGTCTGGTATCCAGGAAGAATCAGGTTGCACAAACAAATTGAAGAGTGGAGAATGTGGAGGATTTTATTGAGTGGTGGAAGTGGCTCTCAGCAGGATGGGGAGCTGGAAAGTGGATCGAGTGGGAAGGTAGTCTTCCCCTGGAGTTCCTCTGTCCCCGGCCAAACTCTTCTCCAAAGTCCTGCCATCAAGCTGTGCCTTTGAAGTCAAGCTGCTTCTCTCTGATGTCTGCCTGCCTCATCTCTCCCTCTCTGCCGCTCTGCCACACTGCAGTTCTGCCAGTGAAGCCTGGGGTTTTTATGGGTACAGGATGGGGTGTGGGGAAGGCCATAAGGCAACATTTGAGTGGAAAAACAGGAATACATGTTCTCACTTTGGGCCACAGTCCCAGGCTTGAAGGTATGGCCCTCACCAGGGACTGCCCTCTTCTACCCGGTATTTCCCTGGCTCCTGTCCATATAAATATCATGGCTCTGAAAAGTCCTGGGATTAAACACTCCCCGTTAACATGGGATCCTAGTGCATAATTATAGTGAAATCTCAGGGGGAGGAATGCTTCTTTCCCCATAGTTCTAAAAAAGAGTTGCAGTTGAGCCTTACTGGCCTAGCTTAGGTCAGAAATTTATCCTTCAACCAATTATTATGGCAAAGGCAATGTATGCAGTGATTGGCTAAGCCTGGGCTAGTTATCTATCCCTGCAACCCCTAGCCTCTGGTCAGCCCCTTCTGAACAACAGGCTGAGGATGGGGTGGGGAGGCTTCCCAAAAGGAAATCAGAATGACTGTACCGGGAGAGAGAGAGAGAGAGAAAGGGATGCCAAGAAGGCAATATCACTCAAGTCCACCAGTGTTACAAACCTACTAGGCCATTAATTCCCAATCACAGCTATGTGCTGAAATGATCCAGGAGTTTGTTAAAACAAAAACAAAAACAAAAAACTATGCCAAAGGCTTACCTTCAGATATTCTGGTTAGATGCTTTTCCTCAGAACTCTTTCTACAGAAACCAAAGACCCTAAGATACTTTTTTTTTTTTTTAGTAGCTTAATGCTGAGGTTCAGCCTTTTCAGGTATAGGTTATTAGAAACTAATGAAAGAGTCCCAATTCAACCACTATTTAATATCTGTTTAAAATGCTCCTCAAATGCACCCATGTAGCAAAAATGATAATATTCCTTCCCATAAAAATTAAGGAGTAGAAGAAAATTATTCTTTGAGAAGCAAATTATAAGATCTATAATCAATGGATTACAGTATAAATATGCAAAGCAATCTAAAGGAGCCAGAAAGGAGTTTAAGGCCAGCAGGACAACAAGCACACAATGCATTCTTATCACTGTATTTTGTGAATTTTCATGAATTCATGGTCAGCTTTGGTGCCAATAATGTGCACTCCCAACAGGAAAAGAGCTACAGTGCAGCCTTCTCTCCTCCAAGTATTGATCATTGCCAAATTTGCTAATTTTAGTACTGCCATTGATATCTTATTTCTGTATTTCTGGTTTTTTGCTTGTGTAAGCAATAAACATGGAAAAAAAATCTAACTGAAACAAGAAGTAAGAAACAAGAAAAAGAAAGAATGTAGACCTCAGAAGAACTGTGAATCCCCATTTTTCATCACTGCTAAATTCCTAGCTGAAGAAACTGCAGGGGCCTTCAAAGAAAAGGGAACTGAGTGTGTTTTATTTGGGACAGTGGTCTTCAGCTCATAGGAGTGCCTAAACATCTATGAATATAGGTATTTACAGAGGTGTTAGTCTTGCCCTGAAACTGTCAGGAGAAAAAATGGAAATGAGAGGTTAAGTAGTGATGGGAAAATAGTTACAATATTCTCTTAGCTGGAAGCAACAGAAAATAATTCTGTCCTCATATTTAAACAGAAATTGAGTTTATTAAAAGAATAAAGGCTAGCTCATAGAAGGACCTTATGATAGAAACACCAGGCTTAGAATGTGAAAAGAAACAAGGTCAGACCAGAGCCAAAATCATGCCACAAGCCAATCTGATGATGACACCACTGGTTCACCATGGGAATCTGCGCCTTGAAGTCTGCTCCTCCCACGTTGGGCACTATGGGCCATTGTCACATGCATTACATGGACCACATTATGCACATTCATTACAGACAGTGATTTTTAGAACAGCAACTCCTTCATATAAGAAAAGTCAATTGCAACCATACTGCTTATATTTAACTTATTTAAAGAATGTGAAATTTATCAATGTCTAATAAAAATTAAAATGTTCACAACTTATACAGTAATTCATTTTGGGAGTATATGCCTTGGTGAAATCCACTCAGAATACACAAGAATCAACATATCCAAGGATGTTCATTGAAGAATAATTTTCCTGTTCAAATTTTTTATCAGTGGCTTAAAAGAGGAATTAAAAGAATTCCTACAAACTATCAAAGGTAAAAGATGGGATAGAGAAAAAAATAACTATAAAAATTAGGCTGAGTGCAGTGGTCCATGCCTGTAATCTCAGCACTTTGGGAGGCCAAGGTGAAGGATTGTTTGAGCCCAAGAGTTTGAGACCATCCTGGGCAACAAGTGAGACCCTGTCTCTACAATTTTTTTTAAACTAGCCAGATGTGGTAGCATGTACCTGTAGTTCCAGTTACTCAGGAGGCTAAGGTGGGAGGATTCCTTGAGCCCAGAAGGTTAAGGCTTCAATGAGCTGAGATCATACCACTGCACTGTAGCCTAGGTGACACAGCGAGATCCTGTCTCTAAAATAAAAAGTAAATAATACATAAATACAAAAATAAATATCAGTTTTTCTGAATCAGAAAGGGGATTCCAAATATTTGTAAAAGCCTGGAACAGTAGAATAAAACCAACAAAATAGAGTCAAAAATGATACATTTTTTTCTTTTATTTTTCAATAACCAACTGTATAAGTACAGGAGGAGCAAGACTTGACTTGTGGGATTTTTCTTATAAAAATAACTTGATAGGTTTGAGTTGAACACAAACCTAATATACGTGTTATGACAGCTGAATGGGCTCAGCTCTTAGGTTACATGTGGGCCTTGTGTCCAACTAAGGAAGATGTAACTGTCTTCCAATACTATGTAGAAGACAGATAACACTGAAAACCATAGAATGTCAGTTAAGCATGAGATATATTCTTCTGGGGAGTAAAAGATGAACAAATTGATAAAAATTATATGAATATGGATTTTGTTTTAGTTTAAGAAATAACTTTCTGGCATCTGTAGGTTTCCAATAGTTTAGAGAAGTAGTAAGTTACTACTTAAAGTTATCAAGAAGAAACTTGATGGTTGTCTATTCTATATTTGGTGAGAGATTTTAAATATTTTAAATTTTCTTAATTTTTTTCATTCAAAATTTTTATTTTTTAGGTAAGAACATAGGCCTGCAGATTAAAGAAGAAAGAATACCAATAGCTTTGAGAAAATACTACATTCAAGGTTCTTCATCTAATTAATCTTAATTAGAAACCATGGGACAAAGCAAAAGGAATATCCCCACTGAGAAGTACTAAAGGTGAAGAGAGAGATAAAAAATGGTTATTTTAAAATTTTATCCCATCCTGGCCGGGCATGGTGGCTCACGCCTGTAATCCCAGCACTTTGGGAGGCCAAGGTGGGCAGATCACGAAGTCAGGAGATGGAGACCATCCTGACTAACATGGTGAAACCCCATCTCTACTAAAAATACAAAAAGTTAGCCAGGCATGGTGGCGAGTGCCTGTAGTCCCAGCTACTCAGGAGGCTGAGGCAGGAGAATGGCATGAACCCAGGAGGCGGAGCTTGCAGTGAGCCGAGATCACACCACTGCACTCCAGCCTGGGCAACAGAGTGAGACTCTGTCTCAAAAAAAAAAAAAAAAAATTATCCCATCCTGTACAAGTAAGTGCAGGATGAGGAAGACTTGACTTGTGAGGATACTTCCTATGAAAATAACTTGAGGGGTCCGAGTTGCCCGCAAATCTAATATAACATGCATTATAGAAAACTATTACAAAATAGCCTATTTTTGTCCCTTTTTCTCTTTAGTAAAGTGCGGTGGAGCTATTCTTTTCCCTATTTGGATGAAATCTTGAGCCAGCCTCTAACATCACTGGTTATACTTAGATGGTAGCCCTGCAGTCACTTTAAATCACAAACACAATCTAATTTATAATGTAAAACATCCATGATTGTGTTATAATCAAAAGTTTGAGCCTGATTTAAAGTGGAAACACTCCTGCCTCCTCACTTCCATTGGCCAGAGCCTGTCTTTGTTAAGCTGTTTGCAGTGGGAGAGAGCCAGAAAAGAAAGAAGGGTCATGGAAAGACGTAAGGTACAAAGGACATTTCTCCCCGATGGGTACTTTCGTAAGACGGTGATATATTCTCCAGGGAGCTACTGAAGGAGTGGAGCAGTTATTTGATGCTGACATGTTCTCTCATGGGATCCTTTTAATTTCTGGGAACTCCCTCAAGACTTTCCAATGGTAACTCCCTTTTCATGGGCAGGCCTTTAGCATTGGTGGGTCTCCATCGTCCTCCCCAGCATTCCTGCCCTGGCTGGTATAGTCGCTGTATCTGCAGTCTCCTTTCCCTGGCAGACCATGCACTTGAGGGGATCCCTTTAAGAACAACTCCAGGTTGACATCACAACCAGTTCTAGCCCCTGAGATCCAATTACCTTTAACCTGCTATTGGACAAGACAGGTGCAGTCACTTCTCAGGAGCAGCTCTCAGCTCTGTTGTTATCAGCTGTTTTACTTGTTCAATCCTGAGGTAGGGCTCAGTCCACAGGCCCAGGAACACCTGTTATACTCTCAGTGCTCTTGCCAAGCCCCTCTCACCTGACCTAGCACTGGCAGACAGCACCACTACACCCCTCCAGCTGTCAACTAAGAAAGTCTTTTGATAAATCCTCCCCAAATCCCACTCTTCTGGTCCTTTCATATCCCTGCTCTGGGTAAAAGACAGCTGGGGATGGGGCTCATGAGAGCAACGGACCCAAATATTTTCTTTGTAAATTTCATTTTGAGCGTCTGTTATATCCAATATCCATCATATCTTGGTGCCATGGTCAAGAATTCCAATTAAACATCCTTTATACTCATATTGATTCCTATTATAGTCCTCTTAACCACCTATTTGATAGGCCTTAATAGCCACATTTTACAGATAGGAAAACTGAGGCACAGAGAGATTAAATATTTGCCCAAAGCGTGGCCATACAGCTTGTAAATTTGAGACATGATACGAATCCAGAATCTTTTCTCCAGACTGTGCATCATATTGTTTGGATTAGCTGGTTTCATTGTATAGAAGAATCAATCTATCTATTACTTTTCCTTGAGAAAAGGGAGGGTAAAGCCAGTGTGGGGAGGGTGTTGCTGCTGTTCAACTGGAACCAAACATAATATTAAAATCCTTGGGTTTTAGTCAATGGCTACTTAAAAGCTCTCCCTTGTAGATTGTTATATCCTTTTGTGAGCAGAAGGAAAGCAGCTACATTTGTATGTCATTCTGCCAATTTATCTGTTATATTTATATGACACATAAAGTATAATAATTAACATTTGGTGAGCATTCACTAAGTGCCATGCATTATTCTTGCCATGCATTAATCTGTTTTATCCAAATTCTTTCACTCTTTCCTCTTAACAACAGTAAGACAGTTTGTGTTGTTGTTTTCTCATCTTAAAGATAAAGAAGGAGGTCCCAGGAAAAACACTGGGAGAAAACACCAAAGACAGAAGAGCAGCATTCCTCTTTCTGTTCCACAATTTACTGGTACACAGAGTTTGCTAGACCAGTCACATAACTCCTTAGGGCCATATTTTCCTCATCTGTAAAACGGGAAAAATAATAACAGTCTTCTTTGCTTTGCAGGATCCTTGTGAGAGTCAAATGAGACAACAAGTGGGTACGTACTGCCCATATTCAAGCAAATATTATCACTGTGCTATTCCTGAGACGACCATCCCATGAAAGGTTAATCTAAAACTTGCAGCTAAAACTACAAGTTAATCTTTAGCTGAGTGCCACATGACAAGGACCTCAGAAATGCTGTCCAACAGAGAGCAGCTAGTATACACACCAGAGGAGAGACTGTTTCCTAAAAATCACTTAAACAGAAGAAAAGCAACTTTAGAATTAAAAAAGAGAAACTCAAAAATAGTTCTGCATTGCTGAGACAGAGCCAAGTTGGGGAACCTTTGGGAAACTTTTGTTTCTCTTGAGAACTGTTTGAAAATGAGAGCCAGGTTGGGGGAAAAGGATAAGGCCACAAAAGACGAGCAGAGAGAGAAAAAAACACGAATTTGGGGAAAGCTAGCGTAAGAATACAGAAAAGTATTTTTTAAATCCACTCAAAAACTGACCAGAGATTTCAAGATATGATTGAATGTTTGCAAAATGCCCCATCTGCTTCATTCCACAGTCTAGAAGAGAAATAATGGAAACTTTCTTCTCTTTTCCAACAAGACATAACAAAAGCAGAGCTGATGTAATTAATGAAAAAAAGATGGCTATTTGAAATAGTGAAGGCTCTGAATAACAGAATGGAATGGAAATGAAGTCCACATTTAGGGACAATTCATTATTTATCTGCTGTACTTTTTATGCACACCGTGTTCTGCTAATTCTCTCTCCAGGGAGAATACCAAACCAGGTTAGTGAGTGATACAAGCATGAGTAGTTAGAAGCTATGATATAAGCAGCGGGCAGATGGAGTTATTCCTTGAATATCAATTAGCATAGTCCATCCAAGTTGAAGACTCTGACAATTGAATACTTCAACTTAATGGATCTGTTTTCAAATTCCCTTTAATGGCCCTTCTGTGACCATAATATCTACTTTTCCAGACATCCTAAGTAGAAACCATTATGGACAATATATGTAGAATTCTCTAAGGATAGCATATGGAGGGGAGAATGTGAGTTGCCAAATTTAGCAGCTCTAGAGAGAATGTTTTTGAATTAAACCTGAATCTATGGGGATTACAGTTCATTTATGACTGACAAAACATATCTTCCCAATTCTGAAAGATAAATCCCACTGATATACACGTGGATTTCACAGGGTTTCTCAAAAACTATAAGGAAAAAAAAAATCCTTTCCACAAAATGCAGTTCTATAACTATTTTGGAATTATGGTAAGTCACATGTTCTTTTTGCAGTTTTCCTCAGGTTAAATGAGGAATTTTCTAAGTACTGTGCCAACTGTACTTACAACCTGAGTAAGCTCAGATCAGAAGATTCATCCCTTACATATTAGAGTAAGATCTTTGTTTTGAAAGAAGAGAGGAAGACTGAAATGCAGTGGCTATGGGCTTTAGGATTTTAAAAATAAGTAAAATTTCAAAAGTATGAGAGATGGGACTGAAAACATTGTCAAGTTTTTCTTTTGCTGAATAAGATCAGTTTTAATTTTAATTTTTTAAATCAATTTTAATATTACTCTATTTTTCTTTTCATAAAGATGATTGACAGTACAAAAGTTTGAAGTTCAAAGTGCAGGTCTTTAAATTTAATGTACTTAGCTTCATGAAAAATTATCTTCATTTATCATAGTGTTCTAATTTCACTGTGGACCAGTGAAAATATTGTGGCAAACCAGCGCTGGTCTGCAGAACCACAACCGAAAACCTCTAGCCTGATTCACTTTGTTAACATGAGCTAGTTCTCTACCCTAAGCAGCCATTAAAATCTAACTCAAAAGCTTCCAATGTCTAACTAAACAGCAAATACCTGTAATTTAGGACAAAATGATTAAATCTTTCAGTGAATATTTGCATTTGTTGGAAAATGGTGTTTTATTTTGTACCCATTTAATAAATTCTTTGGAATAAAATTTCATTTTTTTCTTACTACATTCAAGGACCCGGCATAGCTAGGATTTTACCAAGCTTTGAGTAGTTCGTATCGTAAATATTAACATGTTTTGAAACGTTAGCAAGACTTCTAATTTACAAGTGGAGATCACTCTTAATTCCAGCTTTCCTTTTTTTCATTCTGAATGAAAAACCTCTTAAGTATCAGATTTTTTTTTTACAGGTTAAACCAAACCATGAACTCCATGAAACTACTAAGATTCCTTGTTTTGTTGGCTTCGTCTTGAGTTAAATGTCTAATAATAAATGGTCATTGAGCAGACACTTAAGAATCCTTTTATTCAGCGATTTTGATATTTTAAAAAGAGATTGGTCTGTTATGAAAAAAGAACTTAGTTTTATTTTTGCTGGTTGAGCAGCTTTCCACTGAAAATGAAAGGCTAAAAATTTAGTTTTTTCCCTCTACTGAACTTGGAAAACCTAGATTTAGGATACTTACATTCAAGTACACTTTGTTCTTTTTCCTATCCTTTTGAAAATTAATATTAATACTCTGACATTTTTAGGAGAAAGAATTAGTTAAGTCTTCCCTCTGGCAAAACTATCAGGCAATCTTCTCCAGCATTCAATTCCTTAAGGGCATGGAAGGAGGTGTCTTTAATTTTTTTACTCCTTACCCTGTTACTCTGAAACTTAATGCGTGCTTAAATTCCATCCATCTGAATTTAGCCTAAGACCTAAAACAGGTAAAACACACATCAAAATAATTTTGCCCATGTTAAATTAATCTGAATCCTGTAAAGTTAGACTAGGGGAAGTGCTGATGGAGAAAATCACTTTTTTTTTTAACTGATATCACTTCTGGAGTATTTGAATGTTTTTACAACAGGTTTGTGTTTCTTTTGATTATAAGTAAAATCCTACCAAACATTGTTTATTTTTATTTTACTGTGAAATGAATACTTACTATGAGATGTACCCTCTTAGATTTTTAAGTACACAATACCATATTGTTAACTATAGGCACTATGATATACCGAAGGTCTCTAGAATTCATTTACTTTGCATAACTGCAACTTCAGGCATTGCTTTTGAAATCTGAAATACGTGTTCTGATGACTCTATAGCAACCATGATTTTATTCTCAAAAAATAAATACAGATGAGGGTAAAAACCAAAACACATTTCTTGAACTAAAGAAATTATTAAATGTAGACCTTCAAACCGCGTTAAAACCAGCAAGAGTTTGTTATTTTTCTTAAACATTTAATTTTCAATGCATTCTGGTTATTTTCTCCTACGCATCTTAGAGAAGAGGTTATTTGCTGAAATTGTCAATGCGGCTTTGGCTACATTATCTGACAACCAGTAGAGGTCGCCACCTACCACATTGTAGCAAGTCAGGGAGAGGAAAAAAAATTATGAATGTTTGGTTAGTAAAAATGCACAGAGGTCAGAAGTTTTCAATATGAAGCTTTCCTCTTGAAAGCTTTGCATAATTGAACCAATATTCAAGTGAGAGGAAAAAAGAATAAATAAAAATAATGGATCCAAGATGTTGGTGTTACAGAACTTCAAAAAACAGAATTTCTTAGAAATTACATAAAAATTCTTCTAGTTGACTTAGTTAATACAAATTATTCTTCATGTCAAAACATTGGAAAGAAACCTCAAAATGTTATCAAATCTGAACATAATAAAATGTATACATTTGTAAAATGGCATTGTGGTCTCTTTCTACTAGTATGTGTTTGGAACCCCTAAGCATCTCAAATTTTTGGTTTTGACCTCACATATTCTGTGACTTTCATTCTGTGTTTTAATTTTTCTTAATTTATTAGTTGTATCTACTGCACAGTGAAAATTAACCTGTCATAGTGTTAAAGTGGCCTGTGGTTATCACAACTGAAAAGAGCACATTGAAGCTTTAGTATATAATTACTGCTACTTGGTTTCCCAAAAGAAGTTTAAAGTTTAACTTATTTTCTTTAAGTCATAATTAAACTGAGAAGAAAAGACTTCTTTTTTATAGTTTGGAGGGAGAATCTATGTATATCTTGACATAAGAAAATATCTTCCCTTTAGAAGAGGGAATAAACGTATGCTTGATAATTTAGAATGTGCAAATGGGTAGTGATAGGTGATTCAAACAACGGAAGGCTTTTCCAATAAACAAAATGTTTTTAAAAATAGAAATGGTTATTTCAGAAGTTCAGATGGTGAGCTTACCATCACTAGAAATGTTTGCATGGATGGATAATTAGTGAGATGTGGTGAGAATCTTGGTAAGAATGTGTTAGGAATTTGAATACTCAGGTTTGAGGGGGAAGCTTTACTAGATTTCTAAGAAAGATCATGTGTAATTTTTAGGGTTTTTTGTTTTAAATTGATAACAGTGTTATTGATAAAATTATGTTGCATTAGGATAATGCTACGTTAACAAATACATCTAAACATTAGAGTGGATTAGCACAACTGTTTATTTCAAACTCATGCACTATTCCTTGCTGTTATTAATGGTTGGTGGATGACTCTCCTTTATACGGAGATTCAGGGACCCTGGTCTTTATCCGTTTTGTGGCTCTGCCATCTCCTAGGCCATTGAAGTACTTTGCCTCCACCCAGCAGAAAGGGAAAGAAACAAAAGAGAATGAACATCTAATTCTTAAACTGGAAATAACACACTTACTTCTGCTTATATTCCATTGCAGAAAGCTAGTTAGATGACCCCGCATGGATTGAGAGAGAAAAGAAAGCACAAATATTGATACTCAGTTGCTTTCTTTACCACTGTCCTCCCTCTGACAACTGAACATTTGTGCACATCCTTTTTCTTACACATGTATTATCTCTACAAAGAAGTCAACTCAGAGTTATATTTAGTAACTTGATCCAACTAAAAGTCCAGAAAATCTGGGTGATACCTATCCCCTCCATCAGGTCTGGGTGTGACACCTTATAATCTAGTGACTATTTCCTAAAGTATATTGCACCAGTGGCCAAAACCTTAATCATTCCTTATATCCACATTCTTTGCCATGTAACTCAGTGTCCACTCCCTATGCATATAGCAGTGTTCCCCCAGCCTTTTACTCTGGTCTCAGCCAGGTGACTTGCTTTGATCAAAGGAATATTAGCAGATAAGATGTAAGCAGAAGCTTGCCCTCTACTTTCAACATAAGAACATGCTTATGTCTAGTCCACAGAAGGATGAAAGACATACAAAGCAAAGCCAGTTGCCTCAGCCAAGGCATCCTCGGTTAGTTGACAGCCAGCCATCCTCCAGATAGATGAGTGATCTAAGCCAAGATGGAGCTGCCTGGCTAAACCCCAGCTGATTCTAGACATGTGAACAATAAATGCTTAATGTTGTATGACACTTAGGGTTTTGCAATTGTTTATTATGCAGGCTTATTGTGGTCATAGATAACTGATACATGTACCAAACAAGACTCTCAACTCTTAGTGAGCAGAAATTTACTTGGTTTCATTTTCTACATAAAATATAATGCTATACTTTCTCATACTGGAATGCAAACTTTGTTGAGTTCATTTTAATACGTAGCAAGGTTAAGCTAGATAAAATGTTGTAAATATTGTGAAACATAAGCATGAATTAATTTTTATATCTTTATAGCACTTTTAACTTTTCAAACCACTTTCAGATGTCCTTTCACTTGATTTTCACAGCAACTTTGATAGAAGGAAAAGTAGATTCCTGTATTCCTAACTACCAAATCTCAGTGACTAAGTTACTACCCCAATTACAACTGGCTAATGACAGAAGAAAATCAAACACACTGGAATCCATCTCTCCTGCCTTCCAGAATGTACTCCCATTGCTGAATAGGCCTTCATTAGAGAAGTAAGGAGACAACAGTTTTTCCATAGCTATTGTATGATAAACATGATCATAACACTCTTACCTCATTACTGGATATTTTCAAGGTTAAGATTTACTCCTTCAGAAGTCTCTGAATTATGCCTATTCTCTCTAATGAAATGCTTTCCCCAATATTTTCTACTAAAGGATCTGCAGAACTGATCAGTAAACACGAATTGGATGTAAAGAAATTCTTACCTGTAGCAGAGTTTCACAACCTCAGCACTATTGATGTTTGGGCTAGATAATTATCTGTTGTGGGAGTCTTGCCTGTTTATATTCAGTAGCAACCCTGACTTGTACCCACTAGATTCCAGTAACATTGCCCCAGTTGTGGCAAACAAAAATGTCTCTGGACGTTGCCAATTATCACCCCCTAGAGTGATATTCATCCCCTCTTCCATTCAGAAACATGGGCAAATTAAATACAACTAGGATTTTGCGTGTCAGATTCTTAGAAGATGAGAGCTGAACATAAGGAATCAGTTTGTGCAAACTTTTCATTTTATAAAATTTTATATTTCTATTTTCACTTTGTAAGGAAGAAAAGTACACCCAAACAGTTATTCAAAGCTACAAAACTGGTTAATACTATGTCTTTTGACACACTATTGAATTATTTCATATTTTATTTATCTGTTCCCCTTTACTCTGCAAATAAAATTAAGGGACTTTGGATAGACTGTGCAACTTCTAATTCCCGTTCTAGGTCCAAGTATTGACTTAGTGGCCTGCTTTCGGGTTTCTGTAGAAGCCTCATCCTACCCAGGTAATGCCACACACATATCCTTACCTGACTTATCTTCTCTGCCTCTTCAAGTTACCCACAAACCTGACTATCTTTACTACTATCCCCCTGCCAGGCCCTGGTGCAGTCTTTTCTCCTTGTCTCATCTTTCTGGCTGACACTTTAAGGTCCAGTTCTCAATTGTTCTCAAGGCTCTGATTTCTTCGACCTAGCCTAGATATTCTTTTTGTCCTTTTCTTCTTTTAGGTCTTCCTTAAAAACATCCTTTACCATTCAATAATTCTAGTCCTTTAGATATCAATTGTCTGAAGGCAAAACCTACTCAACCCAAGAGGTCCTTTTCAACACCGAATGGGTATATCTACTTTTCATTATTGCCTCCTTCCCAAATTTTTATTTATGTACTCATGAGTCATATTTATATCTTTATTTTATTTTATTTTAAGACAGAATCTCGATCTGTCACCCAGGCTGGAGTGCAATGGCACAATCTCAGCTCACTGCAGCCTCCACCTCCTGTGTTCCAGTGATTCTCCTGCCTCAGCCTCCTGAGTAGCTGGGAATGCAGGCACGTGCCACCAAGCCTGGCTAATTTTTGTATTTTTAGTAGAAACGGGTTTCACCATGTTGGCCAGGCTGGTCTCAAACTCCTGACCTCAAGTGATCAGCCACCCTTGGCATCCCAAAGTGCTAGGATTACAGGCATGAGCCACCGTGCCCAGCATATTTATACCTTTAAAAGAGCAATTATAAGTTTTTTCTTGGAAGTATCCATTGCCCTATTATAAAATTGCCTAAATGTTATGTTTCAGCACGCCAGTCTTTTATTCTCACTTCTTACCTGGAGTAGCCCCCGAATTTCATCATCGTTTTAGGACACAGGGTGTATTTTGCTACTACTTTCCCATCTTTAAAACAAGTAAGTGGACAAAACTAAATAGCTCCCCATCAAAATATAGATTAATAAATTCAGTCCTCTGGGCATGTTGCTTTATGAAATTGGTAGAAAAAAAATATTTGATAAGGAAGCCAAACTTCAATAAAAAGCCTATAATTAAAAAGCTTCCTATCACAGTATTCAAAGAGACAAATACCATTTATTTGTATTCAGGAAACTGACTTCTTTCATTTCAGCCCATCAAGAATATAATCTGATTTCAAATGATTATGTATTAACCTATGGTAAAGAATTGCTATTCTTTTGAGTAAAGAGGGAAAAAAATAGCATCCCATAAAGTATACAGGTAAAAGGCATTTGGAAACTGTGTATTCTTTTCACTTACTTGAGGAATGGTTATTCATTTGCTTTGGGAATTAACTTATTTAAGAATAAGATAGAGGTAGAGGAGATTTGGGAATGGAAGAGACTAAAAATCTCCATTTTAGGTCTAACATTTAAGTCTTTAATCCATCTTGAATTAATTTTTGTATAAGGTGTAAGGAAGGGATCCAGTTTCAGCTTTCTACATATGGCTAGCCAATTTTCCCAGCACCATTTATTAAATAGGGAATTCTTTCCCCATTTATTGTTTTTGTCAGGTTTGTCAAAGATCAGATGGTTGTAGATGTGTGGTATTATTTCTGAGGGCTCTGTTCTGTTCCATTGGTCTATATCTCTGTTTTGGTACCAGTAACATGCTGTTTTGGTTACTGTAGCCTTGTAGTATAGTTTGAAGTCAGGTAGCATGATGCCTCCAGCTTTGTTCTTTTGGCTTAGGATTGTCTTGGCAATGCAGGCTCTTTTTTTGTTCCATATGAACTTTAAAGTGGTTTTTTCCAATTCTGTGAAGAAAGTCATTGTTAGGTTGAAATGCAAATCAAAACCACAATGAGATACCATCTCACACCAGTTAGAATGGCGATCATTAAAAAGTCAGGAAACAACAGGTGCTGGAGAGGATGTGGGGAAATAGGAACACTTTTACACTGTTGGTGGGACTGTAAACTAGTTCAACCATTGTGGAAGACAGTGTGGCAATTCCTCAAGGATCTAGAACTAGAAATACCATTTGACCCAGCCATCCCATTACTGGGTATATACCAAAAGGATTATAAAACATGCTGTTATAAAGACACATGCATATGTATGTTTATTGTGGCACTATTCACAATAGCAAAGACTTGGAACCAACCCAAATGTCCAACAATGATAGACTGGATTAAGAAAACGTGGCTCATATACACCATGGAATACTATGCAGCCATAAAAAATGATGAGTTCATGTCCTTCATAGGGACATGGATGAGGCTGGAAACCATCATTCTCAGCAAACTATCGCAAGGACAGAAAACCAAACACGCGTGTTCTCACTTGTAAGTGGGAATTGAACAATGAGAACACCTGGACACAGGAAGGGGCATGTCACACACTGGGGCCTGTCATGGGGTGGGGGGAGGGGGGAGGGATAGCATTAGGAGATATACCTAATGTAAATGAGGAGTTAATGGTGCAGCACACCAACATGGCACATGTATACATATGTAACAAACCTGCACGTTGTGCACATGTACCCTAGAACTTAAAGTATAATAAAAAAAAAATCTCTGCTGAGATTTAATTGTGCAAATATAACCAGAAAAGAATTATAAGTACGGATGCAATTTGATTCTGCCATAGACCCAGGTGTTGAGCAACTTTTACTCTAGCAGGTATCTAAAAAAGGAGGTGAGTCCTCCAAGATCTATAAAAATGAGGCATAAGGGCATGGGTTTTTTGTGAAGTTCTGAATATTCCATTAGCATGTAATAAGTGTTAATAAATATCATCTGTAAAGTTTAAAGTGTTCATTCTCAACTCTGATTTCAAATTATGTACTTCATATGGTTGCTTGATTTCAGGAAAAGTAATTTCCAAGCTTGATCTGATACTTTTGGCTGAAGTATAACATCTAGGCAATTTCCTCTGTTGGAAAGGAGCCATTTTTATACTTAGCATATAAACAAATTATTTTTAGCGAAGGCTTCTTTTTAAAAATTTGTTCATAGCTGTATGTTGTAAAGATAACTACCAGTGAGTATTTGTATTTTTACTGAACATAGTGTCTAGATCTAGGAAAACACAAAGTGAAGTGATAGTTTGATGGTTATCAAGTGAATTTATGTTCTGGTTGTGGTTTTGTAATCACTTTCCTGTGCAAATACACAACCAGAATGCAAATTCTGGTTGTGGTCTAAGACCTCGTAATGCTTCATGAAAACAGAATGGTCAAGTATTATACATTTATTCTCATTCCTTATTTACCCGTAGATATTTGCAAGATAAATATATGGAAGACGTATCAGGAAGAGGTCTCTGATTCCTTCCTCTCAGTGGCTGTTATACAGAAGAAGGGCAAATCAGTTATCCATTGTCACAATAATGCTGCATAAAAAACACAGCACTTCAGTGGAACATACAATAATAAACATGAACTTATGAGTATACGGATTGACTGGTTGGTTCTGAAGTTCTGAGCTGGGCTCTGATGATCTCAACTGCGTCACTTATGCTTCTATAGCCAAATGGAAGGTCAGCTATGCTTCTGCATAGCATATTACATCCAACCAAGTAAAGTGATCTAGGATGGCCCCATCAGGGAAAACTCTGCCCACCACCAAGTTTTCCTCATTTCCCTTTAACAGGCTAACCAGACTTGTTTTCATGGTGGTGGCGAGAATCCAAGAGCGTGAGTTATAAGTGTACAAGGCCATTTGAGGTCTAGGACCAGAACTGAATTTCTTTTATTTGTGACATATTCTTTTGTTCAAAACAAGCCATAGGCTACCCCAGAGAGAGTTAAAGGCTGGGAAACACACTCCATATCTTAATGGAAGGAACTGGAATGTCACATCTCATAGTGAGTAGATACAGAAAGGGTTGGAAGTTAGGATATTTTTGCAATCAGTACACCATATAGAACTTAGGCCAACAATCTTTGTGGGGGACTATGTCTTAAAGCTGCATTTTGCACAGCAAGCACTCTGTTTTTATTTAGATTGTACATAATATGAATGGTGGTGTGATGCTATCTTTTTAGTGCTATCACGGTTGACACTATTTGGTATCATAAAGCACAGTGGAAATATCAGATAAACCAGTTCAAGTTTTTGGTATATTTTAATGGTTTAGAACTTCATTTACCTCAGTAGGTGTCTCCACTTACCACTAGCCTAATGTCGTGAAATCCTCCCTTCGATTTGTTCTGTGTACATAAAAGTGAGGACTTTTAAACAAGTTTTCCATGGAGATTATAATTAATGTCCCTATTTGACTTATTTGTATATATGCACACCCCTATCACTAATTGTCCTTGTGTAACCGAATGCAGTTTCAACTTCTCTCTGCTTGTAAAACTGAGTAACAAAGAAGAGATGCGGCAGAAGGCAAGTGACTTTACTTCCCAAGCTAGCAGTGGGGAAATGGTCTAGGCTTCCTGCCTTAAAGAAATCATTTCAAATTTGGGGGCAGAAATCTAGCATTTAAAAAGGGAAGCTTCATATGAAGGGAATGCAAGAGGGGAGAGGAGGTACAGGAACACATCACTTACTCCAATGCTTCAGCTTGAGTTATTGTCCCATTTGGTGAATGAGGTGGTATGGAATTTCTCTCTCTCTCTGTCTCTCTCCTCTCTCTCTCTCTCTCTCTCTCTCTCTCTCCCTCTCCCTCTCTCCCCTTTTCTCTTCTATCAGTTATACATTCATCCTTTTTATAATAGCAGCACTTTGATTTTTCTATAGGAAATTGCCCCTCCTTCTTTTCAGGAATAAAGTTAGAGGTGTTTGTCCTTGCCTTTGCCCTTGTCCCCATCCTCATTCTGCAGGACCACCTTATGGGGTAGGTTGGTGAGGTTGTAACTGAGGTGTGCCACTTCACCCTTTGCAGCATTCTTTCTTCCTATTAAACATTTCTTTTTCAAATCTATACTGTTGTCGGTAAATTCTTACGAACCGGCAAGTCGACCACTTCCTGATGCCGGGGTTCTGACACCTCGCCCAGCAATTGGAAATGTTTTCTATCTCTTAAAATTGGAGAACAATAAAATATATATCCCTTACATTTTACTACATATTTATTTTTCCTCACTTGCAAAAATTTGCAGAATGTTACTCTCACTCTAAGTTCTTATCTGAGGAATGTAATTAAAAATTCTTACTTTTAAAAAATCAAAAAGATACTGAACATTTGGATAAGTGAACAGTCATAGGAGGTGCCTGAGTGGGGATAGTGGTGGAGCATATAGTATTTGTTCATATCTGTTGACAGTAAAAAGAAGCTAAAAATAGTAGAAAGAGCATAATCTTTGAAGTTAGACAGACCAGGGTGCTAATTCTAGGTCAGCTGTTTACTAGCTTATGGCCTTAGCAAAATCACTATTTCTTAATCTTAAAATGTAATATATAACATTCTTCATACCAATTCTAATGAGAATTAGAGATAATAGGTAAAGTACTTGCCATGTTGTAGATGTTCAATAATTTATAGATACTATCATTACACATGTAAGTAGTAAATAAATTAACTTTACCTTAAGAGAGGGCTAGACTTTGTTTCCACTTGACTCTTGGGAGAAAACATCTGAACTGGAAATTCTTAAGTGATAGGAATGTCTTTGTTTTTCACAGTGGATCCCCTAGATTTGTAGTTTATGGTAATGAGGTGACTCAGGGTGAGCCCCTAGATAGTTTATGCTAACAAGATAACTCAGGATAGGGGCTGGCCATGCCAGAAAGATCATTATGTGAATAGAAGTCGGGGCTTTGAGTCACATTATACTACCCTGACCTCTCGAGAGGAGTGGACTTTGAGTTCAACCATGTGGGCAGCAAATCAATCAATCACGCCTATGAAATGAAGTCTCAATAAAAACTCTGGAAACTGAAGCTCAAGTGAGCTGCCTGGGTGGCAATACTTCATGCATATATTGCCATGTACAGATGCCAATAGGGTACTGTGTCCCTGAGGATACAGAAGCTTCATGTTTGGAGCCCTTGGGGTCCCAGATTTTGCTCTATGCATCTTTTCCTTTGGATGGTTCTAATTTTATCCTTTTGCTATAATCAAACCATAAGCATAAGTATAGCCCTTTCCTGAATTCTATGAGTCATTCTAGTGAATTATCAAAACTGATGGTGGTTTTGGGAAACCCCCAGACTCGCAGTTGGTGTCTGAAATCTTGGGTACACTTGGCAGTCTGAAAGACTGTGCCCTTAACCTCAAGTTTGGCTAATTCTGCATAGCATATTATATCCAGCCAAGTAAAGTGAATATTACTTCCCTGAAACTAAGATAAAAAAATCTGGTTTTACTTCTAGGCAGCTAGGGATGGTAATTGGAAATTAATTTTGTTTGGAATGTACAAATATAAGTATTACTGTCTCAATTTAGTACATGTATCATATGTTATCTTGTTTTATTTTGGCAATGTAAATAAGCATTTTTAAGGACCTTCATATGTTCACATGTCATCTCCCAAGACTGCACCCTTCTTTTATTAATGTCTATATTCTTAAACCCTTTCATTCTAGCACAGGGATTTTCATAAATATAACCTTTGCATTTGGGGAAAGACACCTTTGCTAGTCCTAGATCTCTCAATGAAATATAATCTTCCTGAAACTTACCTATAATAATAATGAGTACCAGTCAAGAAGTCCCTACCATATGCCAGAAGCAATGCTTGGTACTTTTATATGTACATATTCTAAACTTTATAACCAACTTGGAAGGTAATTATTTCTATTCCCTTTTCTTAAAATGTCTGTTATTGACTCTCAAGAAAGACTTCCATAAAACCTTGTTGATCAAGCAAGGTAAATTGAGTAGACTTGCTGTAGAAAGACCTTAACGTGGTCTTAGTGCCATCTGAAAAGCGTAGGGAAGGAGTCAGAAAAGGTTATTTATAGGGCTTGGAATCTGAGATTAAGTGGGTAATGTAGTCTTTCCTGGCAGGAAACTTATTGGGATTGGGAAAATACATGACATAATAATTCAAAATTGGAAGACACAGCAAGGTAAAATTTTAAAGGAGTCTTGATAAGTAAAGCTTTCTGGTAAGTGAACTGTTTCCCAGATGAGTAATCTGTTGTTCCAAAAGAAGTGCTCTTGGCCAAAATGAGCAAACTGTTTGCTCAGAAAAATTAGTTTCCAAGAATTTTATCAAGCTAGAAGTAAAATTATGTATTAGTTTACATTCTTCTTTTCCTGGACAAAAATTACCAGAATACTATGGTCTGAAAATATTCCCCACAAAAGCATGTGTTGAAAATTTAGCCCTCAGTGTAACAATATTGAGAGGTGGGGCCTAATCTGAGGTGCTCAGGTCATGGGAGATCCACCCTCATGAATAACATGATGCTGATTATAAAAGGTCTTGAGGCTTTGAGTTTGATCTTTTCACCTTGTCTCATATGCACAAGCTCTCTTTACTCTTCCACGTTCTGCCATGGGATAAAACAGCAAGAAGGTGATTGCCAGATGCTGGCACCATGATATTGGACTTCCCAGCATCCAAAACTGTGAGAAATAAATTTATTTTAATTATAAATTACCCAGCCTTGGATGTTTTGTTATAGAATCCCAAAATGAACTAAGACACTGAAATTAACAGTTGTCATGTTGGCACATTGGTCTCAAATTTCAAAAATAAAGAAACTGACATTGTAAGAAAGTTAGTAATTTTCTAAGAATTATATCTAGAACTCTATAACTCCAAAGTCATAGTTTGGTCTACAGCACAAGACTTTCTCACCAAATATCTTTATATATCCCTGAAAAGTAAGACTACATGCAGCTACACAGCTTTAATTTCAAAACTAAGAACTAAGGTGGCCTACATCAACCTGACTTTACTACTTTTTTTTTCTGGAAGATAAACCTATAAGCCAGTAAATTACTTGATTGCTTACTTCAGCAACTTCCTGAAAATAAACCAATGATCCCCTTCTCAAGACAATAAGTTACTCATCTGGGCAAGCTGTTTGCTATTAAAACAATTGTTTACTTATCAAGAATCACATCAAGACCCTCATCTGTCTGTAAGCACCAGTATAGAATTACTTATATTGCAAACTTCTCCCACTTTATTTTTTTATTTTATTTTATTTTTATTTTTATTTTATCTTTTTTTTTTGTGTGTGTGTGAGAGAGAGAGAGAGAGAGAGAGAGAGAGAGAGAGATGGAGTTTTGCTCTTGTTGCCCAGGCTGGACTGCAGTGGCACCATCTCAGCTCACTGCAGCTTCTGCCTCCCAGGTTCAAGTGATTCTGCTGCCTCAGCCTCCCAAATAGCTGGGACTACAGGCGTCCACCACCACGCCCAGCTAATTTTTTGTATTTTTAGTAGAGATGGGGTTTCACCATGTTGGCCAGGCTGGTCTCAAGCTACTGACCTCAGGTGATCCACCCGCCTTGGCCTCCCGAAGTCCTGGGATTACAGCTTCTCCCACTCTTGAACAGATCCCTACATTGCAAGCAAGACCAGGATTAAATTACTAGAACCCCACCCCCACAATCATATCAATATGTACCCTTGATTTTTTTCCTTCAGAAACACTATTAAGACTACTAAAGGGATATTGTTTCTAACAGTAAGAATACAATAAGATAATAATAGCAGTTAGTAATAACCCAACTTTGCTCTATCAACATATTATTCTGGTGAATCCAGGATGTGTGGGAGAGTTGGCAATTGACAACCTTATGGCCAGAGACTGCTTAAACACATGATAAATTTTAAATAGATATACCACTTGATGGTTTATCATGCATCACAGGTTACAAAGAACTTCGACATATATCACTTGGTTTAATCAACAAAAGAACCATTTGAAGTAGGTATTATTATTATACTTATATTAATCCTTAACATCCTTTTATAGGATAATAAACAGAATTTAAGAGAGACCAAATGACTTGGTAAAGATCAAATAGCAGGTAATCAAGATGAGACTCATAAAGCACATTATGATGTACAACTTGATGTTTTGATATTTATATATTTTGTGAAAAGATTATATTGAACTAATTAATATCTCTATCACATCATATACTTATTTGTTATGGTGAGAATATTTAAAACCTACTGTATAAACAAATTTCAAGTATACAAGTCATTATTATGAATTATAGTCACCATGTTACACAATAAATCTCTAGAAGTTATCCAACCTGTGTAACTGAAATTTTGTACCTTTTAACCAACATCTCTCCTTCCCCAACGTCTCCCTCCCCATGCACCCCTCAGCTTCTGATAACCACCATTTTACTCTGCTTCTACGATTTTGACTTTTTTAGGTCCCACATGGAGGTGAAATCATGCAGAATTTCCCTTTCTGGGCGTGCCTTATTTCACTTAACATAATGTCCTACATGTTCATTCATAATGTCACAAATGATAAGATTTTAAGACCGAATAGTATTTCATTGTGAATACCATTGGTCCTTGAACAATGTAGGTGTTGGGGCGCTGACACGTAATAAAAAATTTGCATATAAATTTTAACTGCCTAAAAACCTAACTATTAATATCCTACTGTTGACTGGAAGCCTTTCTGACAACATAAACAGTTGATTAACATATATGTTATGTGTTGTTTGTATTGTATACTGTAGTCTTACAATAAAGTAAGCTAGGGTAAAGAAAATGTTATTAAGAAGGTCATAAGGAAGAGAAAATAAATTTACTATTCTTTTAAGTGGAAGTAAGTCATCATAAAGATCTTCATGCCCATCATCTTCACATTGAGTAGACTGAGAGGGAGGAGGAAGAGGAGTGGTTAGTCTTGCTGTCTCAGAGGTTGCAGTATGAAAAGGAAATCCATGTATAAGTTAACCCGTGCACATGTACCCTAAAACTTAAAGTATAATAATAATGAATAAAAAAAATAGCAAAAAAAAAAAAAAGTTAACCTATGCATTCAAACCATGTTGTTCAAGGGGCAACTGTATATACATGACATTTTCCTTATCTATTTATCCACTTATGGACATTTAGGTGGATTCCATATTTTGGCCTTTGTGAATAATGTTGCAGTGAACATGAGAGTGCAGATATCTCTTTAACATGCTGATTTAAGTTTTTAAATATATATACCCAGAGGTGGGATTGCTGGATCATATAGTAGTTCTATGTTTAATTTTTTGAGGAGTCTTCGTACTGTTTTCCATAATGGCCATACTAATTTACCTTCCCACTGACAGTGTATAAGGGCTCTCTTTTCTCCATATCCTCACCAACACTTGTTATAGTTTGTCATTTTGATAATAACTATTCTAAAAGGAGTGAAGTGATATTCATTTGAGGTTTTTTTGTTTTGTTTTGTTTTTGAGACGGAGTTTCGCTGTTGTTGCCCAGGCTGGAGTGCAATGGCACGATCTCGGCTCACGGCAACCTCCGCCTCCCAGGTTCAAGTGATTCTCCTGTCTCATCATCCTAAGCAGCTGGGATTACAGGCATGTGCCACCATGCCCGGCTAATTTTTGCATTTTTAGTAGAGACGGGGTTTCACCATATTGGTCAGGCTGATCTCAAACTCCCAACCTCAGGTGATCCACCCGCCTCGGCCTCCCAATCATTTTGGTTTTAGTTTGCATTTTACTGATGGTTAGTGATGTTGAGCATTTTTTTTTCATTTACCTGTTGGCCATTTCTTTTGACAAATGTCTATTGATATTCTTTACCCATTTTTAATTAAAGTGTTTTCTTGCTATTAAGTTGAGTTCTTTATATATTTGGATATTACTCTTTTATCAGATGTGTGGTTTGCAAATGTTTTCTCCCATTTCATAAGTTGTGTCTTCAATCTATTGTGTCCTTCCCTATGCATAAGCTTTTTAGTTTGATGTAATTCTATTTGTCTATTTTTGCTTTTGTTGCCTGACCTTTTTGGGTTAATACTAGAAAAATTATTGCTCAAACCACTGTCAAAAAGCCTTTTTCCTATGTTCTATTTTAGTGTTCCCAAAAACCTAATTATTGAGGTTTCAGTTTCAGGTCTTACATTTAAGTATTTTAATCCATTTTGAGTTTATTTATTTGTGATGTGAGATCAGGATCCAGTTTCATTATTATGGTTGTGTATATGCTGTTTTCTCGTCATCATTTACTGAAGAGACAATTCTTTCCCCATTGTGTATGTGTATTCTTGGTATCATTTTGGAAGATCACTTGACTGTATATATGTGGATTTATGCCTGGGCTCTCTATTCTGTTCTATTGCTCTATGTGTCTGTTTTTATGCCAGTACCATGCTGGTTTAATTACTATAGCTTTGTAGTATACTTTGAAATCAGGGAGTTTGATGCCTTTAGTGTTGTTCTTTTTGCTCAAGATTGCTTCAGCAATTCAATATTTCTTATGATTCTCTACAAATTTTATGAATTTTTTTCTATTTCTATGATAAACATCATTTGGTTTTTGATAGAAGTTGCTTGAATGTGTAGATAGCTTGTGTAGTATGAATGTGTTGACAATATTAATTCTTCCGGTCCATGAACATGGACTATTATTCCATGTGTTTGTGTCCTCTTCAATTTTTTTCAGCAATGTTTTATAGTTTTCAGTGTTCAGGTATTTCACCTTCTGGGTTAAATTTATTTCTATGCATTTTTTCATGATGTTGTGAGATTTTTTTGATTTCTTTGTTTTGGATAGTTTATTGTTATATAGAAACGCCACTAATTTTTATATGTTAATTTTGTATCCTGCAATTTTAGTGAATTTGTTTATTAATTATTACTGTTTTTTGGTGAAGTCTTTAAGGTTTTCTATGTATGTCTGTCATCTGTAAACAGAGATCATTTTACTACTTCCATTTCAATTTGAAAGCATTTTAATATATTTGTCTTGATTAATTGCTTTGGCTAGGACTTCTAGTACTAGAAGTAGAAGTAGTTTTCATTCTTCAGAAAAGAAATGATGAGAGTGGGTATCCTTGTCTTGTTCCAGATTTTCGAGGAAAAGCTTTCAGCTTTTCACATTGAGTATGATGTTAGCTGTGAGATTGTCATATATGGACTTTATTTATGTTGAGGTACATTCTTTCTATACATATTTTATTGAGATATTTATTATGAAATGTTAATTTTGTCAAATGCTTTTACTGCATCTGTTTAGATGATCATCTAATTTTATCCTTTATTTTGTTAATGTGCTGTACCGTGTTATTGATTTGCATGTGTTGAATCATCCTGGCATCCCAGGGATAAAACTTATTTTATAATGGGGTATGATACTATTATTTTTATTTGTTTGTTTATTTAATTATTGTTTTAGAGATGGAAATTTGCTATGTTGCCAAGGCTTGACTTGGACTCCTGGGCTCAATTGATCCTCCTGCTCAGCCTCCCTGAGTAGCTGGGATATAGGCACGTACCACTACGCCTAGTTCTGATCCTTTTAGTATGCTGTTGAATTCAGTTTGCTAATTTTGTTGAGGATTGTCGCATCTGTGTTCATCAGGGATATTGGCTTATACATTTCTCTTCTTGTGGAGTGTTTGTCTGTCTTTGGATCAGACATAATCCTTATCAGGATAATGCTGAACTTGTAAAATGAATTCTGAAGTGTTGCCTTCTTTTCAATTTTTCAAGAGTTTGAAAAGGATTGGCATTAATGTTTCTTTAAATATCTGGTAGAATTCACCAGTGAAGGCTTCATGTTCTGAGCTTTTTTTTTGTTGGAAGGTTTTGGCTATTGATTCAGCCTCCTGATTTATCGGTTCAGATTTTCTATTTCTTCATGATTCAATCTTAGTAGGCTGTACATTTTTAGGAATTTCTGTACTTCTTTTAAGTTATCCATTTTTTGTTGGCTTATAATTGTCCACTTAGTCTCTTATCTTTTATATTTCTGTGCTATCAGCTGTGATTTCTCCTTTTTTATTTAAAATTCTTTTATTTGAGTCTTCTCTCTTTTTTCTTAGTCTAGCTAAAGGTTTGTCAATATTGTTTATCTTTTAAATAAAGCAATTTTTGGTTATTAATTTTTTTCTATTGCTTTTCCAGTCTCTGTTTCATTTACTTCTGCTGTGCTCATTGTCATTTTCTTCCTTTTGCTGACCATGAGCTTGATACATTCTGCTTTTTTCTAGTTCCTTGAGGTATAGAGTTTGTTCATTTGAGATCTTTCTTTCTTAATGTAGGCATTTATCATTGTAAACTGCCCTCTTATAACTGTTTCTGCTGCATCTCATAACTTTTTATATGCTGTCTTTCCATCTCTATTTGTCTCAAAATATTTTTTATTTCCCTTTTGATTTCTTATTTGACCAACTGGTTGTTCAAGAGTATGTTGTTTAATTTCCACACGTGTGTAAATTTTCTGAAATTTCTTCTGTTGTTTATTTCTAGTTTTATACTACTGTGATTTGAGAATATACTTACTATGATTTCAGTCTTCTTAAATTTGTTAAGATTTGTTTTGTGGTCTAACACATGGTCTATTCTGAAGAATGTTCCATGTGCACTTGAAACAAAAATGTGTGTTCTGCTGATTTTGGGTGGAATGTTCTGCATATGTCTATTACATCCATTTGGTCTACACTGTTGTTTAATTCTACTGTTTCCTTATTGATTTTCTGTCAGGATGATATTGCCATTAATGAAAGTAGGACATTAAAGTCCCCTGCTATTATTCTACTGCTATCTATTTCTCTCTTCCGTTATCTTATGTATTTTTCCTTTATATATTTAGGTGTTCTAATGTTGGGTGCATATATATTTTTATTGTTATATTCTCTTAATGTATTCACTCCTCTATTATTATATAATAAGTTTCTTTGTCTCTTGTGATAGTTTTTTACTTAAATTCTATTTTATCTGATAAGTGTAATCACTCTTGCTGTATTTTGGTTACCATTTGCATGGAATAGCTGTTTTCATTCCTTCACTTTCAGCCTGTATGTATTCTTTTCCTTCCTTCCTTCCTTCCTTCCTTCCTTCCTTCCTTCCTTCCTTCCTTCCTTCCTTTTTCTTTCTTTCTTTCCTTTCTCTCCCTCTCTTCCCCTTTTTCTGTATTTCCTTCTTTCTTTCTTTTTTTGACAGAGTCTCCCTCTGTCATCCAGGCTGGAGGGCAATGATGCAGTCACGACTCACTGCACCCTCAACCTCCTGGACTCAAGTGATCCTCCCACCTCAGCCTCCTGAGTAGTTGGGACTACAGACATGCAGCACCACACCCAGCTAATTTTGTATTCTTGTTTGTTTTTGTTTTGTTGAGACAGGGTATTGTCATGTTGCCCAGCCTGGACTTGAACTCCTGGGCTCAAGCAATCCACACCCCTTGGTCTCCCAAAGTCCTGGGATTACAGGCATGAGCCACCATGCCCATGTGTGTATTCTTAAAGTGAAAGTAAGTCTCCTTAAGTAGTATATAGTGTTTTCATTTGTCTGATTTTATCTATTCTTCTGCTATATGGCTTTTGATTAGAGAATTTAGCCCATTTACTTTAAAGTAATTATAAGTAGGAAAGGACTACTCTCATTTAAATTAATTTTTTGTTTTGTGGTTTTTCTATTTCTTTATTACACTTTTACTGTCTTTTGTGATTTGATGATTTTCTGTAAAGCTATTCTTTTATTTTTTTATTATTATACTTGAAGTTCTAGAGTACATGTGAACAACCTGCAAGTTTGTTACATATGTATACATGTGCCATGTTGATTTGCTGCACCCATTAACTCATCATTTACTTTAGGTATCTATCCTAATGCTATCCCTCCCCCATCCCCCCACCCCATGACAGGCTCCACTGTGTGATGTTCCCCTTCCTGTGTCCAGGTGTTCTCATTGTTCAATTCCCACCTATGAGTGAGAATATGCAATGTTTGATTTTCTGTCCTTGCAATAGTTTGCTCAGAATGATGGTTTCCGGCTTCACCCATGTCCCTACAAAGGACATGAACTCATCATTTTTTATGGCTGCATAGTATTCCATGGTGTATATGTGCCACATTTTCTTAATCCAGTCTATCATTGATGGGCATTTGAGTTGGTTCCAAGTCTTTGCTATTGTGAATAGCGCTGCAATAAACATACGTGTGCATGTGTCTTTATAGCAGCATGATTTATAATCCTTTGGGTATATACCCAGAAATGGGATGGCTGGGTCAAATGGTATTTCTAGTTCTAGATCCTTAAGGAATCGCCATACTGTCTTCCACAATGGTTGAACTAGTTTATGGTCCCACCAATAGTGTAAAAGCATTCCTATTTCTCCACATCCTCTCCAGCACCTTTTGTTTCCTGACTTTTTAATGATCACCATTCTAACTGGTATGAGATGGTATCTCATTGTGGTTTTGATTTGCATTTCTCTAATGACCAGTGATGATGAGCATTTTTTCTGTGTCTGTTGGCTGCAATAATGTCTTCTTTTGAAAAGTGTCTGTTCATATCCTTTGCCCACTTTTTGGTGGGGTTGTTTGATTTTTTTTCTTGTAAATTTGTTTCAGTTCCTTGTAGATACTGGATATTAGCCCTTTGTCAGATGGGTAGATTGCAAAAACTTTCTCTCATTCTGTAGGTTGCCTGTTCACTCTGATGGTAGTTTCTTTTGCTGTGCAGAAGCTCTTTAGTTTAATTAGATCCCATTTGTCAATTTTGGCTTTTGTTGCCATTGCTTTTGGTGTTTTAGTCATGAAGTCCTTGCCCATGCCTATGTCCTCAATGGTACTGCCTAGGTTTTCTTCTAGGGATTTATGGTTTTAGGTCTAACATGTAAGTCTTTAATCCATCTTGAATTAATTTTTGTATAAGGTGTAAGGAAGGGATCCAGTTTCAGCTTTCTACATGTGGCTAGCCAGTTTTCCCAGCACCATTTGTTAAATAGGGAACCCTTTCCCCATTTCTTGTTTTTGTCAGGTTTGTCAAAGATCAGATAGTTGTAGATATGTGGCATTATTTCTGAGGGCTCTGTTCTGTTCCATTGGTCTATATCTCTGTTTTGGTACCAGTACCATGCTGTTTTGGTTACTGTAGCCTTGTAGTATGGTTTGAAGTCAGGTAGCGTGATGCCTCCAGCTTCGTTCTTTTTGCTTAGGATTATCTTGGCAATGAGAGCTCTTTTTTGGTTCCATATGAACTTTAAAGTAGTTTTTTCCAATTCTGTGAATAAAGTCATTGGTAGCTTGATGGGGATGGCATTGAATCTATAAATTACCTTGGGCAATATGGCCATTTTCACAATATTGATTCTTCCTATCCATGAGCATGGAATGTTCTTCGATTTGTTTGTGTCCTCTTTTATTTTGTTGAGCAGTGGTTTGTAGTTCTCCTTGAAGAGGTCCTTCCCATCCCTTGTAAGTTTTATTTCTAGGTATTTTATTCTCTTTGTAGCATTTGTGAATGGGAGTTCACTCATGATTTGGCTCTCTGTTTGTCTGTTATTGGTGTATAGAAATGCCTGTGATTTTTTGCACATTGATTTTGTATCCTGAGACTTTGCTGAAGTTGCTTATTGGCTGAAAGAGATTTTGGGCTGAGACGATGGGGTTTCCTAAATATACAATCATGTCATCTGCAAACAGGGACGATTTGACTTCTTCTTTTCCTAATTGAATACCCTTTATTTGTTTCTCTTGCCTGATTGCCTTGGCCAGAACTTCCAACACTATGTTGAAGAGGAGTGGTGAGAGAGGGAATCCCTGTCTTGTTCAAGTTTTCAAAGGGAATGCTTCCAGTTTTTGCCCATTCAATATGATATTGGCTGTGGGTTCTCATTATTTTGAGATATGTCCCATCGATCCCCAGTTTATTGAGAGTTTTTAGCATGAAGCGCTTTTGAATATTGTCGAAGGCCTTTTCTGCAGTTATTGAGATAATCATGTGTTTTTTGTCATTGGTTCTGTTTATGGGATGGATTACATTTATTGATTTGTGTATGTTGAACCAGACTTGCATCCCAGGGATGAAGCCCACTTGATCATGGTGGATAATAAGCTTTTTGATGTACTGCTGGCTTTGTTTTGCCAGTATTTTATTGAGGATTTTTGCATTGATGTTCATCAGGGATATTGGTCTAAAATTCTCTTTTTTTGTTGTGTCTCTGCCAGGCTTTGGTATCAGGATGATCCTGGCCTCATAAAATGAGTTAGGGAGGATTCCCTCTTTTTCTATTTATTGGAATAGTTTCAGAAGGAATGGTTCCAGCTCCTCTTTTTACCTATGGTAGAATTTGACTGTGAATCTGTCTGGTCCTGCACTTTTTTTTGGTTGGTAGGCTATTAATTGCTGCCTCAATTTCAGAGCCTGTTATTGGTCTTTTCAGGGATTCAGCTCCTTCCTGGTTTAGTCTTGGGAGGGTGTATGTGTCCAGGAATTTATCCATTTCTTCTAGATTTTCTAGTTTATTTGTGTAGAGGTGTTTATAGTATTCTCTCATGGTAGTTTGTATTTCTGTGCGATCAGTGGTGATATACCCTTTATCATTTTTTATTGCATCTATTTGATTCTTCTCTCTTTTCTTAGTCTTGCTCATGATCTATCAATTTTGTTAATCTTTTCCAAAAACCACCTCCTGGATTCATTGATTTTTTGAAGGGTTTTTTGTGTCTCTATCTCCTTCAGTTCTGCTCTGATCTTAGTTATTTCTTGCCTTCTGCTAGCTCTTGAATTTGTTGCTCTTTCTTCTCTAGTTCTTTTAATTGTGATGTTAGGGTGTCGATTTTAGATCTTTCCTGCTTTCTCTTGTGGGCATTTAGTGCTATAAATTTCCCTCTACACACTGCTTTAAATGTGTCCCAGAGATTCTGGTACGTTGTGTCTTTGTTCTCATTGGTTTCAAAGAACATCTTTATTTCTGCCTTCATTTCATTATTTACCCAGTGGTCATTCAGTCATTGAGCAGGTTGTTCAGTTTCCATGTAGTTGTGCGGTTTTGAGTGCGTTTCTTAATCCTGAGTTCCAGTTTGATTGCACTGTGGTTTGAGAGGCAGTTTGTTGTGATTTCTGTTCTTTTACATTTGCTGCGGAGTGCTTTACTTCCAACTATGTGGTCAATTTTAGAATAAGTGTGATGTGGTGCTGACAAGAATATATATTTTGTTGATTTGGGGTGGAGTTCTGTAGATATCTATTAGGTCTGCTTGGTGCAGAGCTGAGTTCAAGTCCTAGATATCTTTTTAACCTTCTGTCTCGTTGATCTGTCTAATATTGACAGTGGGTTGTTAAAGTCTCCCATTATTATTGTGTGGGAGCCTAAGTCTCTTTGTAGGTCTCTTTGTAAGTCTCTATGGATTTGCTTTATGAATCTGGGTGCTCCTGTATTGGGTGCATACATGTTTAGGATAGTTAGCTCTTCTTGTTGAATTGCTCCATTTACCATTATGTAATGGCCTTCTTTGCCTCTTTTGATCTTTGTTGGTTTAAAGTCTGTTTTATCAGAGACTAGGCTTGCCACCCCTGCTTTTTTTTGTTTTCCATTTGCTTGGTATATCTTCCTCCATCCCTTTATTTTGAGCCTATGTGTGTCTCTATACGTGAGATGGGTCTCCTGAATACAGCACACTGATGGGTCTTGACACTTTATCCAATTTGCCAGTCTATGTCTTTTAATTGGGGCATTTAGTCCATTTACATTTAAGGTTAATATTGTTACGTGTGAATTAGATCCTGTCATTATGATGTTAGCTGGTTATTTTGCTCATTAGTTGATGCAGTTTCTTCCTAGCATCAATGGTCTTTACAATTTGGCATGTTTTTGCAGTGGCTGGTACTGGTTGTTTCTTTCTATGTTTGGTGCTTTCTTCAGGAGCTCTTGTATGGCAGGCCTGGTAGTGACAAAATCTCTCAGCATTTGCTTGTCTGCAAAGAATTTTATTTCTCCTTCACTTATGAAGCTTAGTTTGGCTGGGTATGAAATTCTGGGTTGAAAATTCTTTTCTTTAAGAATGTTGAATATTAGCCCCCACTGTCTTCTGGCTTGTAGAGTTTCTGCTGACAGATCTGCTATTAGTCTGATGGGCTTCCCTTTGTGGGTAACCCAACCTTTCAGTCTGGCTGCCCTTAACATTTTTTCCTTCATTTCAACTTTGGTGAATCTGACAATTATGTGTCTTGGGGTTGCTATTCTCAAGGAGTATCTTTGTGGCATTCTCTGTATTTCCTGAATTTGAATGTTGGCCTGCCTTGCTAGGTTGGGGAAGTTCTCCTGGATAATATTCTGAAGAGTGTTTTCCTGCTTGGTTTCATTCTCCCCGTGACTTTCAGGTACACCAATCCAATGTAGATTTGGTCTTTTCACATAGTTCTATATTTCTTGGAGGCTTTGTTTGTTTCTTTTTACTCTTTTTTCCCTAAACTTCTCTTTTCACTTCATTTCATTAATTTGATCTTCAATCACTTATACCCTTTCTTCCAGTTGATCGAATTGGCTACTGAAGCTTGTGCATGCATCACGTAGTTCTTGTGCCATGATTTCCAGCTCCATCAGGTCATTTATGGTCTTCTCTACACTGTGTATTCTAGTTAACCATTCATCTAATCTTTTTTCAAGGTTTTTAGCTTCCTTGTGATGGGTTCGAACATCCTCCTTTAGCTCGGAGAAGTTTGTTATTACTGACCTTCTGAAGCCTACTTCTGTCAACTCTTCAAAGTCATTTTCCATCCAGTTTTGTTCTGTTGCTGGGGCAGAGCTGTGATCCTTTGGAGGAGAATAGGTGCTCTGATTTTTAGAATTTTCAGCTCTTCTGCTCTAGTTTCTCCCCACCTTTGTGGTATCATCTACCTTTGGTCTTTGATGATGGTGACCTACAGATGGGATTTTGGTGTGGATGTCCTTTTTGTTAACGTTGATGCTATTCCTTTCTGTTTGTTAGTTTTCCTTCTAACTGTCAGGTCCCTCAGCTGCAAATCTGTTGGAGTTTGCTGGAGGTCCACTCCAGACCCTGTTTTCCTGGGTACCACCAGCAGAGGCTGCAGAACAACAAATATTGCAGAACAGCAAATATTGCTGCCTGTTCCTTCCTCTGGATGCTTCGTCTCAGAGGGGCACACAGCTATATGAGGTTTCAGTTGGCCCCTACTGGGAGGTGTCTCCCAGTTAGGCTACACAGGTGTCAGGGACCCACTTGAGGAGGCAGTCTGTCCGTTCTCAGAGCTCAAACACTGTGCTGGGAGAACCACTGCTCTCTTCAAAGCTGTCAGACAGGGATGTTTAAGTCTGCAGAAGTTTCTGCTGCCTTTTGTTCAGCTATGCCCTACCCCCAGAGGTGGAGTCTACAGAGGCAGGCAGGCCTCCTTGAGCTGCAGTGGGCTCCACCCAGTTCGAGCTTCCTGGCTGCTTTGTTTACCTACTCAAGCCTCAGCAATGGCGGATGCCCCTCCCCCAGCCACGCTGCCAAATGGCAGCTCAATCTCAGACTGCTGCACTAGCAGTGAGCCAGACTCTGAGGACGTGGGACCCACTGAGCCAGGCACGAGATATAATCTCCTGGTGTGCCATTTGCTAAGACCATTGGAAAAGCACAGTATTTGGGTGGCAGTGTCCCTATTGTCCAGTTACAGTCTGTCACAGCTTCCCTTGGCTAGGAAAGGGAAATCCCCCACCCTTTTGTGCTTCCTGGATGAGGCAATGCCCCACTTTGCTTCAGCTCACCCTCCGTGGGCTGCACCCACTGTCCAACCAGTCCCAGTGAGATTAACCAGGTACCTTAGTTGGAAATGCAGAAATCACCCATCTTCTGTGTCGATCATGCTGGGAGCTGCAGACTGGAGATGTTCCTATTCGGCCATCTTGGAACTGGTCCTCTCTTTTATTTCTTTTTATCTTTGTGTATTTACTACTGGTTTTTGCTTTGGGGTTACCATGAAATTTACAAAATAAAATTCTTATAGCAGTATATTTTAGCCTGATAAAACTTAATTTTAATAGCATACAAAAACACTACATTTTAACTTCTTCTTTCCCCATACTTTATATTATTGATATCACAGTTTCTGTTTTTTACATATCATGCATCCATTAATAAATTATTTTAGCTATATTCATTTGTAACACTTTTGTGTTTTGACCTTTATACTAGAGTTAAAAGTGATTTATGCACAGCCATTATGGTATTTGAGTATTCAGAATTTGGCTGTATTCTCATCATTACAGCATATTTTCACATGTTTTTAAGCTATTAGTTAGTGTTCTTTCATTTCAACTTGTAGAATTCTCTTTTTTAAGGCAGGTCTAGTGGTAATGAACTCCTTCAGCTTTTATTTGCCTGGAAAAGCCCTTATCTCTCTATTATCTTTGAAAGACAGACTTACCATGTATGGTATTCTTAGTTGGCAGACTTTTCTTTCAACATTTAAAATATATTATCCCACTCTCATCTTGCCTGCAAAGTTTCTAATGAGAAATCCACTGGTAGACTTACAAACATGGCTTTATATGTGGCAAGTTGCTTTTTTTCTTGCTGTTTTCAAAACTCTCTGTTTTTGACTTTTGATAATATGATTATAATATGTCTTGGTGTATATCTTCTTATTTTTAATCCATTTGACAGTGTTCGGGCTTTGTCGATGTGGATGTTCATTTCCCTTTCTGATTTAGGGAGTTTTCTGTTATTATTGTTGTTGTTCTTCTTATTATTTGGTCAGAAAAGCTGCCAAGATGTCATAATTTCTTTAAATAAACTCTATGCCAATAATCCACGTATTGGCTTGCTCCCATAATACGTATATTAGTTCACTTAATGGTGTCTCGTAATTCCTGTAGACTTTCGTTACTCTTTTTCCTTCTGTTTTCTTTTTGTTCCTCTGACCAGGTAACTTCAAATGATCTGTCTTCAAGCTCATCAATTCTTTCTTCTGCTTGATTGAGTTTGCTACTTAAGCTTTCTATGAAATTTCTCAGTATAGTCATTATGTTATTTAGCTTCAGAATTTCTGTGTAGTTCTTTTGTATGGTTTCTGTATTTATTGAGCTTCTAATTTTGTTTGTATATTGTTTTCATGATTTTGTTTAGTTGCTGATCAGTATCTCTTGTAGCTCACTGGGCATTTTTATGATTATTGTTTTTAATTTTTGTCCAGCAGTTTGTAAATCTCTGTTTCTTTAGGATCAGTTACTACTGCTTTATTTTATTCCTTTGGTGGTGTCACATTTCCTTCCCATGGGATCATGTGGCCCTGCATTGGTATGTGTGCATTTGAAGAAGTAAGCACCATTTCCAGTCTTTATAGACTGGCTTTGGTAGAGAAAGTTCTTTACCAGTCAGCCAGTCCATATTCTGGGCAGGTCATCTGCCTGGGTTCATGGAAAGGCTTGACACTGGAGTTCACGGACAATCTGGGTGGGTGCTTAGATCAGCAGGTGGGCAGACTTGATACTTGGGTCCAATGTGCCTGGCCAGGAGCCTGGATTCATGGGGCCTGGCATAGAGACTAGGTCCACTGGAATGAGCCTGGATTTTAGGGTCTACTAGGGTGGGCCAGGATCCTGGGTTTATGGGGGCCAGCCTGGTTTTGGAGTTCACTGGGGTGGACCTGTTGACTGGGTCCATGGGGCTGGGCTTGAGGCCTGGGTCCCTGGGGATGGGTCTGGAGCTTGTGTTTGTGGTAACTGAACTGGAGTCTGGGTCCATGGGTACCAGCCTGGTGCTGAGGTGGATCTTTAGCCTGAGAACATGGGAGCTAGCCCAGTAATGGGGTGGGCCTGTTGCCTCACTCCATGAGGGCATGCCTGGCTCCTGAGTCTGCAGAAGCTGTCCTTGAGCCTGGATACTCAGGGCAGTTCTGGAGCCTAGGTCAACAGGGGCCAGCCCAGTGCTGAGATAAACTGGGGAAGGCATGAAATCTGTTCTACTGCAGTAGATCTGTACCTTGGGTATCCTAGAGCCTAGTTTCATGGGGACTGGCTTGAAGCTTGGGTCTGGTACTAAGGCATGCCTAGAGCCAGGGTCCATAAAGGCTGGTCTGCAGTTTGAGTTCATGGGTGCTAACCTGATGCCTGGTGTCACAGAGGCTTTCCTGGAGGCTTGCTCTTCAGGTTCTAGCCTGGAGACTGATTCTGCAGATTCTAGCCTGGAGACTAGGTCCCTGGGGGCTGATCTGGACCCTGGGGCCTCAGGTATTGGTCTGGCATTGGGGTGGCCCTGAAGCCTAGGGCTGCAGGTGCCAGACCAGAGTCTGGACTGTGGGGGCGGGAGCTGGGACAGGCCTGAAGCCTGGGGCTATGGAGCTGGCGTAGCCCTAGGGCAGGCCTGAACCCTGGAGCTGCAGGGCCAACCTGGAGCCAATAGCTATAGGTGCTGACCTCATGCTGGGTTCCACTGGAAGGGGTGTCTCATGCTGGGTTCCACTAGTGCTGGTGTCCATTGCAAAGTCAGGTGCTCACTTCCCTTTGCTTACTCCAAGCAGAGTCTCTCTTTGTCCTGTGCTGCCTGGGCTTTGGGATAGGGTGAAGCAAGTAATGTGACACTGTCCTTCCTACCGTCTTCAAGGTATCTTTTCTTATTTCTGTGCCATACTCACATGCTATAATCTCTCACCTGGATTCCTTAGCTCTTATGTAGTATTGTCACTTGTAGATAGTTTTCAAATTGATGGTTCTGCAAGGGAATAAGTGCTGGAAAATCCTATTCTGCCATCTTGCTGACATCACTCCTTTGTATTTCCAGCATAAAGATTTTTTAAAGCACTTTGTATTCAGAGCTCCCATATCACTTAATATCTTTTTTGTCCCAGTATGCTTACCCAGTTTACCACTTCCATATATCTTTAATGCATCTGTTCAAAACTCGCTAACACTCATCATACCACTTTAGCTCTTTACACTCCTTGTAAATGTAACGCCTGCCTTGAAATGTAAGGAAAAGATTTCTTCTTTGACTTCCCTCATCAGCTCTTCTCTAGGAAGCCTTCCAAATAGATCAGTGTGATTTTCAAGTTTTTAGTTCACATATTCTTTGCTTTTTTGAAAAATTAATGCTCTTTATTTCTCTAAGTTTATTTGAGGTCCTTATCTTCTAAAAGACAGTCTCCTTAACTAAAATTACCTTTGTGACTTCCTTAATAAAAATAAAATCAGAATTCCCAAATCTCCCAACTGACAAACAGTTTCTACGTGCAAAAGGGGTTACTGGACCATAGGCTGACCCTGTGACTCAGCTTCCTCTTGAATGCCACAAGAGATCATTTTGCTGCTACTGTAATGACCTCAGAAGCTGCTGCTTTAACTTTGTTACATTATTCTCATTTTCACTTATTTTTTCTCAGTCAGAGACACAGGAAATGGTGCTACAGGTTGTGTTATGAACAAGGGATCTGGATAAAGTGAGTTACAAGGCGTGTTGGTGGAAATGCAGCTCATGTTCCCCTGGCCAAGCACTGCCTGCACAGAGCAGAGCCTTTTTCTAATTTGCAAAAAGACAACAAGGTCACCTGGCCTGAAATATTTGCGTAACACCTAACTAAAGGGATAATCAAAATAAAACGCTAGAGAAAGTAACATATCATACAGAATATCCTAGCACAGCAATACATCTCCTACTGGCACTCTCCTCATAAATATCCCCCTATTTCTTCCTGGGCCAGGATCCCTATGACCACCTGCCCCTACAACAAGAGAACATTTCAAACCCTGCAGAGGCCTTGGACAAGTAAAATGAGAATAAAAAGGATGTGTTGTGAAGACTCCATGAAAAAAATATATATATATGTATATATATATATATGAAAATATATACATGTGAGAAATGTATATAGAGTTTTCAAAACTATGTCTGGCACATAGCAATTACTCACTATTGGTAGCTCCTATCATGATTCAGTAAACGCTGATATCTCTTTTCCTCCTTTGTCATTCCCAACTCCATATTCAAAGTCACCAATGAAAAGATTAGATTTTGAACACTAAACAGATTTTATGGGTCATTAACTTGAATATTAACACAAGTAAATAAATACATACCTTTCTTCTAAGAAAATAATATATGAATGACATTTATGAAATATTTATAGAATGTTTATTAAAGCACATGTTCACATTTAATGTTAGAGGTGTATATGTTAAAAGTGCCTACTAGATCTACATACTATTCAAATGCCTATATCATAGCACAACAAACTTTTGAGTTTCATAGATTTTTATTTTAAAAAGGAACACTCTGATTTGTATAATGCTACTCCTTATAGCTACCAGTTGTATTCTACTAGAAGTCAGGGTGCCTGGTCACTTACAAGGACAAAATTCAGACTCCTTTGGAAAATATCCATGTTCCCTTTGACTTAGAAAGGAGAAACAATCCTTCCTGACACATCACTGGCCTTGGACTGATTTCATTCTCTTACGTGGAGGAGCTGATAACATCTTACAGTCACATATGCTTGTTAGTGCAATCTTTTACAAAGAACTAAAGTGTGCCACTGAGTGTCATTTAGACTTAGTCAAGCTGGATTTATATAAAGTAGAATGTGCTAAAGGTAAGAACTGATCTAAGTGATATTTTTAGATCTTTTTTAATTTAAAAATGTTTATGTCACCATTAGCACATTCATTCAAGTAGCATTCAATTATGAGATTGGGCTTTTGCAAATATAATTTACCAAATTAAGCGGAAGAAAATAACTTTAAGCCTTATTTTAACTGCCTTTGTAGTTCAGTTTTTGAAAAAGTAATTCTTATTTTTCCAAAAATGTTTAAATACTCCCTGTTGGAATGGCAATTCACTAAATACTTTGATAAAGATAAATAGAGATTAGTATAAAGTAATAAAGATACCCTCTAGGAATCATCATTCTGTCGTTCCTCAGTGAAATAAGCCTAGACACTCTCTTCTTCTCCATCCCCATTATCTACCAGGTTGGACATCAGAGATCACACACTCGAAACTCAGGAATACCAGACAGGAAAGCAAAGGACATGTGCCTAGTATAAGGCCATAGAGGTATAGGGACTGTGGAAAACTGGAGCCACTATGACTCATCTTCATATAGTCATGGCTATTTAGCTCTAGCTAATTATTGCAACTCTAGGCCCATTGCTAAAAAAAACTACATATTTTTGGAACTTCTTTTCAATTTTTAAATGTTGAAAACTAATTCAATTTATATAAATTCTGTAAGTCTATTCTGGTGTGGAAAAAAAGACAGTAGCTACAAGGCAGAATCAACCCGTATACTACTCAGTTACATCTGACTCAGAGTAAAATGAAATTAGAAGATAGAACTGTTGGAAATAGCAAGGATAACAGAAAAAAAAGCATCAGGAATTCTTTGGTTGCAAGTGACAGAAAATTCAACTCCAATTGGCTTTTCAAGAGGGGAGAAATTTACTCTTTCATGTAAGTGAAAAATCCAGATGTAGGTCTAAATTCAGGCAGGACTAGATCTGGCAATTCAGTCAGCATCATTTATCTTTATTCCTACCCTTGACCTTCCAAGGTGTCTGCATGCTTGCTTTATCCTCAGGCTCTCTTTGGTGGCGCTCAGAAGATTTCGGCTGATCCATTAGAGTTGAAAAGTAGCTGCCATGTTGCAGACTCCACATCTTCACACTATACCTACTAAGAAAAGAAAGAAGTGTTTTAGTTCCTGCAGAAGAGAGAGTAAATTTCTCTTTTCAATAGGGCAAAAAATTTTCTCATTGTATGTAACTACCTTCAGTGAGGTTTAAGTCCTTCCCTGGAAGGACCAGGAGATGGTATCATATTTAATGTAAGCCATTCAGAGTTTCAGGGGTTCCCTCGGAACAACCCCACCCAATAATACACCACTGAGAATGAGAGAAGGTGGGTTCATGATATTTCCTTTAGGAATTACTGCATTAGAGAAGGGGAAATAGACTCAGCCACTATACACACACACACACACACACACACACACACACACACACACACACACACATATATACACACACACCAGATTGGGGGAAATTGTGAAACTGAAAATACAAAATTAGGGAAAAATGTTTTTTGTAAAGTACCAATAAATATAAAAATTTCAATAATTAGGGTGTGGGGATCAAAGAGATTATTGCAGATTATAAAGTACAAGAGCAGAAAATATCCACTGTAAAAAAAAAAGTACTAGAAGAAAACATGGGATAATTTTTATTCTTATTATTTTAAAGGGAGTAAAACTTTTTAGTTAAAATGTAAAACTCAGAAGCCATAGAGGATAAGCTAGATAAATTTGATGGCATAAAACTTAAAAGTTTTACATGTTTACCATAACACAATTTTTTTTTAATTTTCCAACTTTTATTTTAAGTTCAGGAGTACATGTGCAGGACGTGCAGGTTTGTTACATAGCTAAACGTGCGCCATGGTGGTTTGCTGCACAGATCATCCCATCACCTGGGTATTAAGCCCAGCATTCATTAGCTATTCTTCCTGATGCTCTCTCTCCTCCCACCCCTCACCTTCCAACAGGCCCCAGTGTGGTTGTTCCCCGCAATGCCATGCATTCTCATCATTCAGCTCCCACTTATAAGTGAGAACACACAGTATTTGTTTTTCTTTTCCTGCATTAGTTTGCTAACGGTCTCTAGCTCCATCTGTGTCTCTCTGAAGGACGTAATCTCGTTCTTTTTATGGCTGTATACTATTCCAGAGTGTATATGTACCACATTTTCTTTACCCAGTCTATTATTGGTGGGCTTTTAGGTAGATTTCATGTCTTTGCTATTACAAATAATGCTGCAATGAACATAGGCATGCATGTATCTTTATAATAGAATGATTTATATTCCTTTGGGTATATACCCAGTAACAGGATTGTTGAGTCAAATATTTCTGCCTCTGGGTCTTTGAGGAATCGCCACACTGTCTTCCACAATGGAGCTGACCTAATTTACACTCCCATTAGCAGTGTAAAAGCTTTCCTTTTTCTCCACAATCTCGCCAGCATCTACTGTTTTCTTTTTTTTGACTTTTTAATAATAGCTATTCTGACTGGTATGAGATAGTATCTAATTGTGATTTTGATTTGCATTTCTCTAATGATCAGTGTTGTTGAGCTTTTTTTCATATGTTTGTTGGCCACATGTATGTCTTCTTTTGAGAAGTGTCCTTTTCCCCCTTTTTAATGAGGTTATTTGTTTTTTGGGGTTTTTTTTCTTTGTAAATTTGTTTAAGTTCCTTACAGATGCTGGATATAAGACCTTGTCAGATGGATAGATTGCAAAACTTTTTGCGCATTCTGTAGGTTGTCTGTTTACTCTGTTGATAGTTTCTTTTGCTGTGCAGAAGCTCTTTAGTTTAATTAGATCTTACTTGTCAATTGTTTTATTTTGTTGCAATTGCTTTTGGCACTTTTGTCATGGAATCTTTGTCTGTGCCTATGTCCTGAATGGTATTGCCTAGGTTTTCTTCTGGGTTTTTTATAGTTTTGGGTTTTACATTTAAGTCTTTAATCCATCTTGTCTTTTGTTAGCATCAGGGTTTGTTTGCTCTTGGTTCTCTAGTTCTTTTAGTTGTGCTGTTAGTTTTTTTTCTTCTTCTTTTTTTTAGCGACAGAGTCTCGCCCTGTCACCTAGGCTGGAGTGTAGTGGTGTAGTTGTATGATCTCGTGATCTTAGCTCACTGCAACCTCTGCCTCCCGGGTTCAAGCAATTCTCCTGCCTCAGCCTTCCAAGTAGCTGAGATTACAGGTGTGCGCCACCACGCTTGGCTAAGTTTTTGTATTTTTAGTAGAGACGAGGTTTCACCATGTTGGCCAGGCTGGTCTCGAACTCCTGACCTCAAGTGATCCGTCTGCCTCAGCCTCACAAAGTGCTGGGATTACAGGCATGAGCCACCGCACCCAGCCTGTTAGTTTGTTGACTTGAGATCTTTCTAGTTTTTTAATGTGAGACATAATTTTTTTAAAAATAAGGTAACAAAGGGCAATACATTGGTAACAGTTTTGATGCACAAAGACATATCTTAATGTTTAAAGAGCTCTTACACATCAAAAGGAAAGATAATCTCAATTTAAGCCAAAAATGGCTTTAAAATATGAAAACTATGTTTAACTTTGGTAATAATGAAAGAAATGTAAATCAATAGATGCAGACATTGTTGGACTCCACCCAACCTGCAATAGAGAAATAGCATGAAAACATTATTGTTTTTTGCGATTGTTTATTGCGATTACAAGATTGTTAGCAACCAGGGTGTAACTTGCTCTATCCTGACTAATAAAGAATTAGTACCAGAACTGTGTGATATAATAACAAGGAATATGTGCCATGGAGTTAGAGGTTGGGTTTGTTCAGGGAGAAAACTTTCACCTGAGGCTGTAAAGATGGGGACACATTTCATTCAGTAGAAAAACATAGCAAAATTATCACCAGAAAAAAAAATCAGAGATCAGTTTACGTATCTGTTAGAACCGAAGCCTTTAGGGGAAGATATTAAAAGACAAAATGTTAATAGCAAGTGTTAGTTTCTATTGACTGCATTTGGGAAGGTGCACACTGGCTTTACAGTGATGCCAGAGCAAATCACATTCAGTAGAAACTGTGCTTTGAGAATGTATTCTGCTTTTCACTTTCAGTATAGTATTCAATAAATAAATAAAGTGAACTATTCAATACTTCATAATAAAAATAAGCTTTGTGTTAGATGATTTTGCTCAACCGTACATTAATGTAAGTGTTCTTAGCACATTTAAGGTAAGCTAAGCTGTTATGATGTTTGGTAGGTTGGGTGTATTAAATACGTGTTTGACTTATGATATTTTCCATTTATGTCGGGTTTATTGGGACATAACCCCATTGTAAGTCAAGGAAGCACCTGTATTACAAGAAATAAATTCAGAAGAGAATTAGCTGTCTCATCAGCAGGAATACAGTGTGCCCTTTCAACACATGGTTTAAGCCATCTTTTTTTCAGAGAAGTTCTCTTGATTTATACTTTCTAGTATTTGTTCTCTTTCATTGCTTTAGTTTTTGTGCTCAGGATGTCCCTTTATGTGTATGCTGAGTCTTCTTTTCCTGTCATCTATAATTGTCACTGTCTCTCAAATACTTTTAACACTTTCTTTTTAATTTTTTTTTTTACTTTTTATGTTCTATTTCTCTAAAGGCATTCATTATCTATTTGTTTATTCACTGTTTTGTTCTTCCTGGTTTATTTTTAAACTCTGAAGTAACATTTTGTTTTAGTAATGATTTTCTACATTCTATGAGCTCAAATTTCAAATCTTCCTATACTCTTTTTCTCTCTTCTCCAATTACCTTATTTTTGAATTTTAAAAATTATGATTTATGTTGTTTCATAGCTATTAACATTTTCTTAAATCCTTTTGTCTCAGTTTAAGAAATTTGGTTACAGTTATGATGTATCTTCCTATGGAGATTGTCCTGGCATGCTTTCATTGTCTGAAAGGATAATATTTTGCTCCTAGTATTTTTTTATTATTATAAAGACATTGGTGGGATTTGATAAAAATTCTTTTCTGTTGTGATTTTCATGGTATTTATTTTTCTGTATTAGAAAAAGGTAAATCAGGATATCTTTCCTAGCTTACTGGTTCTAGATTTCTCCCTTCTGTTCTTTTAAAAATGTGTTCAAGCCAGACACAGTGGTTCATACCTGTAGTCCCAGCTGTTCAAGAAACAGGCAGGAAGATCCCTTGAGCCCAGGAGTTCAAAGCTGTAGTGAGCCACGATCAAAATGTGTTCAAAAACAAAAGCTGGCATTTTCCTGAGGTTTGTTAACTTTGGCTCCTTCTCCCCAGTGTTTCTATAAACCATTTCTTTTCTTTGTTCATATTGAGATTCTACTCAGTATTTTCTATGCAGTACATGATTTAATATTGGAAGAAAATTTTCACTGGTTACTAGTAAGAGATTATAAATCCCAGATTTTTCCAGCATCATTGTGCTTCCATCACCCATTAGCTCTTAACTGCGAATAATCTACAAAGTGACTAACTCAGTTACTCCCAGGTCCACCTGCTAACTTCAAAATGCCCTGATGAGTTTACCAGTGACTACCTGCTAGTGATTTAGGTACTTTTCAGCTCTTGTAGACATTAGAATCCTTATGTCTTTCCTCTGCTTTCTCTCACATTATTGCTGACACCACATGGTGCTTCTTGGTGGTACTGGTTGGTCCCTACCTGTTCATATTTTGATGTTTAAAGTTAACCTAGTGTTAGCTTAATGGTAGATGTTGTCTATGTGTTTTAGGTTTGGCTATCCTAGTTCCTTTCCCTGTTTATATGGAATTTGGAGAAATTTAATAACTCTGATGCCATCTTCCCAGAGTCCCCCATATTTGAATGTTTAAAAATCAAGTTTTCCAGGTTTATACTTTTACATATTTTGTTCTTTCTTATGTATATGCTTTATCATATATAGTTGTGTGTGTGTGTTGGTGCAGCCATATGACATGTTGAGTGGAAAAAACTGTAAATTTATAACATGCATTCCAACTTTATAACTATTATATGTAAGCCAAATCTCATTATAATCCTCTTGTATGCATATTTTGGTCTCTAATCTACACACACACACACACACACACACACTAAGGACTCCTTGAAAGGTAAATGAGTCCAAACTTTAGGGTAGAAAAAAATCACTATGGATATGAAACATCTATTGTTGCTTCTTATTTTATAGATGAGAACATTGAACTCTAAAAGCAGTTGTTACTAAATGTAAGAATGTTTCTTTAATAGTCAGAAAAAAATGCTGAAATAAAGAGAGACAAATTTCAGGGCCCTCACTGGCCAAATTTATATAGTTTGGGCATTAAAATAAGATTCATGATAATTATTATGACCATTATAGTAGTTACTTAAACAGACTAAATCTAAGAAAGTCTATATGTTTCTAATAATACTCAAATAGGAAAAGTTTATATAAGATTACCAATAGGTATTATAATACACAAAAATTGTGATTATAATAGAATATATTTAATAGTTTATTGATTTGAATATATAAGGGATTGTTAATATATAAAAGTATTCATTAAATATTTATCTGTAAAGTTTAGGTATTTACTTTCTTTGATGAACACAGAGTACATAAGGAAACCATGTTATCCCAGCAAAAGTGGATTCACTAGCAAGAAAAAGAAGGTCTGATTAGCACATATAATGAATCAGATTCAAAGGGTATCTACAGCTAATCAGCTTCAATGGTCACACACAATAACCAAGTTTTAAAGAATGGTTCAACCACATGTCTTAAAATGAAAAATTAACCAAATGTACAAAAGAGTAGAGCTGACTACAACACAATCTCTCATCTCCTAGGAGTTGACAATTCTTGATGGTCCAACTAATCATAATAAAATACTAATAAGATACTACATAAGATTTTAATTGCACTAACAAACCAAACTAGCACATCAAATCGACAGGGCAATGGATAGGTAAAAATTAAGAGAATCCTTCATTTCTTAGAAAGCTATTGAATCTCAAAAAATCAAAACCTTTTTAAAGAAAAAAAAACAATAAAAGTCCCATGATGTAATGATTACAATTTTACTATTAAAAGGTATTTACTAACCATTAGTAGCCTAGAAAACACCTTGGATGACTCGACTAGGGCCATGACCCAACAAAGACTTGAACTCTAAATAAATCATACCCCAAATCTGGTTAGTCTGAAATGATACCCTTTTCTTTAAGATGAAAGATTATTAAAACCCCAGGCAGAGTTTTAATAAAAATTTAGGAAGACAAACTGAGAAATAAGGAAAAATTTGGATAAGAATAACCTAAAACACTTTCATTCTTGACTTTAGAGTATATATATTCATTAATTTTGTAACTTTTTAACAGTGTCTTGTCTTTCTAAAAGGCGTTTCAAACATTGAAAATAACCTAAAATGTAAAGTGTTTTTAAAATGTTTTTGATAGGCTGGGCATGGTGGCTCACCCGTGCCACTTTGGGAGGCTGAGGCAGGTGGATCATGAGGTCAGAAGTTCAAGACTAGCCTGGGCAACACGGTGAAACCCTGTCTCTACTAAAAATACAAAAATTAGCTGGGAGTGGTGGCAGGTGCCTGTAATCCCAGCTACTTGGGAGGCTGAGGCAGGAGAATTGTTTGAACCCAAGAGGCGGAGGTTGCAGTGAGCCAAGATCATGCTATTGCACTCTAGCCTGGGCAACAAGAGTGAAACTCCATCTCAAAAAAAAAAAAAGTTTTTATTAAATAATAATATTTAAATATTTGGGGGAATTTACTTTGCTAGGGTCATAAATTTTCTCTTGTTAATTTGTGCAATTGATTATTTAAAGGAATTTTTAAAGCTTATTGTTTAATAAAATTATAACATTAATAAACTGGACAATAATAAGTCAGATATTAGTATTACTCATCACACAAAAGCTCATCATACATTAAAAACTATTAATAAATTTCTAGTCATGAGAAGGCAGGAATTTATAAAGAAAACAAGTAAATAAGCAAGGAAAATTTCAGGTAGTTTGAGAGAAGCAAAGTAGAGGAGTGCAAAAGAGCCTTGGAGATACATTAATTTAGATTAGGTTCATGGAAGTCTTCACTGAAGCTATAATATTTAGAGTGAAACTTACATGACAAGAAAGCACTAGTTATGTAAAGATTTGGGAAAGAAGATTCTGGAACAACAACAACAAACAGCCAGAAAAGACAAGTGTCCAACAGCAAATGTCCTTTGCTGTATTTGAGACGTAGCAAAAAGGCCATCATGGCTGGAAAATAATAATTGAATGTGAAAATGGTGGGAGGAAAAACCAGGTCATGCAGGGCCTTGTAAGCCACAGTAAAGGGTAGATATTTTATTTCAAATTCAGTGGGATGTTATTGGAGGATTGGACACAAATAAGTCAGGAACCAAATATTTGTTAGTCACTGTTTCTATTTGGTAAATAGGTTGTTGGGGAGCAAAAGTAGGTGATGGTAGACCAGTTCTCTTTATCTACTTCCAACCTAGTTCAAATACTGCTTTGTCCCATGAAACCTTCTCTGTTTACATGAATGGAGATAAATGTCTCTTTTTTTATACTTGATAACAATGTGTTGCTACTCTTTTGTGATATTCATTATATTCAGTCTGTATTTGGGGAAGCTGATATGTTTTCTCTCCCTTCAAAAATTTTGTGTAAGATCCTACAGGGTAGGGATTAGACTTTATATATCTGTACATTTGTAACAGAGCCTAACTCTGTGACTGTATTACTTCATTCTTACACTGCTATAAAGAGCTACCTGAGACTGGGTAATTTATAAAGAAAAGAGGTTCATTTGACTCACAATTCTGCATAGCTGGGGAGGCCTCAGGAAACTTACAAACATGGTGGAAGGCTACCGGGAAGTAGGCATTGTCTTACATCGTGGAGCGCGCGCGTGCGAGAGAGAGAGAGAGAGAGAGAGAGAGAGAGAGAGATAGAGAGAGAGAGAGAGTGAAGAAAGCGGCACACTTTTAAACCCTCAGATCACATGAGAACTCACTCACTATCATAAGAACAGCAAGGGGGAAATCAGCCCCCATGATTCAATCACCTCCCACCAGGCCCCTCCCCTGACATGTGGGGATTACAATTTGACATGAGATTTGGGTGGGGACACAGAGCCAAGCCATATCAGTGGCTAATACAAAATGAATATTATACGGGGATGCAGGAATAAGAATTTATTTTTCTCAGCGACAATACATAGAATCATCCCATGTAAGTGTCACATGAATTAAAGGATAAATGACTGTTGGTATGAATATGAATGAAATGTGAAGAAAATGGAAAAGGGGGTGTCTGGACATTTTATTTAGGACCAATTTAATGCTTGTTTTGCATGGAATTAAGAAAATAAAACTGTTTTTAAATTTTTAAGGACTTAATTAATGTAGGTGGGAAAAATAGGGTTGAAATGCTGCTGTCAATTTGACTAAGTTCCATAGAGGGAAAAAGTGAAAGAAGTAAATAGCTTCTGTATTGTTTGTTCTGAAAAAGAAATTAAGAACACACCTCCTGAGCAGTATTAAAGAGACCAAATATCATATTTCAGGAGGAAATGAACTGAGCAAAGGAAAGCCAGGACTAGGAGATGTACTGGGGTCAGCACACAATGGTGGGCAGGAATGAGAATGAAGAACATTGTAAGTGTGTATGATACAAGACTTGTTAATCCATGAAAGAGACTTCCAAATAGAAGCAGGAGAAATGATTAAGGTCTATAAACAATGAAGGTATTCACTTATCGGCATGGACTTACTTACCTGGGAGAACCTCCTGAAGTTAGAAAAATACCATTTCAGAGCAAACAAAAACAAGACAAGAATTAGCTATCTTCTACTCCATGCTTTTTATTCTGTAGATGAGGAAGTTGAACTATAGAAATATGAAATAGCATGCTGAGATCACACAGCTAAATAACAGAAGCACTGAAATTTGAATCCAGGTTTCCTAACTTCCATTCATTGCTCTTGCCAATATACTCTTCAAATTGGATAATTATAACTCATTTCTTTTTATTTTTGACATAGCACTCTAAACACTTTTGGGAAAATTTATTCTTGCCAACTGCTCACAGTCTTGTGGGACTGTTGGTCAAGGTCTTACCCAGCTAGGGCTTGACTACAGTTTTATGCGACCAAATGCTAGAAAAATCAGACTCACTCTCTGAGACTTTGGATCCTGAACACATTGACTCTAGCACAGGAAAACTGAGGAAGCTGAATCATTGCAGCAGCAACATGCTGACAAGCCTATCAGTTAAATTCAACTTCTTGGATCCCTGGAGCTGTCTCATGCTTGCTCCTGGTAAGCCTGGTTCTTTCATTTCTCCTTTCATTCTGAAATTACCCTCACATTATTCACATTTATTTATTTTGTTAAATATTTTTTTGCTTAGCAACGATCATTTCTTTTGCTTACAACCAAAAAATCCCTAATTGCCACTATGCTCTTAAGAATACAAATACATCAGGGCATGAGATAAAAAATTTAAAAAACAGTTAAAGAGAAAAGGAAATGACAGAACTGACCTTTTAGACTAAAGCAGAATTCCAGATTAGAGACACATATCTAGGCATTCATGGTCTGATTTAATACATTTTCACAAAGTAGCTACTCTGTTTGGCAGAGGTGAGATAGCAATTGTTGAGCATACAAATGAAAGGGAATAAAGAGATCTCACAATATATGTCAGAGACCCAATAGGTGGGTCTAATCAGCTAGCAGCAGAGAAAGTAGAACCCAAGAGTGAGGACTAGTAGATTGGGGTAGAAAGCTGTCAGAACAATATCTGCAAGAGGACTGAGCTACTTGGACCCCTGGAGCCACCACCTCACTCTTGCTCCTGAGCCTGGTTCTTTCACTCTTAGATTCCAGAAATTCTGAAATTGATCTCTTAATGGAGATCAAGCTGAATCCATAAGTAGATCTAAACAGAAGGCACAGTGAGATCACTATACACTACTATTTTTCTATCTCTTACCTAGGTTTTGTAGCTTTATTAAAATGTTACTGGAAAAAAAATGGCCAGGAAATGTGACTAGGATTCCTACCCTGATTTTGTATTTAGTAACCCTGAGCCTGAAAGTTAATCTCTTTGGGTTTCAATTTCCTCTTATGCACAATGAAGAAAAAACACGCGCTCTGTTTACCTCCTGAGTCGCAAGAAACAAATGAGAAAATGATTGCAATGGCTTAGTAAATTGAGAAAAAAGATCAAAAGAAAAATATTACTTTCCCTTTGGCATTGTTTCCAGCCTTCGTTATGAACAGCCATTTCTCAACCATGGCAGACAAAGAAGTTTTTAAAAACCACTTAGCTAAAGAAAAGGAGATTGTAACTCTGCTGCCAGCTTTGAAGGCCAGCCTTCAGGTTTTGTATCTCCTGGATATAAGAGCAGAACAGAGGTTCTGGGAAGAGTTTTACAAAAATTAAAGTGAAAGAAAGGTACATCATGAATGAGAAGTTATCCCCATATTCATAAATGTGTTTTGCCAGTAGAAATAATCTATTTGGAAATTAGAATATATCTCTTACTTGAGAATCACATACATCTAATATAAGTGTATCACAAATATTTCTTGAATAAATGAATGAATGAAAATTATTCTTGCCTTGATCCAAATGCGTATACTTGTTTTCATTCTTGCCCGGTGTGATACACTCATGTCTTCTAAAATTGTGATATCAATTTTATCCTGAAAATTGGTAAAGGATCCTGAAAATTGGTAAAGGAAATAATCAAGCTTTTAATTTTTTCTTTTTTATGCAAACTGTATGTCAGGATAACAAATAGTTAATGTGAAAAAAAATCTTTGTAGTAGAACTACAAAGTAGTTAATAAGTAGATAATTTAAAAGACATAGTAAAATTAGGAAAGTCATTATTTTGCAATCCTTAGTGATCTGATCAAAGATCATCAGTGGCTTCTAAAACCACTGAGTAAAATGTTGATGGGGAACTTTATAATAGATAGATTGGGCTGACATTCCTTGAACCTACTACTTAAGCTTCTCCTGAGTAAAAGTGGAACAACTGGACCTGATGCCTCTTCTGATGTGATGCAATAGGAATTACATAGTACCTACATGAAATATTATTGCAAAAAAAAGTTTTTAAAATGTGAATTTAATTAAACCTAGTGATCTAACTACCAGTTTTATAGCAAGTATTTAGAGAACCACACATTAAACAACAATACAAAATGAAACACCACACTGAACTATTCCAAATTTGTTTTCTCTTACTTCATGTAAAAAAAATTTAGTTTGAACTACCATGTGAACAGTTATTCTCAAAGATTACAAACACAGTGTCACTAAAGTTCAAAATGATCTCCGGAAGGGTATCTGATGTTCATTCATTCACTTATTCCACAAAGATTTATTGGCCATCTACTGTAAGTCCAGCACTGCATTTAGTGCTATAGATTCAGAAATGCACATTAGAGTCTCTGTTCTGGATTTTGTCATAGTTCCCTCAAAAACTGGGGCTTCATTCTTTTAGATGAAGTAACTATGCAGAAATATTTGGAATGGAATAGGGAGAAAGAGCTCTGGCCTGTTAGCTGAACATCTAATAGCTGATAAAGTAGGTATTAGATATGATCCTGGGCCATATTAAAATGTAAGTTTTTGATTGCCTGATATGGTTTATTCTCAATTTACTCATGGTTTCTTCAATTTGAAAAGCAAGTATATACTTATTGTGTGTGTGTGTATGTGTATATATATATAAGTATATATATATACTTATTATATATATTTATATATATAAAATTGTTGAAATCAGAAAAACCTTCACTTTTTGCTTTTTTATGATTTGGTTAGCAGATATTTATGTTACAAATCTGTTTTCTTAAAAAAAAACACTGTTGCAGAAAATTAACTTTAGGATGAAAGTCAGCCAGAAGAGCAATACGTATTTTGTGTAATCAGTCACCAATGAGTTTTTAGGTGAGTCAGTTGATTCTTAAAATTTTAAAAAGAAGAATGAAAGCTCTGCAATGTTATTCTCATATGACAAAATCTAACTGGGAATCCCTGCAGTGGTTACCTTTTCCATATCAAGCACAGAGAATATATCCAGGTTTGCAATGTAATTAGAATCATGCATCACTTTTGTGGAGGAATTTTAGTTGCATCCTCTGGACAGTAAGCATTTTTCTGTCATCTTAGCTGGGAAAAAAAGCTCAGGAGAGTTGCTAGCCTTTGAAATAACCTGAAAAAGAACTCTTCATGTTTTAAAGAATACATTTTACAACCAATAAATGGGAGTCGTGAGAGTTTGGGAAAATAATTCCTTCGAACTTCCTGGGGTTAGTGAGAGTTTAATTTGCTTTAAAAGGAATATTTCTGTTTTACTGGCTTTCTATGAGCAGCCTGAAAGACTACTTATGCCCTTAAACTTGTATCAAAGTCCTGCTTTCAGAGGGAGAGACCGAGCTAGCCATTTGTGTTTGGCATAAAAAGACTTTGAATTGCTTTGAGGACAGTGGTAAGAAACTAGAAACAGAGAGGACAATTAGGACACCAAGAGAGGAACTGACAAGGTACTCTGGGCATTTTCATGGACGATCTTTCATGAGAAAACTCTAAAAACAGAATGTGAGGGTGATAATATAGTGGATAATTTTGAGACTGTCTACACAGCATCCCTGTTCTGGGAATTTCTTCTCATCTCAGTCCATTTTGGCTAGCACAGGAGCTATTATGATTGTATTGTCTTTGAGTGCCTTAACTTTAAATTGTGAATCTTAAAACTTCTCAGTGCTCATGTTTCTAGCTACATGTGTGAAAACACAGACATAGCCAAATGATTGAGAGAGAAGGGCAAAGGCATAAAAATGTGAAAGGAAAGACATAGAAAATAGAGAGAGTCCTGAGCAACGGTGCTCTGGAAAATATTTAACAAGCAGTTCTCCAGTTAAAAAAAAAAAAAAAAAAAAAGATCTGATTGTTGCATTTGCCAATTTCTTTGGTGGAAGTTTTACCACCATGGCTAATTTGAAACTACTATCGTGATGTCACTGAACATAATTTGGGAAGAGATTCCCATTAGCACATCATTATATGGCATTGCCAACACACAAATGCAATAAATGTAAATAAATGGGAAGAGCACAGAACACAGATAATAGTAAATATAAAATAGATAAGATTAACGTTAGTAATAGGAAGATAATTAGGAAACAGTGAGCCTTGATTATTTAGTACCTAAATAATATTATTTACTTAACTGTAAGTTTGTATGATTTAATTTTTAATAATGGCTGTGTCTTACAACCAGCTCACAAAGTTTATTAATTTAACAAGTGACTCTGGTGAGCTGGTAGGGCTGGTTCTTGCATAACTATAGTCCTGATGGAATATCCATGCTTGGTTTTAGTTGCCTCTGAAGCCCAGCAACCCTATTTTTGTCCTTGGAATATTTGAATAGCTGAGTGTCTTTATAATAAATCCCTTTTTTCCTCTCTATCTCTCTCTATATATTTTTCTCCCACTCTCTCTTTCTCATTAAGTACGTAGTTTTTGTTAGATTTTGGTTATTAGTTACAGTTTTCTAGTAGGAGTTAATTCTCATTACAATTTTAGACATAGTAGGTGAAGAAAAATATACAGAAGAAATCATTAATAGAACTTTCCTTTAACCAATTCTTTGAGTAGAGTATTGTGGTTAATATTTTGATATAAACCAACTTCAGTTTCTTCATTTTTTGCTTATGTGGATTATTCATCTCACACCATCCAGGCAACCACAACAGTTCTGCTTATAAATGCCCTCAGGGCCAGAGAGAATACAACAGAGAAGAAGTCATTGCTTATCTTTGAGGTTCAAATTAGACTTTGACCAAGTCCATGGTATAAGCAATAGTCTTGAAAGCAAGGCTTCCTAATATATCAATAGAAGCCAGGTTTTTTTGAATGATAAAAGGTTTTAATGATCTTCAAAGTCTGAGATTCTTAAAGTTATCAGAGCACAGTATTTATTCATTAATCAGAAAACGAAGAAAATATATGATGATGTAAGAGCAATTTCCCATCTCAAAAAGATAGGAAAGTTTGACAATTATTAGTAAGGGAGAATCACTTTAAAGACATGGCTAGAGGCTTGACGAAGGCTGAAGGGTCCCATATTTCAGGAATGGGATGGTGGAGTGAGAAGCAGCACGATGTAAGCTGTCATAGTTGGGGCCGGGTGCAGTGGCTCACCCCTGTAGTCCCAGCACTTTGGGAGGCCGAGGTGAGTGGATCACCTGAGGTCAGGAGTTTGAGACCAGCCTGGCCAACATGGTGAAACCCCACCTCTACTAAAAATACAAAAATTAGCCAGCCCTGGTGGCACGTGCCTGTAATCCCAGCTACTCGGGAGGCTAAGGTGGGAGAATTGCTTGAACCCAGCAGGCGGAGGTTGCAGTGAGTGGAGATCACATCACTGCACTCCACATTCCAGCCTGGGCCACAGAGAGAGACTCTGTCTCAAACAAAACAAAACAAAATCCTGTAATAGAAACCCAACAAATATTTGGGAGTCTCTTAGAATAGAAAAGACCACAAGCTTCTTCAAGGTACTACTGGAGGCTTTGAACATAATCCCTGAGCAGTAAGGTGGAATGATTGAGGAAACCATGCCAGTGCCTGGATCTAAGGACATCCTCATAGATTGTTGAGCCTCAAGAAGACAGGAAGTGTCAAAGCCTGCAGACCAGAAGAAGCCTAGTAGTAGGGAAAAAAGATTCAAGATTCATATTCTTATCAAACAGAGGCTACTGCAGTGCTGAGAATCTGTTAGAGACATTGACATACACCCAGAGGAGCACAGGAAGAACAGAAGGTGAGACTTGGGGGCAGGGTACAGTGGCTCACGCCTGTAATCCCAACACTCTGGGAGGCCGAGGTGGGAGGATCACCTGAGGTCAGGAGTTTGAGACCAGCCTGGGCAACATAGGGAGAACCTGTCTATACCAAAAAAAGAAAAAAATAATTAGCCAGACATGAAGGCATATGCCTGTGGTTCCAGCTACTTAGGAGGCTTAGGTGGGAGGATCACTTGGATCTGGGAAGTTGAGGCTACAGTGAGCCATGATTGTGACACTGCACTCCAGACTGGTCAATAGAGTGAGATCCTGTCTCAAAAAAAAAAAAAAAAGAAGAAGAAGATGAGACGTGGATCAGGGATGCTAACTTGCTAGTACTGTCATTGCTACTATAAATAAGCTGTCAGGAAATTAAGTACCTCTACAGAGACCAGGAGAAGAGAATAGAGGTGAGAAACAAAGTCTGAATTGACTGTTTCCTTCTCACACCTGAATTTTTTCCAAAATATTTTTTATAAGCACTTCTCACTGGGAATTCTTGTTCCAGTTTCAGGTTAGAAACAGGGGTATAATAGAGTTTGAGATTTGTAGCCTAACTATTCCTTGCTCCATTTTCTAGCCTGAAGTCTAAGATAAAAAGTAAAGTCGGAACATGACCAAAGTACATTGATTAGTTTGTCTATGGGGTTTACCAGTTCCTGTGGGGCTATATTCTTTTCATGTAAATATATAAGACCCATAAATAGTTGTCATGACAACAGTTTTTTATCTCCAATTCTGATATATTCAGCAGCACTTTAAGATTAAGTTTAAAGTGAATTTTAGATTTTGTACACTCTAAACATTGTAATCTGAATCAACAGATGTTGTTTAATAAAAGATGCATCAATTATTAACATTTTTAAAGGAAATAAATAAAGGAGAAAAGAATCACCTATGGAGCTTATGAAAATGAAGGTTTCCGGACTTGATCCTCAAAGATTTAGAATCAGTGAGTCTAGGATGACCTCAGGAATGTTTATATTAAAAAGTTGCTATCTCCGGTAGTATTTTTACAAAGAAAGGAACCAACTCTACCAATCTAAGCACAAAAAGAGTTTTAGACAGATTGGAAATAGTTCATAGAATTTTTAAATAAACTGAAGGACTCGATTGTATAAAGGACAAGCACTAATAAATTCAGGTGATCTAAGTATCAGGAATTAGTTAAAAAAATTAAATTACACTTCTATTCAGTCTCATCTCAGTTTCTGAAGATTCATGCTCCAGGAAGATAGGATCTGATAGGCCAAATTTGGGTCATATGCAGGAAGAAGCCAAGACAACAGACTTGACTGGCAACCCCATCCAAGGGGAAAGGTAGCTCCCCAAACTAAAAGTAAGAGCTATTACCAGATAAATGAAGATTTGATGATAGGGAAGAAAAACCACTGTTGTTCATCATAGTATCTGGGTAACTCAGATTCGGTAATGATAATAACATGATCAGAAATTGCCATGAGAGATTTAACGATGATGTCTGTACTGGCTTCTGAGGGCTGCCATAACAAGTGACTGCAAAGTAGACGCTTAGAACAACAGAAATTACTCTCTCATGGTTCTGGAAGCCAGGAGTCTGAAATCAAGATATAGGCAGGGCTGTGCTTCCTCCAAAGCCTCTAGAGAAGAATACCTCCTTACCTCTTCCAGCTCCTAGGGGCTAGAGGCCTTCTTTCATGTAGGACCGCATAACTCCAATCTCTGGCTCCATCACACATGACCTTCTCCCCTGCTTCCCTGTGTCTCTACTTTTCTCTTATAAGAGCAGTTGTCATTGGATTGAGGGTGAACCCTAAATCCAGGGTGATCTCATCTTGAGATCCTTAATTATATCAGAAAGATTATTTTTTCAAACTAAGGCGACATTCACAGTTTCCAGAGATTAGGACAAGGATTTATTTTTCTGGGTCCACCATTCAACCCACTATCATGTCCTTAAAGACTTTCAAATTTATATAATAGATTTCAAGGGTGATATAATACATAACACATTAAATATGAAATCAAGGTAAAGTGTGATAAGTGCTAAGTAACATTTTTAAAGGATTTTTTAAAATATGTGTGTGTGTATATGTGTGTGTGTGTGTGTGTGTGTGTGTGTCATATATATTTATAAGTACTTCCCACTGGAAATTCTTGTTCCAGTTTCAGGTTAGAAACAGGGGTTTCTAACTGATGTGATTTCATACACATTAGAAACACACACACACACACACACACACACACACACAAAACTTTGGAAGCTGGAAAGTGGCAAATACGATCAATCAATTAGGTTGGTGTAAATATTTTAGCTGAAAGAAACACAAACACTGGATAATCTGATCAGAAAATTAATTATTAAAGGATATTGAGTAGTTTATACAGTCTCCAGAAAGATGGAGAGTGAGACTCAGAAACCAGCATCAGCAACATGCCATGGAACTGATCTCATGAGCAAACCATGTCCCCACCCACCTCTATTCCACAATTGGGCACAGGTGGCCATACCTTATTGGGCATTGTCCCCACAACTTTTTATGAAGCATCAATGATTTCGCCATTTTTCCACCCAAGCTTCACCACAAATTTGTTGTTTGTTCTTGCTTCAACTTTAGCAGAATAGAATAGAGGCTATTTTCAAACTGATGTTTCATCCTTCTTAGTACCTCAAACTAGACATTGCTCAGACATCGCTCAGACATCTTGTAACATGTTTGTACAAGTTTATTTTAGTATGAAACAATTTTGAAATCCATGTGTAGTTGTTTTCAAAATAATATATATTTTCCATGAACTTTTTGAAGGCCCCTCAAATGGATATCAATAGCCTCTAAGTTTGTTTTATTGTTATAGCAGCAATGAAAAATGTATACAGCCAGCTTCAAGAACATTTCATGAGATCATGGAACTGAGCTCAGAATCTCTCAGCATCCTATTTTGTTGGAGTCTGTATTAATCCGTTTTCATGCTGCTGATAAAGACATATCTGACACTGGACAATTTACAAAAGAAAGAGGTTTAATGGACTTACAGTTCCACGTGGTTGAGGAGGCCTCACAGTATGGTAGGAGGCAAGGAGGGCAAGTCACGTTTTACACGAATGGTAGGAGGCAAAGAGCTTGTGCAGGGGAACTTCTTTTTATAAAACCATCAGATCTTGTGATACTTACTATCATAAGAACAGCCTGGGAAAGACCTGGCCCCATAACTCAATTACTTCTCACTGGGTTCTGCCCACAACATGGGAATTCAAGATGAAATTTGGATGGGGACACAGCCAAACCATATCAGAGTCTGTCTCTTCTTACAGATAGATTATGCAATGAGGTTCCACTTGCTGCAATCAAGCCAGGTCCCTTCTCTGTTCCCACTCTGGATTTCTTGCTTCACTCCCTCTGACTCTCTTTCCCATGTACCTAACAAAAAAATGAGTGGAAAGGTAGTTTATTCTATCCTACGAAGTCATGAGATGGACTGGCCAGAATTTTGAGGCTCTGGCTGGAAAGTGAAAAGATGTGACTGCTCACTTTCTCAACCAAAGTCTTGAACCTCTTAAGAAATAAAGAATTGGGGACGGGTGCGGTGGCTCATGCCTGTAATCCCAGCACTTTGGGAGGCCGAGGTGGGTGGATCACCTGAGGTCGGGAGTTCAAGACCAGCCTGACCAACATGGAGAAACCCCGACGCTACTAAAAATACAAAATTAGCTGGGCATGGTGGCGCATGCCTGTAATCCCAGCTTCTCGGGAGGTTGAGGCAGGAGAACTGCTTGAACCCAAGAGGCGGAGGTTGCAGTGAACCAAGATGGCGACATTGCACTCCAGCCTGGGCAACGAGAGCGAAACTCCGACTCAAAAAAAATAAAAAATAAAAAATAAAATAAACAATTGGCAGATAAAGAAAATAGATGTCTCCTTTATTCAGGAGTGAGATTCAAAATATTTAATAATCTCTATCATGATATAAATTTATAAGTCGATGTTTAAAATAGCACTTCTTATATTTTCTAAATAAACAGTATGTTGAAAAATGCTAAATAATGATAACCTGTAATGCAAATCATTAATCAACTAATTCTAATAATTTCCAAATTATAGTTTGTTTTTTATAAATTGTTGATGTAATCTTTTGTTTAACAGAGTTATAAAAAGCTAAGTATTTAAGCTTAGCATCTAAGCTGTAATCTTGGAGTGGCATCAACCTCTTTGATTTCTCTATTAAAGTTACATTCAATAGGTGAAATGTAATTTAATAAGTAGAAAGTATCTCTTAATATCTATTATATTTTTCATGGTACTGCTCTGTCAGATTCTCTTTTGTTGAAATAATTGCCATTAATTTTTTACAAAATTTTGGTCTCTGGATGCTGTGAAAAGCTTTAAATAATCTGTATGGAAATATAAATTAATACATAAATCAATATGAAAATATATTCCCTTTATTATGTAAATTTATCTGAAAGTTTTATATATACAATATCTCTATTATTGGCTGAGTCACAAAATAATTTATTACAATATTTATTTAGTAGGCTTAATTTTATTGTTTTTTTCCATATCAATCCAAAGAGTTTTGCAAAATTTATGTGGATAATTTTTAGGATTCAATAAATTCAAAGTCTTGTTTTTCTTTAGTTATAAAAATAACAGTTGTATTTTCATATTATTTATGGACATTACTAATCTCTATTAAGATGATACTTTCTATTTCAAGTAGTATAATTTTTTATATTTTTATGATATCATTGGCTTCACTTTCAAAGTTTTCTCTATTTAATTTTATATTTTCAAACATTTTTATTTATCAGTCAGCTTTTATAACTATAATATATTCTTTCTTGTAAAGCAACAGATCACACTGGATTTCTGTTAGACTATCATTTATTAAAGCCAAATCCTTATAAACATTTTGTTTTACAAATTTTCAAGCAGTCCCATTTCACAATTTCCAACAAATAAATAAAAATAAGATTTTTGCAGCCTCAGCACCACACATTGCCTATTTAAGTCGAAATATTCTTCCAATTTTCATGATTTTAACTCCAGGAATTTTTCTCCAAAGTTTATTTTATATATGGGAGCAAATAAAAGTTTATCAAGAAAATATTCAGTGATTTGCATCATCCAGTGATAATTGAATACAGTGACTGACACAGTGCTAAATTAAAACATCTGGGAATGTTTCTAAAATTTTGCCTGAAACACTCAAATTTCTCTGTAGTATTCTTCTAACATTATCTGCACAAAATCCAGTGAGATTTTTCTGTAATTTTTCTAATTGAAACTATTTTTCTCAAACAGTAGCAATAAAATCAGATGTGTTATTTTAGTGGTTGTTCTTTATAGCTCTATAAGATCAACAAATGCAGAATGATCTAATTCATAAAGCTTAAACTTTAATTAAACTAGTAAAAGTTTTATTTAAAATAGTTTAAGCTTCCTTACTAATTTCAGAATTTTATAACTTTATTGCCTTAATATATGTTTTTTGAAAAGTATTAACTCATTTCTGTAGATGAATGTTTTGTACCCAGAGAGACCATAAACCTAGATTGCAATCTTAAGCTCTGTTTGAAATTTTTCTTTTCACAAAGTTCTATTAAATAGTTTATATTTTTTTTATTTCAATAGTTTGGGGAACAGGTGGTGTTTGGTTACATGGATAAGTTCTTCAGTGGTGATTTCTGAGATTTTGGTACACTCGTCACCCAAGCATTGTACACTGTACCCAATGTATAGTCTTTTATCCCTCACACTCCTCCTACCCTTCCCCCAAGTCCCCAGAGTCCATTGTATCATTCTTATGCTTTCGTGTCCTCATAGCTTAGCTCTCACTTAGAAGTGAGAACATACGATGTTTGGTTTTCCATTCCTGAGTTACTTTACTTAGAATAATTGTCTCCAACTACATCCAGTTGCTGCAAATGCCATTATTTCATTCTTTTTTATGGCTGAGTAGTATTCCATGGTATGTATGTATGTATTTATGTGTATACATATATGTATGTGTATATATATATCACATTTTCTTTATCCACCCATTGATTGATGGGCATTTGGGTTGGTTCCATATTTTTGCAGTTACGAATCGTGAATCGTGCTGCTCTAAACATGCATGTGCAAGTGTCTTTTTCATATAATGACTTGTTTTCCTCTGGGTAGATACCCAGTAGTGGGATTGCTGGATCAAATGGTAGTTCTTCTTTTAGTTCTTTAAGGAGTCTCCATACTGTTTTCCATAGGGGTTGTACTAGTTTACATTCCCACTAGCAGTGTAAAAGTATTCCCTTTCCACCACATGCATGGCAACATCATCAGTAGTTTATATTTGAAAATATTTGACCTTTTAAACTATATAGTAGATGGTGTTAAAAATTCTTATGACACTTTCTAAGATTTTTCATTTTCTTTTTTGATACTATTTGACAAAGTTTCTGCGTTTGTTTTTCAGTGTTTCAAATGTTTTATTGTGTGAAACTGATGTGCATTTCAATGTTATCTTTATAGATAATTGCAAGTTTAAGTTTCTTTATTTGAATCAGAAGCTTTAACCAAATATGAATGTGGTTTTTGAGAAATGTAGTATTGAACACTTTTAACTGAAATAACACAATCTTGACCACAATTTGCCTCAAAATTTACATCACTAACAATAATTTAAAAGCAAATTTGTTTTTTCCATTGGGTATGTATATTATTTGCTTAATTTTATATTACTTCTTACATAGTATTAAAGATATTCCTGAGTGTTCTAATTTTTGTAGTTTCAGGTTGTGATTCAATATTAATGTCATTTCTTCTTGATTATCCTACAGATTCAGAGAATGTCGGTTTATAAAAAGTAACATTTGCATTAAGAAGTTTAAACTTCGGGATCTCTTAAATTTTGGTGTTCACTTAAATTACTTTATTGCAAATTCTTGAATTTCAGTATCTCAAAATGCTACACACTTTCTACTTACATTAGAATTGCACCACAATAACAATAAACCAAAGTACAAATTAGACTATTTGGAAGCAGTTGCAATTAATGTAAAGACAATGAAAACTGATACAGAATACCTTGTGAAGATTTTGCAATACAGCTGCAATGCCTACTCTCACTTGGGCTGAACTCGCTGCAAAGAATTTTCAGATATCGCTATGAAAGAAACATGACTCATCAGGTTGAATTATTGAGTTCATCATTTTATTTATATTATTAATATCTCAACTTATTGTAGTTACCACTATACTGTTTACAAAACATATACACAAGTATTTTGTTATTTTAATAACTGTTATAGTCATATCAGTGTGTTTCTGCTGAATACCCACCCAGTGTTTCTTACTGATAAAGGTGACATTGGAGAATATGGCATAGGTTTGTTGCAACAAACCTTACATGGAACACCACACTTAGACAAACTTAGTCAACCAGACACTGCCAGTATGTGAACACTGCAAGCCACCCATAGAGGGTTTGTGGGGATTTCTGAAGTTAACTTTAAGAAACTCAATGTGTGTAGGAGCCAGCATAAGAGCACCCAGCTCCTAGGAAAAAGACAGAAAGAGGATGAGATACAGATCCTAATCCCAAGTTATCAATTTACCTGGTCACTTCACCTCCACTGTGGAAGAATGAACAACATGGAAAGTTGTCACACATGTTACACTAATGGATGTCCCTCCTCTTAGAGGGATACAAGAGGGAAGGGGCAAGAAGTATTTCCCTTGCAATAGTGCTCAGAATTCTGTGCTCTCCTCCATTTGCGTGGAGCTTATGACCAAGTAGGAGTGCCTGTATTTCCCACAGGGGAGGAATTTATCCAGAAAGTCCTGTTCTCAATTTCAAGTGACCACTGTCTCAATAGCACCACTGCTCCTTAGAGTGACCACTAGGAATGCTGGTAGCCAAAGTATATTTGGTCCTTTGATGTTCTGAAATTTGTCAGAACAATATATTAATTCAATAACTCCAAGGACATTCTCCCCCAAGGGTGGAAATGTATTTTCTTTTTTTTTATTATTATTATACTTTAAGTTCTAGGGTACATGCGCACAACGTGCAGGTTTGTTACATATATATACATGTGCCATGTTGATGTGCTGCACCCATTAACTCGTCATTTACATTAGGTATATCTCCTAATGCTATCCTTCCCCCCACCCCCCACCCCACGACAGGCCTCAGTGTGTGATGTTCCCCTTCCTGTGTCCAAGTGTTCTCATTGTTCAATTCCCACCTATGAGTGAGAACATGCAATGTTTGATTTTCTGTCCTTGCGATAGTTTGCTCAGAATGATGGTTTCCCAAATTTGGGGAAGAGGATAGACATCCAGATTCAAGACGTGAAAGAGGTCCCAAATAGGTTGAACATAAAGAGGTCTACACTGAGACACATTATAATTAAATTATCAAAAATTAAAGGCAAAGAAAGAATTTTGAAGGGAACAAGAGAAAAGCAATGCATCACATCTAAGGGGAAACCCATAAGACTATCAACAGATTTCTCAGCAGAAATCTCACAGGCAAAGAGAAGGTAAGATGATATATTCAAAGTACTAAAAGCAAAAATTACCAAACAAGCACACTATACTCAGCAAAACTATCTTTTAAAAATTAAGGAGAAATAAATTTTTTTCCATACAAACAAAACCTGAACAAATTAATCACCACTAAACGTGCCTTACAAAAAATGCTTTAAAAAGTTTTTCAGGTTGAAATGAAAATACACTGAACAGCAATATAAAAGCATAAATCTCCTGGTAAAGGTAAATATATGGACAAATTAAGCATAATGTAACAATGTAATGGTAGTGTGTAATTTATTTTGAATCCTAATATAGACAAAAGTTTGGTACTGGATAAACAATATAAAAAGATGCAAACTCAGACTACAAGAACACAAAGCAAGGGAGTAAAAGTAGAGAGATTTTGTTTAAGATTAAAGGAAGCTGTTACCAACTTAAAATAGATGGCAATAACTTTAACATATTTTATGCCATCCTCAAGGCACCTACAAAGAAAAAGTTATAATAGATACACAAAATATAATGAAAAAAGCAGCAGAACAAATCACTACAAAAGTTTCAGATAGCAAAGGAAGACAGTAAGAGAGGAAGAGAGAGGAAGAAAACCACAAAGCCAACAGAAAATCATTAAGATGGCAATAGTAAATCCTCGTCTATCAATAATTACTTTAAATGTAAATATATTAAACTCCCCAATCAAAAGACATAAAATGGCTGAATGGATTTTAAAAGAACAAGATTCAGCAATGTACTATTTATAAGAGACTTACCTTAGGTTTAAGAACTCCCATAGTCTGAAAATGAAAGGATGGGAAACATATTCCATGCAAATGGCAACCAAAGAAAGCAGAGGCAGCTACACTTATATTAGACAATGTAGACATTAAGTTAAAAACTGTCTCTAGGGACAAAGAAGATATAACAATTACAAATATATTTATGTACCCAACATGAGAGCACCTAAAAATATGAAGCAAATATTTACAGATCTGAAGGAAAAATTGACAGCCATAAAGTAATAGTAAGAGACTTTAATACATCATCTTTAATAATTGATAGAATGTTCAGAAAAAAAATAGCAGACTTGAATAATTCTGTAGACCAAATGGGCCTAACAAACATACACAGAACTTCCCACCCAATAGCAGAAGAATACACATTATTCTGAAGTGAACATGGAACATTCTGTAGGCTAGAGCACACGTTAGGTCACAAAATAAGTTGTATAACAAATTTAAGAAGATCAAAATCATTCCAAGTATCTTTTCTGACCACAATGGAATGAAACTAGCAAACAATCACAGGAAGAAAATCAGAAAATTCACAAGTAACTGGAAACTAAACAACATATTCTTTAACAACCATTGGGTCAAGAAGATCAAAAAGAAAATCAAAAGGGAATTTTTAAAATTTCTCAACAGAAATGAAAATAAAAACACAATAAACCAAAACTTATGGGATACAGAAAAAGCAATACTAAGAGGAAAGTTTATAGCAATAAATGCCTAGAGTAAAAAAGACAAAGTATTACCAGAAAAAAAAAAAATAACCTTACACCTCAAGAAACTAGGAAAAGAAGAACAAACTATGCCCAAAGTTAGAACAAAAGAAGGAAATAATAAAGGTAGGAGCAGAAATAAATGACACAGAGAACAGAATAAAAAGAGAAAAGGATTTTGCAGAGATGAAATTGACAAATCTTTAGCTAGGCCAACTAAGAAAAATAGAGGGAAGACTCAAATTAAATCAGGAATTGAAAAGGAGATAATGTAACAAATGTGGCAGAAAGGATCATAACAGACTCTTATGAAAAAATTATATGCCAACAAATTGGATAATATAGAAGAAATGGAGACATTCTTAGAAACATACAACCTATCAACACTGAATCAAGAAAAAATAGAAAGCCCTTCAGACCAATGTCAAATAAGGAGATTGGATCAGTAATTAAAAACCTGCAAACAAAGAAAAGCCTAGGAAAAGATGACTTAACAGGTGAATTCTACCCGATAGTCAAAGAAGAAATAATGTCAATCCTCCTTAAACTCTTCCAAAAAATAAAAACAGAAATACTTTCAATCTCCTTTCATGTGGCCAACATCACCCTAATACCAAAGCCAGACAAAGGCAAACAAGAAAATAAAATTGCAAGCCAATATCCCTGATGAACATGGGTCTTCATGTTGAACATGGGCTTCATGATGAACATCGGTTTGTATTTTATTGAACAAAAATCTTCAACAAAATACAAGCAAACAATTAAATAGGACGTTAAAATGATCACATACTATGACCAAGTTAGATTCATCCCTTGGATGCAAGGCTTGTTCGACAAATGCAAATCATGATATACTACATTTAAAAGAATGAATTGAAAAAAGAATAGATAGATAAATAGATAGATAGATAGAATCATCTCAGTGAATTCAGAGAACACATGTGACACAATTTAATGTCCATATAAACTCTCAGAATATCCATAGATGGAACTTACCTCATCACATTAAAGTCCATATATAAAAACCCACAGCTAATCTCATAAATGAGGGGAGAAAACTGAAAGCTTTTCCTCTAAAATCAGAAAGAAGTCAAGGAGGCCCACTCTCACCACTGTATTCAACACAGTAGTGGAAGTTCTACTTGCAGCAAATAGAAAAGTAAAAGATATAAAAGGCATTCAAATTGGAAAGAAAGAAGTAAGATTATGGGGTTTTCTTGCAGATGAAATGAACATATTTGTAGAAAATTCTAAAGATTTCAGAAGAAAAAAACCTGTTAGAACCAATAAACAAACTCAAAAAAGTTGCAGAAAACAAAATCTCATACAAAAAGCAGCTGTGTTTCTATATACTAAGAATAAATAATGAAATTTAAAAAACAATATAATTCACAATAGTAACCAAAAGATAAAATACTTAGGAATAACCTTAAGCAAAGAGGTGAATGACTTGCACACTGATAATTATAAAACACTGAGGAAGGAAATTAAAGACACAGATAAATGGAAAGACATCCTATATTCATGGATTAGAAGAATTAATATTGTTAAAATGCCCATACTACCCAAAGTGATATACAGATTCAAAGTAATCCCTGTCAAAATCCTGATAGCATTTTTTACAGAAATAGAAAAATCAATCCTAAAATTTATATGGAACCACAAAAGACACTGAATAGCCAAAGCATATTTGAGCTTCCACTGAGGCCTGTTCCTACAAAACTGGCTGCATGGAGGAACGGAGCAGAGTCTATGCTTCCTGCAAGTAGCTGGTTCCCAAAAGGAAGAGTGGGAGGTAGGAGTTGTTTGAGATGTCCGTGCTCAGTTCTTTCTCCCAAAGCCCCATGGGAAAGAGGGAGTTAGGAAGTTGAGTCAGGCAGGAGGTTTCTAAGAATAGAACTTCCTTCAGGAGGGGGAAAGACGGATTTCCTTCCAGCAGGATATTATCCATGTTTAGCACTTTCTCCATCATTTGATTAGTGCCAAAAGGAAGGCAAGATTTATATAAGGGTAGGAGAAAAGAAGCAACAAAGGCACTAACCCTGGAATATGATTAGAAGTCACCCATGTGGTTCAGTGTAGCTACCATCAGGGTACTGCACTGTGGTTTAGGGTTAAAGCCTCAGAGTGATAAGAGGTGTGAATTAGTATGGTCTTGTCACCTCGGTGACCTCTAGAAGGTTGATTTGTGAAAGGATAGAATGGGGTGTTCAGGGTCTCAGGTTCTTTCCATCTCTTTCTCTATCACCAGCTTTAAATTACAGATACTTGGTAGTCAATGAATGGTCAGAATTTCTGGATTAAGGGAATAAACTCAGAATTATCATTTAGAAAGAAGGGAGAAAAAAAGCATAAATATTTTTTGGCCTAATATGTTTCAGGAATAATATTGTTTCACAAGTTTTCTTCTTTAATCCTTACAAAAAAAACCTGTGAAGTGAGCATTATTAATTTGGGAAAACTTATACTCAGAAATATTGAGAAATAATAAGAGATCGAACCAAGAATTGAACTGAAATTAATATTGTTTGACTTCAAATCCTCCATCTCCAAAACTTCTTTTATACCTCAAATAGGAAGATTAAGCAGGTATGACCTTTACCCTATAAAATTTCTTTCTAAAATGGATTAATTATAGAGAAAAATATCTTTTCCTTTCTCTATCATCAAATTTCAATACCAAATAAGTTCTTAGCAAAGCTGAGACTCCCATTGCATGGGGTAGTTTCCATAAGCAAGAAGAATATGGGCTTAACATACTATGTCGTTATATTCAGATTCTAAAAGTAAAAATCCTATGCCAGTGAGTCACATAGAAGTTTTTGGTCTTTAGCATGAGCAAGGAGCCTAAGCACACAAATGACATCTCTAAAATTCTTAATATTTCTAGATAACCAAAATTCTAGTTTATATAGCTCATTTTTAGCTGTCCAAATTTCACATTACTATTAAGGAAAAGCAATAAATACAAGATACTCTTCTGAAAAACTTTTTCATGTGCTAAAAATCATTCAAAATTCCATATTGCAGTATCATCTTATGCTTTTCCTGCCTTATAAAGAAAATAAAATTAAGCTTTTATGGTAAAGGTAGCTATCTCTATTTGCATTATAGCTGTTTTACCCTGAAATACTTTTATTCCACAAGAAATTCTCCAATTTATTTTACTAAATTGTTTACATAAAAGCAAGAATATTTTAGATTAAAAAGTTTAGGAAAATTAAGTTTATTTTTAAAAAGAAGAAAAATATTAATATAATAATTATTAATATTTTATTTTTATTCTACTAATAATTTATTACTATAACTTACATTCTCAGAAAACACCCAATAAGACAAATTAATGAGGCAAAGTCCTAAGGATTTTTTTAACAGCCCAGGAAAATGTTTTTTTGAAAAAACAAACAAAAATGTAAGTCAGGCATAGGTCCAAACACATGATGGGAAGTCAATCTATTCCCATTACAAAATTAGAAAAGCAATGGTTCATCCAGTGCCCTATCCCTGATTTTATTTCTCTGACCTGGAAATGAGAAATCATAGAAGTATCAAAAGAGCAGATTGTAGCAAATTAAGAATCAGCTCAAGCTTCTCTTTACCTGTGACCCGTCTAAACAGAAATCATATTTCAGCTTCCTTCTACCCAACACACACACATCAATCATTGCCAAGAAACATTTTAAGACCATCAAGGCCCCAGACACTCCTACTTTTGTTGGTCCCAGCCTACATTATATCAACCATTGAAACACATCCACATTTTGCAAAATTGACATAATTTAATAATAGTTAACTTTTGGAGAGCTTACTTATTAGCAGTATTGTTCATAATAGTTTATACCTATTTAGTTGTTACAACCATCTTATAAGTGTTAAGATAATCTACATTTCACCCATTGTGAAAAATGACTAAGTAACTTCCCCAGGGTCACATAGCTGGTAAGTAACAACCAGAATTGAAATCCAGTGCGTATTATTCAAAACACCATGAACTTACAACTAAGCCCTAGTAATATAATGGTAGATCTATAGGTATTTAAGTAATATTTATGTAATTTTGCAGCTTATTTTCATATTTTGGAGCTGATGCATTTTTTCAAGTATTAAAATGTTTCATAGTCCCTTCCATGACAGCATATAGTTCATTTGTTCTGTTCCCAGAGACCCTAGTAAGTAAAACAATAAATACATCGTGTTATTTTTACTTACCTGTTTCCCTTTCTAGACTGTCAGTTTTATGTCTCCCAAAGTAGTCAAATGCTTTACACAGAGAAGCACTCATAAGTGTTTAACAAGGTCAATCTGAAGAGCAGTGATAGACAGGAGAAGAACTTCAACTGAATCAGTTGTTAAAGACAATGATGCAATGATGGTACAGCCTGATATTTGGAAGAGGGAAGTGTAGTAAAGAAATGGCCAATTAATTAATCATGCAGTGATAGGAAAGGAGTGTGGTTATAAAACCAATGGCAGGGAACTCATGCTCCAAAATCAGACCTAGACATTCAATGGCAGGGCTATATTTAATATTTTCCTAGAGAAATTCAGAAAAAGAACAGATGACTTCAAAGGATTACCAACAGGCAGATGATCATAATTAACATCTCTCAAAAGGTTATATATCCCTAACATTTTATTGTCACATCACATGCTTTAAAATTTATATTATTTTAAAAATTTACTGAAATTTTAGTTCATAATTGTATCATGTTATTTATAAGTGTTTCATTGACCCCACGAAATGTTATAAATTAGACTATGGTCTTTTCATGTATTTGAAGCCACATCTTATATCTTTTTTTAAATTTTTTCTCTAGAAGTATCTTTGTGGTGTTCTCTGTATTTCCTGAATTTCAATGTTGGCCTGACTTGCTAGGTTGGGGAAGTTCTCCTGGATAATATCCTGAAGAATATTTTCCAGCTTGGTTTCATTCTCCCCATCACTTTCAGGTACACCAATCAAGCATAGAGAATACCACAAAGATACTCCTCAAGAAGAGCAACCCCAAAACACGTAATTGTCAGATTCAACAAGGTTGAAATGAAGGAAAAATTGTTAAGGGCAGCCAGAGAGAAAGATCGGGTTACCCACAAAGGGAAGCACATCAGACTAACAGCAGATATCTCAGATGAAACCCTACAAGCTAGAAGAAAGTGGGGGTCAATATTCAACATTTTTAAAGAAAAGAATTTTCAACCCAGAATTGTATATCCAGCCAAGCTAAGCTTCATAAGCAAAGGATAAATAAAATCTTTTACAGACAAGCAAATGCTGAGAGATTTTCCCACCACCAGGCCTGCCTTACAAGAGCTCCTGAAGGAAGCACTAAACATGGAAAGGAACAACCAATACCAGCCACTGCAAAAACATACCAAATTGCAAAGATCATCGACACAATGAAGAAACTGCATTAACTAATGGGCAAAATGACCAGCTAACATCATAATGGCAGGATCAAATTCACACATAACAATACTAACCTTAAATGTAAATGGACTAAATGCCCCCAATTAAAAGACACAGACTGGCAAACTGGATAAAGAGTCAAGACCTATCAGTGTGATGTATTCAGGAGAACCATTTCACGTGCAAAGAAACACATAAGCTCAAAATAAAGGGAAGGAGGAATATTTGCCAAACAAATGGAAAGCAAAAAGAAAAAGCAGGGGTCAGAATCCTACTCTCTGATAAAACAGACTTTAAGCCAACAAAGATCAAAAGAGACAAAGTAGGGCATTACATAATGGTAAAGGGATCAATGCAAAAAGAAGAGCTAACTATCTTAAATATATATGCACCCAATAGAGGAGCACCACATTCATAAAGAAAGTTCTTAGAGACCTACAAAGAGACTTAAACTCCCACACAATAATAGTTGGAGACTTTCACACCCCACTGTCAATATTAGACAGATAAATGAGACAGAAAATTAAAAAGGATACCCAAGACTTGAATTCAGCTCTGGACGAAGCAGACCTAACAGACATCTACAGAATTCTCCATCCCAAATCAACAGAACATACGTTCTTCTCAGCACCACATTGCACTTATTCTAAAATTGACCACATAATTGGAAGTAAAATACTCCTCAGCAAATGCAAAAGAATGGATATCATAACAGTCTCTCAGACCACAGTGCAATCAAATTAGAACTCAGGATTAAGAAACTCACTCAAAACCACACAACTGCATGGAAACAGAACAACCTGCTCCTGAATGACTACTGGGTAAATAACAAAATGAAGGCAGAAATAAAGATGTTCTTTGAAACCAATGAGAACAAAGACTCAATGTACCAGAATCTCTGCGACATATTTAAAGCAGTGTGTAGAGGGAAATGTATAGCACTAAATGTCCACAAGAGAAAGCAGGAAAGATCTGAAATCGACACCCTAACATCATAATTAAAAGAACTAGAGAAGCAAGAGCAAACAAATTCAAGAGCTAGCAGAAGACAAGAAATAATTAAGATTAGGGCAAAGCTGAAGGAGATAGAAACACGCAAAACCCTTCAAAAAAATCAATGATCCAGGAGCTGGCTTTTTGAAAAGATCAACAAAATAGATAGACCTCTAGCCAGACTAATAAAGAATAAAAGAGAGAAGAATCAAATAGACACAATAAAAAATGATAAAGGGGATATCACCACTAATCCCACAGAAATACAAACTACCAACAGAGAATACTATATGCAATACCTCTGTGCAAATAAACTAGAATACCTCTATGCAAATACACTAGCAAATCTAGAAGAAATGAATAAGTTCCTGGACACATATGCCCTCCCAAGACTAAACTAGGAAGAAGTCGAATCCCTGAATAGACCAATCACAAATTCTGAAATTGAGGCAGCAATGAATAGCCTACCAACCAAAAACAGTCCAGAACCAGACAGATTCACATCCGAATTCTACCAGAAGTACAAAGAGGAGCTGGTACCATTCCTTCTGAAACTATTCCAAACAATAGAAAAAGAGGGAATCCTCCCTGACTCATTTTATGAGGCCAGCATCATCCTGATACTAAAACCTAGCAGAGAAACAGTAAAAAAAGAAAATTTTAGGCTAACGTCCCTGATGAACATCGATGCAAAAATCCTCAATAAAATACTGGCAAACCAAATCCAGCAGCATATCAAAAATCTTAATCACCATGATTAAATCTGCTTCATCCCTGGGATGCAAGGCTGGTTCAACATATGCAAATCAAAAAACATAATCCATCACATAAACAGAAACAATGACAAAAACCACATGTTTCTCTCAATAGCTGCAGAAAAGGCCTTGGACAAAATTCAACACCCCTTCATGCTAAAACCTCTCAATAAACTATGTATTGATGGAACCTACTTCAAAACAATAAGTGCTATTTATGACAAACCCACAGCAAATGTCATACTGAATGAGCAAAAACTGGAAACATTCGCTTTGAAAAATGGCAGTAGACAAGGATGCCCTCTTTCAACACTCCTTTTCAACATAGCATTGGAAGTTCTGGCGAGGGCAATCCAGCAAGAGAAAGAAATAAAGGGGATTCAATTAGGAAAAGAGGAAGTCAAATTGTCTCTGTTTGAAGATGACATGATTGTACTTTTACAAAACCCCATCATCTCAGCCCAAAATCTCCTTAAACTGATAAGAAACTTCAGCATAGTGTCAGGATACACAATCAATGTGCAAATATCACAAGCATTCCTGTGGACCAATAACAGATAGCCAAATCATGAGTGAACTCCCATTCACAATTGCTACAAAGAGAATAAAATACCTAGGAATACAACTTACAAGGGATGTGAAGGACCTCTTCAAGGAGAACTACAAACCACTGCTCAAGAAAATAAGAGAGGACAGAAACAAATGGAAAAACATTCCGTGCTCATGGATAGGAAGAATCAATATCATGACAATGGCCATACTGCCCAAAGTAATTTATAGATTCAATGCTATCCTTATGAGGCTACCATTGACTTTCTTCACAGAATCAGAAAAAGGTACTTTACCTTTCATATGGAACCAAAAAAGAGCCCACGTAGCCAAGACAATCCTAAGCCAAAAGAACAAAGCTGGAGGCATCATGCTACCTGACTTCAAACTATACTACAAGGCAACAGTAACCAGAACAGCATGGTACTGGTACCAAAACAGATGTATAGACCCATGGAACAGAACAGAGGCCTCAGAAATAACACCACACATCTATAACCATCCTACCTTTGACAAACCTGACAAAAACAAGCAACAGGGAAAGGATTCCCTATTTAATAAATCGTGTTGAGAAAACTGGCTAACCATATTCAGAAAGCTGAAACTATATCCCTTCCTTACACCTTATACAAAAATTAACTCAAGATGGATTAAAGACTTAAATGTTAGACCTAAAACCATAAAAACCCTAGAAGAAAACCTACACAATACCATTCAGGACATAGGCATGGGCAAGGACTTCACGACTAAAACACCAAAAGCAATGGCAACAAAAGCCAAAATTGACAAATGGGATCTAATTAAACTAAAGAGCTTCTGCACAGCAAAAGAAACTATCATCAAAGTAAACAGGAAACCTACAGAATGGGAGAAAATGTTTGCAATCTATCCATCTGACAAAGGGCTAGTATCCAGAATCTACAAAGAACTTAAACAAATTTACAAGAAAAAAAACAACCACATCAAAAAGTTGGCAAAGGATAATAACAGACACATCTCAAAAGAAGACATTTATGCAGCCAACAAACGTATGAAAAAATCTCATCATCACTGGTCATCAGAGAAATGCAAATCAAAACCACAATGAGATACCATCTCATGCCAGTTAGAATGGTGATCGTTAAAAAGTCAGGAAACAACAGATGCTGGAGAGGATGTGGAGAAATAGGAACGTTTTTACACTGTTTGCGGGCGTGTAAATTAGTTCAACCACTGTGGAAGACAGTATGGCATTTCCTCAAGGATTTAGAATTAGAAATACCATTTGACCCAGCAATCCCATTACTGGGTATAGACTGAAAGGATTATAAATCATTCTATAAAGACACATGCACATGTATGTTTATTGTGGCACTGTTCACAGTAGCAAAGACTTGGAACCAATCCAAATGCCCATCAATGATAAACTGGATAAAGAAAATGTGGCACATATATACCCTGGAATACTATGCAGCCATAGAAAAGGATGAGTTCATGTCCTTTGCAGGGACATGGATGAAGCTGGAAACCATCATTCTCAGCAAACTAACACAAGAACAGAAAACTAAACACCACATATTTTCTCATAAGTGGGAGTTAAACAATAAGAACACATGGACACAGGGAGCGGAACATCACACACTGGGGCCTGTTGGGGGTGGAGGGCTACAGGAGGGATAGCTTTAGGAGAAATACCTAATCTAAATGACGGGTTGATGGGTGCAGCAAACCAAACCACCATGGCACGTGTATACCTATGTAACAAACCTGCACGTTCTGCATGTGTACCCCAGAACTTAAAGTATAATAGTAAAAAAAGGCCGGGTGCGGTGACTCATGCCTGTAATCCCAGCACTTTGAGAGGCCGAGACCGGCAGATCACGAGGTCAGGAGATCGAGACCATCCTGGCTAACACGGAGAAACCCTGTCTCTACTAAAAATACAAAAAAAATTAGCCAGGCATAGTGGCGGGCGTCTATAGTCCCAGCTACTCAGGAGGCTGAGGCAGGAGAATGGCGTAAATCCAGGAGGTGGAGCTTGCAGTGAGCTGAGATCACGCCACTGCCCTCCAGCCTGTGCAACTGAGCAAGACTCCGTCTCCAAATAATAATAATAATAATAATAATAATAATAATAATAATAATAGTAATAATAATAAAAGAACCATACAGACATATTGCCTGGATTTTCACCACTCAACATGAATGTGCTCACCTTCCCTTGGGTGAGACCATGTAGGCACAACATGCAGCTCATGATAAGTTTTATTGAACTTTTAGAGAGCTAGTTAATTAATTTATTTAAAACATTGAGCCTGAAAACTTTAATTTTATATTATGCAGTCATTAAAATCATTTTTTAAAAGTTGATCTTATAGAAGTAGAGAGAACAGTGGCCACCAAAGCTGGGAAAGTAGAGTGGAGTGGGAAAGAGAAGAGGTTGGTCAATGGGCATAAAGCTGTATCTAGGTAGGAGGAACAAGCTCTGGAGCTCTGCTGAACAGCGTGGAGAACATAGTCAAAGACAGTGCACCATACCCTTCAGAGTAGCCAGAAAAGAGGACCCTGAATGGTCTTAGCACAAAGAAAGGATAAGGTAATGGACATGAGGCAATGGACATGCCAGTCACCCCAATCTGGTCACCATACAATGTATACATGGATTGAAATGCCACATGGCACTCCATGAGCATGTACAATTTTTTGCTTGTATTTTTAATTGATAGATAATAATTGTACATATTTATGGAGCACAGCCTGATAATACATACAACATGCAATGACCAACTCTAGGCAACCAGCACATTCATCACCCTAAACCCCTATCACCTCCCCATGTTGGGAATACCCAAAATCTGTTCCCCCATCCTCTGGAAAATACATGGTAAAATGTCATTAAGTATAGTCAACCCACAGTGCCATAGAACACAAGAACCCATTCCTCCCATCCAGCTGCAACACTGCATCTACCAGCCACCCTCTGACCACCTCTCTTTCCCCTTTACCACCTCTCCTTCCTACCTACCCATCCCATCCTCTAGTAACCACTATTCTACTCTCTACTTCTATGAGATGAACCCCTTTAGCTTTCATATATGAGTGAGAACATGTGGTATTTGTCTTTCTATGCCTGGCGTATTTCACCTCCAAGCTCATCCATGTTGCCTCAAATGACAGAATTTCATTCTTTTTTATGGCTGAATACTATTCCATTACCTATATCTTTTGAATTTAGAAGGTAATGTTAGAAATATTTTGGTTACTTTGTTAGAGGAGTCAGTGAAATTCAATAACTAAATCAATTCAAAAAATATTTACTAAGCTATAACTATGTGCTTATCATTAGCACAGAAGTAGGGAAATATACTTCTTACTATTTCAATGAGTGAAAATAAATGTATATTCCATTTAGTAAAATAGCAATGTTGAGCAACATACCATTACTATTCATATGAGTGATATAGAAAATAAGGACCATAAAGGAATGATTATCAGTCTGGAGTGAAATCATTAGGAAAGATTCCCCTCGACAGAGCAACATTTAAGTATTTTTAAGCATGTGAATTTTAAAGTCCTAAAGACCTGGGTCCATACCAATACCCACCATCTGTTTTCTTTGTGACTTTGTGACAGTTACCTCGTATCTCAAACCTCAGTTTCCTCACCCATCAAAGAAAAATGATAGTCACTTTTTGAGTAATGGTGAAGATTCAAATGAGACAATTATTGCAGAGCACCCAATACAGGGTCAGTCTCATTCTAACTTATCTAACTCATTAATGATGTTGTCATAAGAGTCAAAGTAGTAATCGTTGGTGTAGTCACAATCTTAGTTGTAGTACGAGTCATGGTACTCATAACAGTAATTGCCTGAGTTGTGGTACAGTATCAACAAAGAGTAGAGGAGAGAATACTCTAATGGTGGCAACAGGATGAACAGAGATTAGGAAACAATTACAAGTGTTTTATTTTTAGATCAATGAGATTACCTAGTTAAAGTGTTTAAATGATTGGAGAGTAGTGGGAAATAAAACTGTATAAGTAATTAAGGATAAATTGCAAATTATTAAGGCCCATAATTTTTTTCTTTGTTGGGATGAGAGTGAGTGAGTAATCACCCATTACCCTTAACAATTTTTGGTTGACATTGTGATGCACATACCTGGCTGGATACGATAGAGAGTCGGATATTATCTTGAACTGAATAAAAAGAATAGAGTATTGTGGTGTATTTTTTGTTCTCTATCATTAAGTAGTCAAAAGAATAAGAAATAACCCAAAGTAATTTAGGCTTAGTATGCAGGGATACTCTCAACCCTTTGGAAGGGCCTTGGCAAGTATTTCCTATTATTATTCATGATATCTCCAAATCTCCTTTGGTTCAAAAAGGTTTCTGAGGGGGAAAATAATCTGTAAAAAAGCAAGGTTCACAGGGAGCTGAAAGTGTCTAGCCTAGTTAACAAGTAACTTTATGCAAAATAACTTTCACAGTAATAAGGAGCTTTCAAATGCAGCCAGCAGTGGTTTGGTTGCCATGCTACCAAAAGTAAGCTCCAGTGTGTTTTCAGTTATTTTTGCTTTGGAAGTATTTTGTGCCATGTGTGCTCCAAGGAAGAACCAGGCAGTCAAGCCTGGGCTGGGTTGTTTAGTCCTCTGGGAAAAGAAGAAATGAGCAGATCACTGCCCAGGGGAACAGGGCTCATTAGCAGACAAAGTTGACAGGTGTTTGCTCTCTGAAAAGAGCAGTAGCTGTAGAAAAACTCAGCCGTGGTGGTTTTCTATAACATAAAAGCTGTTAGTGCAAGGAAGAGTGGGGGGAGACAGAGCAGGCTGAGAAGGCAGCATACAAATAGGATATCCAAATATGCCTATTTGTGTGGGACTAAATATTTCTAGGCACGTGGGACTTTCAGTTTTAAAACAGGGACAGTCCTGGACAAATTGGGATAGTGGTCATCCTAAGAACAAACTCAGCCTATTTTCTGTGCAGACTAAAAGGCCATATACAACTCTTTACTAGACACAAAAGTACCAGCAGAGTACAGACACAATGCACCAACCTTGTGCTTAAACCACAAGCCATCAATGTGTAAAATCATAAATGGTCCATCCAAAGTCCCCAGTTGCTTCCTGCAAGTGAATAGAAAGATATTTATTATTTAACAAATATAAATACTGATGAGTAGTAATGAAGGTGAGACAATATTCAAGAACATAACAATGTTTGGTCTTAGAACGTTCTTGATCTTAACAAAATTGCCCTCAATCACTGCTTCCCAAGTTACTGAGAGTGACTCAGTTTTCCTTTTTTCCTTTCTCAACAGGAAAGCTACCCCTCCTTCAGCAGGACTATGAAAGCAGTACTTTATTTGCTAAACTAGGAAGCTGCCCTACAGCTGTCACCTTCAGAACCAGCCACTTCTGCCATGTTCTATACCTTCAAAGTGGCTATTTCCAAATTGCTTCTCTTTTCATAGAACAAATTCCTGACTCAAAGTTTTGCTTGAGATCATCTAGTTGGTGAAACTTCAGTCATACATGAAACCCTAACTGCAAGGTAGTCTAAGAAATGTGTGAGCTTCTGCATGCTCTTTGGTGTTGGAAGGCATTTCAGTTGAGCCAATCCGCAGCTTGCACCAATGCCTTTACTTCGGTTTTCCATAGTTACACAAATAGTCAAAAACATGCATTGTAATTTGAGTAGATCCATTTTGAGATAATGGAATCCTCAGGTCATTTTATTTAAATAAGAGAGGTTCTTATCCTAAGCATATTCTAAAATAATTCTTTTGCTTGGTGCTAGTGTGTTTTCATGAGTTGCGAGGGGCAGAAGCAGCTAAAATTCTCCATGATATATTACGCTTTTGGTGACTTCAGTGATCATCTTCCCCCTCTCTATTTGGTTGAACTTTGGATACGTCAAATCCAAATTTAGGTAGAGGTCAGGCCTTCTGGAAAACAATAACACATTCCTAGTAACCATAGACATTTGCTACTGGTAAGCAAAAACTCAAGAAAAGAAAACACAATTGTCTGTGGTTAAGTGGAAAGTTTTCACATTGTCCAAAGAGCTTTTCAATTCTTTGACTAGGCAATTGCCTTGTTAGAGACATCGCTCTAAAGAAAGAACAGAATGATTTCTTTTTTTTTCTGAGAAAATGAAGACCATCATGGTGATGGAGAAAAGTGAAATATATATATATATATATATGTGTATATATATATATATAAATGTATATATTTAAGTTGATTGACAGTTTTCATTTTGAGCAGGAACATGCATTTGAATGACATCCTAAATCATGGTTAAACTTGACAATGAATAGGATTAATTAAGGATCTCCATTCAAAAAACACAGGAACTCAAAAAAAATTTTTTTAAGTTATGCATATCTTCCAGGTAATGAATTTCGATGTAATGTATTATCAATTTAATTATGTACTCATGCATTTTTTTCTTTAAATTCAAAGGAGTTCAGCATTTAGGAATAATGATTCTACAATGCATTGGCTCTTGACTGCATGTAAATGATATATGATTGTTCCATAAGACCCTCATACCAGGTGCAAATGACAGACACAACAGGCATGATGACAGACAGAGGGTTCTTATAAATAGCAACACAAGGGTTAATGTATTAAGGGTTTCAGCATCCACAGCTGTTTCCCTTCAGCTGATATGACTGAGCTGCTTTGTTAATAGACCTTATAATACCATCTCTGATTATGTTACTTTGTTTCTCTACTGCATTTTTTAGAATCAGGTTGATCTAGCTAGCAAGGAAAAAGGGCTGTAAAAGACTCTGATGAAACCTAGAAAGATGTCAGATTCAATGGCGTTTGCTAGGTGTTGTGCTTTTCACTTATGGTTGCTTTAATCTAAATGATTCTGCCAGATGAATACAAAGTTCCCCAAGTGTTATTTTTACTGTGGAGTGAATGAATTTTTATTTCAGACCTGCAAAACATATGCTTCAATTGAATTTTTCAGTGGCACAGTCTTTGTTCAGGGATTTGAGCCAGATCATTTTCATCAGACTGATTGTACTTATGACAGATTATTTGACTCTATTCATGTTCCACTATTTGATACCATGCATGCTGATGTGATCTCTAGGTGGGCAATTCTATGGCCATAGAAACCTGGGTCAACAGTCTAACAATAGCATACTTCTCTCTGGGTGCCCAGCTGAAGTGTGTTGATTCACCACCACCAGCTGGTAGAAGCTCTTTACATACCTAGGAAAGCACTCTTGTATTCACAATGGCATAAAATACAGAATCAGCTTCAAAATTTAAACGCTGCATTTATTGTCAGCTAGTTAATAGAAAAAAAGCCTAATATATCACAAGTTGACTAAAGTAAATTATAATACGACCTACTAGATGCTGATGATTCAATGACATTTCCCATTAACTGGTGATGAGCTCTTTCTTACTAGTTTTATCAAGGTAATATAATGAGGAGGATGAATTCCTCTGAGATAAGGCTTTGTGAAGCTAAGCAAAAAAAAAAAAAAACTACCTTCTGAAATCTTATGAGCACATTTATTATTCTTTCCTCAATCAATTATATGTTTCAATTAATGAAAACACCCAAAAATATTGTGCTAGAGTTTATGATGTAGGATTCATTTCAATAATCTGAATTCCAATAAAAATTAAAATTTGAGCTCAGGAATTTTGAAATATTAAGAAACTATATGTTCAGTGGTACCTGTGGGATGGCTGATGAATTGAAGATCTGTGAGGATATCTGTTTCCAATTATAGAATCTTAGTGGCTGGAATTATGCCAATTGAAACTAAGTTTAAATAGTTACTTTGCATCACATCAAAATATGCATTTAGTATTTTTAGGAGTTATGAGGAAATTTGAACTTCTGCTTTACACTAAACTCAAAAAGAATTAATCTAAGATAATAATTTCAGTTTTACAAAACCATTTGACACACTGTAGTCAGTTCATTTCTAATAGTTAGCTTCTTTATCTGCAAATCTCTTCATGATCAGTAGAGTCCCAACCTACACTAAGATTTTTTTTACTAACTTCAACCTGTCAAAACCAGAACTCATTATCTTCCTCTCTAAAGAGCATTCATACCCTGAATTCCCTAGCCTAGTGAAAGCTGTCCAAGTCAGAAACCAGAATGTTATCTCTGATATCTCCCTTGGATTCCTCTGCCACCTACAATCTATCACAAAGTCCTATCCATTCTACTTCTTAAAGATACCTTTTTAGTCTACACATTTCTCTTGAAACCAATGCCTCCACTCTAGTTCACCATTATGTGCTGCTGAATTTGGGTCACAGCCACTTCATGTATTTCCTTGCTTCTATTATTTATTTTATCCACTTGATTTTCCATACAGCAACCAAAGGAACTTTTGCAAAATTCAGATCTGCTACTGTTCTATTTAAATCCCTTCACCAATTTCCTATTTTTATCAGGACAGGGTCTGAAGTCATTGTAAAACGAAAGACCTCCACCCTAAGCTTCTATCTTTCCTTTTCTGACATGTACTGTGAATGTAAACTTTGGCCTCCAGATTTTTGTCTAAACAATTCCATCTACACAGAACAGTCTTCTCCTCCCCTAGCATAACTTCCACTGGTTCTTCAGGACTTTCAGGTATTTGGTTTATTATTTTTCTAAGAATTCATTTGTAACTCTTCCTCAAGCCCCAAGTCTAGGTCATAATGTGTCCTTCAATTGTATATCCACAGTTCTCTGTACACTTATCACTCTGTATAGTAATTACCTGTTTATCTGTCTCTCTTTGTCTATTTGATATAATCTCTCCAAGGAGAAAAACTTTATCTCCTTCTCTGTATAGCTCCAGGGCCTAAACGTATCTCATACATAATAGATGTTTAATCAACATTTTTGCAATGAATGAATGGTGTGAAAATTGAATTGAAGCAATTTGCAGTATCTGATAATCTAAACTTCTTTAAAAGGCACTGTTTACACATAAAACAGCAGAGCAATATAGATCCTTTGTACGAAGGATCTAGGAATAAATGGTGTCTACCTCTAAAAGTTTCCAATCTAAAGTGAGATTGATTGCTAGGCATCCAAAATTTCATATGTGATGACAATGACATCTATGAAAGAAAGATATATAAAATGAAGTTAAATATATCTAACCAACAGGTAGCATGAAGCTCAGAAGGAGACCAATAAGAACGTTATTAGATAATAACATCAGGGCAATCTGAGTTCATTTCTGGGGCTCTGTAATTTACTAGGCATGTGACCTTAAGCAAATTATTTAATCTCTCTTCTCGTAAAACTATAATGGTTCCTACTTCATGGGTTATAGTTAGAATTAGCATCAATAATATGTATGCAGTATTCTCAATGTCTATCAAAATTCTCAATAAGTGGTATTTACATTATATCACTCTAATTCTAGCACCTAGCACATAATAGGTGTCCATTAAACCTTTGAATAAATGTTTAAGAAGAATGATTAAGACAAAGTGTTGGCCAGGTGTGGTGGCTCACTCCTGTAATCCCAGCTCTTTGGGAGGCTGAGGCTGGTGGATGACCTGAGGTCAGGAGTTAGAGACCAGCCTGACCAACATGGAGAAACAGCATCTCCACTAAAAATACAAAATTAGCCAGGCATGATGGTGTATGCTTGTAATCCCAGCTACTCAGGAGGCTGAGGCAGGAGAATCGCTTGAACCTAGGAGGCAAAGGTTGTGGTGAGCTGAGATTGCATGCTCCAGCCTGGGCAACAAGAGCAAAATTCCATCTCAGAATATATGTGTATATATATATGTATGTGTATATATATATGTGTATATATATATATGTGTGTGTATATATATATGTGTATATATATATATATAGCCTTGCACAGAATGATAAAGTTGGTGTAACATGACAAGATGGCGAGCAATCACTTAATAATGTCCTTTACAGAGAGACGAGCCTCTATTCTGGGCAATGTCTTCTGACGACTGAGAGTAAAGCATTTTTTCAGATATCCACATAAAATTACAAAAGTTATAAATATGTTTACCATTAATATCAATTAGCATATTTGAAATTCTCATTTTAAAACATTTTCCAACAATTTTTCATAATTCAAAAGTGTGAAAATCAGAGGAAATTTTAAACACAATAGACTGGCTAAATAATTCTGGAGTTGAAGGAAAGGAATACACCCGAAAGTCTAACCATGTAATACAGAAACTTCTCATAAAAGAAATATACTCCTTTCTTAAAATATACTCAGCAAACTCTCTGTACTTCCATTCAGTCCCAGACATTGCATGGGTATTAAGAACATAAAAAGGTACACTAAACTTTCTTCTTTGCAGCAACTAACAATTACTTGTCAGAGATGGACAGATATGCTGAGAAGCAATGTAATGGTAATGAATTCCATGATGTAATTTTATACAGGTGAGCTGTGCTATAATTGAAGTTTGTGTCCCTTGAAAATTCATATGTTGAAACATAATCCTCAATCTGTTGGTATTAAAAGGTGGAGCCATTAGCAGGTGATAAATTATGAGGGCTCTCATTAATAGGATTAGTGCCCTTATAAAAGAGGCTTAAGAGAGCTTGTTCATCCCTTCAGTCATGTGGGGACACATAGAGGGTACCATCTTTGAGGAATGGGGTGTCACCAGATGTCAAATCCACACAGTTGCATTGATGCATTGATCTTGAACTTCCTAACCACTAAAACTGTAAGAAATAAATTTCTGTTATTTGTAAGCCACCCAACTTACGGCATTTTCGTTACAGCAGCCCAAACACATGAAGACAAGCTGAGACAACCATAGGGAAGAGTTAGGAAAGACTTCCCTTAGCAGATTACTCCTTAGTGGAGTCATAATGTTGTACAATGTTGTGAATACATCTGAAGTAAAGATACTGTAGGCAGAATAAAGATGAAAATAGTATAGTGTGTTTGAGTGCTACAAACTGTATAAAGTTGATGGAGTGGCAAGAGATGAGGCTAGAGAACAGGCAGAGGCTAAAGCCTGGAAACTCTCAAATGGCATGCTAGGAATCCTGGACTTTATTCTGAAAGCAATAGAGAGCAATGAAGTGTTTTTTGCATGGGAAGGATGCCAAGAACATATGTGCATCTTAGATAGAGCATGTATTTTCTATACTAAATATAGAAGAGGTTAGAAGCTTCCTCCTCTCCATTCCAATAGGAATTTATACATAACTCTTATTCACCTTGTTAAAATGTTTTGCAACTATAATTGCATGTCTTTCTTTTGTTAGATAAGTGGTTCCCAAAACTGAGTGTAGAAGAGAATCACCTACACTGGAGGAGCTGTTAAAACACATATTATTGGGTGAAATGGGAAGCCTGAGTATTTGCATTTCTAACAAGTTCTAGGCTGATGCTAATGATATTTGTCCTTGACCACCTTATGAGAACAACTGCTTTAGACTATGATTTTGTCTTTTTTATCTTTGTTTCCCAAACATCTAGTTTAATGTCTGGTATTTAATAGGTACTCATTAACTATTTTCAAACAAAAAAATAAAGGAATAAGAAAATTCCAAGTACAGGGGAAATAAATACATTAATCCAAATGATTCTTTCTCCTCTTAAACAGACATTACCCAAGATGATAAAAGTGTATATGTTAGTAAAATTGGGGAAGAAAAAATAAAGAGGAATAATAATCGTGGTAGAGAGCTCAGTGAGGATACTTAAGACTTCCATTTTCTTTCCATTGCTTATGTAAATAGAATAGCTTTGCACACACCATTTTACTTCCCATAGTGCTTTATCTGTGCCTTAGTTGGATGATTAAGTGACCATTAGCAATACTTCATTGAACAGACCCTTTGAAAAATGTCTTAGAAATAACTTCTTTGTATAAAGCCTATTAAATTTAACTTTAATATAAATTGAATACTGCAAATGGAATAAAAGTTACAAATGCACTACAGCAAGAATTCACTGGCATCATGCCTATAAATTCTTTTCTATTTGATAAATTATCTTACAAAGAAACTCTACATTCATTGTGCACTGACAATGCTATGCTTCATATATAAATGCTTCACAGATTGCACTTCACATGGATGGATTCTCTTCTGTTTCAAAGGGTGAAGGACCCATGCTTGGAGTTTCTTCTTCCAGGAGGGGTCATGTTTATGTCAAGCTATGTACCTTTACTTTCTCACATTATACACAGTGTCTGAAGTTTCAAGAAGACATGACTGCTTCTTTGTTGCTATATGTAGTTGGAGTTTGTGACTTGGTTAAGGATAAAATCTGATTACCCTCTAGTATATTATAACTACCTAAAATCAATGCAGAGATACAATGTCATCTCTAAATTAAAATATTTCTTAGCAAAAATTTAAATATCCTATTAGTTATTGGTATACATTTGCCTATAACATTAGAATTCAGGGGAAGAAATTGCCTGAAATTTGATCTGCTCAATATGTACCCATCCTAATAACAGAAAGTCCAACTCAGTTTTTTTCCAAAAGATGCTTCCTGTTTCCTCAAGATTATTAAAGAACACAGGAGCTTGTAAAATACAGAAAAAAGGAAGACTTTCAGTCTTTAGTCCATCCTATGGTTTGAATGATTATGTCTCCCTCCAAAATTCATATTGAAACTTTATTTCCAATGCAATAATATTAAGAGGCAGGGCTGTTAGGAGGTGGTTAGACCATGAGGGCTTTTTGCTTGTGAATAGGATTGAGGCCTTTATAAAAGAGGCCTCACATTCCACTTAAGAACTGGGACAAGACAAGGATATCCACTCTTACCATTCCTATTCAGTATAGTACTGAAAGTGCTAGCCAGAGGAATTAGGCAAGAAAAAGAAATAAAAGGCATTCAAACAGGAGAAGGAGAAGTCAAACTATCTCTCTTCACTGACTGTATGATTCTATACTGAGAAAACCCTAAACACTCCGACAAAAGACTATTAGAACTGAAATAATTTTAGCAAGATTTCAGCATAAAAAATAAATTTACAAAAATCACTATCATTTCTATACATCAATAACATTCATGTTGAGAGCCAAATCAAGAATGGAATCCCATTTACAAATAGCTACAAAAAAAAAAACCCTATGAATATGTCTAACCAAGGAGCTGAATGATCTCTACAAGCAGAACTACAAAACACTGCTAAAAGAAATCACAGATAACACAAACAAATGGAAAAAACATTCTATGCTCATGCATTGGAAGAATCAATATTGTTAAAATGGACAAACTGCCCAAAGCAATCTATAGATTCAATGCTACTCCTATTAAACTACCAATGTCATTTTTCGCAGAATTGTAAAAAAATTATTCTAAAATTCAGCCAGGTGCGGTGGCTCATGCCTATAATCCCAGCACTTTGGGAGGCAAAGGCAGGTGGATCATGAGGTCTGGAGATGGAGACCATCCTGGCCAACATGGTGAAATCCTGTTTCTACAGAAAATACAAAAATTAGCTGGGTGTGGTGGCATGCGCCTGTAGTCCTAGCTACTCGGGAGGCTGAGGCAGGAGAATCGCTTGAACCTGGGAGGTGGAGGTTACAGTGAACCAAGATCATGCACTGCACTCCAGCATTGTGACAGAGCAAGACTCCATCTCAAAAAAAAATTATTCTAAAATTCATATGGAGCCAAAAAAGAGCCAAACCGCAAAGGAATCCTAAGTGAAAAGAACAAAGCCAGAAGAATCACATTACTTGGCTTCAAACTCAAAGGTTACAGTAACCAAAACACAGCATGGTACTAGTACAAAAACAGACACGCACACCAGTGGAACAGAATAGAGAACACAGAAATAAAGCCACACACTCACAAGCATCTGATCTTCAACAAAGTCAACAAAAATAATTCAGTAAATGGTGCTGGGACAGCTGGCAAGCCATATACAGAAGAATGAAACTGTACTCCTACCTTTCACCATATACAAAATAAACTCAAGATGGATTAAAGATTTAAATGTAAGACCTCAAACTATAAGAAACTGACAAGAAAACCTAGGAGACACCATTCTAGACATTGGCCTTGGGAAATAAACAGCTTACAGAATGGCAGAAATAAACAGCCTACAGAATAACAGAAAATATTCACAAAATATGCATCCAACAGAGGTCTAATATCTAGAATCTATGAGGAACTTAAACAATTGAACAGGCAAAAAATAAACCCCATTTAAAAAATTGGCAAAAGACATGAACAGACACTTCTCAAAAGAAGACATGCAAGTGGCCAACAAACATATGAAAAAGTGTTTCACATCACAAATCACCAGAGAAATGCAAATCAAAACCACAATGAGATACCATCTCACACTCATCAAAATGACTATTATTAAAAAGAAAAAACAACAGATGTTGATGCAGCTACAGAGAAAAGGGAACACTTATACTCTGTTGGTGGGAATGTAAATTAGTTCAGCTGCTGTGGAAGGTGGTTTGGAGATATCTCAAATAATTTAAAACAGAAATACCATTCAACCAAGCAATCCCATTACTGGGTATATACCCAAAAGAAAACAAACCATTCTACCAAAAAGATATATGCACTCACATGTTCATCCCAACACTATTCACAATAGCAAGGACATGGAATCAACCTAGGTGCCCATCCATGGTGGACTGAATAAAGAAAATGTGGCATATATACACTGCAGAATTCCATTCTGCTATTTTTAAAAAGAGAAATAATGTCCTTTGCTGCAATATGGATGCAGCTGGATGCCATTATCCTAATCAAATTAACACACAAACAGAAAACCAAATACTGTACGTTCTTACTTATAAGTGGAGGCTAAACATTGGGTACTCATGGCCATAAAGTTGGCAACAATAGACATCAGGAACTACTAGAGGAGGCAGGAAGGGAGGGAGTAAAGAGTTGAAAAACTAACTCTGGGTACTATGCTCAGTGCCTGGGTGACAGAATCATTCATACCCCAAACCTCAGCATCATGCAATATACCCAGGCAACAAAACTGCACATGTACTCCCTGAATCTAAAACAAAAGTTGAAAATAATGAGTAAAATAAAATAAAAGAGGCTTCACACAGCCTTTGGCACTTTTGCCCTTTTACCTTCCGCCACATGAGGACACGGCATTCAAGGTGCCATCTTGGAAGCAGAGACCTGGCTGTCAGGCACCAGACTGGCTGGTACCTTGATCTTGGGCTTCCCAACCTCCAGAACTGTGAGAAATAAATTTCCATTATTTATAAATTACCCAATCTCAAGTATTTGTTATAGCAGCACAAACAAAACTAAGACAGTCCATAATGTGTATCACTGAAATGCTTATTTTCCAAGTAACTCAAGAGAAGTGAAAAACCATCTCCCCCAAAAGCATCCAAATATGCCAAGCACAATCACAGACCCTGAGCATCTGTGGCACTGTCCCTCCATTTCCATTCTGAGGTTCTAGTACTGCCATCACTGAACTGACCCCCAACTACATCCCTCAAGTCCAAGGGAATACATTCTACCTCCATGGGTTGTATTACTCATTTCTTCCCCTGCTTGAATCACCAGCTTTAATACAACTCTCTACCTAATCACTCCAGGTTATTTCTTTGATGCGCCTAACTCTCTATAACAAAGTTTAATTTGTCATCTAGTTAGTTTTCCTTTCTCAACCAAGACTTTCAACACATCTATATCAAACTTACTTCAACCTGGATTAGTGCAATGGTCTAATGGAAAGCAATAGCTTTCCTTACTGCCTCTTTCCTTTCAATGATTCTTTCACATTTTCTAGGTAATCTTCTGGAAACATGTAACTGATTATTTTAGAACAGAGTAAGCAAACTATGACAAGGTGCACAGGCCAAATCTGACCCATTTCCTCTTTTTTAAACCACTCTGAAACCCAGAATTGTTTTTACCTTTTCAATGATTGCAAAAGTCCTAAAAGAATATTTCCTGAGATGTGAAAAATATGAAATTAAAATTTCAGCATCTATAAATACAGTTTTATTGGAATACAGCCATACTCATTTATTTATATATCACCTGTGGCAGTTTTTGTACTACAATGGCAGAGTTGAGTAGTAGAGACCACATGGCCAGCAAAACCTAATATATTTACTATCTGGCCTTCTACGAAAAAAGTGTGCCAACTCTTGTCTTAGAGCACTGTTGGAAAAACATCAATGAACCATAATAGATAGTTTGAAGTTGGGATCTTCCCCATGAAGTGACCTTATTATTACTATATATTTTAAAATCTACTGAACTATTATGAAGCTACTTTAATAATAGTGTTTAACAATCCTATCAGATTAAATAATCTTATTATTAACATTTATTTATTCATCCCTACCTTTACCTTTCCTCTGTCTTTCACACATCCTCAATACCCAATTCTCTGGTCACTAGTCCTTACCATTTCCAAAAATTATCTACTTTGTTTTTCTTTTTCGACATTTATTTTAGAATCAGCTCCAGTTTTTAAATTTTTACCACTGCTGTTTATTTTTATTCTCCCACTTGTCTGTCCTATTTTCATTTGGCTTTTAGATGCAATATTTGTTTTCATCACCTAGGGTCCATTCCTTCCTCATTTGACATTAGGATCCCAATTTTGGTTTGTCCATTTACACTTATTTGGCATGGGTGCTAACTCCACGACCTGTAGGCTCCAAGACTAGAGCACCTGCTTTAGGCTAATTCAATCTGTGCATTGTATCCCCTTAGTCACAGTGATTGCTTCATGGATGATTACACTCAAGCCAGGCAAATCAGAACCAATAAGGTTCAATTCCAGAACGTTTGTCCTTATTTAACATTAGTTTCTCTCAACCTCTCACCCAGAGGATAAAGTAGAACCAAATGTAAACATGAAATCGCTAAGAGAGGCCAGGCGCGGTGGCTCATGCCTATAATCCAAGCAGTTTGGGAGGCCAAGGCAGGTGGATTGCTTGAGGTCAGGAATTCAAGACCAGCCTGACCATCATGGTGAAACCCTGTCTCTACTAAAAATATAAAAATTAGCCAGGCATGATTGCATGTGCCTGTAATCCCAGCTACTCAGGAGGCTGAGGTAGGAGAATCAGTTGAACTCGGGAGGCAGGGGTTGCAGCCTGGGCAACAGAGTAACATTCCATCTCAAAATAAAAAGAAAAGAAAAAAGAAAGAAAAGAAAAAAATCGCTAGGGGCTGGACTTAGGTGACTCTCTAGTGGCATTGAGTTCCAACTCAAGCCATGCCTGAAACTGGATGGCCCCTTGAACAGCCCAATTATTTCAGTTAAGATCTCAGTATCATCACTTTTTGCTTGAACTGGTTTGGGTCAAGTATTCCACTACTTGCAACCAAAGGAATCCTAACTGATATCGTATCTCATTTTTCTCTAAGACTCATTACTATATCCCTGGCACATGCCTCTCTCCTAGCACATAGGATGCACTCAATGTTTTTAAAGTTAATTAATTTTGTCTTTTTATGTTTCTTACCGGCTTAGATGTCAGATATAAATGTCCCATCTCTTAAAGTTACTTTCCCACAGTACCTTCACTTCACCATGTTTTCCATTTCTGTGTTTTTGCCTTTGTATTTGCCTTTGTGTTTTTGCCTGGTTTTGGGTGGCTGACCATCTCCTGAATGCTTCCTTTCCTTGAACTTGATCTGTGATTAGTTTACCCTTAGTAAGTGATAGATGCACAAGGTTCTAGATGCTTTCTCTTTCAAACATGATTTTTTCATGTCTAGTGTCAATGTTATATTCCTATTAAAGCTATAAGATTCCTAATGTAAGAGCACGGACTTTGAAGTTAGGCAGCCCTAGATTAGAATCTTAGACTACAGCATAACACTCATTAGGCCTTAGCTAATCACAACTTCTTCTTCTAAATTGAAGGAGACTGTATCTATCTCAAGATGTAATAATGAAGGGAATATTGGTACAGATATTAGCATAATCACTGGTACATAGAAAGAACTCACATATAGTTTTATTATTGTGGTAAGAGATAAGCACTGTCATGTCTTGGATGCAAAAGCTTATATTATGCATTTCAAATTTTGCAAAGAACTGGATTTTTTTTCGTAGAGAAGTGAGTGTTTTTAATTATTAAGAATGATTTTGAAAAGGAAAGTCTGATTCATTTCACTTTCATTGTATCCACTCACTCTGGGTCATTTTGACATTGAGACTGATTAATGTGCTTATACGTGTAAATTAATATTTCAGGCTCTTGTGTGATATTGAGGCTCTCAGATTCAAATAAGTTACTACAAATATAAATAATATCATAAATTGAGCCTCAAATTATATAGATCTATATATGATTGATGCCTTATGAAAATACCTAGAAAAGTTTATTGCATTGGATACATTTCATGACTTTGGGTCCTCTTTTTCTTGCCTCTCACCCCATACTTTCTTCTTTCTTCCTTTCTACAAACAGTTTGAGGAAGCAGGCCTGGCAAATGTGTGATGCAGAAATATTAGTTAAATCACTTAGAAATGTAAAACATTTCCAGTAGTATTACTAAAACTTAAGAAATACTCTACTCAAAAATTTTTGCTCAATTTTTGAGCAAAAATTGAGCCTCAAAAATAATTCCCTGGAAATAGGGTTACCATTACTTCTGATCTGGAGCACCTATTCCACTCCTATATTTGTAGAAGACCAGATCAGCCATCCCACCCCACCTTTTGTTTCCAGCCACCATAGCAGAGATGAAGTTATGAGTCTTCTCCTTATGCCCATATCCAGCTGGATGTAAATATATGTAATATACAAATATTCCAAAACTAAAAGTTTCTATAGAAACTCTATTTTAAAGGAGACCACTTAAACATTTGCCTTTGAGGGTAATAAATCTTACCAAATCGCTTGGCCAACTTGCATTAAAGCATATTTGTTATGTTTTTATGTATTATTCTTGCACTGTCTAATACTTGAAATGAAATCTGGATTCCTACCAAGGAAATCCAGATATGTAGGAAAGGGCATATCCTGGTAACAAGACAGAGAACTGTTTTGGGGCAATGATGGTAGGGACTAGATAAAGTGCAGGAATACATTATTTATCATAAAGGGATCACCATCCCATTCACAAGGCTTCCTTCTGAACCAGGAACTAGCAAAAAGCGGACTGTAGAAAAAGAGTGAAAATAGTTTAGTATTCAAGTAATCAATAGTCACCCTCAAGTACAGAAATGCCAAAGCTGACCAAAGTCAAAGTTAAATGCTATTTTCCATGAAACTTGCTGTGAAAATGATTTAGAAAATTGTGCAAATTATAGTTTGTACCCCTCATTTATCTGCACTGCTATTTATATACCATTCTAAGACCAAATTATATTCCCTCTTACATCAACTCATTGATGTTTAGACTCTCAAATAAGGGCTGGCTTCAAAAACCGCAAAATTTAGCTTTGATTGTAAAAGAGCTGAGCTGTCACAGAATGCTCTGGGTATGATGCATTCCTGAAATTCCCTTTGATTTATTTGCTCTTACTTTATCCCAGTGACTGAATATTCTCTTCCTACTGGAGATACAAATGAAGTAGATATGATTTTTCTTTTACATAAGTAACTATAACTATTATTCTCTACCAGTAGCATCAATCTCAAAATAATTGTATCTGGGTAATTGAGAATTGGCAAAGAATAAAGGAAATAGGAAGCTTTCAAAAGAAAAATAGATTTAAAAATCCCAGAATGTTTCTGGTTCTCTATTTTCACTTTGGATCCAATACAGAAATAAGATCCAGAATCCTATAAATGTTAGAACCCATGGGCTCTGACCTTAAATCCTTTGACCTATTTCAAAAATAAATTTATACTCAATTTCATAAAGGATCAGACTGAGCTTGTTTAATAAAAATCTCTGGAAAACTAAACATGAACTGGCCTTGGGAAAGTCAAGCCTCTCTAGGACTTCACCACACTTCACGCAAGGTATTTTATTGACATACACACCTGTGTTTACTTCTCTTTCCATGCTCTTTCCCCCATATACTTTTTTTCCAAGCCAGATCTTTGTGCCAGCTTGCCAGAAAGGAGGTTTGTGTTAGAGGACAAAAAACAAAAGTTGCTTACAGACAACCTGGTTTCTGGCCTGTGGTTTTCTGGGGAAAATATATTGAAGAAAGAGAGAAGTGGAGAGTGCTTTTAGTATACATAGAGAAGGAAAGAGAGTAAAGAGGGACAGAGAAAGTAAGAGCCAGTGTCAGAGATGACTGCAGTTAACAAGACCTGAAAGGGGAAGGGCTACAGAGCAGACTTGGAGAAGCTGTTCCTTGGGCCTGTGACACAAAGCATCAGCAAACTCATCAATGCTCAAACTTAGCATTGGAGCCACAGAATCACAGAGCTGCCTGCCTCCACATGTCCGTGTGAGCCTGCATGGTGATGTCCAACTCATTGAGTGTCCCTAGTCCCTGGAAAAATGCCTGCCCATTATTAAGTTCTCAATATTTGTTGAATGGATGAATATAATCAGTGGAGAACGTGACGAACTGAAGCAGACCCTTTCATTTTGGGGATATTATATAAAGTTATTGAAGTTTTATGGATCCCAAGAAAGAGAAGCTCTACTCCACCTCAACCCCAAAATTAATAGTGATTTGCACTCTTGACCATTCTGGCAGGACAGAGTTTCAGAGTAAAATTTAATTCGATTTCTTTCACACTGAAAGTTTTGTAGTAAAATGCTTACCCATACAATGTATCTATGGAATACTCATGTCTATCCAGTATCCAGGAAAAGGTGATAGAAGGAAGGGTTCTCTGCAAGAAAGTCCCCAGAGACCCTTAACCTCCCTGGTAGTGGCAGCTCCAGAACTTTTATTGAGTCTTAGGGTTGTCCATCTAGCTGTAGAAAGAGGTAAGATGGAATGTAAAGCTGCATTTGTATGGAATATCTTATAAGACTGAGAAAACATCTATTATGCATATAAAAATATAGAAAAGGGTTTGATGGACATGCGGAAGGGAGGTAAAATTCTCTCAAGCCATGCTTTGTGCCATCAGTGTTCCATTCTACATCAGGGAAGAGAGCACACACATCCTCAAACACAATCATAACCACAGTCATACACACTCATGCGTGTACAATGGAGTATAAACAGTTTTATCCTGGATTTCTCATATTCTGTTATTTTAATGAAGCTCTGCTGAATTGGACTAATTAAAATTAAAACAATGTAAATTAGCTCATAGCTACTTTGAAGATATTTCTCAGGCCCCATCCATGGGTGGGTAAGAATAAAAATAGTGTCCCCAAAATAGCTATGAATGACCACTTCTCAAGTATTTAAAATGTTCTGTTCAATTGAGTATATTACAAAATTTATCTCCACCACTTACGAAATACTTTTATTGATAGGTAGCTCAAGCCATCATCTTAATAACCACAATTCTTAACCTGGAATAAGTAAATGAATTTTCACTGTGCACTACAATGTATAGAATAGCAAATGAAGGACTGAGAGTCAGCAAGATCTAGAACCAAATATGACAATCTTCGACTTTTACTGTGATGTCAAATTCCTCAAATATCTATTGGAAAGTGTGTTTTTACATAGTTCATTCATAAAATCCACACATTACCACACACAGACATTCTGTTTAATTGAAAAATCCCAAAATCACTGAAAGAATTTATTTTATGCTGTGCTCTTAGGTGATCTTTATTGAATTTAGGATCTCAGAATAAAATAGGGTAGTACCAGATAGAGAAAGCTAAGATTGCTGCACCACTGTCTCATAATCTCAGCTGATCTGTGGCTCTCTCTATCATATTAGGTAATAATTATGGGATGATAATTCATTGACATACATGTGTGCAAGCAATAAATAGGTATATTACATATGCTTGGGTTCAAAGGATGGAGAAAAGCCAAAGCTAGGGTATGAAACTGATATTTTCAAATAGCAATAACAAAAATTCAAAAGGGACATGCAATGGTATCTGCTTAAAATATATAGCCAAGTTTAGACGTTCTGTAGTAGATCATACATACTTTTATATGACATTTTGTTTTGTAAAAGGAAATCTAAAACTCATTATAAATAGGAAGAAAAAGATAGAAAAAAAGCAGCACTTGCAGCCCTACCAATCTGAATACAAAGTTAATATTTTGATGAATTTTCTTTGCATTTATATTCACAGTGGTTTTGACACGTTTGTACTTTATATATAATTACATTTTGTTTTTTTCATTTTCCACAATATTATAATCATTTTTGGTATTATTTATGCTTTTCATCACAGTGTTAATGGTTGAGTAATATTCCATTTATTTGATGTACTTTATACAACTATTCTCCTATAGTCATTCATAAAGATTGTTTATAATCTTTCACTGTCAAACAAAACTGAGATGGACAGCTTTGTGCATACATTTTTTTCCATTTTTAGGAATATTTCTTTAGAATTAATGACCAGTAATAAAATTATTGATCTAAAGGGCATGGCCATTTGAAAACTGTTGAGTCATACAAGGAAACTAATTTAAAAACAGTATAACCCAGGTTATATTGGGTTATATGACCCATGTTATATTGAAATTAGTTCTGAAATCAATTCCAGCTATGTGACATGGGCAAATTACTTAACCACTCTAAGAAAGTTTTCTCCCAAGGACTGGGAGGATTACATGCAATAACATTTATAAATCCACATAAAGACCACTGTATGATAACCACTCAAGAAATAAAAACTGTTATATTATACTTATATTATAGTATTGTTTGGGAGGTCCTTTTTTACCTGGAACTAGGTATTATAATTTTAAAAAAATCTAATTTATTACATGATAGTAGTATGTCATTGAATTATGTTAAGTATTTACTTTACAATTGTCTATTATCTACTGTGTTTGTTTTTCTGAATATCATCTACTCAGGTAAATTTTTTCTAATTCTTTTATCGATTTAATATTTTTAGACTTAAAAAAATACTTTTCCTCTGTCACATTTGTCAAAAATATTTTTTATTTTGGCTTTCATTTTAGTTTTAGTTTTTAACACACAATCTATGAAGTTATTTTATTATTCTATTAAATTATTGCTTTCTTTGTTTTTTAAATTGCTTGTAACTTAGAAAAGCTTTCTACTCCATTCAGAGATTTGATATACATTCAATTGTTTGATTTCTTTTTTAGTGTAACATTTTAAAAAATCAATTACTATTAATTCATCTGGAATTTACATTTGTATGTATTATGGGGTGATTTAAAACATTTTATCAAAAATGTGCATAAAATATTAATTGAAATACTATTGTTCTTGTTTATTTATGGGACCTATTTCATTGTATATTTATTTCTTATATAATAGTTTTTTAAACCAGGGGTCCCAAAACCCCAGGCCACGAACTGGTATGGGTCTATGGCCTGTTAGGAACCAGGCCACACAGCACGGGGTGAATGCTGGGAAAGTGAAAGAAGCTTCATCTGTATTTACAGCCACTCCCCATCACTTGCATGCGCTGAGATCTGCCTCCTGTCAGATCAGCGGTGGCATTAGCTTCTCATAGGAGCATGAACCCTACTGTAAACTGCATATGCAAAGGATATAGGTTGCACGCTCCTTATGAGAATCTAATGTCCGATGATCTGTTACTGTCTCTCATCACCCCCACACAGGACAATCTAGTTGCAGGAAAACAAGCTTAGGACTTCCACTGATTCTACATTATGGTGAATTGTATAATTTATTTCATTAGATATCACAATGTAATAATAATAGAAATAAAGTGCACAATAAATGTAATCATCATGTAACCATTCCCCGCTCCCTATTTCGTGGAAAAATTGTCTTCCACGAAAGTGGTCTCTGGTGCCAAAAAGGTTGGGACTGCTGCTTTAGACTTTCTCTTCTCATATCAGCATTATTCTGTTTCACTTATTTTGGTTTTTAATGTACTCTACTGTCTGTTGAACTTAGATACCATGATGGTTAGTTCTTTCTTTCTTCATTTTTTAGCTATGTCCTCCCCACCTATTTTCCACGTGAACTTTATAAAACATTTAACAACTTCTAGAAATATAAATCCTTGGAATATTAAATGGATTTGTATTACCTTATATAATTATCTTGAAAAAAACAGATATCTTTATATCATTCAGTCTTTGCCTTTCCGTTTATGATGTCTTCACATTTATTCAAGTATTTAGCACTCCATAAACCTTATAGTTCTTTAAGTCATATATGTTTCATATTAAGATAATTTCTTCTTTCCCTTTCCAGCTCCCCTCTTTATTGTATTAAGAGTAAATTAAATTTTGTCCTATTTTTGTTGTCTGCATTTTAGTTTTCTGATTTGTAAAATGCAAAGGGAAGGATGAGTTCTCTTGGATAAGAGCTTAATGAATCTCAGCACATAATAGGAGTTCACTAAAAACTGTTAAATAAATAGTTGAATGAAAAGGAAATTCCTATTGGGTTTTAATTGTTTGAATGAGGAGAGAAAGGGAGGAACAGCCTATTATGTAATTCCATTATTTCCACCTTGACTCCATCCCAACCTTACCTCTGTTGCCTAACGTGACCCCATCCCATCTTTGTACTCACCTGTACTTCCTATCTTCACTTTGGATTTTAGATATATCAAAGAGGACCCCTCCAGTATCCACATGCTGAGAAACTATGTAGAATGAATATTGTCCATCCCCTTAAAAATGAGCCAGATTATATCTTTTCCTTTCCTCCTACTTGAAATTGAAATTCCACTACTTTCTCACTGCAGGAAGAATGTACAGCTTTCTACTGATTGTTCTGTGCTCCACAAACTAAAATATCAAAAGTTACTTTGATCCAGGCTACATTTCTTTCAACAAGACATTAGACAGGTGAGTTGAGCTATTATCCTTAGTCCATAACAAATGTTTCATCACAGTTGCAGCTTTTCCCCTTCTTACATTGTTAAATTATAGCTCAGAATCCCCAGCTTTATAAGAGTCACGTATATCATAATAAGCTCTTGTATGAAAAATGTGCCATTACCTCTACTATTACCTTATCACTTCTAGAAAATTCTTGTGTGGGAATTGGGCAATCTTTCAAGATGGATTTCCTTACTATCCTATAACTAGAAAATGTAATCAGTTAGCAGAGGCCTGGTGTCATCCGACCATTAAAATGTGATGCCTGTGGCTTTTAGCTTTGCTCATTGTCATCTTTTGATTCCTTTGTTAATACAGTTTGCCATTCGGGCTACTTTGCTAATTATTGCAGACCATATTCCACTCCTACAAGATGAGTAAATATGCAATGCTTCACAGTGAAATGAAAAAAAAAAGAGCAAATTTGACCTTTCAACATTAGGATAAAATTGGAAAAAATGACACAAAAGGTCAATTCCAGCATAGGGACTGTACAGAGTGACAGGTACTGCACCCCTGTCCCTTTGTATAGGCTGGTATTTCTAAGGATCAACTATCACAGAATCCTAGGGTGCTTTGAATAATGTACAGTTGATACCTGCAACACTGACTTCCTGAGTGAATCTCTAGGGCTGAATTTTGCCACTCTGCATTTAAAACAAACAAACAAACAACAACAACAAAAAATCCTCAAGTGGTTCTTATGAACATAAAGAAGGAAGGACCACAGGTAAATATTATAACCTTACAGGTTCTTTTAAAAAGCTTTGTTAAAGATCTTTATTTTATCTACACAACTTTGTGATCAAAAATGTTTGAAGATCACAAACTTATTTTTAGACTCAATTTATTATTAACTCATTGATGATTTTCCTAACCCAGACGGCAAGTATTTGTGCCATTCTACTTTTGTTAAAATTAATGGAATTTATTCACAAGCCTAACAAACAAATAGTTAAAATATTATCAAAGGCTAAGAGAAGAAAAATGCAATGTATTCCTTCTGTAACATACTTTCATGTCATGTGACCTCAACTGGGATCTCACAATAGCTCAGCAATCTATTCATTTATTTGAAAGATGATCTAGTTCATTCTCCACAGCTGTTTCTGCAAACTGTTCCTTATGTCTCTAAGCATCTGTTTCCTACTCCTATGTATCTGTGAAGATGATGGCTTTATAACATTAGTGCTTCCAACTTCTCGCTACCTCAATATTCTCTATATCATTGCATCTCTGTACATTGTGTGCATGACAAAAAAAGTGTCTTTCTTCTTTTCTAAGGGTGACATGCCAAAATACCAAAACTTTGAGTCTTTTCTGACTTTTAAGAGAAGAATATGTGGGTTCCAGGAAGAATGATTCCCACTGCCCATAGGTAGATGGAGACAAGAGAGAGATGATAGGGAGTCCTAAGAATACTTGTAGAGTTGAAGGGTTGAAATGTCAAAGGAGTTCAGGCAAAGAGACAGGTGTGGATGAAAGGATTCCTAGAGATAAAGATGAATCACAAGATCCAGTAGATTAAGATTTGAAAGACTGAGAGGACACCAAAGCCTGAAGCCACGGCATGAGAACAAACCTGCAGTAGCTGAATTTGTAGACAAATGGAAAGAAATAGAAAATCAAGGATGTAAATAAATTTCAGTGAGAGAGCTACAGGAATCAAAGATTCTAGTGTAAATTTTGCTGAAAGCTTTTAGTTGTTGTTGTTATTGTGACCAAGAAGTTGTAACTTCACTGTTTTTGGTTTTCTTTAGTGATTCCTGTTTTTATGTGGTTGAAGAGTTACTCACATCTTACAAAATCTTTCTATCAACACCCTTGATCTCATCCTCTCCTGTCATTTCCAGGATGCTACATCGCATATATTTGCAAAATGTGAAGAAGATATTTATATACGGGATATCTTCCTTTTGCCTTTTTTGGTACTGCATCCTAACTTTCCCTTGTACAATCTCTGACCCCTGTCAATGTGGTTTGAACAAAATTGATCTCCATTCCTGGCTCCCAGGATGAGATTGTAACTTGAGGCTGGCCAAAGTGCCATATCACTCTGATCTAGTGATTGGTTTAAAAATGGTGCATTGCTCAATTTGTGACAGTCAAAGAATCACAAGCTTCTGCACCAGCACTCTTTGAAGTCAATATAGACAAAGTAGAGCTGAAATATGGAGAGACAGAAACAAGATCCAATGACAATGTTTGACCCCTACACCTAGTTCTGCCTGAAACCTAGCCCTAACTTTTCTGTTACATGAGCTAATAAATTCCCTCCTTTGTTTCAGCAAGTTTTTGGTGGGTTCCTTAAAGTTTCAATAGAACATAATCTGACTAATGAAAATTAAAGTATGGTATAATCCCAATAAATAATCATGTGGCTACAGGGGATATATAGAGTGAAACCCCTTACAATAATATTAGGATTCTGTGATTAGATTATTCTGGATTATGTAATGATCAAACCTCTGTCATTCAACCTGCACTTTTTTTGGCTTAAAATGCTTTTTCCTTCCTCTGATTGATATGTAGACTTTGCATAATTCTAGTTTTGATGCCATACCATTCGTAAGAGACAACCTAACCTATATGGTTGTCTTATAAACTTTTTATTGATGCTCAATGTCTCTTATTGGAATTATTCTTCTCTCATTCTTTGTCCAGTTTGTGTGGGCAGTGTTGACCATACCCAAAACTCCAGGTTTGTGGGGCACATGACACAGACTAGGCCAATTGGAGATTACCCTGGGACTTGTGCCAGAGTTTGTTTTGAAGAAGTGTCACTCCATTCTCTTGGATTGCTAGCTGTAAGTATATGCAAGTATAAAGTTGCCAGTGGATATTTTGGGGATGCTAAAGGCCTATATGAGATTGAGGTCATTATGGAGAAAAGCAAAACTGAAAGATGGAGGAAAGGGAGTAGTTTTATGGAGACATCTTTAAAGGATCCACTAAAGCCATCCTCATATCTTAGATTCTCCAGCCACATGAACCAACAAATTTACTTTCTTTGCCTTAAACTGGCTTGAGTTGTTTTGTTTTTGTTTTTGAGATGGAGTCTCACTCTGTTAACAGGCTGGATTGCAGTGGTGCCATCTCAGCTCACTGCAACTTCCACCTCCTGGATTCAAGCAATTCTCGTGCCTCAATCCCCCCAGTAGCTGGGATTACAGGCACATGCCACCACGCCCAGCTAATTTTTGTATTTTTAGTAGAGACAGGGTTTCACCATGTTGGCCAGGATGGTCTCGATCTCCTGACCTTGTGATCCACCTGCCTCGGCCTCCCAAAGTGCAGGAATTACAGGTGTGAGCCACAGCGCCCAGTCTGAGTTGGGTTTTTAATACATGGAACCAAAATCTTGACTAACTATACATTGGCATGAAGGTGTTGGTACTTACAAGTTAGTGTCAGCTCTCACAGATTCTGAAATCCCATCTCTCAAAATTAGCTGAGAAGATGTTAGTGACTGGCTGACTTCTCTGAAAATACCCTTGGTTGTCATGGTGATGGGGAGCAGATACTGAGAAGATTCTGAAATATATTCATATAAAATCTGAGCTATGGGGGGAATGTATTTAACTCAGCTGTGGGAATGCTGCATTCATAGAACCCACTAAGATGCATGGAGATACACTAGTCTCAGATTGTTCGTGTTGTTCAAGAAATCTAAAGGGACAGTGTTATTTAAAGAAGGTGATAGACAAATTGGAACTTATGTCTCTGCTAATACTCAGTGCTTGGTGTCAAGTTTGTATAACCTCTCCACCCTAAAGCTGAGACCAGTGTATCTCAGAGATCATATACATATTCTTTATGGTTTTTCCCCCAACTTTGTAAATGAAAAGACATAATACATGAGTATTAAGACTTGGCTTTTCGTAATATTTCTTTCACATATCTATCTATAGAATTCTTATTTAAAAGCTCAAAAGATGGATAATGGAGCAAGATGGCTGAATAGAAACTCCACTGTTTGTTCCCCCAATGAGACACCAACTTAACAACTATTTACACAAAAAAAGTACCTTCATAAGAACCAAAAATCAGATAAGCACTCAGAGTACCTGGTTTTAACTTTGTATTACTTGAAGAGACACTGAAGAGGTAGAACAAACAGTCTTGAATCACTGATGCCACCCATCCTCCATCCCCTGGCAGCAGTGGTGTAGTGTGGAGAGTGATTTTGTGTGCTGGGGAGAGAGAAAGGAGGCAATGCCAAAATTTGAGAGGCAATGAACTCAGTGCTGTCCTGTTATAGCAGAAAGTAAAACCAGACCAAACTCAGCTGACATTCCCTATGGAGGGAGCATTTAAATCAGCCCTAGCCAGAAGTGAATTGCGAATCCCAGCTGTCAGAACTTGAGTTCCCACAAAACTCACCACCATGGACTAAAGGGCTGTGGGGCTCTAAATAAACTTGAAATGTAGTGTAGTCTGAAGGACTCTTAGGCGAGTCTTAGTGCCGAACTGGGCCCAGAGACAGTGGACTGCTGGCTACGTGACCCACAAAGACACCAGTTGGGGTCGGTAAGGGAGTGCTGGCATCACTCCTCCCCTAACAACGCTGTCCAGCTCATGGCTCCAAAAGAGACTCTTTCCTTTCCATTGAGGAGAGGAGAGGGATGAGGAAAGAGGACTTTTGATATAGTTTGGCTGTGTCCCCACCCAAATCTCATCTTGAATTATAACTCCCACAATTCCCACATGTCATTGGAAGAACCCAGTGAGAGGTGATTGAATTTTGGGGGTGGGTCTTTCCTGTGATAGTTCTTGTGATAGTGAATGAGTCTGATGAGATCTGATGGTTTTAAAAAGAGGAGTTCCCCTGCATAAGTTCGCTTTGCCTGCCACCATCCATGTAAGATGTGACTTGCTCTTCCCTGCCTTCTGCCAGGGTTGTGAGGCTTCCCCAGCCATGTGGAACTGTAAGTCCAATTAAACCTTTTTATTTTGTAAATTGCCCAGTCTTGGGTATGTCTTTATCAGCAGTGTGAAAACTAATACAATTTTGTATTTCATATTGGATACCAGCTCAGCCACAGCAGGATAGGACATTGGTCAGAATTGTAAGGCCCCTGTTCCAGGCCCTGCCTCCTAGAAAACATTTCTAGACACACCCTGAGCCAGAAGGGAGTCAGCTACCTTAAAGGGAAGGACCAAGTCCTGGCAGGATTCATTACCTGCTAACTGAAGAGCCCTTGGCCCCTGAATAACCAATAGCAATACCCAGGTATTATATCAAGGATCTTGGGTGAGACTCTAAGACTTGCTGGCTTCAGGTAAGACTCAGCACACTCCCAGATGTGGTGGCTATGGGGTTAGACTCCTTCTGCTTGAAAGCAACATAGGGAAAAGTGAAAGGGACTGTCTTGTACCTTAGGTGCCAGCTCAGCCACAGGGGAGTAGGGCGCTGAGTGTGCTCCTGGGTTCCCCAATTCCAGGACTTGACTGTTGGATGGCATTTCTGGACCTGCCGGCAGAGGAGCCCACTGCACTGAAGGGTGAGATACAGGCCAGGCAGCATTCACCACAAGCTGACTAAAGAGCACTTAGGCCTTAAGAAAACATTGGCAGTAGTCTGGCAGTATTCCCCATGGGCCTGTAGTGACAGTGGCAATGGGGTGAACCTCGTCTGCCTTTGGAAAGGGGAGGAAAGAGTAAGAAAAACTGAATCTTGTGGATTAAGTGCCAGCCACAGTACAACAGAACACCAGACAGACTTCTAAGGTTTTTGACTCTAGGCCCTGATTCCCAGATAGCACCTTAGGACCCACTTGGGGCCTGGGGGAGCTCATCACCCTGAAGGGAAGGACATAGGCCTGGCTGGCTTTGCTGTCTGCTGATTGTAGAGCCCCAGGCCTTGAACAAACACAGGCAGTAGCCAGGGAGTCATTACAGCAGGCCTTGGATGAGACCCAGTGTTGTGCTGCCTTCAGGTCTGACACAATGCAGTCACAGTGTTGGTGGCCATGGGGGTGCTTCTGTCGCTCCATCCCTAGCTTCAGGGGGCTCATAACAGAGGCAGACTCTGTTTGGGAGAAAGTAAAGAAGTAAAATAAGAGTTTCTGCCTGGTAATACAAAGAATTCTTCTAGATCTTGTCCAAGACCATCAAGGCAGTACCTCTACAAGTCTGAAAGACTTGGTCTTTCACTTGGCTAACACTATAGTGTTACTGGGCATAAGGTTTCCCCTAAAGCAGACACAGCTAGGATCACAATGCTCAAGTCCTTCTGATTATCTGGAAAGTCTTCCCAAGAAGGATGGGTACAAGCAAGCCCAAACTACAAAGACTACAATAAATACCTAACTCTTCGATACCCAGACACCAAAGAACATTGTATTAGTTCTTTTTCATGCTGCTATGAAGAAATAGCTGAGACTGAGTAATTTACAAATGAAAGAGGTTTAATTGATTCACAGTTCTGCGTGGCTGGGGAGGCCTCTAGAAACTTATGATCATGGTGGAAGGGGAAGCAAAGACATCCTTCTTCACATGGCAGCAGGAGAGAGAACTGCCAAGCAAAGCAGGAAAAGCCCCTTATAAAACCATCAAATCTCATGAGAAACTCACTCACTATCACGAGAACTGCATGGGGGTAACTGCCCCCATGACTCAATTGCCTCCCACAAGGTCTTTCCCATGACACATGAGGATTATGAGAACTACAATTCAAGATGAGGTTTGCGTGGGAACACAGAGCCTAACAATATCAAGCATCTACTAGCATCAGTACCATCCAGGAAAACATGACATCACCAAATGAACAAAGTAAGTCACCAAGGACCAATCCTGGAGAAACAGATATGTGACCTTTCAGACTGAGAATTCAAAATAGTTGTGTTGAGGAAATTCAGAGAAATTCAAGAGGACAGATATATGACTTGGAGAAACAGTGACGTGACCTATCAGACAGAGAATTCAAAATAATGTGTTGAGGAAATTCAGAGAAATTAAAAAGAACACAGAGAAGGAATTCAGAATTCTAGCTGATAAATTTAACAAAAAGATTGAAATAATTAAAAAGAATCAAGCAGAAATTCTGGAGCTGAAATGCAATTGGCATACTGAAGAACACATCAGTCTTAATTAGCAGAATTGATCAAGCAGAAGAAAGAATTGGTGAGCATGAAGACAGGCTGTTTGAAAATACACAGTCAGAGGAGACGAAACCAAAAAGAATAAAAAACAATGAAGTACATCTACAGGATCTAGAAAATAGCCTGAAAAGTTCAAATCTAAGAGTAATTTGCCTTATAGAGGCAGTAGAGAAAGATATAGGGGCAGAAAGTTTATTCAAAGAGATAATGACAGAGAAGTTCCCAAACCTAAAGGAAGATATCAATATCCAAGTATAAGTATAAAAAGGCTATAGAACACCAAACAGATTTAGACCAAAGAAGTCAACTTTAAGGCATTTAATAATCAAACTCCCAAAGATCGAGGGTAAATAAAGAATCCTAAAAGTAGCAACAGAAAAGAAGCAAACAACATACAATGGAATGCCAATATATCTGACAACAGACTTTTCAGTGGAAACCTTACAGGCCAGGAGAGAGTGGTATGGCATATTTAAAGTGCTGGAGAAAAAGCTTTTACCCTAGAAGAGTACATACAGTGAAAATATTCTTCAAGCATGAAGGAGAAATACTTTCCCAGACCACACACACACACACACAAAGCTGTGGGATTTTATCAACAGCAGACTTGTTCTACAAGAAATACTAAAGGAAACACTTCAATATCAAAAAGAAGAGGACATTAATAAGGAATAAGTAATCATTTGCATTATTCTAACTAAAGTAAAGTAACACAGTAATCAAAAACCAAACACCATATGTTCTCACTTACAAGGGGGAACTAAGCTATGGGTATGCAAAGGCATACAGAGTGGCATAATGGATATTGAAGACTCAGAAGTGGGGAAGGTGAGAAGGGAGTGAAAGATTTTTAAAAAAGCTATATATTGGCTACAATTTCCACTACTTGAGTGATGGGTGCACTAAAATCTCTGATGTCATCATTTTACGATTCATCTATGTAACCAAAAACCACTTGTTCCCCTAAAGCTATGGAAATAAAAAATAAAAACAAATTTATCCTAATTCCCTAAAAATGCTCAACAATGATACTTTGAAATGAATATGAAATATCATTTGTGAAAACTCTGAGCTTCTATAGGGTTTAAATGTTGCCAAATTTCTTTGAACACACAGACTGCTCATCTCATCTCTTTCATCTAAGAACACATCTAAGATGGTTTGTTTCTCTGTTAATCGCCTATTCAAATCAGTACTTATAACGAAAGCTATCATGATAAACTCTGAAATGTCATATATTTAGCAGGCAAATTTTTATGATATTATGATACAGAGGTATATTTTCATCATTTCCCCCCTTTTAAAGGAGTTTTTTTAAAAATAACACTTCATATTTTATAAAACAGCAATTATTAGGTTGGTGCCAAAATAATTGCTCTTCTTGCCATTACTTTTATTAATAATGGCAAAGACTACAATTACTTCTGTGCCAACGTAATGTATTAGGAATTAAAGGACAAGTTTTGCTCTGGTTCTGCCACCAGGTAAATTTGGAGGAGTTACTTTACCTCTATGAGCCATTATTTGCAGATATCAAGTACAGGAATTCAACAAGATGAGCTCTCAGGCCTTTTCCAAGTTTGAATCTATGCTTTCATGTAGTACAAATAATGCTTACAAAAGGAATTAGTAGATGATTAAATATTTTCCATATGCCATAGTAACAAAGATTAGTGTTCTAAAACCACAAGGTAATCAAGTTATCAAAGCAAATGTTTTACTAGAGGAAAGATGTGAAAGAAAGTCTAAATTTACTTTGCTGGATGTTACATAAGCTACTTCTGGTAGATGTTTTTAATTCCTGGATTTGATAACACCACTAGAGGAATGGGTTTCTCAGCTATGTTTCTGCCAATAAAGCCTGACACAGACTTCACCACCACCCATGGTGGGCATGGTGATATACTGTCCAGTTCCTCCCCAAGGAAGAACTTGCTGCCCAGCTGAGAAAAAGGAAGTCAGCTGCATGAAGACACCTTGCCTGAGTCACACCCTTTCTGTGGACAGTCTGCATTCCATGAAAAAGTAGGAGTCTGAAGGACCCATATAGGACCCTCCAAAGACATTACATGTCCCAGGGCTCTCTGCTGGGTTGGTTCAGGCATTTTCTGGGCCAGTACTACAGTTTGACTTCTCTTTCTGCACAACACTGCTTTCTCGCCTTTCTCTTGTCGTGTGTTGATTCCTTATAATTATCTTGCACCCTAAACTCCATCTTAACATCTGCTTCCTGGGAACCCAGACTTGGACATGTGTAATTATTTTAGAAATAATAAGTTAATGTTTATTTCTTTTTGCCACATGAAGAGAAAAATATGGAGAATAATGCCTGCTTTAATATTAATAATGGGTTTTTTTCTGCAGTGGGTTTTTTTTTTTTTTTTTTTTTGAGATGGAGTCTCGCTCTGTAGCCTGGGCTGAAGTGCAGTGGCGTGATCTTGGCTCACTGCAAGCTCCGCCTCCCGGGTTCACGCCATTCTCCTGCCTCAGCCTCCCCAGTTGCTGGGACTACAGGCGTCCGCCACCACGCCCAGCTAATTTTTTTTCTATGTTTAGTAGAGACGGGGTTTCACAGTGTTAGCCAAGATGGTCTTGATCACCCGACTTCGTGATCCACCAGCCTCGGCCTCCCAAAGTGCTGGGATTACAGGCGTGAGCCACCGCGCCCGGCCTGTAGTGGGATTTTTTAAAACTTTCTTGTATTTTTCTGTTTTGCTTTAATTTTTCAAAAATGACAAGCAAGCATAATTTTTTACCAAGAAATAAAGTCATCGAAAAACAAAAATAATAAATGCAATATTGATAACATGATGGGGTAGGGAAGATAAAGGATGAAGATATAAAAAGGGAATCAGCAGTAGATTTTAAATCAGAATTAAGCTGTATTTATTTCTGAATATAATTGCAACAGGAAGCTTTTTAATATTGCTGTAAGTTCTTCCCAATATTTTTATATCATGTCAGTTTACCTAATACTAAAGTACTTTGAAAAGTTACATACACTGAAACAATTTACCAAAGTGTTAGATAATCACACACACAATGTTGCTATGGATTTGAAGATTTTAAAGTTTGACAAAATAGAAATCATTTCTTTTGTTTATAAATCAAATTTTGCCTGTGTTTGGAGAAGGCTCAGGTTGATAACTAGGCATATTCTACCCGTTGTACCTACTAGTGTTGATTATATTGCACAGCAATAATTTACAGGACCTTATTTATCTCCTACATTTTATGGAACGAGTTTAACAGAAGTAGATATTGGGATTATGTAGAACCTGTAAAAGTTTTCCTTAGACATATCTCAGGTGATCAAAGTGTTAGGATCGTTATGATCATGTGTGATAACTGGTAGTGAAAGGGGCTTTGAGGCCATGATCATGGTTTCAGTAGCATTCTTGTGCCCTGGATTTCCAGAATCTTCGCAGATTGGTGTAGTCTCAATCCACTAGGATCTATGTTCAGTATAACGTCTTCTGAGTAGCTCTACATTTGCCAAGCCATACATCGCCATTGGCAAATAAAATCCTTTGGTCTTAGATGGGAGTAAGAAGTGAAAATATCTCCTCAGTGCTATAGTACAGAACTCCAGAGATAGTCATGTAAACAAGCCATCATCCAAACTTTTCTTTCCCCTTTCTTCACAGATATAATTATCAATGTAACCTTTCCCCTCTCTATAGAATGTCAAGGGCCATTTATAAATCAGATTCCCTCATGATGAAAACTTCTGTTCAAAACAACAAGAAACCAAAAAAAAAAAAAAACAAACTTGTTCAAAATAACAGTTGATACATGGACATTCCTACTACAAATAAAGAATGTAAGTCATTCTTCATCTTCATTGTTATAGAATTTTTAGCTGCTCATTAAAAACAGGCCAAGTTAGAAATTAAAGAAGACAAAACTAAATCTCACTAATTGAAATGGATAGCCCAGGGCAAGCATCCATGGTTAGAAACAGTTCACCTAAAAGCAGGATTTGTTAGTGTCTCACTGTAGCCGCATTCGCCAGGCTACAGCATTTATGGAACAGCTTCCTATCCTTACAAAAGTTAGAGCCAAAATGTGCCTGGTGAGAGGGAATAGCAATAGCTCCAAGAAGTAGCATTCCAGAGCTCCGGAGTGTGTTTGAGATTTCAATTAAAAGTCCCTACACACAAGTGGATTTCTTCCAAGCACTGCCCTCTGGGCCCTTGTGCTATCCCAAACCAAGATAATGACCAGCCATCTATAGGGCTTTGTTTTCCGGGTGTGTTGTGAGACAATGGCATAATGAATGGCAAACTCAGCTGGTGCCAGAGCTCTGTCACACAAGCCTGGCATTTGGGAATCTGGTGTATTTACTCAGAGCAGCTGTGAAAGTTTGGAAAGACGTTCCAGTTTGAAGATCCATTAACCTCTGTGAAGGGCCACATTTTAGCAGCAACATTTAAGGGATAAATAGGTGTTGAATCCTGTGGAGCCCAAGCCCAGATTCTGCTGGAAAGGAGTTGTGCTAAATAATATTCAAGGTCTCACAGATTCATGTGCTTCAAAGCTCACATTTTGAGAGGTGTTGGTAGTTATTGTGATAATGTTGTTAGAATGATTTTCTAATGCAGCACTTTGTTCTGTTAAATATTTGGAGGAGACATTTTAAAAATGCCCTTCACTTAGTAGGTGCCTGATTTTTATATAAATGAGTGATTAGTTTTATAGTTATTGTGAACTATGATACAAAGACTATGCCCCATTAATTTATATAACAAATACTTATTGGGCACATATTATGCCAAGCAGCACATTGCAAGTCACTACAGATTGGGCAGTAAACAAAACAAAATCCCTGTTATCATATTGTTGCACATAAACTGAAGTGTACTTCTATATTAGTTACAAGCCATGGGTATGTGAAAAATAGAAACTAGGACTTTTAAAATATTACCTAAACCCTTCAATTATTCAGACCCAGCCTATTCTAGCTTTTTCTTCTGGTATTCCAGTCAAACTAGACATTTCAATATAAAAAGTAAATTTCTCCTCTTTTCACTACTGAAATTTTGCGCCTGCTCTTTCTTATTTCCAGAATATCATTATCCTCATCTTTAAATTTTCAAGATTTAGTCATCCATCAAGGCCTTATTGAAAACTGCCTGCTCTGTGTTTACCATCCCAATACCTGAAGCTAAAATGTTGTCATCTTCCTCTGAGCCATTATAGCAACTTGTTTGGACCCATTCTAGGTAAGTTCTACTTATTTGTATATGTCTTTTTACCATTTTCTTCTTCCTATCCTCTCAAACACTTCCAAAACCTCACATGTACATAATCATTGAGACCCAATAGGGGTTGTCTCATTCTTTTCATAGGTATATCAAAATCTTTATGTATTAATCTGAATCCTATGCTGTCTAATCATTATATAAAACTTTAATTATATTAAAATTTTGTGTTATGGTTTGAGCAGGATTTGGGACCCTATATGACCCATTATTTACTATTGTCAGTCAAGATCAATCAAGAAGGCAAAGCCCACATCAGATAGTTTAATAATGGATGTACAAAGAGAAGATCTATAAGAGATAGTGAGGCAGCCTGAATATAGCAATGGCAGGAGGCCCAAGGGAGGAGGTAAGGTTGACAGAGCCCAAAGCCAATGCCTCCTTGTAAGAGGCTGTCCACCAGGAGTTAGGACCACAGAGGGAGTAGCTATCTGATGAAAGTTGGAAATACAGAGACTATGTGGTTATCGCCAGAGTTGCTACCTGAAGTGGAAAGGAAGGAAGGGAAAAAAACCTAGCTTCTTCCTTCGTCCCACACTTCAATCTAGCCAGTTCCTCACATTGGTAGAAAGGAACCAGAAGAAAAAGGCAAGGAAGTGGAGAGTTGGCATGGTACAGTTACCTGCAATACAGAGCAAAACATAGGAAGAATGGATAATGGAAGTTGGAGCAGTTAAATCATCAACACAGTCTGCTTAATCTATAATTGTCTGAAGTGGTTCCTAATTGACAGTGAAGAAGCAAGCTGGCTTCACTTAACCTCACAGAAAACCAAAAACAAACACAGTTCTAAGATTGTCACCAGCAATATCCCAGAACTCAAATATGAGGAGGAGGCAGTTCCAGGGCCACAGAGAAGTGAACAAACTTGAAGGCGATGATAAGAGAAACAGATCTCCACATCCCTGATGCCAATCTGCCTGGCACCAAGCACGTGGAAAACTGTCCTCTGACTCACAATTTCTACACTGGGAAAAGTAAGATCAAGGCGAACAACTAGCTTCTGCACCATCTTGGTTTCCCTGGCAGGAGACCTGTTTCTACCTCCACTCATGAGCGCATCAGGAATGCCTGAAGGGAGAAATATCTCTGAGAGCAAGAGACAAAGCGGGGTGGTGGGAGTATTATTCCCGGCCTGAAAACTCTGCTCTGTCACTTGGCCAAAGGAGATGCCAAATCAGAGTGGCTGTTCAGCAGCACCGCACTGTAGGTGGTTTGTTACACTGGTCCCCACGGCACGAACCCCTAGCCAGCCTTTTCATACTACTGGGATGTTCTCCTTGGTATCTTCTCCATTCCAGACAGGCTGCGATTGTTTACTAGAACTGGGCAAACCTGGACTTAAGGAGCCATCTAGTGATCAAAAGGAGGCAGTAACCTAGTGGAAAAAGGAGAAAAAGAAAAATAATCAACGGGTAAATTAAAAGCAAACATATCAAATAAAAATCAATACAAGCCAGACAGAGAAGACTGGAATAAATAATCCTTCAGTGCAAAGATATAGATATACATCCACAAGAAACAACAAGCAGAGAACCATGACTCCCCAAATGGACAAAGCAAGAAACAATCCTCTGAATCTGAGACAGCAGTATGTGAACTCTCTAAGAATTCAAAATAGCAGTGTTTTTTGTTTTTGTTTTTGTTTTGTTTTTATTATACTTTAAAGTCTTGGGTACATGTGCAGAATGTGCACTTTTGTTACAGGGGTATGCACATGCAATGGTGGTTTGCTGCACCCATCAACCCGTCACCTACATTAGGTATTTCTCCTAATGCTATCCCTCCCCTAGCCTTGCACGCCACAGCAGGCCCCGGTGTGTGATGTTCCCCTTTTGTCTCCATGTGTTCTCATTTTTCACAGCCCACTTATGAGTGAGAACATGCAGTATTTGGTTTTCTGTTCCTCTGTTAGTTTGTTGAGAATGATGGTTTCCAGCTTCATCCATGTCCCTGCAAAGGACATGAACTCATTCTTTTTTATGGCTCCATAGTATTCTATGGTGTACATGCACCACATTTTCTTTATCCAGTCTGTCATTGATGGATATTTGGACGGGTTCCAAGTCTTTGCTACTGTGAATAGTGCCACTATAAACATATGTGTGCCTGTGTCTTTATAGTAGAATGATTTATAATATTTTGGGTATATACCCAGTAATGGGATTGCTCTGTCAAATGGTATTTCTAGTTCTAGATGCTTGAGGAATCGCCACACTGTATTCTGCAATGGTTGAACTAATTTAGACTCCCACCAACAGTGTAAAAGCATTCCCATTTCTCCACATCCTCTCCAGCATCTGTTGTTTCCTGATGTTTTAATGATCGCCATTCTAACTGGTGTGAGATGGTATCTCATTGTGGGTTTTTTTTTGTGTGTACAGATGATTATTTTATTTTATTTTATTTCCTTTTTTTAATTTTATTATTGTTATACTTTAAGTTTTAGGGTACATATGCACAACGTGTAGGATTGTTACATATGTATACATGTGCCATGTTGGTGTCCTGCACCCATTAACTCATCATTTAACATTAGGTATATCTCCTAATGCTATCCCTCCCCCCTCCCCCCACCCCACAACAGTCCCTGGCGTGTGATGTTCCCCTTCCTGTGTCCAAGTGTTCTCATTGTTCAATTCCCACCTATGAGTGAGAATATGCGGTGTTTGGTTTTTTTGTCCTTGCAATAGCTTACTGAGAATGATGGTTTCCAGCCTCATCCATGTCCCTATAAAGGACATGAACTCATCCTTTTTTATAGCTGCATAGCATTCCATGGTATATATGTGCCACATTTTCTGAATCCAGTCTACCATTGTTGGACATTTGGGTTGGTTCCAAGTCTTTGCTATTGTGAATAGTGCCACAATAAACATACGTGTGCATGTGTCTTTATAGCAGCATGATTTATAATCCTTTGGCTTATAAATAATAATAAGCCAAAGGATTATATAATAGGATGGCTGGGTCAAATGGTATTCCCAGTTCTAGATCCCTGAGGAATCGCCACACTGACTTCCACAAGGGTTGAACTAGTTTACAGTCCTACCAACAGTGTAAAAGTGATCCTATTTCTCCACATCCTCTTCAGCACCTGTTGTTTCCTGACTTTTTAATGATCGCCATTCTAACTGGTGTGAGATGGTATCTCACTGTGGTTTTGATTTGCATTTCTCTGATGGCCAGTGATGATCAGCATTTTTTCATGTGTCTTTTGGCTGCATAAATGTCTCCTTTTGCGAAGTGTCTGTTCATATCCTTCACCCACTTTTTGATGGGGTTGTTTGTTTTTTTCTTGTAAATTTGTTTGAGTTCATTGTAGATTCTGGATATTAGCCCTTTGTCAGATGAGTAGGTTGCAAAAATTTTCTCCCATTCTGTAGGTTGCCTGTTCACTCTGATGGTAGTTTCTTTTGCTGTGCAGAAGCTCTTTAGTTTAATTAGATCCCATTTGTCAACTTTGGCTTTTGTTGCCATTGCTTTTGGTGTTTTAGACATGAAGTCCTTGCCCATGCCTATGTCCTGAATGGTATTACCTAGGTTTTCTTCTAGGGTTTTTATGGTTTTAGGTCTAACATGTAAGTCTTTAATCCATCTTGAATTAATTTTTGTATAAGGTGTAAGGAAGGGATCCAGTTTCAGCTTTCTGCATATGGCTAGCCAGTTTTCCCAGCACCATTTGTTAAATAGGGAATCCTTTCCCCATTTCTTGTTTTTGTCAGGTTTGTCAAAGATCAGATAGTTGTAGATATGCGGCATTATTTCTGAGGGCTCTGTTCTGTTCCATTGGTCTATATCTCTGTTTTGGTACCAGTACCATGCTGTTTTGGTTACTGTAGCCTTGTAGTATGGTTTGAAGTCAGGTAGCGTGATGCCTCCAGCTTTGTTCTTTTGGCTTAGGATTGACTTGGCAATGAGGGCTCTTTTTTGGTTCCATATGAACTTTAAAGTAGTTTTTTTCCAATTCTGTGAAGAAAGTCATTGGTAGCTTGATGGGGATGGCATTGAATGTATAAATTACCTTGGGCAGTGTGGCCATTTTCATGATATTGATTCTTCCTACCCATGAGCATGGAATGTTCTTCCATTTGTTTGTATCCTCTTTTATTTCATTGAGCAGTGGTTTCTAGTTCTCCTTGAAGAGGTCCTTCACATCCTTTGTAAGTTGGATTCCTAGGTATTTTATTCTCTTTGAAGCAATTGTGAATGGGAGGTCACTCATGATTTGGCTCTCTGTTTGTCTGTTATTGGTGTATAAGAATGCTTGTGATTTTTGCACATTGATTTTGTATCCTGAGACTTTGCTTAAGTTGCTTATCAGCTTAAGGAGATTTTGGGCTGAGATTATGGGGTTTTCTAGATATACAATCATGTCATCTGCAAACAGGGACAATTTGACTTCCTCTTTTCCTAACTGAATGCCCTTTATTTGCTTCTCCTGCCTGATTGCCCTGGCCAGAACTTCCAACACCATGTTGAATAGGAGTGGTGAGAGAGGGCATCCGTGTCTTGTGCCAGTTTTCAAAAGGAATGCTTCCAGTTTTTGTCCATTCAGTATGATATTGGCTGTGGGTTTGTCATAGATAGCTCTTATTATTTTGAGATACGTCCCATCAATACCTAATTTATTGAGAGTTTTTAGCATGAAGAGTTGTTGAATTTTGTTAAAGGCCTTTTCTGCATCTATTGAGATAATCATGTGTTTTTTGTCTTTGGTTCTGTTTATATGCTGGATTACGTTTACTGATTTTCATATGTTGAACCAGCCTTGCCTCCCAGGGATGAAGCCCACTTGATCAAGGTGGATAAGCTTTTTGATGTGCCAGTATTAAGCTTTTATCGGTTTGCCAGTATTTTATTGAGGATTTTTGCATCAGTGTTCATCAAGGATATTGGTCTAAAATTCTCTTTTTTTGTTCTGTCTCTGCCAGGCTTTGGTATTAGGATGATGCTGGCCTCATAAAATGAGTTAGGGAGGATTCCCTCTTTTTCTATTGTTTGGAATAGTTTCAGAAGGAATGGTACCACCTCCTCCTTGTACCTCTGGTAGAATTCAGCTGTGAATCCATCTGGTCCTGGACTTTTTTTGGTTGGTAAGCTATTAATTATTGCCTCAATTTCAGAGCCTGTTATTGGTCTATTCAGAGATTCAACTTCTTCCTGGTTTAGTCTTGGGAGGGTGTATGTGTCGAGGAATTTATCCATTTCTTCTAGATTTTCTAGTTTATTTGCGTAGAGTTGTTTATAGTATTCTCTGATGGTAGTTTGTATTTCTGTGGGATCGGTGGTGATATCCCCTTTGTCATTTTTTATTGCGTCTATTTGATTCTTCTCTCTTTTCTTCTTTATTAGTCTTGCTAGCAGTCTATCAATTTTGTCGATCTTTTCAAAAAACCAGCTCCTGCATTCATTAATTTTTTGAAGGGTTTTTTGTGTCTCTATTTCCTTCAGTTCTACTCTGTTTTTTCTGTCTCTATCTCCTTCAGTTCTTCTCTGATCTCAGTTATTTCCTGCCTTCTGCTAGCTTTTGAATTTGTTTTCTGTTGCTTCTCTAGTTCTTTTAATTTTGATGTTAGGGTGTTGATTGTAGATCTTTCCTGCTTTCTCTTGTGGGCATTTAGTGCTATAAATTTTCCTGTACACCCTGCTTTAAATGTGTCCCAGAGATTCTGGTACATTGTGTCTTTGTTATCATTGGTTTCAAAGAACATCTTTATTTCTGCCTTCATTTTGTTATGTACCCAGTAGTCATTCAGGAGCAGGTTGTTCAGTTTCCATGCAGTTGTGTGGTTTTGAGTGAGTTTCTTAATCCTGAGGTTTAATTTGATTGTACTGTAGTCTGAGAGACTGTTTGTTATGATATCCGTTCTTTTGCATTTGCTGAGGAGTGTTTTACTTCAAATTATGTGGTCCATTTTAGTATAAGTATGATGAGGTGCTGAGAAGAATGTATATTCTGTTGATTTGGGGTGGAGAGTTCTGTAGATGTCTATTAGTTCCACTTGGTCCAGAGCTGAGTTCAAATCCTGGATATCCTTGTTAATTATCTGTCTCGTTGATCTGTCTAATATTGACAGTGGGGTGTTAAAGTCTCCACTATTATTGTGTGGGAGTCTAAGTCTCTTTGTAGGTCTCTAAGAACTTGCGTTATGAATCCGGATGCTTTTGTATTGGGTTCATATATATTTAGGATAGTTAGCTCTTCTTGTTGAATTGATCCCTTTACCATTATGTAATGCCTTTCTTTGTCTCTTGATCTTTGTTGGTTTGAAGTCTGTTTTATCATAGTCTAGGATTGCAGCTCCTGCTTTTTTTTTGCTTTCCATTTGCTTGGTAGATCTTCCTCCATCCCTTTATTTTGAGCCTATGTGTTCCTTTGCACGTAAGATGGGACTACGGAATACAGCACACTGATGGGTCTTGATGCTTTATCCAATTTGCCAGTCTGTGTCTTTTAATTGGGGCATTTAGCCCATTTACATTTAAGGTTAATATTGTTATGTGTGAACTTGATCATGCCATTATGATGCTAGCTGGTTATTTTGCCCGTTAGTTGATGCAGTTTCTTCATAGTGTTGATGATCTTTACAATTTGGTATATTTTTGCAGTGGCTGGTACTGGTTGTTTCTTTCCATGTTTAGTGCTTCCTTCAGGAGCTCCTATAAGGCAGGCCTGGTGATGACAAAATCTCTCAGCATTTTCTTGTCTTTAAAGGATTTTATTTCTCCTTTGCTTATGAAGCTTACTTTGGCTGGATATGAAATTCTGGGTTATGAATGTTGAATATTGGCCCCTACTCTCTTCTGGCTTGTAGAGTTTCTGCTGAGAGAGCCACTTATAGTCTGATGGGCTTCCCTTTGTGGGTAACCTGACATTTCTCTCTGGCTGCCCTTAACATTTTTGCTTCATTTCAACCTTGGTGAATCTGACAATTATGTCTGTTGGGGTTGCTCTTTTTGAGGAGTATCTTTGTGATGTTCTCTTTATTTTCTGAATTTGAATGTTGGCCTGCCTTGCTAGGTTGGGGAAGTTCTCTTGGATAATATCCTGAAGCGTGTTTTCCAACTTGGTTCCATTCTCCCCGTCACTTTCAGGTACACCAATCAAACATAGATTTGATCTTTTCACATAGTCCTATATTTCTTGGAGGCTTTTTTTTTTGTTCCTTTTTATTCTTTTTTCTCTAATCTTGTCTTCTCATTTTATTTCATTAAGTTGATCTTCAATCTCTGATATCGTTCTTCTGCTTGATTGATTTGGCTATTGATACTTGCGTATGCTTCACGAAGTTCTTGCGCTATGTTTTTCAGCTCCATCAGGTCATTTATGTTCTTCTCTAAACTGGTTATTCTAGCAAGCAATTCATCTAACCTTTCTTCAAGGTTATTAGCCCCCTTGCATTGGGTTAGAACATGCCCCTTTAGCTCAGAGGAGTTTGTTATTACCCACCTTCTGAAGCCTACTTCTGTCAATTCATCAAACTCGTTCTCCGTCCAGTTTTGTTCCCTTGCTGGCCAGGAGTTGTGATCCTTTGCAGGAGAAGCGGCATTCTGGTTTTTGAAATTTTCAGCCTTTTGCACTGGTTTCTCCCCATCTTTGTGGATTTATCTACCTTTGGTCTTTAATGATGGTGACCTTCAGTGGGGTCTTTGAGTGGACGTGCTCTTCCTTTCTGTTTGTTAGTTTTCCTTCTAACAGTAAGGCCCCTCTGCTGCAGGTCTGCTGGAGTTTTCTGGAGGTCCACTCCAGACCCTGTTTGCCTGAGTATCACCAGCAGAGGCTGCAGAACACCAAAGATTGCTGCCTGTTCTTTCCTCTGGTAGCTTTGTCCCAGAGGGGCACCTGCCAGATACCAGCCAGAGCTCTCCTGCATGAGGTGTCTTTCGGCCCCTACTAGGAGTGTCTCCCAACCAGGATACACGGGGGTCAGGGACCCACTTGATAAGGCAGTCTGACCCTTAGCAGAGCTCAAATGCTGTGCTAGGAGGTCCGCTGCTCTCTTCAGAGCGATCAGGCAAGGGATTAAGTCTGCTGAAGCTGTGCCCACAGCTGCCCCTTCCCCCAGGTGCTCTGTCCCAGGGAGATGGGGGTTTTATCTATATGTTCCTGACTGTGGCTGCTACCTTTTTTTCAGAGATGCCCTGCCCAGAGAGGAGAAATCTGGCAGTCTAGCCACAGCGGCCTTACTGAGCTGCAGTGAGCTCCACCCAGTTCAAACTTCCTGGTGGCTTTGTTTACACTGTGAGGGTAAAACCGCCTACTCAAGCCTCAGCAATGGCAGATGTCCCTCCCTCCACCAAGCTCCAGAGTCCCCAGTCGGTGGATCTCAGACTGCTGCTTTGCTGGCAGCAAGAATTTCAAGCCAGTAGATCTTAGTTTGCTGGGCTCTGTGAGGTTGGGACCTGCCAAGCCAGACCACTTGGCTCCCTGGCTTCAGCACCCCTTTCCAGGGGAGTGAATGGTTCTGTCTCACTGGTGTTCCAGGCGCCACTGGAGTATGGGAAAAAACAAAACAAACAAACAAAAAAAAACCTCCTGCAGCTAGTTCAGTGTCCACCCAAACAGCTGCCCAGTTTTGTGCTTGAAACCCAGGTCGCTGGTGGGGTAGGCACTGGAGGGAATCTCCTGGTCTGCGGGTTACAAAGAACGTGGGAAAAGCACGTTTCTTTTTCTTTCTGGGCCAGATGGCACGGTTCCTCAGGCTCAGTCCCTCACAGCTTTCCTTGTGCTTCCTGGGTGAGGCGATGCCCCACCCTGTTTTGGCAAGCCCTCCATGAGCTGTATCCACAGTTCAACCAGTCCCAATGAGATGAACCGGGTACCTCAGTTGGAAATGCAGAAATCACCCGCCTTCTGCATCAATCTCACTGGGAGCTGCAGACCACAGCTGTTCCTATTCGGCCATCTTGCCAGCAAATGCTCCCAAAATAGCAGCTTTAAGGAAACTCAGTGATCTCCAAGATAACGGAGAAAAGCAATTAAGAAACTTATCAGATAAATTTAACAAAGAGGTTGAAATAAAAATAAGCCAAACAGAAATCTTGGAACTGAGAAATATATTTGCTGAACTGAAAAACTTATTAGAGGCTCTCAACAGCAGAATGGATCAAGCACAGGAAAGAATTAGTGAGCTCAAAGACAGGCTCTTTGAAAATACAGTCAAAGGAGAAAAAGGAAAAAAGAATGAAAAAGAATGAAGATTCCCTACAAGATATACAAAGTTACCTCAAAAGACCAAATCTAAGAAGTATCGGTATTTAAGAGGAAGTTGAGTAAGAAAAGGGGGTAGAAAGTTTATTCAAAGAAGTAATAACAGAATAATCTCCAAAATTTGAAAAATATATAAATATTTAGGTACAGGAAGGTTAGAGAATATTACACAAATTTAACTCAAATAAGACTACCACAAGGAATATAATAACCAAACACTCAAAGGTCAAGTACAAAGAGAGGTTTCTAAAAGTAGCAAGAGGAAAGAAGCAAATCATATATAAAGAAGCTCCTATTTGTCTGGCAACAAAGTTCTCAGTGCAAACCGTACAGGTCAAGAGGCAGTAGGAGGACATTTTTAAAGCACTCAAAGAAAAAAAAACCTTCCATTCTTTACTGGGTACGGTAAAGAATAAAGTAAAAAATAAAGAATAAATAAAAAAGTATTATAAAGTAAATACCTTTTTAAAGAATAAAGTAAAAAATAAAGAATAGCTTTCCTGTTTTCAGTGAAGCTATTCTTCAGCTATGAAAGGAAGTCTTTCTCAGACAATAAAAACAAAAGCTGAGACAATTCACTGCCACAAGACCCATCTTACAAGAAATATCAATGAGAGTTCTTCAATCTGTAAAAAGAAAATACTAACATGCAAACAAAAAAAAAAACTGAACGTATAAAACCCATAGGTAAAATTAAATGTAAGGACAAACCCAGAATATTTTTATATTGTAATTGTGATGTGCAATCCACTTATAATGCTAGTGTGAAGCTCAAAGGACAAGTCTATCAAAAGCAATAACAGATATAACAACCTTTAAAAGTAATATAAAAATGTGTAAATTGAAACAACATAACATCAAAATGGGAGAGGAATGGAGTTAAAGTGTAGAGGTTTTTTCAAACAATTTTTTCTTTGTTTCTATTCTTTTCTTTTTCAAATATGTTGTCCTCTCTTTGAAATAACTTGTTATATCTATTTTTGTAAGCCTCGTAGTAATAATCACAATGCAAAACCCTGTGATAGATTCATGACAAATTAAAAGCAATGCCAAAAAATATTACCAGAGACAAATCACTTAGCTACAAAAGAAGGCAGTGATAAAGAAAGAAAGGAGGAGAGGAGTTTACAAAAAAAAAAAAAAAAAAAAAAAAATCAGAAAACGAGCACCAAACTGGCAGAAGTGAGTCCTTATTTATCAATAACAATGAATGTAATTCGATTCAATTCTCCAATTAAAAGACAAAGAGTACCTGAAAGGACAAAGCAACAAAACCCATCTCTAAGTTGCCTACAAGAAACCCACTTCACCTATAAAGATACACATGCACTGACAGTGAAAGGGTGGCAAAAATTTCCATGCAACTGAAAACCAAAAAACAGCAAGAGTAGCTGTACTTCCATCAGATAAATAGACTACAAATCAAAGACTGTAAAAAGAAACAAGTTTACTATATAATGATAAAGGGGTCAACTTAGCAAGAGAATATAACAATTATAAATATGTATGAACCCAACACCAGAACTCCCAAGTATATGAAGCAAATGTTAATAGATCTAAAGGGAAAGACAGACTGCAATAAAGCAATCGTAGGAGACTTCAATGGCCTACTCTTAATAATGGAGATCATCCAGATAGAAAAATTAACAAAGAATCTTAGTACTTAAACTACACACTACGCACTAGACCAAATAGGCCTGACATTTACAGAACATGTCATCCAACTGCTGCAGAATACATATTCTTTTCATCAACACATGGAACATTCTTGAGCACAGACCATATCTTAGGCCACAAAACAAGTCTCATCAAGTTCAAAAATAGAAATCATATCCAGTATCTTTTCTGACCACAAAGAAATAAAAGTAGAAACCAATAACAAGAGGAATCTCAGAAACTACACGATTACCTAGAAATTAAGTAGCATGCTCCTGAATGATCAATGGGTCAACATATAATCAAGAAGAAAACTTAAAAATTCTTGAATAAAATGAAGATGGAAATACAACATACCAAAACCTATGGAATAAAGAATAAGGAATACTAAGACAGAAATTTATAGCAATAGACTTCATCAAAAAAGTAAAAACATTTCAAATAAACGACTTAACAATGCACCCCAAGGAACTAGAAAAGCAAGAACAACCCAAACCCAAATTAGTAGAAGGCAAGAAATAAAAAAGAGCAGAGCAGAAATAAATGAAATTGTGATTATGAAAACAATTGAGAAAGCCAATTCAATAAAGACTTGGTTTTTTTGTAAAGATAAACAAAATTGACAAACCTTTAGCTACACTAAGAAAAAAAGAGAGAAGATTCAAAGTAAATCAGAAACAAAAAAGGAAACATAACAACTGAGAACTCAGAAATACACAGAACCATTAGAGACTATTATGAACAGATAACACACTAACAAATGGGAAAACCTGAAAGAAACTGATAAATTCCTGAACACATGAAACCTACCAAGACTGAACCATGAAGAAATAGAAATCTTCACAAACCAATAACAAGTAACGAGATAGAAGTTGTAATAAAAACACTCTCATCAAAGAGAAAACCAGAACCTGATGGTTTCACTATTGAACTCTACCAAATATTTAAAGATGAACTATTAACAGTTCTCAAACTCTTCAAAAATATTGAAGAGGAGGCAGTACTTTCAAACTCATTCTACACTGTGGCTCATACCTATAATCCCAGCACTTTTGGAGGCTGAGGCAGGAGGATTGCTTGAAGCTAGGAATTTGAGACCAGCCTGGGCAACTTAGTGAGAATGATTCTATATATATATATAATATTCTATATATATATTCTATATATATATACTATATGTATATATATACACTTTTTAAAATATTTATATATTTTATATATGTATTTTAAAATATATATATTTTATATATGTATTTTAAAATATATATATTTTATATATGTATTTTAAAATATATATATTTTATATATGTATTTTAAAATATATATATTTTATATATGTATTTTAAAATATATATATTTTATATATGTATTTTAAAATATATATATTTTATATATGTATTTTAAAATATATATATTTTATATATGTATTTTAAAATATATATATTTTATATATGTATTTTAAAATATATATATTTTATATGTATTTTAAAATATATATATTTTATATGTATTTTAAAATATATATATTTTATATATGTATTTTAAAATATATATATTTTATATATGTATTTTAAAATATATATATTTTACATATGTATTTTAAAAAATATATATTTTATATATGTATTTTAATAGAGAATGGTTCTCACTATGTTGCCCAGGCTGGTCTCAAAATATATATATATATTTATATATTATTTATATTTATATTATTATATTATTTATATTTACATTTTTTATAATTATAAATATATTATTTATATTTATATTTATATATTTATATATTATTTATATTATAATTTATATATAATTTCTATATAATTAATATATTTGATATATAATTTATATTAAATTATTATATATATATTATATATAATTTATTTATATTTATATATTATATATTTATATTAATATAAATATATTTATATATATAAATATATTTATATTACATATATTATATATATTTATATATATAAATATATTTATATTACATATATTATATATATTTTTATATATAAATATATTTATATTACATATATTATATCTATTTATATATTTTATGTATATTTATATATTATATATATTTGTATATATTATATATATTTTATATATATTATATATATATTTTATATGTATTTATATTTTTATATATATTTTATATATCTTTATATATATCTTATGTATATTTATATATATTTTATATATTTATATATTATATATTTGTATATAATATATATTTATATATATTTTATATATATTTATATAGATTATATATATTTTTATATATTTTATATATTTATATATTATATATATTTATACATATTTTATACATTCATATATTATATATATTTATATATATTTTATATATTTATATATTATATATTTATATATATTTATATATTTATATATTGTATATATTTATATATATATTTATATATTTATATATTGTATATATTTATATATATTTTATATATTGATATATATTATATATTTATATATTTTATATATTGATATATATTATATATATTCATATATATTTTATATATTTATATATATTATATATTTATATATATTTTATATATTTATATATTATATATATTTATATATATTTTATATATTTATATATTATACATTTATATATTATATATATTTATATATTATATATATTTATATATTATATATTTATATATTATATATATTTATATATTATATATATTTATATATAGTTTATATATTTATATATTTTATATATTTATATATTTTTATATATATTTATATATTTTTATATATTTTTATATTGTTTATATATTTATGTATTTATATATTTATATATATTTTATATATTTATATTATATATTTATATATTATATAAATATATAATATAAATATATGTTTATATTATATATTATATATAATACATATAAAATATATATTTTCAGTAGAGTATACATATAAGATATACATTTTAAGTAGAGTATATATATATTTCAGTAGAGTGTGTGTGTGTGTATTTATATATACATATAAATATATACACATATATATACACACACACACACTCAGGAGGCTGAGGCAAGAGGATTGCTTCAGCCCAGGAGTCTGAGGCTGCAGTGAGCTATAATTGTATTACTGCACTCCAGTCTGGGTGACATAGCAAGACTCTGTCCCTAAAAATAATAGTAGTAAATTTTTTAATTTAAAAATTAAAAAAAATAAAGCAAACACATTCTATGAGGCCAACATTACCATGATACCAAAACCAAACAAAAAGCAACAACAAAAATTACAGGCCAATATCACTGATGACCATAGATGCAAAAATTCTCAACAAAATATTGGCAAACTGAATTCACCAATATGTTAAAAAATCATTCACCATGATCTAATGGGATTCATGTCAGAAGTGCAAGGATGGTTGAACATACATAAATCAGTAAGTGTAGTACATAACATGAAGAGAATGAAGGACAAAAACCGTATGATCATCTCAATAGATGCTAACAAACTATGCAATAAAATTCAACATCCCTTTATGATAAAAACCCTCAACATACTGGCTATATAAGGAACATACCGCAAAATAATAAATACCATATATGATAAACCCACAAGACAAAGATGTCCACTTTCATCATTTTTATTCAAAATAATACTGGAAATATTGGCCAGAGAAATTAGGCAAAAGAAATAAATAAAAGACATCTAAATTGGAAAGGAAAAAGTCAAACTAGCATTTCTCACAGATGACATGATCTTATATTCAGAAAAACCTAAAGACTTCACCAGAAACCTTTTAAAACTGATAAACAATTTCAGTAAAATTTCAGCACACAAAATGAACATGTAAAAATCAGTAGCATTAAATACACCAATAAAGAACTATCTGAAAAAAATCAAGAAAGGGGCCAGGCACAGTGGCTTTCACCTGTATTCCCAACACTTTGGGAGGCTGAGGTGGGAGGAGTTTGAGACCAGGCTCTGCAACATGGCAAGATGCCATCACTACATTAAAAAAAATAAAATAAAATTGGACCCCTTCCTTGTGCCATATACAAAAATCAACTCAAGATGGATTAAAGACTTAAATGTAAAACACAAAACTATAAAAACCCCAGAAGAAAACCTAGGCAATACCATTCAAGACATAGACGTGAGCAAAGATTTCATGACGAAAACCTCAAAAGCAATTGCAACAAAAGCAAAAATTGACAAATGAAATCTAATTAAACTAAAGAGCTTCTGCATAGCAAAATAAATTATCATTAGCGTGAAGAGACTACCTACACAGTGGGAGAAAATTTTTGCAATCTATCCATCAGACAAAGGTCTAATATCCAGAATCTACAAGGAACTTAAACAAATTTACAAGAAAAAAACAACCTCATTAAAAAGTTGGAAAAGGACATGAACAGACACTTCTCAAAAGAAGACATTTGTGTGGCCAACAAACATTTGAAAAAAAGCTCAAGGTCACTGATCATTAGAGAAATGCAAATCAAAACCACAATGAGATACTATCTCATGCCAGACAGAATGACAATTACTAAAAAGTCAAGAAACAACAGATGCTGGCGAAGCTATGGAGAAAAAGGAACACTTTTACACAGTTGGTGGGAATGTAAATTAGTTCAACCATTATGGAAGACAGTGTGGCAATACTGTCCAGAAATACCATTTGATCCACAAATCTCATTACTGGATATATACCCAAACGAATATAAATCACTCTATTAGAAAGATACATGCACACATATGTTCACTGCTACACTATCCACAATAGCAAAGACATGGAATCAACCCAAATGCTCATTGATGATAGACTGCATAAAGAAAATGTGGCACATATACACCATGGAATACTATGCCATCATAAAAAAGAATGAGATCATGTCTTTGCAGGACATGGATGGAGCTGGAAGCCATTATCCTCAGCAAACTAATACAAGAACAGAAAATCACACATCACATATTCTCACTTATAAGTGGGAGATGAACAATGAGTACACATGGACATAGGGAGAGGAACAACACGCCCTGGGGCCTGTTGGTGGGGGTAGGGGGGAGGCAGAGCATTAGGTAGGGGGAGGGAGAGCTAATGCATATGGGGCTTAATATCTAGGTGATAGGTCAACAAGTGCAGCAAACCACCATGGCATACGTTTACCTATGTAACAAACCTGCACATCCTGCACATGTATCCTAGAACTTAAAATAAAATTACATTTAAAAAAATAGCCAAGCATGGTGGTGCATGTCTTTACTTCCAGCTACTTGGGAGGCTGAGGTGGGAAGATTGCTTGAGTCTAGGAGATTGAGGCTGCACTGAGCTGTGATCAGGCCCCTGCACTTCAGCTTGGACAACAGAGCAAGACCCTGTCTCAAAAAAAAAAAGAAAGAAAGAAATCAAGAAGGTAATCCCATTTAAAATAGCTATACAAAATATAAAATACCTAGGAATCAATTTAACAAAAGAAGTGAAAAAAATCTATGTAAGGGAAACTATAAAACATTAAAGAAAGAAATTGAAATGGACACACAAAAAAATGAGAGATATTCCATGCTTATGGATTGGAAGAATTAATTTTGTCAAAATGACAATACTGCTATGTATTATTTTGTTCTCATGCTGTTAATTAAGACATACACAAGACTGGGTAATTTATAAAGGAAAGTGGTTTAATGGACTCACCGTTCCATATGGCTGAGGGGGCCTCACAACCATGGCGGAAGACAAAGCAAAAGCACGTCTTATATGGTGGCAGACAAGGGGGCGTGTGCAGGGGAACCCCCATTTATAAAACCGTCAGATCTCATGAGACTTATTCACTATCACAAGAATAACACGGGAAAGACCCAGCCCCATGATTCAATTACTTCCCATTTGGTGCCTCCCATGATACATGGGAATTACAGGAGCTACAATTCAAGATGAGATTTGGGTGGGGACACAGCCAAACCATATCATGCTCAAAGCAATTTACAGATTCAATGCAATCCCTATCAAAGTACTAATGGCATCCTGCATAGAAATAGAAACAATAATCCTAAAATTTATATGAAACCACAAAATATACCGAATAGCCAAAACAATTGTGGTAGTCTGCTTTGCATTGCTATAAAGGAATACCTGAGGCTAGGTAATTTATAAACAAAAGAGGTTTATTTGGCTGAAGATTCTTCAGGCTGTATGAGAAGCATACTGCTGGCATCTGCATCTGCTTCTGGTGAGGGACTCAGGAAGCTTACAACATTGGTCGAAGGCAAAGAAGGAGAGAGAGAAGAGCAGGAACAAAGAAGAAAAGAAGAGAGGAGGAAAGAGAGAGAAGAGGAGGTGCCAGGCTGTTTTAAACAACCAGCTCTTGTGTGAACTAATAGAGTGAGAACTCACTCATTACCATGGGAAGGGCACCAAGCCATTCGTGAGCAATCTGCCCCCAGGACCCAAACACATGGCTGGGCCTTACTTCCAAGGGTAGACCATAAATAGTGATGCAACTTCACCATAGTCTCTTGGACCATTTGTTATGAAGGTACCAACTGTCATACACTATAATGACACTCAAGCAGCCCCAGGACCCATATGGAAAGGCTGAAGCCCTGGGCCAACAGCCAACACTGACTTGCTAACCATGAAAATGAATAACCTTGACAATGAATCCTCCAGCACCAGTCAAGCCTCAGGGTGACTGAAGTGCCAGCAAAAAACTGACTGTAACCAGGAGAAATCATTAGTGAGAAGAACCTGGCTGATCCCTTCCCAGATTTCTGATACTCCAATTTCATAAGCATAATAACATTTAGGGACAATGATTATGCACCATTACATAACTTGTGACTTGATTACTATTCTCATAATGGTACTTAAAAGAGGAGTTTGTGAAGTTGATGTCTTAATAATGCTCATAACCCCCAACTCTAAGTACTTTGTAAGTGGCACACTAAATTTCTTTCAAACAAATTACATTCTTTCTTATTATATACTTGAGAGGTGGGCATGGAAGGGCTTTTTAAATGAATTTTATTTTAAATTTGAAGAAATTAATACTTAGAGTTTAAACAACAAACCCAATTTTCCTTAGCTGGTTAGCAGCAAATCCAGGATCAAAACACATGTCTTTCAATGCAATCCTTCCTGCTGCACATCACCAGGAATTTTCAGCACTACCTCAAGGCAACAATAGAGACTTAGGGTCAGAGCTTTCTGTTGATCCTCAAAGTGTAGCATGTGTGTACTGGGATCATCCACATTTGCAAGTAAAGGATCAAATGAGACAACACAAGGTGCAGCTGTTGAAGCAGACCTGTGGTGGATAACCAGGCAGGAGTGAGCTAAGGTTGTTACTGTAAAAACAGAATACTACATACAACCGCTTTTGTTCATTTCTCTGTCTACTAATACTTTCCAGACTCCAAAATTTAGACATCTTGAAAATCCTGCTGCAGCTTTTCCTTTCCAAGGATTTGGTCAAGATTATAGACACATGTGCTTGGAACGTCCTAATTCTGTGTGTTATAATGTGTTTTCCATTTGTGATTTCACTGAAGACTCCTAATATCTAGAACAGTCTCACAGACTCCAAGACACTTAACACCAAGTCCTGTTTGATAATAAAGACATTCTTTTTCTCTGACAGGCCAAAATAAATGTGCACACCAAGATTTTTTGTTGGTTATTCATTTATTTTGCAAAAATGGAAATTTTGCAATCTTTTCAATACATTTATTTTCATGTCCTCTATCACTCTCCAACTTATGTCCTGATTTGTTCCAAGTTCAACACTTTGGATTTCCCACTAGGTTGTGAAATCCAGTGTAAAAGACACACTCCTATTCCATTGCTTCTTCCTCCAAGGCTCTGAACCCTTTAATTATAGGAATAAATAGCAAGGCTAGCATTGGAGAGGGAAAAGTCATGAAATGATAGCTTGAAATGGTTTTTAAAAGGAGCAAGCCTTGGCCCAACCCCTTTACTTGGGAGAGTCAGCCTTTTTTTTTTTTTTTTTGTCTAGAACAGTGATTCACCTCCTTACCTGCATATCAGAATCATTCTACAAGTGCCAACTAATGTCTGGGGTTCACCTCAGAGCAATGAAATTAATTCAGTATCTCTGGGATGGCATTAAGATTTTCAACCAGTTCTCCAGGTAACTTCAAGATACAGCTAGAGTAGGGAGCATAAGTCTAAGGTATGGTTTTGGGGTTGCTTGAAAATGACAGAGATTCCTCATTTTCCTTCACAAGCTTGCTTTCTAATCATGATCTGCCTCTGACAATAAAAGGCACTATAGTTGGAGATGACCAGGTCAGCCTCCTATGTTGCTTCATGGTCGCGTCAGTACTGAGCAAGACATAAGCTTACATTTTCTACCTGGCCCTGAGGAAGCTTGATCTTAAATGTTAGGACACTGTACAAATTTTACTGACTCTTTTTGCCTTCATTTACCCCAGGTCTTGAGGGTAAAATTACCCAGCGAACACAGTATGTCTTATTTAACAGGCTGAGTGCAATGATGATAATAGCCCTACCCTGTGTTAGTTGTAGCCACATTTTAGAAGTAATTGTCTTTAATGCTGCCCATGTTTTAATAATAGGCAGGATATCATTATAAACGAAGTTCATTATTGCTTTTAAATGGCTCCCTGGTGCATGATCTTGCCCCATCCTACTTACTTAATCCTGCCACTTACATGCCTATATAGATCACTTTCTTATAGAAACTCCATATTCTCATAAAATTTCCTCTCCTATGAGAGAGGCTTTAGGCCTTCTCGTAATCATCACATAAGTCATCAAAGCATTCACAGATCTATGTCATCATCCAGTTTGACTTGAAGCTCTGAAAGTAGTGATCTGTTTTTCATAACTCTCTGTATTCAAGTGACCATTACAGTAATCTGCTCATAATGGATGTTTCACAGGTGCATAAAATAAATGCATGCAAATGTCCTCCGTTTAATTTCCCCCTGTAAATGGGCAGTATTTCTCTATGCTGGAAAAAAGAAAGTCTGGATATAGAATGGCAAGACTATACAACAGATCCTTTTAGATATTGTGCCATTTTACAGATTCAGGAGTAATGAACAGTAAAACTCCTTGAACATTAAAATTATATAAGCTTCATCTTCTAAATAAGTCAAAAGCATGAGAATGACAGAACTTTAAATGTAGCTGCCTTGAGAGTGCTATATTTACATGGTGGGCAAAGGTAGTTAACCTTGGCTTGTATGCCAGATTCTGTGGGCGAATTTAATATCTTGTATTGCCTATATTCATTTTGTTTTCCAATTTGTGTACATTGGATATATATTAGAATTAGGAATTTTAGTTATAAATATTTCTAATGATATCTGTTTTCTCTCTAAAAAATTACCTTACCTTTCTTTTTTTTTTTGACATTTCATTCCACCCACATGTTCTGGGATGCTCAGAATAAATAGAGGTACTAATAGAGATCAAGCAGTGATTTATTATCTTATTTGTAGTTTCCCTTTAATATATTAAATTGAATCTCTTGGCAAATAATTATCAATTACTTTATTTGCTATGCCCATCAAAATCTCACTCGACCTGTTTAACAAACATGATAGAAAATTGATTTTTCTCTTTTTTATGAAAAAAAGATCAACAAAGATTAAATACAGGCTAAATAGATTAAATAATGATATTTGACTCAGAACAAATACTAACTACTGAGAAAATGAATATGATATAGAGAGTTGTATAATGTAATGAAGGTATCCCCAAATCCCTCCATATTTTGGCAATAATGATACTATTACAGAAAGCATAAAGTCCCAACTAAAGGAAAACAACAGATGAAAAACTCTTTGTGCATTATGGTTAATAGGATTGTTTTTGTATACCTGTTTAAGGAAAACTCATTTTTTTTTCTTGAAATAATCCATTTAAACTAGATTTCTACAAAAAAATACTTTTTTATATTTCAATAATGGAGAAAAAAGGCATGACCTTAGAACTTCTGTGGTTCTATGAAAAAGCTTATAACAAAATCAATGGCTTTTCTTGTGCCTAGACAATAACACAGGTTAATTTTTGTTTTAAATAGAGAATATCATACACACACACCATATTTTATTTTGCTTAATGTATCCACACAAATTTATTGAGTACTTATTGAGCCAGGGATTGGAGACAGTCAAAACACAAATAAGGTCTCCGCTCTCATAAATACATGTTCTATCTACAGGAGGCAGAAAATAGACAAGTAATCAATTTGTAAATGAAATAATATTGCATGGTGGTAGGAGTTAAAACTAAAGTAAAAGCACAGAGTGTTGGGCAAAGGAATGCTATTTTAGATAAAATGTGAAATCTTTTTCAAGGGGCTGGCATATAAGCAGAAACTAGAATGTTGACAAGGAGCTGGCCACGTAAAACTTGATGCAAAAGAAGCTTGCTTCAAGCAGGGGAACAGCGAATGTGAGAGCCAGCAGGGGGCTGGCTGGTTCACCACACAAATTATTGTTTATGATGTCTGTTTGAATGCCTTTTTGAATTAAAAAAGTAAATTACTGCTAAAATCATCAAAGTATGACTTACTGACTAAATCGGTCAGTACCTGTCCTGAGAACAGTGACGATTTGCATTTATTTGGCCACTTTAATTTTCATACACTTTAATTCAGCAGACAATTTGCAATTTTGTGTCTGGCAAAATCTCCCCATGAAAAGTAGTATACAGATGAGGAAAAGCTTCTGATTTATCATTCAGGTCATTCAGGATCCAAATCACAATCTCCTCCCCTCCCAATAAAATAATATAACCACTTCACTGCACCGGCTGAGGGCTTTTCAGGATTGAGTCCATCTTACAATTGCCCATTTCAACAAGATTTGGCTGTCCACCATCTGCAGTACGCATTTTGTCATGAAAACAATGCCAGTTCCACAACATCAAACAACATAACCGTGACAGTCATGGAAGGGAGGCCATATCCCCAACAATTCCTAATAGAGCTTTTGTGCTGCTGTTAGAATTTTTCTTAAGAAAGATCACTTTCTAACATTAGAGCTGGGGACCGTAACTCATTAACAAAATAAGAGATTCATTTGGTTTTGGTTAAAAATGAGATGAGAATGTGTTTTGAAGACATGAAAGTCTAAATTAGAAGGGGGAAAATGCAAATAACAACTGAAACCTGCCTTCAAAAATAGTAGGCGAGCTGTCTCAGCAGGAAAATGGAAAACAACCAAGAACTAAGAATCAAAAGTTTTAGCACAGTTTCTGCTATTTACTCATTAATGTTTGTGCATCTTTTAGATAGTAATATACATGCAGAGATTACAGCATATTTCCTAGACAATAAGTGTGTTGTGACACATAAATAATGAATAGTAAAATGTGACTGAAACCTTCCTAAAACAGGAGAGCATCTGCACACCTTGATATTTCTGAATGGTTCAATTAATGAAAAGTAATTAACAGATATCTATATAAAGACATAGATTTATTATTTTAAAGAGGATACTTTCCCTTACTGTAATGAAAAACAAAGTTATTCTTCCCAGTAGAGGTCATGCAAGGGTCTATAATTAAGGAGTGTTTGTAATTAAGACCTTTGCATATGTGAAAAGTATTGTAGAGTAATTATAAACATTTAATTTTTTAAATGCATTCATTGTTTCCTTTATAATCTTTTAACACATTTGGTTTTGCATTTGGATACATTTAGCATCATACAAAAATAAACCCCAATGCCCATATTTTATCATTTTTGATCTTACCAATTGAAAAATGTCAAACACCATCAACATTTAGAATGGCTATATTTTCAGAACTAAAATTAGAAAGAATATAAGAATTATAAATATTGGAATATTCGAGGACTTTAAAATAATTCTTAAGGATTATTCTTCTTAATGGCACTTAGTTCTCCTTAATTATCTCCTTAGTAGGCTCGACTATTGAACAAGACTCTCCAGCACATCCCAGGACACATGATGGCCACACTTATATTTTAGTTGTTATGGCTTTGACCTGCACATTCAAATTGCAGCCATGTTGGTGATATGGTTTGACTCCATGTCTCCACCCAAATCTCATCTCAAATTATAATCCCTACATGTTGAAGGAGGGACCTGGTGGGAGGTGACTGGATCATGGAGGCGGTTTCCCCCATGCTATTCTCATGATAGTGAGTGAGTTCTCCCAAGAGCTGATGGTTTTAAACTGTGGCACTTCCTCCCTCACTCAGTCTCTCTCCTGCCACCTTGTGAAGGTGCTTGCTTCCCCTTCCCCTTCTGCCATGATTGTAAGTTTCCTGAGGCCTCCTCAGCCATGCAGAAATGTGAGTCAATTAAACCACTTTTGTTTATAAATTACCCAGTTTCAGGCAGTATCTTTATAGCAGTGTGAGAATGGACAAATAATAATTGGCATGCCCTTTCATAAATTTATATTTTTGCATAATCCTGGTCCTTCTCTCTAGCCTACACTCTTAACTTCTTCATGTAGGGAATTCCTCTTCATTCTCTATGTCCCAACTTAAATAGTAACAATTTCTATATATTAAAATCAGCTTCTGTCTATCAAGTAGCTAATAAGTACCAGGAATTAGGCTAAGCACTTTCCAAACATCATCTCATTTATTATTTACAATAAATCTGTGACATTTTCTAGATATGAAACTTCAATAAAGAGGTTAACACAAGTGCTTTCAAGCTATTTATAATAAAGGACCATCATTTTTATTTTTAATCTGTCATTGACTAAAACTTTTCTAAAATGTAGTAAAAATAAATAGCTAAAATCATGAAATTTAAAAGGCTATAAAAATACAAATTCAATTTATTTATTATTAGATTACATAAATATAAAATTAATCAATCTGTTCTAAAGGTTTCTAGCTCTACATTTCTGTGCTTTGTCATCAATGACTGATGGCAGACTTCTTTTATCAGCTCATAGCATACTTCTTTCACCTGTTCTTATCCTGGAACTATACTTTGAGTAGCACTGTTTAGCAACTTGTTACTCCTGTAGCAGATCAACATTATTTTGACTGCAAGGTTTTGTTCTGCACTTTTAATCACCAAGGCTTCTTTTTACATTTTAGGAACCTAGACCAAATTATCAATAGGCCCAAGCAAGAAATGCCTTTCTCAGACACCTTTTCACACTAAGGCTTACCTCATTTCCTGACCTCAATCTGACCTTTCTCTGTATGACTGACAGTGGGAACAGTAGGGAATTATCAAGGAAACCCCACCCATCAGGGTGCGGTCCTATGACTCATCAGAACAAAGTAGTCCACTGTGCCTGCAGTGAAGTTATTCAATCTTAGATAATGCCACACATGGAGCATCAGGTTCCTCTCGTCAGGCTTCCTCCAGGGAGCTTCATGCCTACCAGTGTTTCCAACATTCTTGATGATCTTCTTTTCAGATTTCCTGCAATCAGTTGCCTGAAAGTTTTACACCCACAACTCTGAGAATAAGCAATAATCTACAGCACTGGGCAGTTTTGGAAAAGGAACATTTCTCCCAAAGACAACCAAATCCACAGAGGCCAGGTTCTACTAAAAGGGACTCAATTAACATTTCCCAATAGAACAAATAACTTCTTAGACCGGAAACATCTGCATGCAAGTAATAGCCCTGTCTTTCTTCAGCATAATGTGGGGACCTAGTTTTACAATTTCATCCCTTAAAGACTCATTGTGCTGTGTGTTTTTCCTCAAAAAATAAATGGGTGGTCTAGCTTAAAAGTAAATACAAGTGTCTAAAATTTAGACAACAAAAAATGTATAACACCATTTACTTTTTTTTCCAAGTCATACTCACAGTTTAGAAGAATGCTAGTCCTGTTTCAGTCAGTCATTTTAATTCATAATTCAATATACACAGTCTATTTCAGAATTTTATAACTTGCTATGAATACCAATCGCCCCTTCCCTTGAAATACCCCAAACCTAAAATAAACACTGGAATATATTTCTGATACATTTAACAGCACGAGGAAGATTCATTGTAAGTTACATAGCTGAATATTATCACAAGAGAAAAGGTAGGTGAACAGATGCACCTAATTCGATGTGAGTCACTCGACCTGGCACTTCACAGAACCCTAAGTACATGTACTGAATGCTGCCCTCACCTCCCCAGTCATGACACATTTGCAGTGATGCAAGGAGAAGCATTATTCTAAAGTCAACTTCAAAATGCCTTAGGCTGGCAACAAATTATCATGTTGGTGGTTTCGGTAAGTGTGTAATATTTTAAACATTACATGTATAGAGGCCACCAACATGAAAATTTCTAAATGTTCTAGAATATTTTTCATTGTTGTTATTTTAATTACTTATTCCACTACCCAATTATGCCTTTTGCTTTTCTTCTTTTCTCTCTAGACAACTACCTCATGAGACCTAAATAATTCACTCTATTCATAAGAGGTCATTTCTCTGATACCTGAGATGGATTTTCTAATTTGCAGATTATCCATTCTTTTTATTTTTCTCTTCTGCTTTGTGCCCTTTGCCATTTCAGTACTTGATTAATGTTTGCAAAGATCTAGAGGGAAGTGGGGAGAAAATGAAATCAATTCTGCTGTTTATGAGGAACTGCGATAAAAGTTCCTACTGAGGACAATGGCTAAAGTAAGATTTTTCTGTGCAATGCCTCCATGACAAGAGCTATCTGAACACTGATAAACAGCACAGCAGTTTAGAATTGTCCTGAGGCAATTTTCAATTTTCCAGTTCTTTATAAGTAACTCTCTTCTCTATAGATATGCTTATTTAGGTATTTCTCTTGCATTTTCCCCTTTCAAGAGAGCAGACTTTCATTATTTTGTAGCAAAGATTTTTTGGTATTGATTCTTTTTTGTTTTTAATTTTATTATTATTATACTTTAAGTTTTAGGGTACATGTGCACAACGTGCAGGTTTGTTACATATGTATACATGTGCCATGTTGGTGTGTTGCACCCATTAACTCGTCATTTAGCATTAGGTATATCTCCTAATGCTATCCCTCCCCCCTCCCCCCCACCCCACAGCAGTCCCCAGTGTGTGATGTTCCCCTTCCTGTATCCATGTGTTCTCATTGTTCAATTCCCACCTATAAGTGAGAACATGCGGTGTTTGGTTTTTTGTCCTTGCAATAGTTTGCTGAGAATGATGGTTTCCAGCTTCATCCATGTCCCTGCAAAGGACATGAACTCATCCTTTTTTATGGCTGCATAGTATTCCATGGTGTATATTTGCCACATTTTCTTAATCCAGTCTATCATTGTTGGACATTTGGGTTGGTTCCAAGTCTTTGCTATTGTGAATAGTGCCGCTATAAACATACGTGTGCATGAGTCTTTATAACAGCATGATTTATAATCCTTGGGTATATACCTAGTAATGGGATGGCTGGGTCAAATGGTATTTCTAGTTCTAGATCCCTGAGGAATCGCTACACTGACTTCCACAATGGTTGAACTATTTCAACCATAGAGTCCCACCAACAGTGTAAAAGTGTTCCTGTTTCTCCACATCCTCTCCAGCACCTGTTGTTTCCTGACTTTTTAATGATCGCCATTCTAACTGGTGTGAGATAGTATCTCATTGTGGTTTTGATTTGCATTTCTCTGATGGCCAGTGATGATGAGCATTTTTTCATGTGTTTTTTGGCTGCATAAATGTCTTCTTTTGAGAAGTGTCTGTTCATATCCTTTGTCCACTTTTTAATGGGGTGGTTTGGTTTTTTCTTGTAAATTTGTTTGAGTTCATTGTAGATTCTGGATATTAGCCCTTTGTCAGATGAGTAGATTGCAAAAATTTTCTCCCATTTTGTAGGTTGCCTGTTCACTCTGATGGTAGTTTCTTTTGCTGTGCAGAAGCTCTTTGGTTTAATTAGATCCCATTTGTCAATTTTGGCTTTTGTTGCCATTGCTTTTGGTGTTTTAGACATGAAGTCCTTGCCCATGCCTATGTCCTGAATGGTATTGCCTAGGTTTTCTTCTAGGGTTTTTATGGTTTTAGGTCTAACATGTAAGTCTTTAATCCATCTTGAATTAATTTTTGTATAAGGTGTAAGGAAGGGATCCAGTTTCAGCTTTCTACATATGGCTAGCCAGTTTTCCCAGCACCATTTATTAAATAGGGAATCCTTCTCCCATTGCTTGTTTTTGTCAGGTCTGTCAAAGATCAGATAGTTGTAGATATGCGGCATTATTTCTGAGGGCTCTGTCCTGTTCCATTGGTCTATATCTCTGTTTTGGTACCAGTACCATGCTGTTTTGGTTACTGTAGCCTTGTAGTATGGTTTGAAGTCAGGTAGCGTGATGCCTCCAGCTTTGTTCTTTTGGCTTAGGATTGACTTAGCAATGCGGGCTCTTTTTTGGTTCCATATGAACTTTAAAGTAGTTTTTTCCAATTCTGTGAAGAAAGTCATTGGTAGCTTGATGGGGATGGCATTGAATGTATAAATTACCTTGGGCAATATGGCCATTTTCATGATATTGATTCTTCCTACCCATGAGCATGGAATGTTCTTCCATTTGTTTGTATCCTCTTTTATTTCATTGAGCAGTGGTTTGTAGTCCTCCTTGATTCTAAACATTTTACCTGGACCTCAAAAAACTTGTGTCTACACTGGATTAGTTTGGACTTTTTAGTTGCAAATAATAAAATTTAACTTGAGTTAGTTAATTCAAGGTATGTATGTTTATACACATAGCTATATTGCATTTCTAAATATCTCAGTTATAAGGTATACTGAAGTGACCAAGATTTAATTCATCATAAAGGATACATGCATCTTTCAGACCTTGCCCACAAATCTCCCCATGTGCTGCTCCAAGCTCTTTCCCCTCTACTGGCCTGATATAGACAATGACAGGAGGAGGGGACCCATAGATGGACAGAGTACAGAGGAGAGTTATTTTGGCTACTTGAGCAGCCTTCCTGGACAGTACCATGAGACTTCAATATCTATTTGCTACTACAGTCTAACTAATGGATGATATTGGAGATTTACTTTATAATTTATAATTAATTTTATAAATACATGAAGTTATTCTTGTTACAAGCAATAAATAAGTAATAATAAATAAATTGATCAATTTTAAAATAGGATATTGTCCAGCTGATTTCTAGTAGTTGTGCTCTACAAGCAGGGGAAAAATGTTTTAAATGACTTCTCTATAATTCATCCAGCTAAACTTTTAGGGAAGTTTCCTACAATTAATTATCTTTAAGAATCAGACTCCCACATCATAAAACACAAATCTTAGACTTAAAATATTTGTTTTTTGAAGGGGAGCTGAGTCATACTTTAGCTTTCTTCACAATAGTAGGATTTTTAGCCCCTATTTTACACACAAGGAGACTGTGTTTCTTTTCTGTTGCCACTGTAAAAAATTGCCACGCACTGAAGTGTCTTAACATTACAGAAGTGTAAGATCTCACAGTTCTGTAGGTCAGAAGTCTGACCTGGGTGTCACTGAGCTAAATCAATGTGTCTGCTGGCCTGCCTTCCTTTCTAGAGTCTCTATTGGAGAATCCATTTCCTTTGCTTTTCCAGCTTCTAGAGGCTGCCCACATTCCTTGGTTCATAACTCTCTTTCTCCATCTTCAAAACCTGTAAGAGCAGCTTTGAAGTCCTCCTTATATAGCATGACTCTGACCTTCTTTTCCTCCTCCTTTTCTACTTTTAAGGACTCTTACTATTATATCGGCCCTACCCTGATAAGCAAGGATAATCTCCCTATTTTAAGGCCAGCTGATTAGCAAATTTAATTCCATCTACAAACTTAATTTTCCTTTACCATGTAACTTAATATATTCATGGGTTCCAGGGATTGGGACTTTGACCTTTTTGGGGCGGTGGCTGGGCATTATTTAACCTGTCAAAGAAACTGAGGCAAACAGATGTCAAATTAGCATTCCCTATGTTAGATTCATTGCATTGCAGTATTTTATGTTTGTATCTTTGCTAACTATCCTTTAGTTCTTCATCACTGATTAAATTCATTCTTCTATCTCTTTTAACTAAAATAAATCTTTTTGGTTTTTTGGCCAGGACTTCTGCATATTAGAAGAATTTGAGTTTTGATTATAATTTACCTATGTGGCTAAACCATCTTTGTGACCCAGTTTTGTTCAGCACACAGATATTGCCAACCACATTTGTCTAGGCTTTCATAACAGTTGACATTCTAAGCATCTCTTTCTTGTAGTAAAATAAGTCTCCGTACTTTAACGGAGACACTTTTTCTCCCATGGCATAAATAGAAAACATGTGCCTGTGTCCACCCTCTGCTGCAGATTCGTTGTCTACTCTTTTCTGTCATGCACTGTTTGTACAGCAGACTGACCCCATGTGAACTACAAATCCCAGGCTTGCTGACCAGCTGGCCTCTAATTGTGTTTATCAATGGAAGACAAGGGCAGGAGATCAGAGTGGGAAGGGAGAGGGCATAGAGTATTTCTCCCCTTCACTCTCCCTGCTTTCACACCGTATTTACATAGGGCCAATTCCACCTTTTTCCTCAACCATTGTTTCTTTCCATTGGGAGACCACAAGTCTATAGTCCCAGCTCCCACTGAGCATTAATGATGCTATTTTCTCCCCTTTCCTACTCAGTGCTAAGAGTAGTAATGTTACAGTTAAGAGTCATAGTATCAGTTTATGAAGCATTTAGTAGACCTAATAACCTTTAAAATTATATAACATTTCTTTCATAAGTTCCCTTTCATGAATCTTTTTATGACTTCCACAGACTACCTATGACATGCTTGTACTTTCTGACTTATCCTAAACATCTGTCCTTTTAAACAACCAGTCATTTTACTTTAGGGCAAGAATTTACCATACAAGATTCTTTGTCATATAAAACCTTTAAAATTTTTAACCTTCCTTACCAAAAATACATTTTTACATTTATAACCTTTGAATTAGACAAAAGTCATTATCCTTCTGTTAGGAAGTTTTGGTTTGCACTGCATATTGCTATGTAAGTCCTGTGAAGGGGGAGTAGATAAAGAGGTTATCTAAGTTATTCCCCCTCAAGAGATTGTTCACTTAGATTTTTGCTAGGGCTTGTCTGAATACGTGTGGGCTATTTTTAAACCCCTGTGTTAGGACTGACAAGGTTAAAGTTATTGGTTAGAAATAGAGCTATCAGAGAGAAAGATGAATTCAGAGACTGGGTAAATATTAAGCAGGCACCCATCTTGGAAATTATATTTTTGCCCTAAAGAGGTGGGAATCTTTTCTTTTGGAAGGATGGGGAGCCATTTGCCCCATTACCCAACAGGATTTGAAAGAAAGTTGCTCAGAGAAAGAGAGTAGCACAAAGTAGCTCTTGAACCCAAAAGGGACATTTATAATTTTACTTGCTGCCTCCAGAATCACTCATGGCTTTGTCCTGTTGATGACAATGTCTGATTTGGAAGCCAGCCAGAGCAGAGAGCCCCTTCAGCTCAAGTCCATCAGGGGTTGGGATTCTTTCCCAGGTGCCCTTTGGCCCTAAGGGCAGTCTCATTTTCAGTAGCTGAGCTTGTGGCAGAGGAGGCAAGCCATGTGGGGCTTTTTCCCATTTTTCCCATTGGGGCAGTTTGCCTTCTAGTGGCCTGACTTCCTGTACTGATGGCAGTCACACATAAGGGTATACTGAGGGCGACCTGGAGCAGGCTGGAGAGCTTTTAAAGCAGCCAGTAGTTTAGCCTGTCTCTTGTCCCTGCATTTCTCCTTTGTCCCAGCCCTGTCCTCCTTATTCTGCTCTCAGTTATAAAAGACTGAGGAGGTTAATTTGAGGATTTCCTGCATAAGGGCACTGGGTTCTAAGGCTGACTTTTGTAATTTTTTTTCCAGTTCATTTTTTAGGCCAATCAGTATTACCAACATAGCCTAGTTTTTTTGGTTTAAGATTTGGGAGAATGAAACTTTTCCCAGTTCTTGAGGAAGTATCCAAGGGGCATGTCCTGTGATATGGAGATGCGATTACCCATTTGTGAAGAGAGAACAGAGGAGAAAAAAAGGAAAAAGAAGGCATCTCCTTTTACTTTCCTATTATCCTGAATGGGGCATTCCCTGCTCATCCTTAGGTTGTCCTTAGGGTTCCAGAATAGATTACTCTTACCATGGGCCCTTAACCTTGGTCCCATCTCATCACAATTACCCACTTGAGAACAGAGGAGATACTGGAGTGAACAGTGGGCCCCTTGTTCATCCTTTGGGTTCTGAAATGAACTGGTCTTACTGTGTACTCCTAACCTTACCTTCATCTCTGTTCTAATAGTAATCTATTAGTCTGGGACCAGCCTTCATCGCTGTCCTATGGGTCTCTTATGCCTGCGGCCTTGGCCGGCTTGTATCCTTGTCTCCATGACCTTATAGCGACTCTCATTCAGAGCATTTTAGAAACAAAATAGTTATCTCTTTTCTTAGGTTCCCATTTCCCACATTCTTTCAGTATAAGAGAAGCCTGTTTTTCAGCTAATTGCTACAAGAGGTCTGGATTCCCTTCCTTTGAATATCACCTTGAAGGTCTTGATGCATGTTGGGAAGCATGTGGAAGTGATTAGAGAAATGGAGGCTGCAGGAGGAAGGGGGAGAAAGCAAGAGGAATACCCCTGGGAAGGCTTAATATGCTCGCAAAAACAGCAGCCCTTGGATTCAAGAGGGCAACATTTATTTGCCCTCTTGACACAAAGGAGTAACCTTCAGAAGACTTGGGGCTTGGTGTAAGAATGTGTAAAAGGCAAAAGAAGAATTTCCCTTCTCCCAAATGAGTGCTACCTCAAAAAAAGCACGTAAGTGGGGTCCTTAAGGGACTACAGAGTGAGGCCCTAGGCAGACACACAAACTGTTTCAGAAACAACCAGAAAACTCAGCCCTGGGGTGTTAACAGGAAATTATTAATAAGTATTGAAAAATATATGATCATGTGTCCAGAATTGGTGGGTTCTTGGTCTTGCTGACTTCAAGAATGAAGCCACGGACCCTCGTGGTGAGTGTTACAGTTCTCAAAGATGGTATGTCCAGAGTTTGTTCCTTCAGATGATCAGATGTGTCTGGAGTTTCTTCCTTCTGGTGGGTTCATGGTCTCATTGACTTCAGGAGTGAAGCTGCAGACCTTCACGGTGAGTGTTACAGCTTTTAAAGGTGGCACGTCTGCAGTTGTTTGTTTCTTCCAGTGGGCTTGTGGTCTCCCTGGCCTCAGAAGTGAAGCTGCACACCTTCGCGGTGAGTGTTACAGTTCATAAACGTGGCGCTTCCGGAGTTGTTCGTCCCTCTCTGTGGGTTGGTGGTCTCACTGGCTTCAGGAGTGAAGCTGCAGACCTTCGCAGTGAGTGTTACAGCTCACAAAGGTGGCGCAGATGCAAAGAGTGAGCAGCAGCAAGATTTATCGCGAAGAGCAAAAAAAAAAAAAAAACTTCCACAGTGTGAAAGGGCACCCAAAGGGGTTGCCCTTGCTGGCTTGGGTGGCCTGCTTTTATTCCCTTATCTGGCCCCACCCACATCCTACTGATTGATCCATTTTACAGAGAGCTGATTGGTCCATTTTACAGAGAGCTGATTGGTTCGTTTTACAGAGAGCTGATTGGTCCGTTTTTGACAGAGTGCTGATTGGTGCATTTACAAACCTTTAGCTAGACACAGAGTGCTGATTGGTGCATTTACAATCCTTTAGACACAAAAGTTCACCAAGTCCCCACCTGATTAGCTAGACACAGAGTGCTGATTGGTCCATTTACAAACCTTTTGGTAGACACAGAGTGCTGATTGGTGCGTTTACAATTCTTTAGCTAGACGGAAAAGTTCTCCAAGTCCCTACCCGTCCCACAAGCCCAGCCGGCTTCACCTCTCACTGGCACTCGCCATGGGACTTCGTGGCACCTAGCCCGTGCACTCCCGCAGCCCAGAGGGAGCTCATCCCTGATTAAGCCCACCAGGCGGCCGCGGGCTGCGCAGAGTGCGAGTGCGGGGCCTCCAAGCCCACGCCCCGGAACCCGCTGCCGCAGCGACTGCCTTGTGCAGCCCCAGCTCCTGCCTGCGACTCTCCCTCCACACCTCCCAGCAAGCAGAGGGAGCTGGCTCCAGCCTCGGCCAGCCCCAGAGAGGGGCCCCCACAGCGCAGCAGTGGGCTGAAGGGTTCCTTGAGCATGGCCAGGCGGATGCCCGAGGCCGAGGAGGTGCAGAGAGCAAGTGAGGGCTGCTAGCACGTTGTCACCTCTCAATAAGTCATAAGGAGCTGTCAGAGCTGGAGTTCTAATTAGTGTCTGTCCTGGCAATGTGCCAGCACACAGGGGACGTGTTGGAGGTCATCTGAGCTGGTAGGGTAAAAACAAGTATAACTCTCGGGGGGTATCTGCAAGAGAGCCCATGTCTTTGCAGCCACACAAAGGCAGTAAGAGCCACGGGCACACAAGTAAAAGGGAGTGTGTGTTTAAGAAGTCATGTGGCATGCAAAGTGAAAGCAAAGAGGCAGACTTACCCCTGAGGTGGACAGTCCAGCAGGTGTGCAAGGCCATTTCAGAACATACAGAGAAAAACAGGAGAATAGGCAGTGTGTGTTCTTGGGAAAGAGCCAATTTTAGTTGAAAAAGCAGAGGAAACCCCAGGCATTGCACAGTTTTAAGCTTTAGCATTACCATTCTCACAAGCCTTCTGTTTAGGAGGGTCTTTAGTGCCTCAGTTTTACTTGGTGAGGACCCCAAGGTCCTTTCCACCCCCATGAGCCATCCATTAGGGTGAGCTGTGAGATTAGCTTGAGCGAGCACTGAGGAATCATTCTGGGAGTTGGTTAGTAAGCAGGAGAGTAAAAGGGGAGAAGAAAATCATATATGGGGGAGTTAAATGCCTCCAGCCAAGGCAAGTGAAATGTAGAGGTGTCTTACCACTGGAGAACATATCCTAGTCATATAGCACCAAAGTGTGCTAGTGTTGGAAGTTATCCAAGTCATACAGCACCAAAGTATGTTACCGGCGATGAATCCATATGGGTCTGCAGCAACCTCAATTCTTGCTTCCTCAGAAGAAAGAATTCAACTGAGGGGCATAAGGCAGAGTGAGAGACTGAGGCAAGTTTTAGAGCAAGAGTGAAAGTTTATTAAAAAGCTTTAAAGCAGGAACAAAAGGAAGTACACTTGGAAGAGGGCCAAGCAGGCAACTGAAGAGATCAGATCCATGGTTTGACCTTTTGACTTGGGGTTTTACATGTTGACATTCTTCTGGGATCTGCATTACTTCTCCCCTGATTTTTTTTCCCTTGGAGTGGGCTGTGCACATGAACAGTGGCCTGCTAGCACTTGGAAGGGGAGAGGGGAGCATGTGCAGTGTTTCTTGAAGTTGTACAGATGCGTATTTGAGGTATTCTTCCCTTACCAGTTGAGTGTCCCTAGGAAGTATACCAGTTAAACTCCACCATTTTGCCTCTTACTGCACATGCTTGAGCCCACTTGCCCAACTCCTGAGATTTTATCAAGAAGCTGCTGATCACCAGTTTCAGGTTTTTTCCTGTCTACTGAAAGACTGGCTTTTCCTGGCGCTGGCTGCTACCAAGTATTATTTTAGAGAGACAGTTAACAACTGCCTGACCACCACTTGACGGTCACCTGACATTCCTGGTGGTTGGGAGGGGTGGACCCTCTCCTGCCCTGCTCTTGCCTGACTACCTACCTACTATAACAGTAATAACTTTCCACTGTTACTGGTCTCTGGTCCTTCATCAACCCTTGTTTGTTCTCCTCATTTGCTCCATACTTCTATTGAAGTTTTTCAACAAGTCTCTTCATTTGAAACAATCCTGTTTTCTGCTAGAATTCTGACAAACTATCGGGAAACAAATTTCTCAAAAAAGGAATTTTTATGTTTTGTTAGTGATAAACAGATCTCCAGTATAGGGTCTTTCTGTACTTTCATGTTTTTTTTTCTCTTCCTCTTATATTTTGTAGATTCCTCATAGAGATCAGAATTGTTGGTTCATTCATTCATTATTCAATATTTATTTGGAATGAAACAGGGATTTTATTATATTGATGTACAAAACAAACAATATTGGAGCTATAGCCCAGCAATGAGGTGGAGGGAGAGTCCTCAAATAGTAAAAAACTATGAAATTACAATCTGTCTTATCTGACGTATATGTATATGTATAAAGTAGAACATATTCCTCCTATCTAGTTGTAATTTTGTATCCGTTAACCAATATCTAGTTATCCCCCTCTCCAACTCGTCCTCTATTCTATAAATATGTATTATCATGTGTCAATTAAAGTAATAATTTTTAAAAGTAGAGGGGGCTGTGAACATGAAAAGAGGGTGACTAACTGACTTTGGGGGAGAGGTTGATGGAAACTTCCTCCTGAGGTGGGGGAGAGGTTGATGGAAACTTCCTCCTGAGGTGAGATATGTGCTGAGAGCAGAGTGGAGTGGGGAGAAAGCAGGTAGTGTGGTTAGAAGAAAGATTCAAGCACTGCACAGAATGTGCAAGGCCTCAAGCAAGCATAGAACTTAACATGCTTGAGAAATCTAGAAACCAGTGAAGCTAGATGGCTGAGAGCAAGGAGAATGGTAAAAGGTACTATGGAGAACAAGTCGGGGCCAATTAACTAAAGATTTTGCATCCATGTCAAATACAATAAATATTTTGGTCATTGTATTAAGAGCTACTGGAGGCCATTGAATGATTTTAAGCATATGATTGACTTAAAAAAAACCTTGTGTTTTTAAATAATAACTGGCTTCCGTGGAAAGGATGGTTTGTGAGAAAGCAGTAAGATATGAATCTAACAGGGTGGAAGATTTCTCATTCAGGCAAGTGATGAGGGTAGCCTGGGCCAGGATGGACATAGTGGAGATAGACAAAAAGGGACAAATTTGGGAGTTTAAAATTGCCAGGACTTTATGAAAAATAGGATAAGAAAGAGGGAAATATCAAGAATGAGTTCTAAACTTCCAGCTTGGGCAACTGGATGAGGCCTTTCTGAGACAGGGACCATTGGAGGAAGTCCAGGTTTTGAGAGAGGGATGGCGTATGTTTACTGTAAGATGTGCAGCATTGAAATGACTTTTAGGCTGGACACTCAAGTAGTTGAATCTCATAGACAGAGGCAGAAAGTTTCTGACTGACATCTTGAGTGACGAGGAGGGAGAAAAGAATGAGATTGAAAGAGGATTTTTAAGAAGTTTAGAGTGTAACCGAAGTGGGCATTGTGATTAATCCAGGGGGCTTTGGATGAAATACGTCATGCGTTTTGAAACATTTATCAAAGGTTTTAAGAGCCCTTGAATCTCTGCTGCCCATTCCTTCACCTAAGTTGTAATTATACTACCTTTTTCTAAAAGGAAATATTCTTCTTCTCTTTTTCTGTTCCTATCTTGTTGAAAGAAATTAAGCAAAAAAAAAAATCTTAATTTTTTTTCTCATATTCCAAATAAAATACATTTCCATTTTCTAGTAATTGGTTATGAATTTAGTTATACAAATGATAGGTTTTACTTATAAAATTTTTGAATAGAGGTTTTTTTTGTGGTGGCTCTTAATTTTGAGATGTCATGGATCTTCGAGAATCAGATGAAAATAACTCTAGTCTCAGAAGAAGGTAAATATGCCCACATGCAAAATTTTGGAATCAAAGTCATGAAGCCAGAGACCTCCTTGAAGTCCATCATCTATCCAAAGATTCCCTAGAGATATGAAAGTAAATCCTCTTACTTTAAAGGATTACAGAAAACGTGTTTGCTATTTTTATCCTAATTTTGGTGGTACAGCGAATGGCTTTGATTTTGGATGCATTAGGTATTTTTTTAAAGACTTGAATTCCTGATATTTTACATATGTTTTGTTTCAGAACTCATGGCTTCTAATGGTTATATATTTTGATACTTTTCATGGCATTGAGCTTCTCCACAAATGACACAATGGAAGATCAAAGAAGTTTTGAAGAGGGGAAAAAAGCAAACCTTGATTTCACAGTAACTATCTCTAGAGACTAACTTTCAACCTGATAAATTTTTCCTTTGGCAACCAAATTATTTTTTCCTTGTGCACAAACACATTTATTTGATTTCCCTTATTGTTTTCCCCAGGAGGAATACACTGAAACTAAGCTGCATAGGAAGTATGAGAAATCTTTTCTAGACCTTTATCTAAAACATAACAGATTGTAAACACAGTAATGTAAGACATGCAAAATTAATGTCTCTACTTTTCCCATAATTTTTTAATAGCAACCATTCTTCCTTCTGACAGTCCCTTACTGAAACTGTGAAGCCACTGTTTTTTATTGTGGGTTTTAGTTTTTGGCATCCCATTTTACAGCAATATACTGAATGTATGCTAGCTTTCTAGCTGGAACGTTGTTGTATATATAGAAGATTCTTCAAAATGTGCATGTAGTCAGATTTGTTTTATTTAAAGTCAGTCATTTGGCTGTTCTGGCCGCTGATCCCTGGCCCCTGAGAAAGGAGACATTGATTACTGTGACCCATGCCTGGCACACTGCAGGCCCTCATAAGTAATTGCTGCCACGAAGCAAGCCAAGCACGACTTAGTGCTGGTAGAAAATCTAACTCCTCATTGCAGCAGCACCCCTGCTCTCATCCAATGTGAAGGGCAGCAGTCCGAGAAGCGTCAGGTTGGTGAGACCGGCCTGCTTTGTAAACATTTCCTTAGAGGAAAAAAAATAAAAATGAAGGCAGCAATATTTCCAACCCAAAAGCTGGGCAAAAAGGGTGGGAGAGGCTATCACAGAGTTGCCAAGCCAAGAGCTCACGATGATAGTAATAAAGGTAGTAGTTCACAGCATGAAAGAGAAAACACAATAAACAGGACACAATGCTCCTGATGACATGCCAAGGATGTGCCAAATTCTAAATTTGCCACCTAGATATGATAACCCAAAAGGAAGGACAAGGCTTAAGATTGTTAAATAGGTTTATATTTTAAGTTTTTCTCAAATATGTGTTTTTGAAATCCTATGAGACGAACATGCACAATGTTATTTCATTTTTTACATCTTTAGAATTGTCAGCAAGACAACCGCGGTTTTCACACATGTGACAGTGGCAAGTATCAAATACAGATCCAAAAACATTTTCCTTTGTGGTTAGTTCTGAGGGATTATCACAAGGTAATGGTCCCTGAGAATTTAAATATCAGGGAATTTTGAGACCAACACTTAGCACATCTAGGCATAGATATGCAAAGTTGCCTAGAGCAGTCTATTGCTCCAAGGTATAGATAGTGAGTAGGGAGGAGAGGATTCCCTCTGGGGATGCTGACATTAAACACTAATATTTCTGCAATACTACAGAGATAAGTCAATCAGACCAGGGAGCCACTGATCAGACTTACAAGAACAGCAATAAAGAAAGAAACATGGGCAGGCGCAGTGGCTCATTCTTATAATCCCAACACTTTGGGAGGCCAAGGTGGGCAGATCACCTGAGGTCAGGAGTTCAAGACCAGTTTGGCCAACATGACGAAATCCCATCTCTACTAAAAATACAAAAATTAGCTGGACATCCTGGCAGGTGCCTGTAATCCCATCTACTCAGGAAACTGAGGCAAGAGAATCCCTTGAACCCAGGAGGGGAATGTTGCAGTGAGCCAAGATCATGCCACTACACTCCAGCCTGGGAGACAGAGCAAGACTGTCTCAAAAAAAAGGAAAGAAAGAAAGAAGAAAGAAAGAAAGAAAGAGAAGCCTATAATATTAACAATAGCTCATATTTATTGAGAACTTAGTGTTTGGAGCCTCAGTACTATTCATTCCTCATACTTATCCAATTTTGTAAGTATCAGCATTTTTCCTATTTTACACATGAGAAGATTGAGACTTGGAGCAAATAAATAACTTGCTCTGTTCACACAAAGTAATAAAGTATGAGTTCTAATCCAGACTGTCTGGCTGCAGGGTCCATTCAGATGTTGACACCGCACTGTGGGACCAGGAACAAAGACATCTGACTTCCAGCATTCAGTTGCTAATGCCTGCCCATTGTTACAAGGAGAGATACGCTTCAGGCAATCTTATCCTGGTGCCATGGTATCACAGTATATATTTCACTCATTATTTTTTGTTTACTGTTTTGACAAATACTGTTGCATACCTATTATGGGCAAAGCTGTGCAAAGCATTAGGATGCAAGAATGATGAGTAAAAATGATACAAGTTTTTTCTGTCATGGAGCTTACAAATATAACATGGCAATGGTGACTCATGTTATGAAGGATAGGTAAATGGGACTGTAAGAACCTAGACAGGGCAATTTGTCCAAGTCAGCGTGGCCAGCAAAGGGTTCATTGAAGAAACACTATTTGAACCAGATCTGGAAGATGTGCAGCAGCCAATTCCTTGAAGAGGAGATGGGTATGAGAGTACGATAGACAGGAGGAACATTATGTACCAAGTTCTGTGCCTCTGCAGGTACAGCAGATAAGAGATGCTGAAACACCAGGTGGCTGGAGCTGTGGGGGTGCAGGGCTGCAGAGGAAGATAAAGCTGGAGAGGGGTACTCAGACCATGCAGAACCTCAAATGCATTTAGAAGATTTGAATTCATTTATCCTAATAGCAGTGGGAAATCATTGCTGGTGGGTTCTGGGTGTATTAAATGTGAAGTGTTTTAAATGAAACGTCATGGTTAAAATATGAAGAAAGAATTGGAAAATGAAAGCTTGGAGATCATTTAGAGGCATTTCTCACCAGGTGAGAGATGAGGGTGATTTGAACATGGTTATGTTGATGGTGATGGATGGAAGTGTAGAGGTTGGTGAGAGGTTTTAAAAGCTAGAATCAACAGAACTTGGACAAGAATCAGCTAAAAGGGTAATAAGGGAGAAGACATCAAAGATGGCCTATAGGAGTCTATCTTATTTAGCCATGTGAATGCAGTGCCATTTACTGAAACTGAGAACACTAGGAGAGATGGCTTTGAGGGGAAAGCTCCTGAGTTGGTTTGGGGGAAATATTTGTTTTGAGATGCCTTTGAGACATTCAAGTGGAAATGTCAAATAGGTAGATGTATGGGATGAAACCCGGGGCAGAGGCTGGGAATGGGGGATTCAAATTTGTGAGTCATCTGCTTCTATTCAGTGAGGTAAATTAAGTGTGTGGGTGAAGTAGCCTGGGGAAAGATACAGAGCGAGAAGAAGAGGGCCCAGGAGGAAATCTGGAGATTCATCTATTCCAACCCCGCTCTCTTTGATTCCTGCTTTCCAAGCACCTTCAGGTTCCAGGGCGATCTGATTGCAGGGAGAGAAAGCACACATCCTACAGACATCAGGTGTCCTTGTTCCTGTGGCAACCCACTCACAAAGGAGTTTCACAAGTTATTTCTGATAATGATGTAGATTCTTATGTACAGGTTCACATGAGGAGAGAGTGTGTGGATCGTGTGAATGAGACAGTTACATTTGGTGTTTTAAATGAATAGATTGGCATTCTGCTGCTGTCTCACTTTCTTGCATTTCAGGTACAGTGAGTCAGTCTCTCAGAACTACACATGACAGTCTTGGTATCTTTTCTTTCTCTTTCAGGGGGCCATATCCAGCCTGACTCTCCCTCCTACAGACACCACTTTTAGCCTCCATGCAATTTAGTTATTTTCATTTCCCAACTTTCAATATCCATGAAACTAAAAGCAAGGTCCTGCTATCAAGAGGTTCTAAAGAGACTGGGACCTTGAGGAGGATGGGAATGGTTGGAAAGAGGCATTATGTGGTGTTCTAGGGAATCAATGTGGTTTGAATTAATAATTGGCAGTAAAGACCCAATTTAAGGTAGAGATTCTGAATTTGTAGAAGACCTGAACTGTACTGTTACATGACTTTCTTCTTCAAAACCAGGCAGTCAAGCCTTAATTTCTTATGCTCTCTAGATGCTCTTTTTGAGTGAAAAGCAGTTCATAGTTTAACTCCTAACAGTGATTAATGTTTACAGTAGGAAAGCATAATGGAAAAATGTATGATATTTTGGTTCATACTTTTATTATTAAAGGCATTTTGGTTGCTAGTAAATGAACATGTGTTCACATCTCCATAATTATGTTCATATTTGGCGCATTTTGCTTTTCAGACCTTTTGTTTTGCTGTCATGTAATCAAATTATGTCTTACAAATAAAGTATAAATAAGAGCAAATTTCAACAAGTTACTTAACCTTTTTGTGCCTCAATTTCCTCATCTTTCAAACAAGGACAATAATACCTAGAGAAGGGAGAAAACAATTTTCTCCCATTTTTTTTCACTCTCCTCACTTTTCTGCCTCAAAATAGACACTTCTCCCTCTTAGAGATTTTAGATTAAACCTTTCAGTTCTATTTTTCCCCCTTCTCACTAGCTTGTCCCCACAGGATGATAGCAATTTATATATTCCTACATTCAAATAGTACCTGGCATTGTGCCTGGTACATGCTAGAAACAGGATTAAAGTACCAAATATATTAGGTTTTCTAGTTATTATCCTCAACTTGGTGCCTTAACTCTTTGTTTGTGTTTTGTTTTGTCTTTAACAATAACACACTGCCATTCTAGTCTCATTTATAGGTCTACAACATGTTCCATCAGGATGCTTCATTTTTAAATTTGAATTTAACATCACAGATTGTTCATAGATGATTCCTCACTTGACCTCCATTTCTTCCTTTTTTCTTTCTTTCTTTCTTTCTCTTTCTTTTTTCTTTCTCTCTCCCTCCCTCTTTCTTTCTTTTCCCCTTCCTTCCTTCCTTCCTTCCTTCGTTCCTTCCTTCCTTCCTTTCTTCTTCCTCCCTCCCTCCCTCCTCCCCTCCTTCCCCCCACCACCTCTTTGGCTCTTTCTTTCTCTCTCTCTCTTTTGTGACAGGGGCTTACTCTGTCACCCAGGCTGCTCTGCCACCCAGGCTACAGTGCAGTGGTGCATTAATGGTTCACTGCAGCCTCCAACTCCTGAGTAGCTTGGACCACAGGCGCGTACAACCATGCACATATATACAAAATTTTTGTATTTTTTATAGAGACAGGGTTTCACTATGTTGCCCAGGATAGTTTTGAACTCCTGGGCTCAAGCAGTCTGCCTGCCTCAAAAAGTGCTGGGATTACAGGAGTTCTGTTTATTTCTTAGTTGATATTCAGCCACGCTTAGAGAATACCTCTTGTATCTTTAGTAGCCTGGAAACACTGACACAGATTTTTAAAGTTCTACTCATTCTGCTGAAAACCACCGTATCTTTAGATTATCCAGGGAAACATATGACTGTCTTCTGTGTCAATACTTCTGATGCTCTGACTGTCCTACCTGATCTCCTCCCCACTTGAAATCAAATCCCCATTATTCTGCACACAGATTCTCTTGCTGATTTCCTGAGGATATCTCAACCAGCTCATTGGCTTAATTAACCACCACCAAACATTGGTCCCTGATATGGTTAGCTTTGTGTCCCCACCCAAATCTCATCTTGAATTATAATCCCCATAATCCCCAGGTGTCAAAGGAGAGACCAGGTGGAGGTAATTGGATCATGGGGGCAGCCCCCCACCCCATGCTGTTCTCATGTTAGTGAGTGAGTTCTCACAAGATCTGATGGTCTTATAAGGCTGGGCACTTCTCCTTCCTGCCCCTTGTGAAGAAGGTGCCTTGCTTCTCCCTCACCTTTCAACATGATTGTAAGTTTCCTGAGGCCTCCTCAGCCATGCTGAACTGTGAGTCAATGAAACCTCTTTCCTTTATAAATTACCCAGTCTCAGGCAGTTTTTTTATAGCAGTATGAAAACAGACTAATATAATCACCATGGATGTGTAGCCTGTGGAGCCATATGTTAACAGAATGATCTAAATCTCTTACATTTATACAGTGCTTCCAACTTCACAAAATAGTTTATCACCCATTATCTCATTTAATATCCAAATAAGCTCTGCGAGCAATTAACTCAGTTTCAAAATAAGCAAAGTAGTAATTTAAGAGGTTAAGCAACTTCTTCAAGATCCTCCACTTTGTAGGACCTTGGGTGGCAACTCAGAAGTCCTGGTCCTATATAACAGCAGTCCCTAACTTTTTTGGCACAAGGGACTGGTGTTGTGGAAGACAAATTTTCCACAGACCAGTCGGGGCTGAGGGGCAATGGTTTTGGGCTAAAATTGTTCCACGTCAGATCACCAAGCATTAGATTCTCATAAGGAGCAAGCAACCTAGATCCCTTGCATGTGCAGGTCACAATGGGGTTCACACTCCTATGAAAATCAAATGCCTCCACTGATCTGACAGTAGGCGGAGCTCAGGTGGTAATGCTTGCTAGCCTGCTGTGCAGCCCTGTTCCTAACAGGGCAAGGTACCAATCCATGGCCTGGGGGTTGAGGACCTCTGTTTTATAGAACACTTATTTCCATTTAAGCCATATTTTCTTTGAAATTATTAAACAGACACATTTTCCAATCTTAGCTTTACTATTCTATTTACTTTTTCTGCCCTACAGTTTCTTCAACGCTCAGACAGGATTAATAGTATTGACCTCTCAGGATTTCTATCAATCAGCCTGGGCCCCCAGCAAGCATTCAATTATGTTAAAAGAAAGAACAAGAGACCAGAAGTAGAGGATTAAGCTTCAGAGAGAGAAATGAAATGACTATGAGATACTATCTTATGTTTTATTCTGGGTAATTTTTCATCCCAACCCTAGATCTAAGAAGATTTCTAGGGCATTTGGCTGCCTTAAGAGGAGTTTGTAGATCGCCACTAAAACAAAAGTACCTGAAGACCACCACCTCTACATGTGTAAACTCATAGATTAGAATAGGTCTGGTATCTCTAAGATTACAGGCCCATGGGATTAGTGGGGATTCTCAGTCATTTTCAACCCACTCTCTTGTAGTACCTGAAGGAAGTGATCTTAGAAAGATCTGAAAAAAAATTGGTGGATTTGGAAGGTTAAACATTTGACTCTGAGATTTTGGCACCAATAAGATTCTTAGGCCCCAATCATGGCGGAAGGGCTGCCAAACTTCAAGAACTCATAATAGGATAAACCTGAAGGGCTCCACTTCCATTTTAGTGAGCCACATAAGATACTACATTCTCAACAGGGGCCAGGAAAAGAGAGCAGGTTCCCACCATATAATTGAGTTTTAATCTCTAAACATTGCAGTGTGACAGTAACTGCTACAGTTAGCTTTCTTTAAATTAATTAATGTAAAACAATGTGATGTTCCTTACACACCTTCTTTGGAGTACTAAGATTCACATCCATTAAAATGGCATTAGAGTGAGAGGGGAGAAAGGGAAGAGAGATTAATGCTAGTGTGATAAACCATAAGAAAAGGGGAGAAATCTGCATACGAGAGAAGGAAACAATGCCAAAATATGGCTGTAGAGTAAGAGGAATAATTAAATGCCAATGGGAAAAATTTATAAATTTCCATTAATCTTGTGGCTATGGACTGAATATTTGTGTCTCCCCCAGATTCATTTGAAGTCCTAACCCCAAGGTTAAGAGTATTAGGAGATAGGAATTTTGAAAAGCAATTACGACATGAGGGCTCTGCCCTCATGAATATGATTAGTGCCCTTATAAAAGAGGCCCAAGGGGGCTGCCTTGCCCCTTCCATCATGTGGGGACCTGGGATCTATGAACCTGGAATAAGGCCTTCACAAAACACTGAATCTGCCAGAGGCTTAGTCTTGGACTTCCCCACCTCCAGAACTGAGAGGAATAAATTTTTGTTGTTGATAAGCCACTCAGTCTATAATGTGTTATAGCAGCCCAAACAAACTAAGACACTTGTTAACTCTCCTGAGGAGTGGCATTATAACTTTCTGCATAATAGTCACCTACTGGACAACTATTGACAAAGTACCTTTGTTCTTAGAAGCTTGACTTAAGTGGTGCCATCCATCCACAGCAGACTGCCAGAGGGAAAATGATATTTACCTCATTCCTGTGTTCCTTAGTGATAGGAACGTTGTTACTTACTTACTGTTACACCCCCAGCATCTTGCAGATAGAAAGTACTCAATAAACCTTCCCTGAACATATGTTGGACTGAATAATTGAATGAATTCTGCTTTATAAAACCTTTGGAACATCTCCTATAGATATTTCACTATTCACTAAACAGAGGTCCAGTTACTTCCACCAAGGTTTGTCTAAGAGAAATAAATGGGCCTAACCTCCCAATATCAATTTATATCTGTAATAATCAGATATTTCTGAAGCTGCATCTTACTCATTTTAAGTGATCATTGTTTACAAATCAAAACTCAGAAAATACAGATGAACTTTTATTTGCTTTAAAACAGTCAGCAGGACGTAGAACACATAATCAGATATTTCTGAAGCTGCATCTTACTCATTCTAAGTGATCATTGTTTACAAATCAAAATTCAGAAAATACAGATGAACTTTTATTTGCTTTGAAACAGTCAGCAGGACGTAGAACACATAATCACTCTCCATGTGTTTCTTGATGATCGCATGTGAAATAACAAGGATCCTCCTTGTAAGCAATAGTTCAATTGTGTGCATCTGGTGGTAGAGAGAAAGAACGCATTGCCCTCTGGCTTATGGTTCCATTTTAGTAACTAAAAAAATATATAAAAATAGGAAGACTGTGTATAAACAAGTAACTGTAGCATATTTCTCTCTACTGTTGGTACTCATCACTTTCTAATAGAATTAATGATTTAACATATGCTGTTAAGTTGGACTTCATCATAGAAGCCAAGGTTTTCTTAAAAAAATCAATATTTAAATATATTTTGTACTTTAAACTGCTTCCTAGAAATAAATGCAGAAAAAGGATGCAATAATTCAGTCCAGTAAGCACTAACTATGAAACCACTGTGTGCCTGCACTGTTTGGGGAATTTGTCTTTAACCATAAAAGGCAAAATTTTGGTTTTTTTTTTACCCCATTCAATTTACTTGAATATTTTCAGGCTGTTGGAAGTTTTAAATATCTTGATGCTCAATGTGGAAGTGGAGAAAAACATCAAGCAATATGTGTAGCTTAACTGGGGGCAAAATGCAGTTCTTATTTCTTCTCTGCCTGGGAATGGGAAAATAGACATAGATCATCTTATTATTTTTAAAAAAGGTAAAGATTATTTTGTGATCAGCATATTTATATGGAAGCAAAATTTTGGGTGTTTTACAAGGCAAGAATATGTATTAGGCAAAATAGCATCATGCTAACAAAAAGTGTTCAATATATGGCTTTTGTGGTGCTGATTTTTAGATACACAGTACAACTGACAAAACTAATCTCTTTTGTGTTATCACCAAGAAAAGTAGGTCAGTCTATTCTAATTGGAATGTCTGGAAAATCTTAAAAACTCAAAATAAGTGTAATCAAGTTGTTTTTTTGCCAATTAATAGACAAGTTGAGGGAATATATTAAAATAAATGAAGAGCAGTTGAAAATACTTCAGAACGATGTTCTCTCTCTTCTCCCTCTTCCTGCTCTTCCTCCTCTTCCTCTTCTTCCTCTTCCTCTTCTTCTTCTTCCTCTTCCTCTTCCTCTTCTTCTTCTTCTTCCTTTCTCTTCCTTTCTCTCTCTCTCTCTCTCTCTCTCTCTCTACCTCTGTCTCTCCTGGTCACTGGGCTTTCAATTTCTAACTCCTACATCGGTGATGGATAAGAGACTGACTTTAGTAGTTTCTCATGCATCAGAAGCAACAGCTGTTTTAACTGGCAGATCAATGCGACCATTCCTGACAGGAAGTGCACTAGGACAATGAATGTAATCGAAGCTGCAGAATTTAGGGAGGCAGCATACCATTGACCAACTTGGAATGTGGCCAGATTATTGCAGCTAATACTTCTTTCCAGAGGAAGGAACTCACTGCACAAAGTCATAACTTCATCTGGACTGAAGGCCTTTTCTCTCTGGCAGTTCTATCCTTCTCCTCTTAATGATATGCCATAGTTTAGAATTATTTTTTAAAGAAGTACCCAGCATGATATATGAATGCCAACTTCTTTAAATGTATGTTTTGCCATTTTTACAGTTTATCAAACCAGATTTACACAAAATACCTAGGGAAAAATAAATAACAGAACAGATAAGGTAGTTGGGTAATGGTATGGTGAAAGGATTACATAAACTGTTTTTATTTTACAAATTAAAATTCTAAAACAGATCACTTGAGAACTGGACGACTTACAATTCCACTTGAGTGATGTGCATTTATGGAGCAGGTGTTATGAAAAGGACTGGAGCACGGAAAGAATGAAGCTGTCTTTCAACATTTTAATCTCAAGGGAAATCTTACAGAACCAACAGCATAGATGGATACTGAGTGAACAGATGACAAGTGGGGTTGCTCCATTCTCTGGAAAATATGATGATAAGCAACAGATTTCAGCTGTTCCTTAAATTTTTCCTCTACTGGAAGACAAAGCTGCCAAGAAATGAGGATACACAGATTATGACACAAAAATAACCCCTCCACCTGTATCACATCCTGACAAGTCACAGCATTTCTTTGATTCAAGTGTAGGAGACCTACTCATGAAGAGAAATTATCTTCTCATATGAAATATTGTATTCCACAAAAGAATAAAGCAAAACAAATAAGTATTTCTGTGACATTCTTTAGCAATCAGTTTAAAATACCTCTTAACATCTGTAATCAGGGGTTCACATAAATACTAGCATAGAAGGTTGAATCCCACTTTCAAACAACACCACCATCACAACACAGACAGCAATTACCAAAGCTAGGAGAAATTAAAGGCAAAGTTCTAATTACTCGAATTAAATACACATTATTTACTCTAATTTAAATACACATTATTTTTTAGCTCTTGTGATACAAAATGGAACTTATGCCTGCTCCTAACATTTGTGGAGGCCAAGGCAACAATATAAAAGCAGGCCTATATATTACCACATATCTTTTAAATTAAGTAAACAGATCTTTCCATTTACTGTAACAAATACACTTTCACAGCAAATGAAACAAAATCAGAAAATATGTGTAAAGCTGTGTGTTTTACATGACTTAAACTTGGCAAAATACCAAAGCTGAATGAATTTAATGACTATTGCTTGTATTGGGTGTTTAGTTGATGGGCAAATGATGTCTTGATTAATCATACAATTAACAACCATAATAAATATATTATTATATGTTATGGGCTAATGATGTCTTGATAATACAATTAACAACCATAATAAATATATTATTATATGTTTTCTATAAAATTTGTTTTCTTCATTTCAGCAAACTCATTAAATAGGTTTTTGAAATCAAGATTTTTACATATGTAATTTGTTTTCTTATAACATTAATGATCTAAAGAACTAAATATGTAATTATATTCAAAGTATACAGAATTTGAATATATTTTCATCAATAATAAATGTATGTAAATGGAAACATTTTAATTATTTTGTTATCAAACAAAATTATGTCTTCTAAAATATTCTTAAAAGGTAGAATTCAAATTATAATTATTAAACATAAGTACTTTAAAAAATTACTTAAATCTTATTAAATAATTTTATTAAAATAAATCAATTTATAGCTCTACTATTCAAGGTTCATGTGGTTGCCAATGTAAAGAATCAGTATCACACATTTTATTACTAGACCTACAAATACAAAGTTAAAAGAATGTCCTTCAGCTGCCATGTGTAACAGTTGAGAATAGCATACTAAATTTGTGAGTACAGACAGAATCACGAATGGGGAACATATAAAGAAGAAAGGCACATTGGGACCTAAGCAGTACAATGTGGTTGAAGGTGCTGAAAAAAATAGTTGCTGTGGAAGGAAAACCTACCCCAGCTGTTGGGTGATTTCATGAGGGAACTCTCTCGCAGTCCAGCATACAGAGTCCAAAGATGCGTGATGAAGTTGGGCTGATTCCAGCAGGTATGGCTATCCAAGGAGATTCAATCTGCTGGGTGGGAATACAGCCAAAGGAGCCCATAGGCATCAGGCTGTACTAGAAGTAAAGAGATGGATGGAACTGTGGTTTGAAGTGATATACAGCAGAACCTCCTCGAGTAGTGGAAGGGTCCAGGTAACAGAGCTCTACCTCCATAGACAAGCCTGTCAAAGCTAGGCAGGATGTCAGGGCCCCAGCCAAGTGGGCTTGGGTGTAGGGAAAAGCTCTATATCCAGATGGCTTTGAAATAATTAGAGAAAACCAAAGCAGATGTCTGGATGTATACATAGATTCGCTCCATACAACTAGGGTGAGAGGAAAGCAATGATTCAACAGGCAAATGATGGGGGTGAAACAGGAAGCATATGGACCCCTGGTCCCCTCCACTTGCTGATGGTGCAGATTTTAGGCTCTGGTGAAAACTGTTTCTGGTTTTGGTTGAGGTTGACTCTATATAGAAAGGGCATTAATTATTATAGGTGAGTGAAGCTCAGGAAGAGATTGGCTGAACAATATTAAAATAGTTCCATGAGAGGGCAAATATTTTTTAAGTGTACATATGGGATTGGTAGGGAAATTATTTATTATTGGTTTAATCCATGGGTCCAACATATTGGTGAAAGCTAATTTAACTTTCGCTATGATGACATTTTGACCCAATATATGTGGGTAAATTTGGCATTAAAACATTATACAAGTTTTCATTGATAATATCACGTGAAAGGATATATAAAATCAATTTTGGAAAATATTTATCATACATATTAAGACTCTTGAAACTGCTATTTTCTATAAGTCAAAATGGGGCCCTGTGACTCTGCAATTACCTTAATATGGATAGTTTTTGTGACAATGCTGAATGACTGAAATTGTGTATCACTTTTTAGTATCCAGTATAAAATAGATCTCTATTATGAGACTAAGCTGATCCATGGATCAGCTGTGTCTGTGAAAATGCAAATTTTTGAACACAAGATTTTAGAGGAAAGATGAAGTATATTCTTTCAAGTCCAAAAAAGTATTCTAGATTAATTTCACATTCTGAAGATGACTTTCAATGCTTTCAGTAATGCTGACATCGTACAGGATTTCAAAGAAAGTTTTAGATTTGGAACATGGGTTTCAAGCGGCTGGCAAGCAACATGCAGCATTTGCTTGTTCTTACTGGCTTTTAAAATTCCAGATCAACAACTTTGTCTTTATATGACACAAGAGACTCATAATCAAGGAGCCACGTAGTCATTTAGACTTGGGGGTCTGCACTTTATAAAGTAATAAGTGAATCATAGGAAATCGAAATAATTTGTATTGATGTTTTTCCTAAAAAAGATCCTATTTTAAATAATATTTTAGCTCCCCTGACTGATGTAAACTAGGAAATGACCTCTCCTAGGAAATCACTTAGGTGGAAGAATTCATTTTGCTGATATTCAGGAAAACACTTTGATTTTAACTGTAGTTTAATATTATTTCCTGCTTACCTCCTTTACATAAGAGCCAACATATCAGTCTCCCTTTAAAAACATGTTCCTATTTCATTTAAATTATTCTCCCACTAGTCAGCTTCTTGAAATAAGGGTTGGCATTACAGACATAAGCTGTAGTGTGTATTTAAAAAATATATTTAGTAGCATTAACTAAAAATACACAAAAATATTAATACTTAAGTCCAATGATATCTAAAAAAACTGATAATGATATGACATGAGTGTGTGCTCTGCCAGTACTTATTCATAGTCACCTAAAGTGATTTCCTAGCATCACTTTTTTATTGCAGTAACAAAAATAACACACAATGAAATCTACCTTCTTAACAAAGTTTAAAGCATACTGTACAGAATTGTTAACTAATATACACATTGTTACACAGCAGATCTCTAGGAGTTTTTCCTGCCTGTGTGACTGAAATTCTATACTCATTGACAGCACCTCCTCATTTCCCCTCCTTCCTGACCCCTGGCAACCTTCCAGTTGCCACTTTTAATGAATGATCCTTTATTTAATAGTCTGCATTTCTAGAATTCTTCATAAGTACCTATTCCTATTGTTATGAATTTTTGTTTTGAGTTGTTTTTACTAAATAATTGTTTCCAGAATCTTCAAAAGCTTTCCAGGGATGACTAGCCATTTTTTTACTTCTTTGTTATCTGGTGTTTCTGTTACAAAACATAATTCTTAATTAGAAATTTTAATAAGATGAAGTGACAGAAAATGTAATTGGTACATCTTTGTGTATACATTGCATTCTTTAATCTCTGCATCTGACCTCAAGGTAAAAGGCTAATTTTATTCTGTCTACAAAATAATTTGATACGGTATTCCTTGATGTCTATCTGTGCATAATGGCGTCATCCCCCAGTTGGCTCTGAATACTAGTTTGTGAGATAAGACTTCTAATAGTAGTAGTCCATTCCCTACCTGAATCTTAGCTTCTTAGTATTCTCTACAGGAATTTGCTACTACTAGTATGTCTATCTTTTCTATTACAAATTCTTTATATCCTGCCCAAACTCTAGACTTTGCCTTCATTTTTGTTTATGCAAAATCTAAACATGATTGTGTTTTTATGGTACACAGGTCTATCTACTTCCATTCCATTTTCTCACAAAAAGCTCACCAGAGCAAAGAAGACCATTGACATTCTCCCAAAAGCTGTTCCCTCACCATATTACAAAGGGCTTAAAGAAGGAGAAAGCTACCATATCAAATCTTAAATTACCCTATCCTAAAAATGGTTCTCAATACTGTTAATAAGATGGACACCGTAATATAAAGACCTAAAAGGCTTTTGGAACAGGCAGACATAATATAGAATCCTGGGTCATCGTTTGGTCATTGCACAGTCAAGTTACATAATATTCTTGACTTTCGATTTTGTCATTTTTGAAAAAACAATAATAATATCAATCTGAGCAATACTATCAATTCTCTATTGCGAAAATTAAGTTATATGCATATTTAAAGTACCTGACATGGTGCCTGTGCAGATTAAGTGCTGAACACATATAAAGATCTTTCCTTTTGTGTTCTTACTTCGGAACCCTGACTTGTTTTAGTAGTGGCTAAGAGAGACTGTTAAGGAGATGAAGAGATTAGAAAAGACATTGTGTTCAAACGAGGTCTACACGTGGGCAGCCTGAGTGCTTAGCTGTAAGTAGAATTATTTGGGCAGATATTGACACGTGTACCCAGAGCCAGGTTAAAGGATGGGTCAGCTGATCTATTAGAGATACCAAGTCACCACTGGAATTAATTAGAGATATGGTGCTTATGTGAATCCTTTTATGAGTGGCAAAGTGTAAAAATGATCGATCCCTTGAATTGCAACTCAAAACTACTCTGGGCCAGAATCAACCTATCTCCACTAGCTATTCTGAAGTATGCCCCTGTAAGTACATGGCCCTGTAAGTACAGGCCCTGCCACCAACCCTGAGACTAAAGTCTGTAGTTGCTGTCAGCTGAAATGTTAAAACTGACTAGAACACATGGTATATGATATTTGTTGAGAATCAGTGATTTATATCTGAAGTTTAAGCACTGATATGTTTCCAAAGATACTGTCTGGTTCTGAAACATCACAAAAGTAAAACTGAAGATAGAACAGAAACCACAGAAAAATGAAAAATGTTTTGTAGGTATTAATATGCAAGAGATAGAGAAAGAGAGAGAAGAAAAAAATTTAAGTACTAGAAACTTGTAACTATATCCATTAAAATCACTTATCACTTGTGAATGCTGGTGACTAGTGCTGTCCACGTGACAGTACAGATATGAGTGATAATTTCAGATAAATTAAAATGTTATATTGCTTTTAGTACATATCACAAATTCCTCATTTTGAATATAAAGAGAAATACATGTGGAACAAATACTTTAAGAATATTGATGAGAAGGGATGACACTCACATATTTTAATCCTACCCAGCCTGTTTTGCTAGTCGATATTTTAGGGCATAGATATTTATTCTACTTTTTGTACAAAGAAACTCAGAGAACAGACATAATCACATTCATATATCTAAATGCCTACATACACATAATCACATACCTCCATGTAAATATACTCAAGATATAAATAAATAAGAAAACAAGAGCCAAATTATAGGGACTTATAATAGCAAATGGAAATAAAATTTTAAGTGTTATAATTAAACGGGGTTTGGAAACGATTTTCAAAAAGAACAAAATTGTAGAAATTATACTACCCAACTTCAACACTTATAAAGGTGTAGTAATCAAGACAGTTTGATATTGGCATAAAAATAGACAAAATAATCAATAGACAGTATATATGCACAGAAATGGACCTACACACACACACACACACACACAAACACACACATATATACCGACATATGATATATATGTATATATATCAATTGACAAAGATGCAAAGGCAATTCAGTGGAGAAAATAGACTTTTTCAACAAATTGTGCTGGAACAAATGAATATCCAAGGACAAAAATTGACGAGCCTTTGAGCCTAGCAGTGGCATGTGATTAATGCAGGGAGCGGGTTATAGAGGATGAGCGCTTCTGACACAGGTTCCCATTTGTGCTCAGTTTGGGACTGATGAATTCAATGTCTTTTTCATCATTTGTCCACTTCAATCCAAGGACTGACTCTGTGGAACTGACTGCCAAGAAATAAATGTCTTTGCTTCAAATCAATCATTGCAGACAATCTATTTTATTAGTTTGTATATCTCAGGACAGATCTTTACAACACATATGAAGGTGACTTTGTGGTTTTGTGCATTAAGTTTTAAATGCTTTTGTAGAGCAAAATATGGAAAACTGAAAGAATAGGTTAGAAAGGACCAAAAAAGATGAAAAGAAGGACATTTGGAAAGAGAAACACAGTGCGGTGGAAGTCTATATGTAAGGCTACAAATATGCAATTCACTTATAATTACTAAATAAAGTAATAATATTACAAATTATAATTTTTAATGAGGAATTTCATTAAATCTATTGCAAAAGTTTTAAATACATTGATTTTGTCACCTATTATTAGATTAATAGGTCAAATTGCAAACAGACTTTCTAGTCATTTCAGAGTAATAATAAATGGATTAAACATGTAAGGTGTGAATTTGTAGTGGGGTTTTTAACATGATAATATTTACTTCTGCAAATCTTTTATTTGGTTTTCCAAATTGTAATTTACATTAATACTTTCATTCTTGTGTTGGAGTGTGGGTTAGGTTATTTATCCTTTTTTTTTTTTTTTTGAGATGGAGTCTCCCAGGCTGGAGTTCAGTGGGGCGATCTCGGCTCACTGCAACCTCTGCCTCACAGGTTCAAGTGATTCTCCTGCCTCAGCCTCCCGAGTAGCTGGGATTACAGGCATGTGCCACCACGCCAGGCTAATTTTCGTATTTTTAGTAGAGATGAGGTTTCGCCATGTTGGTTAGGCTGATCTCAAACTCCTGACCTCCTGATCCACCCACCCTGGCCTCCCAAAGTGCTGGGATTACAGGTGTGAGCCACTGCGCCCGGCCTATCCTATTTTTTTTTATAATGGATACAGTGTATTGTATTAGAAAAAATGTATATGCATGAGTTGAATATGTTATTAAAAATGTGTGTGTGTGTATATTTTATGGGGGAGAGTTTCTGTTATACGTAAGCATATAGTCTTTGCAGGTTTCTACACCAGATTGGGGAAAAATCAGGCAAAAGTGGTAGACTAAAAAGGCTTCCACAGTATTCTATCCAAAATGATCTGAGGGAGCGTAGAGGAGAAAGATTAATTTAACCAAAGCATCGTGGCTGTACCCAGGAATTCCCACTCCTGAGGTAGATCCTAAGTGGGATGAGGTCTTTTGAATGGAAAAATAAGGAATAAGACTACTGAGTAGTGGTTGAAGCACAGACTTTTGGAATAAAAGACATAAGTTAAAATATTAGCACCACCACTGAGAGGTTGTTCAGACCATGAGCAACTTACTAAACTTCTCTGTGTCTCCTTTTCCTTATCTGCAAAATACAGATAGTAATGGTACCTACCTCCCTGTGCTGTTATGACGATTAAATGAGATAGTAAATATAAGGGGCTTAGTATGATGCCTAATACCTAGAAAAATGCTCAATAGCTGGTAGCCGTTTTATAAATAAAAGCAGGTCACCCATGGGGAGCACAGAAGTTCACATCAAATGATTCAGGGCTAAAGCTTTGACCTGTGGGAGGATGTTGACAACTAACTGGCTTTTACATGAAATCCACCGTAAAACACAAGTGGTGTTGGTCAGCCGACAGCTTACGCTATTCTGTCTAATAAATTAGCCACTAGCCACATGTCACTAAATTTAAATTAATTGAAATTAAACAAAATTAAAAATGCAGTTCCTCAGTCACAGTAGCCACATTTCAATTGCTCAATGGCCACATATAACTAATGAACAGTGCAACAGAAAATCACCTCTGCAGCAAGTTCTGCTGGACAACACTGGCTTAAAAGTTTCATATGGGTTAAACATCAAGGCAACATTCATGAATAGCTGGTGAATTTAACTAATGTCCACGTCAAAATTAATTTTCCTTAAAGAATCTGAGGCTTATCAAAATTTGTTTCCTGATGGTGCAATTTTTCAAGCTGTTAGAGCATTCTTGATCACTGTTTATATCAGTGCATGTGAATGCATTCAGAGAGATTCTATAAAGGAGGCTGTCCTTGCTTTTCTTGATTGAGTTTTTGAATTCTATCATTAGCCTCAACATCTCTGCAATTATTCATATCTGGTTATTAACATGTTATTTCTATACTCCTCCTCCTCCTTGTCTCCTCCCTCACCCCCACATTCTCAGACTTGGAAGCTGGGGAGACTGTGAGATTCTTAAAGTGATCATTATTTTGCTAGCAGCTGGTTCTTAACAGTCCCTGTTTTGAGACACAGGTGACAAGATCTGTTTCCGTGGCTGCCTTGTTCTACTTCTATTCCTAATGGATCACAAGTCTTGGGATAAAGTGATGTTATACATTGTAGTGTCTGCAGGGCAGCACTTTATGGTATGCTGGGAAGAATCTAAATGTAACATGTGTTGCCAATGCATTTACAGTCATTAGTTAACCAAGCCGCCCATGTGCCTGTCTCAGCTCCCTGACCCACATTTCATCCATGCTCTGCTGTTTTTCTCCTGCAGGGTTATTTCCTGAGTAAATCCCAGAGCTTATGAGTCCCCCAGCAGAGAGCTCTGTTCTGACCTCCCTAAACAGGCAGTTTCACCTGCTGGGCTAGTGTTTTTCTGCTTCTTAGTCAATCTGTTAAAATTTTAGCAGGAGATACTTGGATACCTTTTCAGAAAACATATGGAAGATTGTAATTATTTTGGCCCAGTACAATTTTAGAATTGAGAGAGCAAGGAAGAGGCGCAAATCTCCTGCTCATAAATAACCAAATCTGTGGGCACTTTAAAAAGCATTCTGTGCAGCAAGAGAATTTACGTGCCACATTTCACCCTTGGCACACTTTCCAAATGAATTGTTCAAAGAGAAGTTATATTAGGACAAATAGAAATGACGACCAGGACCAGATGTGGATCTTTAGTTAATATTTATGCAACACCCAAAGGGAAGATAGTATTGCACAATAAACTAAAAATGTCTTAGGCAAATAAGGAAATCTTTACCCTGAGGAACTGGCACTGCAAAGGTATGAATTATACAACAAAGGACTGAGAATGCAGAACAAATGCAGGGTAGGTCGGGGCTACTATAAAAAGGAATTCATTGAGGAAGTGGTGAGGTAGCAGATGTGTGGAGCCTACTTCAGGAAAATAAGGGCTTAGCGCTTTTTTGGCCAGTATTGTGTCTAAGGTAGAAAATTCAAGCCAGCCATCCTAATTTCCTTCACCTGTGGAGAGCAACTGTCGCTTTAAATAGAACATACACATATTCAGAACTGATGCTGCAACCTTACATCAAATAAGTACACCTTGATAAACTAAAAACCTATGTCCTCAGATTTTAAATGATCTCCAACAATAATGATGACATCTTTAATCTGATTTTCCTCCTAAAGTTGTTCCAGGAAGGTAGAAAATTCAGGAATTGGCTGCTTCTCAGCCCTTGGAGAGCAATCTAAAAGAGACCATGGCTTAATGCTCTGGAAGGATATTGAAACCTACATTAAATTATAATAGAAAAATTTGTTAAAAGCAACTGGATTTCTCAAACACAGCTAGGTTTTCAGCCTTCTGTTTATCAGGGAAGGCAAGATGTGCCATTTTACAGCCCATCTCCCAGTCACCTAGGCTTCCAATTCAGAGGTATTGGGAGGTGGGGAAAGGAGAAAACGAGGAGATGGAGGAGTGTATAAAATTTATTTAAAACTATTGGAGCCATGGCTGGGCGCAGTGGCTCATGCCTATAATCCCAGCACTTTGGGAGGCCAAGGCAAGTGGATAACTTGAGGTCAGGAGTTCAAGACCAGCGTGGGCAACATGGTAAAACCCCCGTCTCTATTAAAAATACAAAAATTAGTCGGGCTTGATGGCACACACCTACAATCCCAGCTACTGGGGATGCTGAGGCAGGAGAATCGCTTGAGCCCGGGAGGCAGAGGTTGTAGTGAGCCAAGATCGGGCCACTGCACTCCAGCTTGGGCGACAGAGTGAGATTCTGTTTCAAAAAAAAAAAAAAATTAAAAATTAAATTAAACTATTGGAGCCTTAAAAATGAACACAGCTGTGGAAAAGGCTTACAAGCTTTTAGCATGTGGAACCCAAAGCTCTCTAATATTTTTACATATCTGAGTCCTCTTAATAACTGAAGAGACCTGTCCATGTGACTCCCCTTCACGGGTATTCCTGCAGACTTGATGTATTCTGAAAAACTGTGAACCTGCTCCCTTCCTCTCTCCTTGGTTAATACTTCACGATCTTTAACACTAACGACAAACAATAAATCAGCGATGAAAATTTTTGGATTTTCCAGCTGTTACGTAGTTTCTCCTAAGCACATTTATTTTGTTCATTTATTAACAATCTTTTTAAAGTTTCTTCTCCGTGTCCAGATGTTATAGGCTCTGGGTTTTATGTGGAAAAGAAGACTGACAGGATCCCTGACCTCATGGAGCTTCCACTCAGTGGTGCTTCCAGATACTAATACATACTATGAAGAAACTAATACATGGTGGTTGGATAGAGATTGATGGGGGAGAGCCTACTTTATTTCTGAGGTTATGCCATTTGAGCTAAGACCTGAATGGTGAGAAGGAGCTAGAGAAGGTTTGAGGAGAAGAACCTCATGCAGGAGGAAGAGAAAGTGGTTAGTTCCTGAGAAGGATGTCTGTGTTGTACACATATGAACACAACATGAAGCGGGAGGGGTAGTCTGGGCTAAATGAAGGCTTGGCTGGCCATGGTAAGAATTAGTTTTATTAGCTGTAAAACAGGAAGTTGTTGGACATTTAAAAATACAACAGGAAGTTGTGGAACATTTAAAAATTGGGAATGTATAGGTTTTCAAAGGAAACTTCTGCCTAAAGTTAAAATTGGGGAAGGGAGGCATTGCAGGGGTAGAAGTACGGGGACCACTTAGAGGGCTACTGCATTTGTCTATGCAGGAGATGAGGGCAGCTGGGCTGTGGACTCAAGTAGTAAAGATGTGATAGGATGTGTTTTGGAGGTAACTGTCCAGGTTTTTGTTAACAAGTAAAATGAAACGAGGAAGCTAGAAAGCATAGTAATAATGATATACTAGCTAATACTTCTGTAGCACTTTCCTGGTCCCTTTTAGATATTTTACATAGGTTAACTACTTTAATACTCATAATAACAGTACTCATAAGATAAGTACTATTATTATCACTGTTTCATAGATTAGAAAACAGAGTCACAAAGAGGTTGAACGACTGGCCAAAGATCGCCCAAATAGTAATAGCAGAGTATGCACTCAAACTTAAACATCTGATCCCACAGTATGTGTTCTTCCTTCAGTGTTCTAGGACACCATATACATATTTTATATATACTATATATATCTCAGCATGTAAGTGCATTGGAGAGACACAGAGCATCAGGATGGACTAACTGATATGATTTTCAAAATTTTCAAGTGAGCAAAGGTTATGGAGGAAAAGGGTAAAAGATCAGTCCCTACCTGTAAAGACATAATTCCTTTTATTTTTGTTTACATATATTTGTCCAGGGCACAAAAAATGTGCTACTGTGGATGGCATAACAGGTATAATATTAATAAATATTCATCATTTTATCTGTGTGTATCCAATACAGATTTCTCAGATTTCCTTGTGAAATCAGGGAAATATGTAGCTTTGTTCTACAGAAGCCCAGACCACGGTATTTTCTTTCCAGGCCACTGCTAGACACCCAGGGGGCTCAATTTCTTGCCACAGTTTCGGAGAGCTTGCTGGTTAGGTGCTGCTCTTGGTTGGAACCAGTCGGCCCGCATGCAAAACAGACCTGTCTTCCACACCTTGTGGTTACTATGCAGCAGGGGGCGCTGCAGTAGTGTACATCGCGGTGCACCGGAGCTACTCTCCTGGCCAGAAAGCCAACAAGCCGGGAGGAGGCGTGTCAGGCAGCCCTGGGTCCTCTTTGGTCTTGCAACTTTAGTACCCAGAGCTTGTTCTACACAGACCATTCTACACCATATTTCACCATGTTGGATGCTTTCCATCCAGTCCTGCCTCCGAGCGGAAAGGAAAGGGCATTAGCTTACTGCCTTACTAGGTTTAAGTATAATGCTGTACCGGCTTGCACTAGAGGTTTCTCTCCTGTGTTCTCAGGGTCAACCCGACAGTCCCTCTGAAACCACGAAGGGGTCCCCGGGCAGTTGCTGCGGGGTGTGTGTGTGTCTTTCTTTCCCTTTTTGGGGTCCTTTCTTTTTAACCTTACTGAAGGAGGAAACGTTTCTCTCCCTACACGTCTTTCCACTGACATTGTGGCCAACCGTAGGCTAAGAGCTGAAATCTCTCCTTCCTAAGTTGCCTCCAAGCTCTCCAATACTACCTCCTCCCCCCCATTTAGTCTCACACACAGTGTGCGTGAGAGATCGCCAGTGAGTTTGTGACAACCGAAGCTGCAGCAGTCGCCAAACCTGTTCTTCCTCTCCCGGTCTCAGAAGTCTCTCCAGCTGACCGGACTTACGCCTGGCAGCTCTTGGCACACACAGCGCTGTGGCTGAGATTCAGCCGTGCCAGGCGCTGCCAGGCAGCAGCGGGGCGACCGACCACCTCCTCCTCGACCTCCTTTCTCCCAGCTTCCCCTCCCAGGGTGCACTGTATCTACTCCTTTGGGCTGTCTTCCAGCCGTCGCCCTTGGGTCCCGGGGGCTTTCCAGAGTGAAATCGAAGGTGAAAGAAACAAGAGGACGGGAGGCTGGTAGGAGGAGCCTCCAGGCCGGGGAGGGTGGGAGGAGCCTCCAGCCCGAGGGGCAGGGTAGGAGGAGCCTTCCGGGAGGATCTGGGTGGAGAAAGGGGCTGGGCCAAGCCGGGATGGAGGGTTGGTCACGCAGGCGCGGGGGGCCGCGTCGAGAACCCCACGCGGGAGCTTCTGGAGTCTCCAGCCACCGCTTCTCACTTCACTGGAGAAGGGAGCTGGGGCTGGGGCTGGGGCTGGGGCTGGGAGGGAGCTAATAAACATTGAATGTGCAGCAGCTGCCTTGGCGGCCGGAGTCCGCCCGAGCGACACCGGAGCAGTGCGCCCGGGAGGCGGCGAGGGGAGGCGGTTCGCCTTGTCCCTCCCACCCGCGCCTCTTTCTCTCTCTTCCTCCAGCTGGTCCCAGAGCCCGGCTTGGTCCGGTCCCTCTGCCCCCATCCCGCACCCTTCCACCTCCTCCGAGTCCCACTCCTCACCTAGGACGCCCCAAACTGCCATGGGTTAGGGTGGGGATCGCGACCCGCGCGAAAGACCAGCCCTGCGCTTCCGCCGGGGGACGCGGAGCCCAAACGCCGCTCACCGCTTGCGGGCGCCGGGCATGGGGAGTGTGGTGTGAGCCCGCACCCGGGGAGGACGCAGGAGCTGCGGAGACGGGCGCGAGGAGGAGGAGAGGAGTCGTGGATTGGAAGGACCCGAGGGAGGGAGGGTGGGGAAGCGAGGGAAAAGTGAAGCTGGGAGGAGAAGGCGGCGGAAGGTGGAGATTGATGCTTCTGTTTTTTGTTGCCGCTGCTGCCCTCGCGCTGGGAGCCGAGCCGGAGGGAAGGCGGTGGAGAGATGATTGCAGAGTTGGTGAGCAGCGCTCTGGGGCTCGCCTTGTATCTCAACACCCTGAGTGCGGATTTCTGCTATGATGACAGGTAAGGGGCCGAGAGGAGGGGGCGACGGGCTGCAGGGGGCACACTCCGCAGTGGCTCTGAAGCTTCCCTCTTTAAGGCTCAAAGTGCGTCTTGGAGGAACTGGTTCAGCACCTGATGGTTTAGGCGACACGTAAACATTAACACCTAAATCAAACACCGGGGACGTGAGGCGCGCTGGGCGGGCCGAGGGAGTTTCCGCTCCTAGTTTGCAGCAGGTTCTCTCCCTTGCTTCTCGGCTGTTGGCAGACGCTTGAGTTTCTTAGCGGAAATCCCGGCAATTTGGGAAACTGTTTAATGAACGTATTAAATTAAAGTCTTAGGTATTCCTTGATGCAACAAAGCACATTAAGTGATTTTACGTCTGGTTGGGAGGAAGCCTCTCCTCGATCCCTGATAGATCCTCCCTGTCCCGTTTCCTTTTATTGATGGGACACTTTTATTTCCCGAAGTTAAAACACACGTTTGATAGTTGCCAAAATTGTGAAAAGGGAGATCGTTCTCTGCTTTAACTTTCCCTTTTAACGTGTATAGACTTTTACTTTGAGCCAAAATAATGCTGCTGATGGTCTCTCCCGCCGCCCTAGCCTCCTTCACCAATCCATTGGGCAGCACTTTATAAAAGCCTCGGCTTTCTCATTTCTGTTTGGGAGTTGTACATTAGATGTTAGTGGTTCTTTTGTACTAATTGGAGAAGAAGACGCCCCTAGAGACTGAAGTTGTCTTCTGCACTTAGGTTAGTTTGGGTGGCTAATGAGACCTGAACTGTGTTGTCAAAGAAACTGCATCGATTTCTGGAAAATGTCACCGTTGTGTTGGTGTCTCTTCCTATCTTTTAAACGTTATTAGTGTTCAGAAAGTGATGAAAAGCCCCTATATCCATTAGGGAAAATTCCAATTTGTGTCCTTCCGGTGTCTTAATCTGATTACAATTAAAACAGATGCATAATTAAAATATATTAGGGATAACAGCACGCCTGGCTAAACTTATTAACCGTCCTGGGGTGTTTCATGCTCCATTGAAATTAAACCATCCAAAAAGTGAGCACAGATTTACTTTGACAGCTTTTCAGCAGCCTCTCTGAGCTATGAAAAGTGAATGGATCCCCAGGGTTAGGGCGAGGCAGTGAGAGCACTTACGCAAAGTGGTTGACAGTGAGGGGAGGTGAAGGCAGAATCTTCTTCTCGTCGTAATTAGCCACATTCTGTATTCTCTGGTGTGCCCATTCTCCTGCTAAAAGCATCTTCACATCTCTGTTAAAAAATCACCTGATAATAGGTGCCAGAACATCCAGCAAACCCGTCTTAATGCATTTTATGTAGTGCCTACCAGAGGCTAGTTGATAGGGAACCACTGTTAGACATACATTTTTTCTTAACTTTTACGCAGCATACTGATTTTAGCAACTACACAGCATGCTCTGAGAAATGGTCTGTAGGAGTGAGGTAAATTTCTGTTCTCTCCAATTTTGTGTAATGGTGCACCTGCTATTTCTAGCATATTCGTGGAAAAAGCCCTTGTTTCCAAAGATGGGTGACTTTTCACTAAAACCAGCTTGGGTCAGTGTGGGCAGTTACTGGCTCTGTTGGGGGCGGTTTGAATAGTAAGCATTTAAACCAAGAATATAGAGTTTATTTAAAAAAAGAAACTTACTATAATAATGCAACTTGATGGGTGACTTTTCACTAAAACCACCTTGGGTCAGTGTGGGCAGTTACTGGCTCTTGGGGGCAGTTTGAATAGTAAGCATTTAAACCAAGAATATAGAGTTTATTTAAAAAAAGAAACTTATTATAATAATGCAACTTGTTATAGAACACGGTGGTGAATCAAGTATTCCTATTGTATGCCCTTGTTCATTGCTGTCTAATCCTTAAGAAAATACACATCAGAAGAAGCCATTCTTTAAAAATTAAGGTTAAATTTGGATATGCATTTTTCTATAGGTATAATTGTTCTGTGCTCTTGAGTCATCAGAAGTGTTAGGACTGGACCTTGTAACTTGGAAGAATGGTGTGAGTGTGATGATAAATTAGTTGTGCTTTGATGGTTGGCAGTTGTAAGTTTTTCAGATGCAATAGTCTAATGGAGTGTTAAAATTCGTGACTTCTATCTTGTAGCTACATAGGTGAATATAGTATGATTATTTGCCCATATGATTTTATTGATAGCATGCTCAATATGATGTCTAGATAGTATATATTGATAAAATATTGAGGGCCTGTAACTGTGAATTATACTTTGCTACAATTTGAAAAGTGTATTTTACACTGATTTCTTAGCAGAACTACATATGCCATCACATATTCTTAGAATGTGAAATCTTAAGAGCAGCAAACTTTGTTTTTATGTATCCTAGAAATTATGAGACACATAAATAGGAGCACTGAACTTATTTGTTGTATGCACAGCCTGTTCAAGTGATTCATTGTGAAGTTACACTATAAATTGTGGCTTTTCTGATATATTTTCTATCTAACTACTGTAACTCACTGGTGTGTGAAGGGGGAGGAAAGCTGGGGAGCCAAGTGTAAACTGTAGGATGATGATAATTTGTTTATTTCCGCTACTACATTTCAGATGCAAAGATTCATGTTTAAAACATTGCTTAAACTAGACCTGTGGATTCTGCTGCCCTCCAGGAACTTTTGTGAAATCCAGTTCTGTAAGGAGAGGCCAGTGCCAGAAGTGAAGGGAGAAGCACTCAAGGGAGATGGCTGTTATTCCTGACTTGCTTAACTAAATCATTATTGCTGTGGTACTTCTCAAGGTTATCATTTCTTTTAAATATAGTGATCGTTTACTTTATAAACTATATATAATTTCTTTCCATGTTTGATGTAGCTTGGTTGAAATTAAATGGTAACATGAAACTTTCTTATAGCACAATCAATTTCTCTATGGTAAAATTTAATATTTTACAAGTGTTTCTGTGCTAAATTTAAGAATATGCCTCTGATGTGATGAAACAAACAGTGGAGGAGAAGAATTCACAGTATCTGATGAAAAAGGGTATGTGGTTTCAGCTTCATCCTCCCTCCCCTTGCTTTCAATCTAGTATTGAATCTTAAGTTGTGGTTAGAGGAAAATTGAAATTAACAATATGCAGTCTTTGCCAAATTTTAAGTTATGTTGTATGTGATTCCTTAAAGGATTTTCTCTTATTTTCTGGAGAAATTTGGTGTTTAGGTCAGTGGTAAAACTTCTCTGACCCAAAACTCTCTGCATTCTTACGCATTTGTTGAGGATGACATGGCATCACTTTTTTCTTATCCTTTTTAATAATACTGTTATGAGTTTCTTATGGAGATAACACCATGAGAGGAGTCAGTTTACTTCAAAGCAGACAAAGGTAAACAAACCATAACTGTTCTAAACTTTAGAAGTCTGATTTCACTTAGCACATATCTTCTAATTGGTGACATGCCCTTTTTATACATCGACAAGTAAATAAGATAATGCAACTTTTACATGCTTTAAATTCTCATATGAGTAAAATAATTTATTAGTTTGCAAAGACAATTTGCAGGTTTGGAAGTAGAAAATATATTTGCGACTCCTCTGAAAATTTATTTTCTTATTGCCCATTTTGCATTTGTTAAACTCAACCAGAATCATTAATGTTACCTGTAGATCTCTTAGCTATTCCACTGTGCAGTAATTTTTTGAAACTTGGAGAAACAACTACACAGCAGAAGTTTCTACTATGGAATTAAAATTACATCAAGCTCTTAATAATTCACTCCTAGTTAGCTTTTCATTTGGGTATAAATGGAAATCTCAGTTTTTATAAACACATGAGTTAATTTTTTCTTTATAATGATTTTAATATTATTTAAAATGAAGGAATGGAATTTAAGTATATTAACAATTTTTTTAAAACCTGCATTCTTTCTAAAGATATTGAACTATTATTTCTGCTTGATCTTTTAATGTTATTGTTAGTTTGGGTTTTTTGACCTGGTATGATAGGAATCCCTCGTGAAATAATCACTCTGTTAACTTATCTTTAAAAAGTTCTCTCTAATAGACTTGTCTTTGACCAATCTGAGATTGTTATCTTAAGATTCCAGCATGTGTAACTACTGAAGGCAGGCCTGGTATTTAGTAAAAAGCATGTTTAGAAAGAATTACTATATAATTAAGTAAGGGAGAAGCTCTCTTTGTATCAGTGGTTGTCTTATCAAGTGATTATTATAAGAAGCCACTGTATACAGAAGTATGGTCTTACTCTTCAGTTTCCTTCCCAGTTTTCACTGGAATACAAGTTAGAGTTTATAAATTATTTTAGGTGGCATTTTATTTTCTAACTACATTTTGATTGTTTAAACAAACCTATTTGGAAAAAGTTCATTTTGCTGTTTTGAATAAGTATATCTCATCAATAAATTAAAATTAGGTGAAGTCAGTATGAACCGCTTTACCTCCATTGAGCCTGTCACATGATGTTTATCATAGTAATTGACCCACATACATGCATTGAATGGACATGTGCAAATGCCACAGGGAAAATTGCCATCTGTCTCTTAGTTGTTTTCATACACACATACACACACACATACATGCACGATTATTACATTTACATTGGTGATTCTATGGGCTTTTGTTTTGTCATCTGCACTTAGTTCTTCAGTGCTAATGTGCCCCTGTTGTTAATACTGAATTCTCTTCTGCTATAATTTTGAAATAGCAACAACCTTTTGCATTCCAGCATGCATTAGGAACATAGTTTGTCTTTCTAACAGTTTTGTTGCTGCTCAGCACACTAAAAGCACTTTTCAAAAAAATGCCTCTGGTGGTACAACTGTCTTTCGTAGGCTAAAGGTGCGTTGTCTCTAAAGCAGGAACCTTTGTAATATTAGGAAAGGATGACGTTTACCCTTAAGGCTCTTTGAAAAATCTGTGGCTGACAAACCTACTTTCTTATAACTTTATTATACTCATCTGAAGTGCTTTTAACACAGCAACTTTCATCTGTTAACCTTTCTGGTTCTCTCTTAGGAGCAGAGTATTGTATCAGCTTTGGATACTTATTTTAATGGCTTCACAAAAGTGACAAGTGTGGCAGCCTCCAAGGAAAGGAACGGTGGGTTATTGAATGTAAAGACCTCTCCTCTATAAATAGCTGTCCTCATTTAGGAGCTCAGTTTTTTAAAAAAGTGGAGGGATATTTCAGCAGGACTGCATACCTTCTTTTTTTCATTGGGTGAAAAAGGCATAATATTTTGAATAATTGCTGGTGTAATTACATACAGTGCTAAATGTTTCTTTGAAGATATGATTTGTATGTGCTTTTGAGGAATAAACTTACATTCAATAATTCACAAATTATGAATATTACTACATATGAGCTTCTTTGTATATGTAGTGCATAGTACAACTACAGCACTGCTTACCTTGTTAACAAGCATCCCACAAAACATTGTGCATTCTTACCTGTACTTTAGCAGGTACTGTAAAGGGTTTGAATCTGAGAGTCTAATGATAGATCTATACAAATGCTGATAGGTTGACCTCTGGCAGGTGGAATTCCACTTGAATTTATCACTTGATTGTTACCTTTTAATTATTTTACTCATGTTTATTTTTATTGATACTCATATTTAAAAACTTTCATTGGGAGTCTGTTAGCTTCTTTTCCAAAACACTCACTCCTAAGATTCATGATTGGTACTTTGGCCTGGCCTTATTTTGGGTCTGTACTTACTGGTGCTTCATTCATACATGCAGAAGCTTTGGAATGCCTCTTCCAAATGTCTCTTTCCTACTTGTTCAGGACAGTCGTTTTTCTTGGATGTCTGAACTCTTTGAGTTGACTAGATTTGCCTCAACTTGTCATAGGGATTCAAGATTTTTGCCTCAGGTTTTTGGCCGTATTTTCAAGACAGTTAGGTCCAAAAAGATGCAGCTCTTCTAAATTTCTGTCTCACCCTCTTCCTCTCTTTTTCTCCTCTGTGTTTACCTTTCCAGTTATATTTGTCAGTTGTTTTGATACTCAAGGTTTCTAGAATAAAAGGTGTGGCCGGGCGCGGTGGCTCACGCCTGTAATCCTAGCACTTTGGGAGGCCGAGGCGGGTGGATCACGAGTTCAGGAGTTGGAGACCAGCCTGGCCAACGTGGTGAAACCTCGTCTCTACTAAAAATATAAAAATTAGCCAGGCATGGTGGCGGGTGCCTGTAACCCCCGCTACTCAGGAGGCTGAAGCAGGAAAATCTCTTGAAACTGGAAGGCGGAGGATGCAGTGAGCCAAGATCGCGCCACCATACTCCAGCCTGGTCAACAAGAGTGAAACTCCATCTCAAAAAAAAAAAAAAAAAAAAAAAGGTGTAAATGTTTGCTTCAGTCTTTTAGAAGCATTTTGGGATTGGTTTTTTGGGTTTATAACTTTGACTTTTTTTTAATACAGGTAAATGGGAAACAATTAAGTAAACCTATCTGTGTAAACCTGAGAATTTTGAAAAAGGCAGGAGGACTGAAATGATTGTTTTCAAGATTCCACATTAAAAGTTGATAGCATTTTTTAGAGTAGTTTATTTTATTTAAGGACATTTCATAAGTTCCATTAATTTGAAAAGCTAGAGATAATTATTTTAAAGATGAGATAGAGAGGTTTTGATTTATTCATGTCTAAAAAAATTATATGGAAAAAAGGTGAGAATTGAAAATATGAACCCTGGATTTAGATTCCATTTTATTGTGGAATTAAATGGAATTAAAGATATATTTACTTTTCTTGAAGGTTATTCCTGTACCACATTGCTTGAGGGCAGTGCCACTGTATCCGTTTTAGAAGTACCTTAGTATTTGGCAGAGGATATGCTATTTGCTTATGATGATTCGATAAAGCTTTTGTTTCTTAATTTCTTTGCCGGGGCATTTTGTGATGTTGCAGTGAGACATGGTATGAAGTGTGGCACAGCATGTAGTTATAGTCAAGATGACTGGCTAAATTACATGATTTCTGAAATGAAACACACATTAGTGCCCTTGGAATAGCAGCTGTGTGCTAGGTATTATCAAATAAAATGTTTCTGTGAGGTCTTTGTCTTTGATGATTAATCATCATTTTTGTGAAATTTATTATAAAAGTATAATTATTCCACAGGAGATTTAAGTTAAAAAAAAAAACTGGTTCACTATAGCCATGTGATCATAATTTGTTTAATTAGGAAACGGTATAAAAAATTGCCTTGCGGTAACGGAATTGATTGAGATTTGAAACCGAAAAATTCACGACTTTTGATAATGAAAGTGCCTTTTTCCTAATTGTGATTCCAGAGATTATTGATTTCCTTAGAAGTAGAAAATTTTGACTGTACCAGCCTAGGAATTCTCACTTGACATCATTTAGAAGTATTTTAACTTCAAAGGATGTGTTATTTGCTGAAGAGTGGCCACTGGGACGCAATATGGCTCTTGACATTTTGAACAGTGTTAAATGATGGGACTGAAGTATTTCAAACAGCCATGTTTCAACATTGTTTAAAAATCCGGTGGGAAGAATGGCAGTCCATATAACCCTGCATACTTGGAATTCTTTGGTTATTAATTTGAAGTGCAGTTCATAAGTTTATTTCTTACCTAATAAGTTTTTAAGGTGAATAATGCTCATAAAATTTTTACAGCTGTGTCTTATGAAATTCTGTTTCCTTTTTTTGGTTGCTTATATGTATTCTATAAAGACACTGAAAGGATGCAAACTATTCTCTTGCTTTTTTTGTTTTTATGTTAATCTGTTAGGTCATAGATCTGTGTTAAGATCATTGTTATAAAGCATATTGTTATTGAGTTCTATTGTAAACCCAAAATTACAAAACTGGTCTTTGAGAGAGGTAGATAAGTCAAAATACTTTGTGAAAAGTAAACATCTTGTTTTTGTTAATTTCCAATTTGTTCCACAATGAAAGCATGTCTGCTCAGTTTTCTTTTCTGTTAGTTGTGTCTCTTGGATTAAATGTGAGTAAATAAACTCTGGAGTAAGGCTGCTCCAGAGGGAACTCAAGGACTTACTGGTTGTCAGTGCATGTAGAAGTGACATCCCTGCAAATTGTGTCCTCTGCGGGGGGTGCTTTAGGTGGTGGCTATAGAGATTACATTCATAGGCTTGACTGCTTTTCTGTTTGGGGAGGACACTTGTCATTACAGAACCATTCCGAAGAAGGGGTTCTCAAAGTGGGGCTGGCAGCTGAAATTAGCCTATAGTGGTTCCTCTGGGACATTTCTCATGGTTTTGTAAATTGGTTTTTGGCTACTTCTGCATTCCTATCTTCAGCTTTAAGAAACTAGGCCTGTTGCCTTCAGTTGTAAAATGTCTCAAGGTAAAATAGTTGGGTTCAAATGTTTTTTCAAGTATATTTCCTTTAGAACAAGTTCCTCCTCTCCTGCCCCAAATAATTAACTATACAACTGTTCTCCCAAAGCAATGGAAAAGATCTCATTTTGACAAAGCAAGCTGTTTATGACAAATTTTCCAACTAGAAATTTGCAGAAGAAAAGTTCTCAAATGATGAAGAAGCTTAATCAGGCAAAAAGACATTTTTATTTGCAGAAATAGGCCCTTTAGAGGGAGGCAATTATTTATAGCTGATAGGAAAAACTGGTATACCTGAATTCGTTTGGTAAACTTCATTTAAAATAGGAAGGTTATTCTTGTTATTCTAGTGAAAGAAAAAAAATATGGTACTGAATTATGTTACAGATTTATATTAAAGAAACAAAGTTTTATACATTAAACCACTCTTACAGGGATATATACTGATTTAACTAAAGAAAATGAATTTGAGATTTAATAAAAATCTTTTAAAGATACCAGTGTGCAGCTTGAAATCAACTATAGTGTACCATGAATATCTATTTGAAATACCCAGTTGAAATGACCACATTAAGATTGCTTCCTTTCACCTCTCTATTTAAGTTTAAATTTACTTTTTTTCTTTTATAAACAGTGGTGTTTTTTGGCTTTTGTTCCATATTGAACAGAGGATGAAATCAGTATTTCAAAACCTCTTGTATGTCATCAGGATAAATAGTGTAGTATTTCTAGGAGGGAATTATTGGTTGGCCACTTTTCAATACACTCCTGGCATGATGTTGAGGATGCCTGTGGCTGGCAAGGAGTTTTAGACCTGGCCCTCTGATAACTTGCCTCCCTGCTTTCATATGGACAATTGACTTTTTAAAAGTCTTTTTAAGTGCAGTTCAAATTCAAATTCCCAGTTTTTTGGAGCTAGAAGCATCTCCCTAAAGGGATGCTGAGATGGCTTCTTGCCAGCTCTCTTTCTACATACATACATACGTATATATATATATATATATGTTTCTATTAATAGATCAGTGCTACCCTAACTTCAACCTCTGTGGGAAACACATATGGACTTGTTAAAAATGCAGATTTTGGCCGGGCGCAGTGGCTCATGCCTGTAATCCCAGTACTTTGGGAGGCCGAAGGAGGTGGATCATGAGGTCAGGAGATTGAGACCATCCTGGTCAACATGGTGAAACCCCGTCTCTACTAAAATACAAAAAATTAACTGGGCATGGTGATGCATCCCTGTAATCCCAGCTACTCAGGAGGCTGAGGCAGGGGAATTGCTTGAACCTGGTGAGCAGAGAATGCAGTAGGCCAAGATCACGCCACTGCACTCCAGCCTGGTGACAGCCTGTCTCAAAAAAAAAAAAAAAAAAAAGGAAAAAAAAACAATGCAGGTTTTGCATTACTGTTATTCCCACGTACAGCAGATGCTGCAGATTCACTGACCACACTTAGGGTAATAAGGCTGTAGTTCATTTAAATGTATTACAGATAAGCTATCTAAATTCCTGGATTAAAAATGGTTGAGTATAAGGTGTGCTTGTTATGGATATGACTTTAGACAGTTTATTTAATCTGTGTTTTATTTTTCTTATTTGTTCAACAACGGCATCTTTAAGTTGATCCTATGAGTTTGAGGTATTCAGATTTTGAAAAGATAGCTTGTTGAAATCCTAGGCGATGATCTCTATTTAAATAATCTGTCACCATCATATAAAACAATGTCATCTTCTTTGTAAGATGACTGTGGGGGCAGATATTGGATTCTCATTTTGACAAATAAACTGATACGCAGTTGCCTAGGGCTTATGCTCAAGTAGGTGCTGATGCCTAAATGGAGTCTCTAGAGTCAAGTGTCTTTATTGGTTTGTGCTTTTGTTGAACAACCCATTTTGAGGAAATTTGGTTTGCATTGCATGAAGACTTTATAGATTTCAGGCAAGCAGCAAAAATGAGAGTTTAGGTAGCTGAAAGTAGGAAGATAAAAATTTGTTATTGATTATTATTAGTGACATTCAGGCACCAAGTGATGCTCTTCAGTGAAGGTATCTAAGTAAGGTTAGAAATGCTTCGGCCTGTATGACTTTTTAACCTGGTACACTTAAACCTTAGCTTTAAGGCACCTTGGGGGGTTTCTGAATAGGTGAATGCACTATATCTGAAGTTTTAAAGTCCTAGTTAATAAAAACCTTTTTAAGGAACTTGTTGTAAAATGAGTTATACTTTTTCCTTTCTTTTTAAAATACTGTATGTACTGTGTAGTAGAGGCAGGGTTGTGAACGAATGCTGGACCAAGATAAAAGATTACAGTTTTAGTCTTGGAATACCACTGTACTAGCTAAGTACTTGAGCTGCTCAGCTCTCATGAACTCAGTATTTTAATTGGTCAGGAAACAAAAATAATAATAGTAACTGCCAACCACAGAGTGAGACTCAAATGAAATAATATGATGAACGTTCTCTGTGGTTTTAAAAAGCTGCATGGTTATATACTTAGCTGTAGAGTGGTTGGACCAGGGGGCTGAATGACTTGGTTGATCACTGTACATTAAGTACAGCTGTCCCCGCTTATCCTTGGAAGATTTATTCCAAAACCCCCAGTGTATGCCTGAAACTGAGGACAGTACCAAACCCTGTATATAGTATAGTATGTTTTCCTCCATACATACATACCTGTGATAAAGTTTAATTTATAATATAAAGTAGGCACAGTAAGAGATTAATAATAATAACTAATAACAAAATAGAACAGTTATAATATACAAGCACCACTACTCTTGTGCTTGGAGTCCATATTAAATAAAATAAAAGTCACTTGAACACAAACACTGTGATACCTCGTCAATTGATCTGATTAACCGAGAGCTATTAAGTGATGAATGAGCGGGTAGTGTAGACTGTTGGATTCGCTGGACCAAAGGATGATTCACATCCAGGGTGGGATAGGGCAGGATGGCATGCAGTTTCATCATGCTACTCAGAACAATGTGCCCTTTACAACTTATGAATTGTTTATTCCTGGAATTTTCCTTTTAATATTTTTGGACCATAGTTGACCATGGGTAACTGAAACCATGGATAAGGGGGTCTACTGTATCTCACTCTCATCTCCCGTGAGAACAGAGCCATGCCCTACTTTGATGCTGTTGCTGACTTTTTCACTTGGAGTCTGTGGTTGAGCCCCTGCTATCTGAACTACTATTGCATGGCCTGCTCCATCCCCCATACACCGTTTCTGCTTTTACTCTCTATCCACTCTTGTGGCCAGCAGTTTCCAGTCTCATTACAAAAGCAGTTTTTGTTCTCTTCTGTTTCTTTTCTGTTGCTTTTCCTATGTTTCTAGTCATTGTACACGAAGGCTTATTTTGAATAGGCATTCTGGCCAACCTGAGTACTTCTTTCCTTCTGCGGAGTAAACCGACCAATTACAGTGCATCTGGTATAAATAGTCTTTGGTACTTTGGTTCTGCTTGGCAGAGCATATTGTTACTGGGTACTCATGGTCTCTCTCTTCATTGACGACCCTTTTTCTTTTTGGAATACGCTCATATTCAGAGTAGTTCTGGCAGTGTGGCGATTAGGAAAGCTGTTTGTCAGATGAGCTGCAGTTTTCCTGCACCGACGTGTTTGTGTCAATCAGTTTTGTATATCAAGAATTTGCAGTGAGTTTTGTTTAACACAGGTGCAGGGTGGCAACGTGTAATAAATTAGCCTGGTGGTACATTTTGGGTAACAATTATAAAAAATGTCTTTCAGAGTTTTTCAAACAACAAGGAGGCAAAGAGTAAAGATCACAGAATTTTGGAATCAGAGGTCCAGTGATCTAATCCCAGAACTATTATAGCCAGCCCTCCACATACCTGGGTTCTGCATCCATGGATTCAACCAACCATGGAATGACAATATTTGAAAAACAAAGATTGTGTCTGTACTGAACATGTACAGATTTTTTATTGTCATAATTTTCTAAATATAGGATGACTATATTTATATAGTACTTGTATTAGGTATTGTAATCTAGAAATGATTTAAAGTATATGGGAGGATGTGCATAGGTTATATGAAAATGTGATGCCATTTTATATAAGGTCCTTGAGCATTGTGGATTTTGGTATCTGAGAGAGGTCCTAGAACCAAGCTCCCCACTGATACCAAGGGGTGACTGTACGTGCTAATGGTGTTATTTTGATTGTGTTACTTAAACTCCTTTATCCTCTGTTCTCTCTTATATAGAATAAGAATAGCAATACCTACTTAATAGAGTTGTTGGGAGAATTTAATGAGATAAGTTATGTAAAGTACTTGGAACCATACTAGTGTCTAGGATACTTACTAAATATTTCTTTTAAATTATTCATTAATGGTATTGTTGAATAGTTTAAAAATCACTATGTAATAACATCTGAAACTATTATAGGGCATTTAAAGATTTTTCATAAAAGCCAATATCCAAAATTTAAACTTACTTTTGATAATAACTTAGTATTTTAGGTAGATTTAGGGTAACTGAAAAGATTTCAGTGAACTATAATAATTAGGTAATGATTTTGTAATTGAAATTTTATCCTGAATTTTAAGTTTGGAGAAGTGATGTTGAGATTTTACCATTATACACACACACAGGCACCCATACAAGCATGCATGTACATATATGCAAATTTTGCCAATAAAGTATTTGCAGTGTATAGTTAATGAAATGTACATATGAAAAACATTGTTAGATGACTTCCAAATTCTTTACCATGATTGACTTTATGCTTTTAAATTAGATGATATAGTATCTAGGAGTATGTATTAGTCCATTTTCATGGTGCTATACAGAAATACCTGAAACTGAGTATCTTATAAAGAAAAAGAGGTTTAATGGACTCACAGTTCAACATGGCTGGGGAGGCCTCACAATCATGGCAGAAGGTGAAGGAGGAGCAAAGGCACGGCTTACATGGAGGCAGGCAAGAGAGTATGTGCAGGGGAGCTACCCTTTATAAAACCATCAGATCTCGTGAGACTTTTTCACTATCATGAGAACAGCATGGGAAAAACCTGCCCCCATGATTCAATTACTTCCCACCAGGTATCTCCCATGATAAGTGGGGATTATGGGAGCTACAATTCAAGATGAAATTTGGGTGGGGACACAGTCATACCATATGAGAGTATATGCAAAGTTATGATTTTTTACCGTATTGTAAGAATGATTCTATTCTACAGTATATATCTTAGGTAATGACATATCTTAAAAAATGAAAATACAGACTTAGTTTACAGACTTGGTTTGTATTGGAAAAGATTGTGTTAAATTGATAGCCCGAATCTCAGGAATACTTTTATGTACTGTTTGTTTTACAGTAAGCAGCACTGAATATAAAAGCTCTGTTTGAATCCTTTTCTGGGAAGCTTGTTCTCACTCATTCCTTCATACTCTCACCAGGACCTACAACTTGTATTACTTTATTTATAAGTAATTGTGCACTTATGAATATTAATCTTGGCCGGGCACTGTGGCTCAAGCCTGTAATCCCAGCACTTTGGGAGGCCGAGGCGGGCGGATCACCTGAGGTTGGGAGTTTGAGACCAGCCTGACCAACATGGAGAAACCCCGTCTTTACTAAAAAAAAAAAAAAAAAAAAAAATTTCTGGGTGTGGAGGTGCAAGCCTGTAACCCCAGCTACTCGGAAGGCTGAGGCAGGAGAATCCCTTGAACCTGGGAGGCAGAGGTTGCAGTGAGCCGACATCGTGCCATTGTGCTCTACCCTGGGCAACGAGCAAAACTCCGTCTCAAAAAAAAAAAAAAGAAAAAAAGAATATTAATCTCTCTCCTAATTAAAACATCTTTTACATATTTAACATTTTTCTAGGGATTCCCTGTATAAAGAAAATATGTATTAACTTAAAATGTTAACAATTTTTTCTTTCCTCTTCACCCCCATTTCCTTGAAAGAGAAAGATTTTTAACTCCCCAAAAAAACCTAAACATGCTGAAGGTGATCTACTACCGGAGGCAATAAGGCTTTCTCTTTAAAGTCAATGTGTTTCTGATTTCCCCTGCCCCCACCCCAGTCCCTTCTAGATTAAAACAGGTCACAGTTTTATAACGATGGGGTTGGTTATATTTGCTTAAGAAATATAGTTGAAATTGGCCATTTTGGAGTAATTAATAACGTTTGGAGTAAAACATTAGTGATATTGCCACACTTACAGTGGAAAATGAGCAAGTTAATACAATAAACCATATCAACCAAAGATATTTTACCTCAGCCACTATCATTATTCATTTCTTGTATGTTACCTTATTCTCACTTGGAATGTTTACTCTGTTCCTACTGATAACTAAAGTCTAACAGCAAGTGGAAAGCTCCTAAAAAGAACACTTTTGGTTCTTGTTGGATAGCAGCCTAGTTTTCTCTAATCCACATCTGTTCTTTGGCATATTTTTAGACTGTTCAGGTGAAAATTTACCCCGTATCTTAATAAAACAAATTCTGTTACTGATGGGTTAAAAAAAATCGGTCATACTATTTTTAAGTTGTTAATGGGAAAACAAGTCAATTTTGCAGGATGGCTCTCAAGTCTATGGAATTAATTTACATTGGTGCAAGAAACCAACTGTTCAAGACTTTATTAAACATGCTTTCACCAGATGACTTTTAGAACTAAACAGAAGAAGCCAGGTGTGGTGGCTCACACATGTAATCTCATCACTTCAAGAGGCTAAGAGGGCAGGATTGCTTAAGCCCAGCAGTTTGAGACTGGCCTGGGCAACATAGCGAGATTCCATCTCTACAAAAAATAAAATAGCTGAGGCAGGAGGATCACTTGAACCTAGGAGTTCAAGACTAGCCTGGGCAACACAGGGAGACCCTGTCTCTATAAAAAATAAAAATTAGTTGGGCAGGGTGGTGCACACCTGTGGTACCAGATACTCAGGAGGCTGAGATTGGAGGATCACTTGGGCCTGGGGGATCGAGGCTGCAGTGAGCTGTGATTGTGCCACTGCACTTCAGCCTGGGTGACAGAGTGAGATTCTGTCTCAAAATAAATAAATAAATAAAATAAAATAAATAATAATTAGCTGGGCTTGGTGGCAGGTGCCTGTAGTCCTGGCTACTTTGGAGGCTGAGTGGGAGGATCACTTGATCCCAGGAGTTTGAGGTTACAGTGATAGTGAGCAATGATCATACCACTGCACTCCAGTCTGGGCCAACAGAGTGAGGTCCTGTCTCCAGAAAAGAAAAGAACTAACAAAAGACTAGTAATTGGGTTTTTCCACTTTGGAGTTGGATGGGAAGGTGTAGTTATCTATTATGAGGGGAGAAGTTTAAGTATGACCTCCCTATAAATTAACTTTGGTGATATTGAGAGAAGTGGACTTGGAGAGGATTTTGCCTCTTCCTTGCTGATGATACAGTGCTTTCCTTTTATGATATAGAGGAGGGATGATTCTAGGGAAAATTGGATAAACTTTTTCTTTGTGGGGAGAAAAAAGATGCACTGTAATGGAAGATAGATAGTTTCTTTCTTTTTTTTTTTTTTTTTTGAGACAGAGTCTCACTGTGTCGCCCAGGCTGGAGTGCAGTGGCACGATCTCGGCTCACTGCAAGCTCCACCTCCCGGGTTCACGCCATTCTCCTGCCTCAGCCTCCCGAGTAGCTGGGACTACAGGCGTCCGCCACCGTGCCTAGCTAATTTTTTCTATTTTTTGGTAGAGACGGGGTTTCACCATGGTCTCGATCTCCTGACCTCGTGATCCGCCCTCCTCGGTCCCCCAAAGTGCTGGGATTACAGGCGTGAGCCACCGTGCCCGGCCAAAGATAGATAGTTTCAATGAGTATCTTTGTGAATTGGAACCAGAGCATCAAATAAGCTTTTGAGGTGACATCAAGACATGTTAGAATGGAAGTTCTCCAGATTCAACTGTCTATAGAAGTAGCTCTGTGGTATTTAGCCTCTAGGATATATTTTGATTATGTGCTGAATTTTTGGCATGTGTTATAAAACAGTGGCTTGTTTGTATTTTTTAAAATGCTATAATCATAGTAAATACCTTTATGCTTATCTTTATGTACTTAGAATTTGAGTTCTGATAATTTATTTTTTTATGGGAGGTGGGGAGGTTTATTTTTTAAATTGCAGTCCAAAGGAGTAAATTTGATGTTACATTGGACAGTTTATTCAGATACCACAAACTTTACAGATTTAATTAGATAGATAATGGATGATGTTAAAAACTAAGCAGCATCTTAAGTTTAAATTTTTATTTTTATTTCTTTTTCTGTCATCATTATTTATGAAAACTGGTTGAAAATGAAGTTAAAAGATTTTCTGTACATCATAAGATTGGACAGAAATATTATTTACCTTAAAACTTTTTCTGAGTAAAAATTTAAACATAAACTAGAACTCAGCCTGAATTTTTTTTTAAACCATCTTTGGAAGCACATATAAAAGTAGAGTAAATACATCGAATGTAGCTTACCTACTGCATTTGAAGAAAATCTTTTGTGTATGTCTGTAAGCTATTTGTGTGTTTTGAAACAGTTTACCAGAATAGACTGAAACTGGTAGAAACAGGCATAAGTAACTCTGCAGTGGTAGTTGTATTGAAAACTGGAATGGTAGTCTCTTTCAAAATCTTGAAGAGATGGAAACTAATGAATCTTTTTTTTTTTTGGTAAAATAGTATTTTTTTTTGTTCACTTAAATGAAATTATTTGTACTTTAAGTTTTGTTCCAGGAAATTACTTCAGTTGTAGCTAATTTATTGGCACCCTTTACTAACAAATTTCTGTTCTGTATTAAGATTAGTATTAGAAAAAAAAGGAGATGTATGGAAATTAAGAAAGCAACAAAAATTATAAGAATAATTGCCCTTATAAAGAAGTCATTATATGAAAAAGATACTTGCACACGCATGTTTATAGCGGCACAATTCGCAATGGCAAAAATGTGGAACCAACCCAAATACCCATCAATCAACGAGTTAATAAAGAAACTGTGGCATATGTATACGATGGAATATTACTCAGCCATAAAAAGGAATGAATTAATGGCATTCGCAGTGACCTGGATGAGATTGGAGACTGTTATTCTAAGTGAAGTAACTCGGGAATGGAAAACCAAACATCCTATGTTCTCACTCATAAGTGGGAGCTAAACCACGAGTATGTAAAGGCATAAGAATGACACAATGGACTTTGGGGATTCAAGGGGAGAGGGTGGGTAGAGGGTGAGGGATAAAAGATGTTGGGTGCAATGTATACTGCTCAGGTGATGAGTACATCAAAATCTCACACATCACCACTAAAGAACTTACTCGTAACCAAAGACCATCTGTTCCCCAATAACCTATGGAGATAAAAAAAATTCAAAAAAAGAAAATTGTCCTTATATACATGTCAGACAAAAGATTTAATTATATTTGGTAAGAACATTGTAGATTGTTTTGTAGTGTATTCTGAGAACTTATGTCAGAGGCCAGAAATGGCCATTGTTACCAGAAGTAATGGAAGGAAAGGAAAAGTAAGGGTATGCTTACCATTTTAGGTAATCTGATTTCTGCATATTGTAGTGTAAAAATATGATAGTTCTATTCAAAATTTTGGAGAAACATTTGAACTTCGTTTATTTTAAATTAGGAAATCAGCTCAAATAGGCATTGGCCTTTGATTTAAGAGTGTTAAGTCATTCTTATGTAGAAATGTGCTATCTCCCGAGAAAGCATCAGTGTGGGATGCCTTCAGCTCATGCCATCCCCTCTTCCATTAGGAAGCATTTGTAAATGCTTAGCCGTGTTAGGGATCATGTTAGATATTGGGGGCAGTGACTCTGAAGAGATTGTGCGACATAATCTCAAAGAGCTTAGGGTCTGGTAGGGAGACAACCAAGCAAACAGCTACTCTAAAATAGAGACATGCTTATGGCTTGAGTGAGTACATAAGAGGGGCACCTGACCCAGACTGGGAGGGAAGGAGGCACTTGTGAGATGCTTATGCTTGAACTGACTCCTGAAGAACAAATAAGAATTAGATTAATAAAGATGAGAGAGAAGGCTGGGTGAGGTGGCTCCTGCCTGTATTCCCAGCACCCTGGGAGGCTGAGGTGGGTAGATCACCTGAGGTCAGCAGCTCAAGACCAGCCCGGCCAACATGGTGAAACCTTCTTTCTACTAAAAGTACGAAAATTAGCTGGGCTTGGTGGTGCATGCCTGTAATCCTAGCCACTAGGGAGGCTGAGGCAGGAGAATCGCTTGAACCTGGGAACCTGGGAGGCGGAGGTTGCAGTGAGCCGAGATTGTGCCACTGCACTCCAGCCTGGACAACAGACAACAAAGCAAGAGTCCATCTCAAAAAAAAAAAAAAAAAAAGGATGAGAGAGAGGAATATTTCAGGAGAAATATGTAGGGAGAGAAAAGCTTGGTGTCCAAGAAAAGGGAATAAAGCTGGAGGATAGGATGGAGGGAGGGAGAGAAGAGAGATGAGTTGATAGGAGCCAGATCACCAAGGGCCTGGGGTTCTCTGATAACATTTAAACAATTGTCTGAAGTGGGATAAAATCCAACACAGAAAAACAGGTAGCTATTATAGGATTATATTGGCTATATAGGATTATATAGGCTGTATAGGATTATATTGGAGGATTTGTATTGCCAGTGGTGATTAGTATTTTAAAAAGTTAAGAACAAAGATGAAAATAAATTTGGATATAGTAGAAATGGAAAGGTGGAGAAAACTTGACTTTACTTGGTAAGTAGCTGAATGTGGAGGGTTAAGGGGAAAGAGAGGTTTAAGACTATTCTCAGATTTCTGTTGGACAAGTGAGTAAAAAAGAAACACATATGTAGATCACTTTTGGGTGAAGGGAGATGGAAAGACGTGCCTACTTTCCTTAATGAGTAAGAGGAGGAGAGGTGAGATGTCAGAACATCTCTGCTCACAAATGTGTGTTGTGTGGATGCTTCAGAGTTTGGCACGCCTGTATTTGCTACTTTCAATTGGTGCTAAAACTTCGTCATTGCACCTTTATTTTTGCTGGCATATTATTTCTTTTGATAATAAAGACTTTTGGTTATAAGTGATTGTCTCAATATGTTTGAGCTGCTGTAACAAAATACTATAAACTAGGCAGCTTATAAACAACAGGAATTGATTTCTCACAGTTTTGAAAGCTGGGAGGTCCAAGATCAAGGTGCTAGCAGATATGGTGCCTGTAGAGGCCCCACTTCCTTGTTCAAAGTGGCTTTCTTTTTGCTGTGTCCTTACATGGAGGTCGGGGGCAAGGGAATTCTCTGGGGCCTGTTTTCAAAAGGCATGAATCCCTATAATGAGGATTTCATTCAGATGACCTAATCACCTCCCAGATGCCTCACCTCCAAATACCATTACACTGGGCATTAGGATTTAACATAGGAATTTTCAAGGACACACACATTGTGTTCTTGTCATTAGCAGTGACATGAGCACAATTCAGGAAAGGTGGAGCCTCTTGCTTGTCTGAACCAAAGAGCTCTAATGAGGCCATGAGGACTCTGTTTCTTTCTTCATCTCTTGGTCCGGCTATGGTGATCTTCATGACCATTGGCAACCTAGAGTTTTCTCCCTAATTCTCTCTGAAGTGCTCTGTGGAGGACTTTAGGTATCCTGACTTGGGGAATGGTAGGGATACTTTGTCTAGGCCAAGGCCTTGTTCCTGCACTTACAGTCTGGCATATGAGTGGAAAGGAGGCAGGTTTGTCTGTGTGACACTATATGGAATAGGTTCACCAACAGGAAACACACTCTGTTAGGAGGAAGGGCAAGGTATTCTTGGAAGGTGGGAGGATCACAGAGGTCGGTGAAACCTATGAAGTCCTCTTCTGTTCTACTCTCATGACCCTTGGCAATAAGTAGTATTCTTGGTTTCAACTCCATCATAAATGCAATATTTGAAATCATGTAGGCCCACAGAATTATGAGGTGGTCACCTATAGGAGATAGTTGATTCATATAGATATGCGTGCACAAGCATGTGTTTGTGTTGGATTATTATCTGTCTCGAGGGTGAGCATCTTGTGGGGCAAACCCACCCTGCAGTCTGTTTTTTTAAACCAGCCACGCCCATTCATTTATGTGTTGTCTGTGTCTGCTTTCTCTCTACAATGTCAGGGTTTAGTAGTTGTGACAGAGACCTTGGGGCTTGCAAAGCCTAAAATATTTACTATCTGGCCCTTAACCGAAAAAGTTTGCCAACCCCTGATCTAAATGGAAACACATAATTTTAAAACTCTTCTGGCAAACTTACTGATCCCTGAGAGCACATCTGGACATTCTCAGGGGTTCTCCGACCACAGTTGAGAAACACAGGTCTACGATGTAATTGTTAGGAGTGAAAGCTCAAGGTCAGACTTAGAGATGTAAAATTTTACAGACTTCCCTTTCCCTGAGACCACACTACAGTGAGCACTATCTGTGACTTTTGCAGAACTTGGCAAGCATGCTGCCTAGGAGACTATACTAGCAGTAAGTGACTAGATGGCATGGACCCCATGCTACTATAATCGTTACAGGTTTTGTCCCAACTAATCCTATCTGAGTGTGCTGGCGAGCAGCGATTTTCATGCAACTGTAAGTCTTTGTGTGCTGGTCCCATCAGCCCCTGTCACGTGGTCCTGGCAGTCCTGTTTGGCCTGCAGGAAGTGCCTGCTGTTTCATCTCAGAATGGCTGCTTCTACGATGCTCGAGTTGCTGTTTGTTAACTTGGGCCCCCTCTGCCTCCTTAGCTGCAAGCCTGTGTTTCCAAGCAGTTGTTTCCCAGCTGTCTGTTGCTTTGTTACATTGTTTCAGGCTGTGCTTCAATGTGCTCTCCAAGTGTTTTGCTTGACCTCCCCATGGGTATCTGCCTTGCTTTAGCTCAGTGCTAAGCAGCAGTTTGGTATTCTTCTGGTATCCATTTTTCTCATGTGGTCAGCCTACTGGTCCTGATTTTCTGTGATTGAGGTTTTGACACTTGCAAAGTGACTCTGCATCATTGCTTGGTTGTTGACAGACTCGTCTTCATGCTTTTTTGTTCTTTGGGCTACCCAGGAGTCACCTTTGATAAAATGTCAGTAACATACTGCTGTGATAGGATTTTTTTTTTTTTTCTTATTGGCAAGAAAAAGCCATGTTTTTGCCGTGATCTGGATTGCTATCTTCTGTACTTTTTGAGACTCCCCATTTGTCAAATGGTTGCAGTTTGAATGTGGTTGTCCTCAGGTAGGAAAGTCAGTGTCAGGACCCAGGATTGCCTACTGCAGAGTTATATCTGATTCTTATGTTTTTCAGGAATGTTGTTAATTTATGTGGCTAGAAATGTGAATTTTACAAAATAGTAACAATTGGCTTTTCAAAATCTGTAGCTGAAATGTTGGTTTGTAGATTTAAAATAATACATGGGTTAATTGAGTGGAAAATGCTGCCTTGGATATGATTTTTAATAGTGAATTTGAAAAATGACTAATTTTATATGCATGTGAAATGAAATTGTAAGTCCTGACAAGTAAATGGAATATGTTTTAGCCAACAGCTACCTGTACTTAAAAACAAAACCCCAAAAACCTGCTCATTTGATTTTCAGTAAGAGTCTATTAAAAATTCTTAAATCAGAAACCAGGTAGTAAACAATTTCTGTAAAAGCCGATTTTCAAGTGGAGACATTTTGACCTGGAGCTAGTGAATTCAATGAAAAAAACAAAAAACAAAAAACAAAAAAAGCTAAGAGAGACACATTATATCCAATGTATGTTATAATACTTATTTAAAGGGTATCATAATATTTTGAGTTTGGGGAAAGTTCAATCCTAATGTTAATGTTTATGAGGAAATGTGTAATATTCATGCATTTCTATGCAATTCTCTACTTGCCACAAGCCAAAGAAGAAACAATCAATTTACAAATAACACAGAGGCAGTAAATTTGTTGGTGGTGATGCTAGCTAGGCCTATTGTAATTCCATAATTCTGTAGTTTTTTTTCAACCTGCAAGTGGTGAATTGCTAATGTTGCTGGGAGCCAAAGATATGGTGATATGTGAAAGTGTCCAGGCAGCGCTTACATTATGTAAGGCTTGGAGGTATTTTGATGTCAGTAAAATACTTTATGGGAGTAATAGGAAAATGTGTACTGTTGAAATCATATCCAGAAAATTCAGAGTTTATGTTGAATTTTATTTCCCAACTCACATTTGAGGTTTACAAGTTTTGCTTAGTGTGCTTGGTGCTACTCGATCAATTGAGACACAGTTCCTCTCTGGTGGGGGTTCATGTCTGTGTCCAGACATCTTGTTGGCTGTGCTCTAATCACAGTGATCATTTTGAGCTGTTGTTAAGAAAAACATGGCTTCCAACATAGATGCCTTGTTTTCTCCAACAAATATTTAAGCTATATTGCCACCTCCATTTTAGTTGTTTCTCTTTAGATCTGGCTGTCATAATTTATCTGTTTTGCTTCATCCAAGATGATTGCTGTAAACAGGCATAGGGTGCTGTCTTCCCTTCTAGGCAGCCCAGTAATTCCATCTCAGATAATTTCTAGTTACCTGTTGGATACTTACGTGAAGGTCTGAATAAATTATGATCATTACGAACATGATACATGAGTAATGAATTAAAAGAAATATTTAAAAGTTTTATATTTTAAGTCTCCAGGGAGTAAGGCATTGAGAAAATGGGGTAAATATTTCTTGTCGAAGAGAAATCAAATATGGGTGAATCATTGACTACTGGGAGTCCTTGGGTTTATTCTCAGATCTTTCACTTTTTGGCAGTATTCTGGAAGCAAGTTAGTGACTTGACTGAAGCTCAGTTTGCACATCTGTGAAGAGGACAGTAATTTCTGGTCTCATAGGGCTGTTAAGAGCATGGAATGGAATCCAATTCGGCTTCATCTATCTTTATTTTTCATGTAATCTGTCAGGCACCATGTTAGTGGAATGTCTTGTAAATAATGAATCGTATAGCCTCTGGTCTCAAGGATCTCATAAACCTACTGGACAGATATTATGTATTTTGGTTTCCTACATGACATCCAAGTTCATGAATCTTTTGAATTCTTTCCATACAACCCAGGATGCAAGCTTCTGGTAAGACAAATGGATATTTATTAAGATCCTGTAAGAAACAAGGCAGAAAATTAAAGTCATTAGGAGTATAGAAATAAAAGATTTCTTGGGCTTTCACCTCTGTAAACTTGAGGAGTTTGGCTAAGTCAGTAGTTGGAAGCGTAGTAAGGTCAGAAGTCACCGTCAACTTCCGTTAAATCCCAAAGCTTACAATTATTTAACAGAGGATCACCTACGCTAACAGAATGTTGGGATTTTGTTTGTTTGGGGTTTTGGTAAATAATTATATACATTCAGGGGTCTTAGTACTGGGTAGCTTATATAAGTCCAAAAATATGATTGTTAGCCTTGCCTTTTGATTAATAAAATGGGGGAAATATGTTGTTAAAAAAAAAAACGAAAAAGGGCAAGAAACTATTTGAAAACCAGGCATTGGGTTGAATTGGAAGTGAATACACTTCAAAAGGTCTGAGGAGAAAATATTAGAAACCACTGATTTGGATAATGTCTAATAGCTCTTTTAACTCTTAGTCTTTTACCTAAATATCCTTGATATTTACAGCATAGTAAAATCTGGTTTTCCAAGGATTCTGATGAAAGAAAAGAAAAAAAATGAAAACAGATGGACAATCTGAGAAGTAACTAGTGATTGATGGTAAATGTGAACAATGCTTCAGAAAGGAAATGAAATGTCTGCAGCAGATAGAAGTGTGTAAATTTTGCCTTCACTTTAGAGCTAGAATCACTATGAGTGGTAGCATTTCAGAATCAGAAGAATGGAAAGCTCAGTTGATTATCATTACACATAGGAGTAAAAGGAAAGGTTCACATTTTTATTGACAGCTCATATCGAAAAGACAGCTCCTCTTAGAGAGAAGTGAATTCTCCTCCTTCTTGTTGTTTCTTCTGCCACCTTTGCCCTCATACAGCACGCTCTATCTTTATCTTCTTCCCTTTTCCCTCCTCCTTTCCTGTCTTTTCTTATCTTCCTCCATTCTCTCCCCATTTCCTTTCTGTGCTCCCTCTCCTTTCTGCACTCACCTCCTTCACCTTTCATCTGTAGGTGACACTAAACCGAGGTTTAAGAAGAGCCACCTTGGCTGGGTGCAATGGCTTACGCCTGTAATCCTAGCATTTTGGGAGGCTGAGGCAAGTGGAACACAAGGCCAGGAGTTCGAGACCAGCCCAGCCAATGTGGTGAAACCCTGTCTCTACTAAAAATTCAAAAATTAGCTGGGCGTGGTGGCACGCGCCTGTAATCCCAGCTACTCGGGAGGCTGAGGTAGGAGAATTGCTTGAAACCAGAAGGTGGAGGTTGCAGTGAGCCAAGATCGCACCACTGCACTCCAGCCTGGGCAGAAGAGTGAAACTCCGTCTCAAAAAAAAAAAAAAAAAAAAAGCCACCTCACAGAGTTGATGGCAGTGTGAGTGCTGCTTTTTGTACATTACCTCATTCAGTTCTGGACACAGGAGGGGTCTCCAAATCATGCTGCGTGGGCCAGGGAGTCTGATGGAAGAAGTCATACTTGAGTTATGGCTGTCTCAGGGATGCTGTGAGTTGACTAGCTTGCTGGGAGGCTGGAGTCTGGCTCACACATTCAGAACATTTGCAGGTTACTGAGACAACCAGTACCAAGGACTTGTTCTGGAGACTAACCAGATATGGAAAACACTGAGGTAGGCAGAAATCAGTTTGTGATGGGCTATTGATGGTAAACTAAGGAGCTAAATGGAAAGCTCTGGCAAACCCTTGAATGAGAGAGAAATGATCTAACAGAGAATCCTCTAACAGAAGTAGGATGAACAGATTAAAGGAAAAAGTAGGGGGAGACCAGGTGGGAATCTTTCGCACCAAGTCAGGAAGGAAATAGAGTTGTCACAAAAGCTGAGGGAAGGAAGAGGAGGAGAGGCAAATTCAAGGGACTAAAGAGGTTGACTCTTTAGAACTTGGCGATGATGTGAAAATGAGTAAGAAAGAGTTTAGGAGGCCAGGCGCAGTGGCTCACACCTGTAATCCCAGCACTTTGGGAGGCCAAGGAGGGCGGATCATCTGAGGTCAGGGGTTCGAGACCAGCGTGACCAACATGGTGAAACCCCGTCTCTACTAGAAAGACAAAAGATTAGCTGGGCGTGGTGGCACACGCCTGTAATCCCAGCTACTTGGGAGGCTGAGACAGGAGAATTGCCTGGGAGGTGGAGGTTGCAGTGAGCCAAGATAGTGCCATTGCACTCCAACCTGGGCAACAAGAACGAAACTCTGTTTCAAAAAAAAAAGAAAAACAAAAAAAAACAAAAACAAAAACCGAGAAAGAGAGAAAGAGTTTATGAATTTGTCATTGTATTAGTCTGTTTTCATGTTGCTGATAAAGATGTACCAGAGACTGGGCAATTTACAAAAGAAAGAGTTTTAATGGACTTACAGTTCCATGTGGCTGGGGAAGCCTCACAATCATGGCAGAAGGCAAGGAGGAACAAGTCACGTCTTATATGGATGGCAGAAGGCAAAGAGAGAGCTTGTGCAGGGAGACCCCTGTTTTTGAACTCATCAGATCTCGTGAGACTTATTCACTATCATGACAACACCAGAAAGACCTGTGCCCATGATTCAGTTACCTCCCACTGGGTCCCTCCCACAACACTTGGGAATTCAAGATGAGATTTGGGTGGGGACACAGCCAAACCATATCAGTCATAGTGTATGACTGTCTGGCTTCTCATAGTATTTTCTGTGTGAAAAAACACAGGAGGAAAGTAGTTTTGAGAGGATGGATATACAGTTTGTTTTTGGGCATGCTGAATTTGAGGCTCCACTGGCTCTGAAACTTTTGTAGAGTTACAAGCAAATAGTATCAATGTCTTAACAAAATACTTAATTCATTTATTGTGCACTTGATAGGTGCCAGCCTGTGTCCTAAGCATTTCACATGGACTGTCTCATTTATTTCTTATAATAATCACGTGAGGTGTAGAAATCATTATTGCGAGGGAAATTAAGCACAACAATGTTAAGTGATTTCACTAAAGTTACACATTTAGAAAGTGGTGGGATATTGTGTAATTCCATTTGTTTGAAATGCTCAGAAAAGGCAAATCTGTAGAGGCAGAGAGTAGATTAGTTGTTGACTGGCATTGAGAATGGGATTATTGTAAATGAACATTAGGGATCTTAAATGATTTATGGTGATGGTTGCACCACTTGGTAAATTTACTAAAAATCGTTGAATTGTGTACTTGAAACCGATAAATTTTATATGAAAAATAAATATTTAGAAAGTTGTAAAAAAGTAAAAGGATTTCAAATTGGAATTGTTATATTTAATTTTAGGTGTTTTCAGTGGATTATAATAGAAAAATGCTCTTAAATGTAGTAGAGTGCTTCCTTATCAGAAAGGTGCCCTGGAAATTGTGTCTGTCCTTTTTTTTATTTTCCTTTTTAAAAAACAAAAGGTATTTGGGTCTTTTATTTCTATGCTAGTGTTTCAGATGTTTGTTGATTACTACCTACGAAGCATTTTCCTGTTACTTCCTGGAACCTGCTGTTCCTGATCTCTTTCAGGATAATGTGCTAGATAGCTAAGCTGGCTTCCACCTCCCTCATTTTCCTTCGCTTCCTCTCTTCCTGCTGAATTCAGGAATTGTGTTAGGGACCGTGAATTTTTTTTAAAAGGATAATTAAAATGTTGTCACATAGCTCACATTCTAAAATTAGATATTAAAAAAAGTCAGTGGGGGTTTCCTCATAGAAACAAGGGAAGACCTTTACTGAGATTGCTTCTCAGTTTATTGGTCTTCATTTGTTTTTTGGCTCATGGGACTTGAACATAGGTAGGGTACAACTTTATTTACATAGGAGCCAAGAGAAAACTTCCTCTTGCTATCTCTAGGTTTGCTAAAAATCAGCTGACAAAAAGCAGATTAATAGAAAAGGCATACAAATCTGCCGGGCACGGTGGCTCGCACCTGTAATCCCAGCACTTTAGGAGGCCAAGGCGGGAGGATCACGAGGTCAGGAGTTCGAGACCAGGCTGGCCAAGATGGTGAAACCCTGTCTCTACTAAAAATACAAAAAATTAACCAGGCATGGTGGCGGGTGCCTGTAATCCCAGCTATTCAGGAGGCTGAGGCAGAGAATTGCTTGAACCCGAGAGGTGGAGGTTGCAGTGAGCCAAGACGAGATCACGCCACTGCACTCCAGCCTGGGCGACAGAACGAGACTCCATTTCAAAAAAAAAAAACAAAAAAGAAAAGGCATACAAATCTTTTAACATGCATAAGGGGAAAATCAGAGTGATGACACCACCATGCAGTGAGATATGGATGTTTATATCCCCTTTTTCTTAGGGGAAAAGGAGATGGGAAAGTGTGGATGATTTTAGGGGGATAGGAAATGATTTTTAGGGGATTTCGGTGGGCTTGAAAAATATTCAGTGGTCTGGAACAAAGTCTGTTGGCCACGCAGAGCACACAGTGGTTTGTGACAAGTCTGTCCAGGTGTACTGACAGACTTCAGACTTTCTTCCTGCAGTAAGAGTTCAGTGAATGAAAACTCAGAGAAGCAACCAGAGGTAGTTCTTTTCTTTGTTGGGTCTGGACTTTAGGCAGATAAGGAAACTTTAAAGAAGGACTTCATCTTCTGCCTTGAAAGAGAGAGAATTGAGAGACAGGATGGTGGGGGATGGGATGGTAGGGATGGGGTAGGGATATCAACCTTGAAGCTGCCCGTTCAGTTCAGCATGTCAAAAAACCATTTGGGATATTGGTTTCTGAGCCCTAACATTTAGAATATTTCACATTTTACTGTAGCTGCTGTAAAAGGTTCCCTGTGACTGTATCAGCCATGAGTCCTGTAGAAATCAGATAATGACAACAGAAGCAATTACTTCCTTCTCCCCTCCGCTCGTATTATCATCATCTACTTTTGTTATTTTCATTAGGAAGTAGTGTATTAGATCATCCAATGTTACGTGAAATTGAAGAGGGATAAGAGGTGTTTTGATTCTTTTGCTTGGTTTTGGAAAACTTGGTGTCTAAATTGTTTCTTCTTTTTTGGGGTCAAATGAATCTAATTTTGAATGCAATAGGGAATTTTTCGATATATTTTTGGTATATCTTTGGGCAAATGGCAACTTGATATGCTAGTTTAAATACTGTCTTCTAAAGAGCAAGCTTTTTATTTCTAGACATCTAGTCTTATTTGTGCCATCAGAGAGCTTGCTGGTAGCAGAATTAAAAATCATTATGCTATTACCAGTCAGTGGACACTTGTTAAGAGTTACTGGTACATTCACATTCGTATGCTTGTCTGGTACATTTTTTTTTTTTTTTTTTTTGAGACGGAGTCTCGCTTTGTCGCCCAGGCTGGAGTGCAGTGGCGCGATCTCGACTCACTGCAAGCTCCGCCTCCCGGGTTCACGCCATTCTCCTGCCTCAGCCTCCCGTGTAGCTGGGACTACAGGCGCGCGCCACCATGCCCGGCTAATTTTTGTATTTTTAGTAGAGACGGGGTTTCACCGTGTTAGCCAGGATGGTCTCGATCTCCTGACCTTGTGATCCGCCTGTCTCGGCCTCCCAAAGTGCTGGGATTACAGGCGTGAGCCACCGCGCCCGGCCTGTCTGGTACATTTTTGCTGAGTGCCAGTTAAATGTAGGGGTGGACATACTATCAGGTGCCCGGATTTATCACCGAATCTAAGTAATGTGTGTTTAAGATTGCACTATAGTCTACCATGTGTTACATCATTCACTAATAGAAAATGATAACATTGACACAGAAAGCCAAGACTTAAGGTTAGTGAAATGCTTATAAGCCTCTTCTGCTTCTGACATATAAGTACTGTATTGCTCTTTCTGCAATTTGTTGATACAGGGCTCTGCAGTGAGAAAGAAAGGTATATATAGAGGAGATAATACTTACCTGGTCCTGTAGAAATAAAACAGAAATAAAAACCTCCACATGTAAAGCATCACGAATCTTAAGGGTGGAAGCTGATAGGGTGATTTAGGGATGTTTGTACCAATGAGGAATATATATCACCTCTGCCTTTGTGTGCCCAGAAGTTGAGGTCCTTCAAGCAGTTCTGTGATAAAATTCTTTCTCACATTCGGAACCTGCTCCCAAGACAAATGTATTATCTGTTTGCTGATTTTACTTTACAGGCAAAAGGCACTTTTTTTTTTTTTTTTTATCCTGGAGACAGAGTTTTGCTCTTGTCGCCCAGGCTGTAGTGCAATGGCGTGATCTCATCTCACCACAACCTCCACCTCCTGGGTTCAAGCGATTCTCCTGCCTCAGCCTCCCAAGTAGCTGGAATTACAGGTGCTCACCACCATGCCCGGCTAAGTTTTTATTTTATTTTTTTAGTAGAGATGGGGTTTTACCATGTTGGCCAGGCTGGTCTTGAACTCCTGACTTCAGGTGATCCACCTGCCTCGGCCTCCCAAAGTGCTGGCATTACAGGTGTGAGCCACTGCACCCAGCCCGGCAAAAGGTATTTTTTATTTTTTGTACTGTAAGCGTCTTATCTTAGGCACTTAACTTGAACAAATAAAAACCAGCTCTTTAAAATATTCTAAACATTTGACAAATGCAAAGCAGGAAATCAATTATACAATATACTTTAAATTTTCAAGGTACCTCTATTATTTATCCAGAAGACATTCATTTAGTAAATTGTTTAGCACTGAGAATGGGTCAGGAATTTTACTAGGTTTGAAATTACAAATTGTTAGCTCAGTTTTTTATTTAGCTTCAATTATGTTGTAAAAAACCAAACCAAAGCAAAACAGAACAAAATAAAGTCGCCAACAAAGTAGCCTAATTTCCTGTAATCAGGAAATTTTATTCCCTGACTCATATTTCCAGCTTTCTTAATTAAAACAATTAAAAAGGAGTTGGCAACAGTGGTCTTATATCCATGAAACCAAGTAGCAGGAGCAAAAGAGTGCCTGCCCTCTCATTACCAGTTTTATAAATGAGAACTTAACCCATTTATGCCTGGTGTTCCATTATTGGAACACTAAGCTTATGGGAGTTATTTATATCCTACTGCTCAAGGTCATTGCCAAGGTCTGATTTTTTACACACACAAAAATTGCAACCTCTGGCATAAATGGATTAAGGAACACAGAATTAGGCAGTATCCATAAAGACACAAAACTGGTTATTGGGCTTGATTTGAAACTTCATCTAATCCAATTAAAAAGCAAAAATCAAAAAACTGCTCCATCTATTCTTTCACATTGCAGGGTATTGTGGAAGTTGCAAAACTAAGCAAGACATGAACTAATATTAACTACATATGGTAATGCTAGAAATCAGTTAAACCTGAATTATACCTGTAGATCCTCATATCACCGTTGTAAATCCAGGCAGGGGTTTTAATTCCCAGGTTTCAGAAAGGGAAGCTGCAGAAGCCCAGAACATAAAGTATTCATGGCCACAAATCTATTAAGTGACGGAGTCCATATTTGAACCCTGGGCCCCTGTGCCCTGGTGTTGGAGCTTTTGGGATACTGTGAACGTCAAGGGTTGGCTCACCATCTGAATACTAAGCCTGAACTCAGAAGATGTGTTTTTCTTATGTGTAGGTTGAACCACATGACAGGGCCATTTTTGCCTGCTAAGAATGAGCAAAAATTCATATGGTTCAATGGGTACTTCTAAAACATACCCATGCCCTATTATTTCTGATATGTTTTACTTTTATGTTTGTGGAAATTTAACTCCTCATAGGAAAATGGAAGTTGGTAGTATACCATAGGAAAATAGGAAGTTTTAGACAAGTTTATTAAGATTCATATAGAAATTGTGGATCCAAATAAACAGATTAAACATAGGATTTAGGATTTAGCCCTACAGATACCACATTCATGCCCATTCTATAATCTGTAGAGTTTAATCCTATTGATTATAAAAATGAAGCAGTACTTTTCCCTTTTAACATATATATTCAGAAAACTGGGTGCTAGTATATAGAGCTTAATACAATTCTACAGCTTTAGATGATTTTATATATATATATATATATATATATATTTTTTTTTTTTTTTTTTTTTTTTTTGAGACGGAGTCTCGTTCTGTCACCCAGGCTAGAGTGCAGAGGCACGATCTCAGCTCACTGCAACCTCTGCCTCCCAGATTCAAGCAATTCTCTTGCCTCAACCTCCCAAGTAGCTGGGATTGCAGGCGCACACCACCACACCCGGCTAATTTTTGTATTTTCAGTAGAGACGGGGTTTCACCATCTTGGCCAGGCTAGTCTCTAACTCCTGACCTCGTGATCCACCCGCCTTGGCCTCCCAAAGTGCTGGGATTGCAGGCATAAGCCACCGTGCCCAGCCTGGATGATTATATTTTAAATAACCCTGAATCATTAAGCACAGTTACAAAATAAGCAAAGACTGAAAATCAGTAAAATATTCACTTAAAAATTTTAGTGACTCTTACTTTGCAGATGGTAGACTCTTGGGAAATAGTTATTAGTGAATAAGTGAAAATATCATGCAACACAGGTACAACTGTGAGCAAATGCCTTTTCCTTTTTTATACCTAATTACTCATGTAGCAATTTCCTTTGGGCATATGCCTGATTGAGGAAACATGATTCTATGTCTCTCTGTCTTTTTTTTTTTTTTTTTCGTAATGTCATAGTGTAGGGTAAAGAGCACAGTTTTGGCCCCAAGTAACCTTGGATACATCTTCTGATTCCCTTGGTTTTCTAACTGTTGTGACCACAGGCAAGTTATGCATTCTCGTAGATTCTTACTTAACTGCATAATGGAAATGTTTTCTGTATGCTACGAGAGTTTGAAATGAAACGTAAGTTCATGGCAAATAGTACAGGCTAGGCAAACAGTAGTCTTTACTAATTTATTTGTTTGTTGAAACTTTTTATAATTAAATATTTGCAATTAAAGTGATGCCAATTTTGAAGTGCAATTATTCATTTAACTGATCTCTACACTTGCATATTTTCTGTTTTTTTGTCTGTTTCTTGGGAGGAGGAACAGGTTTATTGATACATAATTCACATATATACAGTTCACCCATTTAAACTCAAACTCAATGGTTTTTAGTATATTCACAGGTGTCTGTGACTGTCTCTACAATGATTAGAATATTATAATCACTTCTAAAAGAAACCCTGTATCTTTTAGCTATCACCCACCTATACCTTCATGTCCCCGACCCCAGCCCTCTGCAACCACGAATATACTGTCTATATAAGTTTGCATGTTTTAGAATATTTTTGTAAATGGAATTATATGTGGTCTTTCATAACTGGCCTCTTTTACTTAGCAAAATATTTATAAGGTTTATCATGTTGTAGCATGCATCAGTAGTTCATACCTTTTTATAGCCAAATACAATTCCATTGTATGAATATTAAACATTTTATATTAAATATTAAATATTAAATATTTTCATCAGCTGATGGCCATTTGAGTTGTTTCCACCTGTTGGTGATTGTGGATGAATAGTACTGCCTTGAACAATATTTTACAAGTTTTTCCTTGAAAACCTGTTTTTAATTCTTTTGGGTATATATGTAGCAGTGGAACTGCAGATACGATCATTATCTGTTTAATCATTTGAGGAGCTGCTGCACTGTTTTCCAAAGTGACTGCCTTATTTTACATTCCCACCAGCAGTGTTGATGTCACCAGCGCTTGTTGTTATCTGTCTTTGATTCTAGTGAGTATGAAATGCTATCTCGTTGTTTTATGTTTTCTTGATGATTAGTACTTTTGAACGTCTTTTCACATGTTTTCTTGTCATGTAGTTATGAATCTTGAATAAAGCAAAAAGCTCTAGATTTTGGCTTGTTTGTCTTGTCCAATTCCCAATGGCCTGGTTGAAAAAACATTTTATTTGGGTCTAGAAAACTCAGCAAAGAATGATGTCACAGATGTTTCTCACCTCTGCTGTGTTTTAGCTGTAAGTAGATCAAGAAAGGAAAGCAAGACTAGAACTAATTGCTCATCAAGAAAGGATTTACAAATATAAGTGGTTCTGATACACATTTAAATTAGATTACATTTAACGACAGGTTTTGTAAATGAAGTTAATTTGAAAGGGCACACAGTCATTGGGTTTAATCTGTAAACAGCTATCATCCTTCCTCCTCCATCCAGTTTCTGGTAAATAAAAGTTACTCTTCTAGAAGAGTATTTACTTGCATGTTGCCCATGCTGTCTGTCAGTGGCAGCTGCTGGGTCGGTTTATAAGGGGATGCTACCTGGTTAGGGACGAAGCTCATATTTTTGCAGTTTTCCTATGGACCAGAAAATATTGACAAAGGAGAAGGAAATAAGATTTTCTGCTTGCTTTTGCCCTTATAATAGTTTAAATTGTTTTTTTAATTTTGTTTTTTTCTTTCTGAATTAAATTATGGTTTAGCCACTTGAACTACTAAAATTAAAAAATAAAACTAGAAATAAGACTTCTTTATTATAGTTGCTGCTGAATAGGAACTGTGTCTCCCATTATGCAGTGAACCTATTGTCTGAAAAAGACCCACTACATCCAACAGTTAACTGAGATAATTTCTAAAAATAATGGAGTAAGAGCATAACTGACTAATTTAGCAAACTCCTTGACAAAAATTCCAAGTTCATTTTGATGAGAGAAGGCAAAAATAGAGATTAAAATATGCACGCTATTTAAATATTTATGGAAAAGTCAGTGTCTTGCCCTGACTAAATTTCTGAGATTTCTTTAATAATATGTGTGACTATTTACGTAGCATGTAACCTTTTATTCTAAGTGTTTTTCCATTCACAATTGTGTTTGCCTCTTCATGAGTACTATGTGATATAAATAGGGCAAGCAATATTATCTTCAGTTTAGAAATGAAGAAATTGAGATCCTGAGATGACAGTGACCTACCTGAGTCTGTCCTCTAGCAAGAATTAGAATCTGGGTCTTCTGACATCATCAGGGATTTTTCTCATATACTCTGTGGATGTTTCACTTTTGTTGGATTGCTTCTGGAAGAACTGTAAGGTTTTATTCTGTGTGTATTTTGTAAATTGTTCACCAGCTCTCCCATTTCTGCCATTATAAAGACACTCCTAATGAATTATGCATCAGCTTTTGACTTAAAAAAGAAAAATCAAAGGACTTGGATTTAAGTAGTATTCTCACACAGAAACATACTACTTCTTACTTGCCTTTCTTTTCCCCTAAAATTGTGAAAGAATGATTTAAATACTAATGTGAGGTTGGGCGCGGTGGCTCACTCCTGTAATCCCAGCACTTTGGGAGGCCAAGGTGGGCGGGTCATGAGGTCAGGAGATTGAGACCATCCTGGCTAACACGGTGAAACCCCGTCTCTACTAAAAATACAAAAAAAAAAAAAAAAAAATTAGCCGGGCATGGTGGTGGGCGCCTGTAGTCCCAGCTACTTGGGAGGATGAGGCAGGAGAATGGCGTGAACCCGGGAGGCAGAGCTTGCAGTGAGCAGAGATCCTGCCACTGCACTCCAGCCTGGGCCACAGAGTGAGACTCCATCTCAAAAAAAAAAAAAAAAAAAAAAAAAATTAGCCGGGCATGGTGGTGCACGCCTGTGATCCCACCTACTCGGGAGGCTGAGAAAGGAGAATCACTTGAACCTGGGAGGCAGAGGCTGCAGTGAGTTGAGATCATCCCACTGCATTTCGGCCTGGGCAATGAAGCAAGACTCCCTCTCAACAACAACAATAACAAAATAAATACAAATGTGAAATCTCAGAATGCTGCTGCCTCAAGAATATCTGATTTACTAAACAGAGAAACAGATAGTTTTAAAGAAAAAGTAGCTTCATTAACATTAAAAAATTCTGGGTCTTTCCCCTTGATTTTACTCAGTGTCAGTAAAATCCATCTTAAGAAACAAAGTGGATTTCAACCTTTCTGCCTCAAGTTATTGTCATTGGGATTTAACATGTTCCATTCAACTTTTCTGTAAAACTGTAGTTTTTTCATGGAAAAATGTCTATTCATAGCTTCATAGTACCTAGCACAGAGCCTGACACATAGTAGGCACTCATTAGTTACATTTATGCCACATCAATAAATTAGGATTCAGTTGATCATCATTTGACTTAAAGGAGAAACATAATCACACAAGTAAAGAGACGATTTTAACTATAGTAATTATTGGCCCTCAGGCTCATAGTTTGGTGTCGGAGAGGGTTTGATCATGAGAGTGGTGCAATAAACCTACTCAAAACCAGGGACTCTCCTAGTGGTTGGAAAGCTTGAGGTGTAACAGTTTCTATTTTAATTTAGGAGCTCCAACCGCAGCTTTCTGAGCCCTGTTAGTTATGGTTATGCAAGGCTTCCTGAGAGTTAAGATCTAATAAAGGTTTATTATCTCTCCCTTACCTGAAATGCTTGGAACTAAAAATATTTCTGATTTTGGATTTTTTTGGATTTTGGAATATTCGCACATACATCATGAGGTACTGGGGATGGGACCTATGTCTAAACATGAAATTCATTTATGTTTCATGTACACCTCATATACATAGATTGAAAGTAATTTTATTTTTCTCTTGGGAATGCTGAATAAACTGTACCTGCATTTTGACTATGGCCTGTCACATGAGGTCAGGTGTGGAATTTTCCACTTGTAGCATCATGTTGGCACTCAAATATTTCAGATTTTGGAGCATATTGGATTTTAGATTTTCAGATTTGGTATGCTCAACCTATATGGCCTTTCCTGCATTACCAAACCAAAGCATAGGCTAGAGTACATTCCAAAGCATCTAGGACTTCTGAAAACACACCTAGCCTACTCTGTGTACTACAGGGCTGCTGGTGTGAGCAGAGTATTGGCTTTCTAGCTAAAGAACCACCTGAGTTCCAGCCCCACTTTGTCAAAAGAACCACCTGAAATTCAGCCCCATTTTGTCATTTATCCAGGGTGACCCTGGATAAACCACTTAATTTTTCTGACTTCTGATTTCCTTGTCAGTAAAATGGGGATACAAAGAACTTCTGGATTTGTTTTAAGAGTTAGAGATAATATCTGCAAGATGCCCTGGGGAAAGAAATTTTGTCTGGTTTCTCTCTGACACAGCTCACGTTTGAGCATAGGGCATTGAGACTGTGCAAGGCAAACTAGAAATTCAGAAACAATCATTTATTAACTTTGGAGCCCTAAATGTGAGTACCACGGCATGCATTAAGAATCCTTCATTACATTATGAGGAATGAAGGGAGATGTTGGTTTTAAATAGGAGGAACATAACAATTAATGCTGCTTATTAGACTTGTGATATGGTTTGGCTCTCTGTCCCCACTCAAATCTCATCTCGAATTGTATATGTATAACCCCCCGTGTTGAGGGAGGAACCTAGTGGGAGATGATTAGATCATGGGGACTGTTTCCCCCATGCTGTTCTAGTGATAGTGAGTGAGTTCTCATGAGATCTGATGGTTTAAAAGTGGCAGTTCCCCTGCGCTCTCTCTCTCCTACTGCCTTGTGAAGAAGGTGCTTGCCTCTTCACCTTCCACCATGATTGTAAGTTTCCTGAGGCCTCCCCATGCTTGAGGAACTGTGAGTCAATTAAACTTTTTTGTTTAAAAATTATCCAGTCTCAGGTGGTTCTTTATAGATGTGTGAAAACGGACTAATACAACTTGGAAAGACTTACAACCAGTTGTCAGGTTTATTTTCCATCATTCCGTCTTCTCAAAATAGGTTGGTGTGATTCTCTGAAAACATGGCCATTATTGAATAATGTTACTGTCTTATATTTTGTTTCTTATAGATAGCAGTATCAGTATACTTTTCCATAGAAAATACTGTGTGACTTCATGACCTTGGTGACAATTTTATGTTTGTACAATAAACACATTTCTGCTGTGAGGGATGATACATGCAGGCTGTAGGGCATCAGGCGATCAGGGGATGTGAAGGTAATTGTAGGCTGATCACTGTAGGCTGAACACCTCAAATTTTTGAGAGCTTGTCCTATTAATTATCCAAAATTTCTGAGCATTCTTTTCTAGCAGTAGGAGAGTAAGAAATTATAAATTTGATTTTGATTAAGAGGCCTTTCTCCTTTTTCAACAGTGTTGATTTTTAAAAAGTCTTAAAAAAAAAACAAAAAAACTATCAGTAGAGAATATTTTTAGAAGACATCCAGATATCCAGGTTTGGAAGTGGAGGGTTAGGGGATACTTTTTTTTCCTCCAAAAATACCTTGCTAATCTGTATAACCAAAGTAAGTTTTCTTTTGACCCAGTCACTTTTCTAGACTTATTTTATATTTTCTGTCAGCTTCTAATGCCTAAAGGAGTTTTTGTTAGATGTGAATTTATTTTTAATATTAATTTTTTATTGGACAGGTCACTTTAGAAAATTGAAATTACAGTTTATGAATCACATTTTGGGATGGATAGTCTACAAGATTCTTATTTCCATTAATACTTTGATATCATAAAAAGAAAAATAAAATCCCAATTGTTAATGGTGCACACTATCAACAAAGAGTCAAATTCTGTAAAATATTTGGAGAGATTTATTCTGAGCCAAATATGAGTGACCATGGCCCATGACACAGCCCACAGTCCTGAGAACATGTGCCAAGGTGGTTGGGGTGCAGCTTGGTTTTATACATGTTAGGGAGGCATGAGATGTCAATCAGATACACTTGATAAATACATTGGTTTGGTCCAGAAACATGGGACAGTTCGAAACCAGGGGTGGGTGGGGCATCCAGGTAATAGGTAAATTTAAACATTTTCTAGTTTACAATGGGTTGGGTTTGTCTAAAGACCTGGGATTAATAGAAAGGAAATGTTCGGATTAAGATAAAAGACTGTGGAGACCAAGGTTCTTTTGAAGCCTCATAGTGGCTGCCCTTAGAGGTGACAAATGTTTCCCTTTCACACCTTTAAAAGGTGCTAGACTCTCAGTTAATCTCTTCAAGATTGGGAGGGCTTGGAAGAAAATGATCTAGTTATGTTAATAGAGATTCTTTACAGATGCAAATTTTCCCCCACAAAGGACCACTTTGCAGGGCCATTTCAAAATAAGGCAAAGAAACATGTTTTGGGGTAAAATATTTTGATTTTTTCTTTGTCACATAATGTTATTCTAGAGTCAGATTGGAAAGTAAGCCGTGATATATAGGGTGAAATAAACCCATCTGATGAGAATTTATGATTTGTAGGGCATGACTCCCTAGACCCCTCAGATAGGAATTTGGGCAAACTAAAAACAATCAGTTTAGTTCTCAACACAGATTAAGATTAAAAACACAGGGTACATCATAGATGACTTAATAGTATGCATGAAGCATACCTACCAGATGATAATGAGATGGTAATGACACTTGTGGTTCTTTTTCCTAGCAAAAAGACATTCTTTGTGTTTTTCTTATGTGCCAGGTGTTGGGCTAGACACTTTACATATACTTTCTCCACCAGAGACTTTTCAGTGATGCTGGTAGGAAGGTTATGTTATTTGCATGTTTTACAAATAGGGAAATTGAAGCTTGGAGATGATAGGGATTTTCCTTTTGGTCACATAGCTAGAAAGTGGCAAAGCCAAGTCTGGTGTGGTGGCTCACGCCTATAATCTCAGCACTTTGGGAGGCCAAGGTGGGCAGATCACAAGGTCAAGAGATAGAGACCATCCTGGCTAACACGGTGAAACCCTGTCTCTACTAAAATTACAAAAATTAGCCGGGCGTGTTGGTGGGCGCCTGTAGTCCCAGCTACTCGGGAGGCTGAGGTAGGAGAATGGCGTGAACCCAGGAGGCAGAGCTTGCAGTGAGCTGAGATGGCGCCACTGCACTCCAGCCTGGGCGAGAGTGCAAGACTCTGTCTCAAAAAAAAAAAAAAAAAAAAAAGGAAAGTAGCAAAGCCAAGCTTGGAGCTCAAATAGAGTACCCTTAACCAATTCTACTGTACTGCCTTTGAATTGCTGTGTATCCTTAGAAAAGCCCCTTTTCTTTCCTGAGCCACAGTTGAGTGACCTGTTAAATAAGGAAAACTAGATGTTTTCTTTGTTCCCCTTCTAATTCTGATCTTTTGTGTTGGAACTTTAAAACTAATTGAAAAAAAAAACAACCAGAAAACTTATAATGTTTATTTTCTTTCTCCCATTATAGAAAATAGAAAAGAAGAATAATTAAGCTGTAATTCTACCACCTCAGTATAGAATCAGTCTTAACCTTTCTTCTAGTCTTTTTTCCTTTTCCGTGTATGTATCGATATATTTATTTTACTGAGATTAAAATTACATCACATATATAACCATTTGTATTCTGCTTGTTGGGCTTCGGATTTTCAATATGATTCTCTGTTATTGGTGAGACTGAATCTTTTCCAGAGCTACCCTGACCCCTGACTGGAAAGGTTGGGATCATTCCCAAGACTAGAGGATTCATAACTTAAAATTTTCTGTTTTTTTAAGGCTGGGCGTGGTGGCTCACGGTGGAGGGTGGATCACCTGAGGTCAGGAGGTTAAGACCAGCCTGACCAACATGGTGAAACCCCATCTCTAATAAAAATACAAAAATTAGCCAGGCATGATGGCGTGGGCCTGTAATCCCAGCTACTCGGGAGGCTGAGCCAGGAGAATCACTTGAACCTGGGAGGCGGAGGGTGTAGTGAGCTGAGATTGTGCCATTGCACTCCAGCGTGGGCAACAGAGTGAGAGTGTCTCAAAAAAAAAAAAAATTCTTTTGAAATCCAACTTTCACCTGGAAACCTGGGTGCAGGGAAAGAGACCACTCCATTATATAACTCCACTAGAAAGTATTACCAATTGAAGGATAGTCTAAGAAAGGCCAAAAAAAAAAAAAAAAAAAAAGAGAGAAGGAAATGGCAGATTACTAGATAGCTGAACAGGTTATATCTGGTAAGCACTTTCATGTCTGTTATTTTGGTGTCTCCTTTTAACACTCTTGAGGTATAGTTTCAAGAGGGTAAGTCAAGGATATGAGGTCCCTTACATCGTGGCAGAGCCATGGCTGAATATGCAGTCTTCCTCTCTTACACTGTTCTTCCTGTGGTACCAGGCAGTTTCAAGCATTTGCAATGCACACATTAGAATTGCGCACATTAGAATAGCTGGGAATGGCAGGCCCCACTGCTGTTCCCCAACAACTGCTTACTTGGTTAGGTAGGGTGCCTGGTTCTCTGCTGGCCCTCTGCTTGTGAGAGCTTAGGTAATAGAGATGAGTCCTATTCTGTTTTTTATTTTTGGTACCCCAGAGCCTGGTATACAATAGGAGGAACTCTTACTTAAAATTAATTTATGATTATTTAAGTTTCTTAGTTTTTATAAAAAGGTTTTTTTTTGTTTTTGTTTTTGTTTAATTGATCTTTCTCATTTGAAAAATCAAAAGTACCTGAAGGCTTTTAATGGAAAACAGCAGACCCAGGCTGGGCGCGGTGGCTCACTCCTGTAATCCCACCACTTTGGGAGGCCGAGGTGGGCAGATCACCTGAGGTCAGGAGTTCCAGACCAGCCGGGCCAACATGGTGAAATCCTGTCTCTACCAAAAATACAGAAATTAGCTGGGCATGGTGGTGAGAGGTGACAGCGTGCTGGCAGCCCTCACAGCCCTCGCTTGCTCTGGGCACCTCCTCGGCCTTGGCGCCCACTCTGGTCACGCTTGAGGAGCCCTTCAGCATGCCGCTGCACTATGGGAGCCCCTTTCTGGGCTGGCCAAGGCCGGAGCCAGCTTCCTCAGCTTGCGGGGAGGTGTGGAGGCAGAGGCGTGGGCAGGAACTGGGGCTGCACGCAGTGCTTGCAGGCCAGCGCGAGTTCCAGGTGGGCATGGGCTCGGCGGCCCTGCACTATGAGCAGCCAGCCAGCCCGCTGCACTGGGCAGTGAGGAGCTTAGCACCTGGGCCAGCAGCTGCGCTGGACTTCTCGTCGGGCCTTAGCTGCCTCCCCGCCAGGCAGGGCTCGGGACCTGCAGCACCCCATGCCTGAGCCTCCGCCCTCACCCTGCGGCCTCCTGCGTGGCCCGAGCCTCCCCGACGAGCGCTGCCCCCTGCTCCAGGTGCCCAGTCCCATCGACCACCCAAGGGCTGAGGAGTGCTGGCGCAAGGCCCAGGACTGGCAGGCAGCTCCACCTGTGGCCCCAGTGCGGGATCCACTGGGTGAAGCCAGTTGGGCTCCTGAGTGTGGTGGGGGCTTGGAGAACCTTTATGTCTAGCTAAGGGATTGTAAATACACCAATTGGCACTCTGTATCTACCTCAAGGTTTGTAAACACCAATCAGCACTCTGTGTCTAGCTCAGGGTTTGTGAATGCACCCATGACACTCTGTATCTAGCTACTCTGGTGGGGACTTGGAGAACCTTTATGTCTAGCTAAGGGTTTGTAAATATACCAGTTGCACTCTGTATCTAGTTCAAGGTTTGTAAATACACCAGTCAGCACCCTGTGTCTAGCTCAGGGTTTGTGAATGCACCAATCGACACTCTGTATGTAGCTAATCTAGTGGGGATGTGGAGAACTTTTGTGTGGACACTGTGTATCTAGCTAGTCTCGTGGGGAAGTGGAGAACTTTTGTGTCTAGCGCAGGGATTGTAAATGCACCAATCAGCACCCTGTGAAAACGGACCAATCAGCTCTCTGTAAAACAGACCAATTGGCTCTGTGTAAAATGGACCAATCAGCAGGATGTGGGTGGGGCCAGATAGAATAAAAGCAGGCTGCCCAAGCTAGCAGTGGCAACCCGCAGGGGCCGTTTTCCGTGCTGTGGTAGCTTTGTTCTTTTGCTCTTTGCAATAAATCTTGCTGCTGCTCACTCTTTGGGTCCACACTGCCTTTATGAGCTGTAACACTCATGGCGAAGGTCTGCAGCTTCACTCCTGAAGCCAGCAAGACCACGAACCCACTGGGAGAAAGGAACAACTCCAGATGCGCTGCTTAAAGAGCTGTAACACTTATCGGGAAGGTCTGCAGCTTCACTCCTGAGCCAGCGAGACCACGAACCCACCAGAAGGAGGAAGCTCCGAACATATCTGAACATCAGAAGGAACAAACTCCGGACACGCTGCCTTTAAGAACTGTAACACTCACTGCGAGGGTCTGTGGCTTCATTCTTGAAGTCAGTGAGACCAAGAACCTACCAATCCCAGACACACTGGCACGTGCCTGGAGTCCCAGCTATTCAGGAGGCTGAGGCAGGAGAATCGCTTGAACCCAGGAGGCAGAGGTTGCAGTAAGCCAAGATTGCGCTACTGCACTCCAGCCTGGGCAACAGAGCAAAACTCTGTCTCTCAAAAAAAAAAAAAAAAAAAAGCAGACCCTACCTCATCCACTCCCTATCTTATATAAAAAACAACCACTTTAATCTCTTGGGCTTTTCTTCTGCTATTGGAATAATAATAAGAGTGTAGTCTGGGGGTCACTCAGACTTGAGTTCAAGCTTTGCTAGTTATCAGTATGTGCCCTCCAAAAAGAAGTGGAGGTGCACATGCTTCTATGTCCACTTTAAACAACATTGACTCTAGTTAGATTTGTGAGTGCTTTGTGACTACTGAGCATTCTCTTGAATCCATGCAGAGATTAGCACTTTTAGCACACTGTTTTGTACAGTTGTGTATCACATATTTTTATTGAAGACACTAGTTTAAGAGTTAAGAGTGAGGTAGTTAAGTAATCTCTAAATCAGATACAGTGGAATGAGAAAATAGGTTTGATGGAGCCATCTTGAAAAGAAAGTTGTGGCCGTACATCAATAACCTTACCTTATTGTGGGCTCCTGTCCTTTCGAATTCCAATGGACACACTAGCAAGGTAGGATCTACTTAGAAATTGTGAGATACAATTTTCTAGAGAGGTAAAATCAAACGGGTATATGGATAGCTATTCTGCTTTTTCAAGTATATAAGTCGTTTTGATTAATGTGTTTGCACATGGAAAACTATTGGATTCAGAGTAGCTAGCAGCTATTTCTAGTAGCTTGTGGAAAAGCAGACATCTTCAATAAGGTAATTATTTTAAATGCATCTGTAGCTATGTAATGTGCACATGTGTTTGTAATTACAGTTGGAGAATTTAGAATCAAGTGCTAGACTTATCGGTGTTTATACATTCAACAAATGAAAAAAAATCGAGTATTGGCTGCTACCTTTGCAAATGTGCATTGTCTCAGAGTCTGCAAAGCATACCACTTGATAGTTGTCACAACTTAAATTTGCTGTGTAATGTGTAGCACAAAAGGTTGTGTTGCGTAACCTAACAGGCTTATCGCTGAACTGAGCAAATGTTTCTGCGTAGGTTGCCAACGTGGGGCTCCAGAGTGTCTGGCCCTGTGGTTTTAAGATTTGGCAAGTATGAATTTAGAGTTTTTTCTCATCTTTTAAAGAAAGAAAATTATACGTTAGTGTGAGTACAGTAATATGTTCAGTAAGTAGAAATAACATGCTGTCATGACATAATTTATGAGAAGTATTTAGTAGGCCATATACAAATTTTAGACCAGTGGGAATTTTTGGCTAGGAATTTATAGCTGTTTGTTCTTAACAAAACTGTAGGCATCAGAAAGCCGACATAGAAATACTTGATAATTAGTTTACTTATCAATTTATTGAAAGTTTTAGACTATTACTATAAATAATAGGCTTTATTTTAGGCAAAGTGAAGAAAAATATGGGATACAGCAAAAGCAATGTCTTCAATACACAGTCTAGTTATGTGTGTGTGCTGCAATTAAACTGCTGTGTAATCAGCAACTAGTAAACCAAGTAAGTGTTTAGCTGACAAGGTTCAATTTTACATGGAATGGTTTGTGTGATAAATGACTAAATGGTTCTGACTTCAGTTCTTGGATCATGGTAATATATGCAAAAATAATATAGAGCCAATTCTTGATTAATAGGAAGTTTATCTAATTTGTAAGTCATGAGGGCTTTCCCTTTTCTTTCTCCTTGCTTGTTGTCTCTTTCCCTGGCTTTGCTCATTTTCCTGTTAACGAGGGATGATGCTTAGACAAGGGTTGGGGTCAGGAGAGTGATGGGAATTTATTTGTTCTAGATTTTGGCTAACATTTTTGGAAACTAAGAATTGTTAAAATGTTTTACAGGTGTTATATTTCAAACAGAATTAAGTACTTATGTATTTAAAAATTATTTAGCTTTCTTTACCAATTTCAAGTTGACTCCTGCTGCGTAATACCAATTTTGGAAGTTTAAAATTCTGTATCATACTTTATTGATTGATCTTTCTACAGATTCTTGTCAGAGTAAATGTCTCAGTGGGGCTTATTTTACTCTGGCTACTGTTTCATTGAAGAATAGGATAACCTTTTTGCATTTTGGTTCTCATCATGTTTTTTTTTTATGAGACGGATTCTTGTCCTGTCGCCCAGGCTGGAGTGCAGTGGCGCGATCTCGGCTCACTGCAACCTCTGCCTCCCAGGTTCACGCCATTCTCCTGCCTCAGCCTCCTGAATAGCTGGGACTACAGGCACCCGCCACCACGCTTGGCTAATTTTTTTGTATTTTTAGTAGAAATGGGGTTTCACCGTGTTAGCCAGGATGGTCTCGATCTCCTGACCTTGTGATCCGTCTGCCTCGGCCTCCCAAAGTGCTGGGATTACAGGCATGAGCCACCGCACACAGCTGGTTCTCATCATCTTTAAGGCTAAGGGAATGACTGAATATGGTAGCTATAGAAAGACAGATGAGGACTAATTTTGGTTTCCAGCTGTGTGGAAGTGTAGTTTAATCTGTATTTCTGTAGGTCACACAATTAAGTAATTTTATAGTTCTAATTTGAAACATCCTGGCACCTACCTAAAACACTGTTAGCTGGAGCTTAGAATATGATAAAGCATTGATTTCTCTTAGATGCTATCCAAATAAGGCTAATTGCCTTAAAAGGACCTTGTTGTAAGGGAGTTCCAAAGCTTGGAAACTAATGCCAGCCTCATTGTTGGATGTTAGTGGGTTATATTTACATAATTACAACAATTATAGGCATTGACTAATATATAAGACATCTTTTTAAAGGTTTTTGATTTTAATTGTTCTCAGAGGGAAGATCTCTTTATTTTTTTTCAAAATGTTTCATTTGTGAAATCCTTTCTCCATTATGCATACGTAAATACTGTTAAGAAAGTAAGTTGAGTAATAGAAATGATGCAATTAAGGAAAGCTGAATATTGGAAAGGATCATTTATTTTAAACCAGCTCAGTTATAAGTAATTCATTGCTGTGAGGTGAGGATATTGTATGTGTTTAAGGACACCAAAAATCATTACAGATTTTACTGCTATTTCAGTTCAGCAACATGCGTTGAGTACCTGCTAGGTTACCAGGTATTGTGATAAATGTTTGGGATTCAAAGATAAATAAATACATAACATGCACACTAGCTCCTTTTTCTTGCAGTATTTAGGGCCCTATAGGTGGTCAGCATTAAGCAGCTAATTCCTGTAGTGTGATTTCAGTCTTTTGTGCATGTGTAGGGAGGGTGGGGGATCTTCCCTTCTAAGAACTACTTATGAACAGGCAGTCTAGATGATTAATTTTACTTCATTATCTTTCTGTAAATGACATGCCTTTGACGATATCCTTTGTAGAAGACAGAATTAGTTTCTAGTGGAAAGTTTCAGAGATTATGGTTTTGTTTGTTATCCCAGCAGCAAAGGAAAAACTGGAAAACAGGACAATTGGAGTGAAGAGAAGTAAGGTACGTGGTGACACTGGAGATACTTTATCTAATATCTTTGTGGAGGATATAATGCTATTCTGTATCGAAATTTGTGTACTTCTCTATAGATTATAGAAAGATGGAGCATATTCCAGTAAATATCATATATTTACATAGCTGTGGAACTGGTCTTAGAAAATGTGTGTTCTTTCAACTGTGTGCCAGGATACGAAAAAGCAAGATTTAGCTCACAAATATTAATTGAGGGCCCAGGTAGGTGCAGGTCACTTCATTTTCATTATCATTGCTGTCAGTACTTTAAACCTTTATTGAAGAACTAGTATGTGAATTCATTCATGTCTTCAGTGTCAACTCTGTGTTTATAATGTGCCTGGCCTTGGGCAGATCACATCAGGGTATGTGAGTAAATCTCTAGGCCTTGGTAATAAGAAGGTTAGATGAAAAGATAATTGCAATGTTTGTGATATGATGAGGTTATACGTAGGTTGATATATTAGTTTTCTATTGCTGCTTAAAAAATTACCACAAGAGCGAGCAGGCTTGGCTGTATTCTCTGCTCAGGGTCTAATAGGGCTAAAGTCAAGGTGTTAACTGCTTCTTCTCTGGAGACCCTGGGAAAGATCAGTTTCCAAGCCTTTCCAGGTTGTTGGCTGAATCCAGTTCCTTGTGATTGTAGGAGTGAGGTTCCTGTGTTCTTGCTGGCCATCACCAGAGGCCATGCTCTGTTATCAGAGACCGTTCACATTCCTACTCAAGTGCCAACCCTCCCTCCACCTTCAAACTAGCAGTGGTGTGCATCCTTCTCTTGCTTTGAATCTCTCTGACATCTCTTCTGCCACCTGCCTAAGAAATTCTTTCCTTTTGAAGGGTTCATAGGGACCCTTTTGCCATAATCATAGGAGTAATACCAGGAGATGGAGATCATAAGTGTCATCTTAATATTATGCCTACCACAGTTGCTATTGGAAACAGAAGACAAGTACCAAAATCCAACTTGAGAGGTTTAAAAGTGAGTTCCTGGAGGATGAAGTCCCTGAGATGCCAGGACATGTACTTGAGTTAAAGTCTAGGTCTCTACTTATTTTCTTTGTTATTATTATCCAACCAATATTTACTGAGAACTTGTGTTGGGGCCAAGTCACTGCACTGTCAGAAACTCAATTTCCTTAGTGATAAAGTTGGGATGGTTATATATTTTTGAAGGTCTCTTAAGAGAATTAGAAATAATAATGAAAGGGTCTAACAAAGAAGGGTGCTCAGTTAATAGAGTTTGTATCAAGAGAGCCCACGTGGTATATTGGGAACAGTCTGAGATTCATTGCAGGTTAATTCACACATTCTATTCCTTATTCCACAGATACTTATTGAATCCTAAACCACAGGGCTGAGACTCAAATGAAGTGAGAGAGATACTTGCCTTGAGCACAGAATTTCAGGATGTGCCCCTCAAAACATCTATGTTTAAATCAAATCAATCATATGCTAAAATAATATAAAGTTAATTTAGAAATCTATATCAAATACCAAAATAAACCCAATATCACAATACAGAATCAGTAACCACTTATACTGAGCCATGTTAGAGTCCAAGGGAAAAGGAAAAGTCAGTGATACTGATCTGATCTGTCTTTAACAGTTTTATACATTAATTTTGATTTTTTTTTTTTTTGAGACAGAGTCTTACTCCGTCGCCCAGGCTGGAGTGCAGTGGCGCGATCTCGGCTCACTGCAAGCTCCGCCTCCCAGGTTCATGCCATTCTCCTGTCTCAGCCTCCCAAGTAGCTGGGACTACAGGCGCCCGCCACCACGCCCGGCTAATTTTTTGTATTTTTAGTAGAGACGAAGTTTCACTGTGTTAGCCAGGATGGTCTCGATCTCCTGACCTTGTGATCCGCCCTCCTTGGCCTCCCAAAGTGCTGGGATTACAGGCGTGAGCCACCGCACCCAGCCCCCCTAATTTTGATTTTTTAAAGATGTATTCATTTATCTTGGTCGGGTGCGGTGGCTCACGCCTGTAGTCTCAGCACCTTGGGAGCCCGAGTCAGGTGGATCATGAGGTCAGGAGTTCAAGACCAGCCTGGCCAACATAGTGAAACCCCGTCTCTATTAAAAATACAAAAAGTAAAATAAAAAATAAAAAAATTAGCCTGGCGTGGTGGTAGGCACTACTTGGGAGGCTGAGGCAGGAGAACCGCTTGAACCCGGGAGGCATAGGTTGCAGTGAGCCAAGTTCATGCCATTGCACTGCAGCCCAGGTGACAGTGCGAGACTCCGTCACACACACACACACACACACACACACACACACAATTATCTTGATTAATGAGTTTTAAATTTTGCTCCGGAGATGAATGCCTCCCTCGCCTTATCCTACTCTTGCCCTGGTTGCTTGATAGAAGACTTTGCTTTTTCCATTTAGGGACCATAGGAAATGAGCAATAGGATAAAGAAGTTAAATAAACAGTACAGAAAATGTAATCGGAGTTGAACTTTGCTTGTAATATTATTTTGACTACATCTAAGTATTATTTTAGGTTAACATCCTAGCATTCTTCTCAATAGTTCTTTAGATTCCTCAGTTATTAAAATAATTATTAGCAATTTTCAAGATGATTAACTTTAAAAAAAAACAACATGTCCTATATTTAAAGTACAGAATTTCTTTTTATTTTGGAGTTACTTTAAACATCTTCCAGTATTAGTAAAGTCCCATTATCATGTTCATATAGTAACACATCTGTCAGTTTTTACTTTTTTGTTTGATTCCTCTGTGATTTCAGTAGCTTTATAATCATTCTTTTTAGCTATTGCATTCTATTATGCATGCTTTCCAGTAATGTAAGTGGTTAAGGTAATTGCAACCTAATATCAGAATGACTTTTTCATTTCAAACCTTTACTAGGTTATGTTTTCCTTCCACAGCCTTGTCAGAGAGGGCTAAAATTTTCTATGGTCTGGGCATTATTCCCATGATGGATATTTAGTCCCATGATTGCTATATTATTGCTAGCATTTTAACATTTCTGAGAAGTACAAACCAAGATTGCCACTTGCTATTTTGAATGTATTTCAAATAATAGTCTTTATCTGAGAACAGATAGTTAGAAAAGGAAAATATTGGAAGCTTCTAGTTAATCAGAGGTGAAATGAAATCTCTAACATTAATGAATATCCCAGTTATAGAGCTTTTAAGACATAGTAGGTAAACTTAATCCTTTTCTTCTGCCTTACAAACTAACAAATGCCCTATTTGTATAAACTAATGTACCCATGATTTTAGACATTCTTAAATCACATAAAATGTAAGCAACTAAAGATCAGTTAGAATTTATGACCGGTAAAATAAAAAGTCCATCAGGGAGATAGTATTAATCAATCTGAGGGAATGATACTTCCATTTAGAAATTGTTCTGAATAACTATAAGCATTAAATGAGCAATGCCATGAGTGCTTTTCTTTATACAATTTTAACTAGAATTATAAAATCGTGGTATTGTTTAAACTCTTTATCTTCAAACTTTCATCACATTGATGTAATTTAAATACCAGTTAAGTTTAGCAGTAATTTAGCCAAATGATTAATTCCATCCTACATTATGTTCAGCTAAACAGTCTAACACTTTTTTTTTGTTTTTTAATATCAGGTCTAAAGTGACACCACTGTGAGAGTAATGGTAATAAAAATTGTTACGTGCAGCACTGTTTAGAAATGAATTTGAACCTATATTCAAAGCATCTGTCTTGTGAGACTCGACAGTTCTGTTTACTGCTTTAAAGCAGCCACTCTGTGGGAAACTTTTAAAAATAGCTGCATTATTAATATATTTATTTAAAATGGCTGCCATCTTTATCAACCCCAGGAAGGGAGCAGGAAGTAGATGCCAGTATAAGCAACATAATAGGCTTGCAGTTTGGTTTTGTTTGTATACATTTTGTAAATAGTTCAGGAAATATAAATGAATAAGTAATCAGAAGTCAAAGAGTAAAATAACACAAAGCTTTTCCAGCTACAGGTTTGATTGTTTATACAGGAATTTGAGGTTGACTTAAATCTGTAATGCTCAACCTTACCAGTAGTAAGTCACAAACACCCCATTGAGCTTTGTTACATGCTTTTAAAAAGGAGAATATTTTATCTTTCTAATGCTGTTTCTAATGCCTAAATACCAGTGCCCAAAGGGAGACAGTTCCCTGATGTTATTCTTCCAAGGACCACATTCTAAAGAAAGCTTTTTGGGCAGTGATATGGAATAATAAATGTATGTTGGGAGAAGGGAAGAGAGTCCATTGGGGTGGCAAAAAAACTAAATTCTCTCTCAACTTTCTCATTAGTAATTTACTGGGCAGCATTGAGTTGCTATGGTATTTTTATTGTTGTCTCCCTTAGAAATTTCCAGTTGTTCCAAGGTAAACAAGATAGTATAAGTCCTTTGGTCTAGTATAATTAGGTAATTTTTTTATTCTGTTCATTTGCAAGCTTGAAAAGGACCAATGGCAGAAATTAAGTGCTCCCTTAAATGACTATGCCAGGGCACCAATGTATATTTTATCTTCATTGTTCATAAAAGTGCATCTATCTTTACTGATGATGAATTGGGGATGTCATGGAGGATTGATTTTTATCCTGTAGTTTCAGCTACTTGATCAGACCTCTTTTCCTTCTAGTTAGCTTATTAGGACATTTCTTATTATTTTGATTATGCAAGAAGAGTGATCTAGTGCCTTTTAAATTTTATGATCACTTACTGAGTGACAGGGATATTTACATTCTAAATGAATGCACCAAGAGTTTAATAGTTACTTATACCTTAAAGAGACACAAATAAGGTTGGCTCACGTGTTCATTTTGGTTTTATAGTAGTATTCAGGTGTTAAGTGCTGTGTATGAGGTTAAGAACAGGAAATGTTCTCCTCTGAATCACTTGGAATAAATTGTCTTTGAACTAGTAAGAAAACGTGATAGTTAAAAATGCTGTCATTCATATGGAATGAGAATTCTAAATTGTTTGCCACCAAATATTTAAAAATTTTGAGGCAATAGTGTCAAACCAGAACCAAGTATAATTATTAGTTATTTTAATGTCAACCATAGTCATTTTTATCAGTGATGAAAAAAATTAGTAAAATGTTATTTAATAATTCTTCTTTCTAGTTAATGAAAAATGATACATGGCTGGGTGTGATGGCTCACGTTTGTAATCCCAGCACTTTGGGAGGCCAAGGTAGGTGGATCACTTGAGGTCAGGAGTTCGAGACCAGCCTGGCCAACAGGATGAAAGCCTATCTCTACTAAAAATGCAAAAATTAGCCAGGTGTGGTGGCGCACACCTGTAATCCCAGCTACTCGGGAGGCTGAGGCAGGAGAATCACTTGAACGTGGGAGGTAGAGGTTGCAGTGAGGTGAGATCATGCCACTGCACTCTAGCCTGGGCGACAGAGTGAGACTCTGTCTTAAAAAAAAAAAAAAAAAGAGGATACATAGAAATATGTTTGATACATGCTTATTCTATGAATGAATATGGCAGTGATTGTAAATATCATACTGCCAAACATTTTAAACAGTGCCAGAAAATGTGTTGGAAACTTGAAGTTGAATAAGACACATCTCTAACCTGTATAAGAGCTCAGATTTTCCAGCATCTTTGTGAGCAGGTGTGGCCATATGATTTAGTTCTGGGTGGAGAAGAGATATGTGTAACTTGATTGCTGTTGTTTCTTTTCCTGTTTCCCACTGCCTGAAATGCCAATATGATGGCTGTACCTAGATGGGCCAAAAAGCAGATGCCATGAGTTAAATACAGCAGAGCAACAAGGTAGATGGAGTATGGGTGCCTTATAATTAGGACTTGCCATTTCTAACACTGGACTATATATTTATGTAGATTGATGAAATTCCATCATGTTTAAGTCACTTTTTGGAATTTCTATTTATTTTTATTTCTATTTATTTCTATAAGACATTTTACAATCATTGGTCAATAAACCAGACGTCTAAGTGAGTTGAGTAATGAAAGAAAAGGCCATCTGTTAGGAATAGCTGGGTTGTAATTAAGGCAAGCGTCCAAGTTTATCTATCTTTATGTGGGTAGAACATACTAGATAGGAACCCAGGAAGACTTTCAGATAAAAATTTAGAGGAAAACAGAGTATTCTAGAGTTGACTATAGAACCAGTATTGTAGAACCAGTATTGTTGTTTACTACTCCATAAGTCCTAGTTTCTTAAACTATGAAAGTGTGATTGTTATAAAGATGAAATGGAACATGTATGGTAAATTGCTTTGCAAACCATACTCTGGGTAGTAGTCAGTATGTTTGAACATATACATGTAATGGATGAAAGGAAAATGCAAATTTAAATTGCACTTCCTACTATCAATTGAATATATATTCAGATGGGAAAGTTTATCCTCTGCTGTTAATGAAAATTCTAGCAGATCCTCTGATTTTTCTGTTACTAGAAATCCTTATAATCCCTTTAAATTACAAATACAGTCTCATTTGGGAAATAAATCTTTGCCTCTGGTGTACCTTGCTATAGAAGGGAATCTGCATTCTGGAAAAGTGGGGTGTGATAGGTTTTCATTTGTTGAGCAAATATTTATTGAACAGCTACTATGTAGCAGGCATTGTTCTAGGCTGGGAAACAATACAGCAAGTGACAAAACAGATAAATCCCTGCCTCTTGGAACAGACTATCTAATGGCTACTTATTTCCTCCTGGTCATTTTTTCTTCCATTTACTGGCTCCTGACATGGACTCTTCAGAGATGTAAGAATGGTGTGAAGGATCCGCAGGGAAGGTCTGTGTGTGTTGTGGATTTAAACTGATGTTATGTACTCTGATCCTAGCACATATTCAGAGCTGACTCATTTTCTTATGGGTGTGTCTCGAATTCATTAGAACCTTCCCTGCTGGGATTCTCTAACCACAGCTCGCCTGAAGTATTTTGCCTTTCCCTCTGGCTAACAGTTTCCCCTCAGCCCTTGGTTTTTTGGTTGTCTGTGCCACAGACTTTCTCTATCTGTGACCCTCCCTCTCAGGAAGGATTCACAATGGCTCCATACCGGCTCTTCTTTCTGCCAAGTCTGTGAGTCCATGGAGAACAGTTGCCTACCTTTCTTTGACCTGCTCTCAGAAGGGGAAGCTAAAAGGCCTCTTTCATGCTGCCCGAGCAATCTGGTATTTCTCAGGTTAGAGACGCCAGAAAAAGGTGTCTTCCAAACTCGAGCACAACATAGCCAGCTCTTGACATGGCCTTGAGCTTTCTCTGTCTTGATGTGAAGGAGGTGGCACTCTTACCCCAGCGCTCCTCAGCCTTTATTACCTGTCACTTGTATACCCACTATATCAACAAGGGGTCATGTACTTTAGTGATACCCACTTTGAAATTTGCATTTTGGTTTGCACTTCCCTGTGAGTCTGACACTCATCTCCTGAGGCCTAAGCCTAAACTCTTATTTTAGTATGTAGTTACACATACTTTTCAATATAAAAGTTGTTTATTTGTATTTCATCCCAAGAGTGCTTTCCTGAGGTGGTTTGTTTGTTTGTTTTTTGTTGTTGTTGTTAAATACTTGACTGTTTCCCACAGCTCAGATGTAGAGAAAAAGTCGGAGCTTTTTAGCTTTTTTTAGACGGAATCTTGCTCTGTTGCCCAGGCTGGAGTGCAGTGGCGTGATCTTGACTCAGTGCAACCTCCACCTCCCAGCTACAAGCAGTTCTCCTGCCTTAGCCTCCTGAGTAGCTGGGACTACAGGCACGCGCCACCACGCCTGGCTAAGTTTTGTATTTTTAGTAGAGATGGGGTTTTACCATGTTGGTCAGGCTGGTCTTGAACTCCTGACCTCATGATCAGCCCACCTTAGCCTCCCAAAGTGCTGGGATTACAGGCGTGAGCCACCACACGCAGCTGGTGCTTTTTAGCTTTTCAATTTACCAATCTGACCTTCTTTACCTGCTAGATAGTAGTGAAGGAAACCAATGTGTAATCAAATAGAAGAAATTTCATCCATGACATGATTTAAATCGTAATTTGATGTAAAGTGTGGAGGCTGTAGTGTTTATCTTCCTGTCTGCTCTCCTTTAAGATGTCATGTATATGGGGGAGGAAGTGGGACACTGGGTAGTGGGGAAGAATGGTCCTTAGACCTATGTGGAGTCCTTGGGATTCTTATTTGTTCCTGTGGCTGGTATTACTGGTATTACAGTGATCAAGAAGAGCAATGACCAAGATGCAAGGAGTTCTGGTTTTTCTGTTGAGGAAATCTGGACACATCTCTTGTTTGCATCCCAGTGCCCTTCTCCCAGTCATCATGTATATGTTTCAGCGTGAATGTCCCCTACTGGAGCCCATAAAAATTCTAGGTCCACTGCGTACCATGTGGAGGCCTAGTATGGCCCAGGATAGTTGTCAGTGCCCTAATGCTTTGGGGCTTCTCCTAAGGCGCATCCCTACTTATTTACTGGAGTACCATGGAATGTGACCTCGAGACCCTCCTGTGTCTGCATCCTTATGACCCAAATCCTTCAAGACAAACAGAGGCATGTCTTCATGTATTTCTTCCTGAAACTTTCCCTAGGTCATGCCATTCTTTTTTATGTCTTTAGCCTCGGAGCTAAGCTAAGAGACCCAAATGACAAAGGGGCCTAAATGAAGAAGTTTAAAAAAAAAAAATGCCGTGTTGTCTACAACATTTACATTATATGCCACCACTATATGGTAGCTAGGAACAGGTAGTAACTGTATAGTGTTCAAATGAGAGTAAATAAGAATTTAGTAGTTGCTGTCTAAACGAGATGACTTCCCACTATATCCTGTATATTCTTTTTTTTTTTTTTTAAGGTGGAGTTTCACTCTTGTCGCCCAGGCTGTAGTGCAATGGCGCATTCTCGGCTCACCACAACCTCCGCCTCTCGGGTTCAAGTGATTCTCCTGCCTCAGCCTCCCTAGTAGCTGGGATTATAGGCGCCTGCCATCATGCCAGGCTAATTTTTTTTTGTATTTTTAGTAGAGACAGGGTTTCACCATGTTGCCCAGGCTGGTCTCGAACTCCTGACCTCAGGTGATCTGCCTGCCTCAGCCGCCCGAAGTGCTGGGATTACAGGCGTGAGCCTCCGCTTCCAGCTATATCCTGTATATTCTTCATTCCCTAGATCGAGTCCATTTTTATTAACACCACTTCACCATTTCACCAAGGTCATATGATTTCATTAACTCAAGTTTTTAGCCACTCTAGTGCATCATGATTGTTTTCTACGTAGACAGTTGCCTTTCTGTGACAGTTTTCATTGTGTTTATCTTATTTGCTGTCTTTGTTAGGAAATTTTTTCTGCAGTTGCAATAGTAGCTGTGTGGCTGTAGACCTTGTTACTTATTTTCTGAGCATTGATTTACCTTTTGGTAAATGAGGATAATAATACCTGTATCACACAATTATGAAGATTTAAATGAAAAAGCAGATGTAGCTGGGCGCAGTGGCTCAGGCCCATAATCCCAGCACTTTGGGAGGCCGAGGTGGGTGGATCACGAGGTCAGGAGTTCAAGACCAGCCTGGCTAACATGGTGAAACCCCATCTCTACTAAAAATACAAAAATTAGCTGGGAATGGTGGTGCGTTCCTGTAATCATAGCTACTCGGTAGGCTGAGGCAGGAGAATTGCTTAAACTGGGACCCAGGAGGCAGAGGTTGCAGTGAGCCAATATCACACAACTGCACTCCAACCTGGGCTACAGAGCGAGACTCCGTCTCAAAAAAAAAAAAAAAGAAAAAGCAGATATATGGCTTTTAGTACCATGTTAGACAAGAACTGCCAAGTACTCAATAAATAATTTATTATTAATATTATTATTCCTTTTCATTGTTTCCCACAACCCACCTTCCCTTTCAACCAGGCTGGTGGTGTTACTTTCCTAAACATTCCATGTCCAATTTTGATCTTGGTTCTCAGATTTGGCTTTTATACTATAATTTTTTGAGTGCCCTTCTTCCTCCACTTTGGTTATTTAATTACTACCTATCCTTTCAAATCTAATGCAAGCCCTGTTTAACAAATAAATGCCTTTCTGATAGCTTTATTTTAAACTAATCTGCTCTTTCTTTTAGCTCCCTTAATACTACAGAAAATATGACTCTGTTGTCCTAATGCATCGTGACTTATCTATTCCAGGGATGTATTATATTTTGCATTGTTTCTCATTGTTTTCTATAGTTTTTCTATGTTTTAATTTTTGTATGATGGTTGGTTGCTATATTTCTAAATGTCAGGTACAGGTTTTGGTCAGAAAGGAGGGGGGTGCTGGGCATGGTTGCTCGCACCTTTAATCCCTGTGCTCTGGGAGGCCAGGCGGGAGGATCGCTCGAAGCCAGGAGTTTAAGACTGGCCTGCGTAACAAAACGAGACCCCAAGAAAAGTCTCTAAAATATATATTTTTAAAAATTAGCAGCCGGGCACGGTGGCTCATGCCTGTAATCCCAGCACTTTGGGAGGCCGAGGCGGGCGGATTGTGAGGTGAAGAGATTGAGACCATTCTCGCCAACCAACATGGTGAAACCCCATCTCTATTAAAAGTACAAAAATTAGCTGGGCGTAGTGGCACATGCCGTAGTCCCAGCTACTCGGGAGGCTGAGGCAGGAGAATCGCTTGAACCTGGGAGGCAGAGGTTGCAGTGAGCCAAGATTGTGCCACTGCACTTCAGCCCGGTTGACAGAGCGAGACTGTCTCAAACAAAAAACATTAGCTGGGCATGGTGGCACACAGCTGTTGTCCTAGCTATGTGCCAAGACATAACTGAGGGGCTGAAGCAGAGGATCACAAGTTCAGGGCTGCAGTGGGCTGTGATTATACCACTGCACTCCAGCCTGGGCGACAGAGACTCTGACTCTAAAAAAAAAAAAAAGAGTGAAGGCAGCAAGGGGTGGACAGGGACACATCTGCCAGTTATTTTAAAAATATTTTTATTTATAGAAATAACATAAAGTTTTATGGAACTCTGGCCAGAAACCCTCCACTTAGATTTCTTTGCATGGAATTATGTCACGTGTTGACCCCTCTCTAAAAGTTGCCTCTGGCAGGGGCTAGCAGAAGGTTGCTGCAGACAACCAACAGTATCCCACATACATAGTAAGCAACAGCTTAAATAGCTACTTTCCCTATGGAAACTTCAGTCTGAAAAAGCCCTCTACATGTATCTTTCAGAAAATAACTTTTCAAGTTAATGAAACTACTAACTTAATTTCTGAAGGGAAGTTTATAGTTTTATTTGGGGGGAGGATTTTGATGCTTATTGGCTTTTCTTTGTTGTCAAAGAATGTATACAAAAGATATTGCTATTTCAGGTCTGGATTGAAGAACTCCTCAGAATATAAATCCTTGTTTTATTGCTGGAAGGAAAAAAGCAGAATAAGGCACGAGTTAGCATCTTGAAAGACACAACAGGGATTTATTTTCCCTTCTCTTCGTGTGTGTGCCCTTTAATTTTTTCATTCCTCAAGCAGAACTCAGGCAACCCCAAATTAAAGCAGTTCAGGACGTACATCACATGATGATTACATTGTATCTGGCTGTTCTGGAGATGGACAGATAACAGTTGTTGTAGAAAACCTTTTGTAGTGTCTGAAAAGACAACTGTCACAAAGAATGCTGTAACTCCCCTGTGTTACAAGATAAAGTTAAATTAGATCAGCTGAGGTTCTTTACAGGTAGTGATCTCTTTAGTGGTATTTGAAATGTGTTGACTGAACAGAACTAGAGTGTCCTAAGTGAAGTTTTGTTATCCATGGGAGCCTGTTGTAAATGCCACAGTGTTGTGATGTATGTTTAACTAATTTCATGTTCTTTCGAAGCTCCTGTTCAGTAGCTTAAAATGTTCATTACCAGTAAACATTGTACATTAGCAGACAAGAGCCTAGAGAAAACACCACTTACCCTTTGGTAATGGACAAATAGATAATAGTGGAAGATGAGAATTAATTGTCTTTATGCAGGTGTCACATCAGCCTGCAATAGAACAGGATTATTTATGCTTTCAAAAAAATACCATTGTGCTTTTATGAGATACAGAGCAGGCAAATAGCTGCTAAAGAATAAATTATTTGAATTGGTATTAATGTGGTGACTTAATTCAGAGCATCGAGGAATATAATGCACGTTTCTAACACCCCTCCCCTTTTTCTTAAATTCAAGAAGTACTGCAAAATGATTGAGACTTCAGAATTAGGAACTGTGGCAGAACGATTTGTTCTTTTATCCTGCTTTTTACGTGGGCAGTTTGTTTGCTTATCAGCACTCTTGAAGGTGCTGATCCTAAATTGTCAGGCCTATTGGTCCTGGCTGGAGAGAGCATTGTTTGCCTTATTGTGAGAGTGAAAGCATTATGGAATACATTTAAGAATTTTTATATAGAGGCCTTCATTTGTCTTAGAATTATTCAGTGATACAAAGAGCTTTCATAGCTGTTACTGGACACTAGAATACTAAGAACTGCATGTATATTCAAGAAATATTTTTGCCCATTTGCTCACTTATTCAGCTTTTGATTTGCCTCTGGCATTTTTGTATTGAGACAACTAACATCAACATCTTGTCCATAGGTCTAATAAAGCATGTCCTTTGAGTTAGGTATATATTTCATTTTTATCTTGAGTGCCAGGGCTCAATTAATAGTAGTATTTGGCACTGTGCATGTTTTTGTCTACTGGGAAGTATTTCATTTAATTGAACACATATTTATGGGATGCATCATATTTCAGCACTCGTGTGTATAATGGGGTACAAAGAAGACTATGGCTTTGAGCTTTGTGAGGGACATACACCCACATGAACCTTCCTTTCTCTGCCCCCCATCTGCCTCCAAAACACATTGTAGGCAGAATTCTAAAGAAGAGAAGCTAGGGTCCTGTCCCCTGGCTATTCAAACCTGAATCCAGGCCCTATTGCAAAGGGACTTCGTAGATGTAATTAAAGTCCCAAATCAGTTGGCCTTAAGATATGGTGATTGTCCAAATGGGCATGACCCAGATGGATAAGCAAACCATTCAGAGAGTTTTCTCTAGCAACGGCAGAACAGGAAGCCAGCGATATGCAAAGCCTGAGAAGGACTCTACTCACTCTGCTATTGCCAGTTTGAAGACAGAGGAGGGCCAAATGAAAAGGAATGTGCACAGCCTCTAGAAGCTGACAGTGGCTCCTGGATGGCAGCCAGTAAGGAAATAAGGACATCAGTCTTGGAATAGCAAGGAAATGGAATTTGTCCAACAACTTGAATGATCATGGAAGTAGATTCTTCCTTAAAGCTTCCAGATAAGAGCCCAGTCTGGCCATTACCTTGATTTTGGCTTGATGGGGCTCTAAGCAAGAGAACCCACCTGAGTTATTGCTGAGTTTCTGACCTACAGAACTGTGAGCCAGTGAGTTTGTTTTGTCCTAAGCCTCTACCATTGTGGTGACTTGTTATACAACAATGGCAAACTAATAAACACACACAGAGTGATCATTTCCTTTATACCAGGATATATGAGAGGTGCTAATTAATTTCAGTTTTCAGGACCAAAAAGAAAAGGTTTAGATAATATTAACAGGATTTTAAATTTACTACAAATATCTTCATTTTATACATGAGAAAATAGAAGTTCAGAGAAGTTAAGGTTTTATCCAAGATTTTAGATCTGGCTAGTGGCAGAGCTGGGATAGAAGCTTGTCTCCTGATTCAAGGTTCAGCATTTTTTTAACTGTATCTTACTATGGTGCATAATGACTTCCAGCTTTAAATTGGAACCAAAGTGTAAAAAAGCTAAATAATGGTAATTTCTCTGTCATAATGCCAAGTGTAATGAAGGAAAGAAATGGAAGAAAAAGGTAATTTCAGGAAAGCATTATTATTTTTTGTCTAAAGATTTTAGAGCATGGAATTGAGTGCATTGCTTTGACTTACTCGTTAGGCAATATAGAAGCATTCATACCTTCAATGGAGTATTGTTCCTTCTAACAATATCGACCCACTGCTGAATTCTTCTAATGATGTTGCTATTATTTGGCATATCATGGGAGTAGCTTTTTTACTTAAATACGTTTAGCACTTTCTTTTTAGCAACTATTTGATTGGGAGGATTAATATGATATTGTTTCCAGTAGCTTGTAGATAGTTCTAATATGAAGAATCAGATTTGGTGATCATCCTGAATAATATAATAAACACCAGTTGGGCTAGTATATAAGAAAATTGGGCTAGGTAATATAACCAAAAGAAAATACTGGTGTTAAGTATTAAGTTGGACTTTCTTATTTGTTTTCTAAATTCAATCTAATTAACCGTAGTTTTTAAAAAAAGTTTAGGCCAGACGCGGTGGCTCACGCCTGTGATCCCAGCACTTTGGGAGGCTGAGGCGGGTGGATCACGCGGTCAGGAGATTGAGACCATCCTGGCTAACAGGGTGAAACCCTGTCTTTCCTAAAAACACAAAAAAATTAGCCAGGTGTGGTGGCACGCACCTGTAGTCCCAGCTACTCAGGAGGCTGAAGCAGGAGAATTGCTTGTACCCAGGAGGTGGAGGTTGCAGTGAGCCGAGATCACACCACTGCACTCCAGCGTGGGCGACAGAGTGTGACTGTCTCAAAGAAAAAAAAAAAGTTTAGAAGTCATTTTGGAGCAATGTTGGCATGACTGGAGTGAGTATCCCATCTCTTCTGGTAGGTAGTTAAATACAGTATGCGCTTTGGAGGGAATTGAATCCCAGCTTGGCAACTTACTAATGGTATGATGGTGTACAAATTACTTAATCTCTTCAGACTCCAGTTTCTTCACGTGTAACATGGAGACTAATAGTATTAACTTTATACCTGTCACATAAGAGGTACTCCCTAAGCAAATGAACTGAGTGGATTAAATACATTAGTGGGGGCCAGACTCGGTGGCTCACACCTGTAATCCCAGCACTTTGGGAGGCCAAGGCGGGTGGATCACCTGAGGTCAGAAGTTCAAGACCAGCCTGATCAACATGGTGAAACCCCATCTCTACTAAAAATACAAAAAATTAGCAGGGTGTGGTGGTGCATGCCTGTAATCCCAGCTACTTGTGAGGCTGAGGCAGGAGAATCGCTTGAACCTGGGAGGCAGAGGTTGCAGTGAGCCAAGATCGTGCCATTGCACACCAGCCTGGGCAACAAGAGCAAAACTCCATCACAAAAAGAATCACACACATACACACACACGTATGTATGTGTATATATGTATGTGTATCTCTATATATATGTGGGTAAGCTTCTTATATATAAACCTAATACATAGTTTGTGCTACGCATTGTTTGTCTCTTAAAATGTTTTTAGTGGTAGTTAAATGATATGTTCAGGTTTGATGAATAAGTGTAGCTTCTTGTTTTACTTGACCCCAATAAATAGAATTCCCCAGTGAATCTTATCCTTTGCTTATTTCACGTCAAATATGTGCATAGCACCTCTTTGACGGTGGCTCAGAGTATGTTTGCTGACAACTGGAGGAGTTAAAGTGGGTGGTTCTCTGTTTTTATAACCTTCTTTTCCTGCCTTGGGGACACACGTTACCCAGAATCACACTGGCTTCTCCTGAGTATGCTAAACTCTTTTAATTTAGACTGCTTCTACTTTAGAAACTAATACTCACACATTTGTATTTACACTATGAGAAAACAAAATCCTTGCCCTCGTAGACTTACATTCTCATGGGAGACATGGGAAGCAAACAATTTTTTTACTTGCTTGGTGTCTCTCACCTGAGTTTAAAAATCTGGACACAGCTCCACTTTGTAGATTTGATGCTTTTTTGTTTTTTTTTAATTTGGTATAAAAGCTGTACTGTGATTGTGAGACACAGCCTCAGCACAAAGAACTGAATGTCTTCATCCCTATTGGTCCAGGTGGGCTCCTATTCTCTTGGTCTCTTGCAGCCTTACTTGTTCTGTGGCTCCTCAGAGCAGATATAAGCAGTAGCAATGCTAGTGCTTCAGGAACAAGGGTAAAGATTGTGTTAACAGATAGAAACTGTTTGTTTTTCTTTCTTTCTTTCTTTCTTTTTTTTTTTTTTTTGAGGCGGAGTCTCGCTTTGTTGCCTAGGCTGGAGTGCAGTGGTGCCATCTCAGCTCACTGCAACCTCCGCCTCCCGGGTTCAAGCAATTCTCCTGCCTCTGCTTCCCAGGTAGCTGGGATTACAGGCATGCACCACCACGCCCGCATAATTTTTACATTTTTCGTGGAGGTGGGCTTTCACCATGTTGGTCAGGCTGGTCTTGAACTCCTGACCTCAGGTGATCCACCTGCCTCGGCCACCCAAAGTGCTGGGATTCCAGGCATGAGCCACTGTTCCCGGCCCATGAAACTTTGTTTTTCAATCCTGTTTTGAAGATGGAAGAGAAGGGTTCTCACAGAAAAACATACAGTAGCCAATTCGGATATTTCTGTGATGGCTCACTACATACTTATTTGTAGTTTTTTTTCTCATTCCTTTAATTGTATTTCATTCAAATTTTGAAGTTCCTCTTTTGTTTTATACCACTGAACTCTAAAAGTTTAATCTTTTTTTTTTTAATACAAAGAATGATTGATTTTAAATACTTTCTACAATGCTGGCCATATCAAGCAGCTTTCTATAGAAACTAGCATGCTTGTTTAAGATGAAGAGAAGAGATGGCCCTGGATGTCTTTTCCTCATGTTTTTGAGAAGTGACCTCAGGTTTGGCATTTCTTTAGGGGCTTAGAGGATCTTGTTGGCAATTGGCATTCTGCACTCTGTTCTCCGCACCCAGTACCTCCAGGGGATAGAGATTGCATCAGAAATAATCAAGTTGATTATTTTATGATAATAGCTGATATGTAGAGAGGTTTTTTTAAAAACCTAACGGTAAGTGCTTTGTATGAACTGGCTTATTTAATTTTCACAGTGCTGTGAGATAATAATAGCTATCGTCAGTCCTGTGAGATATTATTATTAATCCTGACTTTATGTCTATTGTCTCTCCTTGTTTCAGACACTATACAAAGTGCTTTATAGGTATTATTTTTCTAATTCCTCCCCAAAGTCTTCTGAAATATCCCACTAGAATATAAGCTGTATGAGTGTTATGACTTTTTCTTCTTCTGGGCTAAATTCTGGGAGAGCATTTAGTATAATACCTATTGCAGGATAGGTGCTTAGTAAATAGTTATTGATTGAACAAATTCCAGTTTTTTTTGAACGAGGAAACTGTTAAGAAAAGTTAAATAACTTGCCCAAGTTCAAGTGATGAAGCTGGGAATTACACCCAGGCAAGCGTGACTTCAGAGCCTGCAACCTTTATCTTTGTGTTATGAGAGTTATTTTTTCTTTGTTAACAAATTTCTGGGATAATGTTGAATTCTGAGGCAGAATGATGTGTTAAACTAGGTTTCTAAAATTAAATATATACACAATAGCAAAGACTTGGAACCAACCCAAATGTCCAACAATGATAGACTGGATTAAGAAAATGTGGCACATATACACAATGGAATACTATGCAGCTATAAAAAATGATGAGTTCATGTCCTTTGTAGGGACGTGGATGAAATTGGAAATTATCATTCTCAGTAAACTATCACAAGGACAAAAAACCAAACACCGCATATTCTCACTCATAGGTGGGAATTGAACAATGAGAAGACATGGACACAGGAAGGGGAGCATCACACTCTGGGAACTGTTGTGGGGTGGAGGGACGGGGGAGGGATAGCATTAGGAGATATACCTAATGCTAAATGACGAGTTAATGGGTGCAGCACACCAGCATGGCACATGTATACATATGTAACAAACCTGCACATGGTGCACATGTATACTAAAACTTAAAGTATAATAATAATAAAATAAAATAAAATAAAATATATAAAGTTATTTTGGAAACTTCAAATTTTTGAAATTTGTAAATTGTCACTTAATGGGAAAGGTTTTAAGGTTTACAATGGCTAATAAAGAAATCATGGATAATGGTAATGTTGCTGGTTCATGGGAGGTGAGTATATTAACATTCATATGAATGTATGTGAATATTAAGATTCTCTGATACATTCAATGTTTGTAGTCTTTTTAAAGAAGGAAAATAGTGTGGAAAAAGTATCTGGAATTGTATGTTGTGTGGAATCTGAAATATTTTTTCCATATTTACATATTTTGGATGGTTCCAGTTAAACAGTTTTGTGTTAAAGGATGAACAAAATGCCAAAGTATTTATAAAAGGAGTGTGTCAGTCTACACTGCCTCTCGATCATTGTGAACATGTACTTTATTCAGACCAATATTATTGGCTATTGGTGTTTAAACGCATTGACATTTTTATATGGGAAAAATGCCATTCCATTAGTAATTTGCAGTCTGTATTTAACATCTTTCCAAATAGTTGTTAAATAGATACATTATCCCTCTCCCCCATAGACTGTCAACTATGTTTTTATATTTATTGGAAGCTCCTTTTTTTTTTTTTTTTTTTCTGAAGGCTTTCTCGTTGCTTATAAGACTCTCAGGCTGGGTGCGGTGGTGACTCACGCCTGTAATCCCAGCACTTTGGGAGGCCAAGGAGGGCAGATCACCTGAGGTCAGGAGTTTGAGACCAGCCTGGCCAACATGGCAAAACCCTGACTCTACTAAAAATACAAAAAATTCGCCAGGTCTGGTGGCTGGCGCTTGTAATCCCAGCTACTTGGGAGGCTGAGGCAGGAGAATCACTTGAACTTGGGAGGCAGAGGTTGCAGTGAGCCGAGATCATGCCATTGCACTCCAGCCTGGGCGACAGAGCGAGACTCCATCTCAAAAACAAAACAAAACAAAACAAAGAATCTTAGGGCTGGAGTTACCCTGAGTGACGATAGGGGCGCTGTTTATAGTCTTGGGAGCATAAACTGGGGAGTGGCGATTCTTTTGGTAAATTGGCTTAGAGACTTCATAAAGACCAACTACCACCTCCAGCAAATTAATCTTAAAATAGGCCTATATAGCTGCATAACATCATCATGTATCTTAGTGGACATGAGTAAACATCTAGGATGCAGAACTTTAAAGACAAATGTGTGCTGTATTTGGGGTTTGCTTTAAATAGGGACAGTGAACTTCATAAATAATCAAGATTTTTAGGGAGCTAGGTTTAGCAACACATTGAGTCACATCTCTTCTGTCTTCTGTTTATCCCTGCTCAGCTGTGCCATGGAGTAGCACAGCTGGCTTTAAAATATCCAACATCAGGTGTCACTGTCTTGCTTTTATTAGACCCCTAGGCTAAAATCACCTTGATCACTTGTTCCTGCTGTTCTCGAGGGCTGCTACAGTGAGAATTTCTCTCTCTTGGTCTTTTCATCATCTTTTTGAATGAGCGGCTCTCTTAAGCCAATAAGATAGAAATATATACCCTGTTGACCTTGTGGCTTTTCTTTTCTGTTAAAGAAGCATTCAGGCAGATACCAGATATATGAGGCGGTCCTTTCAGCTGCTCATCTTTTCCACTCATCACTTTTGCCCTCCTACCCTCAGGAGCCAGGTCATTCTCCGTAGGTGAGCTGTGTAAAATCTATTTTATAGACGTATATAAGGAGAAAATAATTTATTTCTGCAGTCTTCATATTGTCATGCCAGTATGCTAGCTGAAAACATAATGGCTTTTTTTTTTTTTTTTGAGGAGAAGTTTTCTGGTTTTTTAGCAAAAGAGACTGACCATGTGTAAACATTCTTTAAACTGTTTCCTCACTGTGGTTTTACTGTGTGGAGGGCTAAATTTTAAAAGTAAATATAATGTTATAACAATTTGCTTATTACCAGCAAGTTTTTAATATTGACCAATGTTTTATGTATTGGGTGGCTTAATGGTTTTAACTGGAGAAAACTGATTAGGAAGACAGTTATTCACTTCTGTTTGCTGAACTGGAAGGAAGTCATAAAAAAAGAAAACTTCAGAAGCTGACTTTTTTCAAAGAAGATATGAGAAGTTTAGATATAACTTGTGAAATTTAGGTCTCTCTCATGAGATTGCCAAAGGCACAGTTAAATTCTCTGGGAGGCCCAATTGATTATTGTGTAAAGCTGTTTAAATTTTCAAGGATCTTCTAAAATGCATTTCTAGTTTTTGATACAAAAGTTAATTGATTTCAGATGTCAGCTTGTGTCTTATGGTGATGAAAGTGGTTGAGGAAATACAGGTAAAAATAAAGCGTACTATATTAATTGGAAAACATTGATGGAGTTGGAGCTGTCATTGAGTGGATTCTCTAGGGAGTCTTAGTAGGTCACGTTTTTCCAGGCATTGGGGCATTCTGGGATCCAACAGTTAAATCTGTGAAGGGACAAATAGAGATGTCACCAGAATCAGGAGATTGAGATTTATGCCCAAAAGTCCAGATGCTTTCTTGGGAGATACCCCAAAGAAATGATATCTACTAACATTTCTGCCTTTAGTTTATCAGAAAGAAGTTGAGAGAAGATCAGGAATAAGGCATTTCTTATAATAAGAGTAATTGTATTTTTTTGAAGGTACTCCTTTCTTAGTGGCTTCTAGAAATACTGTCATTGATTTTTCATATCAATAGTTTAATTCACTGAGTTAAGAAAACTGTTATTTTTTAAAAAACAAAACAAAACACAAAGAAAAACCCATGGGGTTTTGGGGCTTAGAAACTTTGTGTTATAAGAAGTATAATAGCTATGTTCTGCTAATTTATTTATATAACAAAACTTTTTAAATTAAATATTTGGATTGTAGTAGAGGTACTTGCCTTTAAAAAGTACTTCAGGCCGGGTGTGTTGGCTCATTCCTGTAATCCCAGCACTTTGGTAGGCCGAGGCGGGTGGATCACTTGAGGTCAGGAGTTCGAGACCAGCCTGCCCAACATGGTGAAACCCTGTCTCTACTAAAACGGTACAAAAATTGGCCAGGTGTGGTGCTGGGCATCTGGAGTCCCAGCTACTTAGGGGGCTGAGGTGGGAGAATCGCTTGAACCTGTGAGGCAGAGTTTGCAGTGAGCTGATATTGTGTCACTACCCTCCAGCCTGGGGGACAGAGCAAGACTTCATCTCAAAAAAATAAAAATAAATAAATAAAAGGTACTTCAGCTGAGGCAGTTCATGCAGTAGTGTATCATTTTGGAATGTGGGTAAGCACCCCTGAATTTACATGGCCTGGAAATTTTTTATATTTGATTTTCTCAAAGTGCAGTATAACATACTCATCTCCTTGTGAACAGAAATGTTTGAGGATGGGTTAAATGAACTGTAGAAAGCATCTCAGAAAAAGGTGTTATGCAAGGCATAATTATTTTCCAAGTGCTATCTGAGCAGCTTTCACCAATCAAAGCTTCCTTGAAATAGAGATTACAATCAAAGTTCATCTGTATACTATTGTGTTTGGAGTACATGCCAACATTCCAACTTGAAGTTGCTTTGAGGGAAAAGTTCTTCAAATTCATCAGTGTTGTGGGGAAATGTGATTTAAATTCTGATTACTGGAAGCCTTATTACAGAGGAGGTGGCAAGCAGGTGAGTTGAGCTGTTCAGGATGTCTGTTTCTTATTTGTTCTTTTAAGATATTGCAAAGAAACTGATTGTGGTGTCTATCTGTTGCTAGTTCTTCTCCAGCATCAATTCCCATTTTCTTCTTATAGTCTGGAATTTCCTTTGGGAAACCTCCTATATTCTTTGTCTATGTAGTTCAAGAGGGGCTGCTCACACCCCAACCCATGCTGCAATCAAAAAGGGGTTCATCTGCTGCCCACAGTGACTAACTGATGATTAATTAATCAAAATTGTTCAAATGAAATTCAGTTCCTGGCATTTTTGTTGAAATTATTTAAAAGAAGACTTTACTTTTTCTTCTGGAGTTTTTTTAGCCAATAATAAGCAAGATCACCGGTGTTAGTGGTAGTTCTTTTGCTACCATCACGTTTGAGAGGAAGGCAGAGCTTGGAGCTGGAGATACAGAATCCTGAGGACCTAGTCTGAATACCTGATCAGTTAGGCAAGCCAGTGAACTCTTCTGCTTTGTGTAAACCAGTTTGAGTTGGATTTCTGTCACTTGTAACTGAAATAGACCTGATTGACACACCCTTGTAAGTTTAGTGTCGGAACTGCTTTCACCCCAAGAGCTAACTTTTGTTATATGTATGTCATTGATTTTTGTTGTGGTGGTTGTTGTTAGTATTTTTCTTAAAAAATAAAATAGGGGTTTTTATCATAATAAAAATAGAAATTACTAAATATAAAATGCTGTACTAGGAAAAAAAAACCCTGATATTTGTGCTCAAAGGTGACATCAGATGCCTGTGTCTAGTTTGGGAGTCAGGGTGACAGTACCTCATAAAATAAGTTGAAGGAACATTTCTTCTTTTTGTATTTTGTTAAATAATTTGTAGTTACCTGTTCTTTGAATGTCATAAAATTATCTGTAAAACTATCTAATCATAGGTTGATTATCTCCTTAGTTTTTATTTGGGTATGTTCTACTTTGTTTTTCTAACTTCTTGAGTTGGATACTTAGTATATTTTCTTTATTTACTAAAAAGCTTGTAAAATTATTTTAAAAAATCCTTGTCTCACAATTCTTCTCCTATCAATAATGATTTGAAATTTTTCCATGTATATGAAACACCTCCAAGGACAGATAATGTCCTTGATTAGCAGAGTAGCTGGGTTATTACAGTCTGTCTCAAAGAGTTGAAGGGAAAAGCCTACATATATTCTTTACAAAAAGAGAGGTTAGATGTGCTTGGGAGCAATCATCCTGCCAGTAAAGCTGCGTGAGGGTTTTACCTTACTGATGTGGCCTCCCTGCGTTGGCAGGTATTACTGCTTCCAGATTTGGTCACAGCATGGGACAAAGGAATATACAGACCTCCTTCCTGCCTTTGAATAATTAGCATCAGCAGAGTATCCTGAATAGTGATTAGATATAAACAAAGCAAACAGATAGAGAACCTGGAGAGAGTTAGCTTTTAGGAATGCTTTAGAAATGATCACCAACTCTGTCAAATGTGGAGGCATTTGTGGATTTTGATAGTATTTATTTATTTATTTTGGCCTAGCAGCATTTACTTTTTTTGGAAGACATCCACCCTGTACTGCAAGTGATGGCCCTACTGGCTGTATATACAGATGGGCAACTACGATTCCAAATATCACACAGCTATAGTAGGGTTCACCCAAATGGAGCCCTTTGCCTCCAGGGTCTTTTTCTTCCTGTGAAGAGAATTTGAATCAGTGCTCTAGTGGTAATAATACAAATATTGCTATCTTAGAAGTACTTAAACCTCTATATTTTCTTATTCCAGGTGGTTTTCCTGAAATCAAACTCTGATTTCCAGGGATAAAAAGACAACACGTGAAAAACCCCTGGTATTCTCAGATTTGACATGACTTTCACTGTATACATGGCTTTAACTCTATTTAATAGAATGTTCCTGTGAAGCTGAAAAGTAAGTGGATCCTGTTTTTGACTTAGTGGTAGAGCTTGCAGTTTAAATAATTCCACTGGGAATCTATTAGGAAGCAAATGAGAGCCTCCTCCAGAGATCTTTGAGAGAGGCTTAAGGAAGCATTCCTCTGTTATTTGTTGTGCTATGTTCATCTGGTTCTAAGTCAAGATAAATATTGCTTCATTTGTATAGTTGTTTTCTTTTGCAATTTGCTCATGAGTGAAATCTCTTTAAAACGTTAACATTTGATTAAATATACTTGAATGCTTACAAAGAGTTTTTCATATAATTTATCTTGTTTATCTTTATAGCAACATTAAGGGACTGGTAGATATTTATGTTCCTCTTGGTGAGTTCATTGAAGAGCAATCTGAGGCTTTATATAGGTTAGGAAATACACTTTTTATATTTTGGGAATCCAGCCTGTACAGTGCTTATTATCACCATTTCTGCAGTTATGAGGTTACTCTTGAAGACAAGAAAATATTTATTAATGAATTTTCAAATTGCTCCTTATTTGTATATTTCTCTCTGCTTAATGCTACCAACATTTCCACTCTTTGGCATCAAGTGTTGATAATTCTTTTACTGTCTTCTGTGAATATCTCAAAACCACATGCAAATGCATTGCAAAATGCACAGTCAGATTTTACATCTTGCAAAGGATGCAGGATTCCATGAAGTCAGGGAAAGTGGCTCAGTAAGATCTGCATTAACATATAAACCCCTAGGCAAATTGGTATGGCAGGATTGGATCAGGCAATTATCACCATAGATAATGACAAGAGAAGCCCTTCAAGAGTCTGATTGAAATATCAAAGGATTACGTGAGACTCTTGGGAAATCAAAACCCTTGACTATTTTTGGCAGAAACAGTGTTTTTGTTCAGATTTTACTGTAAGTTGTATGAAGTAAGATTTGTGTGGTCCTGTTATCACTTAAGAAATATAAATTTTACCTTATTTTATATTTATAAAAGAATATGAATAACCTGAATATCTGTATACTTCTCCCAGATATCATATTTCTGTCTCTACTATGAAAATCTGGAATTCTGTGTTTATTCTCCAGTTTTTTAAAAAGTAGTTTTACCCTGTATGTGTATATTCCTTTATTTAGATATGCATGGTTTTGAGCTTTATAAAAATGTTATTGATCTCTATGAAGCCTCCTGTCATTTGCTTTTTAAAACTCAATATAATGTTTTAAAAAGTTATCTTTGTTGTAGTATGTAGCTCTGTTTTATTCATTTGTACTGCTGTATAACATTCTACAATATGACTCACAATATCAAAAAATGGTGTGGATTCATGGAGTTTCTTATGTATTGCTGGTATGAGGATAAGTTGGTATAAAACTTTGAAGAACAACTTGGCATTCACTTCTAAAGCCATTTCTGCAGTTCCATTCCTAGGCATAGATCCTGTATCTAGAGTTATCAATCTGAATTATAAATTTTGTAAAATTATTCACAAAAGCACTTATTTTGTAAGTGTAGTGTAGAATGTTAGATGTATGACCTATAATTAATTCCATTAATCCTCAAATAAAACTGTGGAATCATTTTCCTTTCAAACAGCAGTTTAAATTCAAACTGTATTACCATTAGCATAAGAATAGCTTTTAACAATAATTAAAATCCTAATGGTATCATGAAATAATTTTAGTTTAGTTATCCTTTTGATGTAAATATTTATCCAGTGGGAGAACCTGATTTGTTAAACATTTTATATGAATTTGATTTGAGAAATGCACAGCACCATATAAATATATCACTGTAGGAGGCAGTGTAGCCATAAGGAAAACATACCGGATTGAGTGTCAAGAACTGGTGTCTGTATGGTGCTGTACTGCACAAGCTTCATATGACCTTAATTTCCGAGCATCAGTTTCATCATTGGTTAAAAAAAAAGAGATGACAGTATCAGACTTGCCTCACGGCTGTCTGCCAATTAAGTGAATTAGAAAATTATTTTCAATTATATAGTGCTGGGCAAGGTGAATGATTGCTATTACTGTTGTCATCACTGTTGTTTGAAGCACTGTGCTTTGGGAAGCAAATCTGGTTCACATCTTTTGAACATTTAAATGAAGAGAATGTGTCTCAGTGCTCTAGTGTGTATTAAAACAGCCTTTTAACAAGAATGTTTTGAACCCTGCCCAATACCTGCACATGCTTTTGTTAATACTTCATTACATAAAATGACCAAGAAGCTGTCATAAGAATTTAAAGGAACATTTACCCTCATCTTTAAAATGTATCTTAAAAGAGAGATAAGATTCTAATTACAAATTTTGAACAGTTTATTTTCTCTCTATGAAAAATTTCCAAGAATGATACAAAAGCACTTTTATGTGAAGAGGATACACTGGAACATTGAGGTCTTGATCTCATTTTAGTAACTCTCTGATGTGATTAATTCATAAGCACTGAGTTGTAGCTCATTCCTTCTGGCAAAATTCCAGCACTTGATTGTTACCTTATAAACTTTTAATAAGAGTAATTTTAAAAACTGCACTTGACTCTTGCTTTATGAAAAGCTGGAAATGTAAAAAGTTAAAAATGCTTGACAATTTTTCTGAGCTCTAGTCAGAAACAGTGGCTATGCCCTTTTATAGATGACAGCCCAAAGGCGAGTTTGTAAAACGATAAATAAATTGTAAAGATCTATCGAGTGGCAACTTGGATGGTTTAATGCCTATGGGTTAGAAACCCAGGAGTTAATGTTTAAAGTGATTTGGATAAATGTGAACATGTTTAAATCTTTAGTATTATTCCTTTAAGCCAAATGTGAACGATAGTTATTTTGACAAAGTTTGGGTTACCTCGATAGCCTGATTTTTACAGAAGTACCGTGTATCTCAAATTGTTAACTGATGAATGGGTGGTGCTGCTGGATTATTTCCTGTGTTTTGTGTTTTTCTTAGTTTTAATTTCTTTGTTATTCAAGTTATACTATCACCTCGTCCAAAGTTGGGTCTCAGGATTAGATTAATAAACTAACCAAGTAAATTTGGGAAGTATGACTAACTTACATAAAGAAAATAATTGGGGTTATTTTTTTGTATTATTATTTTAAAATATGTAATCAGCACTTTTGAGAAGCTCTCATTTTGTTGAATCTCTAGGCAGACCTTTGTGGTTAAGCATCATCCTGGAAATTTTTTCTGACAGTCATTTGACCAGGTCTTTCTGTTTATACTCAGTGTCAAAACAACAACAACAAAAATGCGTATGTATCCTCAGGTTTTTATTCAATGAATTATATTTTCTTAGTTTTAGGAGAATATTAAATTGTCTACTAAAATTATGCTTATTTGGCTTGCACTGTGCCCAGGGTTTTTTTTTTTTTTTTTTTTTTCTCGAAAGCTGTCAGTGGCAGATTTGTAGTTAGAAGCTAAGCATTTCTCCAGAGAAAGAGACATTTTAGCTTGAGAATGCAGTAAAGCAGGGGTCCCTAACCCCCAGGTCATGGACCAGTATGGGTCCATGGCCTGTTAGAAACTGGGCCACACAGCAGGAGGTGAATGGCAGGTGAGCCAGCGAAACTTCATCTGTATTTACAGCCACTCACCATTGCTGGTATTGCCCCCTGAGCTCCACTTCCTGTGAGATCAGTGGTGGCATTAGATTCTCATAGGGTGCAAACCCTGCTGTGAACTGCGCATGTGAGGGATCTAGGTTTCATACTTGTTATGAAAATCTAATGCCTGATCATCTGTCATTGTCTCCCCTCACCCCCAGATGGAACCATCTAGTTGCAGGAAAACAAGCTCAGGACTCAGGACTCCCACTGATTATACATTATGGTGAATTGTATAATTATTTTATTATATATTATAATGTAATAATAATAAAGTACACAATATATGTAATGCACTTGAATCATCCTGAAACCATCCCGTGCTCCCAAGCTTGTGGAAAAATTGTCTCCCATGAAACTGGTCCCTTGTACCAAAAAGGTTGGGGACTGCTGCAGTAGAGAAAACAGTAAGGAGTGTGGGGTTTAGTCTCAGATTTCAGTTTTTATTCTTGCTACTCAGGAGCAGTGTGATCTTGATCAAGTTTGTTAGCTTCTGAGTCTGCATTTTCTCACTCTGAAACAACAAAGTACCTTTTTCATTGGACTAAATGTTAAAGGAGATATGGATATAACATGCGTTATTACCATTCAGCCTGGTATGTTATGATGTTTACTAATGGTTTGTTCTTAAGAGACTTGTGGCTGGTCAGATAAGAGAAACTGCAGAGCAATGAGGGTGGGGATGAGTACAGTGTCAGTTGGGATGGAGATGGCTCATCAGGGAGACTCATACAATTCACACCCGTGGCCATCCAGTCCTCACAGATTCAAGCGAGTATTCGCTTAAATTCCTGTCCCACATGTGGTGGGATTCTCTATGGCCTTACCATCTATAGGGGTGCACACAAAACTCACATTTCTCTTAGCCACTGCCTACTACAAGTTTTTGCTGAGGTCTTGATCACTCTTACACTTTGTATCTCCTCCTTATGGTGTCTCTTTTCCACCCCGGAACCCTGCTTGGCAGAAGTGACCTCTTTATTTCCAGGAGTCCCATTAATGCTAGTGCTGTGTACCCAGATTTCATGAAGGTTTTCTGTCAGTGAAGGGTTTGCAGTGCAACCCAGCAACAACTTTAAACAGACCCTTAGAAATCTCATCTTCTTACAGCCGCTTAGCTATTGCTACTCTGGAAAATATTCATTGACTGTTTCTCTTTCTCTCTTTCTTTCTTTCTCTCTCTTTCTTTCTTTCTTTTTCTTTTTCTTTCTCTTTCCTTTCTTCCTTCCTTCTTTCTTTCCTTTCCTTTCCCTTTCCTTTTTTTTTTTTTTTTTTTGGCCAAGTCACGCTCTGTTGCCCAGGCTGGGGTGCAGTGGTGCGATCTCAGCTCACTGCAACCTCCGCCTCCTGGGTTCAAGTGATTCTCCTGCCTCAGCCTCCTGAGTAACTGGAATTACAGGCACATGCCACCAAGCAAGGCTAATTTTTGTATTTTTTTAGTAGAGATGGGGTTTCACCATGTTAGCCAGGCTGGTCTCAAACTCCTGAACTCGTGATCCACCCACCTCGGCCTCCCAAAGTGCTGGGATTACAGGTGTGAGCCACCACGCGTGGCCGACTGTTTCCTTCTACTCTATCTGGAACCAGTTTTCTGGCACATTGCTGGGCATCATGTCTCCTCCTTAACTCACTCATCCCCTACCCCTCCAATGCTCGTGCAGTTCTACTGTAGAGCCATTTATGTGTCTTTTCCCAATGCATCCTGTCGTTTACCGTATACATAATGCCAGCCTTGCCACCAAACAATTCTCTTCCTGAGAGGAATGCCGTGGCCGCTTAACCTCTTTTTCCACCTCCCTGTTATTCAAGTTATTTCCTTTGATGATATTTTAGAGATAGAATATAAGAGATAAAGAAGAGAGAGTCAGCTGGGTGCAGTGGCTATTGTCAATCCTGTCATAAAAGAGAATGCAAACGGTACCAGTAATTTATAAAAAAATGAGTAGAGAAATATGTAAACATAAAAGGAAACATAATATGCCAAATAAAAACACAGGGAGAATGGTGATCAAAGGAAATAAAATTGAGTAAATACTGTGAATTTTAAAAGTGGATATCAATGTACTTTTTCTTATAAAAACAAATTAATGAATAGGAAAATACATGTTTATGTTTTTTAAAAATTTAAGGTAGATATTAGTGGAACAAAAAAAAGATGCATTCCTCTCAAATAACTTAAAAAAGGAAAAATCCATCAAAAGCATAAAACTATGTGAGAGAATATATATGGGTAGTGTATTAGTCCATTTTCATACTGCTATGAAGAAACACCCGAGACTGGGTAATTTATAAATAATTAGTTAATTAATTTTTTAAAGATGTGACAATATTTTGTGCCAAGTAGTATAATAGTTAGTTTTTTTAAATGTGACTATATTTTATGCCAAGTAATATTGAGACACAAATTTAAAATAAAATGCTTTCATCCCTAAACACTGTAAAGCAGACAAAGTTAAACAGATATTCAAGCATAGAAGCTAGAAAAAAAAAACAAGAAAAAAATAATTAAGATATAAAATCTGAGCCACAAACTGAATAGAAGACAGAAAGACAGAAAGTAACATGGTAGAACTAACAGATTAGTACATCCAAGAAAAAGTGTTACAAAAAATAGAACCCTCTAGATCAGTTCTCAAAATTTCCTGTACTGAAAGGTCACTTAGGGGAATTATTAAAATGTGCTGACCCAAGTGGGGAGAGTGCTATCCAGGACTGTCCACTTAAAACCAACCACCCCAGTGATTGTGATGCCTACAGCCTGACAACAATAACCCTTTGAAAACTTGAGAAAATGTTTCATACCCAGCTCTGGTCTTTTAAAGAGAAGTAAATAAACTGAAGAACTTGATAATAAAAGAAGACACAGACAAAAATATGTCAAAGGCTTTTCAAGTTATAAGAAAACATTGTCCACTGTTTTATCCTAATAAATTCTAACCACTCAAAGATATGAATGACTCTCCAAAGAAAAAGAAAAACGTGACTTAAGAAGGAAAATAAAGCTAAACAGATCAATAGCCACAAAAACAATAGAAAGTTGTCAATGAAGTACCTTTTAAAGAGAACCAAGCTAATATGGTTACATAGATAAATTCGCAGAAACCCAAGGGACAAATACTCTTGTCATGGAAAATGTTTCAGAGAACGTAATAGCTTCTCAAATCATTTTATGATGCTAGCATAATCCTGAAAAATACAGCTTAAAAAAAGAAAACCACAGCCCAATCTCACTCATGAATACAGGTACAAAAATAAACTACTTGCAAGAAGACTCTAGGTGAATATTAATATATCATACTGTATTTATGTTGGTTTTATTCTCTGGTGCAATATTCATTTAGTTTTAGGAAAATTATTAGCATAATTCTTTACATCAATATGGGAAAGCAGAAAACATGGGTAACTACACAGATATACATATACACACACATACACACTTTTTTTTGAGATGGAGTCTCATTGTGTCACTCAGGCTGGAGTGCAGTGGCACAATCTCGGGTCACTGCAACCTCCGCCTCCCGGGTTCAAGCTATTCTTCTGCCTCAACCTCTAGAGTAGCTGAGATTACAGGCATGCACCACCACACCCAGATAATTTTTGTATTTTTGGTAGAGACAGGGTCTCGCTATGTTGGCCAGGCTTGTCTTGAACTCCTGACCTCAGGTAATCCACCTGCTTTGGCCTCCCAAAGTGCTGGGATTACAGGTGTGAGCCACCATGCCTGGCCTATACACTTTTTTTTAATGGAGGCTTTCTGTTAAAGTCAGCAGAGAGTGAAAACATGACTTTGCCTCTGCTCTCTCACAAAATCCAACAGATATATCAATGGAGGGATCTTTTACAGGAGCATAAATGCTTAAAGATACTTTATTAAAAGACCACATTTTGCCCTTAAGCTCTGTCAATCGAGAAAAATGATGAGACAAGTCTCAATCATTTTAGGAGGTTTATTTGCCAAAGTTAAGGACACCACGCCGGGGAGACAGGTCTACGCCTTTCTCCGAAGATGATTTTGAGGGCTCCAATTTTAAAGGGGAAAGGGTGAGATATTTAAAAGTACACAATTTTCATGTAAGAGGGGGGTAGGGAAAAATACTCATTCATGCCTTTGGCTCAGTGAATCTGCATTTTTTTTTTTTTTTAACATAAGATGACATAGACAAATAGGGCAGAGGAAAAATGCAGGGAATCTGCATTTTACGTAAGACAACACAGACAAAACAGGGCAGGGGAACAATCAGATACTCATTTGTGTCTGGTGGGCGGGGGGGTGACTGCACCTGTAAAGGTAAGCTATCAATTTACATTGCCATGGTGAAATTTTAACAGAAACACCTTAAAGATCTTGCAGCTCACTAGGCATTTCCTTGTGGGCAAAATATGGGGGAGGCATGTAGCTTTTAATCTTGCAGCCACATTATTTAGGAACCAAAAATGGGGAGGCAGGTTTGCGCGACCCAGTTCTCGAGCTTGACATTTCCCTTTGGCTTAATGAGTTTGGGGGTCCCAAGATTTAATTTCCTTTCATATTTCAAAGCACCTTTCTATATGATATTACTCAATCATCCATTCAATAAATATGTATCAAGTGTTTAGTCTATGTCAGATAGTATGTTGGGTGTTCTCAATTTCTCTCCTTCCCCCAAACAGACTAATGACTCCCTAAAAACAGGTGCCTTGCTGGCCGGGCGCGGCAGCTCGTGCCTGTAATCCCAGTACTTTGGGAGTCCGAGGCGGGCAGATCACCTGAGGTTGGGAGTTTGAGACCAGCCTGATCAACATCAAGAAACCCCGTCTCTACTACAAATACAAAATTAGCTGGGTGTGGTGGCACATGTCTGTAATCCCAGCTACTCAGGAGGCTAAGGCAGGAGAATCACTTGAACCCAGAAGGCAGAGGTTGAGGTGAACCAAGATTGCACCATTGCACTCTAGCTTTGGCAACAAGAGTGAAACTCCATCTCGAAAAAACAAAACAAAACAAAACAAAACAAACAAACAAACAAAAAAAAACAAAGAAAAAACAGGTACCTTGCTATCATATTCATCATTCTCTCACCCAGTCATATCACTGGGGCTCAAAAAGTATTTGTCAGAAAAAGAAAAGAAGAAAAGGAATGAAGAATCTATGTATTAAAAGATAATACTTTTTAAAAGGGGCTGGGGATAGATGATCAAACAAGAGTTTTCATTGGAAACACTGAAAAATGTTCATGAACTCAGTGGGTTTCAACATCATTATTTCTGACCATACCCGGCTTCTTTGGGGTGAGGCCCAAAACGTGTATTGCCATTTTAAGCCAAGGTAAAACAGGTTCCAGTCCTGGCCCGGGCTCTGCTGGTCTAGGATCCCATGACAGTTTCACAGTTAAAAGACTGCTTTGGATCCTAAAGGCTTGGAAGTTTCTCTGTGTCTGGGCTTTCAGTGCTAATGCTTAAAAAGCTCCAAATTTCTACCTATGTTCAATATCACCTCAGGGCAGAGTATGCTTCAAATTTTACTTGGCCCTCTCCTTCTCGCTTTGGGCTATGCACTTTCCACTGTAGGCTTCCTGGAACATAGCAAAGGCATACTCTTATCTGTGACTACATTCTTCCATTCCTAGGGAGAATTCCAATGAGCTAAGTTACTGTGTCTCTCCCAGGTTCCTGTTTTTCATCAACTAAATGCCCCAAAGAAAGAAAATGGTATTGACTAAGGGTCTCCCCTGAAATGATCCTTCCCAAAGCCTGGAAGAGTTGACAAACATCTGCCTGATGATTGATCACTAGGCACACTGTTTTGTCTTAGCTTCTTCACTTCACTTCCTCTTTCTTAGAGGAATCACAATTAATAACAAATGGGTTTTATCTGCCCTTCCATAGTTGCATTTTTTAGCCTACATCTTATGAAGATGATTATTCTAGATCAAGTCCGACGAAAATGCCAAATATGGCAGAGATTCCAAATATTCAGATTACTGTCCCTGTATACCATGTCAGTCTCCTTGAATAAAAATCCCACTTACATTGTAGGCAATACTATTCTTCTAGTCTCTCAATCTAGAAATTCTGGTATCATTGTTGATTCTTCTATTTATTTATTTATTTATTTATTTTGAGACGGAGTCTCGCTCTGTCACCCAGACAACAGACTATAGTGCGGTGGCATGATCTCGGCTCACTGCAACCTCTGCCTCCCGGGTTCAAGCAATTCTTCTGCCTCAGCCTCCCAAGTAGCTGGGACTACAAGTGCACGCCACCACACCCAGATAATTTTTTTGTGTGTATTTTTAGTAGAGATGGGGTTTCACCATATTGGATTGACAATAGCTTTTTTTTCATCTTGGTATTGGCTCTGTATGTGAAGGAATACTGTCTTTACATACAAACATGTGAGGGCTCCTTCATACCTGTCACTGTTCTCTATTTTAAATCATGAGTGAACAACTTGTGTGGTTATGTAATTCTTGAATTACAGTATTGCTGCCTTTTGGAAGATTTGAAGCCAGTCTGATTTTACTCCCCATACTTTGTAGCTTTTTAATTTCTCTTTTTTCTGCTTTTGAGATTATTTCTTAAGTTCTTACACTTTAAAGTTGAACTAGGGTATGAATGGGCACTGTGGCTTATGCCTGTAATCCCAGCACTTTGAGAGGCCAAGGCTAAGGATTGCTTGAGTCCAGGCATTTGAGACCAGCGTGGGCAACATAGTGAGATCCTGTGTTTACAAAAATAAAAAATAAAATTAGCTGGGCGTTGTGGCACACACCTGTGATCCCAGCTACTTGGGAGGCTGAGGTGGGAGGATCACTTGACCCAGGAAGTCGAGGCTGCAGTGAGCTGTGATCACACCACTGCACTCCAGCTTGGGCATGGAGTGAGACTCTGTCTCAAACAAAAAAAAAAGTTGACCTAGGATATGGCTGGATGTTGGTCAGTTTTTATTAATTTTGTCCTTTACTGAATATTGGTTTCTCATCTTTCTACTCCATACGTAGCTTTTCCTCCTTCTTCATCTGTTTTTGTCTTTTCTTTGGTACACAGGAAGTTTGTTTTCTACGATTGGTTCTATTGTTTATTTCTTCTTACGAAAATTGAAATTCTGCTATTCTGAAATTTTCAACTTCAGTAAACCATTTCCTTAAAGAAACCCAGCTCCCCTTAAAGTGATCCCTCCTCAGGTGATCCTCCCCTGCTCCTTTACAAAATCCTATTCTATTCTGTGGTGTCTCTTATTCCATAGAGAAACAAAGGTGAATTTAAGAATGTGCTTCCTGAAACAATTCGTTTCAAAAGTTTGTTTTTCTCCATATTACTTTGTGTTTTAAACTTACTTACTCATCTTTACCTATCAAGAGGTCTGCTCAGAGCAGTTTATCTCCCTGTCCTACAGGATAGCCAGGGGCTTCTCCTCTCAGAACTTGTACAGGAGCGCTAATTGATAGAAACCAACACTACAGTTGAAAGATGCTAGAAGTTAGAAGGGAATCATAGCAGAAGATGGAGCTGCCCAGAATCCAGCACAAGAGTTTGTGTCTGCCGTCACTCCCTCTGCAGTTGCATCTGTAGTGCCAGACCTAATGTGGAGTGCCCGTGTTTTTGCTTTGATCGTAACACCTGGTTTGTGCAATAGCTGTGTCTAATGCACGTTCTTATACTTCAGCATTTGACAGAAAGAAAAGGCCCTAGAACACTTCTGATTTTCTGCTTGTAAAAGAGGCTGTGTGTGTGTTGGGCCTTCTAGCACAGCTGCTCTGAGTTATGCTAAATAGTGTGCGTCCCATCTTCCATGGCCTGTCCGCACTTCCAGCTCTCAGCCCTGCAAATTAAGATGCATTAGTGGAATTTTGCCAAACACCTTTTATTTACATCCCACAATGCTGGGGAGTTTTCTGGCAGTGAGTCTGGTTTTTTCGACTCTTCATGTCTGTTAAAATTAGGTTCCATATTCAATATATACAGGAGAAATTCCTCAAGGTTTCTGGCATCTTGGTGGTGTGCTTCCTTAGTTTATAGTGTTGATGCAGGATTTTCTACAGTTGTATACTTATTGGTCATTACAGTTGGGGTTCCGAGAGCCTATAGTATTTTTTTTCAGTTAAGGCAGAACCAAGTGAGAGGGAGATACAAGAATGATGGGGATCACACACTGCTTAATTATGATAAAGCTGTTTTGACTGTGGCAAGATTGTGACAATTGAGCATGCTAATGCTTTTTCCTTAATGAGGCTTCCACACCCAGTCATAAGCAGTGTGGCTGCAGTCCTCTCCCAAAGAGAGAGCCTGTCTAGCTGCTATGTGGCCAAGACAGCATACCAAAACACACACTGTCTGCAGGCAAGCAAATCCCAAAGAGCTTCAGGGGCTAAGCCATATGCCTAGCTCAAGCCCCAGCTCACAAATCTAGTATGTCTCTCCTTTTCCCTCAGGCGCATCAATTCAGTGGCCACGAGAATCTAGCAATATTACTTTAAGAGCAACTTAAGATGTAAGTGGTAGGCCAGGCATGGTGGCTCACTCCTGTAATCCCAGCACTTTGGGAGGCCGAGGCGGGTGAAACACCTTAGGTCAGGAGTTTGAGACCAGCCTGGCCAACATAGTGAAACCCCTGTCTCTACTAAAAAAATACAAAAATTAGCCAGGCGTGGTGGCAGGTGCCTGTAATCCCAGAGACTCAGGAGGCTGAGGCAGGAGAATCGTTTGAGCCTGGGAGGCAGAGGTTGCAGTGAGCTGAGATTGTGCCACTGTACTCCAGCTTGGGTGACAGAGTGAGACTGTCTCAAACCAAAAAAAAGAAAAAGAAAAAAGATGTAAGGGTAACTGCTGAACAATTATGACAACAACCTACCAGGCTGTGTTCAAGCCATTATCTTGTCTAATGTTTCTGGAGCATAAAAGTCAGAAGTGATGTTAAAGACACTTACTATTTTTATTTTGAAATGGAGTCTTGCTCTGTCGCCCAGGCTGGAGTGCAGTGGCGCCATCTCGGCTCACTGTAGCCTCCACCTCCCGGGTTCATGTGATTCTCCTACCTCAGCCTCCTGTGTAGCTGGGATTACAGTTGTGTACCACCATGCCCAGCTAATTTTTGTATTTTTAGTAGGGTCAGAGTTTCGCCATGTTTGCCAGGCTGGTCTTGAACTCCTGACCTCAGTGATCCACCTGCCTCGGCCTCCCAAAGTGCTGGGATTACAGGCATGAGCCACCATACCCGGCCAAGACACTTATTTTTTATGGATATCTGAGTTTTGTTTTCTTTTAATATAGTTCTCTCATCCCTGAAAAACCAAGATGCCTATATTCTAAGTTACTTTTTATTGAAAATGATATATTTTACCTTAAGTATAAAATTCTACTACGAGAGTTTAATTTGTGTGTGGGTGCGAATTCCCATAGAATTTAAGTGTCCTTGAGTGATTTATTATGTTACCCTTTATAAAATGTATAACTGCAAGTCAAACTGTGACTTTTACTTGAGTTTGCCTAGGAAACGATAAGCCTTCTAATCTGTGAATTTAGTATCCCATTTAATATAATATGACTGTGGTATATGGTTAGACAATTAAATTTCATAGACATATGCATTTGATGATTCAATTTGCTTCTGGTCATTCTGAGTCTATTGTTTATAAGAGTATATCAAAGATTTAGGGTTTCAGATTTTCAAATATGTTTTACTCTATTGCAGAAAATTAGAAGAACTGAGCACTCTATTTTATAGTTCAGTAGGATTTTTCCATCTATTTAAAGGTTCAGTAACTTTCTTAGATAGAATTTAGTATGCCTAAGAAGATGCGTTGATTCTCAGAGCAAGTTAAATAGACTCAACCACTGACCTTACCCTGAGTCATCCCTCAGGTAATTTTATCTTTCATTTGTGTGAGAAAAACCAGGGGGAAGATTGATTTGTCCCGAGCACTTAATCTAAATGAGCCTATAACTCTTTTATCACATAGCTCTACTTTATTTTATTGTTTGAATACAGGGTCTCCCTGTGTTGCCCAGGCCAGACAGGAACTTCTGGGCTCAAGTAGTCCTCCTTCTTCAGCCTCTGGAGTTGCTCGGATTACACGGTGTACTTAAAGTATAACCTTTATGACTATCTAAAATTATCTTATTAGTTGTTTCCTTGCTTATTATCTATTTGCCCTATCAAAACTAAGTTCTCACAGAGCAAGTACCAAATGTCTCGATCACCAAAATATTCCTAGCTAGGAACACAGTAAAGAGTTGTTGCGGGGTGCAGTGGCTCACGCCTCTAATTCCAGCACTTTGGGAGGCTGAGGTGGGCGGATCACGAGGTCAGGAATTTGAGACCAGTCTCACCAACATGATGAAACCCTGTCTCTACTAAAAATACAAAAATTAGCCAGGCATGGTGGCACTCATCTGTAATGCCAGCTACTCAGGAGGCTGAGGCAGGAGAATTGTTTGAACCTTGGAGGCAGAGATTGCAGTGAGCCGAGATCACGCCACTGCACTTCAGCCTGGGCGACAGAGCAAGACTCTGTCTCAAAAAAAAAAAAAAAAAAAGTTGTCGAATGCAAGCGAGTTTGCCTAGAGCCCTTATCCATTTGGGCAGAGGTCAGAAATCAGTACCTTGCAGTATCTTACCAGAAAGCATTTGTTTGATACCTTCAGTATCTTTTTTGGTCTTTCAATTAAATAAGTGAAACATTTATAAATTGTGTTTTAAATAATCACCTGAGATTCTGACTTCCCTTGAAAACTTAAGGCCTTATTACCATGTGGCACCATCAGCAGGAAGTAGATAATGCTGTCACTTATCAATTAGATGGGCCCCAGTTTTTTGTGTGTGTTTTTTTAACTGCTTAGTCACTGAAAGCTTTTGATTTGGTACCCTTGCTTTCAAACCAGTCCTTAATTTTATTATAACCAAGAATAAATAATGGTATAACTAGATGCAATGCTTTTAAATTTGATAACTGTAATGTAAATTATATTGATATATGCATCAAAGATAAGTAATTCAGTAGGACAGAAAGGTTATGCATAAATAACTAATGAACAATAGAAAGTGATAAGTGCTATTTTAGTAGAATTCCATTTAACTTATATGAATTTAAATATCTAGGATGTGTACCAAAGGGGTGGGGAGGGGAAGTAGGTAGGAAAGGAAGTAGGTAGATAGGAAGGAAAGTAGGTAATCAAGAAAGGAAAACAGTAGTGAGGGAGACAGGTGCCATTATATGGGTTCTGTCTATACCATGCCATATTTGCACTAGAATATGGGCAAATCAATCTTCTATTCTCGCAGATTGTCTCATTAACCTTGTTCGTCTCATAGTAACAACATCTCCCTCTGCTGCTGTCAATTGGATATTTAGATGTGTGTGTGTATGTTTTTTTCTTGCACCATGGCGCTTAACTGTAAATTTCCTGCTGCATTTGTTGTTTAACTGAATGAACAGGAATTTGTTTCCAGCTTGGGAGAAAAATGGGCTAGACTTAAGAGTTACTGTTTATCTTGATAAGGGGTTCCAGACAGTTATCTTGGCTAGACCAAAAGTTTGCCTTGCATGCTGAGCCAACTTCATGCATTTTATCTATGTGTACATTTAAATTGCTGTGGCATACCAGAAGAAAAGGTTTTAACTTTTAAGCTGCAGGATCTGGGACTGCTTTATAGAGGAGACAGCATTTTCAGTGGAGTCTTGAAAGACTGTGGAAGTACTGTTTTATCTAATGTTGTAGCCAGTAGCCACATGTGACAATTAAAATTAATTAAAATTTTTTTTTATAATTCTATCTTCACTTACACTAACTACATTTCAAGAACCCAGTCAACTCTTGTGAGTAGTGGCTACCAGTTTGGAAACTGTAAAACATTTCCATCATTGCAGAAAGTTCTCCTGAAAGCGTTAGTAGACATAGTAGTCTGCATCACAGCAGCAGGTAGAAAAAATGTTGGTTTCTGTAAAGGGGAGTAGTGAGTAGTTAACTTCTTAGAGTTAATTATCCCTGTCTCTCTTCCTGGTCCATGTTCCACCCCCTGAAATAAATTTAATTCTTTTTTTTCCCCTGGAACCAAAAGCTAAGCCAAATAATGCTACTTTCCCAAGAAAATTCTGTAATTTTACACCTATTTAAATTCTACGTTGGGTGCTTTTTTTCGCTAATGATCTGTGGAAATTATTTTGGTGTTGACACAAATGGGAAAGTAGTGTCGGAGTGGGGGGAGACAGCTCTCTTTCCTAGGTATAAATGAAAAAAGGATAATTATTAATTACTTTAGAAAATTGTCTTTCTACTTCCTTATTTTCAAAGGTTTGAAAGGTATTTTTTGTTTGTGTTTAAATATAGTTTGGTATTGTCATGAATATGTAGTTTACAGTTTTTCTTCATAAAATTTATATGCCATGTTGGTTTTTTGATGGAAAATGGATCCCAAGTGAAAATGTTATATGTTGCTTTGCTGCTTCTAAACTTTCTCCCACCACTCTTCTTCTCACTGTTATTCCTGAGTTAGTTATATTGGTTGTCACCAGTGACTACAGCTTCTATGTCTTTTTGGCAGTTTGAGAGTCTTGTTTCAAATTGTATATAGTCAAAAGCTTGACAGTGATTTATTACTACTCAACCTAATGTTCTTTTGATTGTATTGCAGTTTGTGATAAAATGTGTTTGTGATAAATAATTAATATTACTCAGACTGTTGGAGTTGCCTAGGTAGTGGTTTGTGTCCTGAGGACTAAAGAAAATTTGTCTAGAATGTAATTCATCCACAGCAAAATGAGAAGTGATATTTCTTTTTTTTTTTTTTTTGAGATGTAGTCTCGCTCTGTCACCCAGGCTGGAGTGCAATGGTGCGATCTCGGCTCACTGCAGCCTCTGCCTCCCGGGTTCAAGTGATTCTCCTGCCTCAGCCTCCTGAGTAGCTGGGATTACAGGCGTGTGCCACCAGGCCCAGCTAGTTGTTGTATTTTTAGTAGAGACGGGGTTTCACCATGTTGGTCAGGCTGCTCTCGAACTCCTGACCTTGTGATCCACCTGCCTTGGCCTCCCAAAGTGCTGGGATTACAGGCATGAGCCACCACACCTAGCCACTGATACTTCTTTAGCCAGGATATTAATGCTTGAGCCCTAAAGTGACTCCAGGAGCCCTTCCCCAACCATTTTCTTAACCTTTTATTTTTTTCTTTTTTCTTTTAATTCTGGCAGTCCAGAGATGAGAATTTTAGGGAAGATTTTTCTGTGTTGGAATGAAAATAATAATCCCTCATTGTGGTATAAGCTATGTATATGTATTTTTAAAATGTAATAATTTGATGTAGTTTAGAATTGATATTGCCCTGCCAATGGTTAGGAAGAATACTCATCCCAAGATATTTTAACTTTTTTTCCTCTATTATTTAAGAAATGAAGAACAATGAAGAGAAATAAAGAAAAGCTAATTTATTCAGCAGTTTACAGGTTGATGCTGTTATATATGTGTGTGTATACATATGTATACATATACGCACATATATACACACATGTGTATATATGTACACGTGTACACAAATGTATATGTGTATATATGTGTATGTGTGTGTATATGTGTGTATGTATATATATGGTGCCAAAATAACAGTGACATCAATGTGATAGAAGTTTATTTCTTGCTTATAAAATTTTTGTGTAATGTCCAGGTGTGGTGGCTCACGCCTATAATCCCAGCACTTTGGGAGGCTGAGGAGGGTGGATTACCTGAGGTCAGGAGTTTGAGGACAGCCTGGCCAACATGGTGAAACCCTGTATCTACCAAAAATACAAAAACTAGCTGAGCATGGTGGCATGCACCTGTAATCCCAGCTACTCGGGAGGCTGAGACAGGAGAGTTGCTTGAACTGGGGAGGTGGAGGTTGCAGTGAGCTGAGATTGAGCCACTGCACTCCAGCCTGGGTGAAAGGGTAAGACTGTCTCAAAAAAAAAGAACAATTTTTTTTTTTTTTTTTGTCTGGGGATGATAAAGTTCCTTTGAGCCATCCTCAAGAGCAGGCTTTCATCTCGTATCTTAGATGCCTGCCATGCCTTCCAGCATGTCTCCAGTCTGGGCTATACCGAGGTGATGGGAGGGGTGGCACACACTTTTCTCTAAGGGCAAGACCTGAAAGTTGTGTTTATTACTTCTGCTCTCTCTCGTTTGCTGCCTGTCATTTTTCTGCAGTTTGCTCACACGGCCACAACCAGCTGACAGGGAGGGTGAGAAACAGTCTTTAGGTATTCACGTCCTCAGCCCCAGCTGAATGTTGTATTCTAAAGGAATAAGAGGAAAAATCTATCAGGGACAAGTTGCTTCTGCCATAGATCAACTAATTGTGAGTCTTGCCATTGGTAAGACACCAAAATGTCATTAGTAAACCAGGGTTTATTTTACTATTAGTAACACAATTTAACCACAATGAAAAAAATTAAAGCAGGGGCTCCTTACTTTTTAGGTCCTTTGTGAAATAAAGATAGAAACAAGATTCCCGGCCAAGCACAATGACTCACACCTGTAATCCCTGCACTTGGAGACCGAGGCAGAAGGATTGCTTGAGCCTAGGAGTTTGAGACCGGCCTGGACAACACAGCAAGACCTGGTCTTTATAAAAAATTAAAAAAAATACCCAGGCATGGTGGTGTGTGCCTCTGGCCTCAGCTATTCGGGAGGCTAAGGTGGGAGGATTGTCTGAGCCTGGGAGATTGAGGCTGCATTGAACTATGATTGCACCACTGTACACCAGCCTGGGCAACAGAGTGAGACCCTGTCTCCAGGGGGGCGGGCGGGGAGAGAAAAAGAGAAACAAGATTTCCATACTCAGGAATCAGGAGTGACGTGTATAGAGAGGAAACTATGTGAGACATGCAAATGGAAGTTAGGAGAGGGCATGTAAAGTAATTAGAGCTGATTTTAGGCCTCATGAAATACATAGAGTTCTAAGTAATGAATAATGGTCACTGAAATTTTTCACAGTCTCAAAAAGAAAAATATTTTTACTGGAGAATAAAAATGTTCTGCTTGAGGCCAGCCTTGGTCTCTAGTAGCAATAAAAGCCTGTGATATATAATGATGCTCATATTTCTTCCATTTTCAATAGCACTGTGGTAGGGAAAGTAAATGTACCAACCCATATCTAGTGGAAGGAGACAAAATTCTGCTCAGTTTCCTTTTATGCTTCGTTTGATTTTTTCTCTGACACATTTATAATTTTTTAGTTTCTTTAGTCTCTAGTTGAGGGCTTGGCAGATTTTCATTTTTTGAGAGGATCGTGTTCTTTCCTTTTGAGAGGAAACATAATTTCCTCTCAAAGTTGTACATGCATGGGTTGCCTGTGTGTGCACCCGTAAAACCCAATTTCTGGTTTTACCAAGAAAATCAGCTATGTATATGTATACAGTGTCCCATTGAATTGAACCGTTATTGAGTTTCCAGTGTTACCTACATAAATATTAATACTAGCTAACATATCTTAGGACTTTCTTGGCTTATTCACGTTAGCATTTTTTGAAACTGCTTGCTTTATGTTTAGGTCACTTTTTTCAACATACATATGCTAAATGTAATGTAGCATGAACTAAAGAGAGGAAAAGGCCAACCTAGGCCTTCCTGATGGTTCCTAGGTGTTACCAAATGGTGTGGTGCTATAAGTAGTCCCCAGGGAATGGCAGACAAACATCCTGTGTCCACTCTGGGTATATGCTGGACTTGAGATTACCTGTGCATTTTATTTCCTGCTTGGTATTTAGTTTGGACACCAAAATCTGCTGGGTAAATGAGTATCATACTAAACAAGCTTTAAAAGGTATACTTGGTCAGGCATGGTGGCTCTTGAATGTAATCTCAGCACTTTGGGAGGCCAAGGTGGGAGAATCACTTTAACCCAGGTGTCCAGGTGTTTGAGACCATCCTGGGCAACAGAAAGATGTTGTCTCTAATGAAAAAAAAAAAAAAAAAAAAGAATCTGGGTGTGATGGCACATGCCTCTAGTCCCAGCTACTTAGGAGGCTGAGGTGGGAGAATTGCTTGAGCCCTGTAGTGAGCTGTGATCACACCAGTGCACTCCATTCTGGGCAACAGAGTGACAGCCTGTCTCAAAACAAAAACATTACTTTAGCTAGTGGTTGTGGCTCACACCTGTAGTCCCAGCTACATGGGAGAATAAACTGGGAGGATTGCTTAAGCCCAGGAGTTTGAGTCTGCTGCAAGCTATGATCATGCCACTCTACTCCAACCTGGGTGACACAGACCCCATCTCTAAAACATAAACAAATAAATAAATGAAGGTGTACCTTAAACTGCCCTGAAAAAGAAGCCAGCCAACACACTTTGATCTACATGGTGCCCTGTTTGTCTGAGTTGCACAGCTCTAGGGGATACCATATTCATAGATTTTATTTACAGTGAAATCTGTGAAACCCCCATGGAGTTGAACATGAAGTCTCTGGTCACACCCTTGAATTTGCTATGTTAGTTGTAGTATGTTATAGCTAGGATGACTTTATCATTTATTGTCCAAGCCAGAACACTTTTTAGAGTGAAAGGGGGCAGATTTTATAACCATAGTAGAATAGTGGGCATGAACTTGGACTCTTTTGGGAATATAGACATTTATAGTTCTTCTACTTATTGCAATCAATATAGAACTGGTTGGTTATTAAGATAGGTTAAATATGCTTTTCTCTTTAAAACATTTCTATTGGTATAGCAAGGGAGTAGAACAAATAGAATCAAAATGAAATATGCTAATAATGATTCTCTCTTTCCATATTGTTTAATTTCTGAAAGAAATCTTTAGAGGATACATTTCTTTTTCAGGGTATTTTTTGGCCACCTTTACAGAGGATTCAAAATGTTCCACTCTTTTATGTGTTCAAATCTAAGTTTCTCTAGCTGCTAAACTGTTAAACTTATATTGAATTCTAGTGTGGTTTTCCCAATAAAATGTTCTGGAGAGTATTAAATGTCTTTTAAAAATTCTTTAAATTTGAGGTTGCCTTGCTCACAAACTGCCAGTAGCAAACGTTTATATACCATCTCATTCCAAATGCCTATTCTTGGCTTTGCATCTCTCTTTATACTAGCTCCATTTCCCATTCCTCAGCTGAAATTTTTGCTCTTGCACATTCATCTCTTCAGTGGCTCCTAAATTGTTGATGTTCATGCTTTGTTTCCATTGGTTTTCACCACGATTTGCCATTTTCTCTCTTTCTGCCTGCCCAGATGCTTCCCTTTCTTCCAAGGCCCCTGTCCTCTGCCTGCTCTCTTTGTGGGGGCTGTACCTCATAATCTAGTGACTCAATTTTATTTTCAGTAATTTGGGTATATTATGAAACATTTTTTCACCCAGATACAAGGATTAAATTTGGTCATATATAAAGATTACTCTTCGCATTGTAAAATACTATGTAAATATTCTTCAGTATTACTCTAGTCTTTTATTTTTGCTCAGATTTTATTAGGGTCTGCTAATTATTTTATGTACAATAGTCTCTCACCTCTCCAACAATATCATATATAGCTTAAGGGCAGAGAGCATATCTAAAGTTTCATTATTCCCCAATCATGACTAGAGATGTGATGAACACAGAGAAGCAAATAATTTATTATTTTTTTAAATATTGAACATTTTACATCTGTCCCCCATCTTCCCTGTTCTTCAATTTCATCCTTCTGACAAAGTTTGAAATAAGATTTGCTAAGTATTAAACTGGAAGGTTCTTTTTATTATGGTTGTCAGTCAATTAAGAATTCTCATGGCTGGGCCCAGTGGCTCATGCCTGTAATCCCAGCACTTTGGGAGGCCAAGGCGAGCAGATCACAAGGTCAGTAGATCAGGACCATCCTGGCTAACACAGTGAAACCCCAGCTCTACTAAAAATGCAAAAAATCGGCCGGGCGCAGTGGCTAACGCCTGTAATCCCAGCACTTTGGGAGGCCGAGGCGGGCGGATCACCAGGTCAGGAGATCGAGACCATCCCGGCTAAAACGGTGAAACCCCGTCTCTACTAAAAATACAAAAAATTAGCCGGGCGTAGTGGCGGGCGCCTGTAGTCCCAGCTACTTGGGAGGCTGAGGCAGGAGAATGGCGTGAACCCGGGAGGCGGAGCTTGCAGTGAGCCGAGATCCCGCCACTGCACTCCAGCCTAGGCGACAGAGCGAGACTCCGTCTCAAAAAAAAAAAAAAAAAAAAAAAAAAAAAATGCAAAAAATCAGTTGGATGTGGTGGCATGCACCTGTAGTCCCAGCTACTTGGGAGGCTGAGGCAGGAAAATTGCTTGAACCCAGGAGGTGGAGGTTGCAGTGAGCCAGGATTGCACCACTGCACTCCAACCTGGGCGACAGAGCGAGACTCCATATCAAAAAAAAAAAAAAAAAAAATCTCACACAGCCTGAAATTTAAAGGCTGAGTAGCTCTCTGGGCAAACAATAGTGGCAGAGGAGGGCATTCCAGACAGAGCATAATATATGCAAAGGCAAGGAATCCCAACATCACGGCAGGGTAGAAAGTGTAAGGAAGTCTGAAATGGTTGAGCGTGTGCTAGGTGATGATATCTGATGGTGGGGGCAGAAGTGGGAAAAGTTGGTGAGGGCAGAGGCTGATGGGCTTGCCGATGGAGAGAACTGAAGGATTTAGGCAGGGGATGTCAGGATATATTAAATAAATCATTCTGATGTCACTCAGATAGCAAATAAGAATGTTTCATGCGATAAGCCTTTCAGGTATAACTCACATTTATTATAACTAGAAACTTGATATTTGGGGCACAGCTGTACATTGTAAAACCTACCAAGATAAACTTATGATTAATATCTCTGTTATTCTATGATCAACAAGTATAGATTAAACTGTAACCAAGAATAGTGAAGATGTGATAATAGATGGCATCTTTTCACAATTTAACTTAGTGTAGCTGTTAAACAAAATAACTATAGTTCTAGGCTGGGTGTGGTGGCACATGCCTGTGATCCCAGCACTTTGGGAGGCCGAGACAGGTGGATCACCTGAGGTCAGGAGTTCAAGACCAGTCTAACCAATATGGTGAAACCCTGTCTCTACTAAAAACTACAAAAATTAGCCGGGTGTGGTGGCATGCTCCTGTAGTCCCAGCTACTCGGGAGGCTGAGACAGGAGAATTGCTTGAACCAAGAGGCGGAGGATGCAGTGAGTCAAGATCATGCCACTGCACTCCAGCCTGGGCAACAGAGCGAGACTCCGTCTCAAAAAAAAAATAGCCATAGTTCTCATGATGTTACATGCCAGAGTTACGGCATTAAGTGAGACTCATCCATTCGACTGCTACTTCAAGAGTAGGGGCTGTCCCTTAAAAGATGGGTATTTTTTAGGTATTTTTTGTACCATTTACTTGTAAATATTTAATTACAGGAAAGATTATAGTTTTACTAATTATCTGTTCTCAGTCTTTTCTATTTGCCTTTTAGCACGTCCACGCCAGTTGTATAATTCAGTTGTTAATGCATTGAACAAAGCACAGTATAAGATTTTTGCTAATATTTAATGCAAACTTGCATGCCTGCTGTGGATAATCTTACAGTGAATGAAAATACCTGGCTCATTTTCCTTATGAAATGAGGTTAACTGACCATTCTGATATCTAAGAAAAATAGCTTTCTCCAGCTTCAAATAGAAATAGCATACTTTATTTTTTTCCCTTTTGCAAGAAACAGAGAATAGATAACTTTCTGATAACTTCCCTAAAATATCAGACCCATTGCTTCATTTTCACAACAGTAAACAGTTTTTTTTTTTGTTGAGTGTTTATGTTATGCAGACCTGATTAAACACATGATATAAAATGTATCATACCGATACCTTGTGATGTGAATATATTAAAAGCGTAAGTAATATCATACAAGAGAAGTTCACAAAGTTAGTTTGCATGCTTCTTTGCTTCTTATGTCAAATGAAAAGAAAGATTAGGAAATGTGCTTTAAAAAGTCTCTTCATAAGCAACAACAAAAAAATGTTTGCGTCATGAGAAATTTGAACTAACACTTCGTTTGGTGGTAAAAATGTGTTTGTATTCTCAGAGGCAAATCTTAAAGAAGGCACGTGACACAAAATGTCAATTGTGTATTTAAATAAAATTTCTCAACATGTAAGAAGTTTTGTTTTTTTTTTTAATTTGGCTTAATGAGCTTTCTGGTTGCAAATATTTTTTGTTTTCTAGTTGCAGTGTGGTGTGGAAGAGGTTTTTTAATAGGGTTATGTCTCATGTTTTTGTTACAAAGACAACTTTTTATTTTAGAAAGCAGGGCTGGAATAATGAATGTTAGCTTTTATTTTGAGTTTTCTAAACTACAGTTTCTTTTTGAGTTATCTTGGAAAAATGTTGCTTTTGCAGTTTTAGATATTTTTTTACCTTAAATGCATTGCTGGTATAATAAAATCTCTTCCCATTCAGAGTAGCTGAAACTTTTCCCAAGATGGATTTGAGCAAAAGCAGGATTAAAAACAAGACAACAAACAAAATAGGACACGAGAGTATCGTTGATGAGTAGATCAAAATTAATAGGGTTCAAAATGCTGAAAATATATCTCTCAAACTTTTCAAAATCAAATTTCTGCAATTATCTTGCAGTAATTTGAAGAAGAAAGAATTTTTATTGCTAGGAGAATGGAAAAACCAACAGTCCTGTAGTACATTTTAAGAAAAGGGTTCTTTGTCACGTTTGAATAGAGTATGTGTGTGGAGTTTGCTCTTTTTTTTTTTTTTTTTTTTTAGCAGAAAAAAAATCTACAAGTTGGCAGTTGGTTGTACAGATTTCCTCTTTGTGGTGGAAATACTGGGATGTTGTGGGAGAAAACCGCTGTCCATCTTAACACAGATGCTAATTGTATTCTGTAATTCTTCTTGGTTGCCATTGCGATGTTCTTAGCTGCCTTTTATTTGTTGTTTCTCCAGGACAGAAGTGATTACTAATTACGTATCATGCTACACAGAAGAAGTAGGCCATTTGGTTTTCTTTTCTTTTTCTTTCTTTCCTCTGTTGTTATTATTATTGTTTTTTTTTTTTTTTTGGAGAGGAAAGTGAAAGGCGGCTTAGAGGTTTTAATGCTGCTGCTCATCTCTACATGCCTAGGCTGCTTCTCTAATTTGCATGGGTACCTTGGGCATTGTCCTGAGGGGCTGGGGTAGTTTGACCTCCTCTTTAGTTTAGTGACCCTTGTCATCTTGCTGTTCATTCCTGGGGCCTGTTTAATGCTAATTAGGCCTTCAACCAGTTGCTGTTTACAACTGTGTGCTTTAGAAAGCAGGGCCTTCCCCAAAGACCACATTGGTGGTCCTAAGCTAAACTGGTAGAATTGAAGACCTCCCCCATCCGCAGAGAAAAGCCTCTTCACACTTCTATTTATTTAGAAATATGTAACAGTCACACCATTAACATAAATAAATAAACAATGAAGGATTGAATATTTGACTCTGATGCTTCCTAATGATGGCTGGATGCTTCTTAGGAAAACTTAACTTTGAGGTCCTAAAAAAACAGATCATCTCAGCCTCTCCTCCCACTGTGAACACTGGGTAAAGATAGGGCAAGAGTGTTTAAAAAGAGGACAGTTAAATGGTCCCAGGTTAAGAAATATTTATATTATGTTTATCTACTGTTTGATTAAACTGATTGAACAAAACGAAAAAATTCAGTGGACTCTTATGTATGATATGTATCGGATGGTACTAAATATAGGTCTCAGAATTGATTACAGGCTTTATTCAGTAGACATTTTATCTTCATTTCAGCTGAGAGCTTTGCTAGCCTTCCTAGTGTTTGGATAAAGGAAGGAACAGGAACTCTAAACAGAGCTCTTTGGCCAATACTGTCTCTAATACTCCTCCTGCCTAATTTTATGAAGTTATTAACTGATGTTTGTACAAGTCAAAGATCTCACTCATGATCACTTTGGAGAGCTGATTACAAAGGCACATTTTGAAACAGAACTTCTGAGATCAGCGTTTGGATAGTCATTGAACCACACTATCTCCAAGAAGAGGATAATGAAAATAAATCTCTGTCCTATGGACATTGATATTTTCTACCTTTTCTAGACTAAGTACAATGTGGATGGCTATTTGTGGCGTTATGATTCAAGGCTTGTGTGATGCACAGTGCCTTTGAGTTACTTCTAAGTAGCCTCTTTATTCCTAATTTTGATAATGTGACATTTATTGCAATGAAATTAACAAAAATTATTGAATGTTCCTTTTTGCACAGAGACAAGATATGGAGTTTATAGAGGGAAATGCCTTCATTTAGTCTTTCATGGGTATAATAAATATAATGTTGACAAGCTACTTTGCTTGATAAACTTGTTTATATAGTTTCTTTCACAATGAAAACAGGGTACATTAGAATTTTTGATTAGAAATGCTTCAATTAAGGGCAAATGAACTTGGATGCTAAATGAGTTTGAATAATTTCCTGGACTTTGAGGGAAATTAATAGGTATTTAAAAAAGCAAGTAGGGCTGGCCATTTAAATAGAAGTCCTTAGAACAATTCATAGTATTAGAAGATAAACCTATTTTTGTGTAGGTGCTGGGTAGGTTTAAATAATTTTTTTGTAGCTGTTTTAACAAGAAGGTATATGCCTCTGTGTGTGTGTGTGTGTGTGTGTGTGTGTGTCTGAGAGAGAGGGGTGGGGGTGGCAGACAGCGTGCTTCTAAGCCTTCCTGAAGATCCTCCCTTGCCTCTTGTCTCCTTCTCATATAAAAAGGGGTTGGCTGGAGGCAAACCTTCCCTTTTGTTGCCATTGATCTGACACTAGGATATTTTGTAGTCCAGTGAGTAGAAATGTGTCCCAGCTGTAAGATTCTGATTGTGGATTTTTCTTCAGTAGGTTACTGATCTTTCTTTATGCCTAAATTCACATTCTTCTAAGTGGAGGATTTACATTTATGATTTCATCTGGGTTTAAAATCTGGCCGGAAGCATGGTTATGTGTTTAATGCAAATCCGGGGGAAGAGTGCTTCCTACTAAGTTGTCATTTCATGAAGAATTTAGCTTACTTATTTTCTCCACCATTTGAAGGATCCTCAAGGGGGTGATTTTTTTCTCAAGGGTACAAGCTTCTGCAGTAAATGAAGTGAAGGAATGGAGGAGCAACTGGGAAGGGTGGGGAGGAGGAGGATCAAAGCAGCAATCAACCTCAAATGGTTCTCTCCTAGTCTTGGTTTGCTCAATTGTTGAAATATGGGATTGCACCTCTCTCTGCCTGCTATGTCCAAGATTGTGATACATGAGAATGTTTATAACAATATTCTACAAGTTGTAGAATGGAGTACATGGATGATGAGAATTCTGATTATAGCTATATTTTCCATTAATTATTAGCAGACATGAATATGTAGAGTGGGCCTGCTGTAAACTGGAGTGGTTCTTTTTTTTAACCAGTTCACATCATCATTCCAAAACACATGTATACTACATATATATTTAAAAATATACACAAATAATACTTGAATAGTATATTTTGAATATTGTAAGTCTAAAATAAATGGAAACCCGAATAATGTGACAGAAATAGAAGTTCCAGATATTTTTCCCATACCCCAGTTAATTATTTTGTGCAACTCTTTCCTTTTTTGGCATGTGGAAGCCACTTTGAAAGGCATTGGCTAGGGGACTATATCTTAGAGAAGGTGTGTTGGGAGAACCTGCATATTAAGTGGAAAGGATACATGAAATTGACATGGTATATTATGGTTAAGTATATCTCCTACATGGAGTTGGGTATTAGGTCTCATGTAATTACTATGATCGCACGGCCTGATACATCGGTGTTTCCTCCTACCTTGTAGAAAATAGAGGGGTACAATTTGATACTGGGGACTGGTTTCCTGCTTTACTGCCAGTGGGAAAGCTGAAGTTGTGAACATTAAAAGGAAGCAAGACTTCTAGCTTTCCTCTTTCTCATTCACCTTAAAGCCACCTCTATTTGTAGGCGAAGGGTAACTTCCTTTTAACTTCCGTCTTGAAGTCTGAAAGTGGTTAGGAAATGTGGGGTTGGTATGTTGTCAGAGCAATTCCATGCTTCATTTTTGTATTTGGAGGTTTTAATTTTTCCAGCGTATTTTCAGCTGGAGTTAACAGCATATTAATTTTTTGGTGGAGAACACTGGCTTTATTACAGAATTCTGCCCTGCAGCTTTCTGAGTTTCACTGATTTCCTTGCGTGTGTGTCTTTTTTTTGTTTGTTTTGTTTTTGTTTGTTTGGTTTTGGTTCCAAAGGCTTTAGAATTTTCAGAAAATAGCTTAGTTTACAATTTCTGTGTCTTTTTGTTCAGTTTCCAATTGGGAATAATAAGAGTGAACAACTGAAGGCTATTACCTGGCATAGAAGGGAAGAGACTTTTCTTAATAGTTTTTGCTTCTCTTAAAGATGTAGTCATGTATAGGATTCATAGAGATCCATGCCAATGGGAAAGAACTCAGTTTTACTTTGAGGCCTCTCTTTAGACCCGGAAGCTGCTGGGAATCTCTTGAGCACTAAAACATTAGATGAGAAAGACTTAGCGGGAAAACTCCATTTTACTTTGATACCAAAGGGATTGAGAAATGCAGTCGGGAAGGAATTTCCCTACCCTATGCTGAATCCTGAGCCCTCTTATTCTTTCTGGTTTCAGCTATTTTAATTTTTAATCCAAAATAAACAAACAACCCCCCCCCGTCCCCCCCAAACACAAAAGAAACAAATAACAAAATAAAAACAAACCAGGGAATATTATTAGAGCACTGGAATGTGAGAATGTAACTTTTTCTTTTCTGTGTATCACATGACTTTTATTTAGTTTACCAAGTTGCTGGCAGTAAAGCTCTTTGTTTTCAAACAGGAAAATATATTTAGCAAAATATATGTCCATTCATATTTGTCTGCCTGTTGTTGGACTGCATAATTTAAGCAGACTTCACAAGATAGGGCAGCAGCAAAAGGAATGGTTTATTACCACATTCATTCTCAAATCCCAAATGCCCTCAATAAAATAATGATATCGAAGATTAAAATGGCAGTCTTTCACTGTCTAACCTGATTTACAATCCTGAAACATGGTTCCCTTTGTCACTTTGGAATTCTCTAGTCTCCTTGATTCTAGAGACCATGATTCAGAGATTATCCTTGTCCATTAAAAGATTTGGTTCATTTCTGCAGATATTTGTTAAATAGCTGCTAAATGGGTAAAAGGCACTGGGTAGAAGTTTATGTCACCATCTCGATTTAAGTATGTTGAAATTCTAAGTGTGGCAAGACTACTTTGTTTTGTGTCCTTTTCTGATTTTTAGATTTCTTCCCATGTTCTGGTTGCTGCAGGGGCTACAGTCTTTTAAGTGTTTTTCATTGCCTGTCGAACAATACAGAAGGTTAACTGGCTCTGATTACTTGATTTGTGTTTTGCTGATGTCTTTCTTTTCTTGATCTCCCTGTGTTCTATTGCCTTAGATTTCCTTTCCACTAAGAAGCCATAGAGAAAATCATCTAATATGTATCTGCATGGGTGTAAAGTGTTAGAAAGAAAAATGCAAGGAAACATCTTACTTTCTAGCTTCCTTCTTCAAAGGAATTATAGTCTAGTTGAGAAATGATGACACACACACCTGAAAAGATAAATGATTAGTCTCCCCTCCCCCAGTTTAAATAATGGTATAAGGCAATAATGGAAAGGTATCACAAGGTATAGTACATTATATGTTGCCCAATAAATTGTAATGGCTCTCACCGTTCAGAAGTGATTCCTTGTATTGTAGTCATTTTATTCACGTTGACATAGAGATCAGTGGTGCTGACTTAATTTTCTCCAATTTGTACTTTGAAAATTACTTCTCCGGCTGGTATTTTTTGATAGTGAAAAAATATATTTGATTAAATTTGGGGTAAAAAAATGAGCATCTGCCATTATTTTGAAGTAACACTGATGAACTAGTGTTAAATGTTTACTTTTTAGACTCTTATTACTGGGAATTCCTTGATTAGAACACTGCTTGGTACATCTCTTCCCTTTGTCTCAACAGTGATCTGGGCCTGGCATCTTTGAAGAGAGTGTCTCCAGCTCCTTAGAGCTTTTAACAAGAGATTTTCCTTAGTCTTTGTTGGGGTACTGTGAAGTCGGAACCACTCCATGTACTAGGGATCTTACAATAAAAGTTTTTGTTTTTGTTAGAACATTTTTACTCCTCAGCTATGCTGTAGTTGATTTATGTATATGGCATTTTAAAATAAATTCCTCATGCATACCTACTTTCTTATTACAAGCTAGAGAAAATGAAAAGTGCTTAATTATAGGAGCCTATATAACCATACAGTTTGTATGTAGCCCTCACACTATTTTGTTTGTTCAGAGAGCTTTATCAGGCTGTTTCTATCAAATATTGTGTTTTCGTTGGGGGCTAGGGTTACATATTTTAATTATCATACCCAGTATGGAAACTGGTGAAACTTTTTCATATTTATATTTTCACTATCTACTAGACAAAGCAGTTTTTATCATTTTCTATCTTTCATGTTTTTTTCTCCCAGAGTTAATTTTAGATGGTGTGAGTCTAATGAGGTGGCTAAGGGACATTATTTATGAAATGTCATTGGACTTATTTTCTGAGCTGAATTCCATTTTACATGTGGGATAGCTTGTTTGTTGTTTTAACTATTTCTGAGTTGGAAAGGGGATATTTAAGGAATTGTTTGTAATGAGGTTTAGACTTTATTCTTAAAGGATTTGAAAAAAATACAGAACCTAGTTATATGTAAATGAATGTATATTTTTCTCTGAAATGTTTGCTAAACTTTTTCAGACAGTTGCTTAAGTTAGATTTACTTCTTAAAATCTTTATCCATTAAAATTATCTTTGACCTAATTCATTTTATGATGTCAGTATGGATTTGTATTTCTGTAATACTCTTAGCGGATTAAAAACAGATATTAGGAATTAAATGTCCTGGCCAGACGCAGTTGCTCACTCCTGTAATCCCGGCATTTTGGGAAGCCGAGGTGGGTGGATCACACGAGGTCAGGAGTTTGAGACCAGCCTGGCCAGCATGGCAAAACCCCGTCTTTACTAAAAATACAAAAAAATTAGCCAGGCGTGGTGGTGTGTGCCCGTAGTCCCAGCTACTTGGGAGGCTGAGGCAGGAGAATCGCTTGAACCTGGGAGGTGGAGGTAGCAGTGAGCCAAGCTATCACGCCAATGCACTCCAGCCTGGGTGACAGAGCAAGACTCCATCTCAAATAATAATAATAATAATAATTTTAAAAAAGTAAATGTCCTTAGACCACCAGTAGGCTAAAATTTTCTTTCCTTACTTCATCTTGAGAATGTATGTCCTCTTTTAAGAACGTGGTTACGTGGTTTCCAAAAGTGGTATTTTGGCGTGAGATGAGAATAGACTTTCCAGTGTCCCCACATTTAAATGATTTCCTTACAAAACGACTGTAATGGATTTTCTTTAAAAAAGTCAGATCTGCTACTATATTTTAAATATGACTTAATAAAAATATGTATTATTTTGGCAACATCTTTTATTTTAGGGGTAAGTTATAGCAATGCTATTTGAGTACAGAGATGATATTACAATATACCTTCTGACCCTTTATATAAATATTTAGAGTAAGGGAAATAAGTATTTTTCTACAAATTCAATGGAAATATTCTAAATTCTTACATCATTGCAACTATTGGTAACTACTAGTGAAGTTGAATTTAGATGGCACAAATTGACTGAATTTTCATGGGTACATGATTTTTAAGTTTTTACTGCAAGGTTTGGTAGCCTAGGAACAGCAATAAGAGCACAGTGGGGTTGCTTGAGTGGTGGGTTAACAATGCTGGGTAAATATGTCTGTTCTCCCCACTTATATTTTGCATGTCTCTTTACCTAATTAAATTTGTTTAGTTACAATCTCCTAGAAGGATAAGAAAAAACTTACTACCTTACTTACCTTTCTCTCCCTCACAGCCTTCCCAGAACTTTTTCATGTTCAGGAGCTAATGTCCTGGTCTTTTCATCTCTGGAGAATGTATAATCACATCCTTAACATCTCCTTGCACTCACCTTAAGCACTGCCCTGCTCTTAGGTTCTTGGCCTACTCTGCTTTTCTTCTCTTTCCAGGGTGCTGAAGTTCTAAACTCCTGCAGCTTTTCTCTCTCTTCACTTTCAGAACCAAGAGGTTCTGAATGGACTTTTACAGGAAAGCCTGGCCTGGAGGAGTGGCTCATGCCTGTCATCTCAGCACTTTGGGAGGCCAAAGCAGAGGACCACTTGAGCACAAGAGTTTCAGAACAGCTCAGGCAACATAGGAGGACTCTGCCTCAAAAAATAGATAAATAAAAGAAAGGAAAACCTGTTACCTACTTCTGTCTGTCACCAGCTCCTCCTAACCCATTTAGGGATGCTTCTTTGAGGTAATACTTTTTTGATTCGGCTTCCTTTTGCCAAATGGCTTCCTCAAGTCTCCAGATTCACGCTTTTGTCGTTTTGAAACCAGTGTCTGATATGTACGATAAAGTTAAATGGGTTTTCTAATCTTGTGAATTGCAGGTGTAGGAGGTGGAGCTTTGCCAAGCAATCATGACCATCTAGAACTGTGTCAGGGGAAAAAAGAGAATTGCAACCTGTGGGGTCTAATTGTGTGTATGCTGAATTTTAGAGGTTATTAATAAAGAGGGAGGAACAAATAGGCTTAAGTATACTATAATGGTTAAGAAACATTTAAAACAATATAAGCAGACACACAGCTTAATGGGTTCTATGAATTAATATTCCCGTGATGAATTAGCAACATGAACAATGGAAAGATTCATTAGAGTTTGTCCTTTCATCTGGTATGATTAATATTTATTTGAAGTAAAATGCCACCCGATTTAAATTATATAGAAATATAGACTAAGCCAGGCTCTCTACTGGAATATGCAAACAATTCTGATTCATGTTCACCTCTGATGAAACAGTGAACTGTGAACAAAGGCAGAGAATCTAAAGAAACTTGTGTTATTAATACTATAGGAAGAATCCTAACTGATGGACATTTGGTTCATCTTCCCTCTTTGAATGTAACCTTGAATCTATTGTAAGATCATGATAGGAATACATAGACTAAGAGTTTGCTTTATGCCCTCAGTTTGCTTTCTGTGTTCTATTATATTTGCTTTTCACATCTAACTGGTAAAGTAGGCAAGACAAGTACTATTAATGTTATCTTTCATTTTACAGAGGAGGAAGCTGCTCAGTAAAGATGAGTAAGCTATCTGGGCACAGTGGCTCATGCCTGTAATCCCATCACTTTGGAAGGCCAAGATAGGATGATTCCTTGAGGCAAGGAGTTGGGGCAACATAGTGAGACCTCATCTCTACAAAAACAGAAAAAATTAGCTGGGTGTGGTGATGTATGCCTGTGGTCTCAGCTACTTAGGAGGCTGAGGAGGTAGGATGAATTGAGCTCACAGGTTCCTTGCACCATACACTCTAGCTTGGGTGAGACCTTGTCTCTTAAAAAAAAAAAAAAAAAAGATGGGTAAACTGTCCATGGCCATGTTGTCATGGACAGTCTTGTGCTTTCAGATGCTGAGCCCAGGGCTTTGAACCAAGGATTTCATTACTGTAATTGTGAGGGGGTGGATTGGGCCTGTAGGAGTTGGTTCTGTCTCTGTTTACAGTTTACTGTCCCTCTTTGAGAGAGTCAATATTTGAAATTTCTCAAAATGCCAGTAATTTGTTTGGCTTTGGTTTGGAAATGTCATTTGATAGCATTTTTTAAAAAACTATTCTTATGAATTCTCTTCACAAGAAGAGGATGTTGATTTTCCTGGGAAGAAGTAAATTGCTGGACCAGACTCAATGTGTTTGAAAAATTTCTTCTTGTGGCCGGGCGCGGTGGCTTATGCCTGTAATCCCAGCACTCTGGGAGGCCGAGGTGGGAGGATCACCTGAGGTCAGGAGTTCAAGACCAGCCTGGCCATGGTGAAACCCCGTCTCTACTAAAAATACAAAAAATTAACTGGGTGTGGTTGTGCATGCCTGTAATCCCAGCTACTCAGGAGGCTGAGGCAGGAGAATCACTTGAACCCGGGAGGCGGAGGTTACAGTGAGCTGAGATCGCGCCTTTGCACTCCAGCCTGGGCAATAAGGGTGAAACTCTGTCTCAAAAAAAAAAAAAAAGAAAGAAAAAGAAAAAGAAAAAATTCTTCTTTTGCTTACCTCCCTGCCTCTTTCCCTTTAAAAAAGAAATATTCGAACAGAGTGTTATAATTGCTGGGGAGCTATTGTGCCACTTTACCCCTGTTTAGGGGAGCCAGTTGAGTGAGCTCATCCATATGACCTGGATGGGGGTGAGCATCATCTCTGGGCTTCTGTATTGTAGGACCAGATGCTTCTCCTTTCTGCTTTTCCTTCATGGAAACATAGCTTATCTTTGACATAGCTTATTCTTTCTACATGACTTCTCCTCTAATCAGTCACTACTTTGAGAAAAATTATATTCCCATACTATGTAATTCCAATTCTTGAGCTTTTTATCTTTCCGTATTACTAAGGTTTTTTATTTTTACTGATATAGCTGTAGGTCATAACATCCCTACCTCCAAACCCTATTTTTGTTATCCTACTTTAAGTTTTTATTTATTTATTTTTACTTTGGACATTGCAATAATCTTGTCTGTATTCTCTGCTACCAGTCCTAAATCAAATGTTATATATATTTCCATAAGTTATGGAATGAATGGTGAAATTAAGACAGGCAGATACTCTCAGATATAAGAATCAGACCTACTACTAACTAACACAAGTGAGAGCTAGGCTCTTTGTCACAGAAAAAGTGGTACAAAGGCTTTTCCTCCTGATAAATACCAACTTCAGAAGGGAAGGGATTTAGTAACTCCACTGCAAGATAACTTTTCCATATATAGTGTTATATATGTTCATAAAATCATGTTCCTTTTCTACTTAAAAACCTCTGATTATTCTATAGGCCAGAAGTTCCTAAGTTATAGTCACTGAACCAGCAGCATCAACATTGTTGGTAAATGTTTAGTAATGTAAATTCTCAGACACCACCCTAGACAAAGTGAATCAGAAATCTGTACTTTAGGAAACCTGCCAGTGATTTTGAGACACTTTTTGAGAACTACTGCTGTAGGTAGCAAGACAAAGCCTGTACTCCTTACCAGGCATGGAGGACCTTTGATAAGCTTTACCTCCACAGCCACTGCTTATGCTATATCTTCATTGCTCTCCTACCCCAACTGTTACCGTTCTAAGCTTCTTATCATTCTCAGAACATGACATGACGTATACTTCCCTGCCCCATGCTTTGCTAAGCTGTTCTGATTTAATCAAGAGTGTTTTTTCTTACCCACCTGCTTGGGAAATTCCCACAGAAGCAAGAAGCAGCAAGGTAGAGGGGAAAGAGTGTGAACAGCCTTGAGTTAAAATCTGTCGACTGTGGTGTTCAGATGTGTCCACTTTTGCTTGGCTTTTCTTATCTGAAAATGGGGCTAATGATACGTTAGCATTATTATCAAGACCGAAAACAAAATGTTCTGTATAAAGCACCTATCTTTCTATCAACTAGAGTTCAGTACTGTAATTTTTTTTTAGGTGAAATTCACATAACATAAAATTTACCATTTTAAAGTGTATGACTCAGTGACATTCAGTACATTCATGATGTTGAGCAACCATCACCTCTATCTATTTCCAAAATATATCAACACTTCCAGAGGAGACTCTGTACCCAGTCACTTTCTATTCCCTCTCCTCTCCTCAATGGTTTTTTGTTTGTTTGTTTGTTTGTTTGTTTAAATTGACAGAGTCTCGCTCTGTCGCCCAGGATGGAGTGCAGTAATGTGATCATGGCTCACTGCAGCCTCAACTTCCTGGGGTCAAGCAATTCTCCCATTTCAGCTCCCTGAGTAGCTGGGACAACAGACGTGCATCACCACACCCAGCTATTTTTTATTTTTTTCCATTTTTTGTAGAGATGGGGGTCTTGCTATGTTGCCTCTGCTCGTCTTGAATGCCTCAAATGATCCTCCCACCTTAGCCTCTCAAAGTGCTGGGATTATAGGCCTGAGACACTGCACCTGGCCTCTCGATGTTACTTTACATTTTATTTTCACATGATACAGATTCTGGAGATGAATATTCTCATATTCATCTTTTATTTTTTGAAGATATATAGTACTTGCCACCTAGTATGTGTACAGTTCTAGCTTAATTATGGTAAATTAAAATGTGCTGAAGATCTAAATCAGACCACAAAATGTGATTAATTTTTGCCAAAGGAAATTAATACATGTTGTCCAGGCGTTCCTCTGAGATTTCTTAAAGTGTGCTATATTTTTATGTTTACTTTGTAAGGGCACCTTTTGATAGAATGAATACACACATATGCACGTAACCACTGCAGGGTTTAATTACACGATGATAGTATGGCTAATTATTCAGAATTGTTTCCACAGTATCCTCACTACCTAGCTATTTACACAAAGCTAACTGTTGCTGATGCAAGGGATAGAACATTATTTCCTTTTTTAGTACCTTTTGGTTCTTGGGTTCTTAAGATCTCAAAATAATATTTAACATTTTTAAAGGACTTAATACTTTTCGTCGTGCTTTCATTTACATGTCCCATTTCATCTTTTTCTCAGGATAAGAAAGCAAAATCAATTGACCCAGTCTTTTTTCTTTTTTTTTTTTTCAAAATTAGAATATATCTTCAGTTCTAAATGTAGGGACAGATTTACTTTGAAAATAGTAAGTTCTAAGAAACATTATTTAATTAATGTTCATTGAGTTTTCCAATGACAAGATGCAAATGTAATATTTCCCTAATATTTTATATGTAGAAGAACATGCTTTCATTATAAATGACTAAATTAGTGTTACTCTGTCAAATGACACGATTTAATTTTAAAAGTATTAGCTGTAATAAAAAATTAACAGCATGAGGAGTTGAAGAATTTTTAAAAACGCCTTCTTCCCGTGCTGTTAGAAATGACTTAGGAGCTATATGGTATGGGGGTGGGAAGGGGAGTTTTCAAGTTGGAACACTGCAGCTCATTAGCATCTTTCAAACCCTAATGCTGTTTTGTTTCAGTTAGATTTATTACACTGTCTTCTTCCCCAATTCACTGCAGCGTGTAAAGGCTCAGTTGGAACAAACAAAAGAGATATATAACCTCTGAACCAATTAGCATAGCTTACAATGTTCTTAATAGGCTTATCTACTGTATATGCGACTTGGGAAAATGACTCAACTTTTATGCTTTCTTGATCCCTAGGGACGTTTTTCAATATCAACTGCTTTGTGCCCCCAGTATGTGATTTTCAGCTTTCTGATAGAAACCCTTCTTTACAATTTGATGGCTCCAGGGTGCTTCAGTCACTCACTTGTGACTGTTCACTTATTTGCCCAGGCTCTGTTGATGCGTGAGAAGAGGGCACATGTGACTTGGTCCCGGGACAGCCTGCTGGCCTCAGCTGGCATGTGGGACAGGGCGCAGGCCCGCAATTTGTTCAGCTAGTGTTGACTCCTGGGGCGCCCTCCTCTCTCACTCCTCCCCTCATCCTTTGTCCTTCCTCTTTTTACTGCTTGTCATTGGAATCTGGTTCGTCTTTTGTTCTTGAAAGGTATAAATGATGCACGTTTCCCCTCTTCCCCATCTACCAACTCACACAGAAAAAAAGGGCCTGTGTTGGGGGGAAACACAAATTGAGGTATATTGTTAGTGACATTTCATAGAGCAGGCCAAGCTCTGCCTTGCATATTTATAGAATTTTGATTCCACAAACAAGTGAAGGACTCTAAATCTTATGAATTTTGCTGGTTGTGTGTGTGTTTTATTTTTTAACAGCATCTATGGTTCTATTTTGTGTTAGGTCAAATGAGGTATTTGCATTACCACCTCTTATAAAGGCTTCTATTATAAGCACATTAAAATGGTCATTACTCCAATTACCATAATCAATGATTTTCCAATTTGAGAAGGTGAATTTAACCACATCTTGAAAGTATATTTATTAAGGGAATAGAGTGTGAACCCGGAGAGACATGCCTTAGCTATTGACTGTTTGACTTTGGGAATGTTATCTAACTGATGTAAGTCGCAGTTTTGCCATTTGCAGAGAAGAAGTAGTTAGTTATCATGGGATCCTTGTGGATATTTATATAAAGCTACCAATAGTCTCTGCCTTGTAATAACCACTCAAGAAAAGGTAGCAGTGATGCTAATAGAAATCCTTTGGAAAAATAAATAAAAGGAGGCCGGGATTCTAAGAGAGGTAAGCCAACATAGAAGAGTTCATCTGTGAATCGCTGGAATCCGAAGTTGAGAAAATTGGCCTGGCGTGGTGGCTCATGCCTGTAATCCCAGCACTTTGGGAGGCTGAGGCAGGTGGATCACTTGAGGTCAGGAGTTCGAGACCAGCGTGGCCAACATGGTGAAACCCCATATCTACTAAAAATACAAAAATTAGCTGGGCTTGGTGGCACGTGTCTGTAATCCCAGCTACTCAGGAGGCTGAGGTGGGCGAATTGCTTGAACCTGGGAGGCAGGGGTTGCAGTGAGCCGAGATCGTGCCACTGCACTCCAGCCTCCAGCCTGGGCAACAGAGAGAGATTCCATCTCAAAAAAAAAAAAAAAAAAGAAGTTAAAAAATTTATATGGTAAGACAGCCTGTATATTCTGTACGTTATATCCACTATAGAAAACTCTCAGTCATATGTTGATATCATGGTCCTGTATTTAACCTAGTATTTGTGTCTGAAGGGTAGAGATAGGTTTGCCTTAAAAGAACATTGGTTTCCACAGGTGCTATGGTTTGTTCACATCCCCTCCAAAATTCCGGTGTTAACAATATGATGTCAACTAGTATGATGACAATATGGTACTAAGAGATGGGCCCCTTAAGAGGTAATTAGGCCATGAAAGTTCTTCCCTGGTAAATTGGGATTATGACCCTTAGAAAAAAAAAGGCTTCAAGAGCACTCAACTAGCTTGCCCTTCTGCCTTCCACCATGTGGAGACACGATGTTTCTCCCTTTCTGGGGATGCAGCAACAAGGCGTCATCTTGGAGGCAGAGAGCAGCCCTCACCAGACAACCACACCTGCCGGGACCTTGATCTTGGACTTCCTAGCTTGCAGAAGTGTGAGAAAATAAATTTTTCTGTAAGTTATCCAGTCAGTCTCCAGTGTTTTGTTATAGAAGGACAAAGCAAACTAAGATAACAGTGGAGAACATGATTAAGTGATTTCCACTGCTTTGCTTTTATATGTTGTAGATTGAGGTTTATGAGTTATCAGCTATTTTGGCTTTTCAGAGGTAATAAGATGGGTTACAATACCAGAACACCAGAAACTTAGAACAGGGCCAGCCACATAGATGGCACTCAGTGTGTGTATCTGAAGTGAGTATGAGCGGCCTCCCATGGGCCTTTTGAGTTGCTGGATTTTAAAAAGATTGGGGTTGAGGTGGGTGTGGAGTTTTGGGAGGAGACTATTTGTAGCCGGGACGACCTGGCTGAATTCATTGCAGTCCTGTATTTCAGTGAAAGCATTGAGAACTAGTGAGGGAAGAACATAGAGCTGGTTACTAAGGTATCTTGAAACAAGGCCGAAGAATGATTTTTATTTGCTATAAAAATTAGTTCTGTAATAGACTGATACCCCAGCTGAAGGCTCTCATGGTAAATTGAGCCCTTTGGCTTCTTGTTTTAGTAGTGAAAAATTTCAAGAAAAGCTAGTGGCATTTACTCCAAAACAAATGAGTAATTATTTACAGTCTTTTACATGCATTTTAACTTACACAACAGCCTCCTTTACATTTTGGTGAAAATAATAAAAATAACTTTAGCCTATTCCAGCAGTTTAATGTAAGTAGTTGGTCTAAGAATAACTTTGTTATGGTGGTAAGCTTAGGGGAAAAGTATATATATTGCATAACATATTTAATAAAGTTGTTCTAAGTGACAGCCTCCTCCTCAGCAGCCTCTTTGGCTGAACTGTGGTTGAAACTTCTGCCCGAGCCTGTTTCTTCTCAGGCTGGTTCTATTAAGCAGAGTGGTCTAAAGACCAAGAGCAGGGTGTATTGGGAGTCTGACTGGGATGTAAGTGCAGTTCTACAACTTACCAGCTACTGGTTATAACCTTGGTCAGGTCACTCAACCCCTCTAAGCCTCAGTTTCCCCAGCTTTAAAATGGGGATATAAAAGTTCCTACTTCATATTTTTGTGAAGTTTTATTGACTTCATCTCATGAATAGATATAATCAGCTCAAAATAAAAGTTGGCTATAATAACAATTATTTAAGATATGTTTGTATAATATAAGACTAAATGTTGGTTCCTGCTGTGATTTATGTCAGAGGATCTGAAGTTTTTAGTTGCCTTTCCGATGCAGACTGTATTGTTCATACTTTACATTGTTCGTAGTATCATTATCTTCCCTGCCTTGCTTTCTGCAACACTGATTGCCATTTTAAAAAACATAATGGGTGTTCCACAAGTGATCTTGAAATTTTTATTTATACCACTGGAAAATGATTTGAAATATTTCCCATATAGCCTAGGTGTTACTGTTGTGAAGCAGTGTGTTGCTAATTACAATTTTAATAAAACGTGTGGGAGGCTGTCTTCACATTAATTGTTTTATTCACCAAGACAATTGTTACACTTCTGTAGCATAATGAATTGGACAATCACTGTTATGTACTTCAGAGAAATAGACTTCCTTGTTGCTAAAGTGAATAGGCTGGTTGAATTTTACAGAGAAATGACCATGTAGCAGCACCTCTGGTACGGTCTCCTGATACATGGTGTTTTAGGAAGCACTGTGTTCTTCAAGTATCACAACATATGTTGGTTGCCGTGTATAAAAAGGTCTAGGCAGACAAAAATGAGTCACCTCAAAAGCGTATAAAAAAATCTCAGTATCTCTATTTTCTGAATTCTGAATTAGATGTTAAATCAATTTTAAAGATAATAGGCGCTGGTTTATCAAGCTTTGAATTATCTGACAGTGGTTTTCTGGCTTACTCATATATTCAGTGCATGTTTTTGAAGGATTTTAGGTAGACAGAACCAGGACAGTATTAAGTCATTTTAGGCTCATGTGGGAAGATTAGATCATACAATTTATATAAAATACTCTAAATCTTATAATTCCTAGGTACCATGAATGGCTCTAAAATTGTTTACAGAGCAGGTATTGTTCTGCTTTTTTAGAGTAGTAATTTTTAATATAACCACCCTAATTTTTTTTTTTTTTTTTTTTTGAGACGAGTCCCTCTCTGTCACCCAGGGTGGAGTGCAGTGGCGCGATCTCGGCTCACTGCAAGCTCCGCCTCCCAGGTTCACACCATTCTCCTGCCTCACACCATTCTCCTGCCTCAGGCTCCTGAGTAGCTAAGGCTACAAGCACCTGCCAGGACGCCCGGCTAATTTTCTGTATTTTTAGTAGAGACGGGGTTTCACCGTGTTAGCCAGGATGGTCTCCATCTCCTGACCTCGTGATCCACCTGCCTCAGCCTCCCAAAGTGCTGGGATTACAGGCGTGAGCCACCACGCCCGGCCACCTAATTTTCATTTTAAAAGAAGTAAAGACTTGGGGCCGGGTGTGGTGGCTCACGCCTGTAATCCCAGCACTTTGGGAGGCCGAGGCCGGTGGATGGCGGGCGTGGTGGCGGGCGCCTGTAGTCCCAGCTACTAGGGAGGCTGAGGCAGGAGAATGGCGTGAACCTGGGAGGCGGAGCTTGCAGTTAGCAGAGATGGTGCCACTGCACTCCGGCCTGCGCGACAGAGGGAGACTCGTCTCAAAAAAAAAAAAAAAGATGTAAAGACTTGGCCGGTTGCCGTGGCTCAAGCCTGTAATCCCAGCGCTTTGGGAGGCCGAGGTGGTTGGATCACTTGAGTTCAGGAGTTTTGAGACCAGCCTGGCTAAAGTGGTGAAACCCTGTCTCTACTAAATATAGAAAAATTAGCTGGGCGTTGTGGTGGGAGCCTGTAATGCCAGCTACTTGGGAGGCTGAGGCAGGAGAATCGCTTGAACCCGGAAGGCGGAGGTTGTATTGAGCTGAGATCACACCACTGCACTCCAGCCTGGGCAACAAGAGGGTAACTCCGTCTCAAAAAAAAAAAAAAAAGGATGTAAAGACTTGCTAGTTAGAGAAGTTGTGACTAATGAACAGCCAGAGGTAAATGAAAATATACATCTGAAACAAATCCAATGATGATACTTGCAGGAAAAATTTTGCTTTCAAGAGAAGTAACCTCTAGCTGATTCACTCTAAAAAGTCCATATTGCATTTATAACTCCAGCAAAAGATACCATTCTTTACCTTTACAACAGAAAGTTCCTCCGTCTGCCAGTCTGTACATCAGTCTGATATTCTTGCTATAAAATATTTTCATGTGAGAATTACTACCAGGGAATTATCTGTAGCAGCTACCTATAACTTTATGTAGAATTCTTATGCTCATGATAGCACTGATTTTAAAAATATATTCAGTGTTGAAAAATGTACTCAGTCCTGCAGACCAGAGATTAGATTGTTACGGACTGAGGGTTTAATGACCTGCCCTGATGGAGAATCACTTGACTCTCTTGGTTCCAGCCTCCATGTTGCAGGAAGAGAGATTGTGCCCCGTTGTTTTCCAGAAGTAAGAAGTGAGCTTCGCATATTAAGGAGCATTTCCTAGGGATTACGTGGAAAGGTAGAAAAGAAAGATGCCCTTTCTCTCACTACTGTAAGTCACATATCTCTGAGATTTTCAGATAGGGGGTACGAGTTTCCCAGGACTACTGTAGCAAAGTACCACAGACTGGGAGGTGGAAATAGTAGACATTTCTTCTTCAAGTTCTGGAGGCTAGACATCTGAGATAGTGTCTGCAGGGTTGGTTTCTTCTGAGAGCTGTGGGATTAGTTCTGTGTGTCTCCCTTTCTCAGCTTCTGGTGGTTTGCTGGCCATCTCTGGCATTCCTTGCCTTATACTCCAATCTCAGCCTTCATCTTCACATAGTATTCTCTCTGCATGTGTGTCTGTGTCCACATTTCCCCTTTTTATAAGGACACCTCAACATATCTTTTTGAGGGGACACAATTTAACCTACAACAGAGGTCTTGCCGATGAATCCCTCAGAGTTGCTTACTGTAGTTGTGGTGTTCTTACCGGCAAGGAACATCAAGTTTCATGGCAAAGCTTTCACCATCACATGTGCCAGCAGGTGTTGTTTCTTTGTCCAGGATCCTAATCCCAGTCAATTTCTCTGGCCTTTTGCAAGACTACATCAGATTACATAGTATAATAAAAAAAAAGTAAAGAGATATAAACTAGTTTAATGTGTGTTTGTAGGTATGAAGCAGAGAGGTTTAGAATTTAAGCTCTAGAATCTAACCTGGTTTCAAATCATGGCTTTCCTATCCCTGTGACCTGGGCAAGGCACGTACACTCTGTCAACTGAAGGTAATAATAGTGTCTCTCTCACAGAGGATTGCTTGCAGAATAAATGAGATATTACTCTTAAAACCTTAACTGTAGTGCCTGGCCTAGAGTGTGAGCATATGAAATGACAGCCAACAAGAAGGCAAACAAAAAGGTCCTGCTGCCTCTTGCAGATATTGGGAAACAGGCCTATTCCAGGCCTGAGGGAAACATCTGGCTCGTTACCTTGCAGTGTGGCTCACCTCTGTCTGCTACAAGTCCTACGCTGTCATGATTCCTGCTCTATTCAGCTTGTGTGTCTGGACAGTTGTTCTCAGCACTCAGCACCCAGCTGGACACCAGACTGCTTTCTCCTCTTTCAAGCTGTTGCATTTATTGTGTTTTCAGAGCAGGACTCATATTTTTCTCATTAAAGCACATTATTGGAGGAAAGGGAGAAAAAGGTAAATGTCAGAATTTGCTTAAGCTCCTGAAGTAGTAAATGCTATTTAACATCCTCCCACCACCAAAATTTGAGTTTTAGTGTTTCCACACTTAAGAGCTTGGAAATGTATGACTTACTGTCATTGATGAGATAATACAAATGACACCTCCACACTTTTTTTGCAGAGAGTAGGGAGACAACAGGGTTTGTCCTTGTCGATTTTTAACTGGTAGAGTCAAATCCTATAGAAACACATTTTTCCTGTTAGCATTTATTTGGAAATATGAAATGTATTTGTGTGTGGCTTAGAGCTGTCCCTGTTGATTGTACATCATTATTAAACAACAAAGAGGGGGTTAAATCAGAAACATACATTGGCATGCTTAGTAAACATGTTAATGGAAGTTCAGGATACTAGCCTATAGTTTTGTAACTTTTATGTATTTGTTTCTCAACAGTATTTATTTATAAACCTTTTAAAAAGAAGGCAAGGGTTTTGACAACTTCCAAAATACTTGGCCATCATTTTTAAGGATCTCCTATATTCAAACTTATATGATAGGCCCCATGGGAGGATTTCAGGCATGGAGTAAGGATGAGAGAAGCTTCTGTGTCCTGAATTGGTGGGTTCTTGGTCTCACTGACTTCAAGAATGAAGCCGCGGACCCTTGCGGTGAGTGTTACAGTTCTTAAAGGCGGTGTGTCCGGAGTTTGTTCTTTCCTCCCGGTGGGTTTGTGGTCTCCCTGGCTCAGGAGTGAAACTGCAGATCTTCACCATGAGTGTTACAGTTCATAAAGACAGTGTGGACCCAAAGAGTGAGCAGCAGCAAGATTTATTGCAAAGAGCGAAAGAACAAAGCTTCCACCGTGTAGAAGGGGACCCAAGCGGGTTGCCACTGCAGGCTTGGGCAGCCTGCTTTTATTCTTTTATCTGGCCCCACCCACATCCTGCTGATTGGTCCATTTTACAGAGAGCCGATTGGTCTGTTTTACAGAGAGCTGATTGGTCCGTTTTGACAGATTGCTGATTAGTGCGTTTACAATCCCTGAGCTAGACATAAAGGTTCTCCAAGTCCCCACCAGATCAGCTAGACACAGAGTGCAGATTGGTGCACCTACAAACCTTGAGCTAGACACAGGGTGCTGATTGATGCATCTACAAACCTTGAGCTAGACACAGAGTGCCGATTGGTGTATTCACAATCCCTTAGCTAGACATAAAGATCCTCCAAGTCCCCACCAGATTAGCTAGATACGGAGTGTCGATTGGTGCATTCACAAACCCTGAGCTAGACGCAGGGTGCTGATTGGTGTGTTTACAAACCTTGAGCTAGATACAGAGTGCTGATTGGTGCATTTACAATCCCTTAGCTAGACATAAAGATTCTCTCAGGTCCCCACCAGACTCAGGAGCCCAGCTGGCTTCACCCAGTGGATCCTGCACGGGGGCACAGGTGGAGCTGCCTGCCAGTCCCACGCCGTGCGCCCACACACTCCTCAGCCCTTGGGTGGTCGATGGAACTGGGCGCCATGGAGCAGGGGGTGGCGTTCGTGGGGGAGGCTCTGGCAGGGGGAAGGCTCACGCATGGTAGGCTGCAGGTCCCGAGCCCTGCCCCGTGGGGAGGCAGCTAAGGCCCCGTGAGAAATCAAGAACAGCAGCTGCTGGCTCAGGTCCTAGGCTCCTCACTGCTGGGGGCGGCAGGGCCCGCCGGCAGCTCTGAGTGCAGGCCGCTGAGCCCACGCCCACCCGTGCGCAGCCCTTGTTCCTGCCAGTGCCTCTCCCTCCACACCTCCCCGCAAGCTGAGGGAGCCGGCTCCGGCTTTGGCCAGCCCGGAAAGGGGCTCCCACAGTGCAGTGGTGGGCTGAAGGGCTCCTCAAGTGCAACCAGAGTGGGCGCCAAGGCTGAGGAGGTGCTGAGAGTGAGCGAGGACTGGGAGGGCTGCCAGCACGCTGTCACCTCTCACTTCTACTGTAATAAGGGACATCAGGCAATTGGGTAAAGACATTTGCAGGAATAGAACTGATTTCTAATTCGATAATTCAAGAAAACTTTTTTAGTTTTCCTCCTTGAAAGATAAAATTGATTTTGACAAAATAGGGTAAAGGAGAAAGAATTCCAAGGAAAAGGCATGAGATATAGAAAAGTGAATTGCTGGTTTGAAGAATTAAGTATAGGGATAATGTTGGAAAGACAGGAAAAGAACTGGTTGTAGAAGGTTGATGATAGCACGCTAAGGGGTTTAGACTTTGTGGTAGAAAATTAGGAGTAACTCCTTTGAACAGGCTCTGCAGAAGAAAAGGCTAGTCTGGTAGCATAGGATACTTAGAGATGCTCCGGCGATGGAGACACATTCAAGGAGCTTCTGTAGTATTCCTGGTTTGTAGTCATGAGGGCTTGAATGTTATTAATGAAAGTCGGAATGTAGAGAGAATGACAAGATGTGTGACATATTGTAAAAGTGTTATCAACAGGACTTAATGCATGTTAGAATATGAGAAGGAATCAAAGATGACTCCCATGTTTTGATCCAGGGTGTCTAGGAACACTGAGTGGCAAATGTAAAGAATACAAGAGGATGTTAAATTTTGGCTATGTCATCCTTAAGTGGCCAGTATGATATTGTATCCAGATGAATGCCTCACAAGGCAGTTGGAAATGTGAAAGACTTGGTGAGAGGAACAAATATTGGACTCATTCTCATTGACAAGACATTAAGACAGCTGAGTTTGTTACAGTAGGTAGCTAGCCAGGCAGGAGCTGGGCTAGAGGAGGCTCCCCACTCTCCACCCACCAGGAATATCAGGCGATAATCAGGTGATGGTTCAGCAGTTATCACAAGGCCTCTCTGAAAATGACGGTTGGCTGCCAGCACCAGGGAGAGGCAGTTTCCTGATGGGTCACAGTTGTTACATGAAAGTGATAATTGATCTCAGGTGCCAGGGAGAGAGGAGTTTCACAGTAGATAAAAACACTTGAAATTGCTAATTGGCAGCTCAGGAATTGGATGAGTAGGCTTGGGCATGCGCATTAAGAGACAAAATGGCAAGAGTATCACCTTCCAGAAGCATTTCACTGGAAAAGGGAAAAATGCTTCGGTTGAGCATGCATACACCTCCAGTAAACACACTGTGCATGCTCACCTCCCAAATGTTAGCAGGCCACCAGGCATGCAGGCAGCCCACCCCAAGGAAAGGATCACGGTAAAAGGGACGCAAGACACCGGAAGTAATACCAACATATAAAACCCCAAATCAAAAGGTCAGACACTGCACTTGACCTCCAGAGTTCCTGCTTGGGTCTCTTCCAAGTGTATGGTCTTTTGGTTCCTGTCCTAAAGCTTTTTAATAAACTTCCACTCCTACTCTGAAACTTGCCTCGGTGTCTTTTTCTGCCTTGTGCCCTTCAGTGGAATTCTTTCTTCTGAGGAGGCAAGAATTGAGGTTGCTGCAGACCCCTATGGATTCATCTCCGGCAGTTTAGATATTTATCACATCCCTAACAAGTTCAGGGACATGAATGCTATTTCAAAGAAAATAGGGTTAAAAACTTCAGGCTCTGGAGGAAGAACTGGAAAGAAGAGAGTAATGAGCTTCAGAGAGCAGAATGAGAAGTGCAGCCTCACAGAATAGTCCAGGAGAGAGCATGAAGAAGTCAATGCAGTAGTCAATAGCATGAAATGTTTTTATGAGATTAAGGAGGTTGGTCACCTTTCAGAAAGAGAGGTTTTGGCTAAGAGTTTAGGGGCCTAGATCAAAGTAAATGGAGTTAAGGCATCTATAAGTGTTCAGAAAGTGGAGACTGCTTTTATTGACTTCCTCTGAAAATTTCTAGAATTTCTTTGAAAAATCATGGTGTATTATTTCTGTTACCTAGAAACTTTTTCTGAAAGATAAATCTTGGGGCTTTTAATGGAAGAGGTGTTACTTCTTCACTCCTGGACTTTTTAAAGCAATGATAATTTTTGTTTTAATAACAAAGGGCGGGCTTTGCAATAGGTGCTTAGCTAAATATTTTTTTTAATTGCTCTTTTGAAGCACCTTATCTTTTCATAAATATAAAAGGGCTTTCTACAAAAGCCTCAAGTGCTTATTGACCAACTGATAGCAATTTAAAATTGACATGTCAGTTTTCAGAAGGAGTAACTTTTTCCGGTATTGAATAGTGCAGTGAGGCTTTGTTGCCCAGAAATTTCAAGTAGCACTCAGTTTTCATAAGAAATCTTGCATTTGAAGAGACTGGAAGTTGCTTTCCATCACAACCATTAGCATATAACAGGCAGACCTAACTAAGAGTGTACATGGGCCCTACGTAAACACAGTGGATTGCTCCTGTTAGAAATGCTTGTTCCCTGGTGCCATAAAAAAATAGCACTTGAACATAAATTTAATTTCCTCAGCAAGGCCATTTTTAGTTTTTATAGAAAGGGTACACTCTCTAGCAGTTTTGCCATGAGAGTACACCAAACAAAGGAGACAGGGTCATTTATAACATGAGGCGTCCACCCTACTGCTGTGTCTGGTTTCCATTGGCTGGAACAGGACCTCACATTCTGTATTTGTCCCTATTGGCTAGCAACGTAGAACTTTCAAAAAGAGGCAAAGGTAGAGGAGAACAAAGGAAGGAGGAAGTAACTTGTGGAATGCTGAGAAAGGTAAAAATACCTTCAGATAAGGAAGAGGAACAAGCTATGACCTAATGCTTGCTTGGACCAGTATAAGCATGCCAGGACAAATATTTAGGCTAAATTGTGGGAGCTAAGAACATAAAGTACTTTGATTTCTTTATTACAGCTAGCAGATATTTAAGAATGTTAGCACAGGTCTTTGAATAAATTTTGCTTCTAAGAGAAGTTATTATGTATTCCTAATTAGATGGGAGGAAAGTCTTTGAAGAGGAACCTCTACATTACTTTTTACACCCCTTAGTAAGTTTACTCTCCTCTCCCCACTTTTTTTTTTTTTTTTTTTTTTTTTTTTGAGACAGAGTCTTGCTCTGTCACCCAGGCTGGAGTGAAGTGGCGCGATCTTGGCTCACTGTAAGCTCCGTCTCCGGGGTTCACGCCATTCTCCTGCCTCAGCCTCCCTAGTAGCTGGGACTATAGGCACCTGGCACCACGCCCGGCTTTTTTTGTATTTTTAGTAGAGACGGGGTTTCACCCTGTTAGCCAGGATGGTCTCGATCTCCTGACCTTGTGATCTGCCCACCTCAACCTCCCAAAGTGCTGGGATTACAGGCATGAGCCATCGCACCCAGCTGGCTTTTCCACTTTTTGAAAAAGCCCTTGGCCTTTCATTGCTATCATCAGTGGTGCTATATAAAATTTTTAGTTTTTTAATTAACTCACCAAGTCTTTATTGAACATCTAGTTGGTGCTAGACACTCTACTCGTTCTGGGAATACTGAGATGAATGATACAGCTTTTATCCTTGATGATGCAGCTCATATCCTTGAGGCATATGCAGTTTAGTAGGGGAGGCAGAGAAGTAAGCAGATAAATCAAAATTCAGACAGTGTGGGATATGAACAAGGTGCTGTGGAAGCATCTAGAGGGGAGGGAAGCACTGGGAGGAATTGGAAGGAAATCTTATTTTGTGCGTTGAGTTAAACATTGTTAGATGGCAGCAATCTAAGTGGTTCACAACTGACAAATGATTCAGGAAATTCTGTTTTCTTTACTGTTTTCTGCCAACTCTGACAGCATTTTTTTAAGACAAGAAAAAAAATGGCTCAATTAGTCACACAAGTACAGTAAACTTGAAATTACTTAAGTAGTAAGGAGTTATGACTGATACTCCATGGCAACCATAGTCAAATTCCTCCAACTTGCCTGCAAGGACCAAAGAAGAATCAGATACAGTATTTGGCATTGTATTTATTTTATCCTTGGTATTTGGCATTTTTGTTTATTCTCCAGTGGGGATAGATACGGAACGTGGATATACAGTTGACCTTTGAATAATGCACAGATTAAGGGCACCAAGCTCCGTGCAGTCGAAAATGTGCATATAATTTTTGACTCCCCAAAAACTTCATTACTAATACTATTGACTATACGCCTTACCAATAAGTTAATTAACACATTTGGTATATGTATTATATACTGTTTTCTTACAGTAAAGTAAGTTAGAGAAAAATATTAACGGAAATATCTTAAGAGAGAAAAAAATATATTCATTGTTCATTAAATAGAAGTGGATCGTTATAAAAGTCTCCATCCTCGTTGTCTTCACATTGAGTAGGCTTCAGAGGAGGAAGAAGAGGGGGGTTGGTCTTGCTGTGTTAGATGGCAAAGGCAAAAGAAAATCTGTATAAGTGGATCCACACTGTTAAAACGTTTGTTGTTCAGGGTCAGCTGTATATACACCATTCTTAAGTACATGGACTGTGTACATATTTTGTCCATGAAAATCTACCCATGATTTTATGACTCCTAGCACAGAACCCTGTTGAGTTCAAAACGAGCTCCTAACATGTACGATTGACAGCTGTTTGAAGCAAACAGGAATTGATATGTTGATCTTTAAATTCTAACTAATTAATGGAAATATTCAGAAATATTCGGAGATATTAGTGTGCTGTTCATTCAATATGACTTTTAAACCTATGAAACATATATAAGGAAGTGATTGTGTTCATTGTCAAATGATTTTTCACTTTATAAAGGGATTTACCCAGGGTTCCTTTAATTTGATAGTTTTACCCAGTGCATTTAATTGTTAGTTTCCAAACCATTAATTCCTTGACAGAAGACTGGAGAGGCAGACAGCTTAAACCAGAGTGTGAGGAACAAGCCTCTAAATTTTATTGTTTGAAATGGAGCAAAAAGAAGGGTAACTAGTTCCCTTTCATTCAGTGTCAATTGTTGGGGAAATATTTCATTTTCATATCCTGTGTGAGTGCTACCTCTAGGAGATAAAGTAGGTATTTCAGTGTAAGTTTCTTCTGTGTCTTACTGCACCAAATATGGACTTAGAAGCATCAGAGACAATGCATGACAGAGACAATGCATGTTTCTAATGACTGATGGAAATAAGGTCCCATAAATCTGTTTCTGTATCTTAGGGGAATTATATATGGTCTTTGACTGTGGGGCCAAATTGAATGAGGAAGCATCATGTGAGGTAGAATGTGTCCTTACAGAAAGAGCTAACAAATACAAAATATCCAGACTCATTTATTCTGGGATAGCATAAGTAGACCAGTGATCTAATACTCCTACAATAGGTGATGGAGCCATCCTAATAGATAGATTTGAGATTTAGACTGGGAAGTAATAGTCTGAACAAAAGAGAGTTTATGAATTTAATTAAGGTAGAACTTTAAAAAAATTAGATGGATGATTAGAAGACACAGAATCATCCAATTTATATTTGTAGCTACCTAAAAATTATTAGGACTTTCTTATAATGGGCTTTAAAAATTTTTAGGTTTTATTTGAGACTGTTTAATAATGATTTGGACAAATTTTAATTGGATGCAGAAATTGGCATCTCTAGATTCAGTTTTTAAAAAACTGAATCTTAAATCTTAAAAATATCTTAAAAAAACTGTTTAAAAAACAGTGGCTGCATCTCTGGGGATTAAAAAGCAATAGAGAATATTAATATAAGTTGAACCAAAATGTCATTAAAATTACAATTACCTCACAGTAAAAATTATTAGCTAAATTACCCAAAAACAACATGAATTTTTTTAAATGTTTCAGAAAAAGAAATATGGTGATATAATTAATATACATGTATCTTAAACTTTTTTCTTGAAGTTTTGTTATGCTTGCTTAAAAAATAGACAGTATAATTTTATTTCTTTAGCGAATATAAGAAGGTGGTGTGTTAACTACAATAAAATAACTTTTATTGATATAGTGCTTTGTAATTTTAAATGTTCTTTTATGTATATCATCTTATTTAATCTTTAACCAGGTAGTGAAGGAATTATTGCTGTCAGTTCGTAGATATGGAAACTGAGCTGAAACATTAAATAAATTAATCATCAAGAATTATAAACCCTTACTCCTTTCATTTCTTCATCTGTTTATTATTCAGACATATATTGGTCACCGTTATATGCCAGGAGGCCCTCTATTGGTATTGGAAGCAAAATTTGTACTTGCGTCTTTTGGTATCTATTCCAGTATTCTTCTCCTGCCACTGCTTGCTGCATCTCAACTGCAGTTCAGAATTACAGTTTAAGTGATAAGCCTTTTTACTGGACAGAGTTTGGGATTAGTTTTTATTTTGTAATAGATACATAATATTTTTCTATTCTAACATTTTAATGTATAGATTTTCTATAATCAGCCTTTTGTTTAAAGTATAAATTTGTATTGGCCAAAAGTTTTGTCCATTACTATATAAAATTACAGTTAAATTCTTATATAATCTCTTTTTCCACTTGGTATGGAAAAGATTCCTCTTTCAAGATTTCTTAGGCTTCTAAATCCATTGTTTGATTTTTTTTTCTAGGAAAGAAGCTATCTTAATTGACTTTTTATTCTGAGTGAATGAAAATAAGATTCAGAAATTATTTATATAATTTATATATTATTTATATATCTATAGTATTTAGAAATAGTAAATAAAAACATTCATGGTAAAGAAACAAAGGATATTACCGCTAATGACCAATAATATGCATTGGTCATAGGAAGAATATTCCAAATCTAGTTTAATAAATTGTTCTTGGTTATATATTTAGACTTATGCTAGGTTCTTCATAAGATTTTTTTAACAGAGAAAAATCTACAGATCTTGCATTGCATGTGATTATAACCTGGTTGGGAAGAGATACTAATAGCTCCATTACAAATTGGAGTGAAATATGTGTAGCCAATTTCCTTGACTATACAGAAGACTGAATGCTTAAGTCCTCTGGGTACAGTTTTGTAGGGTAAAGGAGACAGTTGTATTGGGACTCATTTTAAAGGATGAGCAGATTTCTGCAGGGGAGATGGATATTTTGAGATTGCACACCAGAATTTTAAAAAGTGTTTAAACATACAGTATATAAGTATGTCTACAAATTGGATTTTTAAAAATCTTATTGCTGTTAGGTATTCTCACAAATACTTAAGTCATTCACAATTTTTTCGTACTATTTACCTATCCTCCCTGGGATTGAGTACGTGTTGGAGGCAGGAGCAGATTCTGTGTATGCAATAAGTCATTGCCAGTTGCCTGGAGCACAGTAGTTTTGGGACTAGAGTGTGAATGTGAGTTGGGATTCATATCAGGAATTACTAACATACAAGAAATAATTATTTCTTACCATTTTCCCTGGACTAATGACTCTGAGAAGAAACCTGGAAGAAACATCATATTTGATACGTCTAGTATTTCATCAGCCGTTTTTTATTTGAAGGAAATACTTACGGTATGGGGTCATAGACTTTGAATATTCTCCAAATTAGGCTGGTCCTTTCTGTATATATCATCTTAATCTCTTCATTTTAGAGGAGCTGAAATGCTGAGAATTTATATACAGAATCTTTTTGTGGAGAAATTTAGAATGTTCTGGTCATGCATAATGATACTATTGTTTTGGATATGGAGAGAAATTGTTCATGATTAGAATCTATACATGCTTAATGAGAGAGAAGACTGAATTATAATCAGTTGCTTTTGCATACCAGTTTCTTTAAAAGCATAGAAAAAGTGGACTTTTTTTTTTTCTTTGCTGTGGTCAAAGGAAGCTTATACTGATTACTGTCAAATGTTAGATTTTTATTTTCTTTAAAATATAGTGGATGAGATTTTAATTTGCTTTTCATGTAAAAGGCAAGGGTGCAGTGTTTATTTGAATTCCACATTACAAACTTTTATTTTTAAACAACAGAATTTTTAACAGAATTATTTTTATTTTTTTTATTATTTTTAAAATTATATTTAAAATTAAAATAATTTTATTATTTTTAACAGAATTATTAGAAAACAAAACAAACATTTTACTTACAAAACATTGACCCCAAAATTGGGTCTGTAAGATCCTCTTTCAAGTATGGGAAGTTTTGTATTTTCCAGCAAGGTTTTTATAAAACAGAAATTAACTGTTTTTCATTCACTTTATGCAGGAAATAGTTATTGTGCACTGAAATGGTTAAGCTTTGTGTCCCCACCCAAATCTCATCTCGAATTGTAATCCCCATAATCCCCACGTGTCAAGGGAGAGACCAGATGGAGGTAATTGAATCATGGGGCTGTTTCCCTCATGCTGTTCTCATGGCAGTGAGGGAGTTCTCACAAGATCTGATGGTTTATAAGGTGCTCTTCCCCCTTAGCTGGGCACTTCTCTTACCTGCTACCTTATGAAGAAGGTGCGTTGCTTCCCCTTCACCTTCCCTCATGATTGTAAGTTTCCCCAGCGATGCTGAACTATGAGTCAGTTAAATCTCCTTCTTTTGGCCAGGAGCGGTGGCTCACGCCTGTAATCCTAGCACTTTGGGAGGCTGAGGCAGGTGGATCACTTGAGGTCAGGAGATCGAGACCATCCTGGCTAACACAGTGAAATCCCATCTCTACTAAAAATACAAAAAAATTAGCCAGGCGTGGTGGCCTGTAATCCCAGCTACTTGGGAGGCTGAGGCAGGAGAATCACTTGAACCCGGGAGGCAGAGGTTGCAGTGAGCCGAGATGGAGCCACTGCACTCCAGCCTGGGCAACAGAGTGAGACTGTCTCAAAAATAAATAAATAAAATAAAATCTCCTTCTTTTATAAATTACCCAGTCTTGGGCAGTTCTTTATAGCAGTATGAAAACGTACTAATACAAGCACCTATTTTGTATTAGGCATTTTTCTAGTGATTGTGCTGCAGAAAGATCTGCCCTTGTAGAAATTTTATTCTCATTAATTAATTAGGTTTTGGCCAATTTCTTATATATTTTACAATAATAGTATTAATTTAGTTGCTCACCATACATATTTCTTAAGCCAATATTATGTATAAATTCTAAGTAGTGTTGTCACAGAAAGAAATGGAAAAATCAGTACAAATGTATGTATAAGGAACATTGGGGAAAATTGTTTAAAGCTTTAGTATTTTCAAAGGATGGGTCTGAAGTTTCATATATTTGCAAATCATTTTAGAAACTTAAAATATAATTTAAATTACAATGATAAGAGCTGGTATAAGTTTTTCTGAATGAATGAGCCGTTTATACTATGAAAAGTATTTTTTAATATTAGATCCCTGCTTATAGGTAAAATTACTTAGTACATTTTTTTAAGATTTATTTGAAGTTTTCTTTTCCATGCTCTCCTTCTTTTTTTTTTTTTTTTTTTTTTTTTTCTGAGATGGAGTCTCGCTCTGTCGCCCAGGCTGGAGTGCAGTGGTGTGATCTCAGCTCACTGCAACCTCACCTCCTGGGTTCAAGCAATTCTCCTGCTTCAGTCCCCCCGAGCAGCTGGGATTATAGGCACCTGTCACCACACCTGGCTAATTTTTGTAATTTTAATAGAGACATGGTTTCGCCATGTTGGCCAGGCTGGTCTCGAACTCCTGACCTCAGGTGATCCACCTGCCTCGGCCTCCCAAGGTGCTGGGATTACAGGCATGAGCCACATTCTCTCCTTCTGAAGATATCTTAACACATCTGAAACTTTAAGAGAATGCTAGTACCATAATTTTTCTTTTTAAGTACTACTTTTCACTTACTGATACTTATTAGAAGTAAAATCAGTTATTGCAGTTGTCTCAGACTGTCACTGCATGTAATTTCAACTGCATGTAATTTCAACTGTTTCTTTCTGTAATAGTGGTTGTATTGAGATTGATTCATGAAACCTTAAGTTCCTTGGGAATTAAAAAAAAGAATCCCATAAGAAGTAAGGAGTTTATTTTAAAGTAATGGCCCAACTGGAAATCTGCATGTCATAAAATTTGTCCATTTAATGGTAATGGAAAGCATCAACTGACTTAGCCAAGTTTTTTGAGTGGAAGGGTTATTTAAGGTGACATCTAATCAGTTTGAAATGTATATAGATCCAAAATGAAATGGAATTTTATTAAATTAAACTATTGGATATTTTCTGTATCATGTGGAATAGCTATAATAAAGACAGTTAAGATAGAATTATGGAAAGCATCTTTTACATGTGATAAAAGATGGTTTCTGTAGGTTTATTGAAATAATTAAACACATTAGATTTTTATTTTTGACTAACTCGGTTTGTTTCTCTCCCTCTTCCATTTTCTTTTGCTCTTATTTTTTTTATGAAAATCTTGTAAGCTTATAGAAAAATATTGATAATTAACTATTTTTTAATGTAAGAAATATTACTGATCTTAAAACATGATTTGTAGGATTAAAAACAAATTTTTAAAAATCATAAAATCACTTAGAACAATCTCTATCCCTATAATAGCAACTTTCACTTTTGATTGTTAGATTTAACTGGTATATGTAATTTAGTTATTTGCCGTCACACTGTGAATCCAGTTTTTACCATTCAGTGACAAATTTTCAGAAATATATCAGACTAGTACTTTACATATGTATATATGGATCATTATGTTTATATAAATATTCCCCAACCTCACTGTAATAGTGTTTATCTGTATCTCTTTCTTTTAAAATGTGTGAACTCAGCTATGTAATACTTATGCCAATATGTATAGTTTTAAATATTCTAGCATCTCTGGCAGATACTATTTTCTACTTGAATGCTTATGTTTATTTGGAACTCACTACTCTGTAACAGCAGCTGGTTATGTTCCTGGGCAGGTTTAATAGTCATTTTGTCATACTCAGTCAAAATGTTCTTCCTTTTACATTTTTCGTTAAGTCTTGTGAAGCCACACAGAAGTGATCTACTCTCTTTACCAAGTGTTAACTTTGCATATATTTTATGGGGATGATTCTATCCCTACTTAAGATTTTCTCTTCTCAGGTTAAATATTCCATTTCCTTTGTTCAGGAGTTTCTTATTTGGCCTTCTTTCTAAACCCTTAACCATTCTGCTTATTCTCTGCTTGACACATGCTATTTAATCAAGGTGACATTTAAAATATGGTCCTCCACAGAGCACCACTATGAGTCTCCTACCTCCCTTGATCTATAAACTATATTTTTACAGTTTTATAAGATTTTTTGGCAGTCAGTTTATGATACTGGCATGGGAAATTTCTTGCCTACCCTCCCTACCCTTTTAATCTGTATTTCCTTTATCTGTTTTATATATAGCAATATTTTTAACCAAAAACTTAAGACTGAGTTTTCTATGTACTTATTGATTTAATGTTTATGGTCATTCATTTATGGTTAATTTCAACAAATACTTACTGAGCTCCTGTGTGCCAGATATTCTAGTAGGTGCTGGTAGAAAGTGGTAATCAAAGTATAGTACCAAACTTTTAAATTTCCTCTGGTTTTAATGTTATGTTTATGATACCCTCAGAGGGAACAGGGAATAATAATGAAGATGATAATGATAGCCAGAGATTATAGCATACTTAACAGGTGCTGGCATATTTACCTCTCACAACAATCCTTAAGTCACAAGTACTATTTATTATTCCCATTTTGCAGATGAAGAAACCACGGCTTATTGAGATGAAGGTACTTGCTCATGGTGAGGTCATGGATGGCAGAGCTAGCATTAGATTCCAGTTAATCGGCCTGCAAAGTAAATTTTATTAACCACTCTGTTAAGTAAGAAACAGTGTTACTGAATTTGAAGTAAGGGAAAAAATTTGTTTTTCAGATGAATGACAAAGACTTCCTGGAGGAAATGGGCTTTGAAGAAGGGGAACTATCCATTCAAAAGAAACTCTCACCAGGAAGAGGCATAAAAGAATGAGATGGAAAAGAACAAAGCTCCATGGGAGAATACTATTCGTGTAGTTTGGCTACATGGGGACAGACACATAAGGCATGTTGAGGAATACAAGATAGGAAAAAGATTAGAGACAGATTGTGGCAGACATCAAGTGCCATGACAAAATGAATGTATGTTGTTAGTTTTTGAGCAAGAATGTTGAGCATAGTCATCTCCTGCCTTAAAATTGTTATCTTGCAGTAGTATTCACGGAGGATTATAAAGGAAGCAAGTAGATAAGAGAGAAAAAGAACCAGAATTACCAATCATGATTAGAAGGAACAAAAAGGACAGACACAAAAGACAGGGTGTTCCTTAAATTGTTTGACTTTAAAACCAAATGAATATTGGAGTAAGAAAGAAGTGGTAACTGAAAATCAAGACACTGACAACAGAAATAGTCAGATGTGGTTGAGGAACATTATTTTAGGAAGATGAGGAATTGACCTTTACATTGAGTTTGAAATACTACTGTAGAATCCAGATGGAATTATCTAATGAGCAGTTTGAGAATCAGTGCTGTAGCTCAGGGGAAAGTTGAAAATGGAGAAATAGACCTGATTTTAGCTGTGTAGAGGGGAAAACTGAGTTACATATGGAAGTAAACATACAGGTGCTAAAGAGGATGAGCGGGTGTAAACCATATGACATCAGGACATTGGAGGTACTGCTTCTAGGCTTGGAGATGACCAGTGGCATTTTCTGATAGTAGTGTGTGACAAACATCAGCTTGACTGTTTTCTTAAGGACTTTGTGTACAGTTTTCATGTAAGCTCCTGGTTCATGCATTTCTTTCTTTTATTCTTTTTTTTTTTTTGGAGACAAGAGTTTAGCTCTGTGGCCCAGGCTGGATGGAGTGCATTGGCGCGATCTTGGCTCACTGCAAGCTCCGCCTCCCGAGTTCACGCCATTCTTTTGCGCATTTATTTTTTTTAATTAATTAATTAATTATTTATTTATTTATTTAGAGATGGAGTCTTGCTCTGTCCCCCAGGCTGGAGTGCAATGGTGCTATCTCGGCTCACTGCAAGCTCTGCCTCCCGAGTTGACGCCATTGTCCTGCCTCAGCCTCCTGAGTAGCTGGGACTACAGGCGCCCGCCACCACGCCCAGCTAATTTTTTTTGTATTTTTAGTAGAGACGGGGTTTCACCGTGTTAGCCAGGATGGTCTGGACCTCCTGCCCTCATGATCCGCCCACTTCGGCCTCCCAAAGTGCTGGGATTACAGGCGTCCTTCAAGGTTTATTGATGTTGGCATCTGCTCTACTGAAGATAAATACAGATTTTTTTATTTTTTTATTTTTATTTTGGCTTATTTTATCCCAGTAAGAAGCAGGAATGAAAGTTTGTAGGCCAAAACATTAACTGTCCAGTGAAGGTGTGACCCGGCAAATCTAAAGAACTCAATAAACTTCAGACTGACATGTTGAATCAATCTGAAAGATAACACTGTCCATTCTCCGGAAGGAATAATGGGCTTCATTAACTTGTATTACAAAGGATAAATCTTCACAGGTACATGGACTGAGGATAGAGTGGGACTGGTTTAGTCTGAGGAAGTCTTTTTCCTCCCTCTATTTTGTAATGCTTCTAATAGACCTGTTTAGCTTCACATCTCTCCTGTAAGCAGATTATGCTTATCTTTGCATTTCTGTGATGGAACATAGTACTTGATATAGTAGTGGGTATGTATTAAATAATATATAAAGGCATGAATGAGCAAACTTTGTCTAAAAAGAAGTTAAGGCAATTTACAAATTTTTGTTGAGTCGAATGTGCTATCTTTTTTTTTTTTTTTCTAATTCTTCAGTTTAGAAATGAACAGTGAAGGTTCCTATTTAGAGAATGCTCTAAATAGTTCTCTAAATGTGTAGACCTCAGGACATTGGGAAAACCTAAATCATTTCAAAATGAACGTATATAATATTACCTAAAATTCATTCAGCAAAATTAAGCTTCACTTGTGAAAAATTCATTTAAAATTGAAGATATCCATTTGATACATACGTACAATACCACAGATGTCCCTCACCCTAGAAATGGGCTCCGTTAACACTTGTTAATTCTTTGGGGGGCCGCAGAATTTTCAGGAGACTGCCAGGGAGTCTCCAAAAAAACTCAGGATTAGATGGTAACAGTGGTGATGTGTTTGAAATGTTGTGGCCTTTGAGACGTAGCATGAGTTTGTAATAAGATAGAATATGTGTTTGCTATATCAGACTTCTATTATCTTCCCAAATGCATATGGAAGGTGTCTCCTTTACCTTGGGACCCACCAAAAACCTGCTGTTTTTACATCAAATAATATTAGGCAAAGATTAGGAGGAGAGGAATTTTTTGGCCTATAGTGCTCTCTGAAAATGAAAGGGCAGGCTTACAAGATAATAAACTTCCAATTACTGGAAATATTTAGTAGAGATTGGAAAAATTCAAAAAGATTCTATGTTAGAAGGAATATTGGATAAAATTTGTGTAAGCAAATAAAATTTCTGCTTATTCCAGTCTGCACTGTAGAAATAGTTTAGGCTGAATTGGTGAAAGAGAATATAGCACAGTATATGAACATAGGAACAAAACTCGTAAGAGTCAGGAATTTTTCTTTCTTTGTTTTTTTTTTTTTTTTGAGATGGAGTTTCACTCTTGTCGCCCAGGCTGGAGTGCCGTGGCAGGATCTCGGCTCACTGTAACCTCCGCCTCCTGGGTTCAAGTGATTCTCCTGCCTCAGCCTCCCAAGTAGCTGGGATTATAGGCGCCCGCCACCACACCCTTGCTAATTTTTGTATTTTTAGGAGAGATGGGGTTTCACCATGTTGGCCACGCTGGTCTCAAACTCCTGACCTCAGTTGATCCACCTACCTCAGCCTGCCAAAGTGCTGGGATTACAGGCATGAGCCACAGCGCCCGGCTAGAATTTTTCTTTATTCTGTGAAAGTCTATTGGTTTTTGTTTTTGTTTTTTTATACTTTTAACTTAGTATCTAAGATTTTTTCTACCTTTTCCTAAAGCCATTTTGTGTTTATTTTATTGTTATATAGTATTCTTCAGGAGTTCAGCCTATAGTTCAGTTGTTCTTTTTGGTACAGTTTGACCTATATCCTGTAATAATTCTTGAATGTGTTTCTGTAAGTGGAGTGACAGAAGGCCATTTCTGCTGTTAAAATCTGTTGCCCTTGGCAAAGGAATAAAAGGATCACTTTGTGTGTGTGTGTGTCAGTGTTTACTACTGGTGCCTTGTTTGAATCATCTCCTTCACTGTTATTCATTAGGTCATTTGTGTCTTTAGTCATTAAACTTTGTCTCATTCCTCAGTAAGAGAAAGCACAGTGAGACCATAAAAGATGAAACTGGCACTTCATTTACTCCATAATATGGAATTCACTGCTTCCAAAATGAAACCAAGTTGATTAGATGACCTTGATAATTGTTGTCTTTTTAAACGTTGGATCAGTTGCCTTTTGTGTCTCTTCATTTTATCACCAGAAGGCTCAAGCTTAGTGGCACACACAATTTATTCTTGGCTGTGTATGTTGACCTTTGAGATAATGGAATATTATTTTAGGGCTCTAATTTCTATCTCCTCTATCTTGGGTGGCATTTTCTGTATAGTACCAGGCAGCACCTTTTACTTTACACTTTAAAGGAAGGAATGAGCTACAGCTATGATTTTAAGATGGGAGTAAAATCTCTGTTCTTTCCCCCTGTATCTTATCATTTAGTGCTATATCTCATCTTTTCTACATGAAAATAATTTTGTATTTTTGGACATGGAGCCATACCATTTGGACTTCCCAGACCTATTTTTATTTCTTATTGCAGTACTTGCTATGGAACTGCTGACTGGCTATATATATTTTTATATTTTATCTATGGAAAAGCAGAATTCCAAATACTTCCAGATAATTCATATTATAAGAGTAATTTCTTTTGTCCTTGCTAATATTGTGTTATTTTCTTCTCAGTATAAGTTTTCCATGGTAAGTCTTTGCAAAATTGAAACTGTTTATTACTTATGGGAAGTCCAAAAAATGAGGGATGACTCAACTTTAATGCCTACATGCTTCTCAAGCACATAACATTTTTGCCTGACTCTTTCCATGCACTTGACCACATGCCCTAGACCATGATTCAATAGAAAGGTTAATTGCAAGGTTCTCCAGGTCATTGGTAACAGTGAACAAGGCTGTAGGTGAAGTATTTGTGTTTATTTCCTGTGTAAATGTAAAGGCATCCCCTTGTTTGATTGTGGACATGATGAAGACTCTCTGAATCTCTCAAATACCTCATATGGGAGTGCCCACTAATAGTTGCTTAATGAATACTCAACTATGTTAAATAGTTTTGTAGCATTTTCAGCCATCACTTATTTACTTTCTCATGTTCAACCTATTAGAATTTTATGTTGACATGGGGCTTGTTCTGGAAACAGATCTGTTTTGAACCTTATGGACTACAAGCTAATTACAAGTTAATGTAATGTGAAAATAAAAAGTAGGTCACTTGAAGTCCAGATGGGCAGTGATAGACTTCATCTCTAATCCAAAATACTTGTAGTGGATAAGCTTTCTAGCACTATTGTGTATTTTTTTTTCTGTTTTTAAATTTTGGTGTGAAAAGATAACTTACGGACTACATTTACAGTAGGTACAAAGTAAGGCCTACCTTTTCCTAATAATTAGTCCAGTGGGAATTCTACAGGGTTTAAGTAGCATTTCACATAGATTTTAGAATTATTTATATACATCCTAGATGAGAAGAAAATTCTAGATTGACAGCATCTGCAGTATGCCTCAGAAATGACCATCTAGCCTCTGTTTGAATGTTTTCTTTGAAAGGAAGGCTACTATTAGGACACAATTTCTGTCATTCTTGAACAATTTTAATTTTTAGAAAACTTTTCTTTCAACTGAAAGATAATTTTTTGTTACTTCAACTCGAATTGCTCTTATAATGTTAACTTTTTAATCAGATCAAACATTTCTAATTTTATAACTGTTTAGATAACATGGCTCTGAGATCCTTTTTTCTCTGGCATACTTATAGATAATCTCCAGTTTATCATGGTTCCTCTTGAAATGGGATATTCAGAACTAGACACTGTTGTTCATGATCTCATAGTACTTTTTCTTTCTCTCTTTCTTTTTTTTTTTTTTTTTTTTTGAGACGGAGTTTCGCTCTCGTTGCCCAGGCTGGAGTGCAATGGCATGATCTCAGCTCATTGCAGCCTCCACCTCCCAGGTCCAAGCGATTCTCCTGCCTCAGCCTCTTTAGTAGCTGGGATTACAGGTGCCTGCCACCACACCCAGCTAATTTTCTGTATTTTTAGTAGAGACGGGGTTTCACCATGTTGGCCAGGCTGGTCTCAAACTCCTGAACTCAGTTGATTCACCTGCCTCGGCTTCCCAAAGTACTGGGATTACAGGTGTTGTGAACCACCGTGCCCAGCCCCTCATAGTACTTTGTAAGTGTATTAGGGTTCTCTACAGAGACAGAACTAATAGGATAGATGTGTATATAAAGGAGAGTTTATTAAGGAGTTTGACTCACACAATCACAAGGTGAGGTCCCACGATAGGCCATCTGCAAACTGAGGAGCAAGGAAGCTAGTCCAAGTCCCAAAACTTCAAAAGTGGGGAAGCCAACAGTGTAGTCTTCAGTCTGTGGTCAAAGGTCCAAGAGTCCCAAAGCTGAAGAACTTGGAGTCCGATGTTCTACGGCAGGAAGCATCCAGCACGGGTGAGAGATGTAGGCTGGGAGAATAAGCCAGTCTAGTCTTTCCATGTTCTTCTGCCTGCTTTTATTCTGGCTGTGCTGGCAGCTGATTAGATTGTGCCCACCCAGATTGAGGGTGAGTCTGCCTTTCCGAGTCCACTGACTGAAATGTTAATCTCCTTTGCCAACACTGTCATAGACACACCCAGGAACAATACCTTGCATCCTTCAATGCAATCAAGTTGACACTCAAATATTAACCATCACACTAAGGGAACTATATTTCTTTCCTTCTTTTTCTTTTCTCTTTTTTTTTTCGAGACACAGTCTTGCTATAACGCCCAGGCTGGAGTGCAGTGGAGTGATCTCGGCTCTACTGCAACGTCCTCCACCTCCTGGGTTCAAGCGATTCTCTTGCCCCAGCCTCCTGAGTAGCTGGGACTACAGGTGTGTGCCACCACACCCGGCTAATTTTTGTATTTTTAGTGGAGACAGGGTTTTACCATATTGGTCAGGCTGGTCTTGAACTCCTGACCTCAGGTGATCTGCCTGCCTCAGCCTCCCAAAGTGCTGGGATTACAGGCGTGAGCCATTGTGCCCAGCCAGGAAACTGTATTTCTATGTTATGTTTTTATTCACTCTAAGTTTGTATTAACTTTTACAAACATACTATTGATCCTTAATTACCTTGCAAATAATTAAAACACTCATGTTTTCTCCCATTAACCCAGAAGTCCCTCATCCATTACTGGTGCAATTAATTTGTGGACCTGGATTCTATGTTTTTACAAAAAATTTCAAAAAATGAATTATGACTATTTTTTACAGGCAAGGTCTCACTCTGTTGCCTAGGCTGGAGTGCAGTGGCGGAAAGAACTCCTAGGCTCAAGCGATCTTCCTGCCTCCACTTCTGGAGTAGCTAGGACTATAGGTGCATGCCATTGTGCCTGGATAATTTTTTTTTTTTTCGTAGAGGAAGAGTCTTGCGATGTTGTCAAGGCTGGTCTTGAACTCCTGGCCTCAAGCCATCCTCTTGCCTTGGTCTCACAAAATGCTAGGATTATAGGTATGAACCACAGTGCCTGGCCAATTCTAGGTTTTTATGATCAAGTACATTAAATATCACCTCGTTTGTTTTGATCCTTTTTACTAGTCTGTTGAAAACTTTTTGAATCCTGACAAAGCAAATAGGGGAGTACCTTCTTAAATTTTATGCCATAAGCATCTCACAAAAGTCCTGGCCTAACCTTCTTTCTTTACCATTTAATTTTTCCAGAACTAAAAGATTCATGATGCCAAGTTTGTAAATACTGTTTTAATTATCAACTCATGTTGGTAATGACTAATGATAACAGCTGTCTTTAAAATACAGTCTTCTATTTCTCATATGTTATTATGAGGAAGGTGTTAGCCTCATTTTACAGATAAGGAAAATGAGGCTTAGAAAGATTAAGTAACTTCATTTATATTTTCATTTGTTCAATAATATATTCACTCCAAATTATTTACTGGATTCCTGCTATGTGGTAGGCGCATAGGAGTTTATAATCCCAGCACTTAGGGAGGCCAAGGCGGATGGATCATGAGGTCAGGAGTTCAAGATCAGCCTGGCCAAGATGGTGAAACCCCATCTCTACTAAAAATACAAAAAAAATTAGCCGGGCACGGTAACACGTGCCTGTAATCCCAGCTACTCGGGAGGCTGAGGCAGATAAGTGCTTAAACCTGGGAGACGGAGGTTGGAGACCGAGGTTGCAGTGAGCCGAGATCGCGCCACTACACTTCAGCTGCCTGGGTGACAGAGCAAGACTCCGTCTCAAAAAAAAAAAAAAAAAAAGCTAGATGTGTCCTCTGCCTTGTATCTCTTGCAAGCTACTGTAAAAAGCACTCCTTTACAATGGAGTATTATTCAGTGCTACAAAGAAATGAGCTATCAAGTGATGAGAAGACATGGAGGAACCTTAAATGCATATTACTAAATGAAAGAAGCCAATCTGAAATGACTACATATTGTATAATTCTAACTGTATGACATTCTGGAAAAGGGAAAACTATGGAGGCAGTAAAAGATGAATGGTTGCCGTGAAGGAGGGAGGGATGAAAAGGCAGAGCACAGAGGATTTTTAGGGCAGTGGAACTACTCTGTGTGATATGTAATGGTGGATACATTTGCCCAAATCCATAGAAGGTACAACACGAAGAATGAACTGTAAGGTAAACTATGGACTTTTGTGTAATAATGATGTGTGACTTCAGGTTCATCAGTTTTAACAAATGTACCACTATAGCCAGGATGTTCATAGTGGGAAGCTTGTACATGTGAGGGGCAGGGAGTATATGGGAGCTCTCTGTACTTTCTGCTGAGTTTTGCTGTCAACCTCATAGAGCTCTAAAAAATAAGTTATATTTTAAAAAGAATACTCTTATATAGTCTATATTTCTCCCCTTTTTTGGGGGGTGAGAGGGTTTACAAAGATTGAGGGCTTTATGAAATACCATACTAAAACTTGAATGCCTATAACAAGGTATCCCTTGCTATACAGGTCTGACTTAGCTTATCAGCCTGTGAAACCAAGTAAAATATTCTTTTAGTGATTTTGTGGCAAACCTGATTTTCATTGAACATTTTTCTCAAATTCCCAGTAGCAAATGGAGATTTTGACAATGGTACTAAAAATAGGTGATATTTTCCTGAAATCATTTGATAAAAATACCTGTGACCATCTTGCTCTGGTGTAGTCATTTTGTGCTTCGTATAGCTGGGCACGCTGCAGTACGTTGTATTCTCCACTTTCCACGTGGTAGTCTAGTCTGATGTAACAAATTTTCCTCCTCATCTCTTCACAGCCTGGGACTGAGCCACAGTCTGGAGGCAGGTATGGGAGAAAATGATAGATAAGATGAAAAAGAGGATGGAGGGCATTTAAAAAAGCTTCTTTGAAAAGGTGTTAAGAGAAAGTGCTAGTATTCTGAGCACTTTTAACTTTTACTTCAGGATTCTTTGATGGGACTGGAATTAACCTGTGGTACTTCCTCTTCTGTTGTTTCTGAGAAGTGATGCAGTTCATAAATCAGTTCTGTTATTAATATTATATTATATGCTGAAACATTTCATAAGTCAGTGGGAAATCTTTCTAAAACGTATTCCATATTTACCTTCATAATTGAAGTATATTGGATTTATCCTCTCACAGAACTCGGGACCACCATGATGGTCATTCAGTATTATATCTTCTGCTAATATGTACACACATTCAGGAGCTTGTCTATGGATAGGAATTTTTTTCTCTACACAAAATGGCCCCAGACTGTTAGCTGTATGTTTAAAAAATATATTTAATTTGTTTCTTTCATAATTCACCTGCCAGGTATTACTTTTGCTATTTATATGAGTACTCTGCTAGGCTTTTGCCCATTTCCTGATTTGTTAAATCTAATTTGCTATGGAATTAAAAATCAAAGTGTTTAGCTTGTTAGTATTTCTAAGTGTTAGTAGACAATTATTAGCATAGATGTTTTCTTTAACTCAAAGAAGGACAGGTAAAAATCTACAGTTAGGGAATATAAAATTAATTTAGGATTTGGACCTCTTTCTAATCCTTAGTTCAGATGTTGGTGGTCATTGATTATTTTTACAGAAAAACCCCAGGTAACCCTGTTCTTGAGAAAGGGAATGGATAGATATTATTTTATTCTTGTGTTCTAGTCCTAAATCTCTTCTGTACTTCTCTCTACCCTCTGTTCACCCCCTCCACCACAAAAAAAATAAAGACAGACAGGAAGAATAATGTGTATTAAGTCCTTGTTGCTGGCCATTATTCTATTTTTTTTTTTTTTTTTTGAGACGGAGTCTCGCTCTATCACCCATGCTAGAGTGCAGTGGTGCAATTTCGACTCTTTGCAACCTCCGCTTCCCAGGTTCAAGTGATTCTTGTGCCTCAGCCTCTCAAGTAGCTGGAATTGCAGGCGTCCACCACCAGGCCCAGCTAATTTTTGTATTTTTAATAGAGACGGGGTTTCACCATGTTGGCCAGCCTGGTCTCAAACTGCTGACTTCAAGTGATCCACCCTCCTCGGCCTCCCAAAGTGCTGGGATTATAGGCCTGGGCCACCGCGCCTGGCCTATTCCATTTCTTAAATAACAAATGTTTTGTATGGATCTTATAATGTATGTTATAGAGACTTGGACTTTGAAGAAAGGGAACACAATACTTTACCCAACAGCATAAACAGACCATCAGCCCTCTTTGGCTGATGTGGTTTGGTGGTCAGGCTAATCAGAATGGGACCTTGATATGCTAATAAAAATTTACACCATTCATTATAATAATTTGGTTCAGGATTATTCTCTGTTCTCTTACCTACTGAAGTATCTGGCACTTAGCATGTGCTCAGTAAAAATGTGTTTCAATAAATAGAAATGAAATGCAATTTAGGCTGTTCTGATGAAAATTAATTTATATCACGTCAATATATGCAGAAGAGGTATGATGCCAATATTTCATGTAAGAAAAAGATACAGAAGTTAATAGGAATTATATGCCTGTAACATTTAGTAAAATTAAATGGCCTGAGAAATTGCTGTTTAGTAGGATGTTAGAAATAAATGCTGTAGATGTGATGATTTGTAATTATGGAAATTAGTATTTGAATTTTAAGCTTTCTAGTTAAGTAAGGGGGAGGCTAATTTTCCATGGGAGTATTTTCAGGAAAATCATCTATTAAAAATATACATAGGCCTGGCACAGTGGCTCACGTCTGTAATCCCAGCACTTTGGGAGTCCAAGGCAGGCAGATCACCTGAGGCCAGGAGTTCGAGATGAGCTTGGCCAACATGGTGAAACCCCGTATCTACTAAAATTATAAAAACTAGCTGGGCGTGGTGGCGCGTGCCTGTTATCCCAGCTACTTGGGAGCCTGAGGCAGGGGAATCACTTGAACCCGGAAGTTGGAGGTTGCAGTGATCCGAGATCGTGCCACGGCATTCCAGTCTGAGTGACAAAACAAGACTCTGACTCAAAAAAAAAGAAAAAAAAAAAAGACATACGAGCAGATCAGAAGACACTGTATGTTTTATTGTGATTCAGCTCTTCCTTCCACAGAAGAGGTGATAAACTAAGAGGACTTCCTTAAATTGATTCCAAGTTGACATCCACAGTAAGTTTTATTTGAAAAAACATTTTTTGAACTATGGGTACCACTGGAAATACAAAGTATTTATAACAGGACAAAAACTGTTGGGAATGTGAGATGGGGTATCTGATGTTTTTATTTTCCTGCTGAACATGAATGGGAGAGCATGCAGGACTTCCAGATTCAGTCAGCCACAGGAGTGGAGAGGATAAGCCAGTACAGGGCCAAGAGACACAGGGGAACAATGAGGCTGTTCGTAAAATTGCTTTAGTTTCTCAATTCAACCAAGTTTTCCTTGTCACTGGAGCTTCCTTTTCTGCTTTTCACGTATTTTATAGGTAATTGCTTCCTTTTCTAATCCCTTCTCTTGTAGGCAGTACGTCTATTATTTCCACAATGTGGTAGGGTGATGGAAAAACACCCTATCATAATGTAAAATAAAAAATCTCTCCCAAATATGTGTATGTATTTACATATGCCATATAAACATAATTATTGAAATAATCAAATGGGATACTTTGTCGAAGATTTAACTTTAAGAAACAAATTTTCCTGTGGTAAGAAATGGCTTTTTCTATTTTTGTGAGGTTTGACAGTTTTGTTACTTTTCCTTTATGTCTTCTCAGTGTGTTCACTCTGTGATAGGGAAAGCACACACACACACACACACACACACTCTCACACAGTGTCAGATTGCTGGAGATTAACTGAGTTCCTTCAATACCAGTGAAAGAGAGAGTACACAAATTATTGCGAATGGAAAGTTTTACCATAGCTTCAAAAACTTATTTCAGAATGATGGTTGTAGTAAATTAAGGGGAAACAGCAGGTGATGCTAGACTTGGATAAATTTATACATATCAAGCTGATTTCCCAACTTCATTTTTAAAAAAGAATATTTAAGTAAACTTACTAATCTTATTCCAAAATATAGTTTAAATATCTTTTCATCCAGTGAAATAAATTGGTAAAGGAGCACATATTTCTTTGTGGTTTGAGCTTTGACAACAGTATGTATATCCGGTACTCATCCTGGTGTATCTTTCCTTCTTATGGTGAGTTTAGATTAAAAGGGCAGTTACCATATAGAGGGGTATGTGGGAGCATACTGATGTGTGGTGTTCCTAGGTTAGAACCCACGAATACCATGTTGATATTCCAATAATGGCTTCACTATATGTGTAGTCTTTTGATTTTTAACTTTATGCTACTTTTTCATCTTTTATACTCCATGCCTCTGAAGATTTTTCTTGTTCCCTGCTAAGTTTAGAGTCCAAAGTATAATTTTAATGGTGTGCTTAAAAAAAAGATATTTTTAATTTTGCATTTCATTTTGAATCATCTACTCACATAAAAGGACTTGCAGAGATGGAGAGCCTCAATTATGTTCATAAGTAATTATGCAGCAACATTTGCTTCAAATCATTACACATCTTCAGTGGGGGTAGAAAGTCTTTCTTAATTACTGGCTGGACTGATTTTTTTCCCCTCTTGTTGAATGTATGTGGTCTCCCTGATGAGCTATTTGAAATTCTGTGTGACATGAGTATGTAGCAGTCACTCTTGCTAACTGAAGATTGGAATGTCCTATTGGTAAACAAATCTGTGAGAACCTTTCCAGCCCAATGCCTGGAGCCCTATCCATATTTATGAAATATTAGTGTCTGAAATTTGTTATTGTTTTCTCTGAAAATTTACTTATTAGATCAACACATTAAATCATAAATTTTATGTATCTATTTTTTAAAGCTTGAGTACATTTTAGAGAGCTCTGATGCTCTTATTTTACTGATTGGAAGGTAATGAGGATAAATGATTTGCACCAAGTATTTCTTAAAATTGCTGTTATTTTGACTTGAATCTGGCTCCCTATAATTTTATTATGTGGAGAAATTGTAATATGGGTAGGTCTAATATAAATAAATCATCATAAGGAATACAAGGAGTAAGATGTACAACAAAGACATTGAAAGTTAGCTAACTATGATATCTGAATTAAGTAACTATAGTAAGCTGGTTTTGTTTTGTGTAGAGTTCAAAACCTCAAAGGTGCAATACCTACTTTTTCCCTCTCTCATGTAAGTGGAACAAGAGAAAAGTAAGTCACATCAACCAAGCACCTACTCCTTGACAAGCAGTTGAGGAAAATTGGACTTGAAGAAGTTAAGGAAATGACCTGAGTTCATGCAATTAGTAGGGGCCCAAGCTAAGACAGGACTCATTCTTGCCGGCATTCAAGACTTTTATTGTTCTTTGCATCAAATTATTACGGCTTAAGTGGGGAACATCTCTACAAGTTCTGTGAGTTTGAATAACCCAGGTTAAATTGTATCCTAGTATATTGTGAAAGAGTAGATCGAAGATCTAGAGTTTTAAAGAAGCTTCTTATGGGCCAGGATCAGCTAGTAATGATGTCTGTGCTCAGTATAAGGATGAACATCTTCTTTCTTTTTTCTTTTCTTTTCTTTTCTTTCTTTTATTTTCTTTCTTTCTTTCTCTCTTTCTTTCTTTCTCAGGAGCTCTGTCTGCTGCCCAGGCTGGAATGTGGTGGCATGATCAGGGCTCACTGCAGCAGCCTTGACCTCTCAGGCTCAAGTGATCCTCCCACTTCAGCCTCCCAAGTTGTTCGGACTATGGATGCCTGCCACCATGTCCAGCTTATTTTTTTTTCTTTTTCTTTTTTCGTTTTCTTTTTTTTTTTTCTTTTGAGACAGAGTCTTGCTCTGTCGCCTGAGCTGGAGTGCAGTGGCACGATCTCGGCTCACTGCAACCTCCGCCTCCCCGGTTTAAACAATTCTCCTGTCTCCGCCTCCTGAGTAGCTGGAATTACAGGCATGCGCCACCATGCCCAGCTAATTTTTGTATTTTTAGTAGAGACTGGGTTTCACGGTATTGGTCAGGCTGTTCTCGAATTCCTGACCTCAGGTGATCCACCCGCCTTGGCCTCCCAATGTACTGGGATTACAGGAGTGAGCTACCGTGCCTGGCCCTTTTGCTTTTTCTTTGGCTTTTTTTTTTTTTTTTTTTTCTGAGGCAGTCTCACTCTGTCACCCAGGCTGGAGTACAGTGGCGTGATCTCGGCTCACTGCAACCTCTGCCTCCTGGGTTCAAGCAATTATCCTGCCTCATCCTTCCGATTAGCTGGAACCACATGCATGTACCACCATTCCCGGCTATGTAGAGATGGGGTTTCGCCAGGTGGGCCAGACTGGTCTTGAACTCCTGGCCTCAAGCGATCTGCCCACCTCAGTCCCCCAAAGTGCTGGGATTACAGGCATGAGCCACTGTACTCAGCCAGGATGAACATTTGAAATGCTCTTAGTTCTGTATGGCCTTCATATACTCTTGAAAGAGATATTCTTTGTAAAATAGTCAAATAGTTAAGCCTTTCATATGAGTGATAGACTTTGCTAGGTTGTTTAGAGGAAAAGAAACATCATAAAAGGTTTCTGTCCTTAAAATTTTTTAAATTAATTGGGGCATACTGTTAGCACTCATACTGTTAGCACTTGGACCATACACATAGTACCCAAATATTACTAAATTGGGTCATGCACAGCACAGATTATAGGTGTATGACTTAAAGGAAAAACCTATTTCAATATTAATGTAATAAAAGGAAATTCAGGAACTAATTATTTTCAGGGGCAATAACTTGGAAATTTATGTATTGCTTAATATAGTGATTAAAATACAAGCAGAAGTGTTATTTACTGAAAAGTAGTAGTGCTCTTAGTACCCTTAAAACGAAAATGGAAAAGGTAATTTGACACTGTTATAGAACTGAATTATAATAATGTGAGTATTTTGACTAATAAAGTGTTTAATGTGCAGACTGAAATAACTAATGATGTTTTTCTAGTAGGTAGCAGCATTGTCCATGTTAGGCAGTAAGTCTTAAAACACTTTTAATTTCCTGAGTACACTAAGGTTTTATCAGTCACCTTTAGTTTTGTTTTGTTTTGTTTACAAGTGAGGAATCAGAAACATAATTGATTTACAAAGCTTTTCAGAGTCCTCACAAAAATTTATAATTGGAACTAAACCTACTTCCTAGTGCTTGAGTTACTTTCATGGTAACACTGTAGAAACACAGAGTACTGAAATTTGAAGAGGATTCGAAATCAGTTGTCCTTACCTCTCTATAATTTTATAGACAAAGCAAGGTCTTTTCTTACACAGCTTGTGAGTAGCAAATCCAGGATTATCTGTTAAGGTTTTGTTTGAATTTTTGTTTTTAGAGTGGCTTTTCGTTTTCATTTAAAAGAGAATTTACACCATCCAAATTGTTGGTTTTTGTGAATATCTTAAAAATATTTACAGTGAAGAGATCATTGACTTTAAGAAAAGAGGCATCAAAGTAATCCCACCTCTATGATAGATACTAGTACCAATAAACATGCTATTAGCTAATTTTGGCAAATGTCACCCTTGATTAATCCATATTACTGTAAAAAGTTATATGTATACAATGTAATGCTGTTTATATATCATCATTCTTGCTGTGATAGGTGCTATAAGGGTAAACCAAGGAGACCTCATCTACTCATAAATGTCAGAGGGCTTCTGAAGTCAACCTGAAGCTAAACTTTGAAGGAGGAGAGAGGGAGTCAACTAGGTGAAGGTGGGTGGGGTTGATAGGCAAGGATTAGCTTTAGAGGGTTTTTACAAAGGTACAGAGGGAGGTAAGAGCTCCTTAGCCTTGTGGGGAAAGATAAAAGTCCTGTGTGGCTGGAGGTTTGATATTATGGGAAATGTAGTCTCAGATATAGCCAGAAAGGTGAGCAGAGGCCAGATAATCCTGAACTATGTAGAGAATATTAAAGGTTTTCCTTTTTGTCCCAAGAGCAACGGGATGCACTTAAAAACCTTTTAAAGAATGGAATTACAAGATGAGATTTGCCAGTGCCCTGAGAAAGCAAGCTTACGTTTTTTTTTCTTTAAGGGGAATTTGTTTGGATTTTAAATGTTAAATGCAAAATTGGAAAATTTGAAATGGCATTTTCACAAATTAAACTGCATTGTCTCAAATTGAATTCTATTGTGTTTTTATAATTGTACCTTTGTGTTTCTGCCCAGCATAGTAGCCCTTAAAATGTTAATTGATCCTCGAACAAATCCTTAGTCCTTCCTTAGCCCACTCTCGGTGTCTCTGCAATGCAGGTGTAGCTGTTTTAGGGCCCCATTGGTGCACATTGTATCTTGCTGTTTAGTGTGAGAATAGTTTATTGGTGATACTGACACTAGTTTACAGATAGCTAGATACAATATTAGTAGAACATCAGATATCAGTGGAGTTTTCCCTGCAGAGCAATATGTCCTAGAAGCCTTTTTTTCTTACAATGACACCTTACCATGTCCTAATGGTATCTTGAAGATACACTGTATGTCTTCAGTTTTAATTGTTTTTCTGTTTAGTGTATTTGGAAGACCAAGCAATAGCTGTTAGTTTTATGCGTTAAAAATACATATGAAGTAAAATATTATAAACAATCTAAATGTCAGGGCAATGGATTATGGAATCTTCATTCATTGGAATACTCTATAGTAGTTAATGAAAAAGTTACATAAATATAGATAAATCTTAGAAACCTATTGAATAAAAATGCAAGTTTCAGAATGCTGCTTAGCTTAAGATATATTTCAGTTAAGTTTTAAATGTATACCAAACAATACCATATATTTTACATGGAAAAATATTTAAGTAGTAAAAATATGAAATCACAGGGTAGATAGTCCATATCAACTTCAAGAAGGTGGTAACTTCTGCAAGGGAAGGCGAGGGAATAGATTTAGAGGTAGGTTAAAACAATATTCTGTCTCACTTCTAAAAGAGAAAACATGGTTGAAATAAGTAACAGGAAAATGGATATTTGTTCTGGGTGATAGGAGGTGTATGAGAAATATCAAATAAGTTTAACAAAACCCAGGATATTGCCATTGCTTTGACTTTGATGGCAAATGACAGCTAAAAATGGTTTAAACTATAATAAGGTTACTATATATCTAGAGAAAGGTGGCCTTCTGCCTTCTGGTTTGACCACCTAACCATGATACCATGAGCTTCTCCTGTGCATCAGCAGTTTCTCTCCTATTTTTAAGGTGGCTGCAACTGCAAACATCAAATTCTCAAAGCAGGTCACCCAAAATGGGAAGGGGAAAGAATGAGAGCCCTTTTTTCTGTTATTGGTTGGAAAGTATTTTGCAAAAGAGTACATTATGTCTCATTGATCAGAGCTTCAGAGCATGGGCCAACTCTAATTATAACATACGGCCTGGCAGATCATAAGTAGTAAATAAATATTTGTTGAATGAGTCTGTCTTTAGCAAAGGGGAATGGGATTGCCATGATTGTTTTGGGAGGTTTCTTCTTGTGGGTGATCTTCATCTTCAGGCCAAACTCTTTGTTGATGCTGTTGTATTTTTCCTGAAATTGTCTCTAATACTTAGGGTGGAAATCAGATTATTGGTGGTGGTGGTGGTGGTGTTTTAAAAAAGAGCTCAGAAATTATTAATCTCAATCCTTTAATTTTTCCCATATGGGAAAGTAGATGTTCAAACAGGTCGTGGCACTGCTGACACTGGAACTCTGTCCTTGATTTCTGCTCCAGGGCTGGCTCTGTGTATGTACATTCCTTTTCAAAGACTACAGAAAAATCACCAATGCAGTGAATCTCCTTCAGGATCGTACGAAGAACTTTTGATGAGGCCGAAAAATGTGCTAAGAAAAGGTTTTGAGTAGTATAGAAGTCTTCTTTGCATTCCTTAGCATTATGTCGCTGACTAAAACCGGACTCATGGCTAGGTCTTGCCTTCACAGTTGATAGAAAGTGGGTTATACAGAACGTTTTATCTGTGAAATAGCCAACCATTACCATTTTGAAGTGATCTGAAGATCTGTATGAGCTTCTCAGGCTAGACAGCCAGGTTAATAACCATTTCTTTTCACGGACTCAAACATGCTAGGTTTCTCTGATTATTTTCTTTTCCTGGCCTTCTAGCTGAATTCATTTGGCTGTGAAGTTAAAAAAAAAATCTTTAAAATATAACTCTGCAAGCTAGTGGTTACATAGTAAGATTTCTTGCTAAACTTGCTTCCTCATTCTCCCTTCCCTTCCACAGCTAGACTTTATGTACAAGTTTTTTTTTTTTTTGACGCAAAGTTCCTGTTTTTAATTATGTGTGTAATTTCTTAAATAAAAGGAAACTTATAGTATACATTTTCAGACTGAATAAATATTATACTATTGTACACTGTTTCATCAAGTAATTATATTGTAAATCAGTATCTGAGTGAGGAGCATGGGGTACCTCTATATTTTGTCCTGTGTAATAATTTGTCCTGCATTATTGTCTGGAGTGTATCTTCCATAATTCAAAAAAATTTCTTTGCAAAGCAGTGGTGACGTTTTATTAAACTCATTAATTTATAAGGCTTAGCCAAAAAACAAACACTGAAAGGCACAAATCTTCACTACAAATAAATTATGTGCCAGTGGCGACTACTAATTCAAAGCAGCTTTTGAATTTTAGCAGAAAGTTCTAAACTTCTCTGAATTATACCCTTAACTTAATTTGTCATCCCAAGAAATAGCTTTTTTAAAAGGAGGAAAAAGGGACGGAAGACAAAGGGAAATGTAAAATAGATTAGTCTTGGGAAGCAAATATTTTAGATCCAGTTTTGCAGTCCCAGTTCCCTGTTGGTCCCACTTCCCGTGGAAATTTAATGTAAAACTTAGGCCATGCCCATGGAAGGCACCATGCAAGAGATTTAGTACTACCCCAGTTCTATCCAAGATGGTGTCAGACTAGCACAAAAATCAGTCTAATTGTAGTTAGGCATGGCTGCTTTCTCTCAGTGGAGAGTTTCTTTCTCCCTATGCATTTTTGTCGTCTTTTCCAAAATGTCAATAAACTTTATGGAGTAGAACATCTAATGTTGCCATATATTCTGGAGTGTTTTTTAATGACAAAGTTGTTTATTTTTTAAGGTAGCAAGATGGAAAATATTTTGTTTTACCGTAGCATAATAAACCAATAAAACCAGCTGGACAAACATTTATCAACTAAAGTAGGTGCTAAAGCCAGGCGAGAATCCCAGTATGAAGCTTGATCAAGTGTTAAGAGCCTTATTGCAGTTTATGGCAGAAATTTTCAGAATTACTTGTGAGGCTACAAAGAAGTATCAACTAAAACTAAGTCAAATAAAAAAACTTCTATGTTTTAAAATTTCAGCAGTTTGGGCTCTGACAAGTCTATGCTCTTGAGGTTCTTTCTTGAAGAGATTGTGGAAGAAAAGCAATTAAACATATCTATTTCTTTTTCTCAAAATGCTTTATTCATTCAGTTGATTCATGCTCACAAAATGTGTAGTATATTGCCAAACAACTCTGCAAGGAAAACAAAAATCCTAAATAAATCTGCCAAATATACAGCTGTTAATCTGTTAGCTAATTGGAATATTGACAAATTCAGTAATGCATTCAAGATTTTTTAGCTCAGCTTTAAGAAACTATAATGCTGACCAGAGCTCTGTCTTGACACTCAAGGCTGTTATCCATTACATGAATAATTGGTTTCCAAAACGTGAGGCAAATATAGCCAAGTAAGTAGGAGGACTGGGGAATGTTTTTCCATGGTCTTCTCTTAAACAAAACAAATAAACATAGCAATACAAGAACTGTACCAACAGATGATAATTACCCAGTAGATCTCTTTAAAATGATTTTCAAAACTTAGAGATCTGAGAAAAAATATCTAATTTAAAAACTTGTGGACTTTGGTAATTAAGAAGTTATAACTGTTTAAAGTGTGGCATGTGTGCTGTTGATTTTAAGGGATGTACATGTAACCATTTTAATATTTAAGAATTACTACTAGAAATATAATTAGCATGTCAGATTGCCCATGGATATTATTGCTAAGAACAAGGCAAAACATATTAACAATAAGGAAGCAAAAATGAGACAACTTACAGGAAGACATTAATTAGTAATACAATTGTTACATGAATGTGGCAGATATCATGGACGTTCTATATGGATGACTAGTATTTGGGAAACACTGGATTGTGATTATCCGTCTTAGAGGTGCTGTCCTACAGAGAGAGAAAAAGGTTGAATCTTAAGAGTTAAGTGCCCTTGAAATTTGTCTATTGTAGCCCTTGTAACTCTATAACCTCTGTTTGTGAATATCCAGTAATGGAGAATTCGCTAAGTTCCGACTTGGCAGCCTCCATCATCAGATATATCTCACAGCTATAGTTCCTTCAACATCTAGCTTTTAGTAATTCCCACATCTCAGTCTTACCTAATGATAGGCAATGATAGGTACAGAGTAATCGCTCTTTGCTGGATGGAATTTTAGTTATTTAAAGACATTTATCATCCTCCTTTTTCCAAGTCACCGTTTACTGGATAAATGAGCCTCTCTCCTTCAGTAATTCTCAAAATGACATGATTCCAAAGTGTCCGTGTCATCTTGGTTGCTATTTTGAATGCCTCCTTATTTTAAGGTATCTTTCCCAACAGTTCCCTAATCTTGGATGATTTACTTAATCATTCTGCAAAGAAGGATAGTAATTTAATTCCACAAACACTATGAGATGGTGAACTTGAGTTCTTCTGTTATAAATTATGTCACATAAGCTGTAATTCATAGATATTTATCATCATTTTATTATTTTTTTTTTTGAGATGCAATCTTGCCCTGTCGCCCAGGCTGGAGTGCGGTGGTGCTATCTCGGCCCACTGCAACCTCTGTCTCCCGAGTTCAAACAATTTTCCTGCTTCAGCCTCCTGAGTGTGCACCACCATGCCCAGCTAATTTTTGTATTTTTAGTAGAGCTAGGGTGTTGCCATGTCACCCAGGCTGGTCTCAAACCCCTGAGCTCAGATTGATTCCCTCACCTTGGCCTCCCAAAGTGCAGGGATTACAGGCATGAGCCACCACACCTGGCCTATTGTCATCATTTTAACTCGTAGCTATTATCACTATTAGTCCTGATTATTATGTGTGCCAAATATAATACATAACAATACTGAGAAAATACTTTAAGGGTATAATATCTAATTGTAGACACTATAGCTTTTTGATTATCTATTGTATTTGTTTTCATTGATGTCTAAATTTGCACTGTATTTTGTTGTTGTTCTTGGTGACATCTCACTGACTCATTGACTCTTCCTTTCTCCTAAAATGTCCCAGTATTTTTCCATGCAAATGCTGCTGACTCACATCTTCCTATCCTGTAGCTGCTAGATTTGGATCCAATTTTAGGTCTTAGGATTTAATCCTATTCCTATTAAACTTAGCTTTGTTTAACTTCAGTTGGTCATTTAATTCTTTCAGGATCTTTTTGGATACTGGACCCTGTTAACCTAATCATTCCTCCCTGCTTAGAATAGAATCAACATTTTTTTCTTAAATTAGGCGTTCTTTGCAATCTGATTTTTATTTACCTGATTATGAATGTGATGCATACTCCCTATGGAAATTATCGGTCACTTGTTGGAGTTCTATTGGAGACACAATATTTAGGCAGTTCGCATTGATATGGACATTGCAGTTGGTAAATCGCTGTTGCTCCCTGCCCCTTGAGACTTCCCTCTTCCTTGACCCCCTTATGCCCCCACTTGACGTCACATAAACCTCCGCATGGTCCAGCTTATGGAAGTTTAATGCTGCACATAGCAGAGGCCCTGTAAAGCCCTTCTCCAGTGCTGTGGCCAGTACCCATTCTCTACTAGTTGTTAATATTTTGAATATCACCCCTGGGTATAACATTATATGAGTAAAATACAGTGTCTGTGGGGCTCTAACACCATGTTTCATGTTTTCCTTTGATAATCTAGCAAAAAATAAGAAATAGCAGTAATTTTTATTTACTTATATGCATACATAAAATAGTTGAAACTTCGTAATGCCTCTGGAGAATGGAATAGCTTGTATGCTTGTATATGTTAGTCAGGAAATGATTTTGATAACCCTTTTAATGGGCTTGGTTAAGCCTAGCTAAGTGAGACACTTAGTGGCCTTCCAAAGATATCCACATCCTTATCCTCAGCACCTGTGGATGTGCTAACTTACATGACAAAAGCAACTTACAGATATGATTGAATTAAGAACCTTAAAATTGAATATTATCCTGGATTATCTGGTTGGACCCAGTGCATTCACAAAGATCCTTATAAGGGAAAGAAGGAGGCTGGAGAGTCAGGGTCAAAGGAGGAGATGGGACAAGGGAAGTCGTGGTTGGAATGATGTAATCAATTTCTGGCTTTTAAGATGGAAAAATGGGCCCTGAGTGAAGGGATGCATGTGGCCTCTATAAGCCGGAAAAGGCAAGGAACTAGATTCTCCCCTAGAGCCTCCGGAAGGAATACAGTCCTGCTGATGCCTTGATTTTAGACCACTGAAACCCATTTTGGACTTATGACCTCCAGAATAGAAATATAATAAATTTGTGTTTGTTTATCACTAAGTGGATGGTAATTCATTACAGTAACAATAGGAAACTAACACAGATCAATATCCATTTTGGGGATTGTAATTTAGCCCCTTTGCTAATAATTAAAATTATCTAGCTTTCATTCTTTTAACAATAACTACAACTAACAGGATAGAAAAAAAAAACAAAAGACAATTTGACCAGCCTTCATTCCTTCATCACTGCTGAGACAGGAAGGTTTAGGACTTTGTGTAGTAGGTTGTTCTTTCTCCCAAGCCTACTCAAAATATTTTACTGCTAGTCTGCCATCACTTTTTTCCTTTTCATCCTCGAATTCATTTAGTTTCTAATTAGTAAAGTATGTATATTAGTCATCAGGGACAAAATAAGACCATGTTAGATTAAAAATGGAAGTCCAGTTTTCAGAATGACATTTTGACAAAAACTGAAGCCTATTCTTGGAGCCTCTCATTGAGATATGATTTGGACATATGGTCCACTTTGTCATAACAGCAGCTTTTGTTCTTAACATGAATTATACTAGAAGCTGGCTTAGCATGGGTTTAACCATCTACTGCGGACCAGTTGATGCAAAACAATTACTAAGGCTGAAGTTCAGGAAATAAGATTGGATTTACAAATTAAATGATTTGATTCAATAAATGTGTACAATGGCTGGGCATGGTGACGCACATCTGTAGTCCCGGATACTTGGGAGGCTGAGGCTGGATGATCCCTGGAGCCCAGGCATTCAAATCTAGCCTGGGTAACATAATGAGACCCTGTCTCTAAAAACAAAACAAAAAAAAGGTTACGATGATGACCTCTCAGGAGACTTAAAATATTCAATTAACTGTCTGTCATCCCAGAGTTGAATTCTGAATGTAGAAAAATTACAAAGATTAATTTGGCATTATTGTAATTGTCTGTTTTTGAAGTTGCTATTTAAAGACTGTAAAGGCTTTTGGTCGATAGAAAAGTCAATAAATGCAGACTGCTCCATGGTGAAATCTCTTCCATTCCGACAGCTTTCCAGTATGTTGCACTAATTTTGCATCATTTAAACCTTTTAAATATCAGTAGCTGCCAAAGAAATGGACCAAGGGGAATTGACTAAAACAAAGTTGTGCTGCTTTATTGTGTATTATTCTTTTAGGATTATCTATTTTATTATTTTAAATCAGTAAATTATACATGGGGGCAAATGGCTTCCCTAGTACAGGGATCTCATGTTTGGAGATTATAGAGTAACAGAAGCAGCACTAGAACAGTAGTTCGAAGATGCAATTTTTTCATAATTTTGCTACTTGCTGTGAAATCTTGGTTGAAAATCTTTATTTACATCACAAAAAGATGGGAGAAAGCATTTGTGAGAACACATAATGTATATAAAAAATACTTGGAAATCTAGAAAGTTCTTCACATACATTAAGTAATGGTAGTTGTCCTACAAACTTCCCTATCCTTCTTCTCCCCTCCCTTAGCCATTTTTGGGGTCCAGATGGGATCACAAGATAAGGCAGGCTGGTGCAACCAGTGCTCACTTATTGTGGGGACAGCATCAGTGTCATGTCATCAACACCCTGTGACAACTGTGGCTTTGTTATTCTGATGTTGAATTACTCTCCTATCATTTCCCTCCCTCAAAATGACTAATGCACCATAATCAATGTAAAAACAGTGTTAGTCCCAGAATAGTTGTTTGTGAGCATAATGAAGATAATGAAACTCTTGTTTTGCTTGAAAGTTAGGCTTTTAGTTGAGTGCACTCCCTACCATGATGATCGTTTTCAGCATGTGGAGCCCATTAAGCAGTGTTGGAGCTGGATTCACAGTTTAATGTGCTAACACTGCATCTGTTTCTACCCTGATGATAACCCCTGGATCAGTTTATAACTTATGTAGAAGTTCAAGATGTGGTGTAGTTAATTTCTAAAACAACTGTTGATCTTTATATGTGTGAACCCCCTGGTCTTTTACATTCCAGATGAATCCATTGCCATTTGAATATGTTTATACCTGTATGTGCTTTCAGAGTGGGAAGTAAAAACACATGTCCCCTCTAGGGGCTTTATTTTCACTTAAATTCTTCTGCAGGGTGACAGTGATGAGCTTATTAATATTTTTTCTTGTTTTTTTTTTTTTTTGAGATGAGTAGGACGATGGCTTTATGGTGTACTTTTGTAACCTTTATTAAATCTTCATCTAAAATGAATTGCTGATGGATGATTTCCTTCCTGCTTTGTCAAAACACATGCATATTCTCAGTCCAAGCCATTTATGATGCCATAAGTAAGTTATTGATTCCTCTTGGGAGCTGTGAAATGCCTGGGCATTAAAAATTAAAGAAAGGTGATTCTGTTACTGAGGCTGCATGCCTTATCTCTGTGGCTAGCTAAAAGCAGAGTGCCAGTTCACTGGAGCTTTGAAAAATGACTTTTCCCAATGACCTGCTGCCTTTTAAAGACAGCAGAGTTTGGAGTTCCTTTTTAAAGTGGTAAATGCGCTTAGAGAGTTGTACTACAGTTTTATTCCCATTAGAAAGATTGAACTTCTCCCCAGGATGCCCTCAGAGGGGAAACCATTAGAAGACAGGACCACTATAACATTTGGTCATCCTATTCTGTTATTCTCCCCAAGGCAACTTTTAATGTTTTTCAATGTGAGAATCTATCTATTCTGAGTAGAGTGACCATAGTAAAGTGCATGACATTCCCTTTTTTCCACAGGTGATCAGATTTCTGATCCTAGACTCTTCTAGGTTGTATTTTAGGCCATCATAAATTATAGCCAATTTACTCCCCACCTGTGTAGGGCTGACTTATATGAAGGGTGTAAAGAGGGCACTTTCAAGTATTATGTTGACCTTTATTTTTATTAACAAAGATACAAGAGGTTTCACATTGTCCTGTTGTTTAGAAGTGGCCATCTTTAAAAACATAATAAAGTGTGTAATTGGAAATGCCTGGCTAGTTCTTTTCCTAATTTGTGCAAGAAAAAATAGGCAGAAGACATTATGGTTGTTTTATTAGAATCGATTATCTTTAGTCAAGAAGATGTACCCAAGGTCAGCTTCTTTGGTAGTGTGCAACTGTCATCCTTCTGATGAGTCTGCTTCCCAAAATATCTTAATTAGGCTGTGAACAGTGATATAAGTCCTGTAACTTCTTTTTATTTTATGCTTTTTGATCACCTCACTTAACCTTGCTGTCATCCATCTTTCCAGCTGAGTTTGGCTGCTGTGAACATCATTCTTGTGCTCTTAGATTGGCTATTGGGCTTAATTTATGATTAATGCAAGCAAAATTTCACATGGGTGCAGCGTGGGAGAGAGGAGCAAAGTCCTAGAGAATATGCAAAGAGGAAAGATAAATGATACCAGTAACTGCATGCTATATATAGGGGTATTGACCAACATTTCAGGAAAAAGTGCTCGCCTACAGCATCCAGGAAGGCGAGGCAGGTGAATCACTGTAACTGAAGCAGTCATTTGTGAAGCCCCTACTGTGCGTCATGCACTGTGCTTTGGAGTTAACCTAGTTACCTTATTTACTGTTCACCATAAACAACATTTTTTAGATGAAAACTTGAATCCTAACAGCTAGTAAGTCCAAGAGGAATGATTTCAATCAAAATTTGGCAAACTCTAAAGTGTGTGTGTATGTGTGTTTAACACAGTGTGGATTTGGGGAGTTGCTTCAGATAAGAGATGAATGTAGACTTTTGTTTTCTTCACATATTGGAGTAAAAAGTTAGATTGGTTGTTCTTAGATTTCTCTGAATACCATCTTCCATTCTTATGTTTAAATTTTACTTGTTCATTTTATGCCTTGTGAATTTATTTAATTAGCACGGTTACTTGTACATAGAAAAAATATTATTTTATTGGCAGTGGCCAGGGTGACAGAAATTATGTTTATTGTGATGGTCACGATTGAATAAAAATGATCTCATGGTCCTGGTTTTGGGATTTCTAGTCTTTGCAGAGGTTATCTGATGTAGTAGTCATAGACATGGAGAGCTAAAAAGGCACTGCGCGTATACACCTGTTCCAAGTATATGAATTTGGGGTCAGCAAAAGGCTAAACTATACCATCACTTGAGATTTTACTTTTGTTTTGTTCCGGTTTGTTTTGTTTTTCTTTGAGGTGGAGTCTTGCTCTGTAGCCCAGGCTGGAGTACAGTGGCGTGATCTTGGCTCACTTCAGCCTCCACATTCCAGGTTCAAGCAATTCTCCTGCCTTATCCTCCTGAGTAGCCGGGATTACAGGTGCCTGCCACCATGCCTGACTAATTTTTGTATTTTTAGTAGAGACGGGATTTCACTATGTTGGCCAGGCTGGTCTCAAACACCTGACCTCAGGTGATCCACCCACCTCAGCCTCCCAAAATGCTAGGATTACAGGTATGAGCCACTACACCTGGCCAAGATTTTACTGTTCTTAAAGGGACATGTTAGTGCTTCATAATTTATCTGTTCATAACTGAGATCTGAAAAAGCTGATAGTTTTCACATAACATTTATCATATATGTGTATATATCAAGTGCCTGCTATGTGATTTATTTAAAGGGCTACAGAATAAAACGTGTTAGAGCTCCCTGAAATCTAATTTATTTCTTGATTATTAAAGTTTGGTCAAGAAATGATATAAAGATTAGAAAGTACTACAGTATATATTAGGATGTCAGTAAATTTTAATGCTAGAGTTAATATCTCTCTTTCTCCCCTCATTCTTGGATGAAATATCTCTTGCCTTCCATGACAAATTAGAGTTGCTGGTGGTTTGCAGACCAAATGTTTGGGTACTTTGTGTAAGCTCATCTGTGTTATTTTTAAATTAGAGTGTTTTCCTCCTTGCCTATCTGTTTTTCATCAGCGCTCGCATATCCGTGTGTCCGAAAAAACTCTGATTTAGCTGTGAGGCTGATTTTAATGTAGGGATGTCTGTGTACCCTGTCATCACTGGCAGCCCTGGTGAAACTTCCCATGTTTCGCATGTGTGTTGCTACAATATGTTCAAAGTCTGATCTTTCTCAGATGTATGTGTGTGTGTATAACTATTTTATAGCTGAAAAGGGATGCAGGCAGCAAAGTCTCTGCCAGAATATGTTTTCTATTTAAATTTTGTAATATGAAATTATAGGTTAGCGTTTGGCTCTCATAAAGCTGCCTTTTCCACCCGTCACTGCAAGACAAGTAACACCTTCTTTTGACTCAAGTTTTCCAAGATTCCTTAGTGTTAAAAGAAGACTTTCTTTTTGAAATGCAGAAATTAAAAGAATATGGTACAAAAGTGTTTTTTATAGCTTTATTGAGTCTTGAGGGCAGATATATGGATTCCAGACAAAATGCAATAATAGACTGGGATTTTACTTTCAAATCGTCTTGCAAACACTTCTCACTGGAGATTTATTGTACATGTGGAGGAACACAGGCTGCTTTGAAGGTTAAATGGAGTAGTTTGGAGAACGGTGTTCAAGTCCTTTCTGCCTCTTATTAAGTGTATGCACTTCTTTAATTAACTTAACCCCTCCAACTTCAGTTTTCTAGTTTGTAGCATTATTGAAGATAAATTGAGATAATATGTGTGCTTTGTAAACTTTGTCAATCTCAATGTAAATATGATGTGACACTAGTGTTTTATTGTGTCTGTTTAGTTAGCATTAGTGCCTTGTTGTTGTATTGGCCCCATTGAGTGATTCAAATTTTTTTTTCCTCTGGTAGAGAATCTAGACAAATTCTGTCAGAACTGAGAATAAGATACCTCTTAAAACCCTATTTACAATCACAAAGCAGTTCAACGAGTCATCAAAAACAGCAGCAGACATAGTATATATTGTAGAAATATGGCTTGTACGTGAAATGTAGTTTTCCTGAAACTGAAAGATAAACAGTATATAGCATATGTAATAATATGGTACTGTCTCTATGGTATAGTAGGGCTTATTATTTTTCTAGGGCTGCCGTAACAGACCACCACAGACTGGGTAGCATAAACAATGGAATCTTATGTTCTCACAGTTCTAGACTTTAGAAATCAAGATCATGGTGTCAGCAGGTTTGGTTTCTCCTGTGGCCTCACTCCTTGGCTTGCAGATGGCCACATTCTTGCTGTGTCCTAGCATGGTCTTTCTTTTCTCATGTGCATTTCTGATGTCTCTGTGTGTGTCCAAATTTTTTTTCTTGGACACCAGTCATGTTGGATTAGGACCCACCCGAAATGCCTCATTTTAACTTAACCACCTCTTTAAAGATCCTATCTACAAATACAGTCACATTCTGAGGTACTGGAGATTAGGACTTCAACATATGAATTTGGGGGTGGCAAGGCAGGACATGGCACAGTGTGTGTGGCACATAACAGGGAGAGCAGTAGACAAAGAGCAGTGACAAAGTTAAATTCTTGTATGTGCAGCTCTGATCTTTACTGACCCTAATAGTCTCGAGTAGGACTCTTAATTTCTTTCTTTCTTTTTTTTTGTCTCGCAGTAGCACAATCTCGGCTCACTGCAATCTCTGCCTCCCGGGTTCAAGCGATTCTCCTGTCTCAGCTTCCCAAGTAGCCAGGATTACAGGTGCCCGCCACCACGCCCAGCTAATTTTTCTATTTTTAGTAGAGACGGGGTTTCACCATGTTGGCCAGGCTGGTCTCGAACTCCTGACTTCAAGTGATCTGCCTGCCCTGACCTCCCAAAGTGCTGGGATTACAGGCGTGAGCCACCATGCCCAGCAGGACTCTTACTTTCCAGTGTCCACATCCATATCCACTTACTCACAGAGTCATGATGAGGCTTGAAGAAGATCATGAACCTGAGTACATTTTGTAAAATGTAAAAAGGTGATACAAATACAAGGTAGTATTATAACAGGAATACCTGTGAGGGATAGATTGGCAACATGTAGAATATTTTAAGTATGAAAGGGTAAGGATTATTGCAAACATTTGTGTAAAATAAGCTTCTTGGCTATTCTGTATGGCTGCAGGAGTTCTGGGTAAAGAAAGGTGATTTGGGCCGGGTGTGGTGGCTCACACCTGTAATCCCAGCACTTTGGGAGTCCGGGGCGGGTGGATCACTTGAGGTCTGGAGTTCAAGACCAGTCTGGCCAACATGGTGAAACCCCGTCTCTACTAAAAATACAAAAATTAGACGGGTCTGGTGGCAGGCGCCTGCAGTGCCAGCTACTTGGTAGGCTGATGTACGAGAATCACTTGAACCCAGGAGGCGGAGGATGCAGTGAGCCATGATCACACCACTGCACTCCAGCCTGGGCGACAGAGTGAGACTCGGTCTTGGGAGGACAAAAAAGTTGATTTGGTTAAGACTCAATTCAGAGAAGACAGGAGTATTAGGTGAGCAGATAAGCTAAACATCTGGATAATGCATCATGAATGTCTTTCCACTCCCAAGACTTCGTTTCCTAGAGCCTGTTAGTTTCTCCCTTTAAAACTTTTTCCCCTTTTACTTTCCTGGTCTGGTAGTTTTCAGGCTGAGGAGTCAGTGGATTCACAATCAGTGTTCATAGCCAGAGGGTACTTTTCCTATTTACCCTAGGTGAAGATTATGACCCCACAGGATGTGAATTTTTTTAAAGTAATACTTGAATAGTTAGAGGAAAATTGCCATGTACTTTATCTGTTCTGAAATGTGTACAGCACATGCGTAAAGGCAAGTATTTTAACTGGGTGTATTCTTAGCTTGCCATGCCTGCATCCTTAGAGAGTATATTTGGATAATCAAATCCCTAGGCACAAAGATTATACCTTTTGTTCTGCAAAAGCACATAGACCAAGACCATGCACAAAATAGGTGTTATTGGAATCTGATGGTTATAGTTACGTTCTCTCTTTTAGAATCTAGTGTTCCAGCCGGGCGCAGTGGCTCAAGCCTGTAATCCCAGCACTTTGGGTGGCCGAGGCGAGCAGATCACGAAGTCAGGAGATCGAGACCATCCTGGCTAACACAGAGGAACCCCGTCTCTACTAAAAAATACAAAAAGTTAGCTGCGCTTGGTGGCGGGCGCCTGTAGTCCCAGCTGCTCGGGAGACTGAGGCAGGAGAATGGCGGGAACCCAGGAGGCGGAGCTTGCAGTGAGCCGAGATCGCATCACTGCACTCCAGCCTGGGCGATAGAGTGAGACTCCGTCTCAAAAAAAAAAAAGAATCTAGTGTTCCATAGAGCTCATTCATTTTTGAAAGCATCGAACTTCATTAAAAAAAGTATAATCTCGTATTCATTCCATCCCTTGAAGTCAAACAGTAATCATGTTTTTAATATAGAAAAACTGTAAGGGGCCGGGTGCGGTGGCTCACACCTGTAATCCCAGCACTTTGGGAGGCCGAGGTGGGCGGATCACTTGAGGTCAGGAGTTCAAGACCAGCCTGGCCAACATGGTGAAACCCCATTTCTACTAAAAATACAACAAATTAGCTGGGCGTAGTGGCGGGCGCCTGTAATCCTAGCTACTTGGGAGGCTGAGACAGGAGAATCGCTTGAACCTGGGAGACAGAGGTTGCAGTGAGCCGAGATCGTGCCACTGCTCTCCAGCCTGGGTGACAGAGCGTGACTGTCTCAAAAAAAAAAAAAAAAAAAAAAAAAAATATATATATATATATATATATTGAACTAGTCACACATTGCAACATACCACAAATACCACAAATCCTCAAGACCTTATTGTAGGGGAAACATAGTATTAGATGTAAAAATTTTGAAAATGAACTTTTTAATGTAGCTATGAGTTGATGAAAACCTACAAAATCAAAATTCATAAATTATGTAAACAAATGGACTAAAGTGGTTCATGTATAGTACCTGATTTAACTTTTAGGTGTGAGAAAGCCTTACAGTATCCCTTCTAGTTGTTTCTAATTTCAAATCTGGAAAATTAGAAACAAGTTATTTTCATTAAGCTTTTAAATTGAAACTCTGATACAGTATAGTACGGTGAGAAGGAGGTGAGGTGTACTGAATTATGTTAGGATGTTCTGATATGGATATAGTGACCAACTGATTATGTGCAAAATATTTATACTGTTTTTCATCATGCAAATTGCAAGTCTGTGAAAAGTAGCTCAAGTTGTTTCACTCATTATTTTAATCAGTGAAAGTGCTTAGAGTGTGGTATTTCTCATATTTTCATGTTGTATTAGTTTTTGCTTTAATTTTGCAAAATGCTTTTCATATAACATTTAAAAACATCTCTAGGTAACTCAAGTTTTAATTATACGTGATAAACATTCTTTTAAATGGTTTATTAGTTTTCAGGGTCACAGTGTTTTTTGTGTTTGTTTTTTTTTTTTTTGATATTTCCTGTAGAAATTGTGAAAATGACAGCATTGCTTTATCGGGGGAACTAAAGATATTTTTAAAAATATTTAGCCAACATTCTACTTCCTCATTTTCTCCTACTAAGAGGAAAGAGTGCCAGTGCCATGGCTCACGCCTGTAATCCCAGCACTTTGGGAGGCCGAGGCAGGCAGATCACTTGAGGTCAGGAGTTCGAGACCAGCCTGGCCAACATGGTGAAACCCCATCTCTACTAAAAATACAAAAATTAGCCAGCATTGTGGCGCACACGTATAGTCCCAGCTACTTGGGAGGCTGAGGCAGGAGAATCGCTTGAACCCAGGAGGCGGAGGTTGCAGTGAGCTGAGATCATGTGACTGCACTCCAGCCTGGGCAACAGAACGAGACTCTGTCTTTTTTTTAAAAAAAACGAAAAACAGGAAAGATTGTCTAGGTAAACTTCTTGACTTGAGATGAGAAGGAGCTTCCTCATCATCCATGGAAGCTCTATGAAGGCAAATCTCCAACATCTTGGGGGCTGAGTTTAGCTGCAGCTGGGGCCATTTTTAATCACAAGTTGACTTTTCTTTTTTCTTAGGGGCCTAGGGTTAGGGAGGTATATCTTGCTGTGCAGATATAGCTCATAAAATTCCTTTATTGCTTATCGGAAAAACTCGTAAAGGGATGGAAGCGGGATCCACTAAGAATATTCCTGTAGTTGGAAGACTTAGCATTCGTAGAATTTTCTCAAAACCAGCAGTTATTCGGGGTCGCTGACCATTGGGTGTCTGACAACAGGCTCTTTAATAACTTCCTGTATTCTCTTTTCATTCAACATATGTGTGGTAACAATTTATTAAGTGCCAGCATTTATTAATGCTTACAAAGTTGTCATTTTTGTCCATGAAAGTTTTACAATCTAGTAGGAAGAGATCAAGATAAAAACAAGCAAATTTGGAAAAGTGTTACCAGTGTAATGATAAACGCTTGTCCAAAGCGTAGTGCCTTCCTTTACCCTAGGGACCTAGAAACCTAACACTGCCCCTAACAACCCAGCACCCCACACTGTAATTTATTTGCCCTACCTTAATTTCATACAGGAATCTGAAATACAGTGCTCATCCCCAAAGTAAGATGAGCTTTAGATGCATAGTATTTCTCTCATTCTCTTACCCTATTAGCCAAGTATTTGCATATTAACTGGAGCTTTCTAAATATAATGGCTTATCCCTAAAGAGGTACTCTAATGAAGGGATTATAGGTTAAGTGGCAAATGAGTGCCAAAGACATGTGGCTAAGCCAGTTAACCTGGTGGTTTTTCACAGTTAATTATCATTGAGTGAGTAGAGGTTAGTGGCCTGAGTGAACCACTTTTAGATGAAAGTGATAATTCCCTACATACTTAAAACAATCTAGAATTTTCCAAAACGGTAAATGCAGTTTATCAGTACCAATCATCTCTAATTAGAATTTAATTTATTAACCCAGCAATCCCATTACTGGGTATATACCCAAAGGATTATAAATCATGCTGCTATAAAGACACATGCACACGTATGTTTATTGTGGCACTATTCACAATAGCAAAGACTTGGAACCAACCCAAATGCCCATCAGTGATAAACTGGATTAAGAAAATGTGGCACATATACACCATGGAATACTATGCAGCCATAACAAAGGATGAATTCATGTCCTTTGCAGGGACATGGATGAAGCTGGAAACCATCATTCTCAGCAAACTATCGCAAGGACAGAAAACCAAATACCGCATGTTCTTACTCATAGGTGGGAATTGAACAATGAGATCACTTGGACACAGGGCAGGGAACATTACACACGGGGGCCTGTCAGGGGGTGTGGGACTTGGGGGAGGGATAGCATTAGGAGAAATACCTAATGTAAATGAGGAGTTGATGGGTGCAGCAAACCAACATGGCACATGTATACCTATGTATCAAGCCTGCACGTTGTGCACATGTACCCTAGAACTTAAAGTATAATAATAATTTTAAAAAAGAATTTAGTTTATTAGATACATATTGAGTACTATGTATGTTAGGCTCCAAAAGATAAATAAGATGCCTTTTCAACTTCTAAGGAGTTAGCAATATATTGGGGAGATGAAGTTTCAAGACAATAAATGAATCAAACCTGAAGATCATTGAGAGATTCATGTCCAGCCAAATTCCTGTCCATCCCATGAAGAAGAATCATACATGACAGAGTAATGCCAGTTATTCCTGCTGCTCCATCCCTCAAGCTTCATTCCATCCATACTTAACTGTATTTTCAGATATCAGACTTGCCATGCTCTCTCCTGTCCCAGAGTCTTTGAAAATATTGACTGTTGGCCTGGAAGTATCGCCACAGTTTCCTTTCTCCTTCATTGAACTTTTTACATGTATGCAGATATGCTTTCCTCCTGGAAACTTTTGACCCTCTAAGACATTGGGCATCTGTTTTGTGTTCTCCCATACCAGTCATTATTTGTATTAGATAGTATTTATCATACTACAGGGAAACTCCTTGTACATTTATTTGCCTTGTCTACTTGGCTGAATATTTAATGTCAGGGGCTCTATTTTGCTCATCATTCCATTTTCAGTGTTCTTCACAGTGCCTTGCTTATAAATGAATGAATGAATAAAGGAATGAGTGAGTGATTTTCTCTGGACAGACATTCCATTTTATTGGGCAATGATTTTCAATAGAGACAGAAGAGGGAATGTTAAGATCACCTGTGTGCTATTTTCAAAGCATACATTTCTTCCCACTCCTGAAATATCTCCCATATATCATCCCATTTAAGATCCCTGATATTTGTAGCAAGCAGTCAGTGTTGTTAATGGGAATGTGTCAATACTCAAAGTCAAAAGCCAGCATATTCTGCCACAATAACTAGGAAAGGATTGAGAGGACAGTGGCTTTGCAAATGAGCATTGGTGGTTGAAGCATATTTGGAAAGATGTAATGGTAGAAGGATAGTAATCCAGGTAGAGGGGGAAAAGAAATGGTTTGAGCGGCAGCATAGAGGAAGGGAAGTTTGGCTTAAATTAGCATGCGTATGGAGAAGTGATGGGAGATTGGCCTTGAGGTCATCAAGAGGAAGGCTGTGAATGCGAGCTGTGAAGGTTGTTTATTATGGTAAGAAATAGGGCAGAATGAGGGACCTTTGTGGAGAGGAGTGCTGGTATTAGAGTTACATTGCAGGAAGTTTTTCTATCCATAGCATGCATAATGGATCAAAGTGGGAATGAAGGCAGGCAGGGATAGCTATTTAGTTCAGTTTAACAATATTTGTTGCATGCCTAAGATGTGTTGGACACTGGGAGAAAAGACAATTCCTTTCCAGAGGTGACCTATAGCCTAATGAAGGAAAGAGAAAAAATGATCAGGCAGTTTTAATAAGCATGCTAAGCAATGCAGTCAGAAAATAAAGCAGGCCTGAATGAGGGTAAGAGAAAAGGGAAATTAGAGGCAGATTCAAGGGAAACTTCTGAATTGAATTTTCTCTGAGGTCCTGAACAGCTTTAAAATGTCCTTAACCAATTTAAAAATAGATATAGGAGCAAAACCATAAGAAGCTGTCATGTACAACCTTAATTTCAGTAATGGAAGAATGATGATATTCAATGATGAGACTGTATGAAAAAGAGATGGTTTGTGGAGAAAATTAGTTTGGATTCAGACTTACTAAGCTTAAGGTACTGAAACTACCAATGTTACATGGGAATTACACAGTGCCATACTATTTAATACACTTTTGGTTGCAGATGTCAGAATAGCAACTCAAGCTACTTTATGACTAAGAGGCATTTACTGGCTTATTTGACAGTATAGTACTAGCTTCAGGTATGATTGGATCCGGCTACACTAGGAATTGCCTTTATCTCCTTGATTTTGGTTCTTTTATTTTGGTTTCACCCTCAGGCTGACCCTGTCTTCAGGCAATTCTCAAGCAGCTCTAGGATTTTTAAAATTTCATTCTTAAAAGAAGATGCCTTTTCCTAGTACATAGTTGGTACCATATTGACTCCTGCTGCCCTTGCTTGAACCTAAGTCAATTGTGTGGCCAGTGATGGGGGTGGGGAGATACAGTACATTAACCTTTCATCTGGGGGTAAGGGCAGTGTCATCCTACCCACGTGGACTGAGAATAGATGTGGGCTATTCTTAAAAAGAAAACCAAGACACTGTTACTAAAAGGAGGGGGTCTGCAAAAACATGTAGTGTCCAGTGCGCAATGCTATATAAATTCCAAGCATTTTAAGTTAACATTGCCTTGTTTGATTTTTAACATGACATTTTGTGAAAAGCGTCATTAACATTATCTGTAAACCATAGGTATGGAAATGGAGCTTTAGAGAGGCTAATTCGCAAAAGCAGCACATGTAGTGTTAATAGAAGACCCTGGATTCCATTAATCTTTCTTCCATTCAAATGTGGATGTCAAATGGACAGTTGGAAGTGTAGGCTCGTGAGCAACCCCCAGGCTAGAGTGGGTGGAGTCATATAATGGAGAAGTCATCCCTTGAGTTGCAGTTGTTGGATATGACCACCAAAGAGGTGGAAATTGCAGAGAAAGAGAAGGTCAGGCGATGGGACCAGGAGAGAAACAGCCACATTTGGGAGGGTTAGAACAAGGTCCTCAAAAAGATAGGAAGAGAATGAGAAAAGTAATGAGAAGAGTAATGTGCTAAAGACTACAGTTATCACTTCATAAATGCTTATTGTCTTTTTCAAAGTATCAGGAAAGCTTAAAGGAATTTTTAGTGAAATATTCATGACCATGATCCACTGATTTTGGAATGCTATAAACATGATGAAAATAACACAGTGGGCAGGGCACAGTGGCTCACGCCTGTAATCCCAGCACTTAGGGAGGCTGAGGTGGGCAGATCATGAGGTCAAGAGATGGAGACCATCCTGGCCAACATGGTTAAACCCCATCTCTACTAAAAATACAAAAATTAGCTGGGCGTGGTGGCGTGCTCCTGTAGTCCCAGCTACTCAGGAGGTTGAGGCAGGAGAATCACTTGAACCCGGGAGGCAGAGGTTGCAGTGAGCTGAAATTGCACCTCTGCACTCCAGCCTGAGTGACAGAGCGAGACTCCATCTCAAAAAAAAGAAAACAACATTGTGTTTGCATTGATGGCTAGCATCAGTTGTTTGGTGTTGATGATGATAATAATAGCTAACATGTAACCAGGTGCTGTGACTCACGCCTGTAATCCCAGCACTTTGGGAGGCCGAGGCAGGCAGATCACCTGAGGTCAGGAGTTCGAGACCAGTCTGGCCAACATGGTGAAACCCCATCTCTACTAAAAATACAAAAATTAGCCAGGTGTGGTGGTGGGCACCTGTAATCCCAGCTACTGGGGAGGCTGAGGCAGGAGAATCGCTTGAACCCAGAAGGTGGAGGGATCATGCCACTGCACTCCAGCCTGGGCGACAGAGTGAGACTCTGTCTCCAAAACAACAACAAAAAATTGCTAACATATGTTACCTATGTTACATACTCACATTATATTGCATGTAATCATTTACTCTTCACAATGATCCTATAAGGCAAGTATAGTGCTCTCTAGTTTACAGTTGAGGAAACTAAGGTACAGAGAGGTGAAATAACTGTGTCTGCTGTCTCACAACTTTAGTGTATCCAGTTGGCTACACAATGGATTTTCTTAACTGCTGCATTGCACTGGGCAGCACTGAAGCAGGGCAGGTTAACAAAGGCCAGTCTTTTTTCTTATCTTTCTTGCAAAGAACATTTCAACCTACTGTTATTTATTTATTTTTTTTAATTTAAGTTTGGCCTTTGCTTACTTTCAAGTAGAACAATTGAAAGCATGTCAGAACAGCGCCATTTGATGTTGGAAGAATCTAAGCGTCATTCCTGCTCTGAAGGACTACTGGTCATTACTTACATGGGTGCTTATGACTGAAAAGGTCACGAGACAAAAAAAAAAAAGCTGTGAGAGAAAGACACACAAGGACAGTTTGGGTGGCAGTGTCACATCATTCATCAGTTTTACAATAGTGTTGGCCTTTGTCAACATTTTCTAAAGGAAAAATCATAAGGCAACAAAAACAAAGAGCCACAAATGAACAAACCTGGACACAGGCTAAGACTTCCTTGAAGACTTCAGAAACTATCTTTTTTTTTTTTTTTTTGGAGATGGAGTCTCGCTCTGTCGCCCAGGCTGGAGTGCAGTGGTGGGATCTCAGCTCAGTGCAAGCTCCGCCTCCCGGGTTCACACCATTCTCCTGCCTCAGCCTCCCGAGTAGCTGGAACTACAAGCGCCCGCCACCACGCCCGGCTAATTTTGTGTGTGTGTGTTTTTAGTAGAGACAGGGTTTTACTGTGTTAGCCAGGATGGTCTCGATCTCCTGACCTCGTGATCCATCGTCCTCGGCCTCCCAAAGTGCTGTGATTACAGGCGTGAGCCACCGCGCCCGGCCAGAGACTATCTTTTTGCTTCAAAAAGACAGTTTCTCAGTCCTGTGTTCTCTAGGGAATTCTGCCAACAATTGTTTTTTTCCCATATCTGCTGCTCTGAGTTCCTCCACCTTTCCTAGAGTGGAAAATATCCTGATTCCTTAGTGCCTTTCTGAATTTTCAACACCATTTCACGGAAGCAACCTCAAAAATTATATCAGCATGAAATTTTGTTTTGAGTCAAGGTGTTTCATTAGCTGTGAAACAGCAGAAGAGGTTTTACTATTTCTATTTTGGACTCATAGAAGGAAATGCAAATGAATCAAAATCTATTATGCTTAGGTTTGAATGACTCCCTTTTTCTTATTTTGCTGGAGGATTACTCAGATTCTATTAAGGCCCTGTTGGTCTGTATCTTTCTTAATAGGATGTTGAGGTGGTGTAATGCATCCCTTATCACTGACCTGCATGTGTGACATGACTTGTATATTAAATTCCAGTACATTTTAGTCTTCCATATTTTTTATCATAATATTCATTGGTTAAATAAAATCCTACTTAAGCAGATAACACACATTGGAGAATTTTATCATACTAATGTCTCCCTTAGTATAGTATGTTTTTCACATGGATGAGATACTCTTTTGCTCCTTCATTTTTGTTTTATTAACTATGTTTGTCTTTTTTTCCATGTAAATTTAGGGCTGTGTTTCAAAGTTTTTTTTCTTTTTTTTTTTGAGACGGAGTCTCACTCTATTGCCAAGGCAGGAGTGCAGTGGCGCGATCTCGGCTCACTGCAACCTCCACCTCGAGGGTTCAAGCAATTCTCCTGCCTCAGGCTCTTGAATAGCTGGGATTATAGGTGCCTGCCACCATGCCTGCCTAATTTTTGTATTTTTAGTAGAGATGGGGTTTCACCATGTTGGTCAGGCTGGTCTCAAACTCCTGACCACAGGTGATCCACTTGCGTCAGACTTCCAAAGTGCTGGGATTACAGGCATGAGCCACCATGCCCGGCCTCAAAGGTTTTTTTCTCACGGTAAAATTATGAGATGTGTTAATTGTGTTCTTTGTGTTGAAACCCTTTTTGGTGGAGGGTCTTTGGATGTAGTATATCTCGTGGCTGCTGTAGGCTGCTAGATTTATTGCTATAAAGATAAATTCCAGCAGCTTTGAACAGATTTTTTAATGGGTGAATTTTTTATCAAAAGCCTTTACATAGTTGGTCATGGCATTGAACTAATAGCATGTAGAAATCCAGGTTTGGAAAAGATGATTCTTCATTCTTTGGGATCTGCCACAGAAAGGATGGAGTATTACTCTAAACAAAGCGTGCCTCACAGTTTTTCTCACTGCCTTGACAAAGCCTTATCCCAGAATGGTTTGCCTTTGAGCTCTCCACTGCCCTGGCCTTGATGGTATGAGGGTTTCTGGATTGATATTAGAGATATTTACATCAATATCTAGGTTAATGTCTAGTTGAAGCCTGGGTTTCATTCTCTATTGCTTGAAATAAGCTCTTTCTGGCAACACTCTTTGGCAGTTTGGCAGTTGTTTTTTTTTTTCATATTTCTTTTAAATTTTAATTATAACCCATCAAGTCTTAAGCAATTACTTCTGGGTAGACTCTTGATGAATGTCATAGCAGGGTGTTTTAATTTAATAGATCCAGAATAACATCTGGTTCTAATATTTTAAAAGCCAATTTATATGGAAATTTATTTAATACACAGTCAATACATGGAGACTTGTAAAAATCAAAATCAAAATGGAAAATCAATCTACTGTTCTGTAATAGGTCTTCTTTTAATAAAGGATTTTGCTCATGACTGGGTTCAACTGTTACTAGTTAACACTCAAAATATCAGTTTAGAAAAGGTAGCAACTTATTTCTCATACTGAAGAAATAGGAGGTAGTTAGCCCAGGGTCACTATGGTCTTTTGTAACAGGGACTGAGTTTCCCTCAATCTTACTGCTCTGCTCTCTGCATGATTTCTATTCCTAAGGACACCTTGTGGGCCAAGATGGCTGCTGGAACTCCAACCATTACATATGTGCTCCACTCAGCAGGAAGGAGGAGGGTAGGGGTGGAGGGGAGGGGTGCAGGGGAAGAAGGCTAAGCTTTTCCTTTTAAGGACACTTTCTGGAAGTAGTAGACAAAAATTCATCATATGATCATATTTAGTATGAAGGGAAGATAGGGAAATAAATTTTTTTCTAAATGACCACATGCCCAACTAAAAATTAAAGTTCATTTGTATGGAAAAGAGAGAGAATAGATATTGGGTGATATCCCTGATATAGTGAACCATCCCGGCCACATGGAGTAATTGAAGATTTTCACAGATCTTTTGCCTTTTTATTGAACATTTAGAAAAGTCAACTAGTTCTTATTAGTAGATAATATATGTATTATTATATGGATTAGCATGGTATTTGGCACATTGTATATAATCATCAACTTCTGATCGGCCTATTTTAATTCTAACCCCAAAATGCACCTAATTTCCCAGGTTATGGGTCAGGAAGACTTTAATAAGGGACTTTTCATAGATTGTATCCTAGTCTTTATATAATAATAACAGCGCAGCTAACAGGGCAGAGAGATCATTTGCACTAGGGTGTCCAGAACACTCATGTATATGTAAAGCACTGTTCTCTGCTTCTCTATATAGAAGACAAATGAACAATTATACATGTTTATTAAATGATTTCAAGGTAAAACTATTATCACAGAAACTGAAGCTCAGAAAGGTTAATTGGGAAGCAATCTAGAGAAGCAGTTGAAAACTATCATGCCTAGTCATTTGAACTCAACTAGAATACTAACTCAGTTATTTCCACTGGTGAGATCACCTTAGATGGGTTTCTTAATCTGCTGAGTCTCTGTGATAGTTTATTTTTGCAGTCAGGCAGTGAATGAAAGAGTTAGGACTCAGGAACGTTTTCCCTGAATCCAGAGTTTTTCCAACCTGCTTTTCGGTAATACTCATGTGGAAATTTCTCTGATCACACCTGCCTCACAAGAGAAGGCAGAACTGGTGGAGGGCCTAGAGTTGAACATCATTAAGACAGTCTCCCACAACATAGTCTTTATCCACACAGATGCCCACAGCTCCTTAAAAAGCCCTGATATCAGACTAGGCAAGAGTTTTATAGTTCTGGAGTTCTCATTCCTGTGCCCTTACTAACTCATGTGTCTCTTATATGTTCTGTAAATACAGAGATAGGTTCACTAGGGATACAAAAAGACTCCAAATGCCACTCTGTTCTCTGGGAGGATAGTGGCACAGAGCCAGGATGTTCCAAACTGAATAATTTAATGCCACATTCAATGTTTGTACCTTATCCACATATGTCAGTACTTTTGAGTCTTTAATCCTTTTCTTTATATTCACTTTTTAATTTTCAACAGCTTTATTCTGAGCCATAGTTAGGAAATCCAGCTTTGATATGGTAATGAAATTTACTTTCAAATAACCTTAACATGAATATAACCATTACAGTTTTTACAAAGTGCAGACATCTTTTTACATGTCCCCAGTAGTAGATGGATCATATTTTGGGAAACCCAGAATAGTGGAAAGGGAATTAGCCATGAAGCTCTGTGTTACTGCTCTCAACTTGTGTGACTCTGGGCCAGTTATTAATTAATCTTTCTGAACCACAAACTTTCTCACTTGAGAGATGTAGAGAATAATATCTACCTCATCAGTGTTGCTCTAAAGATTAAATGAGATGTAGCCAAGGAGACCAGCATGGTGTTTGGCAGTGTATCAATTGTTTAGCAATTAGTAGGTCCTTCCTTCTTGAAGTCTGTTTGAAAATATCAGGCATGCAAATGGAAACTATCCTCAAAAGCAAGAATCAGTGAAGCACCATGAAGATTTCTATAGAGGGTAGTAAGTCCCATGAAAGCTAAGAAGTGGGAAAGGCTGAAGTTTATTAGAATGCAGTAGGAAGGGAAACACTGGATAGGTGGAGAGCCATTCTTCCTAGTCTTTCCAGTTATCTGGGCCCTTAATACTCAACATGTGGTCCAAGGACCATCAACATCAGCATCACCTGAGAGCTACTGGAATGTGGACTCTCTCTCTGGCTTCTCCCCAGGCCTACTGAATCAGAACCTGCCTTTTAACAGGGTTGTCAGGTGATTTGTATGTATGAGAAGCACCGGGCACTGATATTCCCTGTAAAATTTATTAATTTATTTCTAGTAGGAGGCTAGTCCTTGCATCACCTGGGCCTTGCTTCTTAAAAATGCAGATTCTCAGGCCCAGCCTCGATCTGGAATATTCATTTTTAGCCAGTATGTCACATGATTTTCAGGGCAGTTGTTTGGCAGACTGCTACATTAAGGCTTAAACCAGTTGAAGAACTTTATTCTTCAAAGATACTTGCATTTCAACAAGGAAGGAAGCTTTTAAGGAAGAGAAAAACAACCCTCATTGTGGTTTTAGTAAGCATTAAGGGGAGGACATGAATTCAGCTTATATGTGCCTGGAATCCCATCACAAAGCTACATAGTAACAAAGCTTCTGAGAAAGGCAGTATCTTATCAATGTCATATTTTTTCTTTCTTTCTGTGTTTTACATTTGATTTTTTTTAACGTTTTGTTTTTTAGCCGTGCTATCAAGACTAATCAGGACCTTCTCCCAGAAACTCCATGGACGCACATTTTCTACAATGATTTTTGGGGGACTCTTCTAACCCACAGTGGCAGCCACAAGTCCTACCGGCCACTCTGCACTCTTTCTTTTCGCCTGAACCATGCCATTGGAGGGTTGAATCCCTGGAGCTACCATCTTGTCAATGTCCTGTTGCATGCAGCAGTCACTGGTCTCTTCACAAGCTTCTCCAAGATCCTCCTTGGTGATGGATACTGGACATTCATGGCTGGCTTGATGTTTGCTTCTCACCCCATTCACACGGAGGCAGTGGCAGGAATCGTGGGACGAGCCGATGTCGGGGCCAGTCTCTTCTTTCTCCTCTCCTTGCTCTGCTACATTAAACACTGTTCTACAAGAGGCTACTCAGCCAGAACCTGGGGCTGGTTCCTGGGGTCAGGACTGTGCGCAGGATGCAGCATGTTGTGGAAGGAACAAGGAGTGACTGTTCTCGCAGTTTCAGCAGTTTATGATGTCTTTGTCTTTCACAGGCTGAAAATAAAACAGATATTACCTACCATTTACAAAGTAAGTGATTGTTGGCTCTTGAGCATTGGATTACTGAGTAATCTACTTGCTTACTCCTTTGCCACCATTTAAAAAGCAAATTTATTCCTCTGCAAGCGGAATTTAAAATAAGTTCCTTTTTGATCTTCAGTAAGTGGAAGTGTCCTTTTGACCTTTGTACTAAGCAGGGTTTTAGTCACTGATTGTTTTATTTCTCTGGTTTCTTACTTTCATGATTTCAAGGGTGGTAGAAGAATAATTTTGCCTTGTAAAGAATATGCACCTTTATTATTTATTGAGTTCTTATTTCTATATTTCTGCACAAATTGTCTATAATCTGATAAATTGTCTATAACGTGTATTTGTAAAAAATAACACGGCTGATAATAGAGCTAGATGCTAGACTTTACAGGGGAAATCCTCTGCCATTTGTTAATATTACTTTTCCTGAGTTGACTTTGGAAAACAATCCTTCCCTTTAGTGCACTGGGAAGTCAAATTCTTAAACAATGAATCATACTCACCTTTTTCTCGTGATAGTGCATAAGAATAGAAAAGTCAAAACAGAAAATGGTTATTATTGAGTTTCTCCCTGTGGCCAATTAAGACCTTTGCCTTAGGGCATATTTGTTCTCCCGTATTCCCTTAGTGGTATCCAGTACAAAGTTGTTTGAAGGCCACAGAAGCATTTTAGGATCCCCATACACTTGAAGAGACTGAGCAGTTTTCTGCTAGAGCATTAAGGAGAGGCATTGAGCGGACGGGGCATCTTGAGAAATTGTCTGCCTTCCCATCTCCCCATCCTCCTTCACTCAGAATAAACTCACCGTTGCTTTGACTTTGGCGTGAAGACGGAACTGGGCCAGGGTTTGCCAACTTTGGTCATGTTTTAGGCAGGCTCCCGCCTATCTTTTGGATACAAGTGAGGAATTAAGGTTTTGGATACTTTGCTATGAGGAAACTGTCAAGTTTTCCTAGTTTTGACTACTTTTTCACCATCGATTTCTAATTTTATTTAAAATTGAGAAGAAATTTAAAAACAAATTGAGGCAAATGCTGTTCGAAACATCAATTTTTTTAAATGCCCTTTTTTTTTTTTCCTCTTAAGAGTCAGAGTGATCTCTGCTGTGCTTTTTCTCTGCTGGAAACCTAACCTTTTCACTTAGAGTATTAAGGGCTTAATGAAGTTCTTTTGTGATTTCAATTAAATGCTGAAACTTTAAAAGAAACTCTGGTTAGAGTTTGATGCTTGAAAACAACATATGGTTTGAAAGTCAAGCTCTTAATTTCAAATCAATTTTAATTCTTTCAAAGAGATTTAGAGAGAGTAATTGTTTTCATCTAACCCAATGTCATCGACAATAGCAAACTTTGTTTTATTAGAAGTACAACTAGGAGAAGTGTAATTCCTGCTCTTTGTCCTTAGGGAGGTTATGATGTATTTGAGGATGCAGGCTTAGTGCTGGCTGTTTCAGGACCTTGCATTAGTCGCCTGTGAAATATTGTGATTTTTTTTTTTTTTTTTTTGACGCGGAGTCTCACACTGTCGCCAGGCTGGAGTGCAGTGGCGCCATCTCGGCTCACTGCAACCTCCGCCCCCCAGGTTCAAGCAATTCTCCTGCCTCAGCCTCCCAAGTAGCTGGGACTACAGGCACATGCCACCATGCTCAGCTAATTTTTGTATTTTTAGTAGAGATGGGGTTTCACCATATTGGCCAGGATGGTCTCGATCTCTTGACCTCGTGATCTGCCCGCCTTGGCCTCCCAAAGTGCTGGGATTACAGGTGTGAGCCACCGCACCCGGTTGTGATTTCTTTTACAGAATTTCCATCTTACCATCTCATAAGTTAGGGAATTATTTGGCTATGATGATTCAGGATTTACTTGCAGGACCTTACGAAGTTCTCTGAGAAATTTACAGTCCTCTAAGCATATTTTCAAGGGCAGAGTTGCCCACTGCAGTACTCCTTCCTAGAAATATGTTCTATACAATATTTGGGACATACTTATAATAGAAAATTAATCTTTGTTTCTCTGAAATTGAAATTTATCTGGGCATCCTGTATTTTATTTGTCAACCTTATTCATGTAACAGCTGCTTCAAAAATAAGAAATGCCACTAGCAAGGAACTCTTGAGACTAAAGAGTGTGAAGTTCCCCATGTTAAGAGAAAGGACTTAATACTGTTGAAGGTTCAGTGTCCTGAGAAGTTTCCAGATGGCTCTTTGCCCAGACTCTCTTGGCGACCACCACTTGCAGGGCTAGGCAATGGCAGCAGCAAGGGTAGTGGTCGGGGGCAGCAAGACTTTGTCTGATATTTGCTATTCTATCGTAGCTCTTTCTGTCATTCTTAGGTTTGGGGCCAATGAGCTTAATAAGAACATTGGAGATAACACATTTTATAGATTTTTGTTGTTGTTGTTGTTGTTTTTGAGACCGAGTCTTGCCCTGTCGCCTAGGCTGGAGTGCAGTGGCACGATCTCAGCTCACTGCAACCTCTGCCTCCCGGGTTCAAGCGACTCTTCTGCCCCAGCCTCCTGAGTATCTGGGATTACAGGCATGCGTCACCAGGCCTGGCTAATTTTTGTATTTTTAGTAGAGGCCAGGTTTCACCATGTTGGCCAGGATGGTCTTGATCTCCTGACCTTGTGATCCGCCCGCCTCAGCCTCCCAAAGTGCTGGGATTACAGGCGTGAACTACCACGTCCAGCCCATTTTATAGATTTTTAAGGACCTGTAGGATCATCTTTGCCACTCTCTTCATTTCCATCTGGGGTGTGGAGAGCCAGAGATGTGTAGGTAACACAGAAAATGATGGAATCACTAGGACTGAAGCACACATCTCTGACTATCTGGTGATATCTTTACTACACTCTGATAGTTTGAGGAACAAATATAGGTAAAGTCAATTGACTGCCCAGTAGAAAGGAAACTAATATGGAATAGAATCTTAACTCAACTTGGGCTGATTCCATGATCTGTTTCTTCATCTGGAAATGAAGGCAGCTATAGTTCTCTCCCAGAGTTGTGAGGCTTATTTGAAATTGTGGGGGTGTTCAGTGTGAGCTGAAGTGTCCAGTATTTGGATGATACCTAATACATATTAGTTGAAGTGAAAGAAGAAATGTCGATGGAAATTTTGATTCTTTATCTTTTGGCCTCTGCCTTCTTAAGGTGAACTGCCAGTAGTCTCTACACATAGAGTTGTTTGACAGCATGTGAAATAAGGACTGCTTAGTAATTGACCAAAGCTGAAGTAAACAGATTTAAGCACAAACTTTCATTTAAAATCTCATGCTTGTGAAGCTTGTAAACACTGACATAGAATCCATATGAAAGTTATAGAAAATTCCATATTCTGTCTGTAAAATATATAGATTTCTATGCCTGGGGTGAGTTAGAGGAGATTCTTTCTGAAGGAAGTAGTCTGAAAGGCTTTAGAAGATCCATTCAACCTTAAAAAATAATCATCTTAAATATCTTGCCAATTAACTCTGCATCCTAGTTATCATGGTTTGCCAGATGAGATAAACTTCCTTGCTCTGTTAAAACATAACTTATATACAAATGGAAAACTGCAGTATACAAATGTTTAACCCTGTTACTCAAATTAGAGAACAAGCTAAGTAATGAAAACCTAAAAATGGTGGCCCACTTAAAGCTGGAAATTATTAAGGCCAGAGGGGCAAGGCTCTTGGCTGAATTTGGCCAGTTTTGATTGCAGTTTACCTTTGTCTTAGGTGTTGCTTAAGCTTGATTCTACATCCGGATGTAGTGATCAGACCAAAGCTAACAACCCCATACTTCCAAACCATTTACGGAATTTGTCTTGAGAATGATTTCTGAGAATGGGAGTTTATATTCTGTTAAAGAATTTTGGTTAATCACCAAAAATGTTACAAGACTCATGCAAATGATGTGCATGTCATCAGACTTTTGCAGTTTTGCAAAGGAAATATGAAAGTTATATTTTTATTTGATAAAATATATGGGAAATAGTAAGTTCTTGGCATGTAGTAGATATTTTATTTAGTATTTAATGAACAGTGTTTATATCTGCCAAGCACTATTCTTAGTGTGCTAAAGATGTTAACTTATTTAGCTTATGTAACAAATGCTCGTTGAGATAAGTAATATGACTTACAAAATAATATGGTTGAATGCTGTCAAACTATAATTTTGTCAGTAGTTAATTTTGTCAGAAAACATTAAGTATAAAATCTTCAGAAGTATGAATAAAAATCAGTGTTTTAGAGTAGTCTTAGTTCTTAGCTTCAGGATTTAGTTTAATATATTTCTTACATTATCCTTGTCCTTCACCATACATCTGGCTTATAGTAGGAACTTAGTAAATTATTGAATTCACACTTAATATTTACCTTTTTAAAATATGTGGCTGAAATGTTAAAGTGAACTCCTGTACTCTCCCCTTTATACAATGAGAATTTCATTCCTGAGTTAGTGGGGTCTGGAAGGTAGGGTTGGAAGACATGTATGTCAGAAAATAAATTTTCTTGACCTCTCACTAAATGATTGTTTTAGCATTACTTAGATTACTTTCACTCACTTAGTTTTATGTGGTCAAAAAATAAGGGGGGAAAAGCCCTTGAAATACACTTAGCCTTGCAAATACATACTAGACTTTTATCTGCCCACAAAATTTTTTACAAGCCTCTCATGACCCCAGGAAGTACATGGGTAATAAAATCAGTAAAAGCAACATTTTTCTTGCCCAACGTCAGTCATTGCTTGCCTAGTGGCCATTTTCTGTGCTTATTTAACATCTGTTAACTGTTTTAATGTGGAAACATCTCTTTCCCCTTTATTAGCCTCATAACCACTTATTCAGTTACAGGTGGAAAATTTTAAAAATCTGAAAGTCAATGTAGCAATACTAATACTAACACAAGATAGTTTAGAAAAATGAAGCCCTTTTAGTTTGATGTTTTTAAAATTTCTCTAAAGATGATTACCTTGGTTTTGCTAAAGTTTATGTAGTTGGTTCCAAGATGTGCATTATCTAGGTAATCTCTTTTTCTTAAAATTAAATTTTGTGACTCTGTTTCAATAAATAATATTGTTATATGGGAAAATTGGAGACATTGAGATTTTCCAGTCATCTCTTTCTAGAAATAATTTTCTTGTTTTAATGCTAAGCAGAAAGTGAATGATGGAGGTTGCCCATGGGCAATGAAGTTTACCTTTGTCTTATGTGTTGCTTAACTTGATTCTACATCCAGATAATAGTGTTCAGATCAAAACTAACAACCCCATATTTCCAAACCATTTATAGTAGGGTTTATCTTGAGAATAATTTCTGAGGGTGGGAGTTTATATTCTATTAAAGATTTTTGGTTCATCACTGTCTGAACACTAAAGGTATTGAATGTAGTGTTTCTGTACTTCTGACTATTTTGTGTGGCTTTCTCTATAGAGAAGAGCATGCGAATAGAGATGCATAGCCTGCAGGTGTTTGCATATTGAATCCACATGTGCTTTTTCCGTTAGTTGCTGGGGATGGCTTTGATGGAATCTGTTATCATTTATGGCATTGTCCCTTTTGTTTCTAGACTAGGTTGTGGTTTTGCCTAAGTTGTGACCCCCCCCCAATATCAATTGCATTGAATGAAATATGATATATTTACCGTTTGTGATTTTCCATACTCAACACCTGTGCCACTCTCCTCCAAGTAGTATTCCCACTTTTATGACCCCCTTTCCTTTCATTTGCCTTACACTTGACTTTGCGAGAATCCAGATGTAGCAAGATGCTCTGATTCTGATCACAATATTTCTTAGCTTTATTGAAACTGTAGGGCTGTTTGTTAGGCCCTTACGAATGAATTTGGATTTCCTCCCAGTAAACTTGTGGCATTTAATATTCATGACCTGTAGTACTATAAAACTTTGAACAGCTGCCAACACTGCTAACCAGATAATACCACAAATAAAGTCAATGTTCAAAAATATTTTACGATTCAAAAAGTCAAAGATTAATAAGATATTGTATTCCTGCAGGCTGGCTCCCTTGTTCAGCTGATTTAAGGTGATTCTGTATTCCAGTTGCAGTTTAAGTTCAAGTTAAGTAATTTAAATTTGGGAGTCTGACTACCATTGCAAGCATCTATAATGCCTGCATTACACTGTTAATACTTGGAACAACGATCTATTCACAAATTATCATTAAAAAAATTCATCTTTGTGCCAAGCGCTATAGTAGGCGATGTGGGGATTCAAAGAGGAATCAAAAGGAACATGCCAATATGCCAGGACTTTATAGAGTAGTATGAAGTCGAGAATAGTGCATGTAAATATAGAATTGAAATTCAAGCTGGGAAGTGGTGAGGGTTATAAGGGAGCCATTGAGAATGGTGGGGGAGTTGAGAGGAAGGGGAGGTTACTTTTGGTTGAGGGGATCAAGAAATGCCTTCTGGAGCAGAGACATTTGAGTAGAACCTTGCAGGGTAAAGATACAGGCATTTGTAACTGGAGAGGTGAGGAAGAGTAAAGGGTACAGCATGAGCATTACACAGAGGAAAACTCACAGAAAATTACTGGGTACCATGGAGCAGTTGTTTTGGCAGATACACAGAGGACATGGGTGATAGAGGAAAATGAGTCAGGTAGGGTAGATTGAGACCACCTGGTATGTATAGTGATATCGGGGCCTTCTGTGCTATATTGTGGCTCCCAAAATGTTGGGAAACAATGCATGGTTTCAAAATGTGCTCCTACTTTTGCTTGTCCATGGAAGGAGCCTAGGGATACGCAGGTCAGCTCCGTGTAGCCACTCGGGAGTCGGGGGTGAGGGGAGGGGGGAACTATCCCATCTGTCTCCTAAATCTGAGGGAGGGTTCCTTTGGTGATGAACTGAAAATCCTCCTGAAAGCTAGAGTTGAAGTTTTATATCTCATTCATATCAGTGTATGTCACATTCTTTTTTTTTTTTTTTTTTTTTTGAGAGACGGAGTCTCTGTCTGTCGCCACGCTGGAGTGCAGTGGCGCAATCTTGGCTCACTGCAACCTCCGCCTCCCGGGTTCCAGCGATTCACCTACCTCAGCCTCCCGAGTAGCTGGGACTACAGGCACACACCACCATGCCCAGCTAATTTTTTGTATTTTTAGTAGAGATGGGGCTTCACCATGTTGGCCAGGATGGTCTTGATCTCTTGACCTTGTGATCCGCCCGCCTTGGCCTCCCAACATGCTGGGATTACAGGCGTGAGCCACCGCGCCCGGCCTACATTTTTTATCATTAAATAAAAAACGTTTATTTTTGGAAGACTAATGTTATTGTACTTTTTACTGAATAATATTTGGCATATTATTCTACAGTCCTCATAAGAAAAATGGAGGTCTTTAAAAGCTTTCTCAGCTGGGTGCAGTGGCTCACGCCTGTAATCCCAGCACTTTGAGAGGCCAGGGCAGGCAGATCACGAGATCAGGAGTTTGAGACCAGCCTGTCCAACATGGTGAAATCCTGTCTCTACTAAAAATACAAAAAAAAAAAAAAAAATAGCTGGGCAAGGTGGAGGGGTGCCTGTAATCCCAGCTACTCGGGAGGCTGAGGCAGGAGAATCGCTTGGACCCAGGAAGGCAGAGGTGGCAGTGAGCTGAGATCGCGTCGCTGCACTCCAGTCTGGACAACAAGAGCAAGACTCCGATAAAGAGTCAAGACCCATCACTGTGCTGTATTCAGGAAACCCATGTCACGTGCAGAGACACACATAGGCTCAGAATAAAGGGATGGAGGAAGATCTACCAAGCAAATGGAAAACAAAAAATGACAGGGGTTGCAATCCTAGTCTCTGATAAAACAGGCTTTAAACCAACAAAGATCAAAAGAGACAAAGAAGGCCATTACATAATGGTAAAGGGATCAATTCAACAAGAAGAGCTAACTATCCTAAATATATATGTACCCAATACAGGAGCACCCAAATTCATAAAGCAAGTCCTTAGAGACCTACAAAGAGACTTAGACTCCCACACAATAATAATGGGAGACTTTAACACCCCACTGTCAACATTAGACAGATCAACGAGACAGGAAATTAACAAGGTTATCCAGGAATTGAACTCAGCTCTGCACCAAGCGGACCTAATAGACATCTACAGAACTCTTCACCCCAAATCAACAGAATATACATTCTTCCCAGCACCACACCGCACTTATTCCAAAATTGACCACATAGTTGGAAGTAAAGCACTCCTCAGCAAATGTAAAAGAACAGAAATTATAACAAACTGTCTCTCAGACCACAGTGCAATCAAACTAGAACTCAGGATTAAGAAACTCACTCAAAACCACTCAACTACATGGAAACAGAACAACCTGCTCCTGAATGACTACTGGGTACATAACGAAATGAAGGCAGAAATAAAGATGTTCTTTGAAACCAATGAGAACAAAGACACAGCATACCAGAATCTCTGGGACACATTTAAAGCAGTGTGTAGAGGGAAATTTATAGCACGAAATGCCCTCAAGAGAAAGCAGGAAAGATCTAAAATTGACACCCTAACATCACAATTAAAAGAACTAGAGAAGCAAGAGCCAACACATTCAAAAGCTAGCAGAAGGCAAGAAATAACTAAGATCAGAGCAGAACTGAAGGAGATAGAGACACAAAAAAAACCCTTGAAAAAATCAATGAATCCAGGAGCTGGTTTTTTGAAAAGATCAAAAAAAAAAAAAAAAAAACAAAAAACTTTCTTTCTCCTGTGTCCCTTCTCCCAACCTTGATGAACAATGTTCAGATATTACTGTGAATGGCTACAAGTACAAAATACCTCTTTGTTTTGGACTGTTTCATACAGGAAGATAGAAAAAACATTTTTTAAAGGGTCCTTTTTACAGTACAGCATGAAATATTCTATCAGCACTGAATTTCAACCAGTTAACTCAATACTCCGTCAGTGAAAATGACACGCAAATTGGATCTTGTGATGAATAAATAATGAGTCTCATTGAAATCTTCTATGCTATTCTCATAACACTGTGTCTGGGATGCATATTACATCACTCAGCTCAATTTTCGATACCTGCTGCCTGGGGGAATCAAATTGACTGAGGGGGATCCGATGGATATCAGGTTACTCATACTCAAGCCAGTATTTTCAATTCACAGAAAATGATGTGGTTTGCACAAATTTGAAATCCATTGTCATTACCTAGAAGTTCAGTTCCTATCTTAAATGCTTAGAATGGTGGAAATGATAACTTATTGTTGATTTATCGAATGAAATTTTATAGAAAGCCAGATTCCATGAGTACATTAGAGATTCCTTAAAAGGCATGAATGGGGTGGTGTAGAAAAAACTGACTTATGTCAAATGCATTGATGGTTCAAATACATTTGAAAGGTGATACTATGGTAAGGTTGCATAGGATTATAAGTTTTATTTTATTTTAAACAATCAGATTTTGTACTTAATGGTCATAGTATTTCTTTCTTCAAAAAGGATAATAAGAAACCAAAAGGGAAGAATAGCATCTTCGAAGTCAGTGATGATTTGGTGGTAGGAAGGTCAGTGTGCCCTTGTTCTCTGGGTTTGTCTTTACAATGCTGCAGTACCCAGATGGCTCCTGTATGCTCTGTTGGTCTGATTATAACTCTTGCATCAAGAGAAATAGCATGAATTCCGAATTTAATACATGTTTCTTCAGTAATTATGGTCTTGATTAGTGAAGTCAGTTTCCGTTCCAAAGGACAATTTCTTTCTTTCTCTATGTGTTGATTCACTTAATTTCAGGAATCAAATAAAATGCAGAGATCATAGTATTTCTCTTTGTTGTGATGGGGGATCTGTGTTGTCTGTGTTTTGGTATGTGGTTGTCAATTTTGCTTATGATTACTGTAAATTAAAGAAAACAGTACAGATAACATGGGGAAAATGAAGAACACCTAAAAAATAAATGACTTAGTTCCTACTTAAGGGAGCACATGGAAAATATATCCTGAATTCCCATCAAACTGTTGCTAAATATAAAGTACAAATAAGTACTTTTAATATAGAGACCTTGATTATATGCAATATCAGTTGTGGATATTTAAACATAATTCAATTTTGTGTATTTAAGAACTGAAAAAAAGATTATACCAAGGTTTCACATGAATGATTTCAGTACATTTCCATAACTTTTATAAAATGGAAAACTCAAAGTTACATGAAAACCTTATTTCTCCTAATTTCAAGATTCAAGTAAAAATTTGCCCATTTATATGATCCACTATATGTAGTCTCTTCTTAAGCTCTCATGACATATTGTAATAAAAGCTAAATATATTTAATATTGTGAAAAGAACTGCTGTTTACTTTGAATAACTATTTGGTATTTGGCTAATCTTTTCACGCAGAGATGCTTATAAGTCTATCGGGGAAAGGCCATTGGACTGGTGCCTGCAGATTTAGATTTAAATAGAAACTCGGTCATTTTCTAGCTGTGTGACCTTGGGGAAATTTCTAAACTTCTTTGAACATCAGTTAAATGCCCTGTAAAATCAGGGATATAATATCTTCGCTGTTTTGTGTTAAGTATGAATATAGTAAATGTGTACTCTTTTGCCACGTCCCTGTCTTATAGCAGGTATCATCATTGTCAGCATTCTATGGCATTTTTGTAGCATTTTCAGTAATGGTGATCTTTTTATCTGTCATTTTATGGAGCACTCAATTAGCATGGCTGCGGCTATTCTAGAACCATATAGAGTAGTTAATGGAATGCATGCTGAACTGTCAATCAGCAAAGAATGGAATGCTTGCTATCCTGTTCACCAGTGCTGATAATTGAAAGAAAGCTGAGGAAAAGCCTTTTTCAAGGTTAATTCTTCTGAACAACATGATTTGATAATTTATCTTTTGTTTGATTGAGATTGATAACAAGTACATATGCCAGTTTTCCTCCATTGGTAATATCTTGCCATCATCATCATCTCATACTTTCAGAGCCTGCTTTCTTTTCCCCTTTGGGCTCAGGAGGGTGCTGTTAGTTATATATCTGAAAATGGAGGGGAGACAGGTTTTTCTGTTTTTCTCCCCAAACCACCCTGTTTCCCATATATTTTCTTTTAGCAAGGTTTATTGTAGGGAGCAGTAGTTCAGTAACTGCAATAGCTTGCAGGTTCAAGTCTCTCTCTTTTTTTTTTTTTTTGAAAAAAAAAGGGAGGCACTATTATCATCTAAAGGTTATTCTTCCCCAACCTGGCAGGCAATGTTGTTGCAGCTGATCCCAGAATCTCTATATAATAAACCTTTTCAGGGAAACGTTGAGTCTGGCTTTGTTGTTGTTGTTGTTGTTCAGTGGTTTATTTTCTCACCTCCTGGAGCGACAACAGGAGGCAGAAAATTTTGTCTTTAAAGCAATACGGTTTTCTGGCTGCCAAAAATATTTCATGAACTATTTTGGACAACTTAATAACACTCAGACCAAATTATTTTTACAGAATCCTATATCTTGGTAACTTTGGCTTACTGAGACAAATCTATAGATAAAATTGGTTTTGGATTTCAGAAAATTCAATACATAAAAATATGATTTACTTGACAGATGATAGATACATGGGGCGAGTGGCAGGGGTGACCATTTACTTTAAGAAAACTTGAGGATTCGTCATGAGTTTTCTTTGAGTACACCAAACTTGGATGATCATCAGCTGCTCATGGGGAAATTATTTTAGACTAGAGATGACAGCACAAAACTGGAAGCTACCGAATAAGAATTTTTTGGTCTACTTACTTTTGTTTGTTTTTAAGGACTTGAGGGGAGAATTTCTGGAGGTGGCAGGAGGGAGACATTTTTAAAAAGCTCTTCCAGTGATTTTGATGAATAGCTAGGTTTGGAACCCACTGATGTACATTGAGAATCTGATTCCCTCCTATAATGACATTAAATATTATAAAAATTTCACAAAAACACCAATATTTTTATAGCTGGAATGGTATACTAGAAACCATTTGTCCATCTCCACAACACCACCCTCTTAAAAGAATTTGAGGCCGGGCATGGTGACTCACACTTGTAATGCCAGCGCTTTGGGAGGCCGAGGTGGGTGGATCGTGTGAGCCAGGAGTTCGAGACCAGCCTGAGCAACATGGTGAGACCCCATCTTTACAATAAATACAAAAATTAGCAGCATGCAGTGGTGTGCACCTGTAATTCCAGCTACTTGAAAGGCTGAGGCAGGAGGATCACTTCAGTCCAGGAAGTGGAGGCCGCAGTGAGCCATGATTGCACCACTGTACTCCAACCTTGGTTACAGAGTGAGACCCTGTCTCAAAAAAAAAAATAAATAAAAAATAAAAATAAAAAAAATAAGAAAAGAATTTGAGGCCCACAAAAATTAGGCCCACGATTAGTTGAGAGGAGAGACAACGGTATATTCTAGCCTCTCCCAACCAGGTTGAATGCTTTTGTCACTGTAAACATATTTCTCTTTTAATGCTTAAAAAATTAGTTTATGGACATTTTCAGTTGGCCATTTGCACTTCAGTTAGACTGGAGACTAGTATTGGAATTCCATGTACCTGTCACTCAAATTCATCATTAATTAATTACAATTCTAATTTTTATTTCACCCTGGGTTCTTTTTTCCTTTGTTAATAATTCCAAGCTTCCTCGTGAAATTGAGCTGTTGGTAGTTGTTTTTTGTTCCCTTCCTCCCAGGTTCCTCCTTCCCTCCCACCTCAAATAGCTTCAGATAGGGTCTCCTTATTTGCATTTTGTCATCCTAGTGCTCCAGCTTGATTTCAGCTCACATTCAAATGGAATGTTTGCTTCTGCAAATAACACAAGCTTAACGCAAAGAGACTAAAATCACAGTGTATTTTTCTTTCTAATTTGGTTATTTCCTTTACTAACATGGTGTTACTGTTTGAAATAGTTTATCCCTCAGTAGAGGTCTCTTCTCTTTCATGCCAAACTTAAGATGGGTTTAGAAGTGGAGAATTAAAAGTAGGGCAGCTCAATCTCCACCTTCTTTCAATTCTACACAGCACCACTGCACAAACTCAGGAGCAAAATTTTAGTCATTAGCACTGGGCACATCATCTGTGTGTGTAGCATTCATCCTGTTACTTGTAACTCCAGAAATGCGGTGGGATTTTTAAAAAGGCCACCGCTAGAGTCTTAAAGTTTCTTTGACCACAGAATATCACTTTAGCTTCTTGCTGTCTTGTGAATACTTGAATTGCTGGCAACCCTAATGTAAAAGTGAAAATGACTCCAAAACTGAGCATATTTCAGAGGTAAAATAGCAAGAAAGGAGAAAATGTGGGGATGCCAATTGAAAAATGGGCTGGCTGAGTGAGAAAAGGGCTGAATTTAAGTTGTCAAAGCAGCAGCCTGAAGTTTCTGGTTCTTGGACAGGATAATTTGTAGTCTTTGATTCTCTTTCATTCTGCAGTATAATCTTCTCCCTGGCTGCTCTGACTTCCATATTGTTCAAGAGGAAGAGAAATAACCCATCTGAATTCACTAGCTTTCATTTGCATATACACACAGCTGGTGGTAATGAGAACCACCATTTATCAAGGCTTAGTGTGTGCTAGCAATGTGTCTTCTGTGCAATATTTTGTTCCATTCTATGAAAGCATTAACCTCATTTACAGATGAGATACAGATAAGATAAACTGAGGCTTATCAAGTGAAATAATTTGCCTGAGGATTCATAGATAGTATGCAGCAGAGAGAGAATCTCATCTCAAATATCTGACTCCAAAGCTCATGGTCTTCCTGTTATACTGTTTTTGTGCAATTTTAGTGAAAATGAAAGATCCAAGTAGTATTACAAAAGAAACAATGATTTTTTTTTTTTTTCACATTACTTGGCTTTGGGACCAATGCTCATTATCTACAGTAGCTTTGAATACAAATAATCTGTACTTGCAGGTGCAAAAGCTAATTTTATGAGTGCTAAAAATACAATGATGGATATTTTCTCTCTGCCCCTAGCAAGTAGCAGACATGTATACAATAACTGTATAACTCTGTGCTAAGTGCTAATATAATTCCTTATGAAATGCTGGAGAAGCACAAGTGTCAAAAAAATTAATTTAGCCTGGTTAGGGAAGAGTCAAGAGAGTGACAGAAAGTAGTGGTGTCTAAGTAGCTCTGCTCATCTGTGTGTGTGTGTGTGTGTGTGTGTGTGTGTGTGTGTGTTTTAAGACCATTTCATGCTTGTGCATTTCATTTAGGTTTAGAGTCGGTGTCCATTTTTTTTTCTCCTCAATGCTGCTCATGTGAGGAGAAATTTGTTAAATTCATATTTATTTATTAATACATATGTACTGTTTTCTAAGTACTAATCTAGATGTTGAGGGTAAAGTAGTGAAGAAAATAGACAAACACCTGCTCTCTCAGGATTTACATTCGTGTGGTAACCATTCTCCAGATAATTTGTGCATTCATTATTTTTACTCCATATTACAAAAAAGTTGAACAACACCCCCCCCCCCGCCCACACCCCGCAGTTGCCTAGTATGCAGTAAGACTGAGTTTCAAAGTAAAAAAATAGCCAGATAATTAGAATATTAGAGGAGTGATACTGATGGATGTGTGAGTGTGTCTAGGCTCTAATTGGTTTGGAAGCCTCCCTGAGACCAGAGACTGGATAGTCTTTTTCTTTGGCATGCCTCTGTCCCAGAAGGGAAATGGGCATTGAGATCTTGGTATTCTGAGCTTGAACATCACATTGGCCTGCAGGGGCATATCATTTCAACTGTGGCCTTGCGCTACATTTAACAGACTTAAAGGAGAGGCTTTGTGCATATACCCTGGAGGTTGGTCTTGACTAAGTTTGCCTCTTGTGTGCCTATGCATTTCACCTACTCTACATGGTGTTTCTCAAAAGCATGCAAGCAAGAATTATTCGGATTCAATTGACATTGAAACATTTGGTTTGTTTCTGAATTTCATATTGCTGCATCATTGCTAATCAACCATATTATTTATGTGTTCTTGACAGGCATTGCTAATACAGGAAAATATTTCCCGCATTGCTTTATATGGGAAATAATGAGTCTGCATTACAGAGGCTCCTTGTAATTCAGATAAATTTTTTTCCTGCAAATTTCATAAAAAATACAAAATTGCTTAGACTAATTAGCAATATTTTAATGTCCAGGAGTGTCCATGTGTCTAATGGTGTCCTAAATTGTGCAGACTCTCTTGTGTGGGTTGTAAAGATCATAAAGACTTTCGATATCTGAGCTTTCCTCTATTTATACAAAAAAGGCCTACATGTTCCCTTATTCAATATCCAAAACCATGAGGCCAGTGACGTATGATTTTGATTTTTTTAAAAATTACTATTCAAAGACAAAGTGCATAAACCCTGCATTAAATAACACTCCCAACATGGCAACACTTCACAATAAGAAAGACTTAGTATTTCTGCAGGAAAATATATGAATATTTACAGTAACTGGAATAAATAAAAACTATAAATTGCCTCATGTCAGTTCAGGTCAGGCTTTTAGTTTTTAATACTTTTATTGAGATGTAATTCACATATCATAAAATTGACTCATTTAAAGAATGCAGTGTATTGATTTTGAGTGTATTCAAAGAACTTTTAACTATCACCATCAATCTTAATTTTATATTTTGGAATGGAATTAAGGATAGGGATTTTGGCCCTGTTTCAAAGATGTTGTGTGTGTGTGTGTGTGTGTGTGTGTGTGTGTGTGTAATTTTCCAAGTTTAACAGGATCTGTAGTGAAAAGTTTTGACTTCGAACCATGTGGGTCAGTAAACCTGGTTAAAGTCTTGTGAAGCCCCTGTTTTTTCACTTGTGCCTTTAGTCTGCTTAGCTGTCTATTCTACTGTATAACAAATTGGCACTGAAGTTTGAGTAATCAGGATATCTTCTTTGGGGTTGTGTATGGGTCAGTATGGTTGGATTCTTAATTTGTTTTTTCAAAACTATGATAAATTGTAGGTCCCTACATAATTGCAATTTTCTGGAGTAATAGTCTTACATTAGCATTTGATTGCTTTCTTGGCTGTGTGTTTGGTACATGCAGCCCTTGATTTCTGAGTAACAGTGGTTTACAGTATAAATATGAATCTGGGTGCTTCTTTTTCTTTCCCATTTACTTGCCTAAGTGATGTTTTACAAATGTCTTACATATGCAACAGGAATTAGGTTGTATTTAAAATATAAAATTGTCTTGTTTTTAGCTTTGATGGGGAGTTTTATCGAATTATAAAGGTGACTGTAAAATTTGGGGTAAACCCAGTTTCCATTCTGTTACCTATTTGAAAAAGGAATCATTTTCAGACAAACCAAACATTTAAAGCAGGGAATGAATTTGGAATTTTTTTATCCCTTTAAATAAATGGCCATCCTAAAATATGCCCAGCTTATTGCTTCCTAGAGGCAAATTCACTACTGAACAATTTTAAAAGAGCAATCACATAAAGTTAATTATGGGGGAACGATTCTATAAAAATTTAATATGCTATTAAGACAGTTGCTGATTTACATCAGATTTATATAAAAGTTGTTTGAACCTGCACCTTTGCGTCCAGCTGGTAGCCTTTTTCTAGATTAATTAAGTGAAAGCCTCTGAAAAATGTTAGACATTTGAGAGAAGTTGTGATTTCGTAGATAAAGGGAACATGCTGTGAAAAGTGTGGCCATATGGCATAATGACATAAACCCTGCAGTTCTAATCAGGAGGCCTGAGTTCTCACACAGGTTTTGCCACTACCTAGTTGTGTAATTGTGAACAACTCATTTAACCTCTCCAGGAGATTTTCCTAATATGGGCATTTCTGAGGATGCTTCAGGACCAAATTGCATGCTACTTGAATCATAATTTAAAATATAATTTTACTGCTAAGCCATTTTTGGGTAAAATCATAATTTCGTCTCTTTGAAATAATCTGATTGGAAAGATGGGCTTCTTGTGCAGATATTATGTTTTTCACTCATTTCTATGAACAAAAGATTAAGTTCCAAAGTGCTTATGTTTTTTTGAAGGCCAGGTAATTTATTGCAAACTGTACTGGGCTATACATTTTGTGTTTCAGCTTTCAGAAGAATCTATTTACATTTAAAATAATACCCCCTTTTCTCCCTTTTATCATGAAGTTATCTTTTCCATTATCTTTTAAACTTAAATACAGTTAATACTTGATTATCTAAAATGGAGCCTTTTATGAGTCAATCCCACTTTCTAATTCTTAACAAATATGGAATAAAATAGGGAATTATGCCATTTTTACATTACCTGTATAATCATTTTATGCATATAATTAGAACTTGACTCTGATTCATTGTTCCATGCAAGAAAAATAATGCTTTTTAAATACTGAAATTAATTTGACAAATAATTTGAAATTAATTTTTTTAATTATAGAGAAATTAAAAGAAAACCTAAAAAAAAATCGTTAAGTGCCATGCTTGATCCTCAATCTCAGGGGTCTGACACTTTCTCTGTAAAGGCCAGATAGTCAATGTTTTTTGCTGTGAGGGCCATATGGAGTTTACTACAATTACTCAGCTCTGCTGTTTATACTGCAGACAAAGAGTGTGGTTGTGTGTTCTGGGCTGTAGTTTGCTGACTCCTGATCTTTCTAAGAACTTACTTGCTAAACTCATATGTATGAGTAATTCAGGCTCTCCAAAGAGATTATGTTTAGGGCAATATATTTGTAGTAATATGAATCATTCCATTTCATACAAGTTGCATGCATTTTACAAGGGACTTTTATGTTCATTTTTACTTTTATCTGACACTTTAACTCTTCTGTCATGAGGATATTAATCTTACTTTAAAAATTATTAAATTAAATCATATATGTGTGTATATATATATATGTTTTACAGCTGAGGAAGCAAATCCTTAGAGCAGTATGATTTGTCCAGGCTGAGCCTGAGCGTGCAAGACCTTTACTCATTTTTCCTACTCCATATTGTATCAGGTATACTAGTGAGCTCATTGAGCAAGTATCTTTGATCCCACTTTGTGTCAGTGAAACTCCTTTACCCTAAAATTTTGAAAATGAGCTAAGTCAGAATTTAGCATTACGGCTATTCTCTGGATACTGAATTCATTCAAAATAATCAGACAAAGTAAACTTTGGTAACAATTACCCCATAAAGGAAGCCCAAGTAAGCAGAAGGTGATTTCCAAGAATAACCACCTCTAGAAGTTCACAGCAGCTGTAAAAATATATCTTCAGTTGAAATTTAGCTTGTGGTGTTAGGGCACTTGATTTTTTTTAATCCTCTTTTTTCCCCACCAAATTATTTAGATATATTGAACAGATTTATTCATTGCTCTTAGTATAAAAGTTAAGCACTTCTATCATGAAGGAGAGCTCACGCTTAAAAAAAAAAAAAAAAAAAAAGAAAGAAAACTGAGCAGTAAATGTTGTAGCAGTTTAGTATCTTTTTTCTTGACCAGAGTTGTTGTTGGTGGTGTTGGTATTGGTAATGGTAATGGTAGTAGTGGTGGCGGTGGTGGTGGTGGTGGTGGTGGTGGTGGTGGTGGTGGTGATGATGATGATGGTGATTAGTATTCATAATGGTGGTGGTGGTGGTGGTGGTGGTATTAGTAATGGTGGTGGTGGTGGTGGTGGTGGTAGTGGTGGTAGTGTTGTTGATCGGGTGGTAGTGTGTTTCTCACAGTGTTTACCTTCCAGGTGGATATGAAGTGATTGACTTTGGCAGGTGGTAGTGATGTTGATGGGATGGTAGTGTGTTTCTCACAGTGTTTACCTTCCAGGTAGATATGAAGTGATTGACTTTGGCAGTGAGTTCTGTGTTTTGTTTTAAGTCTTGGTGAGGAGTGCATTGGTGGTTGTGACATATTTCAGCTGAGAGATAATAGAAAGTTTAATGATGTTAATATCTCTCTTCATGTCTCTCTAAAAATGGGCCGTGTTTTTTCCATCCAAATGAAGAACACATAGGGTGGTTGAATACCATTGGATTTATTGGTTCAGAATTAAGAAAAGGCTGGGTAATGAAATCTGAAAAGCTCAATGTGAATTTGACATTTTCTCCCTGTTTTTTAAACTCATCAGGCCAAAATCTTAAATCCTAAATATTCCATAAATACATTCTAATAAGTATTGTTTAATTAGTCTTTTTAAGTATAACTTTATAATTGACGTTTTTCAAGGTTATTTCAGGTTTTTTTCATTTCGTTTTGTTTTTTGCAACGATTTGTAATATTTACTTCTTTATCTTGATCAGGCTGCTGGCTCTATGAGGCAGTATAATGCCTGCTGCTTTAATAGCAGTGCGACCTGGGAATCCTCATTTTACCTCTTTGTTTCCCCAATGTCCACATCTCATATCTAGAGTTTTCTGAAGATTAAATGCATTAATACATAGACATCTCTAAGTGCCCAACAGTGCTCAGTTAATGTGAGCCTTTTTAAATTTTTATCTATTTTAAGAATGCTTTCCTTCTCTCCAAATTGGCTAATTTAAAAATATGTCATAAAGATCATATGTTTGGCTGTACCTGTGGTTACTAATTTTTTTTTTTAAATATCAAAGTTCATTAGAGAAGTTGTAATGAAAGTGAATACTGTAATACTGTTGTGTAACATTGCAAAGATATATTAGTCCATTTTTGCATTGATCAAAGTTAAATTTTGTTATTTACTACAACAGTAAACTAGGAAGTGGCTGGATTCTTGAGAGATATTTAAAAATTAGATTAAAAATAACTTTCTCTCTGAAACCGCATTCTTAAGTCACAGATTTCTATGCGATTATATAGGAGTTTCTCAAATCCTACAATTGCATCCTTTCCAAATTACTGACAGTTGCTGTTTCAGGAATATCCTGTCTCTCATATCAGTAACCCCTTTGTTTACAAATTATCCTAACACTTCAGCTTACCTCCTAAAGACCCCAGAAGTGAAGTAGATATTTTAAGACCTTTCATTTAGAGCTGGAGATGCCCAGAGGAATTATGTAATTTTATTACTGTCTTCTTGTTGTGGGGAACATGCAAGTCTAACAATTCAAAATCTAGTCTTCCTGTCTCCTCTTTCTCCCTCTCTCATTTCCTCCCCTTACCTGTCCCTCTTTTTCTTCTCTCCTTCCTTATAACACTATATTCTTCTCCTGTTCTTCATTGATTAAAAAGTGACTTAAGGATAAGGAACTTGACTTGGCTTCATAGTTCATGTATATTTAAAATATATTTGAAATTATTTCTACAGTAAAGGATGGTCCTTACTTGCCAAAGGAGCTTTAAATGTTTTCCCATTGTTTTAATGCCCCAATTAATACAGTACCCAGTAGAAGAAAAAACAAAATCAAACTGTTAAAGAAACGAGGGACACCGACATGAAATGTGTAAGTTAAAGAAATGGAGAGCTACAATATCACCTAGACATGTATACTTTTAAAAATCCCAGAGTAAAGAACCCCCACTCTATATTGTTTTGTATAAGTACACAGACACACAGATGAGATTGGGCTATTTGAGCTACGTATTAAGATTCTGGTGTATCTAAAATTGCCCCCAGCCTGTTCTCTTGGTTCATTGTTCTTTTGTTCATTCATTCAGTCATTTGCTCAATCATTCATGTACCCATTCACCCATATGACATGATGTGTTTCTTCTGTGCCAGGTGCTGGTCTAGTTGCTATGGATAGTAAGTCAGTGAACAAAACATAGATAAATCCTTGCCCTTTCAGAGCTGGTATTCTTGTGGGAGCAGTGAAACTCACTTCTGTAAGTGTGAGATAATAAGATTAAGATTGTATGCTTAGTGTCACTTTGGGCCTCAACAACTTCAGATTTGACCTTTACAGTAGTTGATATCTTTCATATGTGATACAAGTTATGAGATTGGTGAACTTTGAGAAAGCAGGGATTAATGTAACCTGGAGAAACTGAATTGTTGTTGCAAGTCTTGCAGAAAAAATAGAACTTAGGCTGGAGGTAAAGAACATTTAAAATTGTGACAATAATGGGTGGATGGATGGGAGTTTGGTTTACAAATAGAATGATACAGGGGGCAGTACCACGAGGGGACTTTGAAACAGTAAAGATATCAATGTAATTTAGGGAAATTTGAAGTTTAGATAGTAAAGATGGGCCAGATTTTGGACAGTTTTGAACACCCAGCTGAGGACATTGGAATCTAAATGTTCTTGCTTTAGAGAATTATCATAGATTGTTGAAGAAGAGTAGTAATTAAAAATATAAATGAATGAGCCAGGTGCGGTGCCATGTTCTTATGGTCCCAGTTACTCGGGAGGCTGAAGGAGGAGGATCTCTTGAGCACAGGAGTTCAAGGCCAGTCTGGGTAACATAGCAAGGCCCTGTCTCTAAAAATAAATAAATAGATAATGAAAAATTAGAAACAAATGAACAAAGTGCCATTCCATGAGCACAAAGGAAGATGGAATTTCTAGTCCTAGCTGTGATTGAGTCGCTGTCTCTTGGTGAACACTTCCAACACATATAGACATCAATTTCCTCACTGCAAAATAAACATTGAGGAGATGTTCTCCAATGTTCTGGATTTTATAGATACAAATTTTTGACCTCTTTGTCTCCTAGCATTGACCAATCTGTGGCTGTATGAACTTTTCCAGTGGGAGTTAATTGTCTCTTATATCAGTTACCACCTTGAAGTCAGGGTGAGAGTACTTTGATGAACAGAGGTCTGTTGAAGAACTGGACTTGGTGGGTATGAAGTGGGTATTGTAGGGTTTAGTGTGGTTTATAGCCGTGGTCCCCAACCTTTTTGGCCGGTTTCATGGAAGACAATTTTTCCATGGACTGGGTGGTGATAGTTGCCAGATGAAACTGTTCCACCTTAAATCATCAGGCATTAGATTCGCATAAGGAGCACACAACCTAGATCCCTCGCATGTGCAGTTCACAATAGGGTTCCAGCTCCTGTGAGAATCTAATGCTGCTCCTTATCTGACAGGAGGCAGAACTCAGGTGGTAATGCCTGCTCACCGCTCACCTCCTGCTGTGTGGCTCAGTTCCTAACAGGCCATGGAGCAGGACCGGTTCGTGGCCCAGGATTTGGAGACCGCAGGTTTACAGCATAGAACCCTGGATTTATAATCAAAGGACATAGCTTTTGAGTCCTAATTCTTCTACCCATTGGGTGGTGAGATTCTCAGTAACAACCTAGCCTTTCTGAATTCTACCTGCTTTTTTGTAAAACACGAATTCACAAAGTTTACAAACATCATGATGTTTTAGAAAGGGCTACTTGAGATAATACATGTAAGACACTCTGTAAAATGTTTAATAAACATTCATAATTAGCGTTGCCACTAATAAACCATTTTCTCCACATCACATCCCAAACTGAGATATAATAATAGAACAGAATGTTTTCTGGGCACTGCTGTCCTTACTGGATGCCGGGACTTCATCTGGGAGGAATAAAGTGATGTAACAGGTGTTTAAATTCATTAGGCAATTATACACAGCCTTCTTTCCTCATAATATCTGGTCTCTCACAGAAAAATATAACGGAACTTAATATATCATTTGGATGACCTGCATTTGTTTAGATTGTTGAAGGAGCAAGACACATGGGTTGATTTGGGATATGGTTCAGAATAGAACAAAACTGGATTTATTAAGAAATATGATCCTTACTGTAAAATTTCTGGTGTGTTTCATTTAGGAGTTATTACAGAAACCTATTCAAGAGTGGAATTTCCTGATATTACTTAAAAGGTAATGTTTGAGTTAGAAGCTAAATAAAGCGTCTAGTACCTCCTGTAATTTTTATTACTATCTGGTAATCAACATTTATAGCACAATGTTAAGACTTTTTATCCTTTACTTTTATTAAGGTTTGACTGGCCCATGGCATGAAGTTGCATGTGTTTTCTGCACTTCTGAATGTTGCTGGAGTTCACTGTTGCACTGAATGTGCCTAGCAGGGCACCATACAAGGGGACAAAGACAGCCAGTGCATTTGAACGAGGGCATGTTTAAGTAGGGAGTAAGAAGCCAGAGATTCCAGTCAGTTAACCGGTCCCTTCCACTTCTTATTCCCCTTTGCTTAATCCGAATTTACTGAGTGCCAGACATGCACCTGGCAAAAACTTTTTGCTTGTCTCCCTGCAGGGTTCCAAGGGCCCTGAGCCAGTCAAAAAATGATCGACAGTTCAGTTAGGGAGAGTTCACTAAACTACAACTGTTAAAGCAGACAGAATTCCCATTAGAAGAATGCTTTTTGGACCTAATCCAATGAAAATAATCTATTAAAACAAGTTGTCTAATCTTATGAGTTAACATGAAAAGAGAAGTGGATGCAGGGTGAATTGCAAAATGTTTGCACGTGTAAGTTCAGTTTATTTAATTTTAAATAATTAGGGCATGGCAATGATTAGTGCTAATTGGAGCTATGTCAGGCTGAAAGAATTATCCAAGTGTGTTTTGAAGACTCATGAGAGATTTTTACAGTAAATCTTATTTAACTCTGGAGTTTGTTTTATTGATAATGCTAAAACTCAAAGATACACATCTTAATGAAAAAAATACGAGATTTTAACACAACCTGAAATAATTTAAAAGATAGTACTATAATGATAGCTACAAAGGCTAGGCATGCTTTAAAAGATTAATGGGGAGTGTTTTAATGGCCATCAAAATAGGTATTCAGTAAATGTAAAATTCTGTTTTAACTGATTTGAAGTAAGATCAAACTTTTGGGTTGTATTGAAGTCTTATTCAAATGGAGAATGAATACTGCAATGATTATATGGGTTTCATAGTTTGAGTACTTTTCTGTTTCAAAATCTTACCGTGAATTTGTGTATTAACTTTCCGACATCGTAATTTCCATTCATGATTTTAAAAGTCAGTATATGATCAAAATTTAATTTCAAATTTCACATTAAAAGAGGGAAAGAAATAAATTAGAGCGATTACAATTACACAAAGATTTCATCTATTTAGATTGGTCACCACCTACAGGCTCCAAAAATTGCATATTTTCAAGTTGCTTTTGGCAAGAAGACGTTTTTGGAGAGTTATCAGAATAGAACCTGAATGAATTGAAAAACTTCTTAATATTTTCCTTTGTTCCCAAACATCTGATGGATTGCCACTTCACAGCCACGTTAATAATTTCTATGTCAACATAACATGAAATACTCCACTAGCTTATTACTGTAAAGTTAGTATAATTTGAAAGTCACACTTTTGATGATTAATTCCAACTAATAAAGTGTGCATTTAAGAAATGCTTATTTGATTGTACCAATATTAATTTGTGCTTTCAGCAAAGTTATTCCATTTATTTATAACAAGTATTGTTTCTAAGCTTACTATTTTACTTTTCAAGAAGATATTAACCATCAGAGTAATAAGATACATAGGTCTGAAAAATGACACTTTGTGAAAACTCAGATTATATTTTTCACCTTTTCCCACGTTACCCATCCCCAGACTCAATTTTTGTTGTTAAGATTTTTTTTTTTTTTTTTTTTTTTGAGACGGAGTCTCTCTCTGTCGCCCAGGCTGGAGTGCAGTGGCGGGATCTCGGCTCACTGCAAGCTCCGCCTCCCGGGTTCACGCCATTCTCCTGCCTCAGCCTCCCAAGTAGCTGGGACTACAGGCGCCCGCCACTACGCCCAGCTAATTTTTTGTATTTTTAGTAGAGACGGGGTTTCACCGTTTTAGCCGGGATGGTCTCGATCTCCTGACCTCGTGATCCGCCCGCCTCGGCCTCCCAAAGTGCTGGGATTACAGGCGTGAGCCACCGCGCCCGGCCAAGATGTTTTTAAATAACTAGCCTTCGGGTACTGTTGATATCAGTACTTTACCCCTTCTCACATATCTTTCTATATCAAAGGGAGCAAACTAAATAGTACGTACCAAGAAAGATTTGGGATTAGAGTTGTTTTTTCTATAATTCTACTAACCATAACTCGATCTGTTACTCTGATGTATCTGAAAATTTATAATGGCCTTTCGCTTATTCTGTTTTCTTTCATGTGGGGGTGAGGGGAAGAGGATGACCCTCTTGCTTGCTTAGTAAACCCAGAATGTTCAACTCAGCGGCCTTTTAAGGATTCCAATTCTGCTTGGTTTTGCTCTGAATTACTAATAGTTACGAAGCCCAAGTAAGTGCCACAATGCTGTCTGGAAATTGCTGAATAGTTTAAAATCACTGGATGTTGAAATAAGAATTATGAAACTGATGGATGCTTTCCTATGTGAAAACTTTAGTTTAAAAACTATAGTCTAGGGTGCGTGCAGTGGCAATCCCAAAGTAATCCCAGCACTTTGGGAGGCCGAGGCAGGCAGATCACAAGGTCAGGAGTTCGAGACCAGCCTGATCAACATCGTGAAACCCTGTCTCTACTAGAAGTACAAAAATTAGCTGGGCGTGGTGGCGTGTGCCTATGATCCCAGCTACTTAGGAGGCTGAAGCAGGAGAATTGCTTGAACCTGGGAGGCGGAGGTTGCAATGAGCCAAGATCGCGTCAGTGCACTCCAGACTGGGCAACAGAATGAAACTTGGTCTCAAAAAAAAAAAAAAAAAAAAAAAAAAACCAAAACCTTATAGTCGGCCTCAGTTGCCCAGTCAAGCAAATGAGCATTTTCTGAATCAGTGTGGCATTCTGAGAAAAAAGACAGTGTATGTGAGTTATGCCCAGATAAATGGCCGCATTTTTACCTGTGAGAAACAGTAAATAATAATTTGTCCATTTGACATTGAATTTACTATTTAAATTCTGTAGAAGACATAGCGTAATTATAGAGTTGGAGTATATTTCCATATAACAACATTAAGCATTGAAATTATATGCTTATTAATGAACATCTATAAGGCATGTATGTTTATTAAGTTCTATTTGTATATATAATATAAAATCTTCTTTTTCTTGCTGGTGTCTTTTGTGTTTTCATAGAAAAACTCCCACACTCATTAAATAGCTGTCTATTATGGTATCTTTGAGAGAAGGCGGCTGTATCTTAGCCTCCCCACTGAGTGAAGTCTCATTATAATTTGTCTCTTTATGTTTCCAAAATGCTGGGCTCACATGCTTAACTCATTAATGAGACTGGAACGCATCTCATAATAGCTGGTTTGTCGCACTAAAGCCACACAGAGTTTAAAGAATGTTGCAGTTTAATCCATTGGTGCAGGAAATGCATTTGCAATGTAGTTGGCCAATTGGGGCAAGATTGATAAAAGAAAGTTCCTTTTCTAAATTCTGTTAATTTTGAGCTCACTTAATTTTACTTCTCCTCCCATTAGTTGTCTTCTTCTTAAAGAACAGGGAAAGGAGTTTAATAAAAAACAAAGTGTTTTCATAGTCAAGAGAAGTATCTTCTTTACTTTCGTTTAAAACTTTTTTTGTTGTTGTTTCTCAGGTCACAAAGGATATTTTCTTCACATATTTTCTTCATAAAGGCTGGATTGTTTTGTGGCTACCCTGATTTGACCATAGCGCACTGCCTGGTGGGAAGGGTTAAACCTCTCATTCTAAGCTAAACAAGATTACTCTGAAGGCTGGCATTCAGGGGCTTGTTTTTAGTGTAATGGGTTAGGGGCTATGGCACACCCCTTGCAGTTCCACTAATTGAACTCTTTGGGTACTTCAGTTTCTAATAGTTAGCTCTAGAAGGGGCTTGCCATGGGTACGCAAGAAATTGCTCACTGCTTGATTTCCCCACGTTAGTTTAATGAGGAAGAATGGGTCACCATGCCAACCAAAACACCATAGCAATGGGTTTAGAGGCATCCTTTCTTGATACTTGCTTCCCATTTAGGGGTTTCTAATATACTACAAACGCTATAGAGTGTCAGACAAAAACCAAATAGGATTTGAAATCAATGTGTCCTCTCGTACAATACATGTAAGTGACTATGTTGAGTTATCCTGAATTTTACTTCGTTGTGTATTCAGACTTTTTTGATTAATTTAGAAGGTAGCAAGGCACTTAATGTTGGTCTTATTTTTCAGTTGTTAATTTTTCTTTGCTAGCAGTTTTCAGCTATTGATCTATCAAAGCTCATCTACATTTAATTTCATTTGGTTTCTAAGAGCTTTTATTCTACTGTAGTAACAACCATTTAAAAATTTATTTTTTAGAACAGTTTTAGGTTTATATAAAAATTAAGAAAATAAGGCAAAGTTCCCATACACCCAGTTTCCCCTATTATTAGCATCCTGCATTAGTGTTGTGCATTTGTTGCAATTAATGACCCAGAGCTGATACATTATTATATCAATAGTTTATTCAGATTTTTTAGTTTTTACCTAATGTCATTTTTCAGTTCCATGGTGTCAGCTGGGATGGCACATTTATTTGTCATGTCTCCTTAGACTCTTGCATGTGAGTTTTTCAGACTTTTTTTGTTTATTTTCTGATTGAGACAGGGTCTAGCTCTGTTACCCACACAGGAGTGTAGTTGCACAATCACAGCTCACAGCAGCCTCAACCTCCCAGACTCACGCAATCCTCCTTCCTCAGCCTCTCTTGTAGCTGGGACTACAAGCACAAGCCACCACACCTGGCTGATTTTTGTACTTTTTTTTTTTTTTGTAGAGATGGGCTCTTACTTTGTTGCCCAGGGTGGTCTCGAACTCCTGAACTCAAGTAATCCTCCCACCTTGGCATCCCAAAGTGCTGGGATTGCAGGTGTGAGCTACCACACCCAGCCAGACTTTGTTTTTGATGACTGACAGTTTTGAGGATTCCCAATTATATATTTAGCAGTATGTCTTTCCATTGGAATTTGTCGGATTTTTGTTTAAATGATTAATCTGGGAATAAGTTTTTTTTAATTTTGTTATCTGTTTTCTTTTTTTAGTTTTTTTTTCTAATTTTCTTAAGTTTTTGTTTGTTTTTGAGACAGAGACACTCTGTCACCCATGCTTGAGTGCAGTGGCTAATCAGAGCTCACTGTAGTCTTGATTTCCTGGGCTCAAGCAATCCTCCTACCTCAGCCTCCTGAGTAGCTGGGAATACAGGTGTATGCCACCATGTCTGGCTAATTTTTTTTTTTTCTATAGAGATAGGATTTTATTATGTTGCCCAAGTGGGTCCTGAACTTTTGGCCTTGAGTGATTCCCCCCACCTTTGCCTCTTAAAGTGCTGAGATTACAGGTGTGAGCCATTGCTCCTGGCTGGGTATATAGGTTTTGAGAGGAAGAACATACATGTAAAATAACATTTTCATCACATCATAACAAGGGTACATACTGTCAACACAACTTACCACTATAAAGTTGACCTTCATCACCTGCCAGTGATAGTGTTTTTCAGGTTTCTCCACCGTAAAGTTACTTTCTCCCCACATCTTCCCACCCAACCAGTTCATACTGTGCCTTTTGGAAGGAAGTCACTATGCACAGACCACATCTAAGGAATGGGAATTATGCTCCCCTTTTTTGAGGTTGGAGAATATATATAAGTTATTTGGAATTCTTCTGCAAAGAAGATTTGTTTCTTCTCTCATTTATTTATTTTTTGTATCACTTATCAATATGGACTCATGAATATTTATTTTATACTTTGGGTTATAATCCACTGCCACTTTACTTTTTTTGATGCTCAAATTCTTCCAGCTTTGGCCATTGGGAGCTCTTTAAGTGGGTTCCTGTGTCTCTTTCACACTTGGACATATCTGTATCAGTGTACTTTCACGTGTGTTTTGAGCACTTTCTCCCTTTCTGGCACTACAAGTTGCTTTAAGCTCATTTTGTATATTTTCTGTTCCAGTCCTAAAATCAATCCATTTATCCAAGGAGCCCTGATACACTTTATTGGAAAATGGTAACAACCATTGAAGGAATAAATACAAAAAAATTTAAGTAAAATTCAGGAAAATATCTTTCAAGTATGATTAAATGAGAGACTAGATGATCATCTTAAGCTGTTATGTGTTTAGCTGGAGATGTACTAATGCTTTCTGATGGATGCTTGAACTCAGTGGGAAACATGATGGTGTACTATGGGTTTAAGTGAACAAAAGAACTCATTATAATCCGAAATACTGAATATCTTAAGATACTTTTTTATGCCCCTTAATCTTTAAATTTTTTCCTCACAAAGTCTGGATATGCCCACTCATTGAACCTCTTTTAATATTTTTTGCGATACCAAACATTATAAAACTCTTTAATCTTGTCTGTTAGTTGGTGTGGGGGAGAAAACAAATGTTTCTAATCTTACAGACAGGATGATCATTAATAAGGAAACCCATTTTTCTTTTAAAGGGAAACAGAACAACTATGACAACTTGATTATGATGAAACTTTGATTAATCACATGGATATGTTCTAGAAACAATTCCTAACCATACTTTCAGCCATGCATTCCTTCTTGTCACATGTTCAGAAATTATGCCTTTGAGGGGAGTATCCAGTGGTAACTATTTTGGGAAGGAGGAGAGCTAAGAGAAATCCTATTTTACTGACATAAGAAAAGTGATGGATGGTGAATATAAAATAGAAGGTGCTAGATTTTTGTTATGTCTGGATAGCCTTTTCTCTGTCTTATAACTTTCAGAAACTGATTTTTATCTACTTTATTATTACAACTACTATCATTGCCAAGGGCTTAATTTGGAATTAAATGAGCCTTATGCTTAAGTAATTTATTCTCGTTAGTTTGCCAAAATGTAGGTCTCATGATGGTTTTAATATTCAACAGCAGGATGTTTACATTTTTCGTTCATTGAGACTAAAATATTCCTTTTCAGTTTCATTTATGTCCCAGAAAATCTGAGATCAGAAGACAATATTGAAGCTGCTATTATTAATGACAGTTTTCTTTCATAATAGAGAGGGGAGCTGTTATAGTTGAATTTTACTTCACTCTTATTTTTATGTATTTAGTCAAAGACCCCCATAGAAGGGAATAATTCACCACAGGGCTTCTGTAGAGGTATCACCACTAACTAATATGGCAGAGTCTTCTCATTGGCTTCTCCCTCATATTTCAGGTGATATGTGGGGAAGATTTTGATGTTTTCTGATAAATTTCACATTATTCATTCATTAAGCTATAGTTATATACTTTCATTCCATTAGTGTGTCAAAAAACTAAGTTGTCAACCAGGAACCTTATATTGGCTGACTTTAATTCTATGATTTTCTATGTATGGCAGTTTCAGGAAAAACTCTCTAAAATTTTATAATTAGAAATATCTATTTTTGTTTATCAGAAAAGTGGGGATTAGAGCTGATTTCCTTTTTTATGTTAAATAACTTTAAAAATGAACATATTTGAACATCTTAAAAATTAGACTTTCGGCCAGATGTGGTGGCTCATGCCTGTAGTCCCAGCACTTTGGGAGGCTGAGGCGGGCAGATCACCTGAGGTTGGGAGTTCGAGACCAGCCTGACCAACATGGAGAAACTCCGTCTCTACTAAAAATACAAAATTAGCCTGGCGTGGTGGCACATGCCTGTAATTCCACCTACTCAGGAGGCTGAACTAGGAGAATTGCTTGATCCCAGGAGGCGGAGGTTGCAGTGAGCCGAAATCGCGCCATTGCATTCCAGCCTGGGTAACAAGAGCGAAACTCTATCTCAAAAAAATAAAATAAAATAATAAAATAAAATTAAAAAATTACACTTTCATAAGGCAGACCTATAATGTTTTGTGAACAATTAGGTGAATTAAAACATGAAGAAACCCTGTCCATACTGGTGTGAAATGTATCTGTAAATTTTTTGTTTGTACAGATGCAGTAATTTTCCCATTTATATTTCTACTTTTACAACAAAGTTGTAGTTAGGAAAATGTTCCTCCAGAACATATGCTACTACTTTAATGTGTGCTTTTCATGGAGAGAGGGAAACAGGCAGAAAACATTTGATGACATAAAGGTGAAAAGGTCAAGTTTCTGTATGTGGTGACAACAAACTGCTTGAAAATGGTGACTTGGAGTTGTGTGGAAGACTTTTGACTTTGTTTTTTTAAGAGATGAGGTCTCGCTATGTTGTCAAGGCTGATCTTGAACTCTTGGGCTCAGGGCATCTTCCTACCTCAGCCTCCTGAGTAGTTGGGACTACAGGCTACTGTGCACAGCTAATTCTGTTGACTTATGAGCCTTTGTGTGGGATATTGGGAGCTAGGAGTTAGCATAATGGTATAAAATGTGTGAGAGAAAGATAGAAACTGACTTTTAAAAGTTTGAGGGTCAGACTTAGTTTAAGAATCATTTATTTGAATTCCTACAAATGTCAGACTCTGTGTTACCCTCTTGGGAGAGATGTGTCAGTTATAGCTTAGCTCTAGAAGAGAGTGTTTTGATATTGTATATCCCACTGCTGTGCATTTTGCTTTTATATTATTTTCCATTGAACTTAAGAGATGTTCTCATAAAATTAAGGTAACAATCGCAAGATAAGTATATTAGAACATGGAAAATATTTTTAATTTTGAGACACTTAATTATAAAATAATAGCTTCAATAAATAACAAATATAGAAAAGTGTAGGAACTGGCCATGCACGGTGGCTCACACGTGTAATCCCAGAACTTTGGGAGGCTGAGGCGGGCAGATCATAAGTTCAGGAGTTCAAGACGAGCCTGACCAACATGGTGAAACCCGGTCTCTACTAAAAATACAAAAATTAGCCAGGCGTGGTGGCACACATCTGTAATCCCAGCTACTCGAGAGGCTGAGGCAGGAGAATCACTTGAATGTGGGAGGCAGAGGCTGCAGTGAGCCGAGATCGTACCATTGCACTCCAGCCTGGGAGACAGAGTCTCCAAAAAAAAAAAAAAAAGTGTAGGAAATGACACATCAGTTATCTACTTGCCTATAACCAAAATTTAGATTTGTTAATATATTAATTGCATATTTTTTAAATCTAGTCAGTGTAAGTCTAGGTATGTCAAGTTGTCAAACCTTTTAGTTTTTTCAAATAAGCTTTTCGAATAAAGGGGAGCCACACACAGATGGGGAGCCACACACAGATTTGAAGCCATCTTTTCTGTTATTCATGTACTCATCTCCCTACACTAGAGGTTTCCTCGTCTCATGTTTGGTATAAATACTTCTACACTTAAATAAAAAATAAAAGGCCTTTCGTACATACGTAAGCATTTGTGAAAAATATTTTTCACAAAAATATTTTTCACAAATAAGGTAGTATTTTTCTGAATGAACTTTATGATTCTGTAGCATGCATATTTTGCAACATGATTTTTCACCAGTCATGCTGTTATAGAATGATTTGGTTCACTGCTACATAATATTATGTTGATATTTATGCATATATATAAACATTTATCTCTCTTTGTATTGTATGTAGTTTATTTCTTTTATTTGCCATATGGATTCAGACATATGGCTATACCATGATTTTTTTATTACCATATTGAAATTTATATCTATTTCTGTTTTTTCTTTTATAAACAATGCTAAGTATCCTTGTATTTAGATCTTAGAGGTTTTGTTAGAATGTAGGTAACTAACTAGAGATTTCCAAGTCATACATGATACAAACTATTAATTTTATTGTGTACTTTCATTTTCACAACTGTACAATTTATATTTCCCCAACAATGTATGAGTCTACCTGTTCTAGAACAGTATCTGTGAAGTCTATCTCTTTAGTTTTGCACTTTATTTAACTTACATTTGTTTCACTTTAATCTTAATTGGTATTAACTCATGAGATTGAGTATCTTTTCAGATCTTTATGGTTATTTGTCTTTTCTCTGAATTTCCTGGCTATATTATTAATTCATTTTTTTTTCTGTTGGGTTTTTTGCCTTTGGTGGCTCATATTTAAGACATTTTTTCTCCTAATATTCTGGGAACAAATCTTATCTTCTGCATGTTGCAGCAATACTTGAATATTTTAACCTTGGGTTCTAACCTCCTTTGTAGTCTGGCCTTTGTGATACTCTTATTGTACTAAGAATTCAATTTGTCCCAGAGCCTGAGAAGGATAATTATTTATGTTTTGTTATGGTTTGCTTGTTTACAGTGAGGCAAATATACCTTAAAACTTTGTGAAACAAGAGTCCAACAACATTTTTAATATCAGTACTAAGAATTAGAGTTGTACAAATATGCAGTGACCCTCAACTTTGGCTGCATTAGAATCACCTATGAGATTTTACTTGGACTGGGGCATTAGTTTTTCTAAAAGCTCATAATTGATAATGATGGACCTTTAAGTTTGAAAACTATCCTTTAAGCCATTATGACTCTTCTCTCAAAGTGGTTTTCTGGACAGAGTAGTAGAATGTGTGAAGCTCCAAGAACACACAGAGTCTCTCTTTTTTTTATGAGAAGTTCATATCCAGCGTATAGAAGAGTGCCTGCAACCTTAATGATAAGTTGAATGAACTAATTGTTTTAGCTACTAAATTGCAATCCTTTTCTAATGCTCCCTATCAAAGATTGTACTTAACTAATGTTTAAATATCCCACACTTTGAAGTCTTATTTTCTTTATATGAATTTTTGCTAGTTTTAGCTTGCAAGGAGATTCATGCCTTATCTATACTTGCATCTGAGAAATACAAGTGTTAGGTCAGTTTGTTACACCAAACTGCGGATACAGAAATGCTAAGGTAAATTGTAGGGTCACCTGACTCCTACTCCTAGTAGTAGCTCAGTAAAAATTTGCTAATTTGATTTAATCCATAAACCATAGCATAGGGACTAAATTAGAAATGAAAACCATTTCCATGCTTTCTTTTATCTTGTTTTAAGGCCATCTCCACAAGAACAGTTGAGATGTTTTATTAAAAATTGGATTTGAAGAGAGATTTGTTTTTTTATCAGAAGCTCATTTATATAGTTGATTTTTTTTGAGAAGAAGTTTGGCTCTTGTTGCCCAGGCTGGAGTGCAATGACGGGGCCTCGGCTCACTGCAACCTCCGCCTCCTGGGTTCAAGCGATTCTGCTGCCTCAGCCTTCTGAGTAGCTGGGATTACAGGCATGCGCCACCACGCCTGGCTAATTTTGTATTTTTAGTAGAGACGGGGTTTCTCCATGTTGGTCAGGCTGGTCCAGAGCTCCCGACCTCAGGTGACCCGCCTGCCTCAGCCTCCGAAATTGCTGGGATTACAGGTGTGAGCCACCACGCCCAGCCTAGTTGATAATTTTTAATAAAATTTTATGAGAAAGCATCAGAGACACTTGAAAATTGCAGTTTCATACTTTGGCTTATACTTTTTTTAATTTTTATTTTTATTTTAAGTTCCTGGGTACATGTGCAGGATATACAGGTTTGTTACATAGGTGAACGTGTGTTTTGGCCGATACTTTAAAAGCCATAGCAAATCACAACACTTTAGAAACTCTTCTACTTTAAACATTTTAAAATCGGCTTTACCTGTTGGTTTAGTTTCCCTTTAAGAGTGTCACTCACCAGCCTGGGTAACATGGCAAAACACCATCTTCAAAAAAATACACACGCACACACCTGTGGTCTCAGCTATTCCAGAGGCTGAGGTAGGAGGATTGCTTGAACCCAAGAGGTTGAGGCTGCAGTAAGCCATGATTGTACCACTGCACTCCAGCCTGGGTGAGAGAGCAAGACCCTGTCTTAAAAATAAATAAATAGAAAGAGTGAGTCATTTATTTCGTCCTTACAGAACTCACCATTAAGTTAGAATAAGTATGTGAAAGCATTTCACTTCAGAACCGTAGTATCTTTTGATCTTAGTGACTGTTAGTTGTTCAAATGAGGGATTATATATGAAGATACTTTAAATGTGAAATAATACATAAATTAATGTTTGTTAGCATTTTATTACTTATGTTTTCTTGTTTTTATGTCATTTTCATTTTCTCAGTACTTAGACATATAATATTTAACATTCAATAGTTTTCATTATTCATATCTTTATAGCCCATTGTATTTAAATTTTCTTTTTAGCATAATAAATGCAATAATATGACCACATCTGGAATCTCAATTTTATTTCGATAATTATTAAGATATAACAAATTATTAGAGATACGTCTATGAAAAATTAAAGAATAAAGTAGTTTTGCCTTGTTATGACATTTCTGTCTTTAGAAATAAAATAGAATTACATCATTGTTAAGGCTAACTACTTCTGGAGTTTAATGACTAGCAAAGAAATCTGACCATGTTTCCTCCTTCGTGTGGCTCTCCTGTCCCTTGGCTTCTCTTCTTGCCTGATTACAGCTGTTTTTGTAATGCTTTCTCTCTTCCTCTCTACATCCCCGATCACTTCCACCACAAGATATTGTAATAGAATGTTCTTAGGCACATTTTAAAAATGGGCTTTTGGTACAAATTCAGAATTCAGTTGTCTTTCAAGATCAGTCTTCTTTATCCATGATATCTTGTCTCCTTTATCTTTGCCAAATGGTGTTTCTCACTTGTATAATCTAAGAGTACTCAATTATGTGATTGATCCGATCATGTTATTACAAGCTCTTAAGCATGGTTTTGTGGTATTTTTCTTTCTAAAATCAAGAAATTTTAGAATTATTATTGCTGGGTAGAATTTCAGAGGAACAATGGAATGGTTTGCAAAAGTTATTCTTAGATGATAATGAGGCTTTGAAGTATTTCGGCAGTTTAAAAGTTAGATTGGTGGGCCAGTCACGGTGGCTCACGCCTGTAATCCCAGCACTTTGGGAGGCTGAGGCAGGTGGATCACGAGGTCAAGAGATCAAGACCATCCTGGCCAACATGGTGCAACCCCGTCTCTACTAAAAATACGAAAAATTAGCTGGGCATGGTGGCACGTGCCTGTAGTCCCAGCTACTTGCAAAGCTGAGGCAGGAGGATTGCTTGAACCTGGGAGGTAGAGGTTACAGTGAGCTGAGATCATGCCACTGCACTTCAGCCTGGCGACAGAGCAAGACTCTATCTCAAAAAAAAAAAAAAAGAAAAGAAAAGAAAAGAAAAAAGTTAGATTGGTGAGGCAGAATGTGATATTTCTCCTTCTACTATTAAAAATTCCATACAGCATTATGTGAATTAATCTTAATCCAACATTTGACAAGGATGTTTTTAAAACAAGTTAATGCTGTGAATTTGGCACTATTGTATCTGATATTAATGAATAATTCCACCGCTTAAAATTGTCTAATTTCCATCTGGTTGCTGTTTCTCATTTTCCTTATTTTACATGTTTAACTTCTAACCACCTATTCTTTTGCTTCTCTTATTTTATACTCAGAATTACCCCCTTTTAGATTAAAAAAAAAACTTTCATACTTTTGAAATGTAAAAATGGACATATCACCATAAAGTGAGAAGGGAACCCTAAATGAATTACAAACTTTTTGTTTTGTTAGAGATAGAAAAACTTCTAAGATCTTAAAAGTAAGATCTGAGTTTAAAATTAGGGAATAAAATAAGTTGTGTTAAGAAGGACAGGGTCACCAGTTAGGAGGAGATTATTGTAGGAATCCCAGTGTTGGCACTTGGGACTAGTGATGACAGAGGAGATGGAGAGAAAAAGGACAGATTCAGGATATATTTGGACGTGAAAGTTGTGAAGACTTGATAATGAGTGGAATGTGGAGGGAAGGAAAGAGGCTATGAAGAAGAAACTGGTTACGTACTGTTACTATTTCCTGATGGTGACGATGATTGGAGGAGGAACTGTTTTATTTCCGTTGGGGAAGTATGAAGTCAGGAGTTCTATTTTGGGTATTTAGAATTTGAGGTATCTAAGTGAATATGCCCAGTAGGCAACTGAATAATTGCCTATGGAGGTGAGGGAGGGTGAAGGTACAGTCATTAGTGTACATTAAGGACGTTTAAAATCATGAACCTTGTTGAGGATCATTAGGTTGAAGGTAGAGTGGAAAAGAGCATTCATAATTAGTTCTGTGGCTTCCAGCAATCAGAGTTGGTGTGGAGGAGAAGTCTGAGGAGCAGAGTCCAGTGTGGCAGTTGTATACAATACATAGACATTGTTTTCATAGAAGTTGTATATGCTTAAGGTATATTGCTCTTTGTGGGTTGTTTTTAAAATTAAATATTTGGTGTATCCTTTGTAAGATTCTAAACCCCCTTCTGAATGTCATTGAGTAAGACAATTCTATACAACGCCAGGATGTTTGCTGTAAAGAATGGCTTTACCATTGAACCATTAAGGTTGGGATATGGTGCCCATTTTAACCCTTCCTGGTCTGCCTCTTTACGACTTAGATTTTTAGATGTCACCTAAGTTTCTTGCTGGGGGAGAAGGACTTTGCCAGAAAATTAGCCTTAACATGATGTCCTTTGACCCTCCTCACAATTTTTTGTCATTCTCTTGAAATAAGTTAGTTCATTATTAAAGAAGTCATTTTATTTTATTTTTTATTTGAGTCGGAGTCTCACTCTGTTGCCCAGGCTGGAGTGCAGTGGTGCAATCTCAGCTCACTGCAACATGTTTCTCCTAGGTTCAAGCTATGGTCCTGCCTCAGCCTCCTGAGTAGCTGGGACTACAGGTGCACACCACCATGCCTGGCAATTTTTTTTTTTTTTTTTTTTTTTAGTAGAGATGGGGAGATGGGGTTTCACCACGTTTGCCAGACTGGTTTCAAACTCCTGGTCTCAAATGATCCACCCACCTCAGCCTCCCAAAGTTCTGGGATTACAGGGGTGAGCCACTGTGCCCGGCCTAAAGTAATTTTATTTTTAAAAGCTGTCATCAACATGAAAAATTTGGGATTCATGAGGAGTGTTTTTGAGTGTTGGATGCCACTGATATCAGTGACAATATGGGGCAGCAGATAAAAGCCTGGTTTATAAATTCTGCAAGGACGGAACTCTTTAAGACAATGAAATGGGGACTGGCTTAGACATAGCTGCGTGCCTTTACTCCATTAGAGACAAGCACAAGAGTCCTGCCATACCACATATTTTTTGACATGACTACTTTTTGTTTTTCTTCAAAATCTAAACTACGATAAAATGAAAGACAACAGTTATTAGGTGCCTTTATCTTATGCAGAGTGCTAAGTACTGTACATTGTGGTCCCCTTGTGACCCAACATGAATTCTGAAAGGGAAATAAATATATTGAACCTACTTTGTAGAGGTCACAAAATTGAAGCTATGATTATTGGTATTTTAGAGAGAAAAAAATAAGAAAAGATAATCAAAAAATATATACAAACTACGATTTCAGATTCAGGTTTTTTTGGAGATTAAAATTTCTCTAGGCGTGCTTGAAAGGTGATGGACATGAAGTCATGTTTTGGAGACATCATGCTGTGTTTTTAACGGTCCATTTAAAAATGTATTTTATCTCTAAGTGTTAAGTGTTCCCATGCTGTACTGATAATAATCTTAATTTTTCCCTTCTCTCTTTTGGTTTCAGAGGAAGAACTTGTCGCTTTTCCTAAGCATTAGTTTGTTAATTTTCTGGGGTTCCTCCCTTTTGGGTGCCCGGTTATACTGGATGGGAAACAAACCACCAAGCTTTTCCAACTCGGACAACCCCGCTGCTGATTCGGACAGCCTCCTCACCCGCACTCTCACCTTCTTCTACTTGCCAACCAAGAACCTCTGGCTGTTGCTATGTCCAGATACCCTCAGTTTTGATTGGTCAATGGATGCTGTGCCTCTGCTCAAAACAGTTTGTGACTGGAGAAACCTACACACTGTGGCCTTCTATACTGGACTCCTTCTCCTTGCCTACTATGGTTTGAAGAGCCCGAGCGTAGACAGAGAATGCAATGGGAAAACTGTAACAAATGGCAAGCAGAATGCAAATGGACATAGCTGCCTTTCAGATGTGGAGTACCAGAACTCAGAGACTAAGTCCAGCTTTGCATCCAAAGTAGAAAATGGCATTAAAAACGATGTATCACAGAGAACCCAGCTTCCTTCTACGGAGAACATTGTTGTTCTGTCTTTATCTTTGTTAATCATACCCTTTGTTCCTGCCACGAACCTGTTTTTCTATGTCGGCTTTGTAATTGCAGAGCGAGTATTATATATTCCTAGTATGGGCTTCTGCCTACTGATTACAGTGGGTGCTAGAGCCCTTTATGTCAAAGTCCAAAAGCGGTTCCTCAAGAGCTTGATTTTTTATGCTACAGCTACACTAATTGTTTTTTATGGACTCAAGACTGCGATCAGGAATGGAGACTGGCAGAATGAGGAAATGCTTTATAGATCAGGGATAAAAGTAAACCCAGCTAAAGGTAATCTTTTATTTTATGCTTTTGTCTGGATAGTTTACACTTTCAGCCTCTTTATATCTTTGCTTCTTGTCTTAAAACACAGTATTAAGGAGGAAGAGGTCCTTTTATGCAGTACCTGTATCTTTCATTCTTTTTATTTTTTTAAAGAGATATGCCATATAACCAATTTAGAGACATATCCAATATTCCTTACTTGGAATAAGAAAATATTTTTCTGTGTTTCTGACTATGTTTGTCCAGAAGAATTAGAGCTCCTGTTGTGTAAACAATATTGACTATTCCAAGAATTTAGAAAAGAGCTTGGTTTTCACATTTTAAAATACTGATAGGTACAGCTCTTTTATCATATAATAAAAGTTAGGCTATCCCACTGAAGTATACTTCAGCTCTTCTATTTTCCAAGCATCGCCTGAGGAAATACAAGACTTTCATTGAAACCTTTAAAAGATTTGGAGATTTCACTGCCTCTGAATCCTGAAAGTATGTCTCTAGATGTCAGTGTGTACACATTCAGGTATGAGTCACCTTTGGCTGCGCAGAGGCTGAATTATCTGAGTGTTGCCAAGCAGTTAGCAAGTTTTTACTTGAGTTCTTAAGTCACTTAGAAAAACACACTTCTCACTACATAATGAGAGTTTTGATTATACCATTCATGATTGCTTTAGATTTAGAAAATTACTTGAGCAAATCTCAGAATCGATAGAGTAGAAAGTAGTTTCCTTTAAAATAAAAAAGTCAAAAGCTATGACAATGGATGACTCTAGTTTAGGCAATTAAATGTATTGGAAGCTAGAGGACAATTACATAAAAATAGATGTAAATTTTTAGTGCAGAAATATATCATAGTAAATAGTACTAAAGAGTCTTGTTCTTCATAAGCCATTTTTATTCTTTTTTGAGACCGGGTCTTGCTCTGTCGCCCAGGCCGGAGTGCAATGGCATGATCTCGACTTACTGCAACCTCCACCTCCTGGGTTCAAGCGATTCTCCTCCTCCAGACTCCAGAGGCACTGAGATTACAGGCGCCCACCACCACACCTGGCTAATTTTTGTATTTTTAGTAGAGATGGGGTTTCACCACGTTAGCCAGGCCGGTCTCAACTCCTGACCTTAGGTGATCTGCCTGCCTTGGCCTCCTAAAGTGCTAGGATTACAGGTGTGAGCCACCACACCTGGCCTATTTTTATTCTTTAAATTATGTTTGCTGATATAGCATTTGAACTGGCATTTTTCTACTCTTTCCAACACAATTCTATATCAGGATTAAAAGAAGGTGTAAAACTGTTCCAGAATATGAAAATGGCCTGCTAATAGGTGTATATATATATATATAAAGACCTAGATACTCCAAAAGCTACTTTGGCATGCTTGTCTGATGAGCACAAATTAAGTCAAGAATTCAGTGAGCAACTACACATTTCTTTAAGGAACTAATTGCTTGTACTTAACACTGTTTAATAAATTGCAGGGATTTTAATGGGAAGTTGAAGCATTAAAGTTGAGCTACTGCATAGCATGTAATTTCTCAATTCTCTGTGAAAAATCATTACCATGTGACTTTTCCTAGGTGGCGAGTACTTCACAGTTTATTGAATGCCTGGACCCAAATCTTGTAAAAATCATTACAATTAGTTTTTGCAGAATAATTATCAGCTAGTTTTTCTGCACTGGTAGATGTAAGGTTATAGAATAAGGCTATGTTGCCAATTTATTTTCCTGCTGTTTAAAACATATAGGGAATTGAAAAAATTCTTGGCATATTATTTGCATCACAGTGTTGTTCTGAGGGTTTATTAAATTTATTAAGTTTCAGGCTAAGCTGCTGTTACAAAAAGCCAAGACAAAAGTGGCTTAAGTAAGATAGAAGCTTTATTCTTTCATGTGACAATCTAAGTATGTGCAAACACAGAGCTGATAAGATGGCGCCATGGGTTCTCAGAATCCAAGCTATTTCTCTTTTATTCCCTTGCCATCTCAGTGGTGTCACCCTGTCCTTATGGTCCAAGATGGCTCATTATCACATTAGCACTTCAGCTGACAGGAAGAGAGGGAGAAAGGGCAAATGGTGGGTGTACCCGATCTTAGAGCATATTGCAGAAATTGCACACACCATGCTTGTTCACAGACCACTGGGCACACCTACCTAAAAGGAAGGCTGGGAAATGTTATCTTCATTCTGGGAAGCCAAGTACCCAGCCAAATTTTATTACACTGCAAAAAGGAGAGGGCAAATACTCAGATGCTAGGGTATAAGTAGCAGTCAGTCAGAATAAGTGAAAACGTTTTGTAACGCTTAGGTATTTTCCAGCATTAGCTGGTATTTTTGCTGAAAGTTACGATTCTAAATAAGATATTTTGGTACACAGTTAGAATGTTTGATCATTTCTTTATTTTTCCATTCACTAAGTAAAACAATTATTAAACATTTCCTTGGTTTCCAACATTTTCAGGTGTCCATCCTAATACTTAGGAAGTGCTGCAGAATTTAGGCACTCCAAAATATTATTAGCTAAATAAATGTACAGCTGACCACTACCATGATAAGTTCTTTCAGACATCAAACACTGAATTCCTGAAACACCCCACCCCACTCATGGCCCAGTCAACTGCCTTACTTGCAGGCTTTACCATCTCAGTTGATGGAATCTCCATTTCCCCAGCAGCTCTGGCCGAGAATTCTGAAGTCATCCCTGCCTCCTCTTTTCCCTTCACAGTTGACCTCCTCTTTTCCCTTCATAGCTGACATCCATTCCATCAGCAGATCCTCTCTGCTCTGTTTGTAAAAATACATCCAGAGCTTGGCCACTTTTTACCACCATCACTGTTGGCATCATGGCCTGGGTGACCACCATCTTTTATCTGGAATATATATATAGGAATATATATATGTGTGGAATATATATATATAAGAATATATATATATGTGGAATATATATATATAAGAATATATATATGTGGAATATATATATATAAGAATATATATATGTGGAATATATATATATAAGAATATATATATAAGAATATATATGTGGAATATATATATATAAGAAAATATATATATGTGGAATATATATATAAGAATATATATATGTGGAATATATATATATAAGAATATATATGTGGAATATATATATAAGAATACATATATAGGAATATATATATATCCGGAATATAGATATAGGAATATATATACATATCCGGAATATAGATATGTAGGAATATATATACATATCCGGAATATAGATATGTAGGAATGTATATACATATCCGGAATATAGATATGTAGGAATGTATATACATATCCGGAATATAGATATGTAGGAATGTATATACATATCCGGAATATAGATCTGTAGGAATGTATATACATATCCGGAATATAGATCTGTAGGAATGTATATACATATCCGGAATATAGATATGTAGGAATGTATATACATATCCGGAATATAGATCTGTAGGAATGTATATACATATCCGGAATATAGATCTGTAGGAATGTATATACATATCCGGAATATAGATCTGTAGGAATGTATATACATATCCGGAATATAGATCTGTAGGAATGTATATACATATCCGGAATATAGATATGTAGGAATGTATATACATATCCGGAATATAGATATGTAGGAATGTATATACATATCCGGAATATAGATATGTAGGAATGTATATACATATCCGGAATATAGATATGTAGGAATGTATATACATATCCGGAATATAGATATGTAGGAATGTATATACATATCCGGAATATAGATATGTAGGAATGTATATACATATCCGGAATATAGATATGTAGGAATGTATATACATATCCGGAATATAGATATGTAGGAATGTATATACATATCCGGAATATAGATATGTAGGAATGTATATACATATCCGGAATATAGATATGTAGGAATGTATATACATATCCGGAATATAGATATGTAGGAATATATATAGGAATATATATAGAGAGGAATATATATAGGAATATATATCTCTGGAATATATATATAGGAATATATATCTCTGGAATATATATATAGGAATATATATCTCTGGAATATATATATATAGGAATATATATCTCTGGAATATATATATAGGAATATATATAGAGAGGTATATATATAGGAATATATATACCTGGAATATATATATATAGGAATATATATACCTGGAATATATATATATAGGAATATATATACCTGGAATATATATATATAGGAATATATATACCTGGAATATATATATAGGAATATATATATATCTGGAATATATATATAGGAATATATATATATCTGGAATATATATATAGGAATATATATATATCTGGAATATATATATAGGAATATATATATATCTGGAATATATATATAGGAATATATATATATCTGGAATATATATATAGGAATATATATATATCTGGAATATATATATAGGAATATATATATATCTGGAATATATATATAGGAATATATATATATCTGGAATATATATATAGGAATATATATATATCTGGAATATATATATAGGAATATATATATATCTGGAATATATATATAGGAATATATATACCTGGAATATATATATAGGAATATATATATATCTGGAATATATATATAGAGAGAGTAATATATATATATATATATTTTTTTTTCTTTTTTTTTTTTGAGACAGATTCTCGCTCTGTTGCCCAGGCTGGCATGCAGTGGTGCGATCTTGGCTCACCACGACCTCCGACTTCTGGGTTCAAGCAATTCACCGGCCACAGCCTCCCAAGTAGCTAGGACTACAGGCATGCACCACCAAGCCCAGCTAATTTTTGTATTTTTAGTAGAGACGGGTTTCACTATCTTGGCCAGGTTGGTCTCAAACTCCTGACCTCGTGATCCACCCGCCTCGGCCTCCCAAAGTGCTGGGATTACAGGCCTTATCTGTAATATTAGTAAAAGACTCTCACCTCACCTCCCAGCTTGTATTTCTTGCCTTTTAGCATGTCTTGTACTTTTTTCTTTCGACTCAGACATGATGTATTGGGTAATAAGAAATGAGGTGAACAGGCTTTATTGTGAGATTTTATGTAAATCTGGTTAGGAGTTGGACTGTATTTTGCTATAGCCGTGGGTGCCAGAGATGCCACATTCCTCTGGTGGCCTTGTTTTTGGTCTTCCCAGTTGTCTGTGGGCTTTCCCACAGACTCAGTTTGCTTTGCATCTATTTCAGCTGTAATCAACTATTATTATACTGCAGCTCTGTTGGTATGGGGGAGGAAAAATGTTCTATTATTTTATGACTAAATCTTCGCCTCTCTGGGCTACTACCTTCACCAAGTGTTTCTTCTCTTTCCTTATGTCCCACTCCAGTTAAGACAGAAAGGCTAGAGGGGGCTGAGTTGAGAGGAATGGTTTTCCCCCACGGCTCTGGGACAAGGCTGAGATCTTTCCCTTACGGAGTTAGTGGTCTTTTGTCATGACAGATGCTCTGGGTATATTTCATAAGGTTTATTCCTCTCCTACTGCCAGAGCCAGGAGAACATCTTTCTTGGCTCTTCCCGATGACACTCTGTTGGGGTCCCGGGAAGGAAAACCCCCAAAAGTTTGGGAGTCCCCTAAGACTGCCACCCTCAGGAGTTTCTGATTCTAAAACTAGTTTATGCTTAGCCTCCAGCAGCTTGTCAAAATGAGTAGTCAATTGTTTCTAACAGTTTCTGTCTCCAGCAGCTTCTGCTCCAGGTAAGCTCTCCTGTGCTGTGTCTCTGGATTTGTCTTTCTCTAGATTTCAGGGTGGTGGTTGGCCCTGTGACCCCAGTTCACTGATGGTTCCAAGACAAGTTATTGATTTTCAGTCTGTTTAGCTTTTTCTTTTTGTAATGATGTGAGTGACAACTTCACATTCTTTAATGTCTCAGCTGAACTCCTGCTTCTATTCACCTTCAAAGTCTATGCTTAACCAGCAGCCATGGTGACCTTTTGGAAACACAAGTCAGGGCATGGTGTTCCACTGTCCCCAATTATTCTCTGGCTGCCAGTTTCTCTCTAATTGAAGGCACATAACAGTGGCGGGGAGGGAGGGAGAGAGTCAAGGGTTCAAAAACTATTTATTGAGTACTATGCTCGCTTCTTGGGTGATAGGTTCAGTTGTGCTCCAGGACTCAGCCTCATGTAATATGCCTTTGTAACAAACCTGCACATATAGCCTTGGAATCTAAAATAAAAGCTGAAAAAATAAAAATAAATAAAATTAGAACAGTTCTGTACTTTAAAAACTCTAGCTAGCTAGATAGATTATAGATATGATAGATATAGATGCACACAGTCTCAGGACCCTGTGTATACTCACCAGCCTTTCCTTCCCTTACTCCACACCAGCCCTGCTGGCCTCTTTGATGTGCCTTTTATATGCTAGGTAAGCTCCTGCCGCAGAGCTTTTACCTTCGTCATTGCTTCTTCCTGCAATGTGTTCTCCTGGTTATTCTCACTGGGGTCTCCCTTACCTCCTTTAAGTCTCTGACCAATTGTTGCATTATCAGTAAGGTGCTTTATGTAAAATTGACTGCCCTGCTATAAATTACAGCCACCCCTCCACCTCTGTCTTACTGAGCATTCCCTATCCTCTTTCCATGCTTCATTTTTATCTTAGCACTTATCACTATTTGACATACTATATTTTCTATAATTATGTGTTCATTGTATGAACGTGTTGTCAGCATACACTAGAATGTACAACACAAGAAGGTAGAGTTTTTTTGTTTTTGTTTTGTTTTTGTTTTGTTTTTTTGAGACAGAGTCTCGCTCTGTCGCCCAGGCTGGAGTGCAGTGGCGCGATCTCGCCTCACTGCAAGCGCCGCCTCCCAGGTTCACGCCATTCTCCTGCCTCAGCCTCCCGAGTAGCTGGGACTACAGGCGCCCGCCACCACGCCCAGCTAATTTTTTTTGTATTTTTAGTAGAGACGGGGTTTCACCGTGTTGGACAGGATGGTCTCGATCTCCTGACCTCGTGATTCACCCTCCTCGGCCTCCCAAAGTGCCGGGATTACAGGCGTGAGCCACCGCGCCCCGCCGATATTTTTACATTTTAAAAAATGGCATAGATGCTGCAACGAGGACTGTGCCTGGTAAAGCAAAGGCATTCAGTAATGGATATGTTCAGTATTATTACAGTCATAGTCCTTCTCTTTAAGGAGTTCATGATCTGTTTACAGATATAATGTACATGCATGAAATAAGGCAAAAGTGTGAAATATTATGCCTTTGATATGCCAGGTAGTGAGGGATGCTTTATCATGAGAGGGTTAGAATCGGGAGTAGAGTTAGTTTCGGATTGTGTGACTGCATCTGTGTGTGACATATGCTTCCATTTTGATACAAGGCAAAACTCTTCCAATCCAGGTTTCTTATATTTTTTTCTGTTTATAAGATGTTAATAATAATTCTGGCTGTAGTTACTTCCTTAGCAATTATGAGACTGTCAGTAATCTTCCTTAAGGCAGATTTTCTTAGTCTAATACATTATTTGAACCTAAGTAAAACATTAGAAACCCTATAAAGCCAGTCTTATGTATGTATGGTTTTCTGAGATTACAGATGGAGTTAGGATTTTTTTTCTTCCTTTGAAAGCCTTTGCAAATTCTGGAATACTTCAGTCTACCATGTGCTTTAATGGAATATGATTTTAAGCCTCATGAAACAGTATGCATTAAAACTGCTGCCTTCAGTAATGGGTCCTGTAGACAGCTGCCAGTCATTAACTGATTGGATGCAAATGACGATGAGTAAACCCTGTCATAGTGACTGTGCTGCTAATTTATGGTTTAAATCTGGATAGTGGAGAAATGATAGCTGATTTGGACTATGTAAACCACAAGTCCTGTCTCATTATGTGGTTTATAATATCAGGAAAATACTAGACATAGTTGATTACTGTAGTTTGCTGATTTCACAATGACTCTTTGCATTTCTGTGCTTAGGAAAAAGCAAATTTTCTCTGATGACGCCTTAATGAGCAAGCCACATTATATCTGAAAGTGTTTCCCCCGTTCGCCTTTAAAGCAACTCATTTTTAAAGCCATATTGATTCGTATTTGCTTAAAGAAAGAATTTCTTGATTCATTACAAAGCAGTTAAATGTGTGATCACCCTTTTTGCTGTGGCCTCCTCTAAATCCCCATGTGGCTCTAGTCTCTGTAGAATTTGGCACCATTGATCTCTGTTACCATAGCTTTTAAGCCACTGCTTGGTTTTGACTATCTTTCTCCAATTTCCGACAGCTTTCTCTCTTCTATGATTTTTGCTTCCTCCCTAAACTAATCCATTCTTCAAGTTTTTTGTTTCTTTTTTTTTTTTTTTTCCTAAAACCTGCCTTTATTTTCCCTTCCCTACAGTATCTAGAACATTTCTTGGTATATAGTAGGGGTCAATAAATATACAATTGAATTTCTAAGTTATGTTCTTTGTGACCGCCTATCTATGAGGAACTTTTCCACCTGGGTGATCTGCCGGGATCTCAAACTGGTCACCTCTCTTCCCTGAAATCAACTTCTTGCAAACTTCCTTATTAATTAACATCATAATCCCAGGCCAACAAAGTTATAGATAAGCAGATCAGTGAGCACATAAACATAAAATAATTGTAGTATATATGGCAGCACATCTGGCTTGCTAAAGGCATTTTAAAATTAGGTTATAGATTCAAAATCAAATAGGTTCTGAGAATGGTTTGTTAACTCTATGTCAATTTGATTTAAAAAAATATGACTATGGTGGTTAATTGTTTGAAAGCAATTTCTTAAATAGTTAAGAACAATTAAGAGTGAATCTGAGGAAAACTTAAGTGCTAAAGGTTGTTTTTAATGCCCATTTTTAATGTAAATATGTGAAATGATAAATACAAAAGATATATGTAAAATTTCATACATATTTGGAACTTTCAAGGTGATTATCCTAGCAGTCTGCATTCACTCCCCCAGTGCAAATGACAAACATTACCTTTTTAGATATAGAAAAACACAGTTGGCCAGGCGCCATGGCTCACGCCTGTAATCCCAGCACTTTGGGAGGCCGAGGCGGGCGGATCACCTGAGGTCAGGAGTTCAAGACCATTCTGGTCAACATGGTGAAAGCCTGTCTCTACTAAAAATACAAAAATTAGCCGGGCATGGTGGCGGGCGCCTGTATTCCCAGCTACTCGGGAGGCTGAGGCAGGAGAATCGCTTGAACCCAGGAGGCAGAGGTTGCAGTGAGCCGAGATCGCGTCATTGCACCCCAGCCTGGGCAACAAGAGCGAAACTCTGTCTCAAAAAAAAAAAAAAAGAGAAAGGAAAAAGAGAGAGTCAAAATTGTTTCAATTTTGCAGCGTCTGACAATTTTTTTCCTTCATAGATTCCTGCAAAATTGGTGGTTCTATTTCAATTTAACATGGCATCAAATTTTAAGAAACAAGTATGTTGTAGGAATATCATTTAGGAAATAACTCACAATTTAAGTGAAACTCAAGCCTCTAAGCCATGTAAAAATTGACTATTTCCTTGTGGATTTTATAGTCTAAGCTTTTGTTTACCTCGAATTGAGTGTCTTTAACTATGATGAGTTGTAATTAACCAGCTAGCTTTGAAATGGTGTAACAAATTCTATTATTATATTTCACCAATAATTTGTCATGATATGTCCAAGGGAAGATAAAAATTTTTCAACAGAAGTTCAGATTTTTATAAAACATGAAATTTACCATTTAAGGCCAGACACGGTGGCTCAAGTCTGTAATCCCAGCACTTTGGGAGGCCAAGGCAGGCAGATCACATGAGGTCAGGAGTTTGAGACCAGCCTGGCCCACATGGTGAAACCCCATCTCTACTAAAAATACAAAAATTAGCCGGGTTTGGTGGCGGGCGCCTCAAACCCGCCTGAGGCAGGCGCCTCCTGCCTCAGCTACTCGGGAGGCTGAGGCAGGAGTATTGCTTGAACCCAGGAGGCGGAGGCTGCAGTGAGCCGAGATCGTGCCATTGCACTCCAGCCTGGGGGACAAGAGCAAGACTTTGTCTCAAAAAACAAACAAACAAACAAAACAAGAAAAAAGAAATTTACTAGTTAAATCAAGGAGGAAAACCACTATAGTATTTTGTTGAAACTGACTGGCCTGAGTTGTGCTGTAAAACACAGCTTTTCATTTTTACCAGAGAGCCTTGGTAAGAGAAACTAGCTAAAAGCATCCCACCAATAAAGGCTGATTGAGAGACAAATAGCAGGAAGTTAAATCTGGTTTCCATAAGGAAATTATGTGTTTTGTCTTCTCAGTCCATATCTTCTCTATTGAGTAGAAAAAAATAGATAAACAACAGGGCTGGCAAGAATAAAAGGAAGGTATCTCATTGGCTGAACTAGACTGAAATATTTTTTAAAAGCAGATTTACATTTACTAAATTGTTAAATTAAGGCCCATTTTAAATATTTGATTCTTGAAGAAATCAAGTATGGTTGTTTTCCATTTGGGATGGGGGAGTTGCAGAAGTTCAGACGCCTTTAAGAATGAATTGGGGCCGGGCGTGGTGGCTCATGCCTATAATACCAGCACTTTGGGAGGCCAAGTCGGGTGAATCATGAGGTCAGGAGTTCGAGACCAGCCTGGCTAGCATGGTGAAACCCTGTATCTACTAAAAATACAAAAAATTAGCTGGGCGTGGTGGTGCGCGCCTATAGTCCCAACTACTCAGGAGGCTCAGGCAGGATAATTGCCTGAGCCGGGCAGGTGGAGGTTGCAGTTAGTTGAGATTGTGCCACTGCACTCCAGCCTGGGTGACAGAGTGAGACTCCTTCTCAACTCCATCTCAAAAAAAAAAAAAGAATGAATTGACACAGAAATGTTTTCCTGTTGTCTGACTCTAATGATTTCAAGTACAGTTTTGTGGGGCAGGAAAAAAAATCCAGACCACAACAGACTCAGTGCAAGTGGTCCTGTGATGTATTATAGATGAAGTGGGTGCCATATTGCTGACTCTTAAAATTACCCACAACAAAACTTTTAGAATCTTTATGGGCTTTTGAAACCTTCAAACCTTAAAATTAGAGTTACTTTAGATTATATTTATCACGGTTTATATGCTAAAATACTTGAGACTAGCATATGATTAAGCATGAAGGTAAATTTTTCTGATTTCCATATTTTTGTGTTTCTTAAAAATGTCCTAGGCCAGGCGCGGTGGCTCATGCCTGTAATCCCAGCACTCTAGGAGGCCGAGGTGGGCAGATCATGAGGTCAGGAGTTCGAGACCAGCCTGGCCAATATGGTGAAATCCCATCTGTACTAAAAATACAAAAATTAGCTGGGCATGGTGGCAGGCACCTGTAGTCCCAGCTACTCAGGAGCCTGAGGCAGAAGAATTGCTTGCACCCAGGGGGCGGAGGTTGCAGTGAGCCGAGACTGTACCGAGGGCAACAGAGCGAGATTCCCTCTCAAAACAAAACAAAACAGAACAAAAACAAAAGCCCTAACATTTCTTTACTTTTATTAAATATATATGAAATATATCATTCATAGTCATATAAGTATGCATATACATCATATTTGTATAGTTTAAGGAATACTACTGAAATATCTATTCTGTAGCTTATTAAAGGAATATTACCAGTGTCTTTGAGGACCTTTCCCTATACTTCTCCTTATTTCTTGTTTAAAAAATGGTTTTTGATTTTTTCACCATTGATTTTATGTACTTACAGTTTTTTCTGTAGGTAACTTTTATCAGTAGAGTTTTCCTCATTTCTAGTTTAAGAACTATTTTATGAATTAATATTGATGATGATAGGTTTTCCTCACTTAGTCTCTTTGATGAATTATATTAATAGATTTTCTAATGTTGAACCTGTTTTGCATTCCTAGATTAAGCCCAGGAATTGATTATAATGTATTATCATTCCCATTTTCTTCTACATTTGTTTTTCATCTGTATTTCTGAGTGATTGTCAGTTTCTCTCTTGTGGTGTCATATTCTGGTTTTAAAATCAATGATCTTAACCTTATAGAATCAGGTTAGGAGCATTACTTCTTTTTCATTCCCTCAAAGATTTTATGTAAAATTAGAATTATTTTTTTCTTCTATATTAGGTAGAATTTACCTGCAAAACTAGCTAGGCATAATGTTTTGGTTATAGATGACTCTTTTTTTTTCCTGTTGATTTAATTTCTTTCATAGTTTTGGAAAGAGCCAAATTTGCTTTTGGGTCAGTTTTAGTAACTTTTTTCTCTGTGTTTTGTTCAATTGGTACAATGTTACACATAATATTCTTGTAATATCTTTCTAAAAATCTCTGCTACAATTGTAGTTTTAAAAGTGTTTTTGCTTGGATACTCTTCAGGCAACAGATGTAGTATTGCCCCAAACTTTGTGAAGGTGGACCTACGCATAAGAATTCCCAAGGAATATTTTTGCCTATTTTCTGTTTGTCCAAATAGGCCAAACAGTCACCCATCTTTTCATTCTCTAAGTTTTTTAAATTTTTTTGTTGCTAGTTAAGTGATGAAGTCTGTTTCCTTTCAGGCAGATCACAGTTTATGTGGCTTCTGCAGTGTGACCTCCTGCATGAAGTTCATTAAAGCCTAAACCTAGGTTTATCTGTTTGACAGATCTAGTGTATGCAAGGTGAATACCATCTTCACAGCTAGTTTACTTTTCTGGAGTCCTGCATTCATGAAGGTTTTTGTTTGTTTGTTTTTGAGATGGAGTCTCACTCTGTCGCCCAGGCTGGGGTATAGTGGTGCGATCTCGGATCACTGCAACCTCCACCTCCCAGGTTCAAGTGATTCTCCTCCTTCAGCCTCCCAAGTAGCTGGGATTACAGGCACGTGCCACCACACCCTGCCAATTTTTTTGTATTTTTAGTAGAGATGGGGTTTCACCATGTTAGCCAGGACAGTCTCATTCTCCTGACCTTGTGATCCACCCGCCTCAGCCTCCCAAAGTGCTGGGATTACAGGCATGAGCCACCGTGCCTGGCCTCATGAAGTTTTTAGACTTCAGGTTTGCCCTTACTTTCCAACCAATTAATACATTCATTTGCAAATATTTTTATTTTTAATGTAGCATTTTTATTGGTTCTGTACAAGGTGTGATTCTCTGAACATAGAGTTTCACTATACTGTCAGAAAATGAGACCTATGAAATATCTTCAAATCTGACACCTATTAAGGAATGATTAGCTATGTTAGAAGTTCTATTTGAGAATAGAGTTAAGATCAGAGCTACTATTTTTGAAATATTTAATTCTCTTTCAGCAAAAGAAAACTTAAAAGAAGCTAAAAATATGTGTAAAAACACTATCAAATTACAGGTATTTGAACCCTCTAAAGCAGGGTAAAATATGTTCCTTCCTTTCTGTAATATAGATACAATTGCTGATATTGTTAAAGAGCAGATTTTCGAGAGGACAAACACCTGTCTTAGTTTTAGCCTTATCACGCACTGGTGCCTATTTCTGGTGATCATGGATTTTGAAGAGAATTCCAGATAAGTCTCAAGAAGTTATGGAAAAAATTGAGATATTCAAGTCATATAATTATTGTAAAAGGATTTGATGTAGAGGAAGTGTGAGCCGTATTTTAATTTTTATGCATGTGGGCATTAAATTAGAAATCTTACTGAAATGGGAAAATTTCCCCTGTCCCCCTCACAGCGCGTGTGAAGAGGGTGTGGCTCACTTCTTCTGATCAAACCTCTAGGGGAACATACGGACAGGCAGGCTCCAACCCCAGGCTCCAACCCCACGGCAGTGCCTAGGGGGTGAATGTTTACAGCTACTGAAGCCCCAGTGGGCATGTTACAGTATGCTCCTTTAGTTTAGCCCTCTATAGGCGGCTTGTGTTAGCTCAATTAGACCCCCTTCCTTATCACAAGGACAGAGGGATTTCTGTATCCCAGGGTTTCTTACCTTGGTGTATCAGAAGAATCGGATTACATGTGGGCTTGGAGAATGAGTGGAAGGTTTGATTAAGAAGTAGCTCTTAGCAGACGGAGGGCCAGAAGGGAGATGGATTTCCCATGGAGTCCGGCTGCTCCCCAGCCTGGGCTCTCCTCTGATTGCTCCGGCCAAACTCTGCCTCATTTGGCTGGTGGATGTCCTTCTGGTATGCCCCTGTCTGTGTCCAGCCTCTTGTCATTTTCTGCAGATGTGTTCCTCTTGCCATCCAGCAGCAGCTTCTGTGTGTCTGCCTGCTAGGGTCTCTGGGTTGTTTTTTTCTTTTTTTTTTTTTTAGAGACAGAGGCAGAGTCTCGCTCTGTCGCCCAGGCTGGAGTGCAGTGGTGTGATCTTGGCTCACTGCAACCTCCACCACCCGGTTTCACGCCATTCTCCTGCCTCAGCCTCCCGAGTAGCTGGGACTACAGGCGTCCGCCACCATGCCCGGCTAATTTTTTGTATTTTTAGTAGAGACAGAGTTTCACCGTGTTAGCCAGGATGGTCTCTATCTCCTGACCTTGTGAGCCACCCACCTCAGCCTCCCAAAGTGTTGGGATTGCAGGTGTGAGCCACTGCGCCCGGCGGGTCTCGGGTTTTTACAGCCCCAGGGTTTGGGTGTGGGGGGGCCAGGGTGGTCTTGGAAAATGCAACATTTGGGCAGGAAGGCAGGAGTGCCTGTCCTCCCCTAGGTCTGTTGGGTGGAGCCCTAGCAAGGAACCATGCCCTCCTCTACCCAGCCCTTCCCCCACCCCCGCCCACCTCCAGCCTCTGTGTCATTTAAAGGGACCACTCTCTTCCCTTCCCAGCACTCTGTTATCATCATCACTTGACCATGGCTTCTCAGTGTAAATTTCTTTGCAGTTTTAACATTATCATCCAAGGGGATCTAGGAGGGACATAAATATCATGTGCTTGCTCAAAATGAAATAATGATCAAACATATTAGACGTTCTTTTTTAAAGAATGATAATATTGTTTTCTAAGTATAAGCCGTATTCTTATTTATTTTTTTCTTTTCTTTTTTTGAGATGGCGTCTTGCTCTGTTGCCCAGGCTGGAGTACAGTGGCACGATCTTGGCTCACTGCAACCTCTGCCTCCCGGTGCAAGTGATTCGTGTGCCTCAGCCTCCCCAGTAGCTGGAATTACAGGTGTGCGCCTGTAATTAACCATGCCTGGCTAAGTTTTGTATTTTTAGTAGAGATGGGGTTTTGCCATGTTTGCTAGGCTGGTCTCAAACTCCTGTCCTCAAGTGATCTGACCGCATAGGCCTCCCAAAGTGCTGGGACTACAGGTGTGAACCACCTCGTCCAGCCCATACTCGGATTTGGTTAGACAGTACCTAGAAGGAAATTTAGAACAACAAAAACATCATCTTGAGAGCAGAACTGTATTGGAGGTTTTATTTTGTCTTGTATTTAAGGATTCTAATTCCCAATAATACCAGCTGCCTCTCAGCCCATTCTTTCAGTGATCTTAAACAGCATAATTCAGTTCCTTTTTGCAAAACACATAAGATATTAAAATATCAGCATTAATATCTTTTTTGGAAGCACTTTAAACATATGTTTTAATTATGAAAAATTTCTCTGTAGACATTTTAAGTGTAGAAAGAAGGAACTGGGTTAGAAATGTAATATATCAGCTCAGAGTCAAGTTTTGACAAGAACAGATTACCCAGGTGTCAAAGCATGGCGTTTTCTTCTTAAGATGCCTGGAATAGCAGAGGAAACTTACAGTCGTTTAATATTTGGGGCTCTGTGTAGGAACTTGGAAGTCATATCATAAAGAAATGTGATTTTTTTTCTGCTCTTCTTACCTCTCCTTGCTTAGGATAAGAGAGTAAATATCTCAACTTGTATTTCATGAGACTACCAGCAAAGACCACAAGGTCTAAGATATTTTGAAATGTTTTCCTTTTTCACCAAGTCAGTTGACTTAATCTCTTTGAGATTTGCAAACAAGTTTTGATGGTTTGCAGTACTGGTGTTGAGTAATCTGAATATTTTCCAAAGATGATGGCATCATGTTACCTTCACAATTGTGGTTAAGAATGAATGGTGGTTGGGTGCAGTGGTTCTCGCCTATAATTCTAGCACTTTAGGAGGCAGAGATGGGTGGATCACTTGAGCCCAGGAGTTTGAGACCTGCCTGGGCAACATGGTGAAACCCTGTCTCCACAAAAAATTCAAAAAATAGCTGAGTGTGGTGGTGCATACCTGTAGTTGCAGCTACTTGGGGGGCTGAGGTGGGAGGATCACCTGATCCTGGGGAGGTCGAAGCTGCAGTACGCTATGGTCACGCCACTGCACTCCAGCCTGGGTGACAGAGTTGAGACCTTGTCTGAAAAAAAAAAAAAAAAGAATGGGTGGTAATATTCATATTCATGTAAATATTTACAATAATTTTAAGTTAGAAAGGAGTTTCTGTGCTTGCATAATGAAAACATTAGTATATTACGATTACTGTACAAACCCATGTATTCTGCATTTTTCTTATCTCTAATCACAGTGATAAATTTAAAATTACTTTTTGTTCTTGAAATGCTATTATTTGGAAGCAACAGTACAGAATTTTAAAATTTCTTTTGCCATTACACTTTAGCACAATGATTTTGAGATAGTTTTTGAGGGCAGTTGATGAAGTCACTAAAGTCCTAATGCCATGCTTCTGTTCTCTGTGGTACCATTCCAGAAGCAAGAGGCTGTGCACTGCTTTGGGCAGAGGACCATCATACTTTGGTTTTGGCTTTTGCTGGTTCTCAGCTCATTCTCACATTGAGCCTGGAGCAGACATTTACTTTTGAGGTTTTAAGTTAAAAATTAGGGTTTAAAGAAGTATATCCTAAGACCCAGTTCTGATTATTTGAAAGGAAAATGTGGCTTCTCTATGAGTTTTAATCATCCTGACATGTCAATAATCTGACAAGATTATTTAAAACTCATGAATAGAATATATGGCTTTATATCTAAGACCACACATCTAGTCATATTTTTTAATTGGTAATATTCATTAATCACTGGTTTTGACATATTTCCTGATTTTTCCTCTATCTTACTTAACCCTCTGGGTACTAGCTTCTTTTTAATACATGGAAGTATAACTTTCTGAATTGTAGTTTCAAGACTTTTATATGTATAACAGCATTCTCTATTTCAATATCATGTTTTTCAGTTCATACAAAAATGGCTCATACTCAAGTACCGTTGTCCCTTGATATATGTGGAGGATTGGTTCCAAGACCACACACTTAAAAACAAATCCCTGCATACTCAATTCCCACAGTTGGCCCTGCAGAACCAGAATATAGGAAAAGTCAGTACTCTTTATACGTGGGTTTCAAATCCCACAAATACTGTATTTTCAGTCTGTGTTTGGTTGAAAAAAAAAATCCACATATAAGTAGAACCAGGCAGTTCAAACCTATGTTGTTCAAGGGTGACATGTATTTGCACAGTCTTCAGAATTCTTGTCTGCTTGTCCTGTACCAGCAAAGAAGGCAAAGAAAATTAACTTCCCATTCTTTTCTGTTGTTAAATCAACTGAAAGTACAGAAGAAATGCTTTAAAATGATACGTGCCCAAGATTTTTGCATATAGCAAAGATAATTGATATTTTATTTTAGAGATCTCAGTTATTTACAAATAATTGTCCTCATTAGCACATGTAAATATTTTTCTACTCACATAAATATTTTATTTGCATTTTTTACTCATCATTTCTTTTTTTTAAAAAAATTCTCTTTTCTCTAGTATTTACTTTTGCCCTGTTCAACACTAGCTACTGGATTGATCACAGTGAATGCCAAAAATTAACATATAGAAGTTAACACATGGAATATTCTCCCTGATGTACTATATTTGAGAGGTACTATATTTATAACTTATAAGCAGATTTTTAAAATAAGATGCAATCTTTAGGATTTTCATTATTTTTTAAATCTTAAAATTGACCTTTAGAGTATTCAATATTGCCTTTAGTTATGTTTTTGTTGCCCTGGATTTGGTTGGCAATGCGATTCTCAGTAGCATGAGCATAGATAATGAATAGGGCAGATTTACTATAAAAGTGTATATCGAATTGGTTATGCTTTTAGTATATAATAATCCATTAATGAAATATACCATCTCCATAATAATGTGCTTTCCAAGGAGTTACACATCTATGTTAATTTAATATGTGACTCAGAGTTTAGTTTAGGCAAGCATCATTACAACTCACTTATTTTTTTTTTTTTTTTTTTTTTTTTGAGACGGAGTTTCGCTCTTGTTGCCCAGGCTGGAGTGCAATAGTGCGATCTTGGCTCACTGCAACCTCTGCCTCCCAGGTTCAAGTGATTCTCCTTCCTCAGCCTCCTGAGTAGGTGGGATTACAGGCATGCACCACCACGCCCGGCTAATTTTGTATTTTTAGTATAGATGGTGTTTCTCCATGTTGGTCAGGCTGGTCTCGAACTCCTGACCTCAGGTGGTCTGCCCACCTCAGCCTCCCAAAGTGCTGGGATTACAGGCATGAGCCACTGTGCTCGGCCTTACAATTCTTTTACAGATGAGAAACTAAGAGAGGCAGGATGCTTAAGGAGCATGGTTAAAGATTCCAAACTTTGCAGTAAGGTAGATGTGGGTATTGATTATAACTCATTTATAGTGGTTATTGTTCCTCCTTATTAGTGTTATCATCTATAGAGTGAGTATAGCAATACCATCTTGTGGTTATGCATAGCATACCTAGCCCAGGGTTTGTCCCACATTACATATTTACTAAATTATTGCTTTTACTATGAAATAGGAAGTAGAAGAGTTAAGTAATTTACTTGGTTGTACCCAAATCTAACTGGTAACAGGGCTAGTACTACAACGTAGATTTCGGACATTTTGTTTTATGTTTCTGTATCAAAGTTCCTTTAGTGACTTATAGTAGGAAACTAACCTCGGGCCTCGGGCCATTAGGTGGCAGGAACATACCTGATGGCTGGATCCACTGTGAGATAAAACAGATGTGGTTTGGGCGATAAAATTAAAAAGGGAATTTAAGGGAGAAAATGGATTCTTTTTGTTCCCCCTGAAGTTGTTTGGAAATCGTAATTCTGTACAAGTCGTCTAAGAACTCTTGGTCTTTCTAAGGGTTCTTCATCTTTTATACCTGAACCAAACTCAAATGATCCCAATTGTGTTAGAAGCAAGCTGTAAGGGCTGCTTGGAGACAATTCTATTCCTGATACAAACTCAGAGGCAACTTGTACTCTTTGGGATTTACCATAAATCAAAAGGAACTGGTATTTTAATGGAAGACAAAATCTATCATTGTTAATAATCAAGACTGCGTACAGCAACTCAACGTCTGTCATCCCTGCTCTTTGGGAGGCCAAGGCAGGAGGATTGTTTGAGGCCAGAAGTTCCAGACCAGCTTGATCAACATAGAAAGACCCAGTATTTATGGAGAAAAAATTTAAAACAGAAAAATAATAATTAAAAAAGGTACTGGTTGGATGACTGCATGGGCTATGCGATCAGCCATATATGAGGAATTTCTAAAAAGCCTTTACTGAATTGGTATAGTTGTTACATAAACAGGACCACTATTTATGACATTCTAGTATATATATTCCCCAAGTGTTCCATTAACTACTTTTGACAGTGTGATAGGCAAAATAGGTTTGTTGCCTGTGATTTGAGGAGAGCCTCAAGGCTTGTTGCTCCCAAATTCTCTCCCTTTGGCCAGTCATTATATTTGAAAATGCAGTTATATTAATTGTCTTTACTATAATACCATGTGCTAGTTTGTCAGAAACTGTGTAGAGCACATTGTTATTAGGGACATAGGGCAAAATTGAGAAGCCATGGGAAAAATTTTGCATAGAGAAGAAATGGATGGAAGACAAGTGCATGCAAACCCCAAAATAAAAATCGAACACTATGAGTGGTACTGGCAGCAGACCTGAGCCATGGATGTGAGGATGGCTCATAGTCAAATTCAGGAATATGGTAGAGATTGCAGATGGTAAAATGCCAAGGAACAACCGTAGATACACTAAAACAAAACGAACATGGGTGCTGGATTATACATGTGGATATTACAGTATGCACATAGATGTTATAGTGACAAATAATGCTGTCTAGACTAACAGTGTTAATATATTATTGAAGTACTAAATTTTATGTTTACATTAAAATTTTTTTCTTATTGGGAATACGTTTAGTTTCAGATCTATCTGAAATAACTACAGATAGGGGAAAGAGAAATAATTGTATCTTGTAGAATTCCTGTAATTAGAATTACATATAAGTACATAGGATATGTGTTGTGATAACATATGAATCATGATCTTTAAATCATAGCCACTTCTTCTACTTAATATTTTAACTATATCTGTTTTATTTACCTACTTACTATTATGTTCTTTTCTGTAATAATCCGAGGTATAATTTCTTCAGAAAAAATAAATTCCTGTAGGCTTACAAAGGCTCTTATTTCCCTGGAGTCACATGAAGTGACTATCATACAATTAGTAAAATGCTCAGTCTACAAGTGTTGACCCCGCCCCATAGTCTTTGCTAATAGATGGAGTGGGAAGACAGTCTACTTTAAAAAACAGCAACAACACATTCATGCTCGTTTTCAGTTCCATGCAGTTAAATGGCTCTTTTTCTCCTCCCTTTGTTTTCTTTTTTTCCTTTTTTTCTCTCTCCATTGACATTAGAAAGTTTAACATAATTAACATTTATATTTTAAAATAATATTTATTTAAATTGTAGCTGGTAAGACCATTCATGGGGCACATCCAAAGTCCAAGACTTCCATTATGGTTAAAGGCAAGGACTTTGGAACCAGACAGACACATCTTTTTGTTCTCTTATCTTTTTGAGTGTCACTTCTGTAAGGCATGGTTTCTTCTTCTATTAATAGTACAAACTGGATGATAATGTAAGCTCATTTGTTATGAGGATTAGGAGAGATCACATATGCATACACAAGTCTAGCTTAAAATTGGCTTTTATTTTATTTATTTATTTATTTATTTATTTAGAGACAGAGTCTCACTCTGTCACCCAGGCTGGAGTGCAGTGGTACCATTTCGTCTCACTGCAAGCTCCGCCTCCAGGGTTCATGCCATTCTCCTGCCTCAGCCTCCCCAGTAGCTGGGACTACAGGCCCCTGCCACCAGGCCCGGCTAATTTTTTTGTATTTTTAGTAGAGACAGGGTTTCACCGTGTTAGCCAGGATGGTCTTGATCTCCTGACCTCGTGATCCACCCGCCTTGGCCTCCCAAGTGCTGGGATTACAGGCGTGAGCCACTGCTCCCGGCCAGCTTTTATTTTTTTGAGACAGGGTCTCACTCTGTCACCCAGGCTAGAGTGCAGTGGTGCCATCACAAATCACTGTAGCCTTAACCTCCCAGGCTGAAGGCATTCTCCCACCTCAGCCTTGACCTCCTAGGCTCTAGCGATTCCCTCACCCCAGCCTACAGCATGCATCACCATGTCTGGCTAAGTTTTGTATTTATTGGGGTTTTACCCTGTTGCCCAGGCTGGTCTTGAACTCCTGGACTCAAGCAATCCGCCCAGCTTGGCCTCCCAAAGTACTAGATTATAGGTATGAGCCACTGCGCCTGGCCAAAATTGGCTTTTAATCTGAATAAAAACAATTCTTAGTAGATATATTAAGCACTACTATATTAAGTGCAAATAAGTTATTTTCTTTTGCAGACGGTTTGTGATAGATGACTGGCAAGATTGCAATTTTTACCTCCTCATGGAAGTAACACTTTGATTTCAAACAAGTAACTCAGCGTTGGTGGAAGCAAAATTTAGGATTTATCCCCTTTTTAATGCAGTTAAGTACTTCAATTTTGGCAGATTCTTACATAGAACTCAAGATTTTCATATAGGGACAAAGACATATGTTAAATTTGTAAGGTTTAAAATGAATTATAGCTGAAGCACGAAACAAGAATGAGAGTCCTTACCACATTTAGTGACTGTGCAGTGTATTAGTAAAATGAAAATGCTGAGATGATAACCCAAAGAGGAGTGATTACTTATGCAGACCTGAATGTTAAATAGGTAAAAATTAAATATTAAGAAATTCATTTATCTTTTTATTTTATCTTTTTTCTTTTCTTCTCTCTCTCTCTCTCTCTCTCTCTTTCTCTCCCTCTCTCTCTCTCTCTCTCCCTCTCTTTGAGACAGAGTCTTGCTCTGTTGCTCAGGCTGGAGTGCAGTGGTGCGATCTCGGCTCACTGCAACCTCCACCTCCCAGGTTCAAGTGATTCTTCTGCCTCAGCCTCCTGAGTAGCTGGGACTACAGGTGCCTGCCACCACGCCTGGCTAATTTTTGTATTTTCAGTAGAGATGGGGTTTCACCATGTTGGCCAGGCTGGTCTTGAGCTCCTGACCTTGTGATCCGACAGCCTTGGCTTCCCAGAGTGCTGGGATTACAGGCGTAAGCCACCACACCCAGCCTCTTTTTTAACAAAACAAAACAACACAAAGACATGTATTTGGCTCACAGTTTTAGAGACTGGGAAGTCCAAGAGTATTGTGCTGGCATCTGGCAAGGGTTGAACTGTAACAGAAGGCAAAAGAGAAAGAGAGCACATATGAGAGAAAAAGCATGAGGGGCTGGGCTTGCTTTTATAACAGTTCACTCTAGTGAAAACTGACCCACTCATGTATTAACATTAATGCATCCATGAGGGCTTCACCCTTGTGACCCAGTCACTTCTTATTAGGACCTACCTCCCAATGCAGTTACATTGGGAATTAAGTTTACAGCATGCTGAGTTTTCAGGGCACATGCAAACCATACATTTTGTACCAGGCACCCAAAATTTATGTCCTTCTTATAATGCAAAAATACATTCATTTCATCCCCAAAGTCCCAAAAGCCTTAACTTGTTTCCATCAACTCAAAAATCCAAAGTCCAGAGTCGTATCTAAATGAGATATGGGTGATGCTCAAGGCATGATCTGTATAGAGGCAAATTCCTTCCAGATGTGAGCCTGTAACATCAAAGCAAGTTATCTACTTCAAAAATACAACAGTGAAACAGGCATAGGGTAGGCATTCTCGTTCTAAAAGGGAGAAAGAGGAAAGAAGAAAAGAGTAACTAGTCCCTACTAAATCCATAACCCAGTAGGGAAAACAATACGAAGTCTTAAAACTGGAGAATAATCTCCTTTGTTTCCATGTCCCATATCCTGAGCACACTGATATAGGGGTTGGGCTCTCAAGACACTGAGAACTGCCACGCCCATGGCTTTGCTGGGCTCAGCCCACATTTCCGCTCTCTCAGACTGGCATCGTACACTGGTAGCTCTACAGTTCTGTGGTCTTCTGAGCCCTCCCATGGCAATATAGGCTTTTTCTAGCCTGATTCTCCAAATTTCCAACCTCCACCCGTTATGCAGTTCCAAAGCTGCTTCCATATTTTCAGGTGTTGTTATAGCAACAACCCTGCTCTAAGTATCAATTTTCTATATTAGTCTGTTTTCTGCTCTTCTAGCTATTTTTTCAAAGAGCAGTGTATGCCAAATTATGAAAAACTCATTATAACTTCTTTTATAATTAATGAATATATATAATTTCTTCAAATTACTAACATAAGAAAAAATCTTAAAAAACTTTCTCAAATCTCCCTGTATTGATTTTGTGAAGTATATCAGAGATATGAAATTGCAATAGTTACTTCAGAGTAAGTTTGAATTTACTCTATAAACTTAAAACTACCATGTATTTGAAATTGGAACTTTGAAAAAATTTAGAGGTATTTATTGTAGCAGATCACAGCATTTCTAGAGGGACCTCACATTTGATTTTCTCTTTAGAACAACTTCAGCAAGATGGGAATATTTAATTGTTCTTCTGCCTTTCAAAGAACATCAAACCATGGCAGACTGTGGACTAAGTACAAGAGAAGCTTTCATTGTGAATTAACATCAAGTTTCTTAGTAAATGGATACCTTTTAGAGGTAGTTTAGTTTAATATCAATGTGAAGGGCCCTTGAGATATAAGAGTTATTCCTACTTCTTCACTTCTTGATTTTTTTTAGCAGAAGAATTTCTTTTTATTTTTGAATATAAAATAACTCCACAGATCATATTTTCTAGAGCTTATCCAGTGATATTTAGAAGTGTCTGTTTGCCTTCTCTTAATATACTAATTATATATGCTTAGTCTTAGGATTGAAGTTGCTTACTTATTAAACAATGCTTATTAAATCTCTGTCACATGTAAAGTATCTTCAGGGCACTAAGAAGAATGGATAAATATACCAAAGTTCCCAGCCGGCATCTTTGAGCAACAACCATTTGTTTACGTAGGCAGGATATGTTCAGTTCCAATATGTTAACAGGAAAATATGACATATAAAATTATATTCCCAAAGAAATGTAAAACATTTGATATACTACTTGGCATTAATTTTTCTCTGGTCTGAAAAATATATTATGAAATATGGATACCAGATAGTTTTATTTTGTTACTACTGAGGGTTTTTTTTTCCCCCTAGCAGTTCTGAGAGGATAACTCATTTGGATAATTTTGTTTTCATATTTATGCTATAGTCCCTAAATTAAAATTATTAAAACATATTAAGTACCATCTTATGATATTCTACCTTCTATTCAAACTCAATATTGAGAGGGTGAAATAGCCTTGCCTCTGACCACATTTGGATGCCTGGAAACATATCTGAATCTTCCTTGTTATTACATCTGCTACTTAGGAGGCTTAACCTCAGTTTTCTCATCTGTGAAATGAGGATAGTAATACTATAGACCCCAAATGTTTGTATTAGTTTAAATGAATTGAGGAGACTACCAAGGATGTAGTAATTGTTAAATAAATGTAAATACTATTATTGTTGTTATTTTTATTATAATTTTTAAAATTTCTTCTTCATCTCCTTCTCCCCTTCCCATTCTTTCGCTCTCTTTAGGCTGTCACAGTGCTGCAATGCAGGCCCTTGAGATGGAGCAGTAGCCCTTCCAAGTTAGAGCAGTTTCATATGAAGTTTATTTTGTTTAAAACAGGAATGAAATGAATACTCTGAATATTTGGAAACTTCATTGGGAAAAAACTTTTCAAAATTAGATTGGGATTTTGGAACAACAATTATATTTTTTGAACTTCAGATAAATGCTTTATTATATTATATCCAGGGTTGAAAGTGTGATTTGCATTCATCTATAGACATACTCTGTTAAAATGTGGACTTTTAGGCTGGGTGCAGTGACTCATTCCTGTAATCCCAGCACTTTGCAAGATCAAGGTGGGAGGATCGCTTGAGTTCAGGAGTTTTTGACCAGCCTGGGCAACATAGTGAGACCCACCTCTACAAAAATTAAAATTAAAAAAAAAAAAAGGCCAGTCATGGTGGTGCACATTTGTAGTCTCAGCTACTCGGGAGGCTGAGGTGGGAGGATTGCTTAAGCCCAAGAGGTTGAGGCTGCACTGAGCCATGATCATGCCACTGCACTCCAGCCTGGGCAACAGGAAAAAATAAATGTGGACTTTTAAAGCATTTGTAACTGTTATTTACACTTCATCACACTTCACTGAAAGAACTTGGAGAATTTTATTTCAATAAAATTGCACTTTTAAAAGATTATATGAAATGAATACACCAATAAAATATACAGGCTTAAACATGTAAAAAATGCACATTATATTAAATGTTAATGAAAATACAAAGTCTTTGAGTGGTCCAAAGAATAAGTACCAAAGTGAAAATTTGAAGATAATCCCAAACATCTGTTTTGAATTATCTTTCTAAAAAAAAGGTTAAGTGTATGTTAAAACCTTTTATTCCTTAAGTAGGATATAGCATAACTGCATCTCTATTTTAAAAGAAGATGATGTGTGACCTTAATTTTATTTTGTTTCCTTTCTTTTCCTACCTTCCTTTTCCTTCTCTTTCTCTTTTTTTTTCCCTTCACTGCAGTTTCAGGTTAATCCCTGTAAGCTTCCTCTATTTTATTCATGTATTAATCCCCTTTTATCTGTATTCTTAACTTCGTTTTCTCTTTGCAGCATAGACAGCTGATCTAACATATTTGATTTGTATGTAATGTATTTGATTTAAAATATACCTTTGATTTAATTGTAATATACACTATGTTAAATACACAGTGATATTTTGGGCATGAATCAATTTTTAATATTTATCATTGTTATGACAATGCATTCCTTTTTTTTAAATTCTCTGTAGGCTGTTATGGTCCATTCATGTAACAGTATTTACATGGTATTAATTGTTCCTAATGCTGCATAGGAGTGTGTAAAGTGAATGACCCACATTGTACTCCCATGATGGACATATTGTTCCTACCCACTATCAGCCAACACTAAGACACTTGAATTTAAACATTCTCTTACGTGCTTTCTAAGGTGAGAATTTATGTGGGAGTGGGATTGCTAGACAGAGGTCCATTTTGACTTAGTCACTTACATTTGTTCATTTGACTGAGTACTGTCAGATGGCATAACAGAATGTCTGCCCCGGGCCACACTGCCACCAGCTGTGCACAGGATTCTTCCCCAACATCCCTACCAGTAGTTGACCTTATCCATTTTTCTATTTTCTTGCCAGTCTAGGTATAAAAGATATCTTGTTGTTATAATTTTCATTTCAGGGGGGTTACTAAGAAATTTGAGTATTAGTTTAAATGCTTGGTATTTATTTTGGTTTTCCTTTTTGTAGAATCCTATTCATGTCCTTTGCCTATTTTTCCTCTATTGGATTTCTTATTTTTTTATTGTTGCTTTGCAGGAGTTCCTTCTAGTTTCCAAGCACAGACACTTCTTTGTTTAGATGTTTGAAATATCTTCTCCCAGTATATTATACATTTAACTTGTTCATAATGTTCTTCACTAAATAGAAGTCCTTTTTGAAGTACCCAAATCCATTAATTTTTTTTTTACATTTCAAATGATATTTGGGGCTCTTTTTAAGAAGTTCTTTTCCATTCCACAGATATATTCTTCTACATATTCTTCTGTTAGCTTTACTTTTTCACATTTAACTTTTTAAGCTATCTGGGGTTTATCTTTGTTTTTCATGAATATGGTATAAAAATCAGTTCTCATTGTTCTCATATATTATGGCTAAAATATAGTTTTTGAGTTTCTTAATAAATGATGCTAAAATATTGATTGTATTTACATAGAATTCATAGATTAATTTGGGGAGAACTGACATCTTTATAATGTTAAATTGCCCCATCCATGAGCCTTGGAATATTCCTCCATTTCTTTTAGGATTTGGTTTGCATACTTCCAGGTAGTCAGAAAGGTCAGATTTCAAAATTGACATGATATTAAAAAGTTGATTGGGTTAATATGATCAAATTTCTTAAAGAATTAACTCATAGAATCAACTATGAAGAGTTATGGCAGCTCTTCAAAAACCTAAAATCTATTTTGATAAACACAGCATTGTGGAGCAATAATTTAAGGAAGATAGGATTTGAGAAGGAATTGTTTTTATATTTGAGGATAATGAAATCCTCTGTCAATGCCCTTCAGCCAAAGACCACTAGGGCCACACCTGAAGTAAAAGTTGGCTTAACTACTTCTTGCGCTGAGAGAGAACAGCTACACCATGGAGAACTCTGAGGCATCTCATTATATGACCTATTATAGGATTTTGACTTTGGTTGGGTGATTTGGAAGAGAGTCTAAGGAAGTGAGGGTTTTATTTTGATTGGATACCAGGATAATTCTATGTCTGGATAAAAAATCATTCATATAGCAAGAGAGGAGGATGTTTGGTAGTTTGTGGGTTATACAGTGACGTTTTCCTTTTTTTGTGTTTATACAAAATTATGAGGTGGTCTTTATTTGTTTTGCTTTATCATGATCTCAGAGTAACCTTGTCTGAAGCTGGTAATTGTGTATAATTGTGTGTGTACAACAGGAAAACAAGATTTTTGCAGGCATCTAGGGCAATTACTTAATCATAAGAAATAGGAGAGATTTTCATTTGGATAAAAAGCAGGAAACCTAGTTTCAGATTGTGACTTTGCCTCAGTTAACCTTGTTGATGATTTTTAATTTCTAAGTTGTTTTCTCACTTTGAAATAGCCATCTCTGCTGCTCATCTGTCCTGTTGGAAACCACTGTAATTTTGCCATCTAGATTACCGCAGTTGCCTTCCAGCTGGTCCCCCTGTTGCTCCTTTAGTTCGCTTGCAGTGAGTACCTTCTCTGCAGAGGAGTCAAGAGTGACATTTCGAAAATGAAAGTCAAATCACAAAATCCCTCACTGAATATTTCCCCCCAAATATCGCACATAAAATAACCCCCAGACTTCTTATCGTGGCACATGAAACCCTATGTGATTGGACCCTTGCCTATCTCTGTGACTTCATCTTGACTTTCCCTCTCATTTTGCAGCCACTCAACTGACTGGTGTTGTTCCTGGAAACATCAAGTTCATTTTTGCCTTAGATCCTTTGCTGTGTTTTCCTTATGTGGCATCAGCAGTCCTTGCCAGGCTTGCTCCTTATCCTTTAGCTCGTAGAGATCATACCTATTTTCCTAAATCTGTGATATCCATACCTAAATTATCCTCATCCATACCATGTTACTTTATTTTACATTATTTATAACACTTATCACTATCTGAAGTTAATTCATTTATTTTATTGTATAGATCCCACCCTCCCTCCACTATCTCCAGCATAAGCTCACATGGGTGGGAATTGACTATTTTGAACAGTACTAAGTGTCCAGCTCCTAATGAAGTTCCTGGCACAATAGGTGCTTAACAAATATCTAATAAATTAATAAATATTTAATACATTAATAGATGGATAAATGAACAATCAACCAAATAAGTGGACATGTATTCTAGGTATAGCGACAGGCATACCTTATTTTCTTGTATTTTACTTTTTTGTGCTTCTCAGATATTGCATATGTTTTTTTAACAAATTGAATGTGGCAACTGCATAAACCAAGCTGGTCAGTGCCGTTTTTCCAACAGCAAGTGCTGACTTCATGTCTCTGTCATATTTTGGCAATTCTCACAATATATTAATTTTTTAATTATTATATCTGTTATGGTAATCTGTGATGTCTGATGTTAACATTGTGACTATGCCCATATAAAATGGTAAACTTAACAGATGTTGCGCATGTTCTGTTTCACTGATCAGCCCTTCCCCAATTTCTCTCCCTTTCCATGGGCAACCCTATTCCTTGAGACAAAAAAAATATTGAAATTAGGCTAATTTTCCAATGGCCTTGAAGTGAAAGGAAGAGTGGCATGTCTCTCACTTTACATCAAAATTTAGAAATGATTAAACTTAGTGAGGAACACATTTCAAATACACGAATGATAAGAAAGTGGAACAGACTTATTGCTGATATGGAGAAAATTGTTTTTTTTTTTTGTTTTTTTTTTGACAGAGTCTCACTCTGTCGCCAGGCTAGAGTGCAGTGGTGCGATCTCGGCTCACTGCAACCACTGCCTCCCGGGTTCAAGCGATTCCCCTGCCTCGCCTCCCAAGTAGCTGGGACTACAGGCGTGTGCCAACACACCCAGCTAATTTTTTGTATTTTAGTAGAGATGGGGTTTCACCATGTTGGCCAGGATGATCTCGATTTCCTGACCTCGTGATCCGCCTGCCTCAGCCTCCCAAAGTGCTGGGATTACAGGCATTAGCCACTGCGCCCGGCCACGGGAAAGTTTTATTGGCCCGGATAAAACATCAAACCAGCCATAACATTCCATTAGGCCAAAACCTAACCCAGAACAAGTTCCTTAACTCTCTTCAATTCTATGAAGGCTGAGAGAAGTGAGGAAGCTGTGGAAGAAAAGTTTGAAGCTAACAGAGATTGCTTCATTAGGTTGAAGGAAAGAAGCCAGCTCTGTAACATATTAAGTACAGGGTGAAGCAGTAAGTACTGATGGAGAAGCTGCAGTAAATTATGTACAAAATATAGCTAAGATAATTGATTAATGTGGCTACAACTAAACAATGGGTTTTCAGTGTATACAAAACAGATTTCTATTGGAAGAAGATACCATATAAGACTTTCAAAGCTAGAGAGGTGTTAGTGCCTGGCTTCATATTTTCAAAGGACAGGCTGACTGTTATTTTTATGGGCTAATACAACTGGTAACCTTCAGTAGAAGCCATTGGTCAATTAACATTCAAAAAATCCTAGGGCCCTTAAGAATAATGCTAAATCTACTCTGTTTATGCTCTGTAAGTGGAACTGGATTTCCGAGATGACAACACATCTGTTTACAGCATGGCTTACTGAATATATTAAGCTTAATGTTGAGTCCTACTGCTCAGAAAGAAATTGTTTTCAAAAGATTATCATTGCCAGTGCACCTCGTCACCGAAGAACTCTGACAGAAATGCACAAGGAGATTAATGCTGTTTTCATGCATAGTAACACAGTATTTGTTCTGTAGCCCATGGATCGATCAAGGAATTATTTTGACTTTCAAGTCTTCTAATTTAAGAAGTAACTTTTTGTAAGGATGTAGCTTCCATAGACAGTGATTCCCTGGATTAGTCTGGGTAAAGTAAATGGAAAACTTTTGGAAAGAATTTGCCATTCTAGATGCCATTCAGAACATTTGTGATTCATGGAATGAAGTCAGAATATCAACATTAGCAGGAATTTGGAAGAAGTTGATTCCAATCCTTATGGATACCTTTGAGGGGCTCAAGACTGCAGTGGAGGAACAAACTGCAGAGGTCGTGGAGAGAGCAAGAGAACTAGAATTAGAAGTGGGCCTAAAGATGTGACTGAATTGCTGTAATCTCATGATAACGTATTTACAGATGAGGAGTTGCTTCTTATGGATGAGCAAAGAAAGTGGTTTCTTGAGGTGCAGTCTACTCCTGGTGACCATGCTGTGAACATTGCTGAAATGACAACAAAGCACTAGAATGTTATATGATCTTAGTTGATAAAGCAGTTGCAGGGTTTGAAAGGATTGAGACTAATTCTGAAAGAGTTCTATTATGGATAAAATGCTATCAAATAACATCACCTGTTACAGACAAGTATTTCGTGAAAGGAAGAGTTAATTGATATGGCAGACTTTATGTTGTCTTATTTTAAGAAATTGTCACAGCCACTCCAACCTTCAGCAACCATCACCCTTACCAGTCAGCAGCCATCAGCGTTGAGGCAAGACCCTCCACCAGCACAAAGATTAAGACTCACCAAGGGCTCAGATGATTGTTAGCATTTTTTAGCAACAAAGTATTTTTTAATTAAGGTATACCATTATTTTTTAGACATCATGCTATTGCAAACTTATTAGACAACATTATTGTGTAAATATAACTTTTATACACACTAGAAAACCAAAAAAAAATTATGTGACTGACTTCATTGTGATATTCACTTTATTGTGGTTGTCTGGGCCTAAACCCACAACATCTCCAAGGTTTTCCTTTATATGTCTGTTGCCAACAAGAGAAGCACTTATTAGTTTATTATTTATTTGAGATATAAGTATCAAAGAAATCAATTTATTTCATTGGAAATAATGCCTTAAAATATTCAAAGGTATGTCTTTGCTATTAGTTTTTTTTTTAATCATCTATATTCTAAGACTACTATCAAAATGGGATACCATTATAATGAGGATTTCCTGGTGCTTAAATTAACATTTGAATGCATTTCTCAGAGAGATTCCAATGTAAATATATTCTCATTTAGTAATCACACAATCAGAGCAGAACTTTGGGAGGAATAGGGGTTTAAAAATTGCGTAATTATTAGAAATTTCCATAGAGGGATATCTTATTAATTTGTGGTAGATATAGAATACCTATGATATCACGCCTATTATGTTTGAAGATAATTATAATTTATTTTACTAGTAGTTTTATTTTACTGGTAGTTTTAGTAGTTTAATTTGACAATATTTTACACTGTTTTGTCTTTTAATTTAAAGGATACAATTTTCTATGGACTCATAATGCCAAGGCCTATGTGAATGTTGGTTTGCAGTGAAAGATGAAATGTGGTATGAAAATGTTAGGCAGAGGGGAGAAAAAGTTTGGAAACAGCCAGTGTCGGATTAGAGTTTTTGCTGTAACACTTCAGTATTAACTTTACAAATTCTTTAGTGCCTCTGTCTCCTCATCTGGGGAATGGGCACTTATGTGTGGAACTGTGTTGAGAGCTTGGTGAGATGATATATGTCAAGTGTGTGGCATGGTACATGGCACTATTAGCTGTTGCATAATTGTGAGTTCAATGCCTTTCCTCTGTTTTCCATTGGAAGCAAAGAAGGTATATGACTTTGCAAACGTGAAGGATTTGTGTTCTCTGTAGATAACATAAGGGCATAAAGTGTATTGTATTTAATGTTATTTTTGTAAGAAATGCTTAACTATTGTAAATTGTAAAGAGTATCAAACACAATAATATTAATGATAATAGCAATATTTATTGAGGGTTTACCATGTTTCAGGCACTGTGTTTGTTTTTTTGTTTTGTTTTGTTTTATTTTTTTGAGAGAGGGCCTCACTCTGTCGCCCAGGCTTGAGTGCGGTGGCGTGATCATGGCTCACTGTAGCCTCGACTCTATGGGCTCAACTCTGTGGGCTCAAGCGATCATGACATCTAACACGCCAAGCTAATTTTTGTATTTTTTTGTTGAGACGAGGTTTCACCATGTTGCCCAGGCTGGTCTCAAACTCCTCTTGAGCTCAAACAGTCCACTCGCCTCATCAGCCTCCCAAAGTGCTAGTACAGGTGCAAGCCATTGTGCCCAGCCTCAGACACTGTCTTAAACAGCTTGTTTATATTAACACACTTCATCATGAAACAGATGAGACACTATTTTCCCACTTTACAGATAAAGTAAACTGAAGCACAGGAGTTTTAAATTTCTTAGAGGCACACAGGCAAATCTGAGATTGAAAGATTCTGTGCTCTTTTTTTGCATTAAAATTGATAACTCAAAACCCTTTCATTTTTCAGGTACAGTCAGTAGTCACCCAACTAAATATATCTCAACACACATGACCCTTCTTCTCATCCTCATCATTTGCTGGGGGACTCTGCTTTCAGGACTCAATACCCCATCTCCTTGTAGGAAGTAAGAAGGCAAGAAAAGAAGCCAAGGTTGAGGGCAAGGTTCACTGGAGAGCCGTACTATGGGGGCAATTATTGGTGCTGTGCCTTTTGTTATTTTTAATATTGAAAAATTACTATTATTTGGGGAGAACAAAGGGTACACAGAAAATATATTTAATTTTCAACATGATTAAGTGTAGAAATAGCGATTTTCAGGGAAGTGAGCTCATAAGCAGAAACAGTATAAAAGAACATTATATCTATAATGTTTTATTGATGTATTCTGATGCCTGGCAAGCTTCTTTATAGCTTTGATCTTGTTTAGTTTTTTTGCTTTTCATCTCCAGATCTTCTATGCCATTTATCAGTTTTTTCATACTTGAATGAAATATTTGTTTATTTTAAGATCATTTCTTGCAGTTTCTGGCCCAGTAAGTATACAATAATTTCAGACCATGAAGACCCCTACTGAAATCTGGAAGAGCATGAAGCCTTTGTAGGTGATCTTAAGATAACATTGTTCTTGGCCTTATGATGAACTGTATATGTATATCTGCTTTGAGACATAATAATTACTTTAATTTTTTAAGGCTTTGATTATATTTAATCTCCTGGCCTGATGAAATGTTAGAGTATAAAGGAAATACATTTTCCTTCTTAAAAATGTTTTATGATGGTTTTCTCTCCCTGTGGTACTTCCTGATGGCCTGATATTATGTCATGTATAATTGGATTGATGCTCAGTCTGAAAATTTCTTTTTCTTCTTGGCAGCATGGGGTAACCTTGGAAATGTTCTGAAGAGTCAGAGCAAAATTTCTGAAGCTGAAAGCGCCTATAGAAATGCTTTGTACTACCGCAGCAACATGGCTGACATGCTTTATAATTTGTGAGTATGCCTTGCTTCTCTGGTTTGGTTCGTCTTTGAAACCTGCAGTGAGAGGGACTATTGATTTAACTGCTGGAAATGGAGATGATGATAGCTATTGTCCTGAAATAGTCTTTTTGTTAATCATGCCTCTGAGACTATTAGGTGGATGGTGTTTGTGATTTCTTTGTTTCGGGCCACATCATCAATATTCATGTGTACTTATATGTTATGCCTGAATTTTTTGGAAGTAGTATGCCATGTAACATAAATATTGGTTTAAATATTTTTTAGTTCTTAAAATGTTTGTTCCATTAATACTTAGATGAGTTCATAAAATAAGCCTGTTATGTATGAGAGTTATGCAAATCATGTGTTGATTATTAGCATTATTATTTTTATGAGACAGTATCTCACTCTGCGGCCTAGGCTAGAGTGCAGAGACGCTGTCATAGCTTGCTGCAGCCTCAAACTCCTGAGCTCAAGCAATCCTTCTGCCTCAGCCTCCCAAATAGCTAAGACTGCAGGTGCCTGTCACCATGCCTGGCTAATTTTTAAATTTTTTTGTAGAGATGTGGACTCACTATATTGCCCAGACTGGTGCCTAACTCCTGGCCTGAAGCAATTCTCTTGCCTCACACTGCAAAGTGCTGGGATTATAGGTGTGAACCACTGTGCCCAGCCTTGATTATTAATGATAGATTTTGTCTTCCATTAAAAAAAAAATTGCTGTATCAAAGTATATATAGAATATGTGCTATACCAGAAAAGTGAGCGAGTAAGGTTATGGTTCTTTTTTGTTTTCCTTTTCATAGGCACTGATGATTATCAGTGAGGTTGGGATAGTTTAGAATGTTCTTGTATGTTGGGTTAGAAAAATCCCTAGGGGAAAAACTGGTTTTGTTCTTTGAGTGGACAGTCCTAGCTGGTACAACGAGATGTGAGTAGATAAATGCAAACCAAACTCAAATCTCTTCTTTGTCTCTTATATTTATGAGAACATTTTGTTTATAAGTAACAGAAATCCAGTTTAAGCTTGCTTGAACACACCAGAGAATGTATAAACTCCCCTAACTGGAAATTCCTGGGTTGACTAGATGCAGGCCTAGTTAGATCTAGTGCCTGATTGTGTTTCAGGAATGTTTCTCCATTTTGTGGCTCTGGTTTCTTCTGGGTTTGCTCCATTTTCTGTGGTACTCTATAACAATGGGAAAGATGATTCCTGTGTCTTTATAAACATAGATAGCATCCTTACTCTTCTCAATTTCAGAAGGAAAGAGAACTGTTTTGTCTCAGTGTCTGTATTAATCCCGGAAAAAGTTGTTGGACTGACCCTCCTGCAGTTCTGTGCCGTCTCTTGGTTGAAACACTGAGTGATGTGGGAGGGGCAACGAGTCACTTCCATTGACAGCACCTCCAGAGTTGGAATGGAATGGAGGCAAAACAGTTCTCTATAGGAAGATGACTGATCCTAGGTAAAATAAGGTGCTTGCGGCTTGTGTTTAATGAATGCTGTGTGATACTGACAGTATTAAACTAATCTGTAAACTTTTAAAATGTGTATTTATGCTCTGGTTAGCTGAATCTTTTGTATTGGCTAAGTCTAAAGGCACAGATACTTAAAAAAATAACTAAAAATAAACAGAAAAAATCTAGATATTTAAGGGAAAGCAGACAGGATGAGCTCAGTTTAATTTTTTGTTCATACGTTGACTTCGTGTTTAACCTCGTAGGCTTTAACACTGGGATCTCAATCTAGCGGCCTGTGGTCTGAATTAGGTCAGCAGATATGTTTTGTGTCGGCTTTCACAGTGTGTAATTTTTTTCTTTGTCACCTGGAATTCTTTCACATGAAGCACACCTGCTCCAGCACACTGTTCCTTCTACTTACTCCTCTTCTGTGTCCTGCTTCACCATGTATCTTACCATCATCTTTGCTGAACTAATTTGAATTTGTATCTTTTTCTTTTCTTGAATGAAAATACATATCTAGGTACTCCTACAAAGGCTCAAGTCCTCTTCATCTAAATAGTGTTATATTACTATATTTTTTATTATTTTTATTTTATGAAAAAGAATCTTATGAGTTTAATGTATTCACACATATGTTCTTTACACTTTTTGCATCTGAAAGTGATGTCAAAGGGGGCCTCTTGCCTTGCAGTATGGGATATTACTTTTCTGGTTCCGATCCTTCATACATTTTTGGAAGAAAAGGAAACTGAACAATGAACACCTCTTCATTGAAATGTTTCTCTCTGTCTTATCCAATAGTCCCTGGTTAAAACGTTGCCCACCTCTTTGTGATACCTGTTGGACAAGGATTCAGAGTGTTTATCCAGGCTTATTCTTTACTGAGAAGAGAAATGTATTCAATTAGAAAATTTCACTTGACATGTAATTTTAAAATTACATCTTAGGACTGTCTGTCTGTGGATGCATATATAAGTCATGACAGCATAGGAATTGACCTTCCCAATTCCTAGCGAAAAATCTGTACTGGAAGAGTGGTTATTGACAAGATCAGTTTTTCCCCGTAATTGTTGGAAATAGGTTATGTCGTAAGTGCCCAATATAGTTCCACGATATTTTTTACTAATATGATGGGTCTTTAAACCACACTTATCTGTCACCCTAAACGGAGAAGCTTAAATTCCACAAGAAATATTGGCAATGATTGGAAAGTATTGGCTTTGACAGAATTCTGATATCAATAATTCTATTTTAAAATAGGTAAATTTTTCAGTCATTTTAAATCAAATATTTTAAAAATACACCAAGATAGATCCTTTGCAATATATAATATTATAAATATGTTTGGTATCATATTTATAGGAACATTTTTTCTACTTATTTGCATAGGTAGAAAAAAGAAAAGTTTTCTCATAGAAAGTTCAGAGACTGTTAAATAGTAAATTTTAGTTTTGAGATGTACCTAATTTGCTCTGGTGTACAGAAGTTAGTCCTTGTTCTATCTTAACTCCTAAAAGAGAAGGAAATTGCTTTGCTCAGTCTTTCTAGGACACATAACGTGATAATACCCCTTTGAGATAATAGCATGCATTAATCACTTGTCCTATCATCAGTTACAGTTATGTCTCTTAAAGATGTTTATGACAGAGGCCTAGAACAAACCTAGTTGTATTAATTGGCGTGGAATACCTACATTTGTTCATGCATTTTAGAAGCTTTAGGGAATCGTAAGCTTCTGTTAGGCCCTCAACATAACTTCTACATCTAAGTAGCACATAGGAATATTGTTATAGGTAAAGACAGAGGAAAAATAGAAATGATCTTGGAAAATATAAAGTAAGCAATAGTATGAGTGATGTAGATTTATATCTGAAATTTAAGGAACATTACCTTATAAGATCATAAATATTTGAGGACAGCTTTTTTCAGGAATGAAATCAAATTATATCCAAGAGGTATATACAAAGAGTTATATTCCATGTTTGTAAAATGATGGGATAATTTTAATTTTTTTTCTTTAGTAGCAGTAGCTTCAATTACCTCTGTGTGCTAAATGTTCTTCTTAGTTCTTTACATATGTTATCATAGCTTTTCTTCAAAGGAAATCTATAACACAAGGAAGCTGAGACTCAGAGGTAATGTGTCTAAGGTCACACAGAAAATAAATAGAGGAGCCAATATATGAACCTAAGACATTCTGATTGTGTATCTGTGCAACACTTGTATTTCTTTTTTAATTTTTAAAATTATACTTTAAGTTCTGGGATACATGTGCAAAACGTGCAGGTTTGTTACATAGGTATACACATGCCATGGTGGTTTGCTGCACCCATCAACCCGTCATCTACATTAGTTATTTCTCCTAATGCTATCCCTCCCCTAGCCCCCCACCCCTTGACAGGCCCCGGTGTGTGATATTCCCCTCCCTGCGTCCATGTGTTCTCATAGTTCAACTCCCACTTATGAGTGAGAACATGTGGTGTTTGGTTTTCTGTTCCTGTGTTGGTTTGCTATAATTATGGTTTCCAGCATCATCCATGTCCCTGCAAAGGACATGAACTCATCCTTTTTTATGGCTGTGTAGTATTCTGTAGTGTATATGTGCCACATTTTCTTTATCCAGTCTATCATTGATGGGCATTTGGGATTGTTCCAAGTCTTTGCTATTGTGAACACTGCTGCAATAAACGTATTTGTGCATGTGTCTTTATAGTAGAATGATTTATAATCCTTTGGGTATATACCTAGATTGCTGGGTCAAATGGTATTTCTGGTTCTAGATCCTTGAGGAATCGCCACACTGTCTTCCACAGTGTTTGAACTAATTTAGACTCCACCAGCAGTGTAAAAGCGTTGCTATGTCTCCATATCCTTTCCAGCATCTGTTGTTTCCTGACTTTTTAATGATCGTCATTGTAACTGGCGTGAGATGGTATCTCATTGTGGTATTTCTTTAGGCAGAAATAAACCAAAGTTTTGGGAAAAAAGCCTCAATATATATGTTTCAAATTTAGAAAAAAATAACCTTTATATGTAGAAATAAAATATTTAGAATTAAATCTATTAGAGAATATAAGGTTTTAGTAACTGTTAGTGAGTTTACTGAACTCATGGTATAGAATTTTGGTAAAAAAAATATCATTGGGTTTGCATACCTGTGCTAAGAGCTGCCTTCAAGAAGAAAGTGCTACCTAAGGCATTTTTAATTCTAAATCTATTAATTATAATATCATTTGATATCATTTGAATCCGTGCTTACAGACAATAGTTATATAATATGAAATTTAAACAGCACTTAATTCTATTCTTAATAACAATAGATATCATGCATTTATTGTACAGCCTTGTATTTAGCCTTTTATTCATGTTGTCAAATTTACTAAAATCTGATATTTCATACAAGAAATTATTAAGACCAGGTTTAACAGATTTGCATTATGATGTTGATTTGTCTTTTCATGTATAATACATTTTCAGAGACAAAGCAGATGAATCGTGGCTCAGTGATTTACACAGTCAGATTTTATAAGTATAGAGTTCACTTTCAACCTCTTCGCTACACCACTCACTGCAATGTGAAATGTAATTGATTTTTAGACTAAGAAAGAGTCAATGTCCTTTTGTTGTTGTTATGGATTTGTTTCGGTCTGTTCCAAATGATATTTAAAAAGGTAATTCAATAGAGCATTAAATATTGTATTAGGAATTAGATTTCAAAATGCAGATGAATTTAACATGCTATAATCAATTCTTGATTATCTTACCTAATGGAAGAATTATGTCTGTTGATGATAGAGATTTTGCTACTATAAGTTAATTGTCATTTTGTTCTGTGTTGTAAGAATCTTAGTAAATATCCAATCTGAGAAGCTAAGAAATGAGCAAGAAAATAAACTAAAAATTTAAGAGTAGAGAAAATATAAATAAATCAGAATGCAGAGAAACAATAGGAAGTAATGCATAATCTAAGATCTTGTTCTCTGGAAGATCAGCAGCTTTGGGTAAGGGTAACGTAGGGCAAAATAAAAAATGTCAAATATACAATTTTAAGACTGAGAAAAGTTATAACTGGATATATGCTTAAAATAATAAAACACTAATAATATATATGAAAATCATACGAATATATATATACTTCTTCTTGGAAAATATTAATGGTCAATATTGGCCCAAGAAAAGATGGGCAATCTCAATCAAAAACCTTGGAAAACTTTGGAAACAATATTAAGGAATTATCTCGACAAGGAACTAAGTCAGGCGTTTCACAAGTGAGTTCTGTCAAATCTTCGATGAAGTGATATTTCATGCAATAATTAGACTTCTTATGTATTTTTTATGAAGCTAGATAAAACTGATTGCAATGTATCTGACTAAATTTAACACACACACACAAGGACAACAACAACAACAAAACAGAACAAAAAGCAAATAAACAAGAACCATACAACCCACAAAAGGCCAGTTACACAACAAATATAAATGTATATACATGTCTTAAAATTAATATAATGGATGTAGCACATATTAAAGATTTAAACACCATTATCAGATAGGCTTTAGTCTAAGATTTGTGGTGGGATATTTAATATTACAATTAAATTACTATACTCTTTCAATTTAAGAAGTCAGAGGATGAAAAAAATATCATCTCTAGAAATGCCAAGAAGGCATTTGACCAGCAGCTGCCTTGGAAAGCAAACTTATAAATAAACTAGGAATAAATAAATAATTCTATATCATAATAAATATCTGTCAAAAGTTAGTAGTAATTACTACATTTAATGTTGAAGCATAGTGGTCATTTCCATTAATATTCAGCTTCTTGGGGTAGTGACATTTTCTTATTCATTATTGTATCCCCCATCCCTAGAGAATTTCCAATTGCACTGATTTTTTTAAATAAGTTATGAAATCCATATCAGAGTAGAAAATATCCTATTTTTCAATAAGTGATAAGACTAGTAATGAGTATTAGGATAACCACATTCTTTGAACTATGTAAGTATATTTTGATCATTATCACTGTATCTGGCTTATTATAAAGAGCTTTCTTGAATTGGACATTTGTTGTTTCATTTTCTTGCAGTTTCAGAAACAAACACATTTATATTAGGGTTGACTCCTGTATTTGTTGTTTCCTAGGACTGCTATAATAAAAATACTACAAGGTACATAGCTTAAGATAGAAATTTATCATTTCACAGATCTGAAAACTAGAAATTCGAAGTCAAGGTGTTGGCAGGGCCATGCTCCCTCTGAAACCTGTAAAAGAATCCTTCCTTGCCTTTTTTTTTGTGGTTTCTTGGCAATCTTTAGCATTTCTTGGCTTGCAGCTGCATAATTCCAATCTCTGACTTCATTGTCACATGATGTTGTCCTGTGTATTTCTATCTTCACATCGCCATCTTCTTAAAAGGACATCAGTCATATGGGATTGGGGCCTACCCATAATAATGAATTACATCTGTAATGATCCTGTTTCCAAATAAGGTCACATTCTGAAATAGTGGAGGTTTAGGACTTCAACATATCTTTTGAGGGGGTGAGGGGGACATAATTCAACCCATCACATTTCCTTACCTCCCTGTTAGTAGCTTCAGTGTAAAAGAGATAGGGCCCAGCCGGTAATTTTTAATGGGGAGAGTGAAAGAGTGGGACAGGTAAGACTCCTTTAAAAAGCTAACATTTTGAACAAATGTCAATGGTGTGTGTGTGTGTGTGTGTGTGTGTGGATGTGTGTGTGTGTGTGTGTGTATATATATATATATATATATATATATATATATATATATATATATACACACATATATATATAAAATGATGCCAAGAAATCTCTTAGGAAGAGGTAGTTTAGGTTGAGACAGCAATGAAAGAAAGATGTGGTGAAGAATTGACACCATAGATTCAAACCTTTTTTTTTTTTTATTTTTTTTTTTTGAGACAGTCTTACGCTGTCGCCCAGGGTGGAGTGCAGTGGCGTGATCTCAGCTCACTGCAACCTCCACATCCCAGGTTCAAGCGATTTTCCTGCCTCAGCCTCCTGAGTAGCTGGGATACAGATACCCACCACCACACCCGGCTAATTTTTGTATTTTTAGTAGAGACGGGGTTTCGCCATGTTGGCCAGGCTGGTCTCGAACTCCTGACCTGAGGTGATCCACCCACCTCAGCCTCCCAAAGTACTGGGATTACAGGCATGAGTCACTGTGCCCGACCTTTTTAGATTCAATCCTAATAAGGGTATGAGAGATGTTCTTGAAAATTCAGGGCCAGGTTTTGAGAATATTTGAGAGGTTACAATGGTCAGAGATTGCAGAATACAATTGGTGAGACTACTTGACGTAGAGTTTAAAAACAGTTTGGCCTGTGAGAAGTGAGGACTGGTGGAAATGTGAGGAAAAGTAATACTTCAGGACAGGGTTTCCTACCAAGCTCCATAGTAGGGATATGTGTTGGGGATAGAGGGACGTGTTTAGTTGATGCCAGGTAAGCCGATTGGTCTCCTAAAATAGATAATTTCAGAGAGATTATCAAGCAGGAGTGCCCAGAAGTGTTGGGCATGTCTGACAGAGCAAATGAGACTGAGAGATTTTGTTATAATGCTGTTGGCTTGAGGTCACCAGTGCTCTTGGTGTACAACTCAGCCGGCCCTTTACTAATTCCTGGAATGAAGTGGGGCAGCTTGCAGGTACCTGTGTTTTCATGTGGCAAGAGCAAGGCCTAATGCCTAGTATATAACGTTCATTTTGTCTTAATTGGTAAATATCAATTAATACACAAATATACTCTTGTGAAACATTCAAATAATAATACTGAAGAATATGGAGTAAAACATAGAAGTCCCTATTATTGCATTCCTCATGTCCTTTTCCTCCTCTAGTATAGATCTTACTACGTTTTTGGTAAGCATTTATACATGTGGTTATGTATACACTTTTAAGTTTTTTCCCCTGCATATATGAATCATTATTAATTTTTGACTTTTTTACGTGTGTGCAGATACGTCAGAATTCGTATAATCGTCTTCATTTTAAGTTGTTTATATTGGAGGTGTTAAGATCAACAACATTAATGAATGCTCAGTGGGATGATTTCAAAACTATATTGCTTCATTTTCCATTTTTCTAATTACAAGTGCAGTTGAGTAATTTTTCTTATGTTAATTGGCTCTTTGTAATTTTCCTGGGGATTTACTGTTTATATTTCTTGTCTAATTTTCTATTGTGTAGGCTTTTTTCTTTTTCTTACTGAGTCGTAGGGTTGAAAACTTATGTGTAAGCACACAAACCTATTTTGCATATATTTTCAACTAATTTTTAACATATCACTTTTACTTATAGCATTTAGTGTAACTTTAATTTCTATATAGAAAAAAATCCCTAAGTTCTCTAATTTAAGCCCTCTGTATTTTGTGTCTCTCTGAAAATGACCATTTGCAGCCTAATATGCTTTTAAATTTGATATTTTTGGGGTTTTAAAGTTATTTTTGCTTCTTTGTTTAGATCATCAGTCTACTCTGGATTCATTATTTTTTTGTATTAAGGTATAATTTTTTCCAATGAAAACTAAAATTCCCATTATAATTTATTGGATACTTACCTATCATCTAGAATAAATTTACCTAAAGTGGATATGTTTACCTATCCAATTATTGGATAGCTACCTATCACTTAGAATAAATCCCTATATAAACACAGTTCATTGCTATGGACTCTATTCTGTTCTGTTGGTAACCCCTGTCAAGATCAAGTTGTTTCACCTACTATGATATGTAGGAAATTTATATTTTAAAAGGCAAACCTCTCATCCTTGTTATTTGTTTCCCACACTTCTTGATTATTCCTGTGTGTTTTATCTTCAATGTGAACTTGACCCATAGACTTCTTAAGTTAACTGGAAGTCCAGTTAGGGTTTTCATCGGTTTTGCAGTGATTGTATATTAAAGTAAGGAGAGCTGACATTGTTATACTCTTGAATTTTCTCTTCCAGATACATGTATTTCTTTTTCTTTCTTTACTTTTTTTTTTTTTTTTTTTTTTTGAGACGGAGTTTCGCTCTTGTTGCCCAGGCTAGAGTGCAGTGGCGCGATCTCGGCTCACAGCAACCTCCGCCTCCCGCGTTCAAGCCATTCTGCCTCAGCCTCCGGAGTAGCTGGGATTATAGGCATGCGCCACCAAGCCTGGCTAATTTTGTATTTTTAGTAGAGATGGAGTTTCTCCATGTTAGTCAGGTTGGTCTCGAACTCCGGACCTCAGGTGATCCGCCCACCTTGGCCTCCCAAAGTGCTGGGATTACAGGCGTGAACCACCGCGCCCGGCCAGATACATGTATTTCTACATTTCTTTCAATTTTCAAGATTTATTAAAATTTTGTATTTGGTTCTCAAAGGTCTCACATATTTGAGGTTAATTTATTCTTAGTTTTTTAGAAATTATTTTTAATAATGAGAATTAGATTTTTTATCTTTTATTCTATTTTAAATTGGTCATTCCTGGTTATTTACATTTTTTCCTAGATATGCGTAATTTCAATTTTTTGCTGTTGTTTCTGTATCATAAATCTTACTTTCATTAGAAGGTTCTTTCTTGGAGTTTTCCCAAATATGTTTTGCTTTTTTTTTTTCCTCTGGTGGGGCCTCTGCACATACTATTTGTGCTGCCTGCAACATTCTCTCTCTTTCCTTCCCCTTCTGACCTCTTTCCACCCCTTATGACATCTTTCTATCCTACCCCCACCTTTTTTGCATAATACCTATACATCCTTTTTTTTCTCAGCTTAAGCAACACTTTCTGGGGAGGTTTCTGGATACCTCTCCCACTTTCAGATGTGAAAGCCTCCTAGGTCTCACAAAGCCACTAATACTTGGCTCTTTTTAATCTGGATTATGTTAACATTTGTGATAGTATGTGCCTCTTTATATAAAGGAACATAGTATCACAAATGTTAACATGACCCAGATTATAAAGAGCCAAGTATTTATGGTATTTGTGATACCATGTCCTATACCATATAAAGGAACAAGGTATCACAAAATACCATAACGGAGAATACATAAATACGATATAAAGGGAACATGATATCATATATATAAAGGGGAACATGGTGTCACAAATGTTAATATCCAGATTAAAAAGAGCCAAGTGTTAGTTGCATTGTGATATTTAGGAGGGAGATCTATCTTTCTTATATTTTTTTTAAAAGATGGGATCTCACTGTGTTGCCAGGCTAGATTTGAACTGCTGGGCTCAAGTGATCTTCCTGCCTCAGCCTCCCCAGTAGCTGGGACTATAGGCACATGACACCACACCTGGCTCAGTGCCCATGTACCATTTTCCCCTAGCACTGAGCACAATATCAGGCACATAGGCTTCAAACTGTGTATATGTTAATAAACTAATGAATGAATTAATAAGCTAATGAGTTAAATCATGCATATGTTGATTAATAACCTAATGGACTAATTAATGAGATAATAAACTAATGAGTAATCTAATAACTGGATATAAATCAACAGAGTTCAAGTTTGCTGACCCCTTGTCCTGTCCTTGCAACCTGTCTGACCCACTTCTTTTCTAGCTTGCATTACTGGCCATGTGTTCTTATCTGATTCTGAATGTTGATTGATTCCACAACTTTTATCTATTATATATGTCTTTGAAACAATCATTGTCCACAAAGCATAAAAGCAGTAAAATTCCCTCCCTGAGACCATTGTTATTGTATACCTACTGATGTGGGATAATGATTTTTTGTTGTTGTTTTTGTTTTGTTTTGTTTTTTGAGATGGAGTCACACTCTGTTGCCCAGGCTGGAGTGCAGTGTCACGATCTTGGCTCACTGCAACCTCTGCCTCCCAGGTTCAAGCGATTCTCCTGAGTAGCCAGGATTACAGATGTGCGACACCATGCCTGACTAGTTTTGTATTTTTAGTAAAGATGGGTTTTCACCATGTTGGCCAGGCTGGCCTTGAACTCCTGACTTCAAGTGATCCGCCTGCCTCAATCTAGTGCTGGGATTACAGGCATGAGCCACCGCACCTGGCTGGGATAATGATTTTGAAATATAGTCTTACAAACTCTATTGTAAAGGATTAAGTTCTCTTTTCTTTCTTCCTACCAAACCTTGGATATATTTTCTTTATTGAATACACATTGAAAACATATTTTAATTCAGAATTGATAAGAGAATATAATGAATATGTTACTTAAATGGATAACCAGCCAAGGGATATTTCAGCAAAATACACTTCAATAGCTCCATTTGTTAATCAGAAAAAATTAAATAGTAAATAGTGAAGTATATACTTGTATTCTGATTTATTATTAATAGGATAAGATGTTTCCTGGTTCTTAAAATATCAGTCTGTCCTTTAAAGGGCTACTTGGGTTATAAGTGGCTATGTAACTGACTTTTGTTCATAGAAACATGTTGTTTAAATTTGTCTTTTAGTTTTTCAATTATAATTTGTAGAGTTACTATCATATTTTTCTGTAGGAAAAACATAAGAATATAAATAGCCTTTTGAAAAAAATTTTGAAAGTAAAAAGTAATTATTTGAAACTAGGGCAAATTGACAATGTTTAATGATTTCATCAACCAGCTATACATTTGTGAATGTAAATTCTTGAATATATTTTAACATTAAATTATCCATTCTTGAGTTTTGGCCAAGACATACTATATTCAAGATATTTAGCTAAGTCGTTCTTGTCAAGATGCCAGACATGGATTAAGACAAGAATTACTACATGATGACCTGGACGTCTGCAGAATGGTAAAGGAGAAGTCAGAAAGGATTTTATGGAGAAGCTAGAGTTAAAATACATCTAGCTTAATTTTTTTATTTAGAAAAAAAAACAAAAGATGAAACATTTTCTTTCTATTGCAGGTTTTATGCTGTTTAGAATCATGTGTGATTATTAGTTAAAATTATAAATTGTATATAACATAAAATTTTATCTTGCAGCATTCATTGGTTTCAGTAAGTTGCTGCAAGTGGTCTTAGGAAAGAAGCTGATCTGTTCAGGTGCCTGGTGCTTGGTTGCCTGGGGTGATTAGTCCTGGAGAGAGCTGCTTATATAAACAAAGCATGCTGAAGGCTAAGAAAGTCCCTCTGTGTCAGTGTTTTTAAGAGATTTCGTTCATTATATTGTCATAGGTACTAGAATGACTCAATCTGAGCAAGTCTATATGGGAATCACAAGTTTGTTTGACAAGCTTGTCTCTCAATGTGTTGAAAACATTTAATTTGTAACAGCGTCAATCCAAGTAGTATTGGATGAATAAATTTATAATGACATTCATCTAAGACAGCCTGATGCTATGAAACCTCTTGGCTGCAGCTCCTCCTTTCCTGGAAAGTGCTGAGACAATTGCTATTGGCATTTGACTCTAAATTTACTTTTCCAGAGCTTTCAAAGTTTCATCACCTCCTGCTCCCTACACACTTTTACATTTTGTACTCAGTTGTTGCACTAATATGGTCAGTTACACTGCATCCCTGCTAGTTTTGGAGGTATCTTTTTTGTCCACAGTTGATTTTGCACTCCTGTTCTCTGATTCACTGTGATTGATTTTACAGTTTAGCTCTCAAGGTGAAATTTATCTTCCTGCCACTCAAAATCCTCAATTCTTATAGCACCTATTTCAGACATCACTAGTTTTCACATAATTCTGAGAAAGAATGAGCAATTCTAAAGTTCAGTCAAGACTGATTATGTCTTTTGAGTATATTTATAAATATGAATTTACATTTTGGAAATAAGGATCCATTAATTTATTCAACAAATACTGAGTACCTTCAGAGTGATAGACATCATATTAAAAGATGGGAATAAGCTGACAAAGTGTAGTTTCTACTCTCAAGTAACTTGAAGTCTGGATGTAAAAATAGAATGTTATGTAATAAAGTGACATCTTTTCTGAGTGATATGCTTATATTATCGTGACAAGGTATACAAAGAAATGTAAATCAGCCTGAAGGAAAGAGAAATGAAAAAGAAAAGAATAGAGGAGTCATACTAGAAAGACAGGTAAGTAAGGTGGTTTGGGGGAATTACTTTTCAGTGTTGGCTAAGTTTGAGGTGACTATTGAACATCCAGTGGGCAACTGGAATGTGTTTCCATAGTTCATGAGAGCATTTTGAGCTAAAGGGTATAGATTTTGGTGTCATAATTATGTAAATTAAAACTGAAAATAAATAATGTGTATGTGAATAATATGCATAAGAATAAATGGAAGAACCATGGGTGGAATCCTAGGGAATACCGATATTTAAGGAGATCGATAGAAAAAATAGAACCCTGGCTGGGCATGGTGGCTCACACCTGTAATCCCAGCACTTTGGGAGGCCAAGGTGGGCGGACCACGAGGTCAGGAGATCGAGAACATCCTGGCTAACACGGTGAAACCCCATCTCTACTAAAAATACAAAAAATTAGCTGGGTGTGGTGGCGGGCACCAGTAGTCCCAGCGACTCCCAGGCAGGAGAAAGGCGTGAACCCGGGAGATGGCGCTTGCAGTGAGCCGAGATTGCACCACTGCACTCCAGCCTGGGTGACAGTCTCAAAAAAAAAAAAAAAAAAGGAAAAGAAAAAGAAAAAGTAGAAACCTAAAGTTGGCTTAAGGAGTACAGTAAAAGACTAAGTTGTGTGATGTCATTGAAGCTGTTGGTTAGGACAGTAAGATGGGAGAAAATGGCCAAAACCATGTACTATAGAGAAGTTAAATATTTCTATGGACTTTTTTGTGTCCCCATGGGAAAAAAAGATAGTGACATCAGTCCTAGGTGTAGAAACTTAAACATGTTATTCACTTCTCCTCCACGTGGTATTCAGAGAACAGCATGTTGCTATCACAAAACTACAGGGTATCATTCAGAGAGTGAATTTATCTTATGAAATATATGGACACAAAGACCAAAGAACTGAGATTCACACTAGGAGGTCTTTGATGGCTGGAGATGTAAATTAATATGTATTTGTTTCTATCACATAGTGAGGTCTTCAGTACCTCCTTAGTTCTTAAATGCTTTCAAATCAAATTGAATCAAACAACTGATTTCACACTCATTCCTCTTATAGCAATGGAAATTGGTGTCTAGAATTGCCTGCTGAACTAACTATTAAGCCTTGCACTCCCCACTCTACCCCAAAGCAGAATTGGGGGAAATCAGAATCCTTTTAGAAATTGGAGCCTGGCAAAAGAAAGATTCACTCATTCCTATGCTCATTTGTATTAAAGGTTTTCTCTTACAAACGTAGCTGCAAAATTGTATTATGTAGAAATATTCATTCAAGAGTGTAGAGTGAGTTAAACTATTTTCCATGTTGGAAAATGGTGAAAGACATTTTTCTGCAATCTCATTAAAAGGCCTTTAATTTTATTGTCGTTTTCATCCAGGACACTGTAGGTAAATTTGAGGGCATATATTAGAAAACCCATAAAAGAGGTTTATAAAGAAGTTCATAATCACATCCTGTTTTAATGCCTTTTGTTTGGTTTAACTTTAAAACTGATTGAAAGTTACTTAAATGGCCAGAAGCTTTCTGTTGTTCCTAAAATTACGCTAACATGGAAAGTGCAGGCTGATGTGCAGCAGAATTTCAAGTAAATTAATTTCAATTTTCTCAGAAGGAGGTTTTGCATTATGAAAAAAGTTTCTTATTTCTCTGCTCCTGAAGAAAAATGAACAGATGTAAATTTATTTGTGTAGTTCCAATCAGTCCTCTGCAGATTTCCAATTACTGTGAGTTAAGAATTATTTCCTAGACACACCAGGAAATATAGTAATATTGTCTTTCACTTAATTTACTTTCTTTCTTGTACAAAACCTAACTGTGGTTTCCCCTATATGATGGAAAAGTTACTTAAAGTGTAATTGAAGTTTGAAGGACATCTGGATATTTAGATGATAGTGAATTTAAAAAATGAATGTGTCATCTGCTGCTTATTTTTTCTTACATATTATTTCTACTAAATAATACATTATTTCTATAGCTAAATTATATCACTCATTTCTTTCAATTCTTTGCTTCAATGTTACTCTCTGAATGAGGCCTCCTAGCCAATTCTATTTAAATTAGCAACCCATCTGCCTCTCTCAGACTTCTGTTCCCCTATACTTTATTCTTTAAAACATTGCATGTATTACCTTCTAGTGAACTATATAATTTACTACCTATAATGACAAATAATGATATTAAAATTAATGTAAACCTAGTTTACTTTGTATATTGCTAAAATGTAAGCTTCACCAAAGCATTGTTTTTATATATATTCTTAGTGTCTGCAATAGTGCTTAGCATATGTGTTCAATAAATAATAGTTGCATGCACATTGATTTAGGTACATATGTTTTCCTTAAATTCCTCATGTGTGAAGGGTGTACATAGATTACTTTAGAATCTTTCCTTCTCTCTTTCTCCCTTCTTCTCTCCCATTTACCCCTGCAGAATTAAAGAATACCTAAGGATGCCCTTTTTGCTTCACATCTCCATTGCTTTTAATCATTGTGCCTCTCATTTCATTTTGCACTTAGCGACCCTATTGTTACAGATGATAAGCTGAGGGTGTTTCATGGCACAGGGTTTGGGTAAAAGTGATGCCATCTTGCTATTCTGATAATAAGGAGGACAGTGTGAGGAAATGTCCAACAGCCATCTAGCAATAGAGAGACAGATGGAGCCTTGTTCTAGAAACCACATGTCATCATCAGACTCAGAGAGTAGGCATGCACTTTTCTTTTCTTTTTTTTTTTTTTGAGACAGAGTCTTGCTCTGTCGCCCAGGGTGAAGTGCAGTGGCGCCATCTCGGCTCACTGCAAGCTCCACCTCCCGGGTTCACGCCATTCTCCTGCCTCAGCCTCCCAAGTAGCTGGGACTACAGGCGCCCGCCACCACCCCGGGCTAATTTTGTGTATTTTTTAGTAAAGACGGGGTTTCGCAGTGTTAGCCAAGATGGTCTCGATCTCCTGACCTCGTAATCTGCCCTCCTCGGCCTCCCAAAGTGCTGGGATTACAGACGTGAGCCACCGCACCCGGCCCAGGCATGCACTTTCTTTAACAACAGAAATTTCTGGTTAGAACAATCCAAGTTGTCTTAAGTCTACAGGGTGACTGGGTTTTAACTGCACTGTTATTCTAAGGACAGCCTTTAAAAGATGGTATTGTGTTTGAGTGTGTCCCCTGTACATTTGCCTGTTTGAAATAAAATTTCTTTAGAAAAAAATCTCTAAATCTTCAAAGACCAACTTTAGTGTTAGGTGCAAACCTGGGCTGCAAAGTGTGTACTCAGTCTCCTGAAACTGGGTGTTGGAGCAGAGTGCAATTTTTTTTTCTTTTTTTTTCTTTTTTTTTTTTTTGAGACGGAGTCTCGCTCTTGTCGCCCAGGCTGGAGTGCAGTGGCGCGATCTCGGCTCACTGCAAGCTCCGCCTTCCGGGTTCACGCCATTCTCCTGCCTCAGCCTCCCGAGTAGCTGGGACTACAGGCGCCCGCCACCATGCCCGGCTAATTTTTTGTATTTTTAGTAGAGACGGGGTTTCACCGTGGTCTCGATCTCCTGACCTGGTGATCCGCCTGCCTCGGCCTCCCAAAGTGCTGGGATTACAGGCGTGAGCCACCGTGCCCAGCCTCAGAGTGCAATTTTTAATCAAAAGCAACAATCGATGGCTTGGAAAAATAAGCAAGTTGGCCATTTCTTACGCCCTGTTTTTTTGTTGTTGTTTTGTTTTGTTTTAAAGAAAAGTCAAGGGAAATAAGACCAGTAGCCTTATTAAATATAAGGGTAGAATGAATAGAAAAGAGAATAGAAGCAAGTGCTGCTGAGTGTATTTGCCAGTTTTCTCTTAATTTGGCATCTTGATCCCCAGACCTCCATCATTCTGTCAACGTCTCTCAGCCCTTTTTCTCCATTCTTCAGCCTTGTCTACCAATTTGGCTCCTGCTTCCATGACTGAAGCCGCTAAATGATGCCTATGGCAATGAATTGCTCCTCATTCTCTATGACCACTGAGTTCAGTGAAGGGGGCCATTCCTTTTCTGCACCAAAATTAAATCAACAAATGCAACTTTAGAAAGATTGTTACAGGCCAAGCTCAGTGGCTCACATCTGTAATCCAGCACTTTGGGAGGCCAAGGCACGAGGGTCACTTGAGCCCAGAAGTTCAAGACCAGCCTGGGCAATATAGTGAGACCTTGTTTCTATTTAAAAAGCAAAAATAGCCAGGCCTGGTGGCAAATGCCGATAGTCCCAGCTACTTAGGAGGCTGATGTGGGAGAATTCCTTAAGCCCAAGAGACTCAGGCTGCAGTGAGCCATGCTTATACCACTGCACTCCAGCCTGGACAACAGAGGGAAACCCTACCTTAATTTAAACAAAAAAAAAAAAGATTGTTATGAATAGTGTTTTTCTTCTAATTCTGAAGTATTCAGGATAAACCTTCAAGTGAATTGTTGCTAAGTTGAAAAATCTATTCCAAGCAAAAAAATATATATATAGCTTCAGACTTTCATTTTTGGAACTCATCTTCCTTATTTTTAACTTAGAAACTGCTTGTATGACCTAACACCTATTCCCGCTGGTCCATAAGATACATGATACCTTTTCCCCTTTCATAATTTATTGCTTTAACAGCAGACTTTCATTAGTGCACTGCTGTTAAGGGACAAAGAAAACACCCACTTTGTTGAACATTTATGTTTAAAGTGAGTGCATTGCACTAAATCTCTGTGTGCCCATGGGGTCATCTCTAACCCAAATTATAACCATATCTGTGATGGAATCTTGCCGTGAAGCTTTTTTTTCTTTTTGTAATTTTTTTGAGTGTGTTGATTTCTGTAGAATTCTCAAAAGCTATTTTTTTTTTTCCTTTTTTCTTCCCTCTGCCTGAACAAACTTGTTTAAGTTAGGTTTTCTGGCTGTGGACTTCCATAGTGTATCATACTATACCAAAGCATTCAAAGCATATCAACTCAGCATTGGCGCTGCTTTTTAAATAATTTATCTTTTCTAATCATTAAACCTCCATAATGGTACTTTCAAAATATGTTTTGAATGAATAAACAAGTCAGTCTAACTACATTGAGTTTTACTGAGCAAGAAAGGTTTTGGCCTATGCTTGTATTCCAGCGTAGGAGTTCCTCTGCAGTGGTTACACACTCTCCAACTGATAGGTGTTTCTTCTCCAAGAAATTACATAAAGATTAGACGTCCATGTTGGATAGCACCTGCAAATAGCAAAGAATAGATAGTAAATCAGTATATAGGTTTAAAGTTAAATCATTTGTGGTTAGTGCCTTTAACTTGTGTTAGATGCTTTTCATTTCTTAATTTTGTTTGTTTTAAATAAAAATTCTCCCAGAGGATGAAGGAAATACTTGAAAGAGATTTGACTGTGATTCCAGAAGATATATATGGACTTACCAGAGTCATATTTGTTTTCATGGGAAGGGTAATGGGGAAAGGGGAAAAGTTGCTTTTTTAAAATTTTTTAAATTAAATTATCTGGCAACCTTGTACTTTGGAGGCAGCTCAGTGAAATACTTCAGAGCATGTCTTTGGCTTTAAACAGACTTGGCTTCAAATCATTCATTTATTGGTCCTGTGTCTGACCTTAGGCAAATTATTTAATCCTTATTCTTCATCTGCAACATTGGGTTGAGTTGCATTATATAATATAAGAGACGTTAATATAATGTCTAGAAATTTGATATAATTATATGATAATAAAATCTGAAGAGTTTGTTAGCTGGTAATTTTATTCTATTTCTTAGTGTTCCCTGGCTATGCCATTTTGGGGCTATGTCTTATCTCACTGGCAACCACGTCCATGAAGAGGAGTGAGTCCAAAGCACAAGAGTAACTCAAGGAAACCCCTTTATAAGTGTATTGGTTGTGATGCATTTCTTGGTAAAATAGAGGTTGACTGTCATTGGGAGGCTGCAGTTTATCTCACGATGCAAATTCAAGATGCTTACATGTTGGGAAGTGCATGTATAAATAAGAAAAGAAGAGAAATTTGTTGACTGAGATAATTAAGAAGCAGTGTGTATATGAACCAGAGAGAAAGGGCGGGTATTAATACTAAGCTAAAAGCAGTCACCTATTCCCAGTGTTGGTGATTTGAAGCCTGATACCTCTGAATTTGAATCTCATCTTGAGTCTTGACAGCTACATTATCATGGACAAATTATTTAAATTCTCCCCCTTCATTTTTAGACTCTAAAGTAAAAAGAATAATAATTGCTATTGCTAATTGCAAGGGTGGAAAGAAATAATATGAAAAACTTAAACCCCAAGTATTAATCTTTATTACTTCCTGTTGAGTACTGTTTTTAAACTAGGAAAATATATTCACACCTATTATTTTGACATGTGGAAGAAAATGTAGTCTTAGTTATATATTCAAAAGGTAGGTACAAAGTAAATTATGCATATATGAATATACAATGTAGTTCTCCGAATCCTAGATCCAACAATAACAACTAGCTGCATAGACTTAAGTTGCTTAACCATTCTGATCTTTGAACCCTTCATTTTAAGATAAGGTTGATACCTTTATGGGTTCATTGTGAGAAATACATAATAGTTGTAAAGCGTCTTATTCACCACCTGTCACAAAGGTAGTAATGGACTAATATGGAACATAAAGGCTTATTTAGATGTCATAGTCCATGTTCAATCTCAGGAGAAGCCTCTTTGTAATGAATACTCCATTTAATCAAGACTTCACAAACTTTTAAATAAATGATACTGTAGTGAGGATATGTTTCTCTTTCTTTAGACTCTTAAGGAAAAACTCATATAAAAATTATTTTCAAAAGCTGCAACTTGTTATTTCTCTAATAATGTTAAAGAATAACGTTTTTGGCAATCCATCTGAAATAATTAAAAAGTCATTTAGATTGAATGCCTACTGTTTCATATTTAACAGGTTAGAATTTAAAAAAAGAACTTTATGAAAGACAGTGGCATTATTATACTTTATTTAGTTGTCCAAGTCTAAACAAAATTCAATTTAGAACAAATAATTAGGTCTGTGTCAAAAGAAGGATACCAGAGAGAGGGCTTAACTGTATTTTCTGACACCTACTTTGCAGTTTTGTGACACAAGTGACACACTCTGAAACAGATTTCAGCTTTGGAGACCTATGTAATAGAATCATGTGCCCTTATTTACCTAGTTTATGTGTGGCATGGTGGTGGTTTTTCTGTCCATCTCCTTTTTTCCATTTTTCTTAGTTCAATGAAAGTATAGAGCAGGGAAACAACTAGTTCAATACCCTTCCCAGTGGAATTTAACTTTTTTTTTTGAAATGGAGTCTCGCTCTGTCGCTAGGCTGGAGTGCAGTGGCACAATCTCGGCTCACTGCAATCTCCACTTCCCGGGTTCAAGCAGTTCTCCTGCCTCAGCCTCCTGAATAGCTGGGACTACAGGCACATGCCGCCACGCCCAGCTATTTTGTTGTTGTTGTTTTGTTTTCTTTTTTTGTTTTTGTGTTTTAGTAGAGATAGGGTTTCACCAGATTGCCTAGGCTAGTCTCGAACTCCTGAGCTCAGGCAATCCTCCCGCCTCGGCCTCCCAAAGTGCTAAGATTACAGGTGTGAGCCACTGCGCCCAGCTGGAATTTAACCTTTTAAAGAAGGGTACATCTTTTAATTTTGCTCACAGTACATATGATATGCAAAAATCACATAGAATAACGTAGCAGTATTTTAAAATATGTATTCAATTATGCCTTTCACAGCAAGTGTGTTAAGCATTTTTCTAATAACTCGAAAGTACGTGTTTTAAAGAAAGTCGGTCATTTACATTTGCATCCTCTATTAGTGCTTTTCTATCCAAAACACTCTTAGTTAAAATGTCATTTTTAACCAGTATTTAACATAGTTTAATTAAGGAAAAGAGAAAGGGAGAGAAATAGAGTATATGATTTGAGAAAAAAAAATATGAGTAATGAGAATTCTTTTGCTTGGTCCTCGAATACAAAGTCTGCTATCCTAAGATAACCTAAAAGTCACAGAAGTGCTTCATGAGACCAGAAACTATAGCTTTGTCTCTGGTATCTCCCGCGGAGCTCAGATTCAATAACTTATATCTCACTGAACTTTTTTTTCTGAGATGAAAATCCTACCTGTTTCTATTCTACTTAAAAATTTCTGAGTTCACCTCTTTCTAGTATTTGGATATGAAAAGGATTCATATGCCTTAAAAAAATACTACTAATGTCATTGTTCTTTTGGACAAACTGATATCTGTGACCACTCTGATGTCTAGGAACTTAATTTAAGAGTTCCAATTTCATACACCTATTACATTCTTAAATTATTTAATTTTAATTAAATATTTTAATTCCAAGTTTTATTCTTGGCAGTTGTCTAATCTGGTTATCACTCAAAACCAGACAACTCATACTTTGTATTTATTTGAATGTAATTAAATGAAGTTTTTATTAAAATTTCTCTATGAGCGCTATATTTGATGTTACATATTTTATAACTTTATATATACATACACACACAGACACACACACACACACACATATGTATATATGGTTTGTCTTTTTGAGATGGAGTCTTGCTCTGTTGCCCAGACTCAAGTCCAGTGGTGCAATCTTGGCTCACTGCAGCCTCTGACTCCTGGGTTCAAATGATTCTCCTGCCTCAGCCTCCCTAGTAGCTGGAACTACAAGCGCATGCCACCATGCCCTGCTAATTTTTGTGTGTGGTGTTTTTTTGTTTGTTTGTTTGTTTTTAGTAGAGACGAGGTTTCACCATGTTGGCCAGGCTGGTCTCGAACTCCTGACCTCAGGTGATCCACCCACCTCGGCCTCCCAAAGTGCTGGGATTACAGCCATGAGCCACCACGCCCGGCAGCATTATACATTTTTAAAAACACGAATAATGCATATGGCATTTTGTCAGTTGGGAAGAGGTTGGTTGTCAAGTGATAAGAAACCCAAAATAACAGTAGCTTAAACCAGTTACACATTTTTTAAATCTGTCTTTTAAAAAGGGAGTCCAGAGATGTGCAGTCCTTGCTGGTTGGACAGTTTTATAAAGGGCTTAGTTTCCAGGACTTGTGTGTTAGTTTTGGTTTGACCACTACCTCCCTCAACACAGGACTTCTGCCTTACAGCTAGCAGCAAAGAGGTGGGGTAAGGGAGGAAGTGCGCTCCTTTCAGGTGATTTCCTAAAGCAATGCAGGATTCTTGTGCTGCTCGTGACATGACCAAACCTGGCTGCATGTTTGATCGTGGTTCTTTTTATGTTTTCAGTTCCAACACAGTGGCTAGTGCATATTAGTTACTTAATTCCTAAGCTCTTGTGTCTCTCTAAATTTTGGAATTACTGTAATTAATTCAAGTAGTAGCGACTTATTTACAGTAAGTGAATTTAAAAAGGATTTTGAATTTAATTCCTTTTATTGCCAGTGTAGTCACTTGAGAATTTTGACTCATATCTATTTTATCAAACAAGATTTGGGAGCATTTGTGTTTCATGAGTGTACCGTGCTATTAAATTATCAGTCCTGTTGAATGATAGAGATTAAAGATTTATTTTTCCAAGTGTCATATTATAAATGTTGCTTAAAACTAAGCATAATTCTTGGGAAAAAAGTGAGCAAATGTGTCTGTGTAATCACATTTAACAATTAAGTTATGTAAAATCTCATTACTAAAGCCATTAGCTAAATAAGCAAATTTGATTAGGAAATTTGGATTAATGCAAAGTTCAAATATGACTGCAACCAATGTTGGTTCATTTCAGTTTGCAAATTTCAAATGCATAAAAAACCTTAGGAAAAAATGTGAGTATCTAAAATTTATGTTTTATCTCTGAGAAAAAAAAAAAACCCTTAGTTTCATAGTCCTTATGTGTGTTAAAGGACAATCAAACGAAATGAAATTCAGAAACATCTTTTAGTTTAAAATGAACATACTTCTTAAATAACTGGGTATTAAAAATATTTTGTGAATCATTGCCTATAAACATTGTTATCTGACTTATTTTGATTATTATTTTTTTTGTCCAGGGAATAGCCAGACTATTTATTACTGAAACTCATTCTTGGTAATATAGTCCTAATTTTCATTTGTCTTAGTTTTTTAGTTTCCCAGATGCTTCCTACATAGATTTTGTCATTTTATTTTCATGAAGCCTGTTATTATTGCTATTGTTAGGTGAAAAATGCTATCCTCTGTAACTCTTGAGTTTTCGTACACATGGCTTGATCTGTCTGGAATGCTCTTGTCGGCATTCCTGACTTGGTCCTTTTTTTTCTCGTCTTCTCTAGGAACTTCACCTCACCTGTTCTCTTGGGTAGGTGTTCCTTTCATGGGTTCCCAAAACACCTTACATTTTATCATGACCCTCTCTACACAGTATTGTGATTGTTTGCTTGTCTGTCTTCACTGTGAGACAATTCACTGAAAAATTATTTATTCATTATTTGGTAAGCTCCTTGTCAATGTTTAGTGTATTGTTAAGAGTGCTGCACATTGCACTTTAATGAAATCAAAGCAAGAAAGAAACTGTTTATCCTTCAGTATTTCCCTGGTTTTGAAGGTATGTGATTCCATGTTAAGCAGAATCCTGTTTCCCTTGCGTGTTGCAGGGACATCAGCTGTGTTACTGAAATATGTACTCTTGAAAAGCATACTTTCATCTCCTAATGTGCTTTATTCATATCCACACTTGAACCTCTCAGATTTCAACCACTTTTTAAGACCTTTGTTAGAACAAGAGGCGAAAGGCCACTTTACTTAAGGATTTGGATGTTTTGATAGTTCTATCTAGAGGGCAGTCTTACTACAAAGAGACACTGACAATTTGGTCAGATGTATTGTCAGAAGTAGGAAAGGGTGTGCTTTTCTGTTTAATTTTTAGAAAATTTAATTTTTCTTTTACCTTTGTGAAAATAGAAATGGTAGGTTAGACTTTTTAATGAAAAATAATGTAATCCTTTTAATTTGCTTTTCTGTAGTATATCTTCTTGTATAGTTGGTGTGTGTGATTAGAAGAGACACAGGGCTTTATTTTCTGAAGAAATGTATTGTAGTTAGTTGATATGAAATTCTAATCAGGGTTTTTCAACTTTAGTGCTGTTGACATTTTGGGCTAGGTTATTCTTTGCTGTGGAAGGCTGTTCTGTGCCTTGTAAGATGTTTAAAAGCATTCCTGGACTCTACCCACTAAATGCCAGTTACATTCCCCAAGTTGTGACAAGCATAAATGTGTCCAGACATTGCCAAATATCCCCTGGGGTGGGAGGAAGTCAGTCCTGATTGAGGATCACTGTGCTAAATAAATGTTCCTCTTCTTTCTCTGTCAATGTTTAGGATCACCTAGGGACCCATATGCCTATTTACATTTAATGTTTGCGTTCAGCTCTGTCCAATCCACTGTTATTGTGGGTTTGACTGTTCTTTATTAATCAAGTGTCCAGATTATTGTGATTTCATAAAATATTATCTTAGACAAAGACAGGGTTGTTAGGGGAGATGGGAGAAAAGATGGGCAAAATGTTCCTAGGGAAAAGAAATACTACACATGCAGTATTACTAGAACATGTGATGATGATCAGGGGAAAAAAAGAGCTAAAAGGATTTAAAAGACAACATTTTGTTATTTTTCTTTTTTTAGTAACATGATTTTCTAGAATTTAGGTCTTAGAAATAGTAGTAGTTCATATCTCCAGGTGTATTTTCTTTCTTTGACCAAAACAAATACTGATTATTTCTCTTTCCCCAATTATTTTTTCATCACTGTCTGCTTAATTTCATTGTCTGTTGTTCTAAAAGATAAATCATTAGAGGAGAAATCTGAGAAGTAAAATATTATTTTAAAAATGCTGTAATAATACCCACCTACACATGGATACATAAAATTGACCCTATTACTTATAATTTAAGAGACTGGAAATATTTTTTTTTCAATTTCTCCCCCAAAAGGCACTTTAAATTCACATTAATATATAGCATGGGCCAGTTTTCTTAATTTTCAGGCAACTCCGTATGATATGGACTTACTGCCACATTAAAATACGTTCTTCCACTGTATCAACCTTATGTGAAATCCTTGAGTTGTAAACATGGAAACAAAATAATGATAACTGCTACCAAAAACACACTTAAGTATATAGCCCACAGACCCTATAAAACAACCACACAATAGAAACTACAAAGCAACAAACTAGTAACTTCATGATAGGATCAAAACCTCACATATTAATATTAATCATTAATGTAAGTGGTCTAAATGCTTCACTTAGGCACAGAGTACCAAGTGGAATGAAAAATATATATATATATATGTCTGCTGTCTTCAAGAGAAACATCTCACACATAATATGACACCCACAGGCTCATAGTAAAGGGTTGGAGAAAGATGTAGTATGCAGACAGAAAACAAAAAAGAGCAAGAGTCACTATTCTTCCATCAGATAAAACAGACTTACTTCATTTATTTGTTTGAGACAGAGTCAATGTCACCCAGGCTAGAGTACAATAGTATGATCTCAGCTCACTGCACCCTCCATCTCCCATGTTCAAGTGATTCTCCTGCCTCAGCCTCCCTCCCAAGTAGCTGGGATTACAGGTGCCCACGACCATGTCTGGCTAATTTTTGTATTTTTAGTAGAGATGGAGTTTAACCATGTTGACCAGACTGGTATTGAACTCCTGACCTCAGGTGATCCGCCCGCCTTTGCCTCCCAAAATACTAGGATTACAGGGATGAGCCACTGCACCTGGCCAGGTAAAACAGACTTTAAATGAGCATAAGTAAAAAAAGTACAAAGAAGCGCATTCCATAATGTAAAGTGTTCAACAAGAAGACTTAACTATCCTAAATATGTATGCATTCCACATTGGAACACCCATATTCATGAAACAAGTACTTTGAGACCTACAAAAAGACATAGCCACACAATAATAGTGGGGGACTTCAACACCCCACTGACAATGTTAGACAGATCATTGAGGCAGAAAACTAATAAATTCTGGACTTAGATTCAACACTGGACCAACTGGACTGATAGATATCTATAGAATACGCTACCAATAAACCACCCAATATACATTCTTCTCATCTGTACATGGAACATCACCCAAGATCGACTACATGCTTGGCCATAAAGCAAATCTCACTAAATTAAAAACAAAACTGAAATCATACCACCCACACTCTTGGACCACTCTTGGAATAAAAATAAAAATCATTACCTAGGAGATCTCTCAAAACCACAGTATTACATGGAAATTGAGCAACTTGCTCCTGAATGACTTTTGGGTAAACAACGAAATTAAAACAGAAATCAAAATTTTTTTAAGTAAATGAAAACAAAGATGCAACATACTAAAGTCTCTGGGATACAGCAAAAGCCGTGTTAAGAGAAAGTTCATAGTCCCAAATGCCTACCTCAAAAGGCTAGGAAGATTTTAAATTAATGATCTAACATCAAACCTAAACTAGAAAAACATGAGCAAGCTAACTGCAAAGGCAGAAGAAGAAAGGAAATAACAAAAGTCAAAACAGAACTGAATGAATTTGAGACCCCAAAATCTAAAAGAATCAATGAACCCAAAAGTTGGTTTTTTTAAAGGATAAAGAAGATCTATAGACCACTATCAAGATTAACAAAGAAAAAAAGAGGGACGATATTAGGTTGGTGCAGAATACAAATAAGTACAAAGAAATATAAAAGATCCTCAGAGACTATTATGAACACTTCTATGCACGCAAACTAGAAAATCCAGAGGAAATGGATAAATTCCTGGAAACACACAGTTTCACAAGATTGAACCTGGAAGAAATAAAAACCTGAACAGACTAATACTGACTTTGGAAACTGAGTCAGTAATTAAAAAAAAGAAAAACACAAAAAACAAAAACTTACCTACCAAATAGATCTGGACCAGATAGAGTCACAGCTGAATTCTACCAGATGTACAAAGAACTGGTACTAATTCTGCTAAAACTATCCCAAAAAATCAAGGAGGTCGGACCCCTCCCTGACTCATTCTATGAAGCCAGCATCACCCTGATACCAAAACCTGGCAAAGACACAAGGAAGAAAACCAGGCTGGGCACAACGGCTCATGCCTGTAATCTCAATACATTGGCAAGCCAAGGTGAGAGGATCACTTGCCCTCAGTTGTTCAAGACAAGCCTGAACAATACAGCTAGACCTCATCTCTACTAAAAATCAAAAAGTTTACCCAGGTGTGGTAGCGCACACCTGTAGCCCCAGCTACTGAGGCAGGAGAATCGCTTGAGCCTGGAAAATCAAGGCTTCTGTGAGTTATGATCACACCACTATACTCCAGCCTAGGTGACAGAGCAAGAGTCTGTCTCAAAAAAAAAAAAAAAACAAAAAAAACAAAAAAACTACTGACCAATATCCCTAATGAACATAGACACAAAAATCTTCAGTAAAATACTAGTAAACTGAATTGTGCAGTACATTAAAAAGGTAAGTCGCCATGATCAAGTAGGCTTCATTCCTGGGATGCAAGGTTGGTTCAACATGTGCAAATCAAAAAAATGTGATTCGCCACATAAGTAAAATTAAAAACAAGAATTATATGATTATCTCAGTATATGCAGAAAAAACTTCCAATAAAATTTATCAGCCCTTTATAATAAAACCCTCAAGAAACTAGACATTGAGGGAACAAACCTCAACATATTAAGAGCCATCTTTGACACACCCACAGCCAACATCATACTAAGTGGACAAAAACTGGAAGCATTCTCTTTGAGAACTGGAATAAGAAAAGATGCCGACTCTCACCACTCCTATTCAACATAGTACTGGAACTCCTAGCCAGACCAGTTAGGCAAGAGAAAGAAATAAAAGGCCTCCAAATAGGAAAAGCAGTCAAACTAACTCTTTACTGATAGCATTAATCTATACTCAGAAAACCCTAAAGACTCTGCCAAAAGGCTACTGGAACTGATAAATGACTTCAATAAAGTTTCATGATACAAAAATTGATGTAAAACAGTCAGTAGCATTTCTGTACATGAATAATATTCAAGCTGAGAGGGAAATAAAGAATGCAATCCCATTTACAATAGCCATATACACACACAAAAATATAGGAATATTTCTAACCAAGGAGGTGAAAGTTCTCTACAAGTAAAACTACCAAACACTGCTGAAGGAAATCACAGATGACACAAACTATGGAAAAACATTCCATGCTTATGAGTTGGAAGAATCAATATCATTAAAATGGTCATACTGCCCAAAGCAATTTACAGATTCAGTGCTATTTCTATCAAACTACCAATGTCAGTTTTCACAGAATTAGAAAAACACTATTCTAATATATGGAACCAGAAAAGAGCCTGAATAGCCAAAGTAATTCTAAGCAAAAAGAACAAACCCAGAGGCATTGCATTATTCAACCTGAAACTCTACTATAAGGCTGCCATAACCAAAACAGCATGGTACTGATACAAAATCAGACACATAGACCAGTGGAACAGAACCTGGAATCCAGAAATAAAGTCTCACATCTACAGCTATCTGACCTTCGACAAATTTGACCAAAGTAAGCAATGAGAAAAGGATTTGCTGTTCAGTAAATAATGCTGGGATAGCTGGCTAGCCATATGCATGAAATCAAATTGGATCCCTCCTTTTCACCATATATAAAAAATTAACTCAAGATGGATTAAAGATTTAAGTGTAAGTCCTCAAAGTGTTAAGAATCCTAGAAGGAAACCTAAGAGACACCATTCTGACCATAAGCCTTGGGAAAGAATTTCTGACCAAGTCCTCAGAAGACATTGCAACAAAAACAAAAATTAACAAGCAGCACCTAATTACAGTAAAGAGCTTCAGCATAGCAAAAGAAACTATCAACAGAGTAAACAGACAGCCTACAAAATGAGAGATGTTTGCACACTATGCATCCAACAGAGGTCTAATATCCAGAATCTATGAGGAATGTCAATAATTGTACAAGCAAAAGACAACACCATTAAAAACAAAAAAAAGAAAGATATGAGCAGACACTTCAAAAGAAGACATGAAAGCTGCCAACAAACATAAAAAATGCTCGACATCACTCATCATCAGAGAAATGCAAATCAAAACCACAGTGAGATACCATCTCACACCAGTCAGAATGCTATTATTTAAAAAGTCAAAAAAACAATAGGTGCTGGTGAGACAATGAAGAAAAGGGAATACTTATAAAAACAGTGTGGAGATTTCTCGAAGAACTTAAAACAGAACTACCATTTGACCCAGCAGTCCTGTTACTGGGTATGTACCCAGAGGAAAATAACTCATTCAATCAAAAAGACACATGCACTCACATGTTCATTGCAGCACTAGTCAAAATAACAAAGCTGTGGAATCAATCTAGGTTCTGTTAATGATGGACTGGGTAAAGAAAAGGGGGTAAATCACCAGGGAATACTACACAGCCATAAAAAGTATATAATTATGTATTTTGCTGTAACATGGCTGCAGCTGGAGGCCATTATCCTAAGGAGATTAATGCAGGAACAGAAAACCAAATACTGCATGTTTTCACTTGGAAGTGGCAACTAAATATTGGATATTCATGGCCATAAGATGGCAATAAAAGACACTGGGGATTACTAAAGCAGAGAGGGAGGGAGGAAAGGAGGAAGGGGAGCAATGGTTGAAAAATTAACTAAGTGGTACTATGCTCAGTACCTGGGTGATGGGATCAGTTGTACCGGAAACCACAGCATCATGCAATATATACATGTAAGAAACCTGTACATGAACCCCTTGAATCTAAAAAAAATTTTAACAAATATATAGGTATCAGGTTTTTTTAATTTAAAAAAAATGTATAATGTGTTCCTGTTTTTCATATAGAAACCAGAAGATTTGGACATGATCTGCATGTAAACAAACTATGTCATTTTTAAACAGTCATGAAAAGTCATAAAAAGCCTTTAGTATGAATGATTTATTAAATTACAGGTCCTCATGTATATCCAGACTATTAGGTTTGAATTTTGGCACCTTCTTACCTGTTGTTTGACCTTAGGTATGTTACTTAACTTTTCTTGCCCAAGGTTCGTTATGTGCAAAATGAAGAAAGTAATAATATCCTACCTCTTAAGATTATTGTTGAATAATAAAGTAATATATGTAAAATGCTCCATATATTCTAAGTGCTGAATAAGTTTCTCTGCCACTATTATTATTATTATTATTATTATTATTATTATTATTATTGTAACTATTGTAACATGAAGGATTTCTGTTTATCATGTTATCAGTAAAATAAAAAAGGGTTTTCTCAATCTAGAAAATAACACTAACAGAACCCTAGTCATAACAGTGCTAGAATTGGCCCAAATTTATCCAGAACTTCCAAAATGGCACTTGACTCCTTTTCAGTGTATCAACACAAATTAACATTATATAAAATTCGGCAAGTTTTACAGCAAAAAGAAACATAACCGAGTACACATGTACCTGGAATTGAAGTATTTCATCTCTTTTCTCTTTTCCTTCTAGAAAGAGCATGAGATTTAGTATCGGAAACTGTTCTAATTCTGGCTTTGCCTCTTATTAATCATAATAACTAGAGGGAGTTGGTTAATTCTCTGAGCCTCTCTTTTTCCCTTTGTAATGTGGAGCTGATAACTCTTTTTACTGTGGGGTGCTTTCAGCGTCTGCCTACTGGCAGTCTCCAGTCCTATTTGGACTCCAGACCTTTCCTTATCCATTCCTGGGCTGGGTAATGTTGGTCCTCTGTCCTCCAGTACAGTAATTTTCTACACCATTTGTTTTCTTATTTGTCTCCCTCAGTAGATTTTGCATCCATAGGCAAGTGCAACTCTGTCTTGTTCACATTTGCAGCATCCATTCTTGGGCATAGTTAATGCTCAATTAAATCCTTACTTAGCCCATAAGAAATCAGTCACAATAGTCATCTATCTTAGACTCACTCTATTGCTAACTTTATTCAGATTATGTAGAGGACGATGATATTCTAATTCAAAGACTCACAGTATATATATATTCCTGGAAATGACTTGCTGAATTCCTCTGAGTGACTAGGATCCGGCCCCTCCCCACAAGAATAAGGCAGGCAGAACAGGGTTGTCCTAGTGTGGTTATTATACTATTTATCATTTTTTTCTTCTTTGTATATTTTATGAATTGGATAATGACAGGAATATAGTCTATCAGCATTGGAATCCCAGGAGGCTAAGTACATCAGTTTTCAATGATTTTGGGCTTTAGGTACATTGTCAGAGATATGTGCTCATTCCCTTCATGTTCATTCCATCTAGCCTAATAGCATGTTTGCCCTTTAGGAATGTAATTATGTGGAGACTAATTAGTGGGCTATTGCCATCATTCAGGTGACAGAAAAGATAAAAAGGGCTCTGACAGAAGCATAAAGATAAACCTTGATGGGCAGAGTAAAGAGCCTTAGAAAATAAGAATAGGTGGGCTTAGTAGACAAAACATGGAATTGTGAAGATAAGTGAAGACCTAAGAGTGATAATCAGGTTTCTCATTTTAGCAACTGGAGTGAATGACTGTGTTAATTACAAAGATTTTTTCCCTATTTTATTTATTTCATTTATTTATTTTTAGGTGGGAGATACTGATTTCATATTTTGGATGTATTGATTTTGAAATTTCAGTGAGCCTCTACCTTGATGTGGCTCAATCAGCTTTTGAAAGCAGATCTGGATGTCAGGAGGGAGATCATTTTTTCAAAATTGTGAGCAGTCAGCATGTACATGAGCCACATTTATGCATTATGTCATGCAGAGACTGTAGTTATCCACAGAGACTGTATTTATTCCTAGAGACAAGTACAAAATCCTGTAAAACACCAACTCCTTTTAAAGGAGTTCATGAATAAAGAGACATTTTCTTTTTCATTCTGTGTAGGAGGGTCTCAAGAAGAGACTGGTCTCCCAGGAGCCCAGGAAATACAGAGTTTCAGGAAGGAAGGTGAATTCAGTAGTCTGAAGTGTAGTAGTTGAGTGGAGTTTCACATAGGTGCACTATTTTGAGGGTTTGATGATTGGTAGAAATTTAATAGGACATTTCAGGGGAATTCTGGGAAGAGAATCTAAACAGGATTTAGGGGTAAATGGGATTGGGGCATTGGTCATATACACCACAGACCATTCTTAAAGAAAATCTGGCTTTGAAGGGAAGAACGATCATAAGCAATAGTTAGAGGTGGATACAAGAATGAATACAGGTTATACGGGTGTTTTCTTCTCCTATGTCTAAGAGGTACACGAACATTTTTGTGTTCTTAAGAAAAGAAAACCGTATGATAAAAGCAGCTGAAGATATTGGACAAAGAGGGGTTGATTGAAGGATTTTAATTTCTAAAGAAGCTAGAAAAAATAGAATTAAATATCTAGATGGTATTTCTCCCCTGGTGCACTTACCCTTCTATCAAGGGAGATGCACCTCTTTATCTGAATTTTTTTTTTCTTTATCTGAATTTTAAAGCAAAGCCATGAAGACATTTAAGGTTGTAGAAAAGTTTCAGAAGTTAGCTAATATGTATGAGTTTAATTAATGGGAAAGCATTATGTCAATAAAATTATTGTCATAAAGAGTATTATTCCTTTTTAAAAATTTTTTCATCCTCTTTATCAATTTTACCCATGTTTGAATAAAACTGACCATTTCCACAAATGCTTAACTACTGCAGGAAGCTTTATTCTCTCTTGTTCCTAGCAGCAGACAAGAACACTTCACAGCACAGCATATTAATTTCATGATCAGATTAACTGTTGTCCAGATTTTCATATATATATATATATATATATATATATATATATATATATATATATATATATATATATGTGAAAGTGATCTTATTGTGTTTGGGAATTCTTTATTCAGATGACTTTGTAGCAACTATGAGAAATAATGAAGTTTTTAATATATGCTTTTGACACAAGTGAGCATTCTTTAATTTTAAATATTTTACCAAGATGCTCATTAAATAATGTATTTTAAAATGCTTAACAGAATAAGTTTTTATTAGTAGTCTTCTCTTTTCTCTGACCTCCCTTTTACCAGCCTTTCACAGACCTCAGCAGCTGCCAAGTTGAATCTGCAATTTGAGATGATAACAGCAGTATTCAGGCTCAATAGATGTGCGGAATGTCTGTAAGATACTTAACTGATTACAAGAGAATGGGGATAGGCCAAAAAGCCCTCTGTGCGAGCTTTTTGAACTTAGTTCAATTCTCCAACACCTTGTTTTCATAGACATGCCTGTAATTGATTTCATTCGGTCATGAGGGTGGGTTCTGGCATGGCTGAGATATTACATGCAGTTACTACCTTAGAGCCTTCTAAGAAAGCCTATGGAATCTTGGGGTCTGCAGAGAAAGATGTTTTTCAGAACAGTGAACTGAAATTTGCATAGTGTTCCGAAATCCAGTCTTATTCAACTAAATCCAAATATCAAGAAAAGGGTGATGTTGATAGCCTTCAGTCTTTTTTGTTGTTGTTCTTTTTTGGCGTCTGATTAAACTGTGACTCTCTTTTTGCTATTGAGCCAGACTACCTTTTGCCTTTCAGGCAGCCAAGCACCAATATTTCCCAAGCAACACAGCTAGTGAGAGAGGCATCTCATGTTTCCACATATACATATCTCACTGCCTTAGGCAAGCTTCATTTCCGAAGTGATGGGAAAATGTGCATGCTCCAAGAAGAAAACCAGGTGGTTAGTAATTCTAGTGGGAGAGAAAAGACAGCTAGAAAAGGGGAAAGTTCAGTGGTGGTAAAAGGCTTTTAGAAAATACCTCCTAATACTTTCTAATGCAGCACAAATGCAACGGATACCTATCCAGTATTTTCCCTCCTGAGGAATCATTTCCTTATATTTAGAATTTATTTTTATATTACCAGGTTAGCATTTTTACTGTGCTGTTAACCATTTTTATTTTTGGAATATAAAATAAAAATTTGTGGTTTTATATATAATAATACAGTCCTTTCTCTAAATTTCTGTTTTCCTCATGCAGAGGGCTACTTCTCCAGGAGAACAGCAGGTTTGCAGAAGCACTACATTATTATAAATTGGCCATTGGGAGCAGGCCTACCCTGGCTTGTAAGTAATACTCAAGTGTTTATTTTTTTATACCTCTTTCCATATTTGAAAATTAACTCTAATTTACAGCCTCACTGAGAAAACACTTGGTGCTCTTATTTCTGAATACTCGCTAATCAGATTATGAACCTCTAACAATTATATCTCAATTGCATCATACTTTAATGTCCATTGATCATTAAAAAATTATGATAGCTATAACTTTTACTCAACTATATTTTAAGCTTAAAATATTTGGAATTTCTTGCTGGCAGACACTATTTCATATGTTCTGCAGTGATATTTGCAGTTTCACTACCATTATTGATCCCATGAGTATTTGTGTCATAAGTATTTTTTTCTTTTTTAATGAGCACTAAACCATAGAAACCAAATTGAAACAAAGAAAACTTTATTTTATTCAAGTGTATATCATCTTCTCACACTTTTGTTTCCACTTTTCCCCCTCAGCTGCATATTTAAATACCGGTATTATTCTAATGAACCAAGGAAGGACGGAAGAAGCCCGACGGACATTCTTAAAGTGTTCGGAGATCCCAGATGAAAACCTAAAGGACCCTCATGCACACAAGAGCTCTGTTACCAGTTGTTTGTACAACCTAGGAAAGCTGTATCATGAGCAGGGACACTATGAGGTCTGGCCAATGCCTCTCTGTCCTTTTCCCTCCCCCTTGTTCTGATCCAGTCTCAGTGGTTTGTAACCTACAGCCTCCTTTGAGCCTATGTCCTTTGAACAACTAATATGTATACACGTTAAACTATTGTCCTTTGAGAAACTAATACATGATGACATTGGAATGGTTTTTTGATCAAATTTGTTTAGAAAAAGCTTCTGCTAAATAAAAATTTAATAGATTTCTTTCCTGTGAGTTTCTCAGAGCAATTATGGTATGTCAATATGTATTGTGACTATTCAAGAATGGGGAAATAACATGTAATGTTTCTCGAGCTTCTTTGCTCACCATTTCTTTGGTTTGATGACCCAAGACACAGTTTCTAGAATTGTTACCCTATGCCCAGTGTTTGATATTTTAAAAAATATATTCTTTGTACTTTAAGGAAGTGATTTGATATAAATGCCACCCATTTCTCTTAATTCTTTAAAAAACTATTATGAAATAAAATGTAATTTTATTATTTCTTAACTGAGGGAAAAGAAACAGTGGTGTAACAGGATGTTGCACAGTAAGTTAGGAGGTGACCCAGACTAGTCCTCCCTTCCTCTGACAGGAAGCCATGCCTGCATGAGTTCCTTATTGCCCCTCTCTCCCCTTCAAACTGCTTTCCCCTGCCCTCCCACTCACGTACTCTTATGCAATGTATTAAAACTATACTATAAGGATGGAGATACAACTTTTAAAATAATTGCATTTAGTAATTTCTGTGGGTTTCAAGAGCTGGAAGATTTGTTAGCTGACATTATATTAGATCCTACCAGGTTTCCTGACTTAAAGTAATTATGCACTTTAGATGACTAATGGGTAACTTTCAAATATGTATATATATATAGTTTTTTTGGTTTTTTAGTTGAGTAATCTGCATGAACTAGAAAATTTGTATTAAAAGAGCATTGCCAACATTCGATGCCTCGTTAAGCTATGGCATTCTTCACTGACTGGGCTGAGTGTTTTCATTGGTGGAATTGAGATAGTATGCCACAAAAGGACAGTTCAATTATTTTCCTCTAGTGAACCATTTAGAAATAGCAGTGGATGGTTTTAACTTTGGAAGAAAGTTATTATCTTATTTTCAGTGACGATCCCTGCACTTTATTGATGATTTATCTATTTTTTTTGTTTTATAAATTAGGAAGCCCTTAGTGTATACAAGGAAGCAATTCAGAAAATGCCAAGGCAGTTTGCCCCACAGAGCTTGTACAACATGATGGGTAAGTAAAACATTAACACTTTTAAATTGATATTTCAGGGACCTGTGGAGAAACAGGAACCCATGTTCGTGTTTAATGGAATTCTAATAAATCATATTAATCCTCACAAAAGAAACGTTCACAATCTGGCATCATACTCAAATTCTGACAGAGCATATTTATTCTGACATGACAAATAAATGCATTAAAGCAGCGATTCCCAACACCTTGGTCATATCCCAGAATTATTGCAAGGGACTCTCAAAAACATCTGGGTATGGAATATTAGCTAGACTCTAGAGACTGTAGAAATAAATAAGCTATATATATGTAATTTTTCAATAATAGTAATAAAGTATACATTAATTTTAGTAAGTGTATCAAATTCATAATTTTTATTAAAATTTAATTTTAAATTCAGAGTAATATTAATAATAAAAACAAGATTATGCAGACAATAGATATGCTACAACAATTATTCTATGTTTTATGTTGAAAAATTGCCTAATTCTTATTAATCAGAAAGTATGTAAGTCTAGGCCATGGATTTTTCTGATTATAAGAGGTCAAGAATGAGAAATTATAATAAAATATCTATCATCTGTGATTGATCCTTGTCTGCCTTGTAGTAAATTGTTACTACAGCTGTTTGATGATGGTTACCCCTGCAAACCACATATTCAGCATATGACACTTGGAAAAAAATCCCTAAAGTAAGGTGGCCTAATGACTAATTAATATTGCTGCTTGGAGATAATAAAGAGAAGAGAAGCATTTTGTCCTCAAATCAAATATTTCTTTTTTTCCAAAGCATAAATTGTAAAGTCAAATTTTCCCTTTTCATTAAACCTGCTTAAGTTGTTTAATATTTCTAGTCCTCTCTCATGCATATAAAATAAATGAGATTAGACTATATAATCTCCAGGATTATTGTACACTTCTACATTCTATATTTGAGGAATTTAATAGTAGCTATATGTCTTGAGCACAGAAAAAAATCCCAAACCTCTCCCAAACTACAAAATACACACCTGGTAAGAACACTCACGTTCTCTTTTTTACAAAGGACAGAACATTTAGAAATAGTTTAGAGATAGGCTGGAGTACTAGACAGTAAACAGAAAAATAAAATTATTTGGAAGAGGTTAAAATATTTATTCCATGTCTCTGGGAATCTCACCCTCAATTTGCCTGTGGAGTGATTGAATATCATATTAAACAGCACACTGGAGTGTTTTTTAATTGTCACTTTTTTCCTCTTTGGTATAATTACTAAAAGGTAAAATTTAGCTTCATTAAATATATTCTTGCCATTAAATTTTTATAAATTAAAACAATGCCTTTTATTATTCAGCATTTCACCATCAATCTGTCTATATGAATAAAATATACATGTCCATAAAGCATGCGCTTAGGATATGTAGATTTATGAGTTGAATTAACTTTTTTATTTTAATGGTAGATGTTTTTGTGTCAAAATAAATGCTGAAAGAGTTGCTTTCTCTAGCTTTGGTTTAACTTATTATTTTATTCTTAATTCTAGTGCTTCCAAGGCCTTATTCCCAGTTTTCCTCACTTATCAAATAAGACATTTTTCTTCAAATTAGGATAGGTGTCTAAGATTCTTGGCAACAGACTGCATGTAGTATTTTGTTGTTGTTGTTAATGGAAAGTGGTGATGATGTTCACTAGAGTTAGCTATTTCAGAAATTCATTCAATTATTTTATGTGAATAAATTTGAAAATTCAGCCAGTACCTTGGGATCTGTCTCTCATATGGTTACACAGATGCTCAGCTCACACAGGCAGCAAAAGATAAGTGTGTCCCTGGGGGTTATTGCTTAATCTTTTGTCTCATTTTCCATTAGAGAAGGAGATGGTTGCTTTGTCCAGACTCTGAAAAGCACCCTAACAATTTTTAAAGGGAGGGTCTTAATATTTAACATTCCAGATTTTTTCTACGATTATGGTGGCTGCCTTCTATTTAATTTTATGTGAAGGTCTGCTAGCCAATCAAGTTTTATAGTTTCAGTTATTCGGGAAACTATAATTTTCTCAGAGAGTGAATTCACCTCCTAATCAAAATGGGTTAAATACCCCAAGTGTTGGCTCTAGCTCCTAATACATTTTGATTAGCCTCCATTTGACAAGAAAAAAAATGACCCAGGAGATAAGCTGCCCTATCAGTTCATCAGTTTCATTAGTCTGTCAGCGTGTGCTGATTATCCTATCAAGTTTATCAACAGCCTTGAATGTGTTTTCTAATTCACACATTTACATATTATTAGTGCCCTTTAGGGATCAGTGAAGGATTATAATGTCTGGCTAGATTTAGCCTGTAAGTGTTCATTTTTCTCATGTGTCATTTACCCCTTCACAACCACTACCCCCAAGCACTTGTGTATAGATATACAAGCATTATATTTTTTCCCATTCTATTTTTTTCTTTTGTTTAGAGGTTAGGAGAAATAAAGGAGTGTGCGTGAAAAAATACAATTATATTTTAATGTGATTATTAGTGTAGTACTAAATTCACTGCAGTTGCTTTTGTTAAAAAACACTCTAGTCCTTTGATTTTAATCTCCCCTTGAACATTTTATGAAAAACATGCTATATACCTTATGCCACATGCCAATCGACTTATCCTGAATGCCAAGTGAATGTGTTTTTCCTGTTTCTGTATTAATAGAAAATAACAAGTTTGATTAATTCCCCAACTTAAATTTTCCATATTTTAAAACTATTCATTTATTTTATTATGGCAGCTTATAAGTAGTTTTTTTAAATGTTTAAAAGCCTATTCTCATTTATCCTCTTCAATTTCATAGGACCAAGATGTTTGAGTAACAATAATTGAGGACACCTTCCCATCCTGAATTAGGTGAATTACAAACATACATAAAAAACATAAACAGATAATAAATAGTATTTTATAAACAAAAGCTAAAATTTTACTTAGGTGCATATAATTAGGAAGATATGAGAATACATGAAATATTAAGAGAACAAATCACAAAATATGTGTTAAATTGCTCCTAGCCAGTTGTGTGACTTAATTCTGTGGACCTCATTTCCACTTGAGAAAACAGGTTAGATTAAATTGAGATTCACCATAAGGTAGTCCCTGAAGTCAGATACCCTCGGTTCAAATTATGGCTTTGATACTTTCTCCCTGAGCATCCTTGGGCAAATTACTTAAAAGAAGCCTCAGTTTCCCTTTTATAAGATTTTGGTAATAGTAGTATCAGTGTGAGGATTGATTAAAGTGATAAAAAAGGTAAAACATATTGGTCCAACTACTTAACCTAGTAAGTGTTTTATAACGGGACTTTCCATTGTAATTATCATCATTTCCTTAGGCTTTTTGAGACGGAGTCTCGCTCTGTCGCCCAGGCGGGACTGCGGACTGCAGTGGCGCAATCTCGCCTCACTGCAAGCTCCGCTTCCCGGGTTCACGCCATTCTCCTGCCTCAGCCTCCCGAGTAGCTGGGACTACAGGCGCCCGCCACCGCGCCCGGCTAATTTTTTTTGTATTTTTAGTAGAGACGGGGTTTCACCTTGTTAGCCAGGATGGTCTCGATCTCCTGACCTCATGATCCACCCGCCTCGGCCTCCCAAAGTGCTGGCATTACAGGCGTGAGCCACCGCGCCCGGCCTCCTTAGGCTTTTAAACTCCAAAAGTTGATTGTATTCTCTGTCACTGTTTTTGTATTTAGCAATGTGGATATGACTACTTCATAGACAAGATTTTTGTCATCATTATGGCCTTGGTAGTCACCACAGTTCAGTGGAGATTCTGTTTAGTTCTATCCTATTTGGAATTACTGTATTTTCTCTCCAGGCTCACTTCCCTTTTTCTCTCAGTAACTGCAGTCAAAATCCTTCTCTTACCATTAGCTATATTAACCTAACTTGGTTTCATTAATAGAGTGCTTCCTCCAAATTAAGATTGTCCTATGTAGGTTAGAGTTTTTTTCTTTTTCTGTCATGATTTATTTTTCATCTAGACCTAACCAAAATTATTCTGTATTCTATTGCTCAGAGGCATTTATTGGATCTCAGTTTCTCTTCTTCTGAAGTTACAGATGTATTTTAGAATCATAGAATGTTAAAGATGGAAGACTCATATCTTAAAAACCCTTATAAAATAATCTCTTTAATAAGATAAAAATTAGCACTCCCCCAAATCTTACAAAGTTCAGATTTACAGTTTGTATTAGAACCAGGAGTATAGTTTCTTGACTTGAATCCAAATGCTTTTTCTGCTTAGTCCTTCTGTGTTACCTAAACTATCATATTTTTTACTATGTCAAAATAGTTTTCCTTTGCACTTAAAAATTAGCAAAAATTAAATATATAAAAACCTCTACAGTTTTACTATAAAGAATGAAACAGCTGCAAAGTACATTGAATATACTGGATACTTAAAATTTTTTTAATGCAGGATGATTTCTGAACACTCTGAGTTTCTCTTTTCTTTTTTTATAATTGTTTCTTACTCCTATTATCTCTACTTAAGCATTGCTTTTGAATAATCCTAAGGGATTATAGGAAACTAAATTAGGCTGCAGTGTCCAATTATTTTTATCTGTTTGAGCTCTTCCAATCCCAGAGGTCGTTTTACGCCTATTTACTATTTAAAATAAAATGACTTGGCTTTCTCAATGCAGAGTAATTGTTGGGTTTAATTATACAAGCAATTTACATCATTTCATCATGGTAATATATCTCGAGAACAAAAGGGCATAATGTATTATACGGAGTAAGAGAGAGCCTAGGGTAACTGTCTTGTCATTTCAGTCTATAATAACTGTTTAGAATAACCTCTGTATGCAAAAAAAAAAAAAATTAAGTCATAAGTGCTGGGACAGCACAGAGGCAGCAGACATATGAAATGTAAATAGTTAATCTAGTTCCTTCTCTCAAAGAACTTTCTGGGAGATTTCACAGTTGGTCCAGAGCTCTTTAGGGCCTCTCTGTAATAATTAAATGCCTATAAATAAAATGGAATACTATTACTCTAACCTTGAAAATATTTTGTCTGTAGCTATATAGGCTATGCTATGCTGACTAGACCAAAGAAAACAAACAAGAGAAACTCAACCTTTTTAATTTCTTATGTGATACTTAAGAAATACATATTCATAATTTCCTGTTCTCTGAAAAGTGTGTTTATGATGAGCAATATGCATTTATCTTAGGGAGAGATTCTTTTTTCCAGGAGAAATGTGTGATAATGGCCCATTGCTTTTTATTATCTTATTTGCCTTTATTTTCATCATACTGTTCTGATTCTCTTATGATAATCTCTTGTTTTATATATCCCTTTTAGTTTTCAGTCCCAGCTCAATATTGGAAAATGTATTTTCCTCCATCATCCTTCATCTAATAAACCTTTTACTTACACAGATTTGAAATTGAAAAAATGTTTTTTCCCATATCTTCAATAAAGAGGAACATTTTGATTTAATTTGTAATTCTTTACAGTAGCTCTTTAATTATGAGATATTTTCCCAAGTTTATTGGGCTGTTCACAGAGAACGAGGGAGAAAAACAATGAATAGGAAACAAAAATGAATTTATTAGAGCAATTTTTTGTATAAAAAGCTTGTGTGAATTTTAGAATTGTATTTTTGAGAAAGAAACTTGTGGTATGGAAGAGTTAAGTGTCATAAATAGCTACAAGTGATGTTTAGTTTTTTAAACTATTATTTAGGTGAGAAGAACTGACAAATCACCTTCTGAAAACAATGCAAATGTTCTCGCTCGTAAATTCAAATTCTACTTTAGGTCTGTACATTATGTTGTGAGTTCAGTCAGCAGAAGGAGCATAAAGGAAGTCTGTTTCTTTCTCAGCCTTCTGTGTGGCTTGTGTTTAACTGAATCATTTATTTTTGTTGGATTCTTCTGTGTGTGTATGTGCATGTGTGTTTACCTCACCTTGTTTCGGAATATATTTAAAGTGGGGATATTCAGAGTAAATTTTTGACATGATGGTTTATATGCTTAATGTTTTCTCCTGTGTTTAGTTGTTCTTAAGTGGATTGCTCAAGGCATTTAGCATGCTGACTGTGAAAGAGATGGTTTTTAACTGTATGAGATTTGAACTTTCACATCTTTCAAGTGTGGAAGCATTAACACTCCAGTAGCGTTAAGCTTTTTATACCACCTGCTTCCCCTATTTTGAGTTCTGGCGATTTTCCTATGATTGCTTCCATTGGCACTCTTGAAAATCAATGAGGCAATCCTACGAATATGAATATGACCATATAACTGGATTAGTCATTAATCTATGAAATCCAAAAAGAATATGAACCTCTAATTTTTAAGATAAGTCTCTTTATTTCATTTCGTTTTTCCATTATCAGAAAGGATACAACCAGGAGACCAATGCCTGGTATATAGAGTTCGCCAGTCCAGAAAGGCAAAATATAGACTTGAGAAATTTTAGAAGTATACTTTGAAGATTATGTAGTCAATAAGATAAGGAAATCATGAATGTTTGGCTATGTATCAAAAATAATGAATATATGAAATTTATGAGCAAAAAACTATAATTTTTTCTCCTAAAAGTTTCTCTTAAAAAAGTGCAGTTTTTAAAATATATTTTTCTACATTTTACACCGTATATAAACTCTACATTATGTACTATGGTTACAGACGCTAATTTGCTAGGCATTAGTCTATACACTACAAAGGCTAGCATCCAGTTCAGCTGCATTAAGTAGGTAATATATTTTGTTTAAAGTTTCAATTAAACCCAGGGCCAGAAGATATATAGCCCCTACGGGGAGTCTGAACACTTTAATGCCTATAGTAGGATTGCCTAAGGATCATGTGTAGGTCTAAATGTCACTTGCTTTCCTGGAAATAGGATATGAGACAGTTGATTATATTTCATTGCTATTAAAACCACAAGAGCCCACCTGTTACATTAATTCATCCTCCTGCCAGATTTGTGGTAAAGAAAAAGATCAAAGCTTAAAAACTTTATATTTAAATTGAATTATAAGGGTACAAATATACTCAAATTAATACCTAATTATATCTTCCTTATTCTCTGATTCCCAAATAGTTTCAATGTGTTCTGTTCAAAAAAATCTGTTTTAAGGCTGGGCACAGTGGCTCATGCCTGTAATCCCAGCACCATGGGAGGCTGAGGTGAGAGGATTGCTTGAGCCCAGGAGTTCGAGACCAGCCTGGTCAACATGGAGAGACTCCATCTCTACATACCCACGCCCGTGGACACACACAACTGTTTTCTGAGACTTTAATATAAATAAATGAAAAAAAAGTATGTATTGTAATCTTTAATTGGGACAATACATGTGGAGTAAAACTTTTACTCAGTAGCAAATACAGGTTGGATTTTATTTAGAAAATTGTGATTTTATGTTACACCTGGAAAATTCATTAATTGGATTTAAAAATCTTAACATTCTAAATGATGCTGACAATGACATCAGTTAGATGAAATAGACATAGTCATGTGGAAGAAGATAATTTTGTGTGAAGGATACAATCTTGAAAATCAGTGTCAAGGAAATGAGAAGATATTCTTACACATATTTAGAATAGGCAACTGTAGGGGTAGAAAGATGTGATACCTATCCTCAGTCATCATAAGGGTCATGGCCAAGACTCCTATAACAAGACAGGTTAACTTGACAAAAGCATAATGAATTTATTTAATGAAAGTTTTACCTGACAGAGGAGGCTTTGGAAATGAAGGTGAAAGACCTAGAGAAAATCATCTATTTCATGCATAGGTTTGATGAAGCATGGACAGCCTTGTAGAAATGTGATTGGACAAAAGGGTACGATCTAGTGTAATCCACTGAGTGGCGAACCCCAGCAAGACCTGTCTGTTCAGATTCTTTTCGGCCTCTCTTTGTAGCATTCCTTCCCTCAAGGTATGGTGCAGCACCCCTTTGGAAAGAGGATCTTCAAGGGAGACGGGAGAGAGAGAGAGTGACCTTTCTAGATTTTATGCCCTGCTGTGGGAGAGAAGAGTTCTAATTTCTGTGATTCACTTAGGGAAGAGTATCTATCTATGACTTGTTTCAGGGAAGACAGAGAGGTGGGAGACAGGAGAACAGGAGGAGTTCAGAAAGGCTTTGTTTCCATGATACTAGAAGGCTTTGTCGGCCTAATATCTTTTAGTTCAAAGCATTTAGCATGCCAAAGTGCCATATTTTGGGGTATTGTGTTCAGAGCCTTAACGCATGAAATATAAATTAAGTTGAAAATTCAGTGCATTACTAATTGTATGTATTTTGCTGTGTACTCAAGTCTGATTTTCCCAGTAAGTAAGGGAAAATTGTTTTCTACATAAAAATCTCATTTAACTCTTCCAATGAGCTGTCATTTAGTTTTAATTTTATCTACACTGATAGAAGCCATCACCATATTCACTTGATCTTAGCCAAAAGGCTGAGAAGCAATAACTGTTGCCATATTCAAATTAAACAAAGAATGAAAATAGAACATGCAGAGTTTTGTTCCGGATTGCATTATTTTTGCCAACATGTTAATTATGGGAACGGGATTTTTGTGGATTATTATAGAATCTTATTCTCAAGTATTCATTAAAAGTTGGATGAATTTTTCAATGTGTGCTATGCCTTAGTAATTAACATTAATATAGCAATTTATAATATAAATAAATTATTCATTGCCTATTATGGAGATATAGTGCTTGACTCAGGAGTACACATGAAATGTATTCCTAAAAGGATCTGTGTGGAGTTGAAAAGGCTTCCATTACACTCTTTTGACTCATAGGAGAGTGCTTTTTCTTTTATCGTTTTCCTGCAGCTATACAACTCCTGTTTCTCTGAATACTATTTTCATTTGTTCTTTCCAGGCTAGTACAGTATTCATGCATTCTTTTTTCCTTTCTCTGGTATAAACTTTTTTTTAAAAAAAAAATAATGCTATTTAGCACTTCTTTGCATGTTTTTAGTGTTTACTAATTATCTCAGTTTTATTAAGCCATTTTATTGACTCCATTTTAATTTTCCTGAAGACAGTATTATATTTTTGGGGAAAAGATCCTCACCTGTCCCCAACATACTCGTGAATATGCACACACACCACACTCACACGTGCACATGCACACACACAATCTCACTCTATACTTTTTGAAAATTCTGAGCATTTAATAGAATTGGCTTTGACATTTGTGGATTGATTATTTTAGTGATTTATTTCCTTGAAAATATAAAGGAAATTGATTAGCCCGGAGAACTTCAGGATCCCTAGTTGTAAATAGAGAAATATTTACACAGGCTTCTGGCTTTTTTTCAAGTTGAAGTTTGATGGAACATCAGATGTTTCTGGTATATGACCTTATATTAGAAATTAGGAACTTGTAAAAGTTTCACTGAAGTTGAACCTACTTCTTAACAATTGATGTTATTCCTTAATGAAACACATATTTTTTTCCATGTCTTTCCTGTGTTTGCTTCAAAACTACACTTTCAGACTTCAAGAGTTTCCCCTTAAGTTTAATGCTATAGGACTTGAAGAGTTGTATATTGAATCTTTTCCTAACTTTTCTCAAATTAAGACTTGGATAATATTACATTTTACTTTCAATACTACTGTACTGTAGCCGCTAAAGGATTTCCAATCAGAAGCAATATATCTGGGGCAACTAGAGGGTGTTATTTTTATAAGAATAAGATGACAAAAATATTGGGATGGAGATACAAAAGATTCACAAAATTTGACTGCTAAAAGTTACACCAGGTTTGTAGCATAAATGTATTTTTAAAAGGGAGACTCGCTAATGTTTCTAGTAGTGTTTCTAATGCTTCTCAACACTGTGAAGTAAAAAATGATCATCGGACTGCAGGTTCTAGAAAAAAAGAATTATCTGGAAATTTCTCTTCAAGGGCATACTTCGTAAAAAAATGTAACATCTAAATTCAAGTAGATACATAATGTGATCAGGTATTTGTCAGCTATTTATCGAGTACTCTCTGGAGCCAAAGCTTTCTGGACTTAGGTTGAAGACAGAAAAATATATAAAAGATTGTGTGTCTGCTTCCATGCATCTCATAGTCTGGTTTTGTAGCAGAAAGATTATAATTGCTTACCTAGCTAGGTTCCGTAAGTACATAAAAAGTGGGAGAGGGAGTTTGAATAAATCAAGAATTGAATACTATTCTCGAATGGGGAAACTCAATTTTGTAAAAATTCTCTTTTTCTCAAATTTATTTATAGATTTTAATTTAATAGCAATAAACATTCTGAAAAGAATTTTATCAAAAACTTGACAAAATGATTCTAAAACAGTGAAATATAGCCAAGAAAGTCTTAATGAATAATAAAGTTTAAGACTTGTTTGTTCTACTAGATACTCAAATATTAGATGAAGTGATTAGAGTGATATTGTACCCATGAGAAAAGAAAACCAGACCAATAGGACAAAGTGGAGACCCTGGAAATAATAACAAATTATTTAAGGTTGTTGTAGATAATAAATGTAAAATTAAATATTGGTCAGGGAAGGAAATTTGTATAATAGTTGATCTAGACAATTGAGTAAATCTTTGGGAAAGAATAACATCAGATACTTGTCTCATACCACATAGCAAAGTATATTTCATGTGGAATACATAGTTCATTTTAATAATGAAACTATATAATTAGAAAATGATACATATCTCCATGATATAGAAAATGTTTTGTGTATAAAAGATACTTTAATAATATTTTGTATAAAAGATAGTCCAAGAATTCTCCTTCTATACATTTATTTTGAGGTTATAATAAGAGTTGTGTTTTAAAAAGATAATTAAAAAATACAATGATAATTGCAGAAGTGCAGTACTTACATAAAATGTTGGGAGGGGAATTTGAATAGACAACAAACTGAATACTGATTTCGAATGAGAAAACTGAATTTTGGGAAAATTGGCATAGTTTTATTTAAAATAACAAAACACTGGAAGGAACCTAGATGCTTAAAACTAGCAAAATATTTTACTATATAATTGATTTTTTTCAATATGTAATTCAAATTCTTGGAGAAAACATAAAAATTTGCCAGTGGCTATCTATGGGTGATATAATTCTTTCAGTCTTATAAAATTATGATCTTTCAGACTTTCTTCAATGAACAGGTATAATGTTTATAATTAGAAAACAGAGTTATAACTATTAAATGGAATAACCAAGACTTGATCTAGATGCAGCCAATCTTGAATAGATCAACTAAAAATTAAGAATGAGGCAGGATATTTTAAACTAGGATATTTTTACCTCTTTATGAAATGAATGTATATAAATATCTGAGCACTGGTGAACCTACAAATGATTATCCATTTTGGAGATTATGGAGTTATTTATTCTTAGCCCTTCATGTTGTAAATGATAAAACTGAGGACCTTTAAAATCACTCATTTTTCTAAAACATACAGCTATTAATGGCAAAATAAGAATTCAAAACCAATCCATCTAAAATACTATTTTGGTATATATGTTTAATTTCCGTGTGTGTGTGTGTAGTTTTCAAAATTTCTCTCGTTATTGATTTCTAGTTTTATTCCATTGTGATCAGAGAATATACTTGATATAATTTAAGGTTTTTTTAGTTTTTCTAAGACTGCTTTGTGGCATAATATGTGGTCTATTCTTGAAAATGATCCATGTGCTGCGGTGAAAAATGTGTATTCTGCAGCCATTGCAAGAAATGTTCTGTAAATATCTATTAGATCCATTTGCTCTATAGTGCCAATTAAGTCGTCTTTCTTTGTTGACTTTCTATTTGGATGATCTGCCCGATGCAGAAAATTAGGTTTGAAGCCTTCAGCTATTATTGTATTGGGGTCTATCTCTCTAGCCCTAATAATACTTGGTTTATATATCTGGGTTCTCCAGAGTTGGGTGCGTATATATTTACAATTGTTATATCCTCTTGCTGAATTGACACATGTGTGGTTATATAATGACCCTCCTTGTCTCTTTTTATAGTTTCTGTCTTGAAATCTGTTTTGTCTGGTGTAAGTATAGCTACTTCTGCTTTTTTTTGCTTTCCATTTGTGTGGAATATCTTTTTCCATCCCTTTATTTTCAGTCTATGTGTGTCTTTATAGGTAAAGTGTGTTTCTTGTATGCAACAGATTGTTAGGTCTTTTTTTTCTTTTTATTTAGCCACTCAATGTTTTTATTGGAGAATTTAGTCCATTTATATTCAATATTATAATTTATAAATAATGACTTACTCTTGACATTTTGTTGTTTGCTGGTCATTTTGTGGTCTTCTTTCTTTACTTCCTTCCTGTCTTTTAGTGAAGGTGATTTTCTCTGGTTGTATGTTTTAATTTCTTGCTTTTTATTTTTTGTACATCTTTTATATGATTTTAGTTTAAGGTTATAATGAAGCTTGCAAATAATATTTCATAACCCATTATTTTAAACTGATGACAACTTATCACTGAGAGAAAAAGATTAATAAACAAGAAAATAGAAAATGAATAACTCTACACTTTAAATTTCACCCTCCTGCTTTTTAACTTTTAATTCTTTCTGTTTATTTCTTATACTGTGCATGTCTCGAATAGTTGTTGTAGTTATTTGTTTTGATTGGTTCATTTTTCAATCTTTCAACTCAAGATATGAGTAATTATGTACCACCTAATTATGTACCACAATTGCAATTTTATAATATTCTGTGTTTTTCTCCATACTTACTACTACCAGTGAGTTTTGTACTTTCAAATGATTTCTTATTGCTTATAAAGGTCATTTTCTTTCAGATTGAAGGACTCCCTTTAGCATTTCTTGTAGGACAAGTCTGGTATTGATTAAATCTCTCAGCTTTTGTCTGGGACAGTCTATTTCTCCTTCATGTTTGAAGGATATTTTCACTGGATCCACTATTCTAGGATACAAATTTGTTTGTTTGTTTTCCTTCAGCACTTTGAATATGTCATGCCCTCCCTGCCTCCACTGAAAAGTCTGCTGCCTCACATATTAGAGCTCCATTGTATGTTATTTGTTTATTTTCTCTTGCTGCTTTATCTTTGACCTTTGGGAATTTGATTATGACATGTCTTGAGGTAGTCTTATTTGAGTTAAATCTTCTTGATGTTCTATAACCGTCTTGTTATTTTGGTATGTAATTCGTAACTCGGTGCTGGGTCATAATTATGAATAATTTCAATAGGTAGATAAACCAAATTCATCAATCAATTAATTAAAGTGAATTTATTTTAAAATTATGTTGCCAAATTAGTTCCTAAGGAACAAATTAAAAGTAACCTATAAAAGGGAACTTATCATAGCAAACCTTAAAATTGCTAAAAGTGCTCATTAAAAGAAAAATGACCAGCACATAAAATAAATTCATTATAAAAATCACCAAAAATAAACCTGATATCTTAGAAGGAAAATAAGCATTACTTAAAAATGGAATGAATACCTTAGCAACCAGCTAAGTTCTCAAACTCCATGGAGAGACTAGAAATTAGGTAGATTAAGATAAAAATGCCTGCTTTTCCAGCAAAGCATCCTAAAATTAGCAGTACTGGCAATGAGATGCTTTCAGTGTATTAGGGGCTGGAAGCCTGCAAGAAATCAGTTGGGACCATTTTGTAAGTGTCCCTGTTCTTTAGAGACTAGAAAAAAAAAATTATAATTTGTGTGAGTCCTTTAGAAAAATAGGCTTTTCCCCCCATGAGCTTGTCTGGCAGCTTTTTAATAAAGAAAGTTCTAAAACGTGTATAATTTTTTGAGTTATAGCTTGGCATATGCAATTTGTTGTCCGCATGTCAGTCACGTACGCATCACTCTATCTGTGTCATAATTTTGCCCATAGCCACTTACTATCTGAGGTGTCACTCACTTAATATTTTTCTTCATTCTGAAGCACGATGTCTATGTTACTACATTTTTAACACAGATTAAATCAAATTCATACATACCCCACATTTTTCAAAAGGTTTTTGTTGTTTTTGTTTCATTTGCACCTACAAGCAAACTTTGGGGAACACTGATAAATTATTTCTTTGTCGCTAGATTGTAAGTAGGAACAAATGATAATCTACTTAACCTTTATGTATACCATCATATGCATTGTTCGTGTTGGTTAACCTGGATTGATGTGCAAGATATATGTTCAAGAGTTTTTTAAGAAGGCATTTAACAATTACTGTAGGAGTTGAGGAAGGGATAATTACTTTTGTCTTCTTTTCTTAACAGTGGTCACATAGGTTTCTTTAAAAATTAGGAAATCTATACTGTCTTAATAATAATTCCCACTAAATGCTCTATTCTTTATCTGCAAGCAGGAGCTGTCCAGTAATTTGAAACATAAGAGTCAGTGAGATGTAGACTATTACATCATCAACAACCCAACATTCTTTCCTTAAGGAGTTAGCCTTTGCCTGGGTTATTTAGACCTGGGGCTTTTTAGGGAGAGAGAGTGACATTATTTGTTCTACATCTGAAACTGGTTTATGTCTGCCTGAAGCCAGCCTGGAGACATCCAAATTCCTTTTGTCTGTGAGTGAAATGGAAATAAATCTGGGTGATGAACCTGATCATTCTATCATCGCACAGCAAATCTTCTCATTCTTATGAAAGTACCTTTATTATGTCATTTCTTACAGAATGAGAAAGGAAAATAGTCATCGTTGTTTCTTTCCTCCTGGGCACCATAAACGTTTTTTTCTATTATTGTAAGTTAAGAAAAATTACGGTACCAGAGAATATGACTTAACCTTTATCTCCTGTCCTATTCCCGACCAAGTGTCTTCGTTTCCTTCCTTATTGAATTTATTGAACTTTCTTTTCCTGTGGCCATTTCCTTTATGGAATTTTTATGATTTCAGCACTTTAACCAAGCTTGTAGAATCCCATATATACCACTCTGTCCTAAAACTAAATGCACTGATGGTACTTTTTCCAGTTATTAAATGTTTTATTCCCTCTCTGAAGACTTTTGATAGTATTTGTGTAGAATGGTATAGTGGAAAGAGCCAGAGAAAACTCTAATCTGAATCCTGAATTTGACATTTGCTTTTTTTTTTTTTTAAATCTTGAGTGAGTTTGTTAAGCTCTCTGAAGCATAGTCAGTTCATTTTGTAAAATGAGACTGATAATAACAGTGTAGGGATAATGTAAAGGTAGAAAATATTATATTTAAGATGTTAGTAGGTACTCAGTAAATAATAAATTTTATATGGCAGGCAGCTTGATGCGATGGGAAGCCATTTAATCATTTTTGGATAGGATTATTAACTGTCCTTGTGCAAGTCACCAATCATTCCTGAGCCTTTGTCTTCATTCATAAAATGGGTATTCCACCCTCTATCAAGGATTGGAAATGAGAAATGTAAAGCTCTTAACCTTGCCAGTGTCAGGAATGTAGCAAGTACTTGTTCTTATAGTGTTTGTTGCTTAAATCTTTATTGAGTTACCTTTTTTTAACATATTTAATTTATCCATAATCTTTTTTTTTTTTTGCATTTTAGGTTTTGCATCTTGATTTTATTACCATTTATATACACCCTTTTTGTGTTAAGTTAGCCTTAGAACTAAAGTACATATTCTAGACTTAGAACTAAAGTGTTACATATTTCCCTCTTAAGAATTGAATTACATATGCGTAGAAAGCAGTTTTAAAGGTCAGTCATAGATTACCATTGCTCTTCCTTATTCTCTTAATTCAATAGATAAGCCCAAGGCAAAGTGAAATGAATGGGCTGGCTGATGGATCACAAGCTAGAAAATGATTTTCTATGAGTGAGAAACAGAGAGCATAATTCTCACCTGAGCTGGGGATTTGGAAAGTTTATGACTATTTTCTATTAGCTAGTGAAGGCAATCAATGAGTTAAGGTCAGGTAGCCCTGAGTTTAAATTGCAGTTTTACCATGTTACATATTCATGATTTTTGAGTGTATAATTTAGCCACACTGCTTCTCAATTTTTTCCATCTTTAAAATCCAAATAGTGACATTCCTTGGTAAGCAATGAGATACGTTTATAAAGCAACTATTATAGAAATTGAAAAACTGTTTCATCTTGCAAACCTACTTTGATCAATTGGTAGTGGTTGAATGGGGCAATGTGTTAAGGCCACTTAGGGAGGCTGAGAAAAATTTCTACATGCCCAAATGTGTGGAGTAAGAGGAGTGGGTGAACATAAGTCAGACATTTGTCACCTGTAACTTGTTACTGTAATCCATAGTAAACACTCAATTATTATTATCATAGTCATCATTGTTATTATTAAGACACAATGAATGGTTACATGAAGTTCTTCAAAGTTGTAATAAGTGGTACCAGAGTAGTCTATTTATCAGTTTTCATATACTTGCCAAGATGCATGATATATTACATTACTCATTTATAGCCCTTTAATATTTTCTTATCTCAAAGCTTTACAAATTATTAAGTTGCTTAGAAGTTCTTACTGAAAAAAATGGACCAGTCATTAATTATTGAGCAAATTAATAGTATTTAAAATAGATTTTAATAATGATAACTTTCTGACTTGGAAAAAAAAGCAAGTATACTTTCTGAAATAAATTTTAAATATTAACAAAATAATGAAGATTTGTATTTCAGAAGTGCTCAGGAATTGGGCTTATCTTCACACTCTTTTTCTGTACAGAAGACCTAGTGTTATTCTAAAAATCAATTAAATTTTTATATGAAAAGTAGAAGCTATATTAAATACAATGGTTGTACAACTTTTTTAAACTGGCCTATAAGCACTTGAAGATCCAAAGTGAATTTCAGTTTGATTTTGTATGGGACCTGTAATTTAGGCCCATATTCCATCTGGCTTTATAATCCGTTTAAGAGATAAATATGTGGATATGTTTTCTCATTAATTGCTTTACATTGTTCAGTATTTTAGGGCTTGTGTATCTTTTCTGTTATATAAATTATATATAGTGTTTTAATATGAAGTGATTCACTTTTCCTAGTACAAATTATTATTTCCTTTATTTGAAACATTTGTTAGTTCAATGTGGCAAGAAAAAATCCATCTGACAGCATGTTAGTTTTTATAGAGATATGAAAATAAAAACAAAATTATTATAGAAATTTATGGAAATTAAAAAAACAATTTCTAATCTATCATTTTAACAACTACAAGCATTTTTGTGTATTTTATTCCAGTCTTTCATCTTTGCTTCAGTATTTCTTTTGTCTTTCCTTAGACATATAATTTAATTTCACCAACTTCTTAAGTGCAGATATGTTTTAAACTTTGAGGGAAAAAAATCAAACATTTTTCAACTATCATTTTTATGATAATATAGTTTAAGGAGTGTTCATCGAACTAGAAACACATAGATATGTGTGAGTGGGTAAAAATGTGTATTTTTATGCATACTATGTATTATTTGTCACCAATATTTTTCACTATCCAGCAAAGCAAAGGGCATTCAAAAGATCAAGAGACTCAAACCAATTCACTTCATCAAACATATTCGTATTTACAATGCCATAGTAATACAAGTTGAATATGATTAAAACAAAAAGGAATGAGTTCTTCCTTTGAAGCAAAAACTATACATCCAATGTGGGCAATTCATTTACAAAAAGCCTCTGATTACGCCTCTAAAAGAAAAAGCTGTCATGATTATGATTACTTATGCTTATATATAAAGGTCTGTCTGGAAGATAATGCAAGTCACCAGTTTACTGCTTGGTCTCAGAAACTGAATAGTGTCTCTACATTTGCAGTGCTTAGTAAAACTACAATATTTAACTTAAATATATAAATTATCTTAAATACAATTGTTGCATCAGTTGAATATTTTGTTCACCATATAATCACATAAGGGAAAGGGGAATGATAATTCATAGGCAGCTGGTATACTTTTGGCTTTATTTCCAACTTTTTTATCCTGCTCTGCTGTTAGTGAAATGCTGTTTGGTAGCTAAAATATATATTATTAGAGTAATGACTCGTGGCCAAAATGCCTCACACTCATGTTGTATGTAGTGCTGGGCATGCTTAATAATTGTCATCTGTTTATTGGATTTTCCAAATGAAACTGGTAAAATTTATTTAGTTAATTTTATTAATCATAATTTTAATTATTTAATTAAAATAATTTTTTTTGTTTGAGACAGGGTGTCACTCTTTCACCCAGGCTTGAGTGCAGTCGTGCGATCAGGGCTCACCGTAGCCTTGATCTCCCCGGCTCAGGTGATCCTCCTGCCTCAGTCTCCTGAGTAGCTGAGTCTACACCTGCATGACACCACACCCACCTAATTTTTTTTCAGAGATGGAGTTTCACCATGTTGCCCAGGCTGGTCTCTAATTCCTAGACTCAAGCTATCCGCCTGCCTTGGCCTCCCTAAGTGCTGGGATTACAGGCATGAGCCCCCTATCCTGGCCTTAATTTACTTGTTAACATATAAAATTCAAATAGTTTCTTTAAAGAAATTAGCAGCAGTGTTTAATCTAAATATATTTTTAACTCTTTCAATTACTCTTTCTCAAAAAGGTAAGTCATTTGTGGATAGGATCTCACACTTTTTTCTTATAGTTCCTTTATAAGGCTTTCCACTTGGTTATTCTATAAATACTTGAATTTCTAAAGGAATAAATGAATATGAATAAAAAAGAACAAAAGAATAAAGAACAAACATAGCTCTCAAAAAGGAAAAGAAATGATGATAAAGGACATATGTCTGGGAATCAGATGTTCTATGTTAAAAATCAAAGCTTTACTACTTATTAAATTTTTTACTTGAGCCATTTTACTTCATTTTCCAAACACATGATTTTTCATCTGTAAAATGGGAATCATGATGACTTCTTTGGGAATCAGATGAGAACATGAATGAAAGTACTTCCCACAGCATCTGAAATTCCACGCAGTATGATGATGATGATGATGATGCTGTTGCAAATAATGTGGAAAAGCTGTATCCTCCCTTTGACCTTCATGATTAATTCTCTTTCCAGGTGAAGCATATATGCGTTTAAGCAAACTCCCCGAAGCAGAGCATTGGTATATGGAATCACTGAGATCCAAGACTGACCACATCCCTGCTCATCTCACCTATGGGAAGCTGCTAGCTCTAACAGTGAGTAACCGCCTTCCTTGGTCTTTAAAACTTGGTTTTCTCCATGCAGACCGGGATAGATGGGTTTGAGGTACTGTTTTACAGCCAGTTATCTAAGCTATTAGGGATGCAATGGTGGTGATACTAACTTTGAACCCTGTACAGAAAATATAGAAAAATGTGTTACTTTGCCTATGAGGTTTGGTCTAGATAAGATGTGAGATGTCTGTATCTTACATCTTGATCTAGATAATATGTGAGATGTCTGTATCTTACATCTTGGTCTAGATAAGATGTGAGATGTCCGTATCATCCCTGTATCAAAACATCTCCTGTATCCCATAAATATATGCACCTATAGAAAATGTTTAAAAGAATTAAAAAATTAAAAAAACAAAACAAACAGATGTGAGATGCCATGATCGTTGATGTAACTTTGAAAAATATAAATGGAGAATCCCAAATATGGAATTACATAATGAATTTGTTCTAATAATCATATTTGCATAAATATTATGTTCTACAAACCAGTGTTAGCCCCAAATTGGCTATACTTAGAACTAAATCTGATTCTTATAAATAGCCAACATTGTATAAAATTCTGTGTGCTGAAATTCCTTCTAATTAAAATCATTCTGTAAGAGAAGGGAGGCTATCTGATGGCCTCTTACTATGTGACAAGCACCCTTGGAGGCCACCATTTCACGAAAGTGACATGAGTATGGAGCATAAAAAATTACTAGTATTGTACCACTATGACCTATAAAAATGGTAATTTCATATATTTCAAAGTAATAGTAATGTCTTTATTTTACACAATAGTGAATAGTTTAAAAGTTTAAGTTTTCTGAGCTCACATAGACAATAGGTGATAGAACTAGGCTTCAATCTTAGTCTGAATCAAATATCTGTATTATTTTAGTTATAGTACCTAATCTCTCTTCAATATTAATAAAAATAAATGAATATTAGAAAAACATAGAGCAAATGATCAGGAAGGTGATTCCTAAGTGAATTCATTGAAAAGTATTTTTGTGTTACTTCAAAAATAATAACATTTTACTTTCCACAGAAGATGGTAGATAACACTTATAATTGTCAAATATCCATTCTAAAATACCACTAAAATACTCTTCAAGAAATCATGTAACGCTTTAGGGGGCCGAGGCAGGCAGATCACCTGAGGTCAGGAGTTCAAGACCAGCCTGGCCAACACGGCGAAACTCCGTCTCTACTAAAAATACAAAAATTAGCCAAGGGTGGTAATGCGTCCCTGTTATCCCAGCTACTCAGGTGGCTGAGGCAGGAAAATCGCTTGAACCCAGAAGGCCAAGGTTGCGGTGAGCCGAGATCATGCTACTACACTCCAGCCTGGGCAACAGAGACTCCATCTCAAAAAAAAAAAAAAAAGAGAAAAAAAAAAAAGAAATCATATAGGTAGACTAAGTAACCAGAAAACATCCCACTAAAAATATTTAGATCTACTTAATAAAATATAACAGATATGTTTTTAACACTAAACTGAGCATGAGTAGTAAGAGAAGTTCCTAGGAGCTAGAAATGAAGTGGTAACTGAATACCAGAGCAGTGAACAGCAGGCAGGTCCTGCAGCTCATCTGGGATTATTTACTGATTGTGGAAACCAGTGAGAAGGTGGTTTTTGTTTGTTTGTTTTCATTATTTCTAGAATAGGAAACAACGCTTTGGGCCAATGGAAGAGCAGGAATTAAATGCCTAAATAAGGCAGGGAAATTCTTACCTGCCTTGAAAGGACAACATAAGTTTGTCCACAAGTATAAGAAGGCAGCGTGAATATTTGCCTATCTCAGAATGGGATCTGGATGGGGAGTGAACAAAGTATCTGCTGGGAATTTGTTGCTCCTGTCCTTTCTTTACCAAGCTTTGGGTTTTGAATTTACCTACATGACCCTGGAATTCCGAAGCCAATAAATTAAATAAAATTTAGTCTACTAAAAACTTTTGCTGAAGAAGTTACTGGAGATGTTCTTCAAGAGAACACAAATCTAGAAGGAATGCTGGAGTGAGGTGCATAAAAGTACTGGGCAAAGAAATTGGTGATGATGTGGGCAAATCAGACTAAGCTTTTAATGAATAAAATATTAAGGGAATACTATACAGGAACAATAGGAATGGGAAGAGAGATTTCAGTGGATAAGAGATACAGCTGATTTTTGCAACTCAGAAAGCAGTTGGAAGTATTATAACTGACTTGCCTGGGAGAAGGAAATGAAAATCTAAATAAACTTTGGAATGGGATAACAATGAAAAGAAATCTGGCTTACATCAAAGAAACCTGGAGAGGCTCAAGACATGGAGGCAGCTGACACAGAAAAGAGTCAGTTAAGGGACATAAAATGGGGTAGTAAATTGCAGCCAATGAATGGAGTATTCAGGTCTCTCCCCTTTGCCCACAAATGCCAGCAACTAGGCACCTGCCTTCAAGGCAAGGGAAAGGGGCCCTTAAGAGGTAGAACAAGTAAATAAAGAGAAGTTCAAGATTCAAGAACAGCTTGCACAGTTGAAGGCAGAATGAGGAGGGGAGTGAAAAGAGGACTGATTGAGGGTCTTCCCATGGAGTACTCAGATCCTTAATACCCCTCCCCTATCCCATGCAGAATACCAGCAACACAGAGTTTACCCCCTTTCCTCCAGCCCACCCTTTTTGCTTACACCTTACCTCTCAAATTGTTGAATTCTGATCCAGGGAAACTAAATCACAGTAAGGAAAAGGTTTTCAAATACCTACATTTAGAGGTCCCCTGTAAATGACTGGCTCCCAAACCAGACAGAGCACAGTGAATCTATTCCATCTAGAATGCCTGTCTGTGCCTTAGGAATTCGATTCAGCTTTTATTAATTAACTCATTCTTAAACATCAATGGGTAACCAAGGATCATCAGTCATATCAGGAAAGACACAAATTAAAAAGACTGGAACTAAAACAAATTATTAGGAGAAGGAACTCTAAATCAGAAGACATCTTTAAAAGAATAATAATCCTTAGAAAGAGACAGAAACATACAGCATTTTATGAAGCAGGATGTCAAGAAAAAAAGAAACCAAAAAAAGCAAGAAAGAGCTTATAGAATTTAAAGGTATGATAGCAACATGATTTTCATTTGGAAGATAGGAGAATAAAGGTAATGAAATCATCTTATATGCAAACAAAAAATGAGGACATAAAAGAATGTAAAAGAGGGAATTATGAAAGAAATCAATATGGGGTCCAAATGGCAGAGAAAGAACAAAGGAAGGGAAAGAACAATAACTAAGAATTGAAGATTACCATCTCTGTTTCTGCTATTTACAGATACTTCTAGTTTAATCACCTGGGAAAAGTTGTTTTACCCTAAGAAAACCTTTTCCCATTTCTGTACTGATGATTCTGTGTGATGTGTGGTGATTCACACAACTCCACATAAGTATTAAATTAATATACCTAAGCTAGATTGATAAATGGCCACCTTTAAAAAAAAATCTAAAAGTTTCAGATGTCTAATTCATTGCCCACCTGCACCCCCCCCAAAAAAAAGTTAGAAAAGAAAAAAAAATTAAACTTAAATTTCCATGATTCTGTATATGCTTAGACCATGGCACTCGATATAGAAACCATGTGACCTTTCTAAAAAAATTTTTCAAGCCTGACTACTTAGGCTTCCTGTACCAAAAATATGATTTTAAAGGCTGTTTTATTCTTTTCAGGAGGCTTTTTTTTTTTTCAGATTTAGAAGTTTTAATTTACCAAACCATATGGAAGGAAAGGAAAGACTCCTATACTACAATCCAAATTTTTAATCCCCCCCACCAAGACTTTTATAGTTTCCGACTTGCTGATTAGATGAAATACAAACCCTATTATGGAATGGCTTAAACTCACAGTGCCAAAACCCCACAACCATCTTTAACAGCTTCTTTCTAAATTATGACATTTGGCAAATTTCTGATCCCTATGGATAGCTTTTGTCTAATTTGGGGTTTCTTGGCCTGGTAACAGCCCACTGGCTTAACATAGAATTTGCAAAGGTAGAAAATACCACACATTTTGACTTCTGAATGCTTTAAATATATTATAAAATGGAATTGGCTGCTAGTTTCAAGAGAAGAGGAATAGAAATTGAGTGGTGTTTTCACTCTTTAATCAAAACTGGCCGAAGGGAAAATATGTAAAAATGAAATGCAACTATATTAGACTTAGACTGGAGAGTAGGATTTTATATAAGACTTATATGTTTACAAGATATATTAGAAAAATATTGATTATTAGTACTTTTATTACAGTCAGTGGAATGATTCACTCAGTACTTTTTTTAAAGTTTGTCTTTAAGAATTTGTGTAATATTTACAGAATTTAGAAAAGTTCAAACGGATTTAAGGTTTCCCAGAATGCTTTGGCACATTTTATAGATCAAATCCTCTTTTATTTTTCTGCCAAAAATGTCCTTTTCCTCTCTTTGCCTGTTCAGATTTTATTTCTTCCGTGAAGTCTTGCCTGACTTTCTTAAGCAGTTCCTTTTTTGTTTTTTCTCTATACTTCATTAGTACCGGTCTCAGTATCTTCATAGTAGGACACTTCCAAATAGAATGACACATACATATGTGTCTGTTTTTTGACACTAGATATGGGGCAGGGGGTGAGTCTTTACTTTTTATTTCTTCAGTACCTGCCATTTCAATGTATTAGTTACTATCCCTGTACCCATGTGCCTTTTCCTTTATAAGTTATTTAAGGGCTGGGGACATGGCTTTTAAATGTTTTTGTTCCCTCCCTCCCCTCCAGTACTCATTCCCTCATTAATCCCTTCATTTGGTCAACACATATATTGAGACTTATTTCTTCAAGCTAGGTATTGCTTTAATCCTCAGTGATCTGTGCTGAAAAAAAATGAATGAGGGTGGCATGATTATAGAGTGAACACACAGTAATCTTCCAAAATCCTAGATGGGGAGATGGGCACAAGAGGGGCGTGCATCTCTTCAGTGCCTGTGCTTGACATGTGATATTTAATAGAAGCTTGATAACAACCCTTAGGGAGTATTATCCCCTTTTTATAAATGAAGAATCTGAGCTTCAAAGGTTTGAGGAACATCCTCAAAAGTCATTTCACTACTAAACAGTAGAATTGAATATAACTTCAAGGTTTTCTGAACTGCCATTAATTTTCTGTCCACATTAAATAATTTTAAGTGTGGAGTTTTTTTTTCCCATTTGGTGTATGTGATTAAACTGATTGGAGATTGGAAAAATAACTTGACTACCTTGTTACTTAGTAAGTTACAAGTTATTTAGTTACTCAATAACTACTTATTCCCCCATCCTCTTTTTATAACTTATTTTTAGAAACTATCTTTGGATACTAGTTTAATTTGAGTGGTTAAACAGAATTTTATTATTAGGCATGATAGGTCATGAACATAAGACTTCAGTTTTAGGCTACTGACAATTTTATATCCTACATTATACTTCTAATACAAAAATTTCGGGGTATCCTGGGGAATAGTTTTGTATTAGAGTCATTGTAGCCTCCATGTTTAAATATAGTTGGACCCAAGTGACATCTCTTTAAAATATATGGAAATTTCATACCAATGTCATGTCCAATTAAAATACTAAACACAAGATGAGTTTGAATTGCTCTGCTTAAAATTGTGATTTATTCCTTGTTTGAACTTTGTTACCTAGGGCAAGTGCCATGAATTTAAAATTGGGCATGCTAAAAGAGAGAAAAGAAGGAATAACATTTCCATTAATATGGTATTTCAGATGGTTTTATAGCTGTTTCTAAAGTTGTGTGGGTTCTGTAGTTGTGTGCGCATGCTTACTTCGTTTCTTTTTGTCCTTTTTATTTAAGCCAAATATTTTTCAGTTTTGTGAGCCAATAAAATTAATATTGACTTAAATTGTAGTAAAAGTTACTTGGCTGTTAGCTTATTTTCCAGATTCAGGTTAGTAGGAGAGAAGGAAGGATATTGGAGACTCTGACAGTAATTCTTGATACAGAAAACCTTTATTTTGGCTACGGCATGAGAGCACTGAGCCAGACTCCTGTGTCTAGCCAAAGTTAATTAGGCTACATAAAACTCCAGTTGTGGAAGTAGTGGAGGTTCCACAGAAAAGTCCCATACCCCAGGCTGAAATGGTGTCAGTGTAGTTTATCTGGAAATGTAATGCAGTGTGTTTCCATGGGCCTTTTGCTATTATTATTTAGAGCTAAGACTTCTTTTTCATTCATTTGACCCTCTCCAGAGAAGAGTTACCTTCATTTTGGAAGCTGACCAATATTTGGGTTTTTTTGTTTGTTTGTTTATTTATTATAATTACTGCACAGACATGTTTAGATTGGAGCTAGTTCAGAACAAATGGTAATTTTTCCTGTTAATCTGATTGAGTAATTATTATGGGTATATATAATTCAAGTTGCTAAATTTATTCTATGAAAAAGTGAAGACATAATATCACATATATCATGCTACTGAAATATTGGATGAAAATATAGAAGGAAGTTTAATCACCACAATATATTCAGCTAAGCCTTTATATGAAGTTGCTGTACCTGAACGTTATGATTTATCAGTCTGGAGCTAATAGAGTTATCATTGTATTATTTTTACTCTGAAGCATAATGAATCTGATAGTTCATTTTTAAGGATCTCCCTTCCACTCCAAATATGCATTTGTTTTCTAGTATCAGTCTTATGATTATTCTACTTGCTGTCACTAAGTGACACAGGAATCTCCAAAATCTCTCAGGCTTTGATTCAACTTTTGTATGTCACTTAGTAGAAATCATCATTAGAGCTATTTCTTTTGCCTGATAGTCTCAGGAGCAATAAAAATTAAAATACTCAAATTCTTTTGAGTATGCCACTAATGTGGCATTAAAGGCCACATGAGATAATTTCAGCTATATCTACATATATATGCTGCTTTGTTTTTTATTATTTATTTATTTATTTTTGAGATGGATTCTCACTCTGTCACCCAGGCTGGAGTGCAGTGGCACGATTTCGGCTCACTGCAACCTCTGCCTCCCGGATTCAGGCGATTCTTCTGCCTCAGCCTCCCGAATACCTGAGACTACAGGTGCATGCCACCACGCCTGGCTAATTTTTGTATTTTTAATAGGGATGGGGTTTCACCATATTGCCCAGGCTGGTCTCGAACTCCTGACCTCATGATCTGCCCACTTTGGCCTCCCAAAGTGCTGGGGTTACAGGCGTGAGCCACTGCTCCAGGCCAGCTTTTTATTTATTTATTTCAAAACAAGTAAGATTAGTTGACCCTTGAACAACACAAGTTTGAACTGTGCAGGTCTACTTATACACAGTTTTTTTTTTTCAATAAATACATTGGAAAATTTTTTGGAGATTTGCAACAATTTAAAAAAACAGGCAGACAAACTTCATAGCCTAGATATATTGAATAACTTTTTTTAAAGTTAGATGTGTCATAAATACATAAAATATACGTAGATACTAGTCCATCATTTACTGCTATAAGATATACACAAGTCTATTATAAAAAGTTAAAATTTATCAAAATTTATGCACACAAACACAGGCTATTATTATATTATTAGTTAAGTTTTGGAGGAGTCAAAAGTTATATGTACATTTTCACCTGCATGAGGGCTGGCCGCTCTAACCCTCACATTGTTCAAGGGTCAATTGTATATTGCTTTTAAGGTAACTTACATTTTGTCATAGTCAGCGACTCTCTGAGGCTGGCGTGCGGGTGGTAAAGGAATTTACCAAGACATTAATGAGTGTAGAAAGACAGATTTATTTAGAGAAACGGGGGAGATACATTGCAAGGGAGCAATGGGCAAGACAGCGGAGGGAAGGCTGTCTGCTATTTGCAAAGAGGTAGGGGCTAGATGGGAGTTTTATAAGGCTGTGCTGCTTTAGGCTGAATGCTTGCAGACAGGATGCTTGGGTCCAGGGGGTGCTGTGAGCAGCGTGCATGTAACAGGGTGCTTGGGTGCTAGTGAGCCATTTGGGGTTGACCTCATTTCTCATAACATTTGCCCTCTACCCCTGTTTCTGTTCCTGCTATCTAAGCCCATTTGTAATTTTTTATTAACTCCCCAGGGGTCCACACATTTTTAAAATTTTATTTTTTATATTTTTGAGACAGGGGTCTCGCTGTATCGCCCCAGGCTGGAGTGCAGTGGCACGGTCTTGGCTCACTGGAATTCTCACTTGGCTCAAGCAATTCTCGTGCCTCAGCCTCTGAAGTAGCTGGGACTACAGGTGCCCGCTACCGGGCCCGGATAATTTTAGTAAAGCTGTGGTTCCGCCATGTTGGCCAGGCTGGTCTCAAGTCATCTGCCCACCTCGGCCTCCCAAAATGCTGGGATTACAACAGGCATGAGCTACCGTGCCCGTCTCACACATTTATTGTTGTTATTTAACTTGTCTGTTTGGTTTCTGTATCTGATCTATCATCGTCATTTAATGCAATATAAATAGCCAGCTGGTTCAAGCCCTCATAATCCCTAGTACTCTGATATTCCATATTACTGGAGGCATATAGATGGAGAAGTGACATGCTTTTTAAATATAGCTTGGCTTTCTTACAGAACTAAAAAAAAAAAAAAAAGGCAGTCCTGTATAAAAACTTGCATTGGATACACATTTTTGTTGAGCCTGAACTTTGTCTCTTTCTGTCTAATAAGCAGTGGTGGTACAAAGACTAACAGCATTCCCTTGGCCTCCGTGTATTTTATTTAGGTGAAATTCACAATAAAAGTCAGTCTACCATACTAGTGACTGGTGGAAATCGTTTTTGTTTCAGAAAGCACAATTATGTAGGTACATTCATTGTATTACCTTACCCTTTAATTTTTATTATAGGCACAGGATCCCATACCACTTGGAAGATTCCACCCCCCGCCCCCCATTTTATAGCTTTCATTTGTTAAATAAGCCCCATTGATACTCTATGATACTTGACTTCATAGCTTCCAGCTTGTTATTCTTTCTGCTACATCATATTGACTCTCCTATCACATAATAAAGCATAAAAACATTTTCACATGAGTTAAACTTTTTAGTTTATGCTTTATGTTTCCCTTGCTTGGTAATTTTTTTCTAATAATATATCAAGTAGAACATTTGAGTATCGCTCCTTGTTAAAACAGCATCTGGTCTAAGCCTATGTTGACTCTTAGGAGTGATGGTACAGACAATATACATTTTTAGAAACATATTTCTTCTCAAGTAGTTGGGCCAATGCTTTTACAAAAGGAAATGTATTTTTTCCTTGTGGCATTTGGTTATACACACACACATACACACACACACACACGCACATAAACGATGCCACATCTGTTCTAAGATGTGAAGGTCTTCGTTTTTGCAGACTCATAAATTGGTTCAAAACCTGCCTGGCCATGAACATGTTCACAAGTTCATAAGGTTTTTGTGATTTCCCCTTATGTTTACCTATGTTACATTTGAGGCTCATGAGGCTCAGCAACCTGAAGCATGAAGCCTGCAGAGCTATGGAGTGTATCCTTAGTTTTTAGTAAAATTGTACTTGCTTCAAACACAGTTAATTCTGGGGTCAGCTTCACATTTTTCCCAAGTTCTGAGCTTCTTATTCATTTCATATATCCCTTGATATATTAAATAAATCCTCATCTCTTGTTTTCTTCATCTTATGAAGAATTAAATATTACATATAAGGTGGATTGTTTTGTGAGGTGGCTCCCTCCTGTTTTCTGAAAGCAGTACTATTTAAATTGCTTTGTTTGTTTGTTTTTGAGACAGGGTCTTGCTCTGTCACCGGAGCTGAAGTGTAGTGGTCCACACCTCCTTGGCTCAAGCTGTCCTCCTTCCTTGAATCCCCCAAGGGACTGGTATGAAAGTTGTGAGCCACCACACCAGCCCTTTAAAATTGCTCTTTAGCTTTTTGGTTATTATGCTAAAATATACATATGTGGTATCTCATGTACATAAATGCCTGACTTCAAAATGCATAAAAACATTTTGAAAAGAAACCTTCATTCAGTTTTTAGATTTTTCTTCTAATACAGTTCTGAAAGGAAAATGCATTTTCTGTGTATATTTTTAAATGAAAAGAATTTTAACATAGCTACTGGTAAAAAAGATTTAAGTATTTGTATTTGTGATAGAAAATAGTGACAGTGGAGTTTACAGCTGAGTTTTTAATTTGAATGTGATGTATATAGTTTTCCTCAAATGTGAAGTTTTGAAGGAACCATTATTATACTCCACACTGAAAGGGGTGAGGGTGAAGGGCATGGGAGACCTGAGTGAATTGGCTTGACCTTTATCTGGTAAACATTTAACTGGTAGAATGTTGGATTGAAGCCAGAGCACCTGAGCACTTACCTGCCTAGTAATTGATTTCTTCTCACAGTGGAAGGCATAATTCTTTTAAAAGGCTTAAAATTGCAGGACTCTCATTTGTACAACATAATTGAGGCTCTTTGTCAAAAGTGACAGGATGAGGTACATTCTTGAGCATATACTGTAATTCAGTCTGCATGGCAATAACAGTACCTGTGGTAGAAGACCTCAATATGCAGAATGACTCATGTGTAAGTAGGACTCTTTTGTCAGTTTGACATTAGCTGTATGGCATAGAGTTTACACTGGGCACTGACTGTTGTATAAAGCCATATATAATGATGTCATATAATGGAGAAATAAGTATTGTGGTTTTTAGAGGTAACATCACCAAGAAATTTTTGTCTCTGAAAGATGAAACCTGAAGATATCATCTATTTTATAGGTTTTTCTATTTCTCATCTTTTGAGATGAAATAGCAATAGCTAAAAGAGAAATAGACTTTCTGTCTGCTTGAATCAGAAATTTACTCACTTAAAGCAGAAAATTACTTGATCCGAAGCCTATGACCTTATGTTGTAAGATTTCCTTGTATATCTCAAAGAGGTTACATCAGCAGAAGTAAAGGATTAAGTTTCAATCTATTGCTTTGGCTCAAGATGTTTTCCTGAGGGTGTCTGTCTTCCCCTTTTCTACCTAGGGTACACATTTGCCAAAGTGGTAATCACTCCACTCTCTCTCTGCTGATATGGAAGAGGACTCTTCCATCCTGACTCCCTCATCATTTTGATACTTCCCTCTCTCTCTCTCTCTCTCCCACCCCTCCCCCTCTCCCTCCCCCTCTCCCTCTCTCTCTCTCTCTATATATATATATAGTTATGTATAGTTATATACGTCTATATTTATATAGGTGTATATAACTTTGCTTTTACACATTTGCCTGGACTGTGTGTGTGTGTGTGTCTGTGTGTGTGTGTGTGTGTGTGTGTATATATATATATATATGTGTATATATATATATGTGTATATATATATGTGTATATATATATGTGTATATATATATATATACACACAGAGAGAGAGAACTATAATATTTTTATATATAGTTATGTATGTCTGTATTTATGTAGGCATATGTAACTGCATTTTTACCTTTATATATTTGCTTTGACTGTAAACATTAGCAAAGCTGACTCAACAAGTAATGCTACATAGCAAGGATTGCTTTTAAGTAAGAATAAAAAGAAGAATTTCAAATATGCTGAAATTTAAGAATGCCAAGAAGATTTTACTACTGCCATTATTTTACTGCTGCCATTTTTGCTTTGATAGGAATTATCAAAGCAGTATTCCTAAAATGTACAAAATCCATTTCCAAAATATATTCCACGTAATATAATACTTCTAGATGTCCTTTGAAAAAAAAATCCAGTAGCCAAATTAGTGTGAGGAAAGATACATACTATATTTCATTCTTAAAATATGTATATATTATATCCATTAAAGGCTCTGAAAGTCTTCTTTGTATTTAAAGCCCTATTTAGCTTATTCATCATATGAAACAGGTTTTTTCAAGTTGAATCCATTTATCCCAAGATAACAGTATTCTGCCAAATGTACTTTGGAGAATTTTATAAGATACCAAACTGAAAGGGAGCAGTCATGCAGAATACAAAAGTTTTAGAAATAAACATAAGTGAAAGAAACTACTATTTACCTGGTAAACTGGTAGACCTTGAGTTGGTGACAGAACACCTGAGCTGTTGCTTACTCAGTAATTTATTACTGTCAAGTGTGCTGTCAGTGTTTAGCATTGGAAAACTTACTAAAAAAGAGTGTGATTCATTGCTCTCCTCTATGATTGATATGATGGGTGGACGGAGATAATAGGAGAGCTCCAGGAAATCAGCATGGAAGTGCCAATGAGGTCAACATTTTGAAAGAGAAAGATTTCTTATTAACATCGAGGCTAGAGCTATGCAGAAAATAGCCATTTGTCTAGATGAATCCAAAAGAAAAGAGTTGAACTACTAGTTGATAATGTTTTAATGCATTTAAGGATGTATATGTAATTTTCAGAATACTAGTTAAAAAAAACAAAAACAACTTTTTTTCATGCTTACAAAACCAGTCATAAGTTTGAAAGAGGAAATTGACTTTATTAATTTGTGATCTTAAGCAAATTGTAATTATTTTCCATTTCTCAAATAGAAACAGCATTTGGTGATTCCAGTATTTAAAATCTTTTCCTCACATATCTCTGGCAAATGTTGTTACTTATATCCTATACAGAATAATACATCAGAGGAAGCAGTTATGACTTTGAGATTTTTCCTTTAACTGGGATGCTCTCACCCTCCACATTTAGCAGTTTGAGTCATAATCTTTTTTTAAGTTTTATCTTATGAATTTATTTGTGTTGCAAACTATTCCAACATGAAAAAAAATATGAGGCACCTATGTATTTTTAACTCAGATAAAACAAAGGCTATAATTTTATGGCACTTCTGATAGACTTTTTAATGCAATTAATTTTTAATAAATATTTATTTTAGAATAGTTTGATTACAGAATTGAAGTTAGTACAGAGAGTTCTCATATTCCCACACTCAGTTTCCCCTATTATTAATATAATACATTAGTATGATACAGTTGTCACAATTAATGTGCCAACATAGATATATTGTTATCAACTAAAGTCCATATTTTATCCAGATTTCTTCAGTTTTTCCTTCATGTCCTTCTGTTGTTCCAGGATCCCATTTAGGAAACCACGTTACATTTAGTAGTCATGTCTCCTTAGGCTCCTCTTGCTGTGACAGTTTCTCAGACTTATTTTTATTATGATGACCTTGACAATTTTGAGGAGTAAAGGTCATATATTTTGTAGAATGTTCCTCAGTTGGTATTTGGCTGATATTTTGTCACGATTAGACTTAGACTATGGGGTTTGGGAGGAAAACCACCAGAGGTAAATTATCATCCTCATGATATCAAGGATATCTATTAGCGATGTGACTTATCATTGTTTATGCTAAACTTGATAACATGGCTTGAGGTAGTTTTTGTCAGAGTTCCCCATTGTAAAGACACTCAGTGTATTCCGTTTTCACGCTGCTGATAAAGACACTCCCAAGACTGGGCAATTTACAAAAGAAAGAGGTTTAATGGACTTATAGTTCCACATGGCTGGGGAGGCCACAAAATCATGGCGGAAGGCAAAAAGGAGCAAGTCACATTTTACATAGATGTCAGCAGGCAAAGAGAGAGAGAGAGAGAGAATGCTTGTGCAGGGAAACTCCCGTTTTTAAAACCATCATATCTCATGAGACTTACCCACCATCACGAGAACAGCATGGGAAAGACCCACCAGCATGATTCAGTTATCTCTCACCAGGTCCCTTCCACAATATGTGGGAATTATGGGAGCTACAAGATGAGATTTGGATGGGGACACAGAGCCAAACCATATCATTCTGCCCCTGAACCCTCCCAAATCTCATGTCTTCACATTTCAAAACCAATCATGCCTTCCCAACAGTCTCCCAAAGTCTTAACTCATTTCAGCATTAACTTAAAAGTTCACAGTCCAAAGTCTCATCTGAGACAAGGCACGTCCCTTCCACCTATGAGCCTTTAAAATCAAAAGCAAGTTAGTTAATTCCTAGATAAAATGAGGATACAAGCATTAGGTAAATACAGCCATTCCAAATGGGAGAAATTGTCCAAAACAAAGTGGCTACAGGCACACACAAGTCCAAAATCCAGTGGGGGCAGTCAATTTTTTTTTTTGAGGCAGATTCTCGCTCTGTCGCCCAGGCTGGAGTGCAGTGGCATGATCTTGGCTCACTGCAACCTCCACCTCCCTAGTTCAAGCAATTCTCCTGCCTCAGCCTCCCAAGTAGCTGGGACTACAGGTGTATGCCACCATGCCTAGCAAATTTTTTGTATTTTTAGTAGAGATGGGGTTTCACTGTGTTAGCCAGGATGGTCTCGATCTCCTGAGCCCATGATCCGCCCTCCTCAGCCTCCCAAAGTGCTGGGATTACAGGCATGAGCCACCGCACCTTGCCAGGGCAGTCAAATCCTAAAGCTCCATAATGATCTCCTTTGAATCTATGTCTCACATCCAGGTCATGCTGATGCAAGATGTGGGTTCCTCTGGTCTTGGGCAGCTCCACCCGTGTGACTGCAGGGTATAGCCCTCCTCTTGGCTGCTTTCATGGGCTGGTGTTGTGTGTCTGTGGCCTTTCCAGGTGCATGGTGCAAGCTGTCAGTGGATCTACCATTCTGGGGTCTGGAGGACTGTGGCCCTCTTCTCACAGCTCCCGGTGGAGCCCCAGTGGGGACTCTATGGGGACTCTGACCCCACATTTCTCTTCTGCACTGCCCTAGCAGAGGTCCTTCATGAGGGCTCCACCCATGCAACAAATTTTTGCCTGGTCATCCAGGCATTTACATACATCTTCTGAAATCTAGGTGGAGGTTCCCAAACCTTAATTCTTGACTTCCGTGCACCTGCAGGCTCAACACCACATGGAAGCTGCCAAGGCATGGGGCTTCCACCCACTGAAGCAACAGCCTCCAGCTGTACCTTGGCTCATTTTAGTCATGGCTGGAGGGATAGGACATAGGACACCAACTTCCTAGGCTGTACACAGCACAGGGACCCTGGGCCGGACTCACAAAACCACTTTTTCCTTCTAAATCTCCGGGCCTGTGACGGGAGGGGCTGCCACAAAGGTCTCTGACACGCCCTGAAGACATTTTTCCCATTGTCTTGGTGATTAACATTCGGCTCCTCGTTACTTATGCCAATTCCTGGAGCAGGCTTTAGTTTCTCCTCAGAAAATAGGATTTTCTTTTCTATTGCATTGTTAGCTCGCAAATTTTCCAAACTTTTACGCTCTGCTTCCCTTATAAAACTGAATGCCTTTAACAGCACCCAAGTCATCTCTTTAATGCTTTGCTACTTAGAAATGTCTTCCACCTTAGGGCCCAGCACGGTGGGTAATGCCTGTAATCGTAGCACTTTGGGAGGCCGAGGTGGGTGGGTCACCTCAGGTGGGGAGTTCAAGACTAACCTGACCGACATGGAGTAACCCCGTCTCTACTAAAAACAAAATTAGCTGGGCTTGGTGGCGCATGCTTGTAATCTCAGCTACTTGGGAGGCTGAGGCAGGAGAATCGCTTGAACCTGGGAGGCGGAGGTTGCCGTGAGCCGAGATCATGCCATTGCACTCCAGCCTGGGCAAAAAGAACAAAACTCTGTCTCAAAAAAAAAAAAAAAAAAAGAAAAAGAAAAAGTAATGTCTTCCACCAGATACCCGAAGTCATCTCTCTCAAGTTCAAAGTTTCACAGATCTCTAGGGCAAGGGCAAAATACCATCAGTCTCTGCTGAAACATAACAAGAGCCACCTTTGTTCCAGTTCCCAACAAGTTCCTCATCTCCATCTGAGACCACCTCAGCCTTAATTTCATTATTCATATCACTGTTAGAATAAACAAAGTTGATAGATCGTAGCTAGATTAACAAAGAAAAAAAAGACAGAGTTTTGAGCATTATTGACTCGAAGTTTTCTTTTTTGTTGTGTCTCTGCCTGCTTTTCGTATCAGAATGATGCTGGCTTCATAGAATGAGTTAGGAAGGAATTCTTTCTCCTCAGTTTTTTGGGATAGATTCAGTAGGATTGGTGCCAGCTCTTTGTACATCCAACAGAATTGTCTGTGAATCCATCCAGTGGAAATCTTTTTTGGTGGTTAGGTTTTTTTATTACTGATTCAATTTCAAAACTCATTATTGATCTCTTCAGAGTTTCAATTTCTTCATGGTTAAATCTTGAAAATTGTGTGTCTCCAGGAATTTATCCATTTCCTCTAGATTTCATAGTAATTTTGAAGGATCTTTCCTATTTCTGTGGGATTGGTTGTAATGTCATCTTTGTTATGTCTGATTATGCTTATTTGCATCTTCTCTGTCTTTTTTTCTTTGTTAATCTAGCTATGATCTATCAACTTTGTTTATTCTTTCAAAAAACCAGTTGTTTGTTTCACTGATAATTTGTATGGATTTTTGTGACTCAATTTAGCTTTGTGGTTGGTTTCTTCCTTCTTTTCCAGTTCCTGTAGGTGCGATGTTAGATTTTGAATTTGACATCTTTGTACCTTCTTGATATAGGCATTTAGCACTGTAAACTTTCCTCTTAACATTGCTTTTTCATCCCAAAAATTATGGTATGCTGCATCTGTTGTCACTTATTTCAATTTTTTATTTCTGTCTTAATTTTGTTGTTTACCCAAAAGTCATTCAGAAACAAGTTCTTTAATTTCCATGTAATTGATTGGTTTTGAGTGACCTTCTTGGTATTGATTTCTATTTTTATTGCACTGTGGTCTGAGAGTGTGTTTGGTAAGATTTTGATTTTTTTTTTTAAATTTATTGAGACTTGTGTATGGCTGTGCATCTGGTCGCTCTTAGAGTATGTTCTATGTGCAGATGAGAAGATTATATATTCTGTGGTTGTTGGGTGTAATATTCTACAGATGTCTATTAGATCCAGTTATTGAAGTGTCAAGTTTAGGCCTAGGTTTTTTTGTTTTGTTTTGTTTTTTAGTTTTCTGCCTTAATGATCTGTCTAACGCTGTCAGTGGGGAGTTAAAGCCTCCCACTATACTATATGGCTGCCTTAAGTCTTTTCATCACTGCAGAAGAACTTGCTTTATAAATCTGTGTGCTCTAATATTTGCTATGTATATATTTAGGATAGTTAAGTCTTTTTGTTGAATTGAAACTTTCATCATCATATAATACCCTTCCTTGTCCTTTTTGGCTGTTGTTGGTTTAACGTCTGTTTTATCTGATATGAGAATAATGACCTCATCTCTTTTTTTTCCTATCCCTTTGTCAGACAGGTCTTTCTTGATCCCTTTACTTTGAGCCTGTGGGTGTTGATACCTGTGAAACAGATCTCTTGAAAACAGCAATTGGGTCTTGATTTTTTAATGTAACTTGCCTTTCTATGCCTCTTACGTGGGGGTGTTTAGATCATTTACATTCAGGATTAATATTCATATGTGAGATTTTAGTCCTATCATTGTGTTATTAGCTGTTTTATGTAGACTTGATTGTATAGTTGTTATATCATATCTGTGGGCTATGTGCTTAATAGAGTTTTTATGGCAACAGGTATTGTTCTTCCATCTCCATGTTTAGTACTCCCTTAGAGACCTCTTTTAATGCTGGTCTAGTGGTAATGAATTCCTTTAGTATTTACATGGCTGAGAAGGATTTTATTTCTCCTCCATTTATGAAGTTTAGTTTGGTGGGACATGAAATTCTTGGTTGGAATTTCATTTCTTTAAGGATGCTGAAAATAGGTCCCCAATCTCTTCTGGCTTGTAACGTTACTGCTGACAAGTCCAGTTGCCTTTAAGATATTTTCTTTTTCATTGACCTTGTAGAACCTGATGACTGTGTCTTGGGGGTGCTTATTTTTTATATTATCTTGCAGGAATTCTCTGATTTTCTTGAATTTGCATGTTGACCTCTCTAGTAAGATTGGGAAAATTTTCGTGAACTCTTACATATCCTCAAATATGTTTTATAAGTTGCTTACCCTCTCTCCTTCTCTCTCAGGAATGCCAGTGAATTGCAGTTTTGATCTCTTTACATAAGCCTATATTTCTTGGAGATTTAATCATTTTTCTTATTCTTTATTCTCTTTTTTGTCTTTCTGCATTGATTCAAATAATTAGTCTTTGAGCTCTGAGATTCTTTGCTCAGCTTGCCCTGTTGTGTTGTTAATGCCTCCAACCGTATTATGACATTCCTTGTGAATTTTTCACTTCCAGAACTTTTCCAGTTTTTTGGTTTAGTTCTTTCTTAAAATGGCTATTGCATCTTTCAATTCTTGGATCATTTTACTGGATTCCCTGGATTCTTTGGAGTGTGTTGTGACTTTCTTCTAGATCTCATTGAGTTTCCTTGCCATCCAAATTTCTAAATTGTACATCTGTCATTTCAGCCATGTCAATCTGGCTAAGAAGCATTTCTGGGAAACTAGTGAGATCATTTGGAGGTAAGGAGACACTTAGACTTTTTGAATTGCCAGAGTTCTTGTGCTGATTCTTTCTCATCTGAGAGGGCTGGTGTTCCTTTATCTGTTTTAGAATTTGCTGTCATTTGGGTGGGACTTTTTATTTTTATATTCTTTATTTATCTTAAGGGTTTGACTGTGAGATATGTATCTATTCATTTGGCTTCAATTCTGGGTCCTAACAGAAGGCCATGGCTCTGCACGGGATCTTTATTTGTGGAAAGATTCCTGCATTTTGTTTCACAGGCAGTGTATACTGGCCGAATTTTTTTTTTTTTTTTTTTTTTTTTTTTTTTTTTTTTTTTTTTTTGAGTAGGGGTAGGGCGGTGTAATTCAAGTTCCAATCCAGTAGATGGTGCTTAAGAGTCATGGCTGGCAGGCGCGAAGCAGGGAGTGGTGGCTCACGCCTGTAATTCCAGCACTTTGGGAGGCCAAGGCAGGCAGATCAATTTGGGAAGCTGAGGAGGGCGGATCACTTGAGGTCAGGACTTCGTGACCAGCCTGGCCAACATGGTAAAACACTGTCTCTACTAAAAATACAAAAAACAGCCGAGTGGCCAATATGGTGAAACACTGTCTCTACTAAAAATACAAAAATTAGCCAAGTATGGTGGTGTGCGCCTGTAATCCCAGCTACTCCAGAGGCTGTGGCAGGAGAATCACTTGAACTCGGGAGGCGGAGGTTGTAGTGAGCCCAGATTGCACCATTGCACTCCGGCCTGGGCGATAGAGCTAGACTTTGTCTTATTAAAAAAAAAAAAAAAAAAGGGGAGAGAGAGAAAAGAAAAAAGGGCCTAGGAGGCAGAGAATGCAATGAGCCGAGACTGCGCCACCGCACTCCAGCCTGGGAAACGCAAGGAGACTCTGGTCTCCAAAAAAAAAAAAAAAAAAAGAGTAATGGCTGGCCGATTGGCTCCTAGCCTAGCACCTCTTTTGTGATTCAGCACCTTTGCAGTAGTGCTCTGTGGTGGGGGAGATGGGAGAGAAGAGATGACCCCCTTATCATATACGTTATTGGACCTTAGGGGAGCCTGCTGCAATCACTGGTGCCGTGCCCTTGAACCCCCGCTTCACTCTTCCCCATGCTCTGAGAGTGACGGCTCTTACCCTGCTCCAACCACAAATCTCAGCTCTGCATTCTGGATCTACGTGCTCTGACCCTGGGGACTTGGGACCTACTGGGCCAGCAGCCTTGTCCTCTGACCCTTTGAGATCGAGCACCAGCTGTGCTTGGTGGAGGCAGGGGGTTTTGGCGGGGAATTGCCCCAGGGTGGGGTTGCTCCCAGGCCACTAGCAAAGCACTCAAAGCAGTATGCCTGCTCCTGTGCAAGCAGCCAAGCAGGGAACCCCAGGAGGGGTCAGTGCACAGGCAGATGTGCAGATCTGACACACCTTGATATCTTAGGAAAGACAGCCCTGTTCTCTCCCAGTCCATTCAGCAAAGTTAAGAGCCATGCAGAGGAGCATGGAGAACCCTTGGATATCGATGCCTATTACCATATTTTGTTGCAGCTGTCCCCATGCAAAAACCCCCTGGGCTTTACACATGCTCAAGTTTGGTCTCTGTCTACTCTCTGGGCAGTCCCCCCTACCAGCTCAACTGTCTGTAGGGGTGGTGGCATCTTGTGCAGCCAGGATCCCAGAAGTCCATGGTAAGTGTGGGTTTCTCTACAGGTTCCTCACTTACCACTTCCTTAGGAGCCATTCAGGGCCAAGGAGTCCTTCCTGTAGGTCGGCCATCCCATGCAGTGCTCTTAGTTTCCTCTCTCTTTAGCCTTGGTGCCTGCGTTGCCTCTCTGTCAACTCTTAGTGTTTTCTCCCAAAAGATCTGTCTTGAAGTATGTTGATTTGCTCCATATTTTGGTCTCACTCGCTTGGAGAGGCTCTTCCTGGGTGTGTCTACTTGGCCCTCTTTTCCCTCCTCTTCTTAGGATACTTTTTATTTCTTTGCTATCAGTTGTAACGTTTCCTCTTTCATTTCTGATTTTTGTTATTCGAATCTTCTTTCTTTTTTCTTAGTCTGGTTAAGAATTTGCTGAATTTACCTTTAAAAAACCGAACTTTCCATTGTGGAAGACATTGTGGCGATTCCTCAAGGATCTAGAACTAGAAATACCATTTGACCCAGCAATCCCATTACTGGGTATATAGCAAAAGGATTATAAATCATGCTGCTATAAAGACACATGCACACACGTATGTTTATTGTGGGACTATTCACAATAGCAAAGACTTGGAACCAACCCAAATGTCCATCAATGATAGACTGGATTAAGAAAATGTGGCACATATATACCATGGAATGCTATGCAGCCATAAAAAGATGAGTTCATGTCCTTTGCAGGGATATGGATAAAGCTGGAAACCATCATTCTCAGCAAACTATCACAAGGACAGAAAACCAAACACTGCATGTTCGTTCTCACTCATAGGTGGGAATTGAACAATGAGAACACTTGGACACAGGGCAGGGCCTGTCATGGGGTCGGGGGCTGGGGGAGGGATAGCATTAAGAGAAATACCTAATGTAAATGACGAGTTGATGGGTGCTGCAAACCACCATGGCACATGTATGTAACAAACCTATGTAACAAACCTGCACATTGTGCACATGTACCCTAGAACTTAAAGTATAATAGAAAAAAACCCAGAAAATTTAGAATTGAAAAAAAAAATTCGAACTCTCAGTGTTGTTGTTATTTTTCTATTGTTTTTCTATTCTCTCTTTCATTTATTTCTGTTCTAATCTTTATTGTTTCCTTCCTTCTGCTGACTTTGGACTTAGTTTCTTCTTCTTTATCTAGTTTCTTGAGGTATAAAGGTAGGTTGTTGATATGAGCTCTTTGTTCTTTTGTAATGTACACACTTATCACTTAAACTTCAGTCTTAGGACTGCTTTTGCTGCATTGTATTTCGTTCTTCTTACGTTTTAATTGAGCATTTAATATGATTTTATTTCCTCTCCTAGTGTATCAATTATATTTCTTTAAAAATTTTCATGGTGGTTGCCCTGGAGTTTGTGATGGACACTTTATACTAAGTATACCTTTAAGTGACATTAAACTGCTTGATGTGCGTACAATTACCTTACGGAGTATTCACAATTCCTCCCTCCTGTCCTTTATGACATCTCTGTCACTCATTCTACTTACCTATATGCTGTAATCATCTAATTAATTATTACTATTGTTACATTAAACAGTTATTTAGATAAGCTCAGAAAAAGACAAATATTTTATTTACCTTCATTTATTCTTTCTATAACCCTCTTCATTTTTTAATATAGATCCAAGTCTCTGATATCATTTTCCTTCTGCCTGAAGAAAATCTTGTAGGATTTCTTATGGGAAAGTCTGCTCATAATAAATTCCCTCAGGTTTTGTATCTAGAAAGTTTATAGTTCTGCTTCATTTTTAAAGGATAGTTTCACTGGATATAAAATTCTAGATTTGTGGGGTTGTTTTTCAGTGTTTTGAATATTTTACTCTACTCTCTTCTTGCTTGATGGTTTTTGATCAGAAGTTCACTGTAATTCGCAACCTTATCCATAGGTAAGGTGATTTTTTCCCCCCTGTTTGGACTTCTTTCAAGATTTTCTCCTTGTCTTCCTACAAGTTTGAATATATTAGGTTGGAGCAAAAGTAATTGCAGATTTGCCATTGAAAGTAATGGCAAGAACCACAGTTACTTTTGCACCAACCTAATAATATGCATAGGTTTAGTATTTTTGGAATGTATCTTATTGGTGGCCTTTGAGTTTTTTGAATCTCTGGTTTTGTATCTTTCATTAATTTGGGAACGCCCTCAATCATTATAACATTAGCTCTATTTTTCTTCTCCTTCTGATATTCCAATTGCCCATATGTCACATATATTGAAATTTTTGCACAGTTCTTTGATATTCTGTACTTTTCATTCCTTTATTCATTGCACGTCCATTTAGAAGTTTCTGTTGACCCTTCGTCAAGCTCACTGATTCTTTCCTTAGCCATCCTGGGTCTTCTAATGAGCCCATCAAAGGCATTCTTTACTTTTGTTAGAGTGGTTCTAAGAACATGCATCTGTTCTTGCATGTTGTTTACTTTTTCCATTAGAGCACTTAACATATTAATTATAGTTATTGTAAGTTCTCTGTCAATTCCAAAATTTGTTTCATATTCCAACATGTAAGTCTGGTTTTGATGCTTGCTTTGTGTCTTTGGACTTTGTTTTTCTAATCTTTTGCCATGTCTCATGTTTTTTTGATGAATGCAGGACATGTTGAATTGGGTAGTAGAAAATGAAATACGCAGCCTCTAATGTGAGAACTGGTATTAATCTGGCTGTGAACTGGGCCTCGTTTAGTGTTTGTTGTAGCTACAGCTGCTAGAGGCTTCAAATTTCTCTTCCGTTCTGATTGTCTCCTCTCTTGCCCTTAGGTTTCCCTTAGTACTCTTTCTCTGAGAGATGCTGTCTTGAGACTCTTTCACTTGTAGTCCACTATTATACAGAAGGCCAGCTGTTGTGGTGGTGAAGTATGAGGGAGGAGGAACATTCTGTCATTAGTCAGTTACATCTCAGTCTTTGAATGGATGGGCCTGTGTCTGTGTCCTGTGACCTTCATGAGTTATTCTACTTGTGTAACTCCTAACATTAGGTGAGACAAAGTGAATAGATTAATTGAGAGGAGTGTCTTTACCCAAAGCTCTGGGGAAGGCTCTGGTAACATCTTTTACCCTGGAGAATAGGCCTCTGTTATTAAGGAGGCTCTGGATGTATTTCACAGGGATGAGTCTTCTACTTCCCCTGCCATCACCAGGAGAGTGGGGGATCTTTTTTTGTTCTTCACTATGAAAACTTAGTCCGGTTCCTGAAAGGTGATGGTTGAGTACCCCCTAAGACTGTGGTCCTCAGGGTTTCTCTTTCTCCTGATAGTCTACCCTCAGCCTCCAGCAAGTTGTCAAAATTACTGTGTAAGTGTGCCTATGAGATTTTTGGCTCGATTTGCTTCTGCGTCAGAAAAGCAGGTCTCCACTATGATTCTCTAGAATCTCCTTTCTCTCCACATTGTAGGGTGGTGGCTTGCCTTTCAAACTCAGTTCTCTGATAGATCTCAGAAAAATCATTGATTTCCAGTTTGTCTAGTTCTTTCTTGTAAAAATAGGAGTGATGCAATTTTTATGACAATTTAGATTTCCTTTTTCCCCCAAAAAAACACTGCGAGAACTAATCTCTGCCTTCTTTGTACTCTTGAGACACTTTCAACCCCTCTTATAGTACTTACTCTAGGTTGTCTAATATAACAGTGGCCCCCATCCTTTTTGGCACCAGGGACCAGTTTAATGGAAGACAATGTTTCCATGGACTGGGTAGAAGATAGGGACTTGGGAGGGACGATTTTGGGATTAGACTCTTCCACCTCAGATAAACAAGCATTAGATTTTCATAAGGAGTACACAACCTAGATCCCTCACAGTGCAGTTCACAACAGGGTTTTGTGTTCCTGTGAGAATCTAATGCTGCCACTGATCTGACAGGAGATGGAGCTCAAGTAGTAATGTGAGTGATGGGGAGCAGCTGTAAATACGGATGAAGTTTCGCTCATTCACACACCACTCACCTCCTGCTGTGCAGCCTGGTTCCAAACAGGCCATGAACTGGGACCTGTCCATGGCCTGGGGGTTGGGGACCCTTGTAATACAACATTGGAGCTGCTAATATTGTATAAACATACTCTCTCTATATCTATTTTTTTATCTCAATCTGAAACCAGTTCAATTGTCCCATATATCTGATATTTATGATTTTGTTTGAATAAACATAGAGATTGACCCTCCCATTCTTAAAACTTGTTTATCTTGTCTGAGTTCCTTTCTCAAGAAACCAGCCATCAGGCCTCCCAGATTGTATCAAGGAACTGAAACTCACCACATCATCTCATCTGATCAGTGAGACGCCAGACCTCTCACCCATCATGATTGCCTGAGCAGCAGCCTGCTTCCTGTTGACCAGCTCTCCTCTTCCTTAGCCCTCCCACATTCCTGTTTACCTGCATGTATTTACATTTCTTCCCTGCTATATAAACACCTGATTTTAGCTGGTCAGGGAGATGAATTTGAGACTAATCTCCCATCTCCTCAGCTATGGCACCCAAATAAAGCCTTCTTCCCTGGTGATAGTCATTGTCTCAGTAATTGGCTTGCTGTGCATCAAGCAACAGGATCTAGACCAAACCCCTGTCATTTCAGTAACAAATCTATGTCTGTGTCTAAATCTGTATCTTAATATATCAGGAACCACCGATATTCGTGAGATATGCCATATATTTTTATTTTCCCATCGCACAAGGCATAATGTGTATTGTATGTAGTAAACGCTTGATTGATGTTTTATTATTTATTTATTTATTTATTTAGAAATGGAGTTTCACTCTTGTCACCCAGGCTGGAGTGCAATGGTGCGATCTCAGCTCACTGCAACCTCCACCTCCCAGGTTCAAGTGATTATCCTGTCTCAGCCTCCTGAGTAGCTGGGATTACAGATGTGTGACTCCATGCCCAGCTAATTTTTGGGTTTTTAGTAGAGATGGGGTTTTGCCATGTTGGCCAGGGTGATCTTGAACTCCTGACCTCAGGTAATCCACCCACGTCGGCATCCCAAAGTGTTGGGATTACAGGCATGAGCCACTGCGCCCGGCCTGACGATGTCTAATATTTCAAAAGTATAGAATTAGTTGTTTATAAAAATATATTTGATCATAAAGCCTGACTTCCTTTTCCATTAGGACTCCATCATTTTAGGGTGGCTGCACTTATATGAACGCTAGTTCTAGACTGCCTGGCTTGTTCAACTACTTATTAGCTCTGTGATTTGGGGCAAGTTATTTAACTTCTCTTTATCTCATCCTTTTTGTCTGTAAAATGAGGGAAAAAGCATTTTCTTGTTGAGCAGTTAAATGAGTCCATACATGAACATAAGGCACTTAGAACAATGTCTGGTCAACATATTGTAAGGACTTGATAGTCGTTAACCATTAGCAGTAAGAATGATATTATTGTTATCATTGTTATTTATGTCTTTGTATGGCATGGAACATTGCTAATTATTTGACCATAACTGTACTCGTTCAGCCTTATCAACCATCATTGCCCACAGTATTAAACTTACAGTAACTCCCTAAGTATGTTCCATTCACTCATTCTTTGTCTTTTCCAAACTTGGTGCTGCCTTGGTCTATAATATCTTTTTCTTGCCTCTCCACTTAGCAAAGTCCTACCGAACTATACAACTTAATCTAAAACACTTTCTCTTTCATAAAATAGTTCCTCATTCTTCCAGGTAGCCTTCAAATTCTTCCAGGCTTCTTATTGCATATGAATAACTACATGATACTGAATTGTAACACATTAATAAATATTGCTTATTTTTTTAGATAATGAAAGTAGATACCATGTTCATTATTGTTACTAGCTTGGTTTTTAGTGCATAATTGTTCAATAAATACTTGTTGAATGAATGCAGGTGAAATGATTCTAAAGCAAGGATTGGCCCAATTCACATGAAGCTTTCAGTCAGGCCGTAACACTCACTGACACATCACTGTCCTTCCCTAAGTTAATTTTTCTGTTATCTGTGCTCTCATGAGAGTAAATAGGTCACCTACTCTCTCTTATTATTAACTATTATCATGTCTATCTTACTCACTAGAATGAAAGCTAGTCTAGTGTATCAGCTTGGTCTTACTTATTTTTTATGCTGAGAGGAGACCTTAAATAGCAGTAAGTATTTGTTGAACAAAATACATCATTTTAGTGTTACATGGTGGACAAAAAAATGAGAGAAGAAAAAAATAAATATTAAAAGTTTGAAGGGATAAATGGCAAAGGTGAAGTTTTACACAACTAATTAGACAAAAAAAGAAAAAATGATGCTTTAAGTGGGTTAAAGTAAGTAAGAGTCTGTAGAAGATATCTTTTTATTTCATTCTGTTGGTTAAATTCTGTTGGCAGAAGTCCTCAGCATTAAGAAGGGATTGAAGGCTGAATTTAAAGAGTCAAATAGTTGGATAACAACATGTTTACATGTAAAATAATTTCTTTATTATCTTTGTCTCAGTAAAATAACATGGTAGTCCTATGAATATAGAAACAATTATTTTGGGAATATAGGCATGAAAAAACACAAAATTTATATATTCATTTTTTATTCACTTGATAACATAGAAGAGTATGATCTTCTGGCCATGTGTTTTGCTCTGATAGTCTTGGAATGGGAATCTCAGCAAAGTGTGTAATATAAGCCATTCACTTCAGAGGGAATTTGTAGAATTTCATGAACAGTGGTCGTGATGTTAATGAGTATGTACAGTATTCTTCTGACAGGTATAACAGAATACAGATAATCCTCTGTTGTTTTATTAGGTATGAATTATGGCAGCTAGAAATAATGTGATCATTTATAGGGATTATAATATTTATGTATTTCAGCTGAAGAATCGGCTTTACATAAATGTGACAGGATGGAGATTAATGTGAAATATTTTCCACATGAAGTGATTGGGTTGAATTTACACTGAAAAAGATTATAGAAGAAGCAAGCTTTTCTTTTTAGAGTTTTGCTGTAGTTTTGCTGAAGTTCATTCTGATCTTAGAAATTACTAACTTCTGCTTAACATAATATCACTTAATTTGTAATACTAATTATTACAAATATTAAAATAACTACTGTAGTAAAAGACATTTGAGAAATCTTTATTTGGAAATGTGAGGATTTTTTAATAATGATATTGTAGATATCCAAACATTTATGAAATTAATCGATTAGTTATTATTATTTTAAAACATCTAAATCTGAAATGACATTCTCCAAAAGAATGAATATGTACAGTTATATGAAATCTTTTTTAGAGATGATATGATTTATTTAAGTGGCCCTTCTTTAGGCACATAGCTTATTCTACTCATATTTTTCTAACTTCATTTGATCATTAATCCACCTAGGCTAGCAATACTTAAAACTGCCTTTTCTACTCTTTCTTGCTTATCTTTCAGTACAGAAGCTATCTGCTGGATATAATGCCTTCTTTGCATTTTTTGTGGACTTTATTTTTCCCTCCATTGCCTATTCAGTACTTTTTATTGTATTGTTATATTCCTAAAAACAAAATAAGGAAATGTTAACATACTCATCTGTAGCCATTTAATTTGAGGAAAGAGATGTGAAATATGACTGATTTGAATAAAATAGTATTTTGAGTAACCTAATTTTGCTTCTGTGAAATAGCAGGTATTTGTATACTGCAATATTCGAAGTCAACTGAAATTCTCCAACTTCCTTATAATTTTGAGATTCATAGCAGCTTGAGCCCTGCTGAGTATTTCAACCTGAGCTTGCTAAATCATGTCAGTATTTCGAAGAGACAGTGGACCTTTTGGAAAATACATATTTCTAGGGCGAGGTGGGCGATGTATTCTTAAACTGTCTCCAGTATATACATGAGTTTTCCAGTTTGATCAAAAAAGCCCTACATTCTTCTAAGTGTAACTTCAGTGTTGAGCATTGGTCTCTGTTTTGTCTTTTCTTCAAATTCACTGAACTCTAAGGCAAATTTTGCCTATGTTTTTCTAAGACATTCCAAAACAAGTGACAATTTGGTTGATAATGAAGTTCTTTTAGATTACAAAGTTATTTGTGTAGAAGCATTATAAGAATACTATTTTTTTATTTTGTTTTATTATTATTTTTGAGACAGCATCTGGCTCTGTCACCCAGGCTGGAGTGTAGAGGCTCCATCTCCTCTCACCGTAACCTCTGCCTTCTGCACTCAAGTGATTCTCCCACTCCAGCCTCCTGAGTAGCTGGGACAACAGGCATCTGCCACCACGCCCAGCTAATTTTTGTTTTTTGGTTTTTGTTTTGTTTTGAGATGGAGTTTTGCTCTTGTTGCCAGGCTGGAGTGCAGTGGCGTGATCTCAGCTCATGCAACCTCCGCCTCCCCGCTTCAAGTGATTCTCCTGCCTCAGCCTCCCGAGTAGCTGGGACTACAGGCGTCCGCCACCACACCCGGCTAATTTTTGTATTTTTAGTAGAGACAGGGTTTCACATGTTGCCCAGGCTGGTTCCAAACTCCTGGGTTCAAGTGATCTGCCCCTCTCAGCCTCCCAAAGTTCTGGGATTACAGGCATGAGCCAGTCCTGGAATGCTATTTTAAATACAACTAAAATAACCATGTACATCTATGGTTTGCCTCTGAGTAAATAGATTTAGGTATAAAAGGTCTAGTTAAGAAGAGAACTTTTTTTTTTTGAGTGTTCACAATGTATTATTGTACTGCACTTCTTAAATATATGTTACCTTATTTAATCTCTTAAGATTTAGCTACTGCTATCCCTATAACACAAAGATCATAATAGCTAGCATTTACTGAGCACTTACTCTGTAACATGCACTGTTGTCAGAGCTTTACGTGTGCTATCTTTGTCACAGTCTCATTGAGAGGTATGATATTATCCCTGTAAAGAATTGAATTTCTGGAGATTTTAAGTAACTTGCCCAAGTAGTCCCGCTTTTCTAGGGATCAACCTTCACGAGATAATCAAGCTCATGTCTGATTCCCAAGGCTGTATTCTTTCCTCTATGTGACTGCTTCTCTTTTTATAACATATCAATGCTTGTTTTAAAATAGAAATTACTTTAGATAATTTAATAATTTAGTATCATAGATAATCCCTCAACTCTTCCAAGCTCCATGTTGGGGTTTTCCATGGCATGACACTACATACCCCAATGTGTACACGAATACCATTTTGAGAAGCTGAGCAGGTCAACATATTTCTTCCAAAGCTTGCACTGTATTTATAGCAGTTGTTGTGCAAGGAATGATGTCAAATTGACTAAACTGCCATCCTATATACCTTTGAATTGCTTTGGTGAAAATTCTCTGATGATTGGGAGTGTCTGTTCAGTCCTTCTTGCATCTCAAAGATAAACCTGCCAAATCAGGTGACAATTAATCTGCACAATGTGATGAAGAGCATTCAGGAGGTTGATGTTTAGCGAGTCCTGTGCAGCTCACATCACACATTTTTTCCTTCTAAGGTCAAGAGTGTCTTTGATGTTGACAGTGGTAATTTAGCTCTGAGCTGAACTACTGTTAAATTGTCTATATAGAGGCAAAGAAGTTGAGACTTTCTGTTCTACCTCACCATGTCACCTCTGTACTCCATGTTTTCCTGTAAGTGGCCCACATTTTCTTGTGAAATTACACATTTTCTCTCACTGTCAGAAAGAAAGAAAGAGAATTTCATTTTGTAATAATGCCAAAACACATGTGTGTGCTTCCACTAGCACACTGTAATGCTGGGACTTGGGAATGGTCCAGTCCGGCGATACGCTTGTCGCTTGTATTTATACATACAGACTTGTTCTGCTGGTCATGTGCCAGGTTCTGGCCATTTGTGCGTGTTTTCCCCTTTCCACCTAGTTTAAAGGTTTCTGTAATCTTAATATGCACCACTGCTAGTCACTTCACACTCTAGAAGCGAAAGTGAATGAGTATTGCTTACTAAACATTGCTGTTTTCTATAGATCTTTCTTTATTTGTAAGTCACAGAAAATTATTGTTCGCAGAAGGTGACTCAAGAATCTTTAGCCTGGCAGGAAGTAGAAATCTGATAAAGTTTAGTTGTTACATAACCCTGTTTGGTCAAAAAATGTGTTTTGAGTTGATTGGTATCAAATTAACATTTGTAAGCTGCTGGTCCTTTTAACTAGTGTTAAATTAAGAAAAATTTTCCATTAAGCAGAATTTCTAAATAATTTTCTTAATTTGGATCTTCTAAAGAGAAATTTTAAGCCACCAGCACTTGGACTGACTAGATAGCCCTTTGCTTTGATGCCTGGCCAATTTTTCCTCCATCTGTGAGTCAGCGTAAGTATGCCTACTCTTTTTTCAAACCTCCCCTGACTCACTCATGCAGAATAGAAGTCCTGCTTTCTGTTTTCTCCTTATGTACTTACTGTGCACTTGTGTAACAAGAGTTCTTTTAAGTATAATCTTCAATTTGATAAGGGCCTACCTCTGGAGTTGGCATGATGTTACACCATGTGTAAGAGTAGGAATTACCCCAGTTTATCTTTTCCTATCCAGTGCTGCACACAATGCCAGGCATATAGTAGGTACTCTCTAAATACATGATAAGGAATGGGTGGATGCATGACTTTGTCTTTAAGCTATAAAGTTAGTTGTTAAATAACATAATGATTCCTGGTAGTGAACTTCTGGAACATGTCTACAATGTAATAGCATGAACTGTGAAGCCAGATAGTTTCTGTGTGAATCCCAGCTCTGCCAAATCAAGCTTCTGTACCTGGGCAAGGTACTTAACCTCTCTGTGCCTCGCTTTCTTCTTTTGTAAAACCAGGATTATAATAGTATTTTAGGGCTTTTTATGGGGATGTAATGTGACCATACATCTGAAGTACTTAGAATAGCGCCTGATGCATAGTAAGCTGCTCTATAATATTTCTGTTCTTACTATATAACCTCCAAGGAAAAAGTAGAATTGCAGTGTGCTGTGACAACAGGCCCCTGGAAAAATGTGTTTTGGTAAGTGGAGAAGATGAATGGAAACTTAATTATGCCTAGCAAATTCCCATGGTCTCCGGCTCTGAAAGGATATCTTTGTTAATGCTCTCTTTGTTAAGAGTGTCTTAGGGAATGGACAGCTGAGGTCACAGTAAGACCTCACTGATGTTGCTAATGGAGCCTAGTGGTTTCATCTTGTGGGACATGGCAGTGTCATGAAGCCATCATTTGACTCATCTAATTGTGAATTATTGTGAGAGAGAAACAGGAATTAGGGTAACTGTAGACTTTTGTCCAAACCAGGAAGGGGGTGCTGTTATAAATACATTGAAACAGTGGGCATAGACAGAGCAGTTTCAGGCAAACCAGAATTACTTAGAAGAACAATTTAGACTTTCAGTACATATGTGGCCTAGTTCACTTAAGAACCTTTCTGAGATACTCTACCTTTGATGTGCACCGTTACCTTGAAACTGCTTTCGGAAGATAAATGTTAATTTATCCCTCCTCTGTTTAATTTCATTCATTAGTACAGAATGTGAACTACACAGTTGATTTTAGGTCTCACTGCTTTCCCCAGTCTTAGTGTCCGCTGAGTGGGCCTGGGAAGAAGAGCTGATTCCTTTACCGCATGGTAGACTGGAAAGCAGTGGAAACAAGAGAGAATGACATGAATTAAGAAGTTACTTTTTCTTTAATCTAAATGTTTAACCACCTCCCCTGAATTGAATTCCATTTTTGAATTGCAACCAGTCATGTTCAGTTAACCCAGATCCTTGGATTTATAACTGAAAAAAAAAAAAAAACTTATTCAGATCAGTGGCTTTTCATGACTGTTTATCTTTACGGTGTCAGAACCGGACTAGAACTTAGGTTTCAGTTATTAAATCCAATGCTGTCTTCAGTACACTGGTAAATCATCAGAGAATTTAGTGTCTAAATAAATTAAACCTCTATGTTCTTAATAGCTGAAGCTTCCTCATATATATAATATATATATAGTATATATATATTGTGTGTGTGTATGTATATATATATATATAAAATTAGAGAATTATTTACATCTGGTTTTATCCTCTTACAAGAGCATTTGGATTTGAGAGCAGCAAGTGGCACCCTGCCAGTGACAAATGGAGGCACTGTGGTTGCCTTCCCATCATCCGCTACCTTTTATGGTGTCAAGGGATTTCTAGCTCTCCTTTGTGACCCAGCTGCAAAACAGCTGTTGTTTAGGCTCCTGCCTTTTCACTCTCACAAGACAGCTTTTCTTACCATCCCCACAGGGTTTAAACTTCTGCAGTACAAGTGTCAACTCCGTTTTGTGAGCTCAGGCCTCCCGTTTGGGAGCCAAACAGCATAGCACTTCTCATGCTATCGCTAAGCAGTTTGGAAGGAATTATCCAGTGAATGCTTATAGTGCTGGTGATAACAAATGAGAAACACCCATTGTAGTTACAGCTGAATGGTTGGAGTCATGGCTAATAGCTAATATTTCAGGGTTTTCTAATTGCACTAATTCCCTAAATGGAGATCACATTGACCACTTTATCCATCTAAAGTAAAGTTTCCTATTGGAAACCAGTTTTTCATGAACTTTTGGTGTCATCTTATGCATCATAGAATGCTAATAAAATTTGCGGGTTTTTTTTTTTTCCCTTATGAGGAGGAGGTGTTACCAATTATGGCAATGGCATGAAGCTCTGAGTATCACTCAGGTCTCAAGATTTAGTCAGATTTACCACGGAAACTATGCCATCCATCATTTAGGCAACAACACTTCATAAGGAGAGTACGCATTTAAGAAAAGTGTTTTGAGTGTTTGCTTTTGCAAGATGTTTAGCATTCTTCGTGCATCTTTGACCACCTACTACGCATCTGGTCCTTGGATAAGTGTTGATTAAACAATTCTACTAAATTGGTTTACAATGAGCAAAAGAGATTACAAATGGTAATTAGAGTACATATGGTAAGTGTCACAACAAAAGTAGGAATCAAGTGTTGTTAGAGCACCCAGGAGGAAAAAGACTCAGCTTAAAGAATTCTGGGCAGGCTTAATTTGGTCATGGCCATAGTTGGCAAGTTATCTAAGACAAATAGATTTTGGGGTTATTTCCTCTTCTAATTTTAAACTAAACTAAAAAAAAAAAACATACACATTAATTTTTATGCCCCCTTATCATTTATGTTTTATGTTATTTTTTAAAAACCCTCATTGTGTCTCCTCTCCTTCTGCTGACACTGCTGCTCCTCTTTCCTTCACAGCCAGGTATGTTGGCAGTTGTCTGTAATTGTTCTATCCATTTCCTTACCCACCGCTCCCCAAATAACACCCACTTCTTCTGGCTTCCATACCTGTTAAACATACCTTCCTGCAGTTACCAGTGATCATGTTATGAAATCTAGTGGATGTTTTTCAGCATTAGACACAATCAACTACTGCTGTTTTCTTGAGACCCTGTTTCACTTTACTGTCAACCTCTTGATTCAGCCTGGTAAACCACACCCTTGACATCTCAGCTATCTCAAAAGTAGGCCAATCTCAACAATTCTCAAAACTAAGCTTATAATCCTACCCACTAAACTTGGCTTTCTTCCATTATTTACTATCTTCTCTTCGGTTTTGGTCCAAAAACTTAGGGTCACCCTTGCTACTCCATCCACCTCTTTGCATTATCTCTGTTCTATCCACATTATTCTGTCTGAATTTATACAAATAAATTTCTCTCATGTCAGTCCACTAATCTTCCTTTCGTTGCCACTTCTCTACGTGCCTTCTGCTCCCATTCCACTCTCTTATCCTCAGTACCCTCAGAGTGATATTCATAAAACAGCGGCTAGCATCTTAGTATGACTGATAAGCCAGGTATGCCCTGCTCTTGCCTGCATTTTCACTTTTTTGTATGGTTCGCCTTCACTCCCCTCTGCCTCACTCAACCTGGGCTTCACACAGTGTTTTTGTTTTTCTGCCACAGATATTTTACCTTTGCTGTGCCTCTACTTAGAATACTTTTGTTTCTGCTTCAATTAGCTAATCATACAAATATTTTGATTTTTAGATCAAGCATCAATTCTTTGGAAACCTTCCTTGAGTATTTCCACTAAATCAGACCAACTGTTATAGGTCAAATGGCCATCGATTGTGTTTGTCATACTCTTAGCACCGGAAGTTTTTCGTGCTTCGTTAGGGCAGGAGTTGTGTGTGCTCCAAATCACCATTTTCATTCTAGGGCTCAACACAGCACTGGGCACATGGTAGGTGCCCAACAAATATTCATCGGAATGAAAGGAATCAATGAATACATTTAATGTATTGTGGAAATTTCATTGTTTTAATTAAAAGCAGACACTTTGGTTTGTAATTCAGAGGTAAATTCTATGCATAATTCTAAAGTCTGAAAACAGCATATTTTAATATTTAAAATGATTTGCATAATTTAAAAATGAAATTTTAGGATATACTTGTATTTACCTGTAACTTTATTGTAAATTTAATTCAAACATAATTTCTACTTGCTTCACCTTAGCTTCCTTAGATGTTGTAATGAAATGTCTGAATACTGTTTTCATCAACTGAGATTATGGATGGATAACCCTTATGATAAGATGTTGGTTTTCCCTCTACTTTGAGCTTAGTGTCAGGATACCAATATAGCAACCTAAGTAATTTTCTCAGGTGGAGTTTAAGATGTGATTGTAACCTATCAAATTATCTCCACTGAAATGTTACTGCAGTATGTGTGGGTGACTCCTTTAAGTTAGAAGGGAAAATATACAAGTGAACAGATGTAGAAAGGAAATTAAAATGGTAACATTACAGGAAGTCTGAGTAAGCTAAACACCTTCATTTATGTAATATTCATAGAAGTCAACCATGTTGTGTTTATACCTTAAAATCTATCTTTTTTTACTCATAATGTCAAAGCTGTGTAGAAAGCAACAGCTCAGTTTGAATTATAAGAATCTCAGGTATTTAAATACATATTTATGAAAGGTGAGTTACTTATAATTTGAATGGTTATTTAAAATGGTCCTGTATGTTTACTTTTTATAATTCTTTTTATTATATTTTTTAATTGAAAACATGATTAAAATGTAAGTGGGTAAGTTTTTTGCTGTTGCTTTTCCCATTTTCCCCCCTTGGCATTCTTGCAAGTCTTTTTCTTTTGCTTTCTTCTCATTGCAAGGTATCCGATTTCCAGTATTCTTATGTCTTGCCAATTCTCGGCCTATGGCACCCTATCTAGTCGGTGTTTCTGAATTTCTTCCACACTCTTTTATCCTAGCATCTCAATCACACAGAACTCTATCACTCCACTACATAGGCACCTTCCTATCAACACTTGCTTTCATACAGTCTTTCCCATGTGAATAAATGATACCTGCATTCACCCATGTACAGCAAGTGAAAATTTGTGAAGTCAAACTAGATGGGCATAGTGGTGTGCACCTGTAGTCCAAGCGACTTGGGAAGCTGAGTCGGGAGGGTCACTTGAACCCTGGATTTTAAGGTTGCAGTGAGCTATAATCATGCCACTACACTCCAGCCTAGGCAACAGAGTGAGACCCCATCTATAAAAAAAATTTTTTTTTAATGTAGAGTCATCTTTGACTCTTCTTTTTCCATTATATCCACACCTGATCCACTGGCCACTTGTCTTTGAAAGAGATCCTGAATCTACTCATTTCTCATTACTTCCACTGCTGTCACTTTTGTTTAAGCTGTGGAGTATTAACCTTCTAAGAGGTCTCCCTACAGACAGTTTTCCACCCAAAATCTAGGGTGTTTTCTAAAATTTATAAGTGAGATCATATTGTGCCTCTATTTCGAATCCTCCATGATGTTCCTTCCTCTTCAAAAGACACTCCAGGGCTCAATACAGCAGCATATACACTAAAAGGGAAAGGACACAGAGATTTGATGGCTCTTGTACAAGGACGTCACATAAATTCATGAAGTGTTCCATATTTGCACAGTTCCCAGAGGCTGTTCAACCCTTTCTTGGTTAACACCTAAGAAAACAATATGAGTAAAAGCAACATGTGGCATTCAAATTGAAATGAATTTTCACTACCAAAAAAAAAAGAAGAAGAAAAGAAAAGAAAAAAGACTAATTTCATGCTCCTTACAGAACCCACTAGGCCCTGCACAGTCTGGTCCCTCCTGTCATACTCCTGACTCACAATTTTTTATGGGATTTGCTCAACTGCTGCTGTGATGTTTTCCTTGATAGGCCCAAAGACTCCAAACATGTCAGATCTTTGCCTGCCCTGCCTACTCCCTTAGGTTACTCTTCAAATATCACTAAAGGCCTTCCTTTGTCACTTTATCACACATAACCCTCCCCCCTCCCCCCGCCCCAGTTGTGCATTGCTCTCTTCCGCATTATTTTTCACAAAGCACTGAAGACTGACAGTGTTACCTACTCATGTGTAAACTAAGGATTCCACCACTAAAATGTGAGCTGCACCAGGGAAGGAACTTTGTCTTGATTACCAAGGCCTGGAACCGAGCCTATCACATAGCAGGAACTTAATCCATTTTTATAGAGTGAAACATCACATCTCTGAAGCCTTCTCTTTCATTTCTCAGTACTTAGATGTACTGTGTTCTTGAGGTACTTACTTTGACCATTAGCGTAGTACATTTTTTTAACAGTCTACACTAGATGTCTTCTTCTCTTCTCATCAGTCTCAAAAGATCCAGTGACTAATCTTTTTATTCACCTTTGAAATCCCTACAGTAAAATGAGCCAATTATACAGATGGTGCAATTAAGAAAATGTTATTAGGTTATAAACTATAATTTACAGCCTGCTTATTTCATTTAGCACTGGATCTTGAAGAACTTTTGTGGTTTAGATAATTTTCTGCACAATCATTTTAGTAGAAACATTGTATTTCATTGAAATGATTTTTGGCTACTCAAGTTCATGCTAGCGGACATTGAGTTCGTATGAACAATATTATAATAAAAATGAATAGCAACTTCTTTGTATTTAAAGGTATTTTCTTAGGACAAATAGGTAGAAATAGAATCAGTTGGCTAGTGTGTCTGTGATTTAATGCTTTTCATATGTGTCAAATTTCCCCCAGGATGTTTTTGTTACATATTACCGTATTTTAATAGCGTGTCATATGAACACCTGTTTTTATGAACCCTCAGGAATATTGAATTCTCTCTTTATTTGGGAAATTTTTTAATAGATGAATAACATCTCCTTGTATCAATTTGCATTTTAGGTAAACCGAATACATGTTTCTTTAGAAATTCTGACCATTATTTTTTGGTATTTGCAAACTATTCCTATGTGCCCTTTGCTCATGTAACATATCTGGCTCCCAGGCTGGAAAGGCAGCTGAGTGTGATGATCCACTTCTTTATCTTGGAGTGAAACTCAGTCTGTTGCAGTCTTTTATTCCCACTTGGTCAGCCATTTAACTTCAGCCAGTTTTGTGACCTCCTCCTTTCCCAGGGGTTAACCTAAAACTGGGAAGCATAATGGTGCTCACAAAACTAGGAGGGAGGCTGTCCTGGCCATCTGATCTGAGCTGACACCACCTTACAGCCTGATGGCTCTGCAGTGGCACTGAGGATGGGCTTCAGGGAAGCTTTGCTCAGGATGACAGTTCTGGCTCTGGAGTCCAGCCTTGTCCTGGGCATAATACCATGGAATCATTCCTCCCTTGTGAGGTCTCTTCGCCTATTCTGGATGTTGTCCTTGAACAGTGTGAAGCACTCACTTTGACCTCTAGCTGCCCTTGGTGTCACTTGATACAATTTTTCAATGAGCTTAAGTCCTATGACACTATAAGTATATTTCAGCCAGCCTCTGCTTTAGGATGTTTAGGAAGAGAGGGCACAGAAGACCAGATATTTATAGAAAGTGGGACTTGGATGACAATTCAGGGAGGACAAACATTAATATCAGTTAACTGTTCAGCCAGATCATTTCTGTATCAGGTAGCTTTATTCTGTCATTTCTATTTATGATGTTGTAATGTTCTATAGCAGAATATGGTGACTGTACTTAACATCAATGTATTGTATAGTTCAGAAGAGCTAGAAGAGAGGATTTGAAATGTTTTCAGCATGTAGAAATGATGAGTATTAATACTCAAGTTGATGGACACCCCACCTCAACACACTCTGACTTGGTCATTATATGGAATATCACATGTAACAGAATGTCACATGTAACACATAAATATGTACAAATATTTGTATCAAAATTTTTTTAAAAAATTTTAAACTATCAAATAATGTTCCTTTTATTTGTAAATGATGGTCATCACAAATTACTTTTTACACTCATTTAACTATAATGCATGGTTAAACAACATATTTTTCAAACTACACATAAGCTTTTGGACCTGTTTTATCAGCTGCTTCCCTTTCATATTTGTTATTGGTATAGAGATAACATTTGAATGTGAAATGAAAATGTGATTTGCATTGGTTGTGAAAAATAACAGACACTCACTATTGTAAGAAATTCCCAAAGAGTAAACACCAGACATATGGAAGTGGCTGCTAGAACACACTACTTAAGAGACTGTTCCTTCCCCAGACTTGAAGCAGCCTCTAAATAAAGAGTAGGGCCACTGAAATGAAGTTCTCTGGTTTGTTCTTGATTTTGTTCTAGTTGATATTCCTACTGATGCTGAAGGTATAGGTAATCACCAATTAAGATACAAATATTTGTTTCAGCATGTGAGCTAGTTCAGAAGAACTATTTTTATCATTTTAGAAACCTTAGCTGGTATGACATTTTCCAGATATGAAATGGAGAAGTTACTACTTTGTTCACCGCTCTGTAATTTACTAATAACATGTAAATAAGTAATTAAGTAGTAACTATAAACTATTAAGTTATATAAAGAAAATAGGGCCATACATGGTGGCTCACACTTGTAATCCCACCACTTTGGGAGGCCACGGCAGCTGGATCACTTGAGGCCAGCAGTTCGAGACTAGCCTGGCCAACATGGTGAAACCCCGTGTCTACTAAAAAATACAAAAATTAGCCGGGTGTGGTGGTGCATGCTCTAGTGACAGCTTCTCTGGAGGCTGAGGCATGAGAATGGCTCGAACCCAGGAGACAGAGGTTGCAGTAAGCTGAGATTGCACTACTGCACTCCAGCCTGGGTGACAGAGTGAAGCTCTTGGAACTCTGTCTCAAAAAAAAAAAGAAAAGAAAAGAAATCATAGTAGCCTATTTATATGTTGACTGGTTATTGTATTTATGGAATACTTGGATGGCTATAGAAGAAAAGGTAAAGATTTGTGTTAGTTTATAGAACACGATTAATGCACTATTTACATTAGGGGAAAAAGTATATATATGTATATTTATACATAAATGTATTATATATATTTACATATAAATGTATTATATATTTATATTTATGTATAGTAGAAAAACATTATTTTCTCCTATTATACTCTCAACCTAAAACACTTCTGACACAAGTGTCATTGCGGGAATTCCGCACAAACCAATCATCAAAGTTACCACAAACCAAGCCGTTGTCCCGCAGACACCAACAGGATGCCCTACTATTAAATTCTGACACTAAACAGAGTTAGTGCAGACCTCACAGGTTAAGGACTCAGTCTCACAAAACTGCTGCCCCACTTTAGGTGCCAATCCAAGTTGTAGGTTTCCAGGTTACCCACAAACTTCTATACAACATGACTACAAATTGGAGGTTCCCATGACCCTCTTCCTGGGTCCAGTTTGCTAGTGTAACTCACAGAACCCAGGAAAACAGATGACTTACTATTGCCAAATTATTACAGAGGATATTTTAAAGGATACAATTGAACAGCCAGATAAAGAGATACACTTGGGGAGGTTTGGAAACATCCTCAGCATAGGAACTTCTGCCCTGCTGGAATTGAGGTGTGCCACCCTACTGGGGTATAGACATGTTCTTATTCACCAATGCAGAAGCTTTCCAAATCCTGTAATTCAGGGATATTTATGGAGGTTTCTTCATGTAGGCCTAATCAATTATTAACTCAGCCTCCATCCCTTCTCCTCTTCCCGGAGAATTGTGGGAAGGGGTGGAGCTGAAAATTCCAAGTTTCTAATCATGGCTTGATCTTCCTGGTGACCAGCCCCCATCCAGGAGCCTATAAAGATTTGCCTCATAAGAACAAAAGACACTCCTTTTAGGCAATTTCAAAGAATTAGAAGCTATGTATCAGGAAACTAGGGTAAAAGACGAAATATTAGAGCAGAAGATTCTCCTAGTACCCCTATGGCTCAAGAAATTACAAGGATTTTAGAAGTTCTCTACCAGGAACTGGGGATGAAGACCAAAATACACATATTTCTTATTATAAATTGAAATATTAAAATTTACATCTTTAAATATACAAAAATATATATACATATTTACATAAACACTCAAAATCATAATGCAATGCAACAATGTAAGGTCTTGGTGCCTTCAGGTGTCATTTAGTAAAATATTTCAGAGTTGTGGTTATCAAGACACACTACAGAGTTGGGTAGTTGATGTAATAAATAATTTGTCACTAAAGATAAGGGACAAATATTTGAGTATAGTTTACTTTTTAAAAATAAAACAATTTAAGCTGAAGCCATAATAGTCTAATTATCTCATATTTAATATTCCTCCTTGCTCTAAGGGGAGTTTTAGAAATGATTGAAGGAGTGTGTGTGTGTGTGTGTGTGTGTGTGTGTGTGTGTGAAAATACGTGTGTATTTTTATATTTGTGTATTTTGTGGTTAGATAAACCATTGATCAGTGATTGGGAGAGATGCTGCTTGCCTTGTACATCCACTCAGCTGCGCACCTGAGCTGAACAGTGGTAGTGGCATCCAGTTTAGCTAAGAAAACAAAATCAATTAGCTTAATACTGATCCCATGATATAGATTAGGCTAAACAAATTTTACTGAATATTTCTCTTACATTTATATGTTTTATTGCTGCCAATCCGAGTGGACCTGACCAGGCACTCTCCTAATTGGGATGGTGGTTTTTTTTTGTTCATGAGTTTAATAAATACTGGTTGTTTTTAATACTCAATACAGTCCGTTTTTCTTCGTTTCTGAACCAGTACATGTGTTCAGACATGTCAACCAGTAAACAAAATGAGGAATAATGCTTGTTTGTGCCGAATGCTGACATAACATAAAAGACACCAGGAAAAATCTGCTGAGAAATGACTTTTTCTTCACTTTAACTGCCAACCCTCTAGAACAGTAACAGTTGAAATAGTAAATTTGATTAAACATCATATTACCTCTTCTTCCTCATGCTTCCCTCCTACAAACCAGCAACCTTTATCCCTGGTTGGCTTATGAATTTGGTTGACTTTTAATTTTATTTACAGCAAGTCATCACTTAACGTAGTTGATAGATTATTGGATGCTGCAACTTTAACAAAGCAAAAGGATGTACAGCAGGTCCTTGAAATAACATTGTTTTGTTTGATGTTGTGTTGTTATAATGCTGATGAGGAAAAAAAAATGATTTCGTCATATGTCATTTCACTTGTAGTTGATGTTTCCAAGAACCGACTGACCACATTAAGTGACGGCTTACTGTACTCTCCTGAGAACTGTCTTTTCCTCTTTATCATTTGGCACTTGGCTAAATAAATAGTGGTCAAAGCAGAAAGATGAGTTTTTGTGTGATGGCACAGTGTCTCCCCCTAGAAAGAATGTTCTCACCTTCAACGTGTTTATTTTGCATCTAGGAAAGCATGAGACTCATTGCATTTAAAAATTTGGTCCACTGAGCAACAAGAGGGTACTGTCCTTTGAGTTTTGCTGCATGTTTTTAAAATTTCATAATATTGTTTTGCCAATGGACTATACAGAGAGATTTTACTACCCTGTTTACTGTGACATTGATAAAAGAGCCAGTTCCTTCTTTTCTGTTCTTAAAACTTAAGTGGAAGCTTCTTTTTTAAATCTTTGCATATGACATTTGTATAGACAGTGCTTTACTGATGATAGCTTTCATTTTACATCTTTTTTCTTAAAGTATCATTTTTTGCAAATTCTTTGTATATTGCTTTCTAGTGATGATTTTGTCAGATGACCATGTGTTTTGGGGGCTGTGTATAAAACAAAATACATTATTTGTCATTTATAACTGCATTTTTTGCACACTGTCGAATATATATATGTGTGTGTGTATATACATATAAAGTAACAGTTAACATTTATTACAAACATATACGTAGGTAGTATAATAGTTAATTTACATGTATCACATCAGATAAATCAGAAATCCTAGGAGATAGGTTTTGTTATCCTTTTTAAAAATTAAGACTATTTTAAAGTAGTTTTAGGTTATTAAAAATTGAGCAGAAAGTACAGAGTGTTCCCATAAACCTCCTCACCTTCCCACAACCCCAGATACACAGTTTCCCCTATTATGATCAACTTACTCTGGTGTCGTAGATTTGTTACAGTTGATGAGTCTATAGTTTATATTGCAGTTCGCTCTTTTGTGTTGTGTGTTCTATGAATTTGGGCAAGTGCTTAATGGCACGTATCCACCATTACTGTATCAGATGAAATAGTCGCATTGCTCTAAAAATCACATGCTCTGCCTGTCCTCTTTTTTTTTTATTAAAGAAATTATAGTTACAAGTTGAAATAATTTTCCAAGGGTCACATAGCTAAACAAGTGTGGGAGCTGTTCTGCTTCCCTAGAATCTGTACTCCTAATTCATACATTAGGCTGCCTGATTTGTTACAGTTACTAAATCATTTAGAGAAACCTAATCGGTAAGATACTTGCTAATTCTTCTTATTTTTAACTTTATCAAGTGTATGTATAGGAAACATTCTGTCTGTGCTTTCCTTTGAAGTTAAAATGTGGGAAACATTGCAGGGAATTTAAAATTTTTAATTACTGCTATTTGACAAGACTTGTGATTTAACGAGGAGTTACTGAATAGAGTAGCATTACTAAATTGATAGAAGAAATGAGGAAGTCTGTTGTCTGATCATTTGCTTATCACTAGCTATAGGTAGTAGAGACATTAGGTTATGTCCTAGCTACTAGAATAATGAGTTAATGAAGGATGTAGCAACAATGAGTTTTTTGTTTTGTTTTGTTTTGTTTTGTTTTTAATGACGGAATGAACAAAAGGAGAGGGAGTATGGAGAAAAGAGTCAAAGCTGCGTACCATGTAGCACAAGTTGTCCAACCCACAGCCTGCAGACAGCATGTGGCCCAGGACAGCTTTGAATGCAACCCAACACAAATTCATAAGCTTTCTTAAAACATTATGACAGTTATGCATGAACCTTTTTAAAAAAAAACTGATCAGCTATCATTAGTGTTAGTGTATTTTATGTCTGGCCCAAGACAATTCTTCTTCCAATGTGGCCCAGGGAAGCCAAAAGATTAGACACCCCTAGTGTAGCAAATTAGGTTAATTATATACCTCTAACTTTAGAAAATTGGTCTTCATAACAATAGTTTTAAAAATATACTCAAAGTAAGAAAAAAACATTGCCTGAAGTTTATGTGGGTAGAGAGTATATAAATTAGGAGCAGGCAGGTAAGGTCATTTGTCTTTACCATGGTCTGTGGCTTTGGACACCACCCAGTGCCTTACTACCCTTCATAGTCACCATATATCTTCATCCCAGCCATGCCAAACAAGATAGAACTGCTCCAGGCAAGTGCTTATTAGGGTTGTTCTCCTATCTTGTGCCATCCTTCTGTGTTACAATGGAGGTAACTGTGGTTCAGAGGCAATAACTAGGTGAAGAATGTATACTTTTAGAATCTGTTTCGACTGTGGTATTCTTTAATGAAAAATCAATTTGTTGTATGTAAACGTTCACCCCTGTTTTTTGCTTATTTTCCTTGTGCGTATGATGGTAATATTTACTTAAAACTACAACAAAGAAAGTGACCTAGCTTTAGATTAAATCCTGGATTAGCAGAATTTTAGTCCTGAGTGATTGCAGCAAGGATAAATAGCTGCTTGAGATTCACCAAATTGTGACTTCTTTTTTTCATAAATGGCCTGTAAATATTTGGCCTGTAATATTTTTCATTACAGGCCTGTAAATATTTGGCCTGTAAATGCCAAATGTTGAGGCCAAGGATAAGCTGTAAAGGGTGCAAAGGATGGCTGTCTCATTTCGTTTAGCCTTGGCCTTAATCAGTCTAGAATGAGGTTACATAACAATTCTGTCACACTCTTCTTAGTACCCTTGGATTGTTTTAAGTATTTTTGGCATACATACATTATAAGAAGTATTATTATTTTCTAAAGGAGGAATGACTGTGTAATTCAATATAATTTGATGAAATATAATGTTAGGTATTTTGAGATGCCTGTCATCTCAAAATTTAAAATGGCCACAGTTCTTTACAAGGAAAAAGAAGGAATGAAGAGGAAGCAAATGAAAGGGAGAAAATAAAATAGAAAATGACAATAATGTTTCTTTAAAACTGTCTTGTCTTTCTGGTTTCTGTGAGACCTTTTTTGTTTTTCAACCTTGTCTCTTGCTTTCCTGGCCTGATCTTTTTGGTGGGCCATTCTCATCTTCTGTTATATATTCTTCATGCCTTCCAGGGTTCAGACCTCAGTGTTCTCTCTCAACACTTTTTCCTTGATCATCCTCACATAGATAAAAACAAAAATTTTTTTTTTCCTTTCCTATGATGATTACCAAGTAGACATTTGGCTACTTCAGTTAGGCCCAGGCAGTGAAGAATCCCTCATGATCTGTTCCTGAATCATCCATTTTCTCTGTTTTTCAAGGGTCGTAAGAGTGAGGCTGAAAAGCTCTTCTTGAAGGCTATTGAGCTGGATCCCACCAAAGGAAACTGTTACATGCATTATGGTGAGTGGTTGATAGTTTTTTTTCCATGTCCCCCACATTTACTATTAATGTTGATATGAGATCTAGGCTTTGCTGGCAAAGAACATTTTAAGAGGAGATGGACTTTGTTATTGCAGATTTAGCCTCATGCTATATTCCTACCTTCTCATTCAAAACAGTCCTATTAGACGGGCTGTGCATTATATTTTCCTTTAGTAATTTTAATAGGATTTTAACAGGGATGGCATTACACAGTTGTTTTTTTTCAAGTTCAGTGTGGAGTTTAAATGAGATCTCATCAGGAAAGCATCTAGCTCCTTGCCTTATGCATACTTTATAATACAACATTTGCTTCTTTTCATTCTAAGTGATAACGTATTGCTCATTGAGCATGTCATTTTGAAGTTTTAGAAGTTTACATTTTGGCCTCAAAAGTCTTGCTTTCTGGAAGATATGGATGTACACTAGCCTGTAAATGCCAAATATTGAGGCCAAGGATAAGCTGTAAAGGGTGCAAAGGATGGCTGTCTCATTTCGTTTAGCCTTGGCCTTAATCAGTCTAGAATGAGGCTACATAACAACTCTGTCACACTCTGCTCTGTCATTAGTAGTGATCATGTGTTTAGTGAGGCAAAGTATATAGCTGGTTTGATATTGTGTAAGATGTGCTTATTTCTACCAGATTTGCAGTTGGAATTTCTTTTAGGGAGCCAAAAAGCATTTACTTTGGCTGATCCCTTGGGGGGAAAATGTGGTTTTTTGATCACTGTTGGCTTTGATGTATTAATGACTATCAAGTAGTAAACTTAAAAGTGGACAGAAATTAAATATAAGGAAATAAAACCAATATACTAGTAGAATATTTAATTCCTTCTCCCAGTTTCCAGCTAATAAAAATAAATCAGTGACAGGCTGCAAGTGTAGAAGAATGGAAATAATAAAATAATGGAGATACTCAAATAACCACAAATCCATTTTTTACTTTATGTTATTGTGTGTCTATGTTTACAAACCTAGGGTTGCAGTGCATTATCTTCCCAGCATTAATGCGGGATGGTACAACTCCTGATTTTGTTTCACAATGCAGCTGTAATGCCATGTTAAAATAGTAGTCAACTAATTTAAGTTTGCTGCAGAATTTATTTTTATTTTTATAGGTTTTCCTATATGAAGTACTTCAGGATTTTCTCATGCCTAGTATTTTTGGGTACCTCAACTGTCCATGAATGTCGTTCCATGGTGATTTTCCCTGAGTGCTAAAAGGCTGCCTGTCATTGCATGTTATAAAATAGGAGGTTTTTTTTTCCCACTATCTGCTGTCTGCATTTCATTTGCCTCATACTGATTCTACTTACTGCATCTTCTAAACTTGTTTCCTATAATATTATAGAGAATATTTTATATATATATATATATATATATATATATATATATATAGGTTTGTCACAATCCATTTCTTTAAACAGTATCATTGCTCCTTTTGAACTGCAATTTCACTATTTTATTAATTTTAAAAGTTGGCCCCCTTATTAATCTGGTTATATCCATCTTCTACTTATAAAAAAAAGTATTGTGAGTTTTACATTACATCATACTCCTAAAATATTTTTTTCCAGTGGTGATAGTAGCGGGTATTTCTCCCATGAAAAATTTTTGGATTTAAACAGAAAGTTCTACAAAAAAAATTTTTTTTTTAATTTTTTTAGATGGAATTTCACTCTTGCTGCCCAGGCTGGTGTGCAATGGCACGATCTCGGCTCACTGCAACCTCCACCTCCTAGGTTCAAGCGATTGTCCTGCCTCAGCCTCACAAATAGCTGGGATTACAGGCACCCACCACCATGCCCAGCTAATTTTTTATTTTTTATTTTTTTTTATTTTTAGTAGAGATAGGGTTTCACCATGTTGGCCAGGCTGGTCTCAAACTCCTGACCTCAGGTGATCCACCTGCTTTGGCCTCCCAAATTGCTGGGGTTAGAGGCGTGAGCCACTGCGCCCAGCCTACAAACTTTTTATTTTGTGTGGTATTTGGAAAGCAGTGATAACAAATGTCTTTAAATGCATGTGTAAAAACCAATTCTTCTTAGAACCCTTGGATTGTTTTAAGTATTTTGGCATACATACATTATAAGAAGTATTTTATTTTCTAAAGGAGGAATGACTGTATAATTAAATATAATTTTATGAAACATAATGTTAGGTATTTTATGAAATTTTATAAGTTTCAATATTTTCTCCTACTTTGGAGTTGGTAATAGAAAGAACTCAAAATGAGGTTCCAAAAAGGAGTAGTAGTTAGGGCAAAATAATCTACAAACAGATGAGAAGGCCATAATTGAGTGCGTGAGATTCTTTGCTCACTGTGCTCAGATTATAAAACATGAAAATTTAAGAGAATCTTAATGATTTTCTTTTAGAGGGATCTATTTCAAAGGATTGAATTTTAGAACTGGAACTGTAAAGTTCTGTTAAAATTATGTAATATAACCTGTCTGTTGAACAAATAAGATTGAAGCCTAGAGAAATGAAGTTGACTTGCTCAAGTTAATTACAGGTAAGTTCTGGATTCCTTGATTACTGTCATGCTTTTTCTTCCATAAAATATATTCTGAGTTCGGGCACGGCGGCTCACGCCTGCAATCCCAGCACTTTGGGAGGCCGAGGCGGGCAGATCACTAGGTCAGGAGTTTGAGACCAGCCTGACCAACATGGAGAAACCCCGTCTCTACTAAAAATACAAAAATTAGCTAGGCGTGGTGGTGCATGCCTGTAATCCCAGCTACTCAGGAGGCTGAGGCAGGAGAATCACTTGAACCCGGGAGGCAGAAGTTGCAGTGAGCCAAGATCGCACCACTGCACTCCAGCCTGGGTGAGAGAGCAAGACTCTTGTCTCAAAAAAAATAAATAAATAAACAAAAAAACCATATAAATATATATATATATACACATATATGTGTGTGTGTGTGTGTGTGTGTATATATATGTATGTGTATATATATATGTGTATGTGTATATATATATATGTGTGTGTATATATATATATATGTATATATATCCTGGTTTGGGGTTTTTGTGGTTTTATTTTTGGGGGTTTGCTTTTTTTTTCCCCAAAATATTGGCAAATAGAGACATAGGTAGATATTTTCAATCAGTAGGCCCTGCTGTGCACAGTTTTAGAACTCAAATTCATGTCATGACTTAGCTTAAAGTTCATAGAGAATGTTTTTTGATAATTTTAATATTTATACAGTGTATCTACTAGGTGCAACCACACTGTTCTGTGTTCAGAAAGTAATACTGTATAGGAAATAAACAGGATGTCATCTTTAGAAGGTGATGAGGTAGGAAGTTGGATACTCCTTGAAACAAGGTAGTCAGATAAAGCATCTTTGAGAATATGATATTTGAAATCTCTATGTTAATCCAACTATTAAAGGGCTACGTTCATACAGAAGAAAGAGAAAGTTCAAAGGTCCAAGACAATATTAAGCTTGTGTTCACAGCAGAGAAAAAAAAACCTAATGTGACTGGATCCCATCGAACTAGGTAGGAAAATGGGAGGAAGGGAGGCCACAGAGGAACCAGAAGTAGAGCCCATAGGGACTTGGAGACTGAGATAAGGAGTTTTGCATTGTATTCTGAGTGTACCGGAAGGGACCATGTGGAGAAGACAGGACTAGAGAAAGGTCAGAATAGAACAAGGGAAACTCTGTAGATAGTTGTTGCAATGTTTTCATCAAGAGATGATGGTGGTTTGGACTTGGAAGTAGTTGTGGGAATGTAAATATTTATACTGAAATTGTTTGTTTACTTCCTTTAGAAGATTCTAACATAAGAGTAGGGATGGTGTGTTTTCCATTTTTGTATCATCAATATATCTACTATATTGCTGTTTACACAGTAATGTGCAATGTATATTGAGCTCAGTTAGGAATATCCTCCATTCTAGAATTGGATCTGGATTACAAAATTGCCTGAAAAGATGTTCTATTTGAATTTTTATTTCTTGTTTAAGAAAATACGTACTATGATTCTCGTATCAGTTCCTTGCCAACTTGCTGGTTATAGATATTCTTAGATTGTTATGCCAACAGATTGAATGAATAATAACACTTCCTCAACTTAAAAATAAATGTTTAAATGAAATATATGTGTTTTGAGTCTTTTTAAAATGCTTTTGCAAATGCCAATGAAAGTGCCAGAGTGAGTGAGTTTTGTATGGGAAATCCACTCTCTTGTGTGATTTTGTGGTTCTGATTTGCTTGTTAGTGAACTTCCAAGTGACTTGGAAAATACCATCCAGTTGGGATTAGACAGAAGGAATTATATTAATTTATATTTGCAGCAATGGTGATTAGAAGGCAATATTTTAAAATGCTATCAGTTACTTGTGTTTTTGTATCCACTAGTTTTGTTCGGGGGAAGAGATTGCATTGCATATTGCCTTTTTAAAATTTTTTTCAGATTGGCTTGCAAGAAAGAAAGCAAGCTAGGCAGGTTTATACAGTTAGTTCAGTCAGTTGGTTAAAGGTTGTGCTGTGTGGTACCTATAGTCTCTGGGATTCAGATTTCTTATCTGAAAAGTGAAAGATTGACATGGACTCCAAAAATGTTTTCTAGTACTCCGATTTCTTGTTGTTTGTAACATATACCCAATTTCTCACAGCTCTTTTATCAAAATTTTAAGGAATGCGTAGAAAATAGGTTTCAAGCTATGGTATAAGTAATAATACAACATTGTGTATTTGTATGTTGTCAAGTATTCCATGTCCATGTGAAGCAAATTATATAAAGTCTTTATTGAATTCAGTTTATAAATCTCAAAGGTGAGGATTTGGTGCCTTGGTGTCTCATGTGGGCCTGTAATTCAAGGGATTCTCTGTGAATTCCCCTGTACTCTCCAAAAGAATGAAGGTCAAGACGAGAAGTCTCTTTAAAAATGACTAGAAAAACCATTGTTTCAGATAGAATACATTATAAACCTTTAGTGTAGGTGCATAGTAGTAAATTTGGTGTCAATTGAAACAATTTAAATCAATGAACATTTGTTATGAGGTACCTACTGTATATAAATTTTGGCACATGGGGAATTCATGAAATATTGAGGACTGATGTGTGAAAAGTTAGAAGGGAGGAGATTGTAATGCTACTGAAGAAAAATACTCTTATATACAACTCGAACAGTTTCTTCTTTTCCTGTCTTCCTATTAACAGTGAGTTTCTAAAAAGCTATGGCCCCATTATATTTGTTATTGATAATGGTGACATAATTCATTTCCAAGGGTTCAGCTGTGTAGTGATGAGTCCTAAGCCTCTTACTTTTAGCCTCCTGCTCAGTATTTATCCAGCACTATGCTAGATATAGGGACACAGTAGAGAATAAGACCAGCTCTAGCAAATCTTACAAACTGGGAAGGAGACACAAATTGTAAAAATAGTAGTTTAATTAGTTTAAAAAATCCATCTTTCTTGCTTGTGAGCTCATAGAAAAGTATAGATTTTTTAAAATTATAATTATCTGTATTATTATTATTTGGCTCTATTATCAGTTTTAGAATGCTACTACTGTACATTTATTAAGCACTTTGCCATCTATCTTATGTTTTCTTGTCCCCGAGTCTTTTTTTTTTTTTTTTTGCTTCATCATCCAACCCCTGTGAGGTAGGAATAGATCCTAATTACATTTGACTGAGAAAATGGAAGTTCAGAATTTTTAAGTGACTTCCTATTTCAGAAATGTTCAATGTGTTTAGTGGAGGAAGAACTTGAAAAGCCCAGCTCTTTCAACTTTTAAATCCGGAACTTTCTACTGTTATTATTATACTCTGTTTTTCTCTAGGATGGTGTCCTAGTCCATTTTGTGTTGCTATAACAGAATACCTGAGACTGGGTAATTTATAAAGAAAAGAGGTTTATTTATGTCTGCAGGCTGGAAAATTCAAGGGCATTGCCTTTGCTTCTGGTGAGGGCTTTTTTCTACCTCATAACTTGGTGGAAGAAGGTCAAAGGGGAACAAGAGACATAAGAAGAGAGAGAACCCAAGGGGCATCCAGGCTTTATAAGAACTCACTCTCATGGGAACTAATCCATAGTCATAAGAACTAATCCAGTCTCACCAGAGAACTCACTACCACTATAAGGGCACCAAGCCATTCAGGAGGGGTCCACCCTCATGACCCAGACACCTTCCTATAGGCCCCACCTACCATCATCACCATATTGAGGATCAAATTTCAACATGAGCTTTGGTAGGAACAGGCAAACCATATCCAAACCGTAGCAGATAGTTCATATATTATTTGTTTCACTTTTAAAAGTAGGCTCTGGAGGACAGTGTTAAAATAATAGGTTTGGTCTTTCAACACTGAGCACTGAAAGTAGAGGCTTGAAATATGTAATGAGTTGAATTGGTGAGTGGCCTGTATTATTTTTTATTATTCATAACTAAAGCTACTTAGAAGATGGTAATGGACTGAGGCTATGTTTTATCCTTTCATTTTTAGTCACTTTAAAAACAGCCAGAGGAATTTTTTAATTACATAATGAACCAAATAATATTGCCTTAATTAAAAATGAAAATAGATTTTGAGTCTTTGCAAAATTACATTGAGATTACAATTACGTTTAATACTTAAGACCAAACCATGTTTTTTAAAAAAATCAATGTTTAGTGTCCCTTTAATGCTCTAAGAAGAGCATCAGCAATACACAGATATGTAATTAAATTAAGGTTTTCCTAAAGGTTGTTCCAAACTATTTCATTTCTCACTTGTGATTTTTTTATTTCTAAATCCCCATTATTAAAATGTATCTAATAAATTAATACAATTTAATCTTCATACCTTCGTGTATTTTACATAAGATACTTTCCAAAGGCTTTTATAATTGAAACTTTCCCATAACTAAAATGGGAACAGGAAATGGTTTTAGCTTAAAAGCAAAGAATTAAGGAAAAATTAAAGCACTAATATGTTTCTGAAAAGTAATATGATAAAAAGACAATAAACCGTTAAAGAATAATTTCTTTAAAGGCAAAAAATAAAAGATCAATCTACTTGAGAGATGAGAAACTATACAACTACAAGGAAAATAGAATATAAAGAACAAGAGATAGGAACAAATGATACAACCGGTTTTAAAAGTTAGGTAACCATCATTCTCAGCAAACTATCGCAAGGACAAAAAACCAAACACCACATGTTCTCACTCATAGGTAGGAATTGAACAATGAGAACACATGGACACAGGAAGGGGAACATCACACACCGGGACCTGCTGTGGGGTGGGGGGAGGGGGGAGGGATAGCATTAGGAGATATACCTAATGTTAAATGACGAGTTAATGGGTGCAGCACACCAACATGGCACATGTATACGTATGTAACTAACCTGCACGTTGTGCACATGTACCCTAAAACTTAAAGTATAATAAAAATATATATATATACTCAAAAAAAAAGTTAGGTAAACATACAATCTCATTGGAAATCAAGGGAATTAAAATATAAATTATAACGAATTCCCTCAAGCTGCTCTAACACATATTCTCAATAATTCTCTCTTGATAATTTATCTTAAGGAAATAAAGTTTTTTTAATGTTTAAGATTATCAGCAAAGATAGTAATTGAGCCTTGACTTTGCTATTTGTTACAGGTAAAATGGGAAAGCATATATCTGAAATATCTGATCTAAATATCTGAAAAAGGGAGATAGCTCAATCAAATGGGATTATTTCCATTTGATGAAATCTTATAAATCCAAAATTAAGGTTATGAAAGATACATAATAATGAGACAACTGCCTATGTTATTATGTTAGGTGAAAAAAATAAAAATTATACATGGAGTATGAATAAATTCTACAAAATAACTATGTCATTAGAAAGCAAAACAAACTTTTTAAAATATCAGAATGTTTAGAATGGATGTATTAGCTTTTTAGACATGCACCCTTTTGTTTTCCTTTGTTCGGAAGGCTTAATGTTTTCTATTTTAAATTTTCTATAATGAGCACGTTACTTTTATGAAGGACAAATACTTTAATAAAATATGAAAGAACAAGCACCTTGGTTTTTTTTTTTTTTTTTTTTTGAGATGGAGTCTCACTCTTGTTGCATAGGCTGGAGTGCAGTGGCGCGATCTCAGCTCTCTGCAACCTCTGCCCCCCGGGTTCAAGCGATTCTCCAGCCTTAGCTTCCCGAATAGCCGGTATTATAGGCACCCGCCACCATGCCCGGCTAATTTTTGTATTTTTAGTAGAGACAAGGTTTTCCCATGTTTGGCCAGGCTGTTCTCGAACTCCTGACCTCAGGTGATCCACCTGCCTTGGCCTCCCAAAGTGCTAGGATTACAGGCGTAAGCCACCACGCCTGGCCAAGAACAAGCATCTTAATCTATTGTTCAAGTAGATAGCAGGATAATTATGGTAACCAACCAATTATCCATAATTATTGAATAGAACTCAACATGTAAACTTTCAAGACATAAAACTTAAGAAAGGAATAAAGTAGAGAAAGATCACTTGCATGGAGTCTATTACATATAATATTTCCATTATGAAATATTCAAATATGATATTTGATGAATATATTATATATTTGACAAATATATATTATATATTTGATGAATTCATAATATAATAGTACATTTACTGAGTACTTTTGTGGCCTGAGAAATTCACATATAGCATCTCATTTAATTCCCACAGTGAGATGGGGAGGGTACATGATTATGTTTATTTTACAGATGAGGAGAGTGACGTCATCAAGCAGTGACTTTGGAGTTTATTACCCAAGGTTTCAATGCCAGTTAATAGTAGATAAATTCTTTACAGGGCCATTTGTGCTATACTGCAATGTTATCATCTCTTATGTCAACGTATAGAATTATAAGACCATGCTAAGATGGTATGATGACATTCTATGGTGATGTCATTTCTCACCCACAAAGTTTTATTATAGCTCTTCCAAAAAACGAGAAAGAAATGAAACTGTGTTGTAAAGTATACTATAGGATTGCAAAATGCTTCACAATATTAGGATGATTAAATCAATTCAAGTAATATGGTGTGTCCTTACTCCAGAGTTATGAAAATTTGCAGAAAATAAAGAGCTTGGCATCATGCTGGGCACATATGTGCTCATTAATGCTAGTGCTGTTATGACTGAAGCTCAGTGTTTAACAATTACATTCCTGACCAAGCACTGGGCACTTTTCTGCATATTTTTGTCAGTTCCTGAGTCCTGTGCAGAAATAACATTACCCCTATTTTACGGATATAAGATTTAAGGTTCCAATAGTTTAAGTGGCACATTGAAGTCCCTATGACTAGTAAGTTGGCAGAGCAAGAATTTGAGCCTCTTCTGACACCCCAGCTCACAATATCCTTGTTCTTTCAAAGATATGCTCTTACTAAATGTGAGCCTTGTGGGTCTCCAGTGGTGACACAGACCCAGAGCCAGATTGCTGATATTATGGAGGACTGCTGGTGAAGAAATCCAGGGAGCTCTGATCATTGTGTTCTTGAAGGCCCCAGGGAGGAAGGGCAGCTTGAGAACCGGAAAGGAGCTCATGGAGAAGTTAGTAAAAAGAAAAGGGGGAGGCAAGGCACCAGACCTCACCCTACATGGTGTTATTTACACTATCTCACTTGTTCCTTCTAATAACTCAGTGAGATTGTACAGATGTGAAAAGTGAAGAAACTGTAACTCAAAACCAAAGAATCAAGACAATAACCAGAGTGGCCTTGCTGCAGGGTTCCAGCCCTGACCACAGTGCTTCACCTAGGAAGGCTGGTCAATCAACTTTTTTTCTGTCCTTTTCTTTTTTTTTTTTTTTTTTTCTTTTGAGACGGAGTCTCGCTCAGTCGCCCAGGCTGAAGCGCAGTGGCACTATCTCTGCTCACGCAAGCTCTGCCTCCCGGGTTCATGCCATTCTCCTGCCTCAGTCTCCTGAGTAGCTGGGACTACAGGTGCCCGCCACCACGCCCGGCTAATTTTTTTGTAATTTAGTAGAGACAGGGGATCACCGTGTTAGCCAGGATGGTCTCGATCTCTTGACCTCGTGATCTGCCTGCCTCAGCCTCCCAAAGTGCTGGGATTACAGGCATGAGCCACCGCACCAGGTCAATCAACATTTTTCAATACAAAAATGAATAAAGAAGGGAAGACTGGCCTTTGGTTAGTTTTCAACTTCCCTTTTCTCATCTGTGCCCCCTTTTTTTGTGTATGGAAATAGAATCCACTTTAAAAAAAAGTGTTTATAACTAGGTCATGCTTTGCTAAGGCGACGTATAGTTATGTAAAATTAGCATACATTCTTTTCAATCTGTCTTTGTATAGGACTCTAGAAGCCACAAAAGCAAGATGATAAGAATTGAATTAAGATGTAGATGTAGGGAGTAGACAATGCCATAGATTTTAAACAGTGACATGGATTTGGAACAAGGCACACCCAGCCCTACTGCAGATTATCTCCTTGAGCATGAGGTGACTTGTGCTGCACTCTCTGCTCCTCAGTGTCATAATCTAGAGAGGATTACTATGGCCTAAAGTTGTAAGGATTTATTTACGGTTTTATAAAGTAACTAGCACATAATAAATGCTCAGTGAATTGTGACAATGGGCATTTATTATTTTAAAATTATAATAAAAACAATATCCTGGAGAATGATTAAAAATATGAAAAAAATTTTGAATAAGGTATATAAATAAAGGGACAAATTAAGGGAAGAAGAGACACAGTAAAAACCTAGGATTAAGAAAAAGAGGACTGTAAACCTCTTTACATGTAAACAAAAAGATCAGAGAAAGGGGATAATTGCAGGAGGATGGAAGATTATAGGTAACCTTACAAATAAGAGAGTAGACATTGTGCTCAACAGTCTAAACAGTTCTTTAAGGGAAAATTAATGGATTGTTTCCATTATTCCATTATTTCCGTAAGTACACGCTCACTTAACTGGGTAAATCACAGGGGCTTTTCTCTGTAGCTACAAATCTCAACATGGCTCATCTTGGAGAACTCTGTAGTGTCTATGAAGTTTGTGTTGTGTGAAGATAAATTGAATACACACACACAAACACATTGGTGGGGCAGGGAGAGAAACAGTTTCTCCAGTCTTACCTATTTTGACTTGGCAAGCAAATCCACTTTGAGGTTCTTGTTTGCAATTTATTCTTCTGCCTTAATTAAAACAATTGCTCTCAAAGCTTGTGTGCCCTGCTATTAACTATTCTGTGCTTTGCTTGACACATCTTGAAATGAATATCTCAGAAAAGCCCATTGAGATGGTGTGGGAGCACACTGAGAAGACCTGGAGCTCTCCTAGGAAAAGGATGTTTGGGCTCTTTGAGCTGCCTCTCTCCATTCTCATTACTGCTCTAACTCAGTCTCAGAGGAGCGGGCTCCTTTCTTTAGTTACTCAGAAAATGTGTTTGAGTCCTCTTGTCTACCTCATCTCTTTCCTTACAACTCCCTAGTGTAAGAATGCACCCCATTCTATAAATGAGGCTGCTCACCTCTGGATCTCTAATGAGGTTGTATTCCTCGTCTAGTTGCATCCTTCTCTTCCTCTTTAAGTGATAAAACCCTGAAGATAGTTTGAAGCCCATCATGAACTTACTTTCTCTTTTGAAGCATTCTTGATCCCTGTTGAATCTGTGTGTTACTTAAACCTATGATGAAATTGTGTTACCTTCCATTCCTTGTCCCTCCCCCGATTCCTTCTCTCTCCCTTATAGCTTCTCGCCTCCTCCCCAGTCTCCCCGCTTCTTCTTAGCCGGCAGAAATTCCCACACCCTGTCAGACAGTCATCATAACTCCCTCAGTGGTTTTCTGGCATTTCATAACCCTTTTGCAAAGAGTCAGGGGAGAAATAAATTCAGTAAAGTACTTCAAACCTTCCTGACCTCCTTTCCAGTTGAGCACAGGGCCCTGGCCTTCTGTTTCTCTAATCTTCTTCACACTAGACACCTTCCTTGCCACCTGTCCAAATCAGGACAAATACTTGGTCTCGTGTTCACTTAGGAACAAATCCAGGGCCTCCCAGTCTCACAATAAGCAGTCCAGATTGATCTCTTGGGTATCTTTTCCTTGTTCACCAGCCACCTGTTTTCTTGGCCGGTAACTGTGGCACATTTATCACATTAGGCCTGTCTCACGAAAACCAGCATTTACTAACTTAGGCTGCCAAGGACATAAAAACACAAAGCAACAAAACGAATAAAGGGAAGGCTAGAGAGATTAGTCTGAAAGAGCGAAAGCATATTTGAAATGCCATGGTGACTCAGAAAAAGACACTCAGCAAGGCTCCTTTCAGAGAGGCAGAAAGAGAAGAACCCCCTCTGTATTTTTAATTATCTCAGAGAATTAGTGTTAACAAGCTACCACTCTTTAGTAGTATCCCCTACCTACAGCTAGTCTAAAACCTGACTGCTGTGTTATCATCAACCCTCTCTTACCAGGAGTGTGTTACTACCCTCTTCTAGTAGAAACACCCCATAAGTGACTTGCTTCAATTCCCTTTTATGCACTCATCTTGTTACCACTAGATGTGACTAAAACCAGTTAGCCCAATTACTTCCATCTTGGCTTTTCCCCATTTCTAATCATCAGAATCTTTGAAAAAGTCCGCAGGTACAGATAGTTGCTTCCGGGATGCTGGCAATGTTCTGTTTCATGATCCAGCTGCTGGTGGAACAAAACCAAACCAAAATTACCTCCATTCAGAAATAGAAATGATGCATTCAGCCTGTGATACCTCACACCTCCTTTTCAAGTTTAGATGAGTTTTGGTGTGAAACTATCTCTGTAATCTCCTCTCTCCTCTAATAAAATGGAACTTCTTCAAGGATAAATATTGTGTTTATCTTTGTATGCCCACTGCAAGTACTACTATATTTTGTGTATAGTAGACACAATATTAATTTGGGGGGTATATTAACCTATGAAAGAAACTATCTTCTGTTTTCAGATTATTTCCTCTTCTGTTCACAGTCTGTTGAATTTATTTCACAATACAATAGCATATAATAGGTATTAGTAGACAAATTGCATAGTTTGAATTGTTCCGAAATTAAAATATATTTGAAGGTATGATTGATATCTGGATTTTTTGTGTTTTCCAAGGGAAATTCAGAGTCCTAATATCAGAGCCACCATGTTGCTCAAATCCAGAAACCGCCATTCATAGAAACTTCACTGTGAATGGTACCTTTGGGAAGCATGTGTGGCCGTTTACTGCACCTCTGCCTAAGATCACTGCAAGATATGGAAATATGAATAGGAAAATTTCTGGTGATAAATGCTGGATAGGTTCTAGCTTGCTCTTGAAGATGAGAGCCACATAGAGATATTATTAATATTAGTTGGTTCAGTCCTTTCATTGAACATACATTTATTAAATCTCCAAAGTGTGCCAATAAGTAAGAGAGAAGACCACTGGGATATCTGGGGAAAGAACATTGCAGGTAGAGGAAATAGTGAGTGAAAAGACTCTGAACCAGGAGCCATTGTTCCTCTGATGTATTACAGGAACAGTAAGAGAGGGTGGGGAAGAACCTGTGCTGATCATAGCAAGCTGTGTAGGCCAGTGTAAGGGTTCTTGAATCAGCTGTAGAATAACAATCCGATTTCCATTTTACCAAGATCACTCAGACTGCCGTTTTGAGAACACCCTCTGGATAGAAGTATGGGCACTATTTAGGAGGTTATTGCTGTCATCCAGGGTGATGTGGTGGCTTGAGACAGAAAGGTATCACTAGAGTTCAGATGATTCTGGACACATTTCTGTGATCAAATGTCATCTTCCAAGGACAACCACTTTAATGCAAATGCTGTTTTCTAGTTGTTTTATAAAAAAGATTTTTATTTGATTTTGAACAGTTTTAAAGCTACATATGAATGATTCTTTTCTAAAGAGAATTGTATCATGACACCTATTGCAGATTGTTTTAGCTCTTTAGTTGCATTGATCCTGAGTGAATTTTTATAATATTTTAGTAAAAAATGCCAGTCACAATTAATCTAGGGAGTTTATATGTAGAATTTTTACAAAGCAGGATTTGAGCCTATGGCTTAAGGCCAGCTTACATTTTTATGGATTTCTGCATTGCAGACAGCTTTTTAAATCCAGGAATTAACGAAAGATTGGTCTTCACAAGCTTGTCATATTGAAATGTTGGTAAAAATCTACTGAGTACTTTAAATGGTTCAGTGAGAGAATTGTCCAGAGAAGAAATGGTATTACTCTGATGTTGAAACAGTTCAATACAAAACAATTGCTCTTTCCCTTTTCCCACTTTAGCCCATGAGGAGATTTTATGCTCTTTGTCTCTGGATCTCTAGAGAATGCTTCCTTATTTTATATCATCTGGTTTTCCCTACTCAAATTACTTTAAAAAATAATTTCTCATCTCATTTTTTTCATTTTTTTCTCCCTGTAATTTGTGATAATTAAGATGATAATAAGCTTGGGTAAGACAAATTACAACCAAAGAAATGAAGTGTAGTAGCAACAGTACACACATGAGAACAAAATAAATTTTACTTACGCTGTTTGTGCTTTTTTAATTTGTAATTCGACTCAGTTATCAAATCATAGAATGTGTTTGCTGTATATGAAAAAGAAGTGGTTTCTCAGAAATCTGTTGTTCCCTGTGAAGGATAAAACTTTTACCTTTCCTTATTTTAATGACTTTTAGAAAGTAAACTGATATTCAATGAATGTCTTATTTATATACATGTATCTATCTATACACATATGTGTAAACTAGTCATTATGCCCCATAATTAGGGAAGACAATGCTGTTATAGATAGCTGGTCGCTTATAGGGCAGGAAAGGGCTCCTTCACACACACACACACACACGCACACACACACACACACACACACACCAGGAGTGTCTGGCGACCATCAGGAGATGATCAGGCAGTTTTTAACTGTTTCTCTAAAGTAATAATTGTTCACAGGTGGCACAAGGGAAAGCTGGTTCCTAATAGACAGAAAACACCTGAAAGTGATGCTCAGCACCTTCCTGATAAGATCTCAGGAGTTGTGCGAGTGGGGAGAAGTAACATATCACCCCAGAAGTATGCCAGCCTATAAAACCCCAAGTCAAAAGGTCAAGCCTCACACTTGCCTTTCAAGTCACCCACTTAGCCCTCTCCCAAGTGTACTTTCCTGCCTTTTATTACTGTTCTAAAGCTTTTTACTAAACTGTCACTTCTGCTCTAAAACATGCCTCGGTATCTCCTTCTGCCTTATCCCCCTCTGTCGAATTCATTCTTCTCAGGAGGCAAGAACTGAGGTTGCTGTAGACCCATACGGATTCGCCACAATGCCAGATGCAAATGATTACCAGAAGAGCTCAGCCTGCTAGCTAATCCCAGATGTCATCAGTGTCCAGAGTATGGTGAAAAACATTTATTTTGTTTTTCCCATAAGACACTGATTCTCAAAGTATGGACACTGAACTGGCAGCATCAGCATCACCAGGGAACTTGTTAAAAATGCAAATCTCAGGCACTATCCCAAACCCACTGAATCTGAAATTCTGCGGTTGGTGCCTTGCTCTCTATTTTAGTTCAAGTCCTCCAGGTCATTCTGTTGTGCTCTAAAGCTAGAGACTAATGAAAAAGGTAACTTTGCAGGCCCTGTAGAATCCATCAGTCTAGACAGACTCTCCAAAGTGCCTGCCGTAATCGAGTTTCTCTTTCCTTTAGTCCTGGCTCTACCTTGTAGTATACCTGCACTACCTGAGCCTCATTAGCTGTTCCTACTCACTGAAACTTGGGGCTTGTCTCTGTCTTGATGGGCTTAACGGTAATTCTTCAGGGAAGAGCACCTGTCTTTCTTGCCATATTTATTACTTCTGCTAGCAGCGATTCAATGCCTTATTGTACAAATAGTTCAGTTCCCAGTAGTGATGAAGATGAGAGGACCGAGATCCACATTCTGCCACATGTACTAAAAGTGGGGTGACCATATTGGGACAATTCTGATTTCCACCATTGCTTCAGCATAATTAATACTCCTTTTACTCTTCTAGGTGCTCTAATTTAGTTGGTAAATTATATTTCAGTGAACCTAAATCATAAGCAATCCTAACATTGTTGGAAACTGGTCTAAGAAGGCGTCACTAAGAAGGAAATGTTTTGGGCATAAAAATGAAAGCTATCTTTTTACAATAGGTAGGCCAGACAGAACTGGAGATTGGGATGGGACAAACTTAGAGGCTGAGAGATCTTAGTGGCTGCAAGTTCCAGACAAAGATGGGAAGCAGTAGGTTCCACTATGGGAAGCCCAATTAATAGTTTGAAGGGGCTAGTGTCTGGTGGAAGTGGTAATAGATAAAGCTGATGGGAGAGGGGTGATGTGAGGTAAAGTATTCCAGAGGGGCAAGGGAAAATTTTGTTTCTTATTGTTGCCCCAATAACATATCACTTTAGGTTCTTTGAGTAGTTCTTAGGAAGAAACCTACTATTCTTTGTTTCCCTGTACAAACACAAGTTCTATGTATTCGAAATGTTTATTGCTCTATTTTCCATCAGTTCTCGGCTATATTTCAATGTAATGTAGCAGAATAATAATTTACTTTCACTTTTGTTTGAAATATTCAAATTCAGTTTAAAAAATACCAGCCAGATGATTCACATTCCATAATATTCTGTGCCTTTATCACATAGCAGAACACTAATGTGGGACTATTGAGATTTGTGGCCTGTTGAGAAGAGAATAGAGGAAAATATCCAGATATCTAACTGATGTGTTGTGATATTGTTTTTCTGAATATTAATATGGTGAATGAATTTTGCAGTTATAAAATGATCATATCGGAATTTTTTTCTGTCACCATTTACCCTACTAAAAATTATATGTTCCATGTAGTTTTTGGAAATTGTTTACAAAGCACATGTTGCATGGCAAAGCTAATTTAAAACATAAAGAAATATTACTAAATGATGATAAAAATAGTTAATTTGATTTTACAAAATTAACAATATTTCCTTTTTTGTTGTTGAACAGCAAAGATGCATTTGGCATTGCTAAAGCTTCGAAGGCTTTGCCCTGGACATTGCTTGTAAAGGGACCCCTTGTTATGGGTATCATTACTTAATTGTTACATTTTTCTAACTATTAATATAGATTACATTTCAGAGTTAATAGCTGCCTGTAAAGGAAAAGAACAATTAATAATTTCCTACATTATCCTTTGTTTGAATACCACATAATGTATTAATGCGTTTGCTTAAATATTATGTTTTGAATACAAGTAGTAATTAATATTGTGTTTTAATTTAAAAAGCAGTTTATAATAACTATAACTGACTGAAGGATGGGGTTAGCCTGGCAATCTTTATGAAGCTATATATGAGGAGATAAGAATATTTCATTATGCCACAGATTATCTGATTCTTATTTTACTGTTATATAAAAAAGCACCATATATTTAAATTTCATTTCATATCTGTATCTGTAGAGTTAGCATATACAAGTATTTCATAAGTAATGTGTTTTTTATTTATAAATGTAACTTATTTATAATTCTGTTTTCTTAATTTTCTAACCCAAGAATTAGTGTTTATTTGTTCTGGGAGATAAGAAAGCCACAGAATGTTAGGCGACAAACTAAGAAAGTGATATGAAACTTTTTGTAGAAATAGATGAGTGATCTCCAAGTCTTAGTCTTAAAATTTTGTCACTTGCTTTTGAAAAAAACAGAAAGTCTTTATAATCGTAGGCTTACCTTTACTCAGCATTGTTTACTAACTGAAGTTTAGAAATACTTAAATGCAAGCAGTGGCATTTATTTATTTATTTATGAATGAATGACAAGGTCTCACTCTGTCGCCCAGGCTGAAGTGCAGTGGCGCAATCTCAGCTCACTGCAACCTCCGCCTCCCGGGTTCAAGCAATTCTCCTGCCTCGGACACCCTAGTAGCTGGGACTGCAGGCACCCACCACTGTGCCTGGCTAATTTTTGTATTTTTAATAGAGACTGGCTTTCACCATGTTGGCCAGGCTGGTCTCGAACTCCAGACCTCTGGTGATCCACCTGCCTTGGCCTCCCAAAGTGCTGGGATTACAGGCGTGAGCCACTGCGTCCAGCCAGCTATGGTTTATTTTAAATCCTTAAAATAGAGGTATTTCTTTTTTATTGAAGAAATGGTCTTTTGCGTTGGAAGACAATTTGTAATATTCATTAAATAAACAGTAAATAATGGGCTCTTTGGCCACCAGAGAGCATTTAGCATTTTTATTTTTTTTGTTTTTATCTTTCCCTTTTATTTTAGGTTCACGTACAGGTTACACATGCATGATACACGTGTGGGATACACGTGCAGGTTTGCTATGTAGGTAAATTGTGTGTCACAAGGGCTTGGTGGACAGATTATTTTATCACTCTAGTAATAAGTATAGTACCCAAGGGGCAGTTTTTTGATCTGCCCCCTCCCAACTTCCACCCTCAAGTAGCTCCTCGTGTCCATTGTTCCCTTTTTGTGTCCACATGTACTCAATGTTTAGCTCCCACTTATAAGTGAGAACATGGTGGTGTTTGGTTTTCTGTTCCTGTGTTAGTTTGCTTCAGATTATGGCCTCCAGTTCCACCCAGGTTACTGCAGAGGACATGATCTCATTCTTTTTTGTGGCTGCATAGTATTCCATGGTGTGTGTATACCACATTTTCTTTATCCATTCTACCATTGATGAGCATTTAGGTTAATTCCACGTCTTTGCTATTGTGACTACTGTTAACAATAAACATATACATGCATGTGTCTATGATAGAACGATTTCTATTATTTCGCGTATGTACACAATAATGGGATTGCTGTGTAAAATGGTAATTCTGCTTTAAGTTCTTTGAGAAATCAGCATACTGCTTTCCACAGAAGCTGAACTAGTTTGCATTCCCACCAGTAGTGTATAAGCCTTCCCTTTTCTCTGCAACCTTGCCAGCATCTGTTATTTTTTGACTTTTTAATAATAGCCATTCTGACTGGTGTGAGATGGTATCTCATTGTGGTTTTGATTTGCATTTCTCTAATGATTAGGGATATTGAGCATTTTTTCACATGCTTGTTGGCTGTGTATATGTCTTCTTGACATTTTCAAAGTTTTATGTTTTTGTGTGCAACTCAGAACTTAATCATTTTTATAACTATTTTTAGTACTTTTAAATTCTTGAACTTTAAACAAACATGAAACCTCAAACAGGAAGAGATAATAATTATACCACAACTTGAAAAACCTGGAAACTATATGGATGGCTTCAGCGTATGTTTGTCATCCTTTAATTTGGTTTTTATTTGAATATCCGTATCAGATAAGGCTTAGCATTACTACCGTTACTGTTCAATCTCAATTAAAAAAGTGGCCTATTGTCTCTGTCTGTATATTTATGGCATTAAAATTGGGCCTAACTTTTGTTTTCTTTACCCTCACAATATGTTTCTGGGATAGCATTATATAATAATTTTTGAGGTACAGTTGAAAGAGTTCTGTGACTCTGTCTGCAGTAATTCTAACCTTGTAAAGCTAACCTGAAAGTAATCTCACAAATCTGAACTTGTTAATATTTATTCCATAATTATTATTAAATCTAATTGAGTAAATTAATGCTTAATCTACCTTCCTATGTTTATCAGTAATTTAATATTAAATATGAGAAATGCATATTCATCAATATGAATATACCTGTTTGTACATATGCGTCAGAGACAGGAGCTAATTAATGTAATAACAATGGAAATCAGCTCAACTCATATTTGTAATATAGCTTTAAATTTATTCATCATATATCTTGCTGAATAGTCTATAGACGATTTCTTTTTAAGAAAAAAAAATGTTTAAGTTAGCAAATAGAAACCTTGAAATGTTCCATAGTTAAGCAAAAAGCATATAAATAATCTCTAAATAATGAGTATGTTATTAAATCTTAGCTTCAAATCACCTTTACCACTGTACTTATTTTTCTTTAATAACAGCTTTATTGTTTCATGGGATTTTCTGAGTTGAAGCTCACTGGTTTTTATACTTTTCAGGTCAGTTTCTTCTGGAAGAAGCTCGTCTCATAGAAGCAGCTGAGATGGCAAAAAAAGCAGCTGAACTAGACAGCACAGAGTTTGATGTTGTCTTCAATGCTGCCCACATGCTCAGGTTAGTTTTTTTGCTGCTGTGCCTCAAAGCCTAGGCTTTGAGAGGGTAATTAATTATACGAATTTTCCCATCATACACCTTATTCCACATTCTCAATGTGAGTCAATCACGCTGCTTAACTATGTAAAAAATTAGAAATATTGTATTCATTATAGGCTATTCAAGCTTATCCAGCCGGTGGCCCACGGGCCACATGTGATCCAGGACAGCTTTGAATGCATTCCAATGCAAATTCATAAACTTTCTTTAAACATTATTATGAGGTGCTTTGCTTTTTCTTTCTTTTTTTTTTAAGCTCATCAGCTATTATTAGTGTTACTGTATTTTATGTGTGGCCCCAAGACAATTCTTCTTCCAATGTGGCCCAGGGAAGCCAAAAGATTGGACTCCCCTGGTCTATGTGCACCATGTGTAGGGCATATGAGTTTTTAGGACTTTCTGAAAATTACTGCGACCTCCTTTCCCTTCCCTCTAAAAACTACTAGTCATAAAATACAAAAAGGAAACTGCAAAATGGAATATAATACATGTCTAATTAAATGTCTCCAAAGCAAAACATTATGTCAGTAAACTGCATCTCAATATTTGTGTTTTTATGTTAATTATATTGACTGTGGCATGTGGATACATTTTAATGTTTAATAGTGGAGAGGATTATCAAATACAAGTATACTTAAGGCCCATGAAATTCTCAAAATAGCCCTGTAATCAACACTATTGCTTTGTCATGAAACAATACATTTTTTTTAACTTTTAATTCTTCTGTTTTCAGAAGACTATTACAAAGGCTAATTACAATGAGAGCAAAAAAACTAAAATATAAGGCCAGATTATCAGGTTTTTTTGTGTGTGAATATAAAGAAAGTCAGTACATCCATAAATGGTTCTTTAGATTAAAGGAGGATGTTTTTAACTGGTTTTAATCAAATGATTTATATCGTTGTTTAAAAAGCATTATTTGTCATGTTAGTTATATATATATGTACATGTAACTCCTCCCATATTCTTACTTGAATATCACTTCATTAAATCCCTACTTAAATGCTTCATTAAATGACTTCTATACTGTCATCTCTGTGCGTGGCTTCCAGGGATAGATTTATAATTACATAGATTACTCTTACAAGGAAAGAATAATAACAGAGAAGTTGGTTCACAATTGGATGGTGACATCCAATTTTTAAAATGAGGACATTTGAAAAAAGTAGAAGGACTATTTTTTTTAGCTTTTAAGATGATTGTAGATTCACCTGTAGTTATAAAAAATAATACAGAGACATTTTAGTTGAATGTCATAATTCAACATTCATGTTAGCATCCCTAAAGTACTTGTTTTGTGATGAACTCAAGAAAGCTGACACCTACAAAGGGAAATCAGGATTCAATTGACTATTGGTATATTTATAAAATAAACTGAAACCAATCTGCAAGAGCCTTCAATGCAAAGATAATTTTTAAAAGACACCTCAATTTGTGTGACAAGGTTAGGTACTGTTACAGAGATAAGGACTTTTTGTTCCTCATGAATAAAACACTATGCTTTCAGCCACAATAAACAATTTGCAAGAATGGGAAAGCACAAATACAGACAGGCAAATTCATCTTGATAATAACAGATACTTTTATCAACAAGGCATTTTGCTACATATTAAATCCATGTCTGAAATTCAAGGTCTACCAATAGAAACCCATTATAAGTGTATTACAAAATAAAGTCCTTGTTAAAGACATCACTTATGATTTTTTCTTAGTTGCCTTAGTGCTAGAAACCAGTGGAAAGTTTTTGTTATATACTGGCAGTGAGGAAATCTTTAGGATTTATTTTCAGAACCTCCTCTCCGGCTTTCTCTGGTCTGCATCCATCATTAAGTTGCAGTCAGTCGGTGCCCTCCTATATTGACTGCAAGAGTGACCACAGCAGCCTGACTTTCTCCTACTCAACTGGATGGCAGTCTTCGTGAATGTTTTTACTTAGCTTTTCTGTTTTTCACCTCTGTCAAATTCAAGCATTTCTGTAGTGCTTGCTGTCAAGCTGAATACCAGTCTGTTTTCTTATCAGTTGAGAACATTCAGGGCTTTGTTTGCCTAAAGGAGTAAGAAAGGTTACTGGTTTCCCCTTGAATATGCTTTTGTCAAAATGGTCAGTTATCAAAATTTTGCTTATTTAATGTTACATGTAAATTTTCTCCTGGGGGTGATGCCACATAGTTCTAAATTAAGTTTGATATTCTTTTCTCAGGAACTATGTCCTTTTGAGAGATATTTAGGAGACAAAATTGACAGGGTTTAGTGACCATTTGGGTGTGAGAGAGACTGGGTGTCTCCTGGTTGTGTCTCACTTGGTTCGCTAGATAAGTGGTTTACCCACTATCCCAAATCAGCAATTTAGGGAAAGTTATAGTTCAAGAAAAGGTTTGAACATACTGATTTAACTTACCTTTTCTTGGCAAATTTCCAATGTAATGACCAAAAGAATCTATAAATGGGGGGAGGGGGAGCGGGAGCTGCTCATTACAAATGTAGCAAAAAGAAAAAAATTGTCATTCCATCTGAATGAGATTAGATTGGAAGAAGTGAGATCCTGAGGCCAGCCATCAAGGGGCAAATCTTTATCTTACTGGGACCTTCAAGAGGTTTGAAATTTGAGAAATTTCCAATAGACCCATTCCAGCCACCAGAAATGGACAAAGATCTTTCTCTGTAGAATAAGCTAATATAAAGTTTTGAAATATATTATTCAATTTGGCAGTTCAGATAAGAATGACAAGTCAGAGGTATCAAAATAAAGGGCCTCAGTGAAGCAGGTTTACATTAAAAACATAAGAGCCTCTTAGAGGGTCTCTAAATTCCTGTCATCAAAGTGCTTCACCAGAACACTCTGAGGTGGAAGTAGTATTAATGTCATTCAGAAAGTTTGCTTGGCCCTTTGTTTTAGAGAACCACAGTAGGATTGCACTTTCCTGCCTTCCTTGAAGCTGAAGTCCTGCATGCCTCTTATTTGTCAATGAATGTATGTGAATGTGATGTATGGCATTTTTGAGCCAAAGCTCTAAGACTCAGTGCTTTTCCCTTTCTCTGACTTAGAAATTGTGGAAATGTAGATCCCTAAGTGACGAAAGAGAGACAAACCTCCCTCCTCACCTGCGCTGGATAGGTTCAATGAGTGAGAAGTAAACTTTGTTGTCTTAATTCAGTGAGACTTAGAAGGTATTTATTCCCAAAGTATAACCTAACTTAGCTGATACAAAATATGTCTGTGCAAAGAAATAGGTAAGTAGAAATAGGAACATTATAATGTCGGGAAAAGATTACTAAGAGATTAATAGGGTCTCTGAATGTATAACAGCAATGGAGGTAGTGTACAATTAATGAGCTAATAATTTAACTAGAAGCTATAAATATTTCCCCAGAAATTGATGCAAAATACTAAAAACATGAAAATGGTGACTGAATAAAAGATTGGAGGATAGATTGGGAACTCACATGCATAATTATAAGTAATTACACTTGTAATTATATATATGTTTGTATAGTTCCACATACTATATATGCTCATAATTATATATGTGTATATAATTATATGTCATTTATATATATAGTATACATATGATAGTTTTATTTATGTATAAATATGCATATATAATTACATACTGTATATTTGTGCATGTAGTTTTATATAGCATATATGCTATATATAATTTTATTTGTGTATATGTAAATGTTAATAAGAACAGAATTTTCTGAAAAAGAGCATAGAGTAGATAAAGAATTATCCAGAGATAGAGAAAATTTCCAAAATAGGATGATCTTCATTCATCATAATGAAGGCAAAATCAATGAAAATGGTTTGTTTCTAAGCTGTTTTCATGTAAAGACCAGCTTTTAGTTGTGTACTAAAGAATCATTCTTGCTATTTTGTGCAGCAACAAGATTTTCTAAAGAGTGTTCTATAACCTACAGACTCTACCAGTGGGGTTGGGAGCTCTACTCTACACAGCTAGGAATAATTCCCAACCACCCAGAATTCCCTTGGGCTCAGCAGCTTTTACAGTTCAGGAGCTGTGCCACCATCACCCACAAGGAACCCAGCAGAGTGTGCATCACATTTATTAGAAGATGATTCTCCTGGGCCTAGCTGCTTCCCATTATGCTTACCTCTGAATTCCATTCTCTTGAGATTGCATCTGATGAGTGGAAACTGAGTCCTGTGCTAAACGAAAGTTAGAAGATCAGTGAATTTCTGGCTTCTGCCTTGCTTGAGAATGTGGGATCCTTGTTCTGGCTGATTACCAATTGTATTCATAGGGAAGATGATCACAGATGTTGAGTGGCCTCTCATAAAGAATGTTGACAATACATGGTGACATTTTTAGTACTTCAAACAAAGTGAAAAGTTACTAGATGCTTCCAGATGAGAGCATAAAAAAGCAGATTGGTTATCATTAAAGGAAAATAAAGGAATTTAAAATGCTAGAACACAGTAGAGTTATATCTATAGCGTTATGAGAAGAAACTATTGAATCATTTATTCTATTAGAAACATTTTCCGTGAATGGATTTATTCAGCTTTTCCAAAGAACTGGAAGCTGGAGAGTACATGAAGATACTTGATATCTGAGAGGAAATATAGAGGGACTAAAAACAAACTTTACATGGTTTACAGCATTCATAGGCTCTAGTGGAAGGGGTGTGTGTGTGTGTGTGTGTGTGTGTGTATGTGTGTGTGTTTAATCTACTTACAGGGTAAGGGATAAAAGTAGCATTTGTTCAAACATCTTCTGTCTGCCTGGCACTATACTTTGCTTTTATGTCTGTCACTCTGTTACCTCTGAGTGTACATCTGTGAAGTAAACGTTATAAATCTTCCTATCTTATAGATGAGCATACTGAGACTCAAAGTCAATACTCTTCTCTGTATTTACCACTGGTAAAGCAGGGGTTAAGGCTTAATGTAGTATGATACTGTTTTTACTTTGTCACATTGGCTCCCTTATATTTTACACCTGACTGATGGCTTACATGCTATGATTCTTGACTTTATTGATAGAGAAAACAATTTACAGAGTAACAGATTGTGGAATGTGTAAATAAATGCTCAGTAGTGAGGGCTTTCCAATATTATTAAATTATACTTTTATAATAAATTTTGTAAAGTAGACAGAGTCATTGGAGAACTCCAACTTTGTATTCTCAAAGAGATATTAACATTTTTAGAAGTATCATCATGATTTAGTCTCTGATGTGGGTCACGCATGCAGCTGAGACGTGTGCACTTTCCTTTTTTCTAGGCCTAAGGGTGGAAACTATCACTGTTCCCCAAAGGTAGTAAAAATAGCAAAACTCTACCATACCAACTGGTTCTAATTTCTTCCCTAATTTCTAGAGAGCAGAGTGAATATATGAGAAAGAATCATTATCTTTTAATTTTTATATTCAAATCACAGAATATTATGTAATCAATATATTGAAAACATAAAATTTAGAAACGCTAACTTCTTTATACATTCTACTGGAAGTCACATAAAATTTAAATTCTTAAATGAGAAAAAAAACAGAATCAAATTGTTTTCACAAATCAGATTGTGTGTGCTTACGTGTGTGTATCTTGGGGATGTGTGTATATATTTCCAGCGCCCTCTGGACCATACATTTTCTTCCTTAACACTTCCAAACTTACCAAAACCACGCGAAAGTCACTGGATTTTTCAATTATAAGTTATATTTTACTTCCAATTTACAATCACAAGGCTCTTATTTCAACCATGCTGTAATGGACCATAGGGTCTTCAGAGCAAAGTGGGGTGGCAGATGAGGTTGAAGGTGGGCGTCTTTCAACCCTGTGCCTTTCCGGTATTAACATGCAAGTGAACACCTGGGGAATGTTGTTAAAATGCATGCTATGATTTAGTAGATTGGGGTAGTACTTGTGATTTTACGCTTCTAGGAAATCCCAGGAGAAGCTTAGAACGTTGATTCTTGGACCACCACTTCAGGCAAGTTCTATCCTGCCATTTCTCTTTCACCCATTGCAATTCCTTCTCCTTATCCAAACATTACACCTTGAACCTAAGTGGTAATTTACTACATGTGAATATAACAGTTGACATTGCCGATACACATACCCTCTCTTTTAATTTTTCCCACTACACATAATTATATAATCTTTCTAGATATGGGTTTAACTCTGCCCTTAGCAGCCCCCGAACAGTTTGAGGCCGTGAAAGAATAGTCTTAAACTGTCATGGGGCATCAAGGAATTTCTCAGAGGGACTTTTTAAAAAATTATATTGTCAGCGTAGTTTTTTCTTCTTATTGCTACACTTTTTCTTTACCGCTCTACTCTTTTCCTTTAAAATTCAGAAGCCATTTTCAGTGTCTTGACAGAGAAGTTTTCATCTAAGAAGGCTTAATGGTCATAAACAATTTATTGTAGAAGTTTCATTGCAAGGATCTTTTCTGCTCCATTGTTTTTACATATGTATGACTCTGGTTTCACTATTTTAAGATCTTCTGTACATTTTTATGTCTTTGATTATTTCAGTTCTACTTCTGTTCCTACTGTATAACATATCAACTAGAATTAAAATTTAGTACTGCTTTGAGTAACTTAAAACTAAGCATCAGAGCCTGGCAAGAATCCAGGAGAACCCAGCTAATTTCCTCTGTTTTTATGTTACATGAACAACAATCTCTCTCCAGTTAAAAAAAAATGCTCATAAGCTATTCTTGAAAATAATTACCAAGACTTTACTGAAATATTATCTTTTGTATGTATCCGTGGTTTTTATATTAATTTTTAATTCAAATTGACAATTCACAACTATCAATAATTGTAGTTAGAGAGTTTTACTTCTAAATGCCACTAGTTTTTATTATTTATATTTCTAAAGAAGAAATTTTAAATTTAGCAGTTTTATAATTCTCACAGAATACATAAAAATGTGGTTAATCGTAAGTGGTTCTTTTAATCAGATTCGCTTCAAACATTTCATAGGGTATATTAAGTTATTCTATTACATTATTGATTCCCAACTTTCTCTTTACATCTTTCTTTATAAGACTGTTGGGCCATAAACATGTGTTCCAAAATATACTTTTCTAAAATAACACCAGGGAGTGGAATTAGATATAAGAAATATATATATTTAACAGATGCAAATTTTATAGTCCCATGTACAAAAATGGAATTCCGCAGTACGCAAATGATGAAATTTGTTTATGAGTTTTGTTATTGTCTGTTTGCTTTCGATCTGAGAGTATATTTTCACTGATGGTAAAAAAACAAAACCAACCAACAAAACAAAAAACCCTGAATCTAAAGACTTAAAATATAATCAACTCACTCCAGTGATTTCTTGGGAATTCAGGGTTTACTTCCTAGTCCAGTTCACAAATACTGTGTGGACTTTTTTCTTCTTCCTTACCCTTCCTGGCCCTGAGAGACCAGAGGTAATGTGAAGAGTGGGAGGTCCCAACAGCTATGATAGGTAGGAGTTGGTAATGAGAAAGGAGCCTCCGTCTGAGTCTCCAGTTGTTGTCTATTGTTGGCATAGGGATTAAATATTTAATGCTCCAGATATGTGACATAACAATGTTGACTCCTAGGGTGGCATGTTAAACGGAGCAAGTTGCCCATCTGGATCCATTGTGGGTTCCTGGTATGAATGATTTTTCCTTCTCACTACCTCACTCCTGGCTTTGTAAAGTGTGTTTTGGTCAGAATGCAAAGTTGTTTACATCTGGCCAGCAAGATTTCTTGCAGAGCCACTGCTTTCCTCTTCACTCACCTTCAAAGCCTTCTCTTAATACTTGGACACTTGGGAAAAGTTTCCACTATATCTAATTGTGAGCTTTTAAAAATGAGATATTTCAGGAAGTAAGAAAGTGGGTATCTGGCACTGTTTTTGCATTATCCTCGTTTTTAAAATGTGGTTAATAATAATAATTGCTTCATGGTGGTATTGTAACTGGTAAATGAAATAATCTATTCCTGGATAGAGGATTTAGAAATTTTCTGTCCCAAAAAAGAAATAGGGAAGGAAGAAGGGATACGAGTATGCAGGAAGTGTTATTTTATTGTCTGCTTTAATAGTCTCGGGAACCTGAGTCCTGCGATCAGTCCCTAACAACGTTATGGTTGAAGTTCTTGACAATATTTAGTAGAATCTCTAAGCAACTGGCAGAATACTGCTAAATTCTTTACTTTTCAAATATTGATTAATGATTCAATCATCCCTACAGTTAAGATTTATTAAGTGCTCCCAGGATGCTGTGTGCAGAGCCGTGTATGAAATACAGCAAACACTGTAAAATGGGCATTGGACACTTCCTCATGAGTTATTCTCCTTTGTCTAGAGAATAAAATGAGGATATAAATGAGCATTCCGTGGGTACAACTGACGTATTCTTTTCCCTACAGTTTTCCATGTTCTGCCATAAACACATGCTGATTAGTAGTTTATAAAGACTGTTTAATATTAGAAGCAAGGTCCTAGAGGGAAAATTAATTTGTGTAGTTATATGACATATATAGTAAATCCTAGTGGGGTTTTTTTCCCACCTCATCAGAATTTCATCAATTCTACTTCTAGCTTAAGAAATTAAGTTTTCTAACCTAGATATTTCCTTTGAGAACTAAAGCACTGAATAATACGAAGACTTTAAAAACTAATAACCATTTTGGGGGGCAGTAAAACCTTTTAAAAATTAAGTTTATTATTATTTTCAAGGCATTTTATCTGATGGATTCCCCAGTTTCTCTTTTGATCCTTATCTACCTCATTATTAAATGTCCATAAAGATGAATATTAATAGTAGCTATACTTTCCATGTTGGGCATCTATCTATTGGTTGATCTCACTTCAAAGTAACTGACTTCTTTGTAGTATTAAGTTACTCCAATTTCCTACCTGCATGCCTTTTATTTTCCTCGGGAGAAAACCTTTCCAGGGCATGACCTAATGAATTCTGGTTCAGATTTCCAAATGAATCTGTACCAAATTGATTCTATAATTTGGTGGAGGGAACCTTTATTAAATACCCTAGTGAGGGAATTTTTACTGTTTCCTACCAAACTAAAGTACTTCTCTTGACATTGAAATTGAGCTTTAACATTTATGAGAATATAAATTGCAACAGCACGTTGTAACATGTCATGGGTCCAGTAGAGCCTTAGGTCAAGGGTTTTTACTTTCTTTATAACCTCTATTAAAAATAGCAGTGTTTTTAATTATTTTTCATTGAAAAATTAGAAAAATATGTCCTACACTCCAGAGAGATGTTATCTTCAGTTATTTCCATAATTTATATGGTTGCATGGGGTATGTTTTTATAGTTTGTATTTGGCTTGACCAAAGTACAAATTCACTTTTATAGATATGGCTAGTTAACCTTCTCTTTTAAAACTTGAATATGTTTTTCTAATTGAGAAAGTTAATTTTTGTGTTCTCTTCATCCTTTTCCTGTCATCTTCTTGTCTCAATAGCTTCTTTACATCACAGCTTCAAGAGAACACCACTCCATTTTAACTGCAGGACCCCCAGCCATTTACCATTATTGTCACATCATAGATATGCTATATACATCATCTGAAATTGAATTTGGCATTTTCCTGTAGCATTTTTTCTGTACCCTTCAAATATTGTCACCAGATTCCAGCTCAACCTCCGCAAGCTTCTTAGATCTTATTACCTGCCATCTTAGAAGGTCTTCTGAAGCAGCACGATATGATCAAAAAATATATTGTATATTAAAGAACGACTGGCTGGACTTCCTTAGAACCCTGCTTCTGGTAATGAGTTGGGTGAACCTAGGTCTTTTCTGTGAATCACAGGAATAGGCAGTGAACAAATCTGTCTGTAAATTTCAGTGCACATCTTATTTGTACAAGTCAGTTGCGCTACTAACAGGATTTGGCTGTGAGCAAGAGAAACTGACTGTAGCTATTTGAAGGCTATGGGAGCTACAGAATTCACTGTAAGCTGGAAGGCTTAAATCGGCAGGAAACAAGGTAGCCTCAGTGGCCCAGAAGTGAGATATACAAAAGCAGTTCTTTACAGGAAGAGTCTGGCTAGTAAATAGTCCCATTGCTTCTACCATTGCGAATGAATTCTGGCCTTGCTTTCATCTTTCTGTCACTTAGGAATGAAAGTCCTAAGTAACGAGAACATCCATTTAGCTGAGGTTAAGTCATGTGCTATAACCCTGGTGTCCAAAGTCCAAGGGGACACATAATCTGGACTTTTTATTTTTTCTGTTAACTACACAGGAAAACATGGAAAGTTCCCTCCATACTGGAAAGAAAGTGTCTTTCTAGACAGATGTGGAATTTTGAAAGTCCTGCAGATCTTTACTGTTTTTATAAAACGAAAGCAATAATTACTAATTTTGACAATTTATTTTTAAAATTGAGATTTTTCTGGGGTATCATGTTGATGCTGGAGAACCCCACCACTATAATATATTACCTAGTTTTGCATGGAAAAGTAGGATAACTTTTCTAATTCCTAATATGTAAATGTGAAATAACACCCGCTGAATAGGATTATGTTAAGATACTATTTATAATGCCTTAAATACATTAACAAGTGCAATGCAAACACTCAATTTTTAAGTCTTTTTCTGCTTGGGCAATTTATTGTTTGGTGTGACCAGAATTTTTTTAAAAATTAACATTATTTTACTGCACAGTGATCCTATTTGTAATTCTAAAATATATGATATAGTTTTATTTTATTTTTTCTTTTACAGACAGGCTAGCCTCAATGAAGCAGCTGAGAAGTATTATGATCTGGCAGCCAGGCTGAGGCCTAATGTAAGTACTTCCCTAATGAGAAACATTTTCAGAGGGATAGACTCCAAGCATATGATAGGTGTAAGAAGCATCATGATACTGGTTTTTTGTTTTTTGTTTTGTTTTGTTTTGTTTTTTCTTTCTCCCTTTCTCTCTCTGAGCTCTTATTTTGAATACCTACTAAACAGCTAATTCAACAGTAAAATCTGCCGGCCTCAAGCTTCTTTTTCTAGAGGTAGATTTGCTGTCTTCTAGCCTGTATAAAGCAACATAAGATTTTTATCACTTGAACACCGGCTTTGGCATCACTCTAAATACTTTGTATTTGGATAACTTTTAAAATCAATTCCTTGAAGGGTTTTTTGGCTGTGGCATTAAATACCTATTATTGTTTGATTCTCATATATAGTCAGACCTCAAGCTGTATGCCTCTTTTCTATTCCACAGCCCTCATTTCTAATAACTGTGCTTTTCAACTTTATCAAGAATGTTTTTATTACAATTTTTCTCTGGGTAATCATGCTTCTATAAAGTAAGATGGATATAAATTAGATCTTTTCTATTGAAATAGAGTAACCATCTATAAGAAAATAAGAACTGGTTTTGCCTCGGTCTTCTAAGCATGTTTTATTTGCAACACATCTCTGAACTCCAACACATTGCTTTTATTTTCATATACCTTCTGCATCTCTCACCAATGCTAAAATCTTCTACCCTGTTCTTCACATCAAGACCATCTATTGGGAAATGTAATTTTGTAACAGTAATGAAAGTGCACATGTGATGTGAGTGCAAATAATGGGATCAGTCTCATTTCTTTATAGTAACTCATCCATTGGGCAAGCATCTATAGAGTGCCTGCTTTGTGGTAGAATACAGAGATTTTGTATCTTAAAGGACCACACAGTGTAGCAGACAAGACTGAACACAATCAACTAATTGAAATACAGTGTAGTGATTCTTATACAGAGGTATATACAGTCTTCTGGGAGCACAAAGAGGAGGATTAATGTTCCCTGAAAGAGACCTATGTGGGAGGTAGCTATTTTTCTTTTCAGGAGATTCATCCACTTGCAACCTTAGCCCTGAATCTCAACGCCTCGAAGTTTTATTTGTAGGGGCAAAAAAACATATCTTTTTCTTAAGCATCCTAAGGCTCATGGCTGAGACCCCTAAAACAAAAGAGAGATTAACAATAGAAAAGCATACAAATGTATTTAATATACATTTTACCTGATATGGGAGCCTTCAGAAATGATGACCCAGGAAAATATTTTTTATAGACATCATGCAGAAGTATGATTAGAAGACAAAAGGTTATGATCTCATGGTAATCAGTTGGGAGGAACTTAGAAAGTCCTGTTTGTTCTTCTTCTCTTTTTCCCTGTGTATTCAGAGATAAAGTGTTAATGAGGGTCTTATTACCTACCACAGGGGAGAAGGGAGGGAGAAAGTTATAAAATAACCCTCCTTCTTCTGCAGTTTTGTTTTTTTTTTCAGCTTAAAATACTAAGTATTACAAGGAACCATACTTTGGGTGGCTATTCTGAATGCTGTCACATTAATTATGAGATGTTTCAAGAATTGATAGGCAGTTTGCAACAGAAGAAAATAACTTAATAATCATATGTTAAGAACAATGACAGCTAAAATTTATTGAGCACTTATTATTATGTGCTAAGCACTGTGCTAAGTACTTCATTTCTCACAACAACCCACAGATACCTTTGTGATCCCTATTCTGTGGAAGGGCTGAGAAGTTAATAACTCACCCACCATCCAAACTAAATGGAATCACACTGTAACCCAGGTCACTGAATACATAAGAGAAAGCTTGGTGGAAAATATCTTAGAGAGGAAAGGCAAGCCAGAAATTTGGAAAACCTAAATAATGATAGTCATTTTATTTATTCAGTAATATTTACAGAGTACCAGGTATTACTTTAGGCAGTGGCTATACAGCAGTGAACAAAATGGTTAGGAGCTACAATCTAGTCTGAGGAGAAGGAGCTAGTATGTCAGACAGTGATAAGTGCTTTGGAGAAAGCTGGAGCAGCACAAGTGGGTTAAGAGTTACAGCAGGGAACGGGGTGGCATGCACTAGGCATGGTTTTGTAAATGCCCTAGTTGGGCAGCTTTGTGTAGTATTTCTAGGAAAAGGGTTGAATTTGAAGTCTTATTATTACAACTTCATTAAAGGCAGAGATCAGAGTTTTTCTTTTTTTTTTATTGCCTTCACATTAATAGAATGCTGTGAATATACATAATTCATGATAGTTAAATGCAATTGTTTTTTGAGTACTAGTCACTTGAGTATCATGTTGATTTTTGGTCAAGTGGTTGGTCAAATGACCATCTTCAGCATATTACAATGGATTCTTGAGAGAAGAACTACCTGAGCTATCTGACCTGAACTAAAAAATGAAAGACACTTGGATACTACAAGACTTGAGTCTGATTTGTGAAATAGTTAATTTTAAAAGACTAACCAAATCATAAAATCAGTATTTAATCTCCAACTCAAAGCCCTTTTTTTCTGAACCCTCAAAATGTTTCTTCATAAAACCACTCCAGACTGCCTTTGAAAATATGTTTATTCAAATGATACTTTCCTTATCTGGCAACAATACTTTTTAAATGGATGGGATAGAATAAAATGTTCATATTTAACAGTAAATAAATGATGTTACCATTGATGGATCAACAGATGTGGTTTTTTCCTAATCTATTTTCAGAATTGTGTTTTGACTTACAGTATGTGGTCTAGGTGAGTAAAACACCACAGCACAGAGGAAACAGTGATAAAATACAACCATGGCAATAATATAAATTTCTCCCATCTAAGTACTAACCAGCCCAACCCTGCTTAGCTTCCAAGATCAGACAAGATAGTAATATAAATTTCTGTTCTGAAATGAAGAGACCTATTTAAACAATAACCGTGTAATGATTTATTAGCAATGACACATCTGATCTGATTTAAAGCATTCATTTAACATTTATCCTGTTCATAGCTGTTTATTACCTTTATTCATAAAAAACATTCTTTGTTATTTCTCTGCTTTTAACTTAATTTGTTACCTGCCTATATGATAGCATAGCGAACAGACTTCAACTGCCGTCTTCTATTTAAATAGTTCCATTGTCTTTTCTAGTTTTATCCCCTACACAGTAATCTAATCTTACTCTTAATTTTTCTTCTAAAGCATTTTCTTCTATTTTTAAGTACCCCTGAGAGGGTAAAAATCTGTAGCTGTATGTGGGAGATTCTGTGAATGTTTCTGCAATGTTCATGTCAGGTCACTACTATACAAAGTAAAATATGAAGCTGCAACCTTCATTACAGTCACATTAAATAGCTTGCTGATTGTCTGTAGGATATTCTTTCTTAATAAAATACCTATTCCATTTCTTCAATATGTCCCATGATGAATTTCTTTATTTTTTCTATGATATGAAAGCCATATTTTCCACATAATTTACTTTGAAATTGTTAAATGTATTTTTGCATCATTTTATATATGAAGAATTCCAGTGATCAAATACTAAAATAATGAAAGATGTCTAAATTAACAGGCACAAAATAAGTTTTATATTCTGATACTGTCTCTTTATCAGAGATGTTTAATACCTTGTTGTTTACCAAAATACATAGTTAGAGAAGTCTATTTATTACAAAATGATACCATTACCATTTTAAAATTTTATTTACTTGATTTTTGGGGCTGATTGTCCTAAAATTAAACCTTATAATACATTAAAACATGTTTCTATAATAGGAAAACTCCTTACCGAAATTGCCATTTTAAGTTTTTTTAGTTTTAATTTTTTTTTGGTTTTAAATAAATTGACCTTTCTTTGGAGGTTACTTTAAATAGACAACAGTCTTCTCTGTCTTCTCTCTCACTAATGGGCATGAAAAAATGCTGACTCTCAAGGACTAGAGGGGATATTAAATGAAACTGCTTTGTTCTTCCTGTGGGAATTAAGCCAAATTCTGCATTAACTTATGGATTTTTAAAAAATGGTTAATGTGAAGAATGGGAAATTTGCATACTACAAAGTCACCTGCTTTTACTTGGCTTTTAGTAAACTCTAGAATTAGAAGAGGGTAATTACCAATGATAGATCTGTACATCTTGTATTTTGGGGAATGTAATTGTTTTTAGTATGAATTTATTCAACTTATTTTTTATCAAGTTCCAGCTTTATGTAAGACTGTGCCAAATGTAGTAGGATTTGAAAGTTATGAAAAATTAACCTTGTCCTTAAGAAATGTACAATCTAATGTGGGGAGGGAGTAGAGGAGAGAACACCGGAATTTCAATCCTCAAACATCAGGGCAGTAAATAATGGCATCTAATAAGTGCTTTGTGAGACACATGAGCTAGGTGTAAGCAAAGCGCACAGGAGAGAGAAATGACATTCAGCTGGATTGAGCTGAAGAGGCACTGAGTCACAGTTGACAAGCTAAAAGAAGGTTGAAATGATAGGATGCTTATAAGTAAGGATTTTAGCAAGAACAAGGAGAGAATTCTGGCAGGGAGAACTATACACATGAACTAGGGCAAGGGGAGGGTATGGAAAGGAAGGGTATAGGGGAAGATAGAAATGGAAACTAGCATAAAACTACATGAAAGGTAGTGGATACCATACTAAAAATGTGGAGTTTGTATTTTAAAATGTTATTAAGCAAAGTGACATAATGAAAATAGTAATTTAGAGTGGCGATTTATATGATGAATTGAAAAATGTCAGTTGTGTTTGAGGAAATAGAGTTGGGAGATACAGCCTTGGGAAAACTAAATAAAAGGTCATGGTAATAGTATAGGCATAAGGTAGTGAAACTAAAGTACAGAAATTGAGAGGAATGGAAAATAACATAAAGATAAATTAAGCAATAGATTATTTCAAAAGATCTGATTAAGATAATTAGTTGGCCACCATATATGTTCCAAAATTTTGATTTTAGGTAACCTAGAAGAAAAGAAATACCACAAATATAAAAAAATTGTAATCAGAGGGCTTTATTCTAAGAACCAAATGTTTAGACTGAGCAAATTCTGAGTGAGAGAATTTGCTTATTCTAATATTCTCATGGGGCATTCCTATCAAGGAAGGAGTTAGAAGAAAGGCCATAGTTAGGGATAGAGATGTGGGAGTCATTTGCAAAAAGGAAATGGTACCAAAGAATTGGGTAACATCAACAATGGAGGGAATATACAAAAGAGAAGAGAATCAATTTCAGGCATTTGGGAATTTCTACATTTTAAATTTCGAATAAGGAAGGCAGCCAAGACAGTGACAGGGCATAGAAACCAAAGTTAATGAGCAGGGAACCCTGCTGTAAAAAAAAGAAAAACAAGGACAGAAAAAATCCATCAACTTCTGAGAGTAAGGATATTTGTGCCCTTTGGGAGTGCAGTTTCACATAAGTGATGTGAGCAGTTAAGGAGATGAAGAATTGGAAGTGGGTGGTGTAAGACTTATGCAGTAATGATGTTTGGAAATAAATATTTGAATTTATTACAAATTAAAGATACATGTTGAGATGTTTGTGTCTGTGTGTTAAATAGGATACTAAAAATGTGTGTGTGCATGTGAATATGAGACTGAAAATGTGTCCAAGGTGAGTGGGGGGTGCAAAGGAAATATCAGAGATATTTAAGGGTTGCTTCCTCCCCAGTGACTGAAGAAGAAAAAGGAGACTGTGAAGATACAGAGGGGAAAACAAAACTAGAAATAGAGGGGAGGTAACTTTAGGTAGTAAATTATTTAAGTTATGGTCATTTGGTTATCTGCTAATCCTGTGGGGGAAGAAAGGATAGAATTTTATGTTAAAGACTCATGGACAACTGCATGTTCTGAGGAGCACAGTAGGTAATATTTGATGCAGGCCTGTACTATCTACATGGAATAAATAAGTACCAATGAGGACACATTTTTTTGGTGATCACTGGTAGATTACTTCTAGTTTGGACTCAGCTCTCTGATTTATATGCTAACTGTTGTATTTGCATTTTGCATTTCTAATATTTAGAATATTTTATAAATATTCCATGTGTATTTAGTATATATGAATTAAAAGGAGAATATCTTTCAAGGATTATGTTATCAATAGAGAACTTCATATATGCATTATGTCTTTCCCAGGTACTTAGAACATAAATTATTTCAGAACATTATTATAAAATCAAAGCCAGTGTTATCCATTTGGGCTCTTTAGCAATGATTATATGTCAAAAGATTAAACTGAGAAACATGGAAAGAGAAGAATCAAATAAATGAGCTTATTGACAAAAAGCAGCTGTGTTATGAGGTAGTCCACATATTCTGTAATGTATTACTTTCAATTTGACTATCATTTTTATAGTGAATATGGTAGTAGGGGAATGACTGTGGAGTGGAAATAACCACTAAGACTGAGCTCTGGGGGAAAAGATTATTTAATTGAGCTATTATTAATTGAAAGGATATAAAATTTCCCACCTATATATGTATGTTCTAATGGGAAAGATATTGTTCAACCCTAATTAGAACAAAAAAACATAAAACCAAGTTTAATGGGACAGATTCAGATTTTAACATATAAAGGATTATTATGTTGTTGGAAAAAAATGACAAGATTAATAATAATTTGTCTGGGAAGCAGTTAAACCACATTTCTGCTTGTAAATGGGGGAGGAACCACATGGTCTCTCCCAAAACTTTCCACAAGCTTCTGTGATGTGGGAATACTACATACCATATGTCTCCTGACTTTTAGGCATTGATTTTATGTGGATCCCACAATCACCAGATTGACTTTATGAGTAAAATATGTTTTAATACTGCACATATATATTTCACTTTGACTGGTTTTTTCAGTTACAAATACATCCATATATTTTGTTTATTTTTTTATTTATTATTTATTTTTCCATAAGTTGGGGTACAGGCAGTATTTGGTTACATGAGTACTTTAGTGGTGATTTGTGAGATTTTGGTGAACCCATCATCCGAGCAGTGTACACTGCACCATATTTGTAGTCTTTTATCCCTCGCCCCCCTCCCACTCTTCCCCACAAGTTCCCAAGGTCCATTGTATCATTCTTATGCCTTTGCGTCCTCATAACTTAGCTCCCACATATCATTGAGAACATACGATGTTTGGTTTTCCATTCCTGAGTTACTTCACTTAGAATAATAGTCTCCAGTCTCATCCAAGTCACCGCAAATGCTGTTAATTCATTTGTTTTTATGGCTGTGTAGTATTCCATCATATACATATACCACAGTTTATTTATCCACTCGTTGATTGATGGGCATTTGGGTTGGGTCCAAAATTTTGCTATTGTGAATTGTGCCACTATAAACATACCTTTTTCAGATAATGATTTATTTTACTCTGGGTAGATACCCAGTAGTGGGACTGCTAGATCAAATGGTAGTTCTACTTTTAGTTCTTTAAGGACTCTCCACACCATTTTCCATAGTAGTTGTACTAGTTTACATTCCCACCAGCAGTGTAGAAATGTTCCCTGTTCATCACATCCATGCCAGCATCTACTATATTTTGATTTCTTGATTATGGCCATTCTTGCAGGAGTAAGGTGGTGTTGCAGTATGGTTTTGATTTGCATTTTCCTGATCATTAATGATGTTGAGCATGTTTTCATATGTTTGTTGGCCATTTGTATATCTTCTTTTGAGAACTGTCTATTCATGTCCTTAGCCCATTTTTTGATGGGATTGTTTGATTTTTTCTTACTGATTTGAGTTTGTTGTAGATTCTGGATATTAGTCCCTGGCGAGATGTATAGATTGTGCAGATTTTCTCCCACTCTGTGGATCATCTGTTTACTCTGCTGACTGTTTCTTTTGCTGTGCAAAAAAGCTCTTTAGTTTAATTAGGTCCCAGCTATTTATCTTTATTTTTATTGCATTTGCTTTTGGGTTATTGGTCATGAAATCCTTGCCTAGAAGGGTTTTTTTTTTCAATATTATCTTTTAGGATTTTTTATAGTTTCAGGTCTTAGGTTTAAGTCCTTAATCCATCTTGAGTAGATTTTTGGGTAAGGTGAGAGATAAGGATCCAGTTTCATTCTCCCACATGTGGCTAGCCAATTATCCCAGCACCATTTGTTGAAAAGGGTGTCCTTTCCCCACTTTATGTTTTTGTTTGCTTTGTCGAAGATCAATTGGCTGTGTTTGGGTTTATTTCTGGGTTCTCTATTCTGTTCCATTGGTGTGTGTGCCTATCTTTATACCAGTACCAGGCTGTTTTGGTGTCTGTGGCCTTAGAGTATAGTTTGAAATCAGGTAGTATAATGCCTCTAGGTTTGTTCTTTTTACTTAGTCTTGCTTTGGCTGTGCAGGCTCTTTTTTGGTTCCCTATGAATTTTAGAATTGTTTATTTCTAATTCTGTGAAGAAGGATGGTGGTATTTTGATGGGGATTGCATTTAATTTTTTGATTGCTTTTGGCAGTATGGTCATTTTCACAATATTGATTCTACCCATCCATGAGCATGGAATGTGTTTCCATTTGTTTGTTTCATCTGTGATTTCTTTCAGCAGTGTTTTGTAGTTTTCCTTTAGAGGTCTTTTAACTCTTTGGTTAGATGTATTCCTAAGTATTTTATTATTTTTTTTTTTGCAGCTATTGTAAAAGGAGTTGAGTTCTTGATTTGATTCTTTGCTTGGTTGCTGTTGGTGTATAGAAGAGCTACTAATTTTTGTACATTAATTTTATATCCAGAAACTTTGCTGAATTCTTTTATTAGTTCTAGGAGCTTTCCAGAGGAGTCCTTAGTGTTTTCAAAGTAAATGATTATATCCTCAGTAAACAGTGACAGTTTGACTTCCTCTTTACCGATTTGGATGCCCCTTATTTCTTTCTCTTGTCTGATTGTTATGGCTAGGACTTCCAGTACTGTGTTGAAGAGTAGTGGTGAGAGTGGGCATCCTTGTCTTGTTCCAGTTCTCAGAGGGAATGCTTTCAACTTTTCCCCATTCAGTATTATGTTGGCTGTAGGTTTGTCATAGATGGCTTTTATTACACAGGGTACATCCCTTGTATGCCGATTTGCTGAGAGTTTTAATCATGAAGTGATGCTGGATTTTGTCGAATGCTTTTTCTGCATCTATTGAGATAATCACGTGATTTTTGTTTTCAATTCTGTTTATGTGGTGTATTACATTTATTGACTTATGTATGTTAAACCATTCCTGCATCCCTGCTATGAAATGCACTCGATCATGGTGGATTATCTTTTTTATATGTTGTTGGATTCAGTTAGCTAGTATTTTGTTAAAGATTTTAATATCAATAGTCATCAAGAATATTGGTCTGTAGTTGTTTTTTTTTTTGTTTTTTTTTTTGAGACGGAGTCTCGCTCTGTCGCCTAGACTGGAGTGCAGTGGCGCTATCTCGGCTCACTGCAAGCTCCACCTCCTGGGTTCACGCCATTCTCCTGCCTCAGCCTCCTGAGTAGCTGGGACTACAGGCAACTGCTACCATGCCCGGCTAATTTTTTTTGTATTTTTTAGTGGAGACGGGGTTTCACTGTTTTAGCCAGGATGGTCTCAATCTCCTGACCTCGTGATCCACCCGCCTTGGCCTCCCAAAGTGCTGGGATTACAGGCGTGAGCCACTGTGCCTGGCCTGGTCTGTAGTTTTCTTCTCTGGTTATGTCCTTTCCTGGTTTTGGTATTAGGGTTATGCTGGCTTCATAAGGGTTCCTTCTTTACCTGACTTGTAGAATAGTTTCAAAAGGATTGGTACCAATTCTTCTTTTAATGTCTGGTAGAATTCTGCTGTGAATCTGTCTGGTCCTGGATATTTTTGTTGTTGTTTTTGGTAATTTTTTAATTACCATTTTAATCTCGCTGCTTGTTATTGGTCTGTTTAGGGTATCTAATTCTTCCTGATTTAAGCTAGGAGGGTTGTATCTTTCCCGGAATTTATCCATCTCTTCTAGGTTTTCTAATTTATATGTGTCAAGGTGTTCATAGTAGCCTTGTATGATCTCTTGTATTTTCGGTGGTGTCAGTTGTAATAGCTCCTGTTTCGTTTTCTTAGTGAGGTTATTTGGATTTTCTCTGTTCTTTTCTTGGTTAATCTTGCTAAAGGTCTATCAATTGTATTTATCTTTTCAAAGAACCAGCATTCTGTTTCATTTATCTTTTCTATTGTTTTATTGTTTCAATTTCATTTAGTTCAGCTCTGATCTTGGTAATTTCCTTTCTTCTGCTGGGTTTGGATTTGGTTTGTTCTTGTTTCTCTAATTCCTCGAGGTGTGACCTTAGATTGTCAATTTGTGCTCTTTCAGTCTCTTTGATGTAGGCGCTTAGGGCTGTGAACTTTCCTCTTAGCGCTGCTTTTGCTGTATCCCTGAGGTTTTGATAGGTTGTCATTATTGTCGTTCAGTTCAAAGAATTTTTAAATTTCCATCTTGATTTTGTTTTTGACCCAGTGCTCATTCAGGAGCAAGTTTTTAATTTCTATATTTGCATGGTTCTGAAGGTTCCTTTTGGAGTTGATTTCCGGCTTTATTCCACTATGGTATGAGAGAGTGCTTGATATAATTTCAATTTTCTTAAATTTATTGAGGCTCGTTTTGTGGCCTATCATATGGTCTGTTTTGGAGAAAGTTCCATGAGCTGTTGAATAGAATGTGTATTCTACAGTTGTTGGATGTAATGTTCTGTATATATCTGTTAAGTCCATTTGTGTCAAGGTATAGTTTAAATGCATGGTTTCTTTGTTGACTTTCTGTCTTGATGATCTGTCTAGTGCTGTCAGTGGAGTATTGAAGTCCCCCACTATTACTATGTTATTGTCTAATTTCTTAGTCTATTAGTAATTGTTTTATAAATTTGGGAGCTCCAGTGTTAGGTGTGTATATGTTTAGGATTGTGGTATTTTCCTGGTGGACAAGGCCTTTTACCATTATATAATGTCCCTCTTTGTCTCTTTTAACTGCTGTTGCTTTAAAATTTGTTTTGTCTGATATAAATATTGCTACCCCTGCTCATTTTTTGTTGCCCATTCTCATGAAATGCCTTTTTTCACCGCTTTAAGTTTATGTGAGTCCTTATATGTTAAGTAGTCTCCTGAGGCAGCAGATGGTTGGTGAGTTCTTATCCATTCTGTGGTTCTTTTAAGGAGAGCATTTAGGTCATTTACATTCTATGTTAATGTTGAAATGTGAGGTACCATTGCATTCATAGTGCTCTTTGTTGCCTGTGTACTTTGGTTTTTTTTTTATTTTTTTGTTTTTGCTTTTTAACATGTATTTTTGTTTCATAGATCCTGTGTTTTGATGTGTTTCCAGGATTCTTTTCAAGATTTAGAGCTCCTTTTAGCAGTTCTTGTAGTGGTAGGTTGGTAATGTGTATTCTCTCAGCATTTGTCTGAAAAAGACTATCTTTCCTTCATATGATGCTTAGTTTTGCTGGATACAAAATTCTTGGCTGATAATTGTTTTGTTTGAGGAGGCTGAAGATAGGGCCCCAAGCCCTTCTAGCTTATAGGGTTTCTGCTCAGAAATCTGCTGTTAATCTGATAAGCTTTCCTTCATAGGTTACCTGGTGCTTCTGTCTCATAGCACTTAAGAATCTTTCCTTTGTCTTAACTTTGGATAACCTGATGACAATGTGTCTAGGTGAAAATCTTTTTGCAATGAATTTTCCAGGTGTTCTTTGTGTTTCTTGTATTTGAATGTCTAGGTCTCTAGCAAGGCCAGGGAAGTTTTCCTTGATTATTTCCCCAAATATGTTTTCCAAGCTTTTAGAATTGTCTTCTTCCTCAGGAACACCAATTATTCTTAAGTTTGGTCATTTAACATAATCCCAGACTTTTTGGAGCCTTTGTTCATATATTTTTATTCCTTTTTCTTTGTCTTTGATTGGGTTAATTTGAAGACCTTGTCTTTGAGCTCTGAATTTCCTTCTTCTACTTGTTCAATTTTATTGCTGAGAATTTCCAGAGCATTTTTCATTTCTAAAAGTATGTCTATAATTTCCTGAGTTTTTGATTGTTTTTTCTTTCTGCTGTTCTGTTTCCTTGAATATTTCTCCTTTCAATTCTTATATCAGTTTTTGGATTTCCTTGCATTGTGCTTTGTCTTTCTCTGGTGCCTCCCTGATTGGCTTAATAACTAACCTCCTGGATTCTTTTTCAGGTAAATCAAGGATTTCTTCTTGGTTTGGATCCATTGCTAGTGAACTAGTGTGATTTTTGAGGGGTGTTTAAGAGCCTTGTTTAGGCGTATTACCAGGGTTGGTTTTTGGTTCCTTCTCATTTTGGTATGCTCTGTGACAGGGAATGCCTAGAGCTGAAGGCTGTTCAGATTCTTTTGTACCACGTGGTGTTCGCTTGATGTAGTACTCCTCCCCCTTTTCCTATGGATGTGGCTTCCTGGGAGCCAAACTGCAGTGATTGTTGTCTCTCTTCAGGATCTAGCCACCCAGCAGTCTACCAGGCTCCGTGCTGGTACTGGGGGTTGTCTGCACAGCGTCATATGATGTGAACCATCTGTGGGTCTCTCAGCCGTGGATACCAGCACCTGTTCTGGTGGAGGTGAAATGGACTCTTTGAGGGTTCTTAGCTTTGGTGGTTTAATGCACTCTTTTTGTGCTGGTTGGTCTCCTGCTGGGACCATCAAGTGGGGGCAGGGCTAGGCGTGTCTGAGCCCAGACTCTCCTTGGGTGGGTCTTGCTGCAGCTGCTCTAGGGGATGGGGTTAGAGTCCCAGGTCCCTGGAGTTGTGTACCTAGGAGGATCATGGCTGCCTTTGCTGAGTCATGTGGTTGTCAGGGAATTGGAGGAAAGCCAGCAGTCACAGGCCTCACCCAGGTCCCATACAAACCAAAGGGCTGGTCTCACTCCCATTGTGCCCCCCAGCTACCCACCCATGCACACTAAACAGCCCAGAGTCTGTGTCTGTTTCCAGGTGGAGGGCGTGAGGTCTTGAAAACTTGCCCCAGGCTACCCACCTCCCAGCTGTGAAGGAAAAGGTTTGGTTCTTCCCCCGCCTTTGGAGTCTGCACACTGGATTTGCGCTCTCCCCTAAGCTCCCCGCTAAGTTCAGGCCGGGAGGCTTCATGCCCCATTCAGGTAGTTACAAAGTTCAGCTAGAGATTTCCTTCTCCCTGTGGAGTTTTACCCCCTGCTCCTCTGGCCACCCTCCTGATGGATCCCTGTGGTGTCAGGCAGGAATGGCCTGCTTGGGGACCGAGCGAGCTCCCAGGGCCTTTCTGCTGCTTCCTCTACCCCTGTATTTCACTCAGCTCTCTAAATTGACTCAGTTCCAGGTAAAGCCAGAAATTCCTCCCTCAAACAGACTTTCAGCTTCTCCAGTGGGGGTGTGTGTCAGGAGAGGAGGGTCTCCCTTTCCTACTTCCACAGTTGGGGCACTCACAGTACTTGGGGTGTCTCCCAGGGCCTTCAGGAGCAGTCCACTTCCTTCAAAGGGTCTGTGGGTCCTCTCAGGATTGCTGGATTGTTCTTGGAGTTGATCTGGAGCTAAAATTCACAGCTCAAACCTCCGCAAGCTGCTCTGTCTGGAGCTGCAATCTAGTCCTGCCTCCCATCCTCCATGATGATCTCTTGTCCATCTGTATATTTTATAGTTAGCAAATGATGTGAGGTAAATTGACAGACACACCCCTCCCCCCAAAATAGGTTTCAATCAAGAGAAGTTATTAGTTTTCCCCCACGTTTTATCTGTTTTTATTAATTGCAACCAGATATCATTGAAACAAGACCTTTGATCTTAGGTTTATTCACACTTACCCAAATTAGCTCCTCAAATACATATTCTACTTCAGTTCATAGATAGGCTTCATCACATTGTTATTACATATATTTTTTGCCATGTCAGTAGAAATTAAGTACCTAATTCCAGCAAGATAGATGTTCATTTCCCTGACAGCTTCAGTTAAGTCAGGATCAATTTTAGTCCCATCCTGCCCACATCTGTCTTCAAACTCCTTTCTACTCTAGATGTCTTTTCCAAATTATGTTCATGCTGCAGTATGCTGCAGTTATTTTCTTCTGACAGGTTACAAGTCTAGCTTGTGGTGCATTGACTTCTCTCTTCTGACATTTTAATTGCTTTGTGTTGTACTTCTGTTTTGCAGATTGACAAATCAGAAAAAAATGTATTTCTGAAGTGTTTACTGCTTTTCTTCTCTTTCTCAAATTGTGTAAGTTTCCATGCTTAGAAGACAAGGATAGTGAATACAACTCCCTTGTTTACTAACTGTTGGCGTGGGCAAGTTGCAGCCTAGACTGGGGTCAGATTGTCGCACTGACCTAAACTGAATTTACAGTTTTTCCAGGCTTGGGGTATTGTTATTCATCACAATCTACATGCAATCATTTTTAAACAATATTTTTTCAATATATATTTGTGTACTCTCTGTATATATGTGTGTTTTAGATTCACAACCAGAAAGATCAAGGGAGTTGAGGCATAGCAGGAACGTAAGTAGCTCTTGGCTATAAAGAAAATCAGCTTCAGTACTGTAGTTTGGGGAACATCAAAACCTTTGGGAAATTTCACTTAATTATGTTCTCTGATTCCAACATATTTCTTTTTACTCACATTTCTTTGTGGGGGTATCTTTTGCATGGAGTTATAGCTATAATTGTTCAAACTGGGACCACACACTAAAATTACAGTTAGTCTCTACTCCAAAGAAACCAGATTCCTGACTTCTTTGAAATTACAGCTGATGTAACCACACTGACCCACATTCCTACCTGGGAGTATCAGTTTGGGTGACTAGTGGCTGTCAACTTCAGAGGGCTATGCCCTTCCCCCATCGCCGGTCACCACATTTCTTATAATTCTCCTTGGTTGTTCCCATAGCCAGCTTCCTCCGTTTCTATTATTTTACAGGTATTTATGCTTTTCTAAATATACACTGAAACATTAAACTAAAGTTGCTTACATGTCTAAGTCTTTGTTCTCTCCCTCCTGCTTCTAATTCTCCCTGTAACACCCTCTTTTTCTGCTTCTTTACCTTTCCTGTACTCCTAACCCCTTATTAACTATCTGAACTCCAATCTATATTTACAGATAAATCATATTATACCTTATCCTAAAGACAAATAAACATTAGGCACATCATGAAAATTAATAGATTGATAGATTAATTTCTATTGAAAGTTCCATGTCCTTGTTAAAGAAGAAATATTCTAAGACTTTTTAAATGGAAAGGAGATTTTATTAAAGACTGTTATGAGAGGGGTCAAGACTATTGTGATAGGGGAGAGAGATTAGGCTCAACTCTATAGCAAAGACAGCTGGGAATTTATAGTGAAAGAGTTCAGAAAATGCTACCCCAAATATGGTATCTTGGCATATTGACGTTGTTTAAGCTGAAGGAATTTGAGAAATGGCATGTGCAGGAAGGACTGTCTGAACTTCCACTGCGGCAGCCATAAGACACTCATGGGAGTGGTGCCCGTGCTATGCCTGGAGGATAGGCACTTTCTTATCTCCAAAGGTGAAGTGAAACCAAGAGGAACCCGAACAAACAGACCTTGCCCGGTTCTCCCCTAGTGTCTTACACTTAGCTCATATCCCTTTGTCCTATCGTATTTCTCTACAACTTTCTAATTTTCATCAAACCTACCATAAAACACACTCAGGTTTATAAGGATGTCTTCAATTCTATATGAAGGCTGTCATATTATGTAAAACTTATGTTAAATTCTTATGTGTGTTATGAATTATTACCTAATTTTTTTTTACCTTGTTAATGTGTCTTTTTTTTTATTTTATTTTTTGAAACAGAGTCTCACTCTGTTGCCTAGGCTGGAGTGCAGTGGTGCCATCTCAGCTCACTGCATCCTCTGCCTCCCGAGTTCAAGCGATTCTCCTGCCTCAGCCTCCCAAGCAGCTGGGACTACCGGCACACGCCACCACGCCCAGCTAATTTTTGTATTTTTAGTAGAGACAGGGTTTCACCACATTGGCCAGGATGATCTTGATCTCTTTACCTCGTGATCCACCTACTTCGGCCTCCCAAAATGCTGGGATTACAGGTGTGAGCCACCATGCCCAGACAATCTGTCTTTTTTTTTTTTTTTTTTTTTTTTTAACAGGGGCCTCAGCCAAAGAACCTAAGATGGGTGGAAGGAAAATATATTTTTCCTCCCCCCCACAATACCTAACTAGCACAGTGAGTGAGATCAGTGAATGGAAAATTTCTAAGGGACAACATCAAGGGTAGGAGAATTCTTGCTGAACTGACTTAGCAGGGCTCTCACTGAAGGTAGGCCAGGTGATCGGATATCAAAAGGTGGGGGATGAGAAATTTGATAAGACAAACAAAGGTGATCAGATATCGAGGGTGGGGGGATTCTTGCTAAACTGACTTAGCATAATTTTTGCGGCAACTGAACTAGCCAGGCTGATGACAAGACTCAAGGATGAGGCCTAGTCCTCTGTATAAAGGCTTAGAGGAGGCTGTCTAAAGTTTGGTCAAAGAGAGACTTTGTCATCCTGGATGACATTAATTTTCTTAGACTGGGTTGTTATACTGTTAAGCTCCTTATTCCTTGGGAAATGTGGGAATCAACAGCTGCTCTTTATTCCTTGAGAAGGATTTGATTAAATATATTGCCATAACATCATGTTTGATAAGCCTGAGAAGAGAACCGAGAAGACTGACATCATCAAGAGGGAAAAAATATGTGCTGCAAAATTTTTCAGTTTTTGTCGTATAAACAGCTATTATTTTCTTAGATACCAAATGCCAACAAATATCTGCTGTGGAGCAGTATTCATAGTTTTGTAAGTAATAGTGAACCTGCATTTTTGGTGATACCAAAAAGTAAAACTATAGAGAATTCAGTTTCTTAACTATATATAATTCTATGTTTTAAGTATTCTTAATTTATATTTACATTTATGTTTGACCAGCTCTCATATGGTTTTTATCTTCACTCTTTTATTCTGTCACTTTCTTTAATGATCTATACTGAAATGACTCTGAGATGCTGCTTTACAACATATTTACATTTCCTTTTTGAAGAGTAAATAACAGGCTAAGGAGGGCAAATATGGTGACATTAGAGACCTTGTAATAAGAAATAATTAGAAATGATCCTTTACACTACATTAGTTTTATTTGGAAAGTAAATTGTTCAGCTTAGGAATGCTGACTTTTAAAGAGAGAAGCAATTTTGAAAAAAAAATCATTAGCATGATTTACAAAATATATATGTATAAGCTACTAATACAATTAATAACTACAAAAAATTAATTGCTTAGATCACAGGAAGAGATGAGAACAGGTCTCAACAAGTTCTAGGATGGATACATTTAGAACATTACTGCTACTTCTATCAGTTATTTTTTTTTCTTATTCATCAGTCCAAGTTGATTTATCATTATCTACTTAAGTGTTTAATCATGTAAGAGATAGTAGATCTTCCCCTATGGAACCTACACTCATACTGCAGTTTATTTCTTGATTATATTTATAATTTTCACTTGTTGTTTATAGCATAAGGATTCTAATAAAACTCACTAAAACAAACCTAATAATTCTCCCAATATAAGAATTTAGTTTTTGTGAGACAAATTATTTCTTTTAAATAGATAGTGCATTTTCCACTATAATTCCAGGAACCAATGGCTGCTTTCCCTTTTTCTCAACAGAGTTCAAGTATCATTTCCCAAATTGTTAAACCATTTATTGTATTTTTGTTATAATAGATTTTACCTTCTACAACTGTTTGCTTTTACTTGTAACCACGGGTACACTATGAAACTATCAGCAAATTAGACAGACCAGCAATAACGAATAAATATATCATAGGCATTCATACTTCCTCACTCATGATTGGATACACTTTTAAAATAATACCAGAAGTTATAGAAACTATTTGGAAAGTGTCAACATACAAATATTGAAAGACCAAAAAGGTTTTAAAATGCATTTCTGTAGGTCACTCTACCTAAACAACAAATCCAAAATACATGGACATATATCTTAATTTATTTGCTTTCTTAACAGAAAAGAGATTATTTAGAATTTATAATTTCTTACCTATATTGAGTTACCATTCTGTACATTCTGCATAATTTTTTATATAGTTCTTTAGGCTAAAATTGAGAGAAATAGATTCCTTAGGCCTTGAGGATGGAATTATTTTGCTACCAAAGGAAGATTCTGTACTTTAATTAGCCTTGGAAAACTTTACTAGAAACATGTGCGTGTGCTTAGTTTTCCCTTCATTGCATAGTACAACATTATCATTTTATTTTCCAGTATACTGATTGACACAGTAACTCCCAACAGTTTTCTCCAGCTGGTGAACTTTAATGAAGAACAGATGATGGATTATACCCTCAGCACTATAGTACCACATCATTACTTTAAACCTATTATGATTACACTTGAATTTGTATAAACTGTATCTCCATGTTTAAAAGTTAGGAATCTTTTTTACACAGTGATATATAAACAAATGTTCACTTAAATGGGAATCATAGTCTTGAGAGGGTCAAAACTGATAATGTGTATTTAAACCACTACTACAGATTCACCTTTCTCTCTCTCTCTCTCTCTCTGTGTGTGTGTGTGTAATGAATGATTAGCTAAGATTTTTATATCTGTAATTTGTAGAATAAACACGATAATGTTGGATACCATAAAATTGTAATTTAAAAAATTATGAAGTGTCAGCCTAACAGCATCTGCACCGATTAAACATTAAAAGTCTCCCCAGTTTTTATAGATGGAGAAACAGGTAATGCAGTTTGCCACAGCTAGTGGCAGAAACAGAATGCAAACCCCAGGCAGCCGGGTTTTTGAACCTGTGTCTAAACTCCCTACTTCATGTGTAACATTACCTACCAAAAGTACAATCACCATTATAAATAAAACCCAGGGCACTGAGATCACTGGACAGTTCTTGTCTAAAATATAGTGATCCAAATTGTCCAGAGTATCTAATCATTAATCATTAGAGTGGAGAAGTGCTGTTCTTCAAAACTGACAAATTCTTGAGGTTAATTCACAGACCCTTGAATATATGCCTATAACCCATCCCCCACCACATGGTCTATGGATTCCAGTTGGAGAAACAACACTGGAAAAGTGAAATGACACAGACTTTAAAGCCACACAAGCAGAGTGTCAAATATATGTCAGTTGCTAAAACAAGCCCTGTGGATATAATGAGAAATAGTGGTGTTGTGGTCCCTATCCTCTCAGAGACAGTAAATGGGCTTATATCATGACCAAAAGTCTTAGCCTTTAATTGTTACATCATTTTTATGAGTATTTTATCAAGATTATAAGTCTGTAAAGTTTGCATCTTCAACAGCTTATGCAACAATGTCTGAAAATGCAAGAACTCAGTCACCTTCTCATGTTGTATCTTCAAAGACTATTTAGGAACTTCAAGAAACATACCAAAGAGTAAAATTATTATTTCTTATTGCATGTAACATGTGATTACTTTGCTCTGGCCTGACTCATTATTATGCTAAATATGCTTGTCACATTTTTATAAAAATAATTTATTTCCTTTTCTTTAACAAGCCCTCAGCAAAACTGAAGCAAGCTAAATGATGTAGTGAAATGTTGGCTTACGATTTGGAAGCCAGATACTTTCAATAACAGATTCTCACTCACTTGCCTGGCCGTTTGTTTGGGAATCCTTTTTATTACCAAATAAAATGAGAGATGGGAGAATGATCTGGATGCATCACATCAGATTTTATTTCTACTATATATGTTTATTTTGATAAATCTAGAGAGATGTTTGAGAAAAAGTTCATATAGTACAGATTTTGTGATTTCAAATCTGGTACAAAATGTTTAAATACACAGGAATCTAAAATTCCCCTACATATAGATAAAGCAACATACATTCACCTTTAAGAAAATTTCCTGAGAAGGAAAAAAATAATCTACTTAGAAATATGCTAAATTGGGCTGGGCGCAGTGGCTCATGCCTATAATCCTAGCACTTTGGGAGGCCGAGGCAGGAGCATCACTGGGGTCCAAGGGTTCGAGACCATCCTGGGCAATGTAACAAGACCCTGTTGTTACAAAAAATAAAAAAAATAGCCAGGTGTGGTGATGTAGTTAGAGGGTACAGTGAACTATGATCACACCACTGTACTCCATCCTGGGCAACAGAGTGAGACCCTATCTCTAAAAAAAATTTAAATGGCTTTAATGAAATTTTATTATTAGAGTATTATAACAAAAAGCTTTTACTGGGTAATTCAGAATTTATAATATTTACTTTTAGCCCTTAATATTAATTTGTTCGATTGTAGTATTTCTTTCATCTACATTGAAGCTGCTGAATATGATGATGTTTATGTAGTAGAAACTATAGCTTGAAGATGTCATATGACTCAATTCTTTTTAAAACATCATTTGAATTTTCAGCTCTGCTTTAATGCAAATGTGTTACCTCCCCAAACATGTGTGCTGTATCATTTAAAGTGTGCTAACACATGCTAGGCTCTGAGAAGAACCAGAATTCTGCCAGATGGGTATTTGTGATGTTCTTAGACAAGTCAGAGTCCCTTAAGGAAGGACCATGGGATTAATCCATACAAAACATTATGATACACACCGTCCCTAAAGTTTGACAATCAAAGTGCAAGTCCTTAAAGCCCATTTTGAACTAAATGTTTTGATAAAGTACTCGTGCAGAGAGTTATACTATCCTTGACAATATAGACTGTGCTTTCAGGTATATATCAAGTTTTTATTTAATACTATATTTTCAGTAATAGCCATAGGTTAGCCTGTGTATGCTATATCTCAAAAGTATAAATCTTAATCATGAAATGTATTCTGTGTACAATAACAGCATCAAATTTATTAAATAAGTATGTGCTGTATTCTGTTCATGATATGGCAGCATATAAAAAAGCTGTTCACTCCCAGCATAACACTTCACAAAGAAACTGGGTTTTTGGGTTTTGCCTTCCTAAATTTATAGAGACATGTGGAGCACATAGGATTTGTCTGTTTACTTGGTGTTGCTATAAATAGCATGCCTCAGTGACGTCCCTATTTGGAAGAGCATTTTATACAGTGAACTTCCAGTGGAATTATGTCATATTCACATGTCCTGGTAGGCAATACCGCTTAGCAGTTTAGGCTCTGGAATCAAAAGGGTTAAACAGTAAACGGGGCTTCATCTACTTCTGGGTCTGGGATCTTCTGCCTGCTGCATAACATTCCTAGATTTCATTCATCCACTCTGTAAAAGGAGGTGGTAATATGATAATTAACTCAGAGGGCTTTTTACGGGAATGGGTAACCCATAGAAAGCATTTAGAATGCTGCCTGGCCCATAGGAAGTGAAGTGCTTAATTATTTACATTACAGGAATTTGTCTGTATATTATTCAAACAGAATGAATTTTAAAGAAGTCAGTTCCGCCTGCCAAGCTACATAGACAATGAGCAGATTGGCATTATCTGTCTCTGGTTCAAACATACTTCTTCCTTAGGGCATTTATACTTGCTTTTTCTAAAATTGCCATGCTTTTTCTCCAAGAAACAATGTGGCTTGCTCGGGCAGTAACTTAAATACCTGCTCAAATAGCATCTCCTATCATTGAGACTTTGCATCCCCAGCACTCCCTCTCTTTTTCTGCTGTACTTTTTCTCCCTGGTGCTTATTCCCATCTACGGTCTGTGTATTTCTTTACATATTTGTGTTATCTGCCTCCCCTCTCTAGAACATGAATTCTGTGATGGCAGGTACTTGGTTCTTCTCACCTTGCTTTCCCGAGCGCGTAGACTGGTGCCTAAAGATTCTCAGTCAATATTGTGAAGGAATTTGTATGAAGCTGTTGTCCTCTCTGTGCCAACTTCTTGTGCTTTCGTAGGGTGGACATCTTGCAGCACTGAGTGTGGTTCTAACATTTTAAACATGTTAAAATTACATCCTCCACTCCCCTCAATAAAACTAGGGCTCTAAATGCAAGCCAACCACAACATGGGATGCTCAGCACAAGACAGCAGTCTTTTACAGTGTTGGAAATAAAATCAAAACACAACAAAACTGACTGCCAAGAGCACATTGAGAGGCTGTACTTCAAGGTTTATTTCAAGGGGAAATTCAAGTGATTTTTAAGAGACTTTCAAAGATAATGTCGACTTTTAACTCTTGCTGAATGGAGAACCTAGAAATCTTCTCTTTTTACCCCCGACACGTATCCTCTGGGTCTTTTGGTTCTCCCCATCTCTCTGTGTGAGTATGAGGAGATGGTGGTCACAGTGAACTAGGAGCTCTATTTAATTTTGAATGAATTCATACTCCTGAAATTCAGAATCACTCAGATAGTTTGAGCTCCTGTTAAGTGTTTATAAATTCAGATTCTGAAACACAGCCCATAGTAGAAGTAACAACACATGTAATGGAATACATGGATACAAATCTTTGGGACAGCTATTATAGAGTTTTTAATGCTAAATAGAATGCACATATAATATAGAAAAGCTGTATAACCCTTTAACTTTGCTTGGCCTAATGGCATACATATTTTTTATCCCCCCTATTATATTACTTTTAAAAACATAACTTACATAATAAAGGTAGAAGCTTTTTATTTCCCTCAGTTTTTATTAAAAACTTGCCAGTCGTTTTCAAAGAAAACCCCAAAATGACATCTGTCTCACTCAACAGGTGATTTGCCCTATATAAGATTTCTTTTAAAAAAAGATAATAATGATGATGGAAACATTTCAATGCTGAAAACAAAGGTATGTGAAAAATTTTAGGATACGAATAATGAGCCAGAAAGTTTTCCTATCATTAGTCAATTTTATAAGAAGAGGAAAAAAGACTAAAATTCAAAACATGTTTTCCTGTGCTATTGTCTGTGGATGACCTACTTGATATTTGGAGCCAAAATAAGAGGAAAACACCAGTGGAGGAGGAAATGACAAATATTACTGGCAAGGCACCTACACTGAAGGGGGACAGTGTGCCTAGCACCTAACAGGACAAGGCACAACTCTATAAATCAGTGATTTTGTGTCAACCATAAGACTAAGAGAAATACCCTGCACTTTTAGAAATCTGACTATGGTGGAGGAATAATTTTAAAGATGTGAATAACAAATTGGCTAAGCCTGCATGCTTTCTGGGGAGAGTATTTTTTCCAGAACTTGTGCTGTCAGTGCAGCTAGCCTAGTCGTGGATCTATTGGGTAAGTAAAGCAAGGTCCAGAGTGTTGACTGCACCTCTTATGTAGGGGTTGGTTGTGATTTTTATCTTTAATGGGGTCATTGAACCCTCTCCATCATGGGCGAAGAGCTCTCTATTTTAATCCTCTCTGCAATTTCTATTTGCTGTTTGTTCTGTGAGTCCCTTTGGCTGAAGAATTTTAAAATAAGGGGGGAAATATCAAGGAGTTTGGTTACATTTTGCTAACTATGCCTCTGAGAAAAGGTGTTGATGAAATCAATGTTTGTTCTGACTTCCCGTGACAGATAAGACTTACCAAGCATTACCCTTTATCTGACTTACCTTTTTCTCATAGCCTTTTTATTTGTCCCAGAGAGAACGGGCATAGTTTTTTAATTGCAGTCAGAGACAGTTTTCATCATGCTACAAACCATTTTACATCCAAGATTTTTCTTTCGGATTTCATTTGTTTTTGAAACCCAGCTTATAAAATGGGGAAATAGTGGTGTATATTCACTTGTATGGAGAGTAATATTTCTTTTGCCTTGAAAACATTGCCCTCTGTGCTATCAAAAATAAAGTGCCATGAAAAATAGTACCCACAGAAAAATATTGACATTTGAGAATTAACCATCTGAGCTCAATTTCTTACAGATCTTTTAAGGCCTTTCCCAACATGGTATTCTTGAACTGTATGTGGAAATAATAGGGTGAATTTACTATCCAATTAAGACTGATAAGAAAGTCATATTTGACATTCATTAAATAAACTCAAGGCTACATCCACTCTGGGACTCTTTGTTTTCAGTTTTCTATAATTTTCTTGCTTACAATAAATGCTAATAAATTTCCTACCACAGTAAAGGCAATAGTGGTATAGTTCTATTATTTACTGCTGATTTTTAAATCTATCTCCTGTCATGGACCTTGATCACAAATGTTATTTGTTGGGAATATAAAAAGTAGTCTTGCCTTTGTGTAATAAAGTGATTCTCAACCTTGGCTGCACATCACGAATTGCCTAGGGAACTTTTAGCCTATTGAGACCTAAGTCTTATCAGACACTCTGATTGTTTTCTTTTTTTTTTTTTAATTGAAAAGTAAACTTTACTGTTGAAAATGCCAACTTGGGGAGGGTAGAAAAATCACACACAAGGCTGCCACTTCACACCTGGAGGGTTGCACGGTGGCCGGGCAGAGGTGCTCCTCACTTCCCAGACAGTGGGGCGGCCAGGCAGAGGCGCTCCTTACTTCCCTATGGCGCAGTGGCCGGGCAGAGGTGTTCCTCGCTTCTCAGACAGTGGGGCGGCCGGGCAGAGGCACTCCTCGTTTCCCATATGGAGACACTTTGATTTTAATTGGTCAAAGACAGAGCCCAGGATCCTTTTTGTAAAGCTCTTCAGGTGATTCTAATGTGCAGTTAAGATTGAGGACCTCTGGTTTAATGCACAGCATTCTGTTCTTGATGGGCGTTGGTTCTGTCACCCAGTTCCAGACAAACTGCTGTGTGACCTTGGGCATCGACTTAGACTCTCTGTGTTTCAGTTTCCTCATCTGTCCAGTGAGGTATTAATTAACAGCATAAAAATGCCTCAAAGATATGGCAAGTTCACTTTCAGACCACTGCAGTAGAGCAAATATCACAACAGAGTCACACAAGTGTTTTGATTTCCTGGTGTTTTGATTTTATGTTTATGGTATAAACATAAAACATGTTTATACCATACAGTCATCTATTAAGTGTTCAATAAACATGATGTTTAAGAAAACAATATACATACCTTAAATAAAAAACATTTTATTACTAAAAAATGCTAACGGTCATCTGAGCTTTCAGATAGTAGTAATCTTTTTTTGCTGGTAAAGCATCTTGGCTCACATTAATAGCTGCTGACCCATCAGGGTGATATTTGCTGAAGGCTGGGCTGGCTGTGGCAGTTTCTTCAAATAAGACAACAATGAAGTTTGCTGCATGGATTAATTCTTCCTTTCACAAAAGATTTCTCTGTAGCATGCAATGCTGTTTGATAGCATTTTACCAACAGTAGAACTTCATTTAATATTTGAGTCAGTCCTCTTAAACTGCTCCACTGCTTTGTCAAATAAATTTATGTTATATTCTAAGTCCTTTGTTATCATATCAGCAGTGTTTACAGCATCTTCCCCGGGAACAGATTTCATGTTAAGAAACCACTTTATTTGCTCATCCATCAGAAGCAACTCCTCATCCATTCAAGTTTTTTCCTGGGCTTATAATAATTCAATTACATCTTCAGGGTCCAGTTCTAATTCTAATTCTCTTGTTCTTTTTACCATTTCTGCAGTTCCTCCTCCACTGAAATTTTGACCCCTCGAAGTCATCCATGAGGGTTGGAATTAACTTCTTCCTAACTCTTGTTAAGGTTGATATTTTGACCTCTTCCCATGAATCATGAATGTTGTGAATGGCATCTGGAATGGTGAATCCTTTCCAGAAGGTTTTACTTTGCCCAGATCCATCAGAGGAATCACTATCTGTAGTAGCTATAGCCTTAAAAATGTATTTCTTAAGTAATAACACTTGAAATTTGAAATTGCTCTTCGATCCATGGCTGCAGAATGGATATTGTGTTACAGAAAGGTAAACAACGTTAATTTCCTTGTGCATCTTCATTGGAGCTCTTGGGTGGCCAGGTGCATTGTCAGTGAGCTGTAATATTTTGAAAGGAATCTTTTTATCTGAGCAGTAGGTCTGAACAGTGCACTTAAAATATTCAGTAGGCCATAGTGTAAACAGATGTGCTGTCACCACCAGACTTTGTTATTCCATTTATAGAGCACAAGAGGAGATTTAGTGTAATTTGTAAGGGCCCTAGGAGTTTTGGAATAATCAGTGAGCACTGGCATCAACTTAAGGTCACCAGTTGCATTAGCCCCTCACAAGACACACAGTCTGTCCTTGAAGCTTTGAAGCCAGGCAGTGACTTCTCTCTGGCTATGAAAGTCCTAGATGGAGTCTCCTTCCAATAGAAGGCTATTTCATTTACACAGAAAATTTGTTTAGTACAGCCATATCCATCAATGATCTTAGCTAGATCTTCAAGATAACTTGCTGCAGCTTCTGTACCAGCACTAGTAGCCTCACCTGGCATTTTTATATTATAGAGATGAACCTTTCTTTAAATTCCATGAACAAACCTCTGCTAGCTTCAGACTTTTCTTCTGTAGCTTTCTTATCTTTTAGCCTTCATAGAATTAAAGAGAGTTAGGGGCTTGTTCTTGATTAAGCTTTGGCTTAAGGGAATTTTCCAGCTGGTTTGATCTTCTGTCCAGACAATTACATCTTTTTTTTGTATCAGCAATAAGGCTGTTTCACTTCCTTATCATTTGTGTGTTCACTGGAGTTTCCTTTGCATTTACAACTTTGCTAACTATTTGATACAGGACACAGAGCTTTTGGCCTGTCTTGCCTTTTGATAGGCCTTCCTCACTGAGCCTAATTATTTCCAGCTTTTCTTTTATAACGAGAGATGTGCAACTCTTCTTTTTACTTGAACACTTAGAGACCAAAAGAGGATTATTAATTGGCCTAATTTCAATATTGTTGTGTCTCTAGGAATGGGGAGGCCCGAGGAGAAGGAGAAAGATGGAGTAACAGCCAGTCTATTGAGCAGTCAGAGCACACACAACATTTATGGAATATATTTACTCTGTTATATGGGCATCCCAAAGGAATTCCAGTAATAACATCAAAGATCACTGACCACAGATCATCAGAACAGATATAGTAATAATAAAAGCATTTGAAATGGCAAGACTTCTCTTCCGGGTTGAGCAGGTATATACACACCTGTGCCCAAAAGTCAAGGGAGCTGAGGGGCTGAAGAAAGAGGCTGATGAGTCCAGTTTCTCAGAAAGAAATATTTATTAGGGACTTAGAAGCAGTATCTCAGGCATCCATGAGATATAGGATGCATGAATCCACCCTCCAGAAAATACCTTTTTAGTTAGCAAATATTTAGGGCAAAGGCTTGTGCAGCTGGTCATATCTCATACTTCCTTGCCAAAATCATGACCACGGGGGAAACTAAATAAGCACCTTTATAAACTATGCTACCAGCATTGTTTAAAGACCTTGCTGCAGAACACTTTGGTTTGTAGGAGTCAAATATCGGTCATCATGGTGGTTTCACTTCAAGATGGCATCACCCTTGCCAGGCAATAGGCTGTTTTCCTACAACTTCCTAACTTATGCTTTTTTGGAGCATCCGTTCGTTTGTACTATTTTATAAAACTCTAAAATGTTTGCTTTTATTCTGCTATAGCAAGCTAAGTGTTATTTTACACAAATTAACTTGATTTCTTCATTATATCCATTGCATGGGGTTGGTGTGAGAATTATTCAAGAAAACTGAACGGCACATAGTAAACACTCAATAAATGTCACTATAATTATTGCATTTATTAGCTTTATGCTACTATGGCTATTATTAGTTTTATGGTGTTTCAGGTGTTAACTAATTCACACACATTTTTATATTTTTTATGCACCTTTACACAAACTAAGTAGTCACCAGGGTACCATAAGTACCCCGAAACTAAACCAAACAAATAGTAATAGGCTGCTCTTAAGCCAGCATGAGGCCTAGGTAGGGAGTGTAAGAACAAAAACATAAGCCATGTACTAATTTTTAGAATATTTATAGTCTCATGGAGAGAATTTCAGTTTGAAGCATTGGACAGTGGTGAGCAACAGGAGATTCTCAAAGCTCCAAATGTGGATCTCGCATAAGCCATGCCCTTTTTGTAGACAATGCTGACTCAGGGTCTTCAGTCATGTACATTGGCTTGATAATAGCAAAAAAAACAAAAAACAAAAAACAAAAAAAAAAAAACTATTTTAATCTCATTTTTGTCCTTCTTCACGTGCTCTTTGTACTCCTTATATTTTGCAGAATTCAGTGCATATATCCTATAATTGCATTTTGCAGGAGCTTATGGGCTCCAACTTGAGTCGTTACAGCAGATAGAAAAGGCAAGTGTCTTCCAGTTCCCACATTTAACATTTTTTCTGTCTTTATTTTCACACCAAATCCTTAATAATGAGGTCAGAAAGGGTATGGACAGTCATAATATTCCATGAGATTGTTAACTGTAGTTTGGATGTTTTAAGTGTGGCATTAACATATCTAATTTTCAGAAGCTTTAGAAAGGGAAGATTAGATGTAGATATACTTTCCTAGATTTAGTTTGTGTCTTGAAGACATTACATAAATCCATGTGCTGAGTGAAGGAGAAAAGAAAGAAACCAATTACAGTTAGAGAAATCAAATGAAATATAATCACCACAGTACTCTATTTTAACATCATATCCTGCTAAGAGTGTCACATTCATGCCCTTTAGAGAGAAAACTCATTTGCTGTAATTTAATATTGAAGGTTCTGTTTCCATTGTTATGCATTGAGAGTCATGCAGCTGACATATCACAAGTCTTTGCATAAAGTTAACCTTTTTGGTTAACATGATTTTCTATGATCAGCTCTTTCTCCTGAATTCCGAGAGTTTATGAATGGCACCATATCTGTCCAGACACTGAAGCAAGATACTTAAAAGCAGCCCTAAGTCCTTCATTTTGCTAGGCACTCTACCTCTCATTTCTCAAATCTGTCTTCCCCCTCCTCATCTTTGCTGCATTGCCTTTGTATTGGCCCTTTCCATGCTCCTACCATTGCACAGTTGCCTGCTTCCTTCTTAGATCCATTTCCTGGATTGCTGCACAGTGATATTTCTAAAGTGTAATTCTAGCTACATCACTCTCCTGAATTAAGTTCACACTTGTCAGATTCCTCTTACACCAGCACTCCAGACATTGAACTGTTCATAAATCAACAAATACATCCAGCCATATCAGGCATAAACGAGATAGCCCGGGGCCTTAACATACTGTGACTGTCAATTTCACATTGCTTTCAATATATAAATTTCAGTAGCTGAACATTACCACTTACATAATTTTAGGGTATCCATAAAAAATAGCTGTATGTTCTACTTAAGTGTCTGGGTGGTTTGTTAATCACTGCAACCAGCCTTCCTCTGTCTAAACGTGCTTTGTTCTAAAGCCCAGCACATCATACTTTGCCCTCACTTCATGCTGTTCTCCTCCTGTGCTTTGCCCCCAAATCCCCTTCTTTAACTCCCTTTTGCACAGGTGACAGTAGTCTTTGGCATTGAACTAAACATTTTAAGATGGTGAAGCATAACCAAAGATGATTTCGAAGAAGAAAAAAACTTACCCAAGATATTATCACCATTTTGTCAAATTTTACTCTATAAATAAATATTTATTTCATTTATTTGTTTTTTCCCCAAACTACTGTTATAACAGTGCTGCAGAAAGTCTCCTTTTGCATATTTCCTTACATATTTTTTTACTTCTCTAAGATAAATTTCCAAAATTATGATTGGGGAGTCAAAGATGAACATTTTAAAATCTTAATAGTTGCTATACTGCCAGATTATTTTCCAAAAAGCATAGCAGTTCACATTCTCACTGGCACAATTGCTGAATTTGAATAATGTCCATTTTTTATGTTATTATTGACCTGAAGAATTAAAGTTGCTATCTTACTGTTTCAAGTTACATCTTTTTGGCTACTACTGTGGTAATAACAGGTATTTTCATTTATGTATGTATTATCATTTGTCATTTTCTGTGAGACTTGATTTTCATATCTTTTGCACATTTTTTAGTGAGTTTTGTTACTGTATTAAGATCTCTGTCTTTTCTACTATGGCATTTGTGTTACCTGTCTTGTTTGAGAAGGCCTCCCTCACACTGAGATTTTGTTAAGTTAGATTTTTAATTCATATGGAATTTATTCTTTTATGGTTTCCAGATGGAGTCCATATTGAGATTGTGTTACAGCTATTAAGAAGCACTCACCCTTCTTTTAAGCTTTCATCTGGAAATAGATATGTGATTAGTGAAAATGCAAGTTGTAGATTTATCCCTGTAGTTAAACACAATTGGCATATGTGCACAAAGAGGAAGGGGGTGAGAGAGTAAGTACCAATGTGTACATATCATTTTTCAGGGGAAGGGAGAAATGGAAACTATTAACATTCTTCTGAAACAACAAATAGTTGTGTGCTTCTTCTCACTGGGTATCCCTAACTGGCCTCTTACTCTCTTCCTGGCCTCCAGGATGCCATTGTGTTAGAGAGATAATCCTGCCTTCTCCCAAAAGGTGTGCTTTTGCAGTGTTCCTCCCACACAAAGGCTAGGCCCAGCAGCTCCCAGCCTCACATAGAGCTTAAAGATCTCCTCCTACCATGTTGGCATCCTGCCCCCCTTAGAGCATTGGCCTCTTCTGCATGATCACAGCTGATTGCAAGCATGTCTGTCCCAGTGTGTTGGAAAACAAAAGAAAGGAAGTTCAGGGTAAGAGTTTCCTTTTATGGAAGGTACACATATCCATTCAGGTCACGTTTCATTGGTGAGAATATAATTATGCCCCTGAATCTAGCCTCAAGAGACACTAGGAAATATTGCATCTAGCTGGCAGCCATGTACCCAGAAAGAAAAGGAAACCAGATTGTATTGGGGAACCAATCAGCAGTCTCCACCATATTATCTATATTATTCTCATTATTTACTCTTACCTTTCTAAATACAAGTTTCTGTGTATAATAGGTTGTTTTGCGTAGTTCAATCAAATAGAAATACCATCTATGTTCTTGCTGTTTCCATGACTAAAAGGGAATGTTTTATCATTTGTCTCTTATCAGGCACCCCTCTAGCAAATAGTGTCAAGTTAGATTTACCACAGCTGTAAAGAGACACATGCAAATTATTGGGTGTCCTTTGTCTTGAGAAATAAACCAGCGGCAAAGCTGAACAAAAGCAGGAAGGATTCTTCCCTCTGTGGTTAAGCAAATAGGTATTTGAAAGCGGTCTTGAAATTTACTGGTGGTAAAGTAGCCACATGTTTGAAACGTGTGTTCAGTATTTAAATATCACTGTGTGTCAAAGGGCTCGCTCTCCAATAGTTTTTCTCTGAAAGATCCCCACATTCTCCCTTGCAGGATATGCAAATAATTCTATGACCCATTCAGGACATTACTCTGTGTGTGTGTGCATGCACATGTATGTGCATGCACACATTCACATGTTTCCCTATCAACGTCTCTCCTCCCTTAGAAGCATGTGGACTAGTCTACGACATAAAGAATAATGAAACACTAGAAAAGAAAATTCTTTCACACATAAGATGCACAGCAATATTTCTTGTCACCAAGTCTATAAAGTAGTATTTAAAAATTACATTTTTACATGTTCTGCCCTTGTCTGAACTTGACCAAAAAAGAAAAAAGAACAAAGTGAGGGAGAAAAAGGTAAAACACAACCCTCCAGATGTTTCTAGACTTTTCCGTTTCTTTTGTGCCCAAAAGCTGAAACTGCTGGTTTCAGTGATTGAAACAGCACTGTGAATGAATTTCCCAAATGTGTTGTACAAAATAGGCAATAAAAGGCACTAATTCTTATTTCACACGTTTTTCTGTGTGTTAAGTAAGTTGTCAGCTTATTGTTGGGTTTGTTTCTGGGAGAGTCTAGAGCAATACCTGGTATGGTAATCCCCTGCTGAATCTGTACAGGGGAAGCTTTCCTTGTGGGCTCTTCTCTTGAACAGCACAGGAAGTAAATTAAGGTCTAGGAAATGAAGAGAGCTAATAAGCTACCTAAATCCAACAGTAGAGAGAAGAGAACAGAACTGTCTTATGTTTCAAAGATGAAGATGAATTTTTTTCCTCTGTTCAATCAGTAAATACTTATTGGGTACCAATTATGAGCCATACATTCTTCTAGGAAATGGGACTTTAAGAGTTAAAGAAGTCCTACTTGCCTTCATGGACTTTTGAACCTAGTGACAGGGAAAGAGACAACAATTAATAATCAAAGAAATATGAACCATACTGAGGGCTAAAAACATATATACATATTGCTATGAGAATGTTGAATGGAGGGAACTAATGTAGACTTGGCTGTTCAGTAAATGAGTGTGCCAATGCCAGGCACCATTCAGGGAAAATGGGGTGTCCTGATAGAAGAGCTGTGGTGTCTGCCTTTGAGGAGCACACAGTTTTGTGAAAGGGAAAAACATTTCTTTACATAGAAGTAGATAATGCAGTCCTGTAGATCCAACATCCGCGTATGCCCTGGGGGCACCAAGTATGGTTAGGCCAGTCAGTTGAGAAGGTTGAAAAGGCCAGAGAAGATGTCCTAGGAGAGGAGAATTGCCTTGGCTGAGCCTTGGAAGAGGAATAGTGTTTAACCAAGCAATACCTGCTCTGGGGAGCATTTCCACTTTTGAAGGAAGATGTAGACAATACTGTGGTGTGTTCAGGAAATGACAGCCACTCTATATTGTCAGAATATAAATCTTGAGATCTATAGTGATAAGTGAAGAGGCTAAACCATGCAAATCAGCGGCGAGATTATCAAAAGCCCCACCTGCCACACTAAGGGGATCCTTTCGTGGTCAGAAAGAAAGTAATACAATTGAGAGATATTTGTTCCATTTGCATTGTAGAGGATGAATTTTGTGGACACGGGTTGGGCGAAGAAAGACCAATACTACTTCAGTATTCCAGGTGAAAAAAGACTTGAACTAGGGCAGTAGTAAGTACAGGAGGGAAGAAAAGGTATATTTGAAAAGTATTTAGGAGATAAAGTGGAGATAAAATGGACAGTGCTTGGTAATTCCTTAACAGGGACAAGGAAGTGAGGAAGAGAGAGAAGTTTCTAGCTTAGGCGACTAAGTAGGTTCTGGTACTAGTTATTTAGATTAGGAATCTTGGAGGTCAAACATATCTGATGGGAAAGAAAATGTGTCAAAGTTGATTATTGGGTATCCTGGAAGCGTGTCATGCAACTGAAGATTAGAGGAGGGTTCGGGGATGGAGATACAAAGAAAGCCTACTTTTTAAAGTCACCGGATAGAACTCAGAACACTTAAAATAGATGCTCTAAACATAAAGTTCATAAAGAGATACTAGGAAATTCTGTGATCTACAAACACTTAAAAAACATGGCACATTAGTGCCAGTTGGGGAAGCTTACAAGGGAATTATTCAAGAGGTTGGAGAATTGTGTGTGTGCATGTGTCCATGTGTTTAAGCTGGAGTCTGCAGTATTGGGTGGCTTAAGTTTGATGTGGGATATGAGGGAAAGAGAAAAGCCAAAATTTCATGGTTTTTTTTTTTGTTTTTTTTTTTGTTTTTTTTGTTTTTTTGAGATGGAGTCTCGCTTTGTCGCCCAGGCTGGAGTGCAGTGGCGTGATCTCGGCTCACTGCAAGCTCTGCCTCCCGGGTTCACGCCATTCTCCTGCCTCAGCCTCCCAAGTAGCTGGGACTACAGGTGCCCGCCACCATGCCCAGCTAATTTTTTGTATTTTTATTAGAGATGGTGTTTCACTGTGTTAGCCAGGATGGTCTTGGTCTCCTGACCTCATGATCCACCCGCCTCGGCCTCCCAAAGTGCTGGGATTACAGGCATGAGCCATCGCAAAATTTTATGTTTTTTGGCCTGAGCAACTTTCAGAAGGATAGAGTTGCTATATCCCGAGACGGGGAAAGACTCTCAAGGAGCAGGTTTGTTGAGTGAGTGAAAGAATGAATTAATAAACTGTAGCTTTACCAGTTTATCACAGTGAGTTACCTAATGATAACATGTTTCTGAGCCTTACTAGATCACTGTAATGAACAAACTGATTTATATTTAGTAACTTCCATTTGCATGTAAGCCATCTATTATAAAGTAGTTGGCCCTGTAATTAGGTTAAATATGCCTCCAAGGCCTCCAGGAAACCCTCTTCACAATATTAATTTGCTTAACAAGATCTTTTATCTTCAGCATTAGAAATGGAAGTTTAAGCTCAGATGAGGAAGACTGCTTCTAGATCTGAAGTCAGAACTTGTAGTTTCTTACTATTATAAAAATTTCACATTGTGAGCATGTATGTGAATAGGAGAAACTCCTTGCAAATGTAAAAGATTTACCCTTTTGAACCAATGCAAACAGATTACTTGAATTCAATTCACTTTACAGGCACTTCACAGATTATTCAAATATGCCTTCTACATATCTGGCAGAGTGTATAGTTTGTTTATAATTTCTAGAGCCACAGTTTGAAATATGTTTTCTGCCACATTCAGGAAGTTTGCCATAATCATACACCAAAATATATGTGGTATTATCAGTGTGAGAAATATGAAGCTACCAGTGAATGGCAGCACGTAGGGTCTCCTTCATTCACTGAAGTCCTTCACTTGGCCTTTAGGCCCTGCATGATCTGGTCTTAGCTGATCTTTGCCATCACATCTCACATTTCTGTTTGCTTTATTCTGTTATCACTCATCAGTGTGGTTTTCTATCCATCTTGGACATTGTATTCGTGTGATTTCATGCTGCTTATAAAGACATACCTGAGACAGGGTAATTTATAAAGAAAAGGAGCTTTAATGGACAGTTAATTTGGACAGTTCCACATGGCTGGGGAGGCTTCACAATCATGGCAGAAGGCAAAAGGCACATCTTACATGGTGGCAGACAAGAGAGAAATGAGAGATCATGTGCAAGGGAACTCCTCTTTATAAAACCATCAGATCTCATGAGACCTATTCACTATCACTAGAACAGCAGGAGAAAGACTCAGTTACCTCCCACCAGGACCCCTCCCACAACACAAGGGAATTATGGGAGCTAAAATTCCAGATGAGATTTGGGTGGGGATACAGCCAAACCATATCAAACATGCCATGCTTAGTTCCAACTCAGGACTTTGAACCTTTACCTCTGCCTTCCTCACCTATTAGTTTCTACTCATTCATCTGATCTCAACAATTATTTTCTAGGGAAGTCTTCCCTCAATTCTAGTTGCACCCTACACTTTGCCTTACATTCATAGTTCTTATCATAATTAATCTTTATATATTTGTATGATTATTTGATTATTCGTTACTCTCAGAAGAGCTTAATGAGGGTAGGGTCCATGTTTTTCTATTTCAGCATTACATACTTTACATGTGGTCCAGTGTCTGTCCATGGTAAGTGCTGAATAAATACTTGTTGAGTGATTATGTGAAGCTAGATGATCTGCCTGAAACTAACTAACACACAACTAACAAGTGGCAGAACTAGGGTCTCAATTCAGGCTGCTTTTCATCTAGAGATCAAGGAGAGATGGGTTTTAGTTTGCATCTGTGTCCTGAAAAGGATATAATGAAGTTATTTGCAAGTAATCATTAAGGGAAAATTGTTCTTCTCAAACATATGCACACACACAAAAGCACACACTCACACATGCAAACACAAATGAAAGCTGAACTTATAAGTCACAAATCAGTCATAGTTCAACTGTACCTAATTTATTTAACTCTTTGCTCCCGGCTTTATTTTTCCCTTGGGCTCACAACTGCTTCCTAGCTATTTGCACATTGTTGTACCATGGGCCACTTCAAACACACCATGTATTCTTTCATTTAACAAATATTTATTGAATACCTGTTCACTGTCAACACTGCCCTAGGTGTTAGGAATGAGCAGTAAAAAAGTAAGTACAGTCCCTTCTATTTATTAAAAAGGATTTTTATTCTGAGGGTAGAGAGACAAAAAATATAAAATATAATCAAATGATGCATGCTATATTTATAAGACATAAGAAAATAAAACGTAAAGAGGGAGGCATACTTTACAATGTATAATCACTCTTTAGCTCCTCTAAATGACGAGATTTAATCTGGAACAGGAAAAGATTCAGCCATGCAAATATATGCGCATGCACAGGAAGAACAGCGTGTATGAAGGCCTAAAGAGAAGATGGAAAGAAGCCTGGAGCAGACAGAATGCCAGTGTTGGAAGTAGCATATGAGAGAGAGAGGGAGGTGCAGGAGCTGAGGCTGGAGAGATTGGCAGTGGTAGATGGGATTCACTTTGGATTTTATTTTAAGTGCAGAGGGAAGCCTCTTAGATAATATGAGCATGAGAGTAAAATGCTTTAATTTACAATTTACAAAGATGTCGAGGGCTACTCTATGGAGAATGGATTTGTGGGACAAACTGGAAGCAGGGAAGCAGAGACAGTTAATGGGCTGTTGGAGTAGCTCATGCTGCAGAGGGGATGGTTTGGTCCTACCCACAGATGGGAAGAAATGGACATATTCAGAATAACTGACTCCAGCCTATCATCCCAGCACATCTCTGCCTTGTGAGCTCTTCATGTTAGTTATTACATTTACTTTTTCCTCCAGCAGCTATGCTAGTAATCTATTACTTTCAGCTTTTTTTCTCTTCCTTCACTGTCAATCAGCAGTTCATCAAATTCTATCAGATAAACAAAACAAAATGGCCTGTAACAATGTTTCCTCTTCATCTCTCTTTTCACTGCTTTAGCTAAGGGTTTCATAAATCCTTGAGTGAAATTTTGTAAGAGATCCCTAACTGCTCTCTTTGCCTCAAGTCTCCAGTCCTTCAAATCTATTCTTCAGTCCTGTCACAAAAGCTGTATCTTTCCAAAACACATGTTTTGTCAAATTCCTGTTAAAAATACCCTTTGACATAGCATTGCTAACAATTCTTTTCACGCTTTTTTGTGTGCCAGAAACAAAGTCATGTTTCTAACACAAGTTTTATCGGAAACCAGATATGTAGATGAGCTCTTAAGCAAGCTCGAGCAAGGGGGACCCGACCCCCACCTTCATGCCCATACACTGCAACTCTCATTACATCCTGACGTCCCAGCATCTCTTGCCATCCATGCTGAGTGCAACATGCTCTGATTTCATGCATTTTACCCTTCTATTCCTTTGAAATTCTCCTCCTGCCCATATGTTCTGCTGTTCTCCCTGGCCCCATGAATCTGTCCTTGAAAATCGATATTAAATACCATCTCTGTGTACTTCTGTTTTTCTAATGGCAAAGAAAATATAAACAACTGAATATCCACTGAGGAGACTCTTTTTAAGATAAATTTGGATATATCATAGCCTTTTAATGAAATACTAGGCTGCATGAGAGAGAAAGAGATATCCATTTCTATTGCTGGGAAATAATGCTTTTTCTTCATAATCATCAGACTTTCTGAATGCCAATATTCTATAAAGATTCAATATTTTTCAGAGTTTTCTGCTTTTCAAATGAATGAAATATAAGGTAATCTCCTTTTTCAGCTATTTCCTAGGGAGCTCCTAACTTCTTGATTAAAAGCCTAATTTCCTTCATGCACAGTAGGTGTTACTCTTTGGCATTTAGGGTAAAGATTTATACCAGTAATGAAAATTTACAAACTCAATAGAAACAACCCATAGGCAAACAAATGAGTAACGTTTAATTTTTTTGTATAATAAAATTCTTACTGCGCACAACATCTTCTCTGTCTCCTCACTTTGCATTTTAAATGTACACTTGTGATTTAGAGCCAAAGTTTAAGCATATGCTGTTTTGAATCTTCCGTGCTATTATTAATATATTTTACTTTTTCTTAGAGTTTAAATTTTTCCAGGATTAGGAAGGAAATTTTAGTGTATAAGCCAGATTTCAGTTTCGTGCTTAAGAAATATGTTTGTATATGTGTTACATGCAAGGATGTTTATGTCTCCTGAGATGCCTCCTGAGAAGAAGCCAAATTAAGAGATTCTCTAAGGCCTATTCTTGTTCTTCATCACTTGAAAAAAATCACAAAACAGAACTTATGTTTTACCCTTTTTTTTTTAACGTTGCTTTTCTTCCAATTTTGGGTAACCTTACCCTTGCAAATAATGTATTCTCACTCTTGATCTAGTTTTATTCCAGTAAAGAAGTGCCATCTGGAAGTTTGCACATTACTACTGAATTATTATAGCTTTTATTTTGATAATATGCTATAAAATAATATCTTACATCTCTGTAAAGTTGTATAATTTTTTTTTTTTGAGATGGAGTCTCTCTCCGTCACCCAGGCTGGATGTAGTACAGTCGCGCAATCTCGGCTCACTGCAACCTCCACCTCCCAGGTTCAAGTGATTCTCCTGTCTCAGCCTCCCGAGTAGCTGGGATTCCCGGCGCCCGCCACCATGCTTGGCTAATTTTTGTATTTTTAGTAAAGATGGGGTTTCACCATGTTGGTCAGGCCGGTCTTGAACTCCTGACCTCAGATGATCCACCTGCCTCTGCTTCCCTAAGTGCTGGGATTATAGGTGTAAGCCATCACTCCGGGCCTTCTCGGAGTTTTTCAACCTGCGAGCACATCGCTGGGTCACCTTCAAGTTTTATAATTTTTTAAGCTTTTTCTGTACCTCCTCTATTACTTATTCCCCATAATACCCAATAAGGGAGGTTGGGCCACTATTTTCACAGTTTGTTATTTGTTTGTTTGTGTTTTTTTTGTTTTTTGTTTTTTGATTGTTTGTCTTTTTAATTTAGAAAAGTGACTTGGTAATGTTAGATAATTTTTCCAAAGTCACAGAGGTAGAAAATGGTAAAGTGAGGATTAAAATTCAGATATTCGTATCCCAATCCAGAATTATTCCCACTTGCCATTTTGGACATACATATATTGTTTTGAAATATGTCTTTGAAACTGTTTCTCCCCATTTGATAATAAGTTTATCAATATCCTTATAATCTGAGATTTTTTTTTCAGCAGAAATGATCTGTCTGATCAACGTAAAATTAGGTAGATAAAACAGCTTGGGAGAAGTCTTGTTGTAATGCTTTCTAAAGAATGTATGTGGGCCTATTCTCTGTTTTACTTATCTGAGATACTATTTTTGTCATTAACAAATACTAAAAAAACTGAGCTGGATTAAGATAATCTTCCCATTTATAAGACCTGATAAACACTGAAATAGCTATTACGAAGCCTCTGGAAGCTTCTTTCAGAAAGTAAGCATGGCACTAACAACACATCCTAAATGCTTCTGATTAACACATTTATTTATTATTGGGTTGTGTTAGTAGCATTCTAGTTCATGTTTTATGGTCTTTGTTTTCCTCATATTTCAGCAGCTAGCTATAAACAATATTGATCACATTTTAAATGTCTTCACTCAATAGAACTTGATAAATGAGAAATAAATTTCTAAATTAAGTAAATTACAGTAACACAAACATTTAGCATGATTGCTTGTGACATTATTTTGCATTTAAAGACAAAATTACAATTGAGCACTTGATGGGATTCTTGGACTACTAGTGTTTTGTTTTTCAATATCTAAGCATTGCAATTTTAACCCTACTGTTTGTAAGCAATGGGCCAGTTGCAAAGCTATAAATTTTGTGTTTCTTCAAGTAAGTATTGATTTATTTTCCTTCTTAAAATACATAAAGCAAAAACTAAAGGCTAAACTGAGAATGATTTCATAGACCCCAAATACTTTTTAATACATGTCAGAAAAATCAGAAAATTCATGTTGGTGCAAATAGGTTTTCAGCATCTCTCAGTAACTCTGTCTGCCTTTCTTTTTGTCTTTCAGTTAGCATTATGCCCCTAAATTATAGTTGTACAATATTGTCAATCCAGTCTATCCAAATACTTGTGATCAACATTGTGAATCACCACCAATGTTTATCAAAATGAAAACTACTACTGTATCACCATCATAATACGTTGGAATCATAGAGTGGAAAGGGAAAAGGAAAAAGAGTGGGAAGAATTGGGTTTGGGACCGAGCAGTACTGCTTACCGCCTTTGTTACCTTGAAGAACTAACTTTATTCTTCAGGGTCCAGAGATCTCTGGATCAATATGGGGATCAGTTAAGATCGTATAAGTATATATGCTTCAAAAAATATAAAAGTAGTAAACAAATGTAAGATACCTGTCAAATAATTAATGGAAGACAGACTTTCTGACCCACTAAGATAGAGGAAGATCTAGGGGCTTTGTATGCAATGCATATTGGACAAATAATTGCATGAGAATAAAAATGACTTGTCTGGCTTAAAGATTAACAGCCAACTGTTTTCACTAGGGAAATTGCATGGGGAAAGCAGGTAATAAATTAACATGAAGATAATTCCAAAATATTGCAATGGACAGTAATACATGTGACTAGTTTAGAGATTGGCATTATCTCCTTGGAACTGGGTAGATTTTTGTCAGTTTCAGGCCCGTAAGGTGCAAATATGCCTGGGAATGCATTTGCCCCCACATCAGAAAAAGTTTCGTTTTGGATAGATAGCAAGAAAAGTTGACACATGTGTCCTTTATTCATCCTGTGAATATCAGTACTGGCAGCAAGGAAGATATGCTATTTTTTTAGTCTTTCTATAAGTGAAGAAAGGAACAAATATATTTAGTCTGTGAAGTAGTAGTGCCTGTGCTCAAATAGAGCTGTATAATTTGCTGCTTAATGATAAAGGGAGAGGATAGTCAAAGGAAGGCAAATTCCTTCCTTCTCATTTTGTGAGGATGAAATTAGACTTTATCTTGGCAAGAGGTAGAATTACTATGCTGAAAACACAGTATCAAAATGAAATTTCCCTGTATTATCAGAAAGGGATTATATCAAAATGCAAAACAGTCATGCATGTGATAAGTGTTCTTTATAGTAAAAAATAAACTGTGGTTTGATACTTCTGATAAATAAACTGTGGGTTGTATAGTGGTTCTCAATTGTAAGCTAAACAAAGTGGAGTATTTCCAACCGTGGATAGCATTCCAGAAGGATGTCAAAGTGCTTCATAGCTGTCTGTGTTTTGTTTATGTTGCTTATCTGTATGTGTCACTTCCTCTCTTCTCTTGAGTTTGAAAACATTTTGAGAGTAAGACCTATTTTCCTTTTTACTCCCAGTAACTTAGAACTGTGATGTACTCAGGAGGCAGTTCCGTAATTGTCATTGACCAACCTTAGGTTAATAGACTAAACTAAACTATTCCAAAGCCAACTCTTAAAATCATCAAAATTTCAATGATTTTTATAATTACTTCTGTCAGTACGGCAATACACAAAGATACTCTCCCCTAGATTCTTTCCTCTGGTAGAGGATAGAATAATGTTCTGAAATGCTGTTGGGCTTTCAAGAAAGAGATAAGAAGTACCTTTCCAAAGGCAAGGAAGAGGGGGTTGGCAGCATTAGAGAAGGAAAAGAAAAAAGAACAACTGCAAACTAGAGGTTGGGATCTAAGTGGTGGGTCACCTGTAGAAGTGACCTGAGGATGGAGGTCCAATATCCTGAGGATAGAGTCCAATAGCAGCCCTGCTTGCTGGCTAATAACTTTGTGCCTGCACCAGTATAGTGAAGCAGAGCCTGTAACTCCCAATATTGAGTCAAGACCCAATGTAGGAATTTCAGGTGTGTGTTAGGCTGGTCTTGCATTGCTGCTATGACGAAATGCCTGAGGCTGGATAATTTATAAAGAAAAGAGGTTTAATTGGCTCATAGTTCTATAGGCTGTACAGGAAGCATGGCACCAAAATCTGCTCAGCTTCTCAGGAGGCCTCAAGGCGCTTTTTCGGATCTCGGAAGGTAAAGCAGGAGCAGGAGAGAGTGAGAGTGAGGGAGGAGATGCCTCACACTTAAACAACCAGATGTCACAAGTACACACGATTGCAGGGACAGCACCAAGCCATGAGGGATCCACCCCCATTTCCCAAACACCTCGCAACAAGCCCCACTTCCAACATTGGGGATTACATTTCAACATGAGATTTGTGTGGGACAAATATCCAAACTGTAGTATTCTGCCTCTGGGTCCCCCAAATTTCATGTCCTTCTCACACTGCAAAACATAATCATGCCTTCTCAATGGTCTCCCAAAATCTTAACTCATTCCAGCTTAACTCAAAAGTCTACAGTTCATAATCTCATCTGACATAAGTCAAATCTCTTCCACCAATAAGCCTGTAAAATAAAAAACAAGCTGGTTACTTCCAAGTAAAATAAAAAAGCAAGTAGTTACTCCCTTGTATAGTTTTCTGTACAAAGGAGGTATAGGCATTGCGTAAACATTCCCATTCCAAAAAAAGAGAACTCAGTCAAATGAAAGGGACTACAGGCCCCATGCAAGTTCAGACCCCAGCAGGGCAGTGATCAAATCTTAATGCTCCAAAATAATCTCCTTTGACTGCATGTCCCACATCCAGGGCACACTGGTGCAAGGGATGAGTTCCCAAGGCCTTGTGCAGCTCTGCCCCTGTGGCTTTGCAGGGTTCAGCCCCAGAGGCTGTTCTCACAGGTCTTTGAGTACCTGTGCCTTTCTGAGGCCCAGAGTGCAATCTCCTGGTGGATCTACCATTCTGGGGTCTAGAGGGCAATGATCTCTGTCCCATAGCTCCACTAGGCAGTGCCCCGTGGGGGGTTCTATGTGGCGGCTCCAACCCAACATTTCCCCTTGGCACGTCTCTAGTAGAGGTTCTCTGTAAGGGCCCCACCCCTAAAGCAGGCTTCTCTCTGGGCACCCAGGCTTTCTCATACATCCACTGAAATCTAGGTGCAGGCTGCCAAGCTTTCCCTCCTGAACTCTGCTTCCCTGCAGGCTTAACATTATGTGGAAGCTGCCAAAACTTACAGCTTGCATTTGCCAAAGTAGCAGCTTAAGCTGTACCTGGGCCCCTTTGAGTAACAGCTGGAGCCAGAGCTGCCAGGATGCAAGCAGCGGTCTCCCAAGGCTGCTCAGGGCAATGGAGTCCTGGGCAAGGCTCTTGAACCCAGTCTTTCTTCCTAGAATTATGAGCCTGTGGTGAGAGGAGCTGCTGTGAAGGTCTCTTTTCCCCATTATCTTGGATATTAGCATTTGGCTCCATTTTGGTTCTGCAAATACCTCTAGCAAGTGGTTGCTCCACAGTCTGCTTGAATTTCTCTCCCTAAAAAGCTTTTTCTTTTTCTTTCTCTGCCACATGGCCAGACTACAGAATGTCCAAACTTTTATGCTCTGCTTCCTCTTTAAATGTAACTTCCAACTTTATGTCATTTCTTCACTCCTGTGTCAGAGAGTAGGCTGTTAGAAGCAGCCAGACCACTGCTTGAACACTTTACTGCTTAGAAATTTCTTCTGCCAGATACCCTAGGTCATCATTCTGAAGTTCAAATTTCACAGATCTCTAGTACATGGACACAGTACCATCATAACAATGGTGACCTTTGCCCCAGTTCCCAATAAGTTCCTCATTTGCATCTGAGACCTCAGCAGCCTGGACTTCACGGTCCGTATTACCATCAGCACTTTGGTCACAACCATTTAACCAGTTTCTAAGTAATTCCCAACTTTCCTTTATCTTCCTGTCCTTTTCTGAGTCCTCCAAACTCTTCCAACCTCTGCCCATTACCAAGTTTCAAAGCTGCTTCCACATTTTCAGGTACCTTTATAGCAGTGCCCCATTCCTTATTACCAATTTTCTGTGTTAGGCCATTCTTGCATTGCTATGAAGAAATACCTGAGACTGGCTAATTCATAAGTAAGAGGTTTAATTGGCTGACAGTTCTGCAGGCTGTATGGAAGCATGGTGCCGGCATCTGCTCAGCTTCTTGGGAGGTCTCCAGGAACTTTTTCTCATAGCAGAAGATGAAGCAGGAGTTGGCACTTCACATGGTGAAAGCAGGAGGAGGAAAGAGTGAGGGGGAGGTGCCATCCACTTAAACAAGCAGATCTTGCAAGTACTCACTATTACAAAGACAACACCAAGCCATGAGGGATCCATCCCACGACCCAAACACCACCCACCAGGCCCCACCTCTAACACTGGGGATTACATTTCAACATGAGATTGGGGTGGGGACAAATATCCAAACTATATCTAGGTGGTAGTACTCTGGCTTTTTGCAAAGGCAGATGCAAATCCTACTAGGAGAAAAGTACCCACAATTTAAACCTGATGAATTCCTTAGAGTAAGATCAAGCAATTTGTTAAAGAAAACACGGACATCACAAGACCCCAAGGAAGTAATCACCATGAATGGGAATCAGCAGAAATAAAGTTTAAACCTCTAAAGCCTACAGATACTGAAATTATCAGAAAAAGAATATAGAATAGCGTTGTATGAAATATTTAAGAAATACATAATAGAATTATCTTGAAAGGAAAAATACTGTTGAAATCAAAACTCAATGATTAAATTAAATAGGTAAGTCACAAATGAGAATATCAGATATATGTGAGTAAATTTCTTAGGAGGCCACACAGCGAAGGAAAATCAGGAATATGAAAGAGAAGTTAAGGAAACAATGTAAAAAGATCTAATGTCTATTTACAGCCACAAAGTATAAAATAGTGACTATCTTGGAATTTTCTAGGGTGGTTGAAAGATACACAGCTTGGGAGGCCAAGGCGGGCAGATCACCTGAGGTCAGGCGTTCGAGACCAGCCTGACCAATGTGGTGAAACCCCATCTTTACTAAAAATACAAAATTGGCTGGGCGTGGTGGTGCATCCCTGTAATCCCAGCTACTCAGAAGGCTGAGGCAGGAGAATCACCTGAACCCAGGAGGCGGAGGTTGCAGTGAGCCGAGATCACGCCATTGCACTCCAGCCTGGACAACAAGAGCAAAACTCTGTCTCCAAAAAAAAAAAAAAAAAAAATGCACAGTACACACACATAAAAGATACACACCAAGTTGAATAAATACATAGAAATATCTTGGCCTACCATGAATTACTGTTTGTCAACTGCAATACCAAAGACAAAGATGATAACCTAAAACCAGCCAGAGAGAAAAGAAAACTTGCCTATGAAGACATGCAGGTCAAGCAAGAGCACATTAAATGCACAACAGTGAAAGATAGAAGACAATGGAATAGTCACTTTAAGCTGTTAAGAAAAATATCTGTAATACTCTCTTATTGTTTAAGATTATCTTTCAAAATGATGGTGAAATAAGAACTTTTTAGATAATCAAAAACTGAAAAATATGGCCACTGGCAGCCTTTTACTGAAGAAATCCCTAAAGCATATACTTCGGATAGAATAAAAATAACTCCAGAAGGGGAATCTAAGATGTGACAAGAAATGCTGTGCAAACAAAACAGTAAATTAATGATATAAATGTAAATAAACCTTGTGTAATCTGATGACAGGGATAATGTTTTGTGTGGTTAATGTTAGGGCAGAGGATGATATAGGCATCTTGCCAGAAATACAGTGTTCATGTATTGACTGAGGATGTATGGCTCAGGGGAACTTTTTCTCTGAGCATGTGGGACTTTGGACTCATACTGACAGGGAAGCTCAGTGGAAGTATGATCTTACAATAGAATATTTGTAAATGTAAATCTTTGTGATATCAAAGATATCTAACTCATACAGTAACATATGCCTTAGTCCATTTTCTGTTGTTATTACAGGATACCACAACCTGGGTAATTTATAAAGAAAAGAGATTTATTTCTTGCAGTTCTGGAAGTTGAGAAGTCCAAGGGCATGGTGCTGGTACCTGCTCGGCTTCTGGTGAAGGTCTTCTTGCTGCATCATAACATGGCAGGGGTATCACTTGGTGAGACAGAGGAAATGTGCTAGCTCAAGTCACTTTTCTTCTCTTTAAAAAGCCATTAATCCCCTCATGGGAGCCCCACCTTGATTCAGACCTTATCTAATCTCAGTTACCTCCCAAAGACCCCACCTCCAATCAACATATTAATTTGGAGATTTAGTTTCCAGCACATGAAATTTAGAGGACCGTTTCAACCCATAGCAACAGTTGTGTATGTAAGTAAACATGGATAAGAAAAAATCATAAAATTCATACCTGTGAACATATCATGTGACTCCAAAACCAATCATTGTTGATAACTTCTATCTACCTATGCACGTCTTTTTCTGCCCCATCCTTATGACCCCCCGTGCCCACAAGAGATTATCACTATTTAAATCACCACGCTGAATTTTGAAGTTTAGTCTTTGATATAATTTGGATTGGTGTCCCTGCCCAAATCTCACGTTGAATTGGAATTCCCAGTGTTAGAGGAGGGGCCCGGTGGGAGGTGACTGAATCAAGGGGATGGATTTCCCCCCTTGCTGTTCCTGTGATAGTCAGGAAATATGGTTGTTTAAAAGTGTGTAGAACCTCCCACTTCTCTTCTTCCTTCTGCTCTGGCCATGTAAGAGATGCCTGCTTCTCCTTCGCCTTCTTGCCATAATTATGTTTCCTGAGGCCTCCCCAGCCGTGCTTTTTATACAGCCTATAGAACCATGAGCCAATTAAGCCTCTGTTCTTTATAAATCGCCCAGTCTCAGTTCTTTATAGCAATGGGAGAATGGACTAATACGGTCTTTAAATGAAAAGTAATACTACTAATCATTAATTACATAGTTCCTTTAATTTACTTGATTTATATATTAATTTTTTATTTATTAAATTCTACTGAATAGACACCAAGTAAAAATGTGATCAGTATTATTTTTAGCTAGCCACCGAAGTACAGGGAAAATTGACATTATAAAACGTGAACTTTAGGAGGCCAAGGCAGGCGGATCATGAGGTCAAGAGATCAAGACCATCCTGGCCAACATGTCAAACCCCCGTCTCTACTAAAAATACAAAAATTAGTTGGGCGTGGTGGCACACGCCTGTAGTCCCGGCTACTCGGGAGGCTGAGGCAGGAGAATCACTTGAACCCAGGAGGTGGAGGTTGCAGTAAGCCAAGATCGCGCGACTGCACTCCAGCCTGGGTGACAGAGCTAGACTCCATCTCAAAAAAAAAAAAAAAGTGAACTACAACACCACTAAGACCACTGGAGCAATGCAATAATAACATTAATAAGTGTGTTACTCAATTATTAGAAACATCTTAGGACATGCTGTTGGTGCCATGTTTGCTTTCTTGGTGAAGGTCCCCGAACTATAAGTAACAGCTGCTTCAGTGATTAAAGTTAGGTGCTAACAAGTGAAGATTGTCTTTCAAAGTTAACTTTACTAAAAAAGTTATTTTAGCTAAAGTTTATTCTTATTAATATGTTAATGAAATTGTATTATTTTCTTCCTTGGTACAGTAAGAACTAATATCAGTCACTTTCTTTATTCATTTCACTTCTGTTCACGTAAGATCCATTCCATTTGTTCTCCCTAAAAGGCCAAGTTCTCTCAGATAATCTCTCATTCCCCAGAATCTAATGCCCAAAAGACTATAGCTGTCTTTTCTCTGCATCACCAGTGTATTAGTTCCTTGTGCATTACTAGAAAGAAATACCTGAGATTGGGTAATTTATAAAGAAAAGAGGTTTAATTGGCTCACAGTTTCACAGGCCATACAGGAAGCATGTTGGCATCTGCTCAGCTTCTGGGGGGGCCTCAGGAAACCTTCAATTATGGCGGAAGGTGAAGAGAGAGAAAGAGAGGTGCCACATACTTTTAAACACACCAGATTTCACAAGAACACACTCACTATTTTGACAGAGTACCATGGAGAAAATCAGCCCCTATGATCCAGTCACCTCCCACCAGGCCCTACCTCCAACACTGGGAATTACAATTAGACATGGGATCTGGGTAGGAACACAGATCCAAACCATATCAACCAGTCACTCCCCAATTCTTGAAATATTTCACTAAGTTTGGTCTCTCAAGAAAGCTCTCTTACCAGGTTTTCTCTTCTGCAACACCTCTGTGGTCTCATTTCAAACATCCCTTCCTTGACTACTATCTCCACCTCTAGTACCAACTTCCCAAATGCATCAGCCACACCCAGGACTTACAGTCTATGGAAATCACCAGTGTTTCATGGTTTTTCACATTATGACTCACACCCCTTTTTAGATTAAATTCTAAGGTCCATCATTATAATTGCTCTCTTACCTATATAACCTCTACTCCTTTGCCTCTTTTTGCCTTATCATATATACTTGGCAAAAATCAACACCCAGTTAAATCCATCTCTGCCTATTCCATGCCTGCATCCTGAAGCATGAATAAAGAAAAACACTTTACTTTTTCTTTATTCTTTATTTTATGGATTTAATAACTCACTTTAAATCCATATCAGTAACCTCAAGTGAGTCCTCAAAGATGGGTGACAATTGTACTGTAGTTTTCTAAACCATTGTACCTCAACATTTTTCTAGACATTTATTCATACCTTACTCTCAACTCTTAAAGTTCTAGTATATCTTCACCTGTCATTATACTCAGCTGACGACCTTGCTTTTCTGTCACTGAGGATATAGAAGTAATCACAGAGAACTTCCACTTGCTTCCATCGTCACGTCTAACCATCTATTAACATCTGTAATGTTACTTTTCCTTCTGTTATTCTAGATAAATTATTCGTGCTTCCAATTCAAACCAACCTCTTCATTTCTTCGCTAGATGCCTTTGGTCTTGACTACTACAGGACACTAATCCAGCAGTTACACTTCCTCTCTTTCTGTCACTGTCTTTCTCCTGTATTAACAAATGTTTCCTCTCTGCCAGATTTTTCCCATCAACATTTAAATATATTATTTCTACTAAAATTGAAAAGCAAAAAACTTCTCAGGCTAATTCCTCCCTCTAGATACCCCTTCTCTCCTTCTCTATAGATTTCTCTCCTTCTCTATAGCTTTCCATTTTCATTTCAACCCACTCAGATATGTTATGTCACCAAAACTGCTCTTATCAAAGTTACTAGACTTTGACTAGTAAGTACAACACTCAGCATCGTTAGATTAATTTGTTCTCAGTTCTAATTTTATTTGTCCTGTCAGCAGCATTTGACACAGAGGATTACTCATTCCTCCTGGAAACAGTTTTTTCCCTTACTTTCCAGAAACTTCCCTCCTTTGCAACCACCTAACTCTGGTACCTCTTGTGGTTTACCCACTTGGCTGGTTCTTCTCCATCAATCCAATGTCTTTAACCTGGGAATCCTCTTTAACCCACTTCACACCCAAACTCTCAGGGATCTTGCCCTCTCTCATGGTGTTAAAGGACATTGAGACACTGATGACTTTCAGTTTTATCTCCCACCCAGGTCTTTTTCTTGGAATCCAAACTCATCTGCCCAATGCCTGCTTAGTGTCTCCACATGTAGAGGCCTGTCAAACTACTAAACTGAATTCCTGATCATCCTCCCACACCTTCCCTTCCCATGGTCTTTCCCATTGCAATAAATGGCTTCATTCTTCCAGTCTTATAAACCAACTTCCACTGCTGCTATCCTGGTCAAAAGACATTACCATCACCACTGACCTATAATACTGAAATTTACTCCTTCTTCATTAATGTGCTTTTAACATATCCCTCAAAGTGACCCTTTTAAGGCATGACTGATGATGCACTTTGTGCAACTCACTTTCTCACTTCTTCACTCAAAGGCCATCTTCTCCTAAGACCTTTCTAGATCTTCCCATTTAATGTTTAAACTAGGGTCCAGCAAACTTTTGTTGTAATGGGCCACATAGTAAATATTTCAAGCTTTGTAGCCATAAGATCTCTGTTGCAGATGTTCAGCTCTGCTTTTGTAGCATAGAAGTAGTCATAGACAGTACATATATGATCAAGTGTGGTTATGTTCCAATCTTTATGGCCACTTAAATTTGAATATAATGCAATTTTCATGTGTTATGATGTATTCTTCTTTTGAGGGTTTTCACTCAAAAGGGTCAGCAGGGGGCCAGATGTGACCCACAGACTAGTTTGCTGACCTCTCCCATATGTTCTGTAAACCCTTCCTTTCTTTTTTTTATTGTTTTTATGTTAAAATGTATCACAATATAAAATGTCACATATTTTACTTCTTTTTGTTTCTTATCTATGTCTTACAAATGTAAGCTCCATGAGACTGGAGTTTTTGACTCTATTACATGCTGCTGGATCAGTAGGTACTGAGTAATTACATCATAAATGAATGAGTGAGTGAATAAATTACATTTAAAAAGGAAAAATTAAGAATATTGGGTGTAATTGATGAGACATACTCTGTTTTATTTAAAAAATTATAATCAGAGAACCACAGGAGAGACACCATTTTAACTATTTACAGTCTACAAAATGCTCCTTCAAGCCTGGGCAACATGGCAAAACCTCGTCTCTACAAAAAAAAAAAACATCCAGGTATGGTGGCACATGCCAGTGGTCCCAGCTACTCAGGATGCTGAGGGAGGAGGATTGCTTGAGCCTGGGAGGAGGAGGTTGCAGTGAGCCAAGATCACACCACTGCACTCCAGCCTAAGTAACAGAGTGAGACCCTGTCTAAAAAAAAGACTCCTTCAGTGAGTTTCTTATTAAAATTTTCATCTTACTTGATTTTTATTCCATTTTTATAAATTTCTTTTTTGGCTCCCCTAAATCCTATTTATTTATTCTATAGTAAGAGGTACCTCAATGTATCAATCCATTGCTTCCTCTCCCCTCCCTCGTGGACAGGTTTTAGAGTTGAATAGACCTGAAGACTAGCCACGTGCATCCCCGCATCTCTGCTGGAGGTTGCTGCTACAAGAGAGCATGCTCATTTAGCATCCAAGACCTCATTTTCCAAGAAATTACTATTTAATTTCTACATCTCTTAGATGAACCAAAGAAGTTAACAAAGTTTTTTAAACTTCTGTCTTGGACTGAAGTAAATAAAAGTGTCAAATTATAGGCATTAGAGCATAGCTTAATTTCCATCAGCCATTTCAAGGCACTGCAATTGGATTTCATTATTATATGCAATGGACATTAAACATTTATGAGATAAATGGCCTATAGTTTAATTAGATAGTAAAGTATTCATAAGATACGTTATCTTAAGAATAATGTGTAATAGCAGAAAAGGATCTTGCCTCTGGTTTCTTACATAAAAGAATTGAAAAGATGTCCCCTTGTACTTCTAGAGAAGTGGTTTTTGTTCTGCTTGTTCAGACGTGAATCATAGGCAGAGATGACATGTGGCCAAGCTTTAGTATAGTCAAATATTTGATCGCTATTTCAAGGTTGTTTCATTGCCAATACAAAAGTATGTTTTTTGAGTAGGTAAAAACATCATTTTGTGATTTTGTAAACGTATTTGACCCATACCATATAATCATTATGATCCCCCAACTTGGTATTACAGATGAGTCTGAAAGAAATCAGAGTGGCATCTGAGAATTAATCATTGGGTTTGAAATAATTTACTTTGTTCTGCCTTCTTTTTCAAGTTTGGTTTTGGTTGTTATTTGTGAGTATGGTTGAATAAGTATGTGATAAATACTTTCGAGGCCAACAGTTGATTGGGCTCTAGGTCTGTGTGATTGCTTTATTGATTGCTGGTTACTTCCTTGCTTCCTTTTTTATATTAACAAGGTAGAACAAGGAGGGGAGACAGGAAGGTAAGGACGTAAGGTTTTCAAAAATAGGGCTGCTCAGAGAAGAGATAAGACATTGGTAGATTAGGTAAAACTATGTAAATTCAGAACTATATAAAAATTTGGAAGCTATTACTCAGAAAATGTCATTGAGCTGGTCTTTAAAACCTTGTAGATAAAAATGTGCTTCTTATCGATAAAAACTTTAACTTAGGAGATGCTAGATGCAGGCCGATTGTGGCAATTTCAGATATTCTCAGAAATAAAGGCAAAATGTGCAGTAGAATGGAGAGATCTTGAGGGCGATAAGTGAACCTTTACTATGTGAGCAGCAGAAGTTCTACCATTAATACTATATTGATTTGCCATGGGCTTAGAGACACACAAGCCGTGTTTATTTATTTTTACATTTTCAACAGGCATAACACCTTGGCAAGTGTCATGGCTTAGAGTACAGCGTGGCTTCACCTTGTTTGGTGTGCCCTGATGGAATATCTTATGAAATTATTATGTGTGAAGACCTCGCATCATTATTTTTCCAGGCATGTATCAACGAAGTCTTGGCCCTGTAAAAGTGCAAATAGAATGCGATGCATCAGTCAGTATGTTTACATTTTACTTTTAGTCCCTGGAAAGATTATAGTTTCTGGAGAAATTGCTGTGCTCCTGCCCTTTATGTTTGACCTGGTCATCCTAACTCAGAGCATTCGAAATACTTTCCATTTGCTGTGTGCATGAAGGCTGTGGTGAATTCACTCAGTGAAACATACTTCTTCATATTCATTCTGCGAGTGGACAGTTACTGCTTTGTACTGTCATGGTGAAATGTGATTACTCTGAATGAAATTGCCACTCCTGCATTAATCCTGCTTGTTCATGCCATAGTCCCCATCTGCTTTGGAAGATGAAAAAAAAATGTCTCACGCATCTGCTATGGACTGAATGTTTGTGTTCCTCCAGAATTCATACACTGAAACCCTAATCCCTAATGTGATGGTATTTGGAGGTGGGGCCTTTGGGAGGTAATTAGAGTAGGTTAGGTCATGAGGGTGGAGTGCTCAAGATGCGAGTAAATCCCTTGTAAAAAAAAAATAGTAAGAGGAAACACAGGGAGTCTTTCTCTGCCTGCACACACCAAGGAAGGCCATGCGAAAACATAATCAGGAAGAAGATCCTCACCAAGAACCAGGCTATGCTAGCAGCCTGATCTCAGACTTCCAGACTCCAGGAACTGTGAGAAACACGTGTTTGTTGTTTAAGCCACCCAGTTTTGAATCTCTGTTACAGCAGCCTGAACTGACTGGGAAACCATCTTTAGAATATGTATGCCTAACCCTAAATTTTCATTTAAATCTACTATTTGATGTCTCTCATATCCTCATTTCCGTGATTTTTAAAACTGAGTATTTTTAATAAATCCTATTTAGGAAAAGCTGTAATTTCCACAATATATAAACTATTATCTCTCAGTTGATCTCCATCAGACAGCTATTTATTGGCAAACATAGACATTAATTAGAAAAGTGATATACATAGGTTAAAAACATTCTTCTGAATTTGATTGTTGTGGCATCTGTTGAGTCTTTACCCCAGTATGTCTTTGCTTATGTCCATGTACACTGTAGTATGTCTATACTTCTTGCCATCTTCATTCATTTTATATATATGTATATATCTGATATATGTGTGTATATATGTATATGTGTGTATATTTATATATATAAAAATATGTACACATATATATATCAGATCCATTTGTGTAGCAAAATGTCTAGGGGAAAAAATGAGTCTCTGCTTGTATCTTCCATGACAATTGAGATTTTAAATATTATAAGCGCAAATCTCAAATTTCAACGTATCTGTGAAATATATTTTAACAACAACATGATTATTCCAGTGACAGGTTCCAATTCCTTGGGATGAGCAGTCATGTATTATGTATTTTTAAACTCATGCCTCACACGTACACAGTTGGATGGGCTGTACAGCTGGAAATCCTTCTGTGTAATATGATTATGATTGAGAAAGCATGCACATGTTCCTCCTTCCCCTTCATGCTAAAAACAAACAAAGTGTAGAATGAATTACGTTGCTTAAATCATATTTCAAATAGAAACAGACAAGGAATTTGGTTCAAAGGAAAAGAAAAAAAGATACTGTATGATTTTGTAGCAGCTATCTAGATTAGTAAGGGCAGCCAGCTCTTGGTGTTTTAGAGAGATAGATGATGCTTGCCTGTTGTGCATATTCTTTTCTAAATTTCTTAAATTCTACTTATTTTTATCCTTTTTGTATTCTGTATGTACTTTGAGACATCAGATATCTTCTTATATAGAACTTTTATTTAGCAGTTTTACTTCAAATGATGAGCTGCATGCTTATTGCAAATTAAGGTGGAGTACTGATTGCATATTATAAAAACTGAGTGAAACAGGTGGCCTCGGATCTAGGTTTTCCTTTTTTTTATTATTTTTTTTTTTATTTCTATAGGTTATTGGGGAACGGGTGGTGTTTGGTTACATGAGTAAGTTTTTTAGTGGTGATTTGTGAGATACTGGTGCAACCATCACCCGGGCAGTATACACTGTACCCTATTGTAGTTTCTGTTGTTGTTGTTGTTGTTGTTGTTTGAGACAAGTCTCAGTGTTGCCCAAGCTGGAGTGCAGTCGCACGAGCTCGGCTCACTGCAACCTCTACCTCCCAGGTTCAAGCAATTACCCTGCCTCAGCCTCCGTAGTAGCTGGGACTACAGGCACGTGCCACCATGCCTGGCTAATTTTTGTATTTTTAGTAGAAACGGGCTTTCAATGTGTTTGCCAGGCTGATCTCAAACTCCTGACCTCGTGATGTGCCTGCCTCAGCCTTCCTATTTATAATCTTTTATCCTTCACCACCTTCCCACCCTTTCCTCCTGAGTCCCTGAAGTCCATTGTGTCATTCTTACGCCTTTGCATCCTCATAGCTTAGCTCCCACTTATGAGTGAGACATATGATGTTTGGTTTTCCATTCCTGAGTTACTTCACTTAGAATAATAGTCTCCAGTCTCATCTAGGTTGTGGCAAATGCCATTAATTCTTTCCTTTTTATGGCTGAGTAGTATTCCATTGTGTGTGTGTGTGTATATATATATACCACAGTTTCTTTATCCACTCGTTGATTGATAGGCATTTGGGTTGGTTCCATGTTTTTGCAATTGCAAATTGTGCTGCTGTAAACATGCATGTGCAAGTATCTTTTCCATATAATGATTTCTTTTCCTCTGGGTAGATACCCACTAGTGGGATTGCTGGATCAAATGGTAGATGTACTTTTAGTTCTTTAAGGAATCTCCACACTGTTTTCCATAGTAGTTGTACTAGTTTACATTGTCACCAGCAGTGTAGAAGTGTTCCCCATTCATCACATCCATGCCAACATCTACTATTTTGATTTTTTGACTATGGCCATTCTTGCAAGAGTAAGGTGGTATCTCATTGTGGCTTTGATTTGCATTTCCCTGAACATTAGTGATGTTGAGCATTTTTTCTTATGTTTGTTGGCCATTTGTGTATCTTCTTTTGAGAATTGTCTATTCATGTCCTTAGCCCACTTTTTGATGGGATTTTTTTTTCTTACTCACTTGTTTGAGTTCATTGTAGAGTCTGGATATTGGTCCTCTGTCAGATGTATAGATTGTGAAGATTTTCTTCCACTCTGTGTGTTGTCTGTTTACTCTGCTGTTACATTTGCTGTGCAAAAGCTCTTTAGTTTAATTAAGTTCCAGCTATTTATCTTTGTTTTTATTGTGTTTGCTTTTGGGCTCTTGATCATGAAATCCTTGCCTCAACCAATGTCTAGAAGGGTTTTCCTGGTGTTCTCGTCTAGAATTTTTATACTTTCAGGTCTTAGGTTGAAGTCCTTATCCATGTTGAGTTGATTTTTGTGTCAGGTGAGAGTTGAGGATCCAGTTTTATTCTCTTACGTGTGGCTAGCCAATTATCCCAGCACCATTTGTTGAACAGGGTGTTCTTTCCCCACTTTGTTTTTGTTTGCTTTGTCTGTTTCATTGACACAAGATAGAGAAAGAGGGAACCCTCCCTAATTCATTCTATAAAACCAGCATCACCCTAATACCAAAACCAGGAAAGGACATAACCGAAAAAGGAAACTACAGACTGATATCCCTGAGGAACATAGATGCTAAAATCCTTAACAAAATACTAGCTAACTGAATCTAACAACATATCGAAAAGATAATTCACTACGATCAAGTGGGTTTCATTTCAGGGATGCAGGGATGGTTTAACATATGCAAGTCAATAACTTTATTGAGTTATTCTGTTTCATTGATCTATGTGCCTATTTTTATACCAGTACCACACTATTTTGGTGACTATGGCCTTATAGTGTAGTTTGAAATCAGGTAATGTGATGCCTCCAGATTTGTTCTTTTTGCTTTGTCTTGCTTTGGCTATGTGGGCTCCTTTTTGGTTCCCTGTGAATTTTAGATTTGTTTTTTCTAATTCTGTGAAGAATGATGTTGGTATTTTGATGGGGTTGCATTGAATTTGTAGATTGCTTTTGTCAGTATGGTCATTTTCACAATATTGATTCTACCCATCCATGAGCATGAGACGTATTTCCATTTGTTTGTGTCATCTATGATTTCTTTCAGCAGTGTTTGTAGTTTTCTTTGTAGAGGTCCTTCACCTCCTTGGTTAGGTATATTCCTAAGTATTTTATTTATTTATTTATTTATTTATTTATTTATTTTGTAAAAGAGGTTGAGTTCTTGATTTGATTCTCAGCTTGGTCACTGTTGGTGTAAAGAAGAGCTACTGATTTGTGTACATTAATTTTGTATCCAGAAACTTTGCTGAATTATTTTATCAGTTTTAGGAGCTTTCCAGAGGAGTCTTTATGGTTTTCTAGGTATGCTGTCATATCATCAGCAAACAGTGACAGTTTGACTTCCTCTTTACCGATTTGGATGCCCTTTTATTTCCTTCTCTTGTCTGATTGCTCTGGCTAGGACTTCCAGTACTGTGTTAAAGAAGAGCAGTGAGAGTTGGTGTCCTTGTCTTGTTCCAGTTCTCTAGAGGGAATGCTTTCAACTTTTCCCCATTCAATATTATGTTGCCTGTAGGTTCGTCAGAGACGGCTTTTACTACATTGAGGTATGTCCTTTGTATGCCGATTTTGCTTAGGGTTTTAATCATAAAGCGATGCTGGATTTTGTTGAATGCTTTTTCGGCATCTATTAAGATGATCATGTGATTTTTGTTTTTAATTCTGTTTATGTGGTGTGTCACATGTATTGACTTGCATATGTTAAACCATCCCTGCATCCGTGAAATGAAACCGACTTGATCATAGTGAATTATCTTTTTGGTATGTTGTTGGATTCGGTTAGCTAGTATTTTGTTAAGGATTTTAGCATCTGTGTTCATCAGGGATATCAGTCTGTAGTTTTCTTTTTTGGTTATATCCTTTCGTGGTTTTGGTATTAGAGTGATACTGGCTTCATAGAATGAATTAAGGAGGCTTCGCTCTTTCTCTATCTAGTGTCAATAGGATTGGTACCAAACCTTTCAACGTCTGGTAGAATTCTGATGTGAATTCATCTGGACCTGGACTTTTTTTGTCAGTAATTAATTATAATTTCAATCTCACTGCTTGTTATTGATCTGTTCAGGGTGTCTAATTCTTCCTGATTTAAGCTAGGAGAGCTGTATCTTTCCAGGAATTTATCCATCTCTTCTAGGTTTTCTAGTTTATGTACATAAACGTGTTCATAGTGGCGCTGAATGATCTTTTGTATTTCTGTAGTGTCAGTTGTAATATCTTCTATTTCATTTCTTATTGAGCCTATTTGGATTTTCTTTTTTCTTGGTTAATCTTGCTAATGGTCTATCGATTTTATATATCTTTTCAAAGAACCAGTGTTCTGTTTCATTTATCTTTTGGATTTTTTTGTTTCAATTTCATTTAGTTCTGCTCTGATCTTGGTTGTTTCTTCTACTGGGTTTCGGTTTGGTTTGTCCTTGTTTCTCTAGTTCCTTGAGGTGTGACCTTAGATTGTCTGCCTGTGCTCTTTCAGAGCTATTGATATAGATGTTTAGGGCTATGAACTTTCCTCTTAGCAGCACCTTTGCTGTATCCCAGAGATTTTGATAGGTTGTGTCACTATTGTCATTCAGTTCGAAGAATTTTTAAATTTTTATCTTTATTTCATTTTTAACTCAATCATCATTCAGGATCAGGTTATTTAATTTCCGTGTATTTGCATGGTTCTGAAGGTTCCTTTTGGAGTTGATTTCCAGTTCTATTCCACTGTGGTGTGAGAGAGTGCATGATATAATTTCACTTTTCTTAAATTTATTCAGGCTCGTTTTGTGGGCTATCATATGGTCTGTCTTGGAGAAAGTTCCATCTGCTGTTGAATACAATGTATTCTGTGGTTGTTGGATGGAATGTTCTGTATATATCTGTTAAGTCCATTTCTTCCAGGGTATAGTTTAAATCCATTGTTTCTTCATTGACTTTCTGTCTTGATGACCTGTCTGGTGCTGTCAGTAGAGTATAGAAGTCCCCCACTATTACTGTGTTACTGTCTCTCTCATTTCTCAGGTCTAGTAGTCATTTTATAAATGTGGGAGCTCCAGTGTAAGTGCATATATGTTTAGGATTGTGATATTTTTCTGTTGGACAAGGCTTTTTATCATTATGTAATGTCCCTCTTTGTATTATTTAACTACTGTTCTTTAAAGTTTGTTTTGTCTGATTTAAGAATAGCCCCTCCTGCTCACTTTTGGTGTCCATTTGCGTCAAATGTCTTTTTCTACCCTTTTACCTATGTGAGTCCTGATGTGTTACATGAGTCTCTTGAAGACAGCAGATAGTTGGCTGGTGAATTCTTAAACATTCTGCAATTCTGTATCTTTTAAGTGGAGCATTTAGGCCACTTACATTCAACGTTAGTATTGAGACATGAGGTACCATTTCATTCATCGTGCTATTTGTTGCCTGCGTACTTTGTTTTTGTTTTTTGTTTTTGCTGTTTAACTTGTATTTTTGTTTTATAGGTTCTGTGAGATTTATGCTTTAAAGAGGTTCTGTTTTGGTGTGTTTTCAGCATTCGTTTCAAGATTTAGATCTCCGTTTAGCAGTTCTTGTACTGGTGGCTTGGTAGTGGTGAATTCTCTCAGCATTTGTTTGTCTGAAAAAGACTGTATCTTTCCTTCATAGACGAATCTTAGTTTTGCTAGATACAAAATTCTTAGCTGAGAATTGTTTTGTTTGAGGAGGCTAAAGCTAGGGCCCCAAGCCCTTCTAGCTTGTAGAATTTCTGCTGGGAAATCTGCTGTTACTCTGATAGGTTTTCCTTTATAGGTTACCTGGTACATTTGTCTCACAACTCTTAAGATTCTTTCCTTCCTTTACCTTTGGATAACCTGGTGACAGTGTGCCTAGGTGATGATCTGTTTGCAATGTATTTCCCAGGTGTTCTTTGTGCTTCTTGTATTTGGTTGTCTAGGGTCTCTAGCAAGGCCAGGGAAGTTTTCCTCGATTATTCCCCCAAATATGTTTTCCCAACTTTTAGATTTATCTTCTTCCTCAAAAACACTGATTATTCTTAGGTTTGGCTGTTTACCATAATCCCAGACTTCTTGGAGGCTTTGTTCATATTTTCTTACTCTTTTTTCTTTGTCTTTGTTGGATTAGGTTAATTTGAAGACCTTGTCTTCGAGCTCTGAATTTCTTTCTTCTACTTGTTCAGTTCTATTGCTGAGACTTTCCAGAGCATTTTGCATTTCTATAAGTATGTCCATTGTTTCCTGAAGTTTTTATTGTTCTTTACTTATGCTATTTCAGTGAATATTTCTCCCTTCACTTCTTGTATCATTTTTGTTAATTTCCTTACTTTGGGCTTCGTTTTTTCTGGTGCCTCCCTGATTAGCTTAATAACTAACCTCCTGAATTCTTTTGCAGGTAAATCAGGGATTTCGTCTTGGTTTGGATCCATTGCTGGTGAACTAGTGTGATTTTTTGGGGTGTGTTAAAGAACCTTGTTTTGTCATATTACCAGAATTGGTTTTCTGGTTCCTTCTCATTTGAGTAGGCTCTATTAGGGGGAAGGTCTAGGGCTTAAGGCTGTTGTTCAGATTATTTTGTCCCATGGTGTGTTCCCTTGATGTAATACTCTCCCCCTTTTCCTATGGATGTGGCTTCCTGTGAGCCAAGCTGTAGTGATTGTTACCTCTTTTCTGGATCTAGCCACCCAGCAAGTCTACCAGGCTCTGTGCTGGTACTGAGGGCTGTTTGCATGGTATCCTATAATGTGCACCATCCGTGGGTATCTCAGCTGTGGAAACCAGCACCTGTTCTGGTGGAGGTGGCAGGGGGGTGAAATGGACTCTTTGAGGGTTCTTAGCTTTGGTGGTTTAATGCACTCTTTTTGTGCTGGTTGGCCTCCTGCTGGGATGTGGCGCTTCCCAGAGAGCATAAGCTGTGGTAGTATGGGGAGGAACAGGCGGTGTGTGGGGCCCTAGAACTCTTAAGAGTATATACCCTTTGTCTTCAGTTACCAGGGTGGGTAGGGAAGGACCATTGGTTGGGGGCAGGGCTAGGCGTGTCTGAGCTCACTCTCCTTGGGCAGGTATTGCTGCGACTGCTGTTGGAGATAGGGATGAGGTTCCCAGGTCAATGGAGTTATGTTCTTAGGAGGATTATGATTGTCCCTGCTGTGTCATGCAGGTTGTCAGGGAAGTGGGGGAAAGCTGGCAGTCCCAGGCCTCACCCAGCTCCCACACGATCTGAAGGGCCGGTCTGACTCCCACCATGCCCCCACCAACAGCACCGAGTCTGTTTCCAGGCAGTGGGCCAGCAGGCCTGAGAACTTACCCCATGCTACCCGCTTCCCAGCTGTGAAAGCAAGTGTCACTGAGTCTGTTTCCAGGCAGTGGCCAAGCAGGGCTGAGAACTTACCCCATGCTACCCGCTTCCCAGCTATGAAAGCAAGTTTCGCCGAGTCTGTTTCCAGGCAGTGGGCAGGCAGGGCTGAGAACTTACCCCATGCTACCCACCTCCCAGCTATGAAAGCAAGTGTCGCTTTCCTTCTTCCCCCGCCTGTGGAGTCTGCACACTAGATTCATGTCCTCCCCCAAGTTCTGGCCAGGAGACTTCCTGATCAGTTCACATTGTTACAAACTTCAGCTGGAGATTTCCTTCTCCCTGGGGCCTTTTCCCAGTGCCTCTGGCCACCCTCCTGAAGGACCCCTGTGAGGCCAGGCAGAGATGGCTTGCTACGGAACCCAGCAAGTGTACAGAGCTTTTTTCCGCTGCTTCCTCTAGCCCTGTATTTCACTCAGCTGTCTAAATTGACTCAGCTCCAGGCAAAGTCACAATCTTCTCCCGTAATCAAGATTTTCATTTTCGCCAGTGGGGGTGTGTGTTCGGGGGCGGATGACCTCCTTTTCCCACTTCCACAGTTTGGGCACTCACAGTATTTGGGGTGTCTCCCGTGTCCTGCGGGAGCATTCCCCTTCCTTCAGAGGGTATGTGGGTCCTCTCAGATTTCCTGATTTATTCCTGCAGTTGTTCTGGAGCAAAAATTCAGCATGGATCCTCCACAGGCTGCTCTGTCTGTCCAATCAGAGCTGCAATCTAGTCCTGCCTCCCGTCTGCCATGATCTCTCACAGTTCTCTAGGTTTTGCATTTGAGTCATGTGAAAGATGTTCCTGTGACATTAAAGACATCAAGAAACCCAGCTTTGAAAATAGGATCGTCTTTACTGAAGAATAATTTCCGGGGTAATATTCTTAAGTTAGTAGATGCACTTTAAAGTCTGTTAGAAATAACTACCACCTTTGAAATTGCTCTGTTACAATCACTGTTTGCTCTTCCCCCAAACCAAAACTGTTGGCATTTTGATAGCCATAGAAATGTATAACACCCAACACTGTGACAATCACACCCATCATAAAAGTTAAATGAACATTCTTGTAACACCCACTGGGACGAGGCAGACGTAGGAGGGAAGGATTGAGCACACAGGATAAAATGTGTCTCTGACAAATTGAAAGTACTCCCTTTATACAGCATTGTTGTCTTAGTTGTCATCTGTGTCTGATTTGTTTTATTCAAAGCCATTTCAAAAGCACAAATACTGTGTTGAAACTGAGATTCAAAATGAATCATTTCCATGATCTGTCAGAATTTGCCTTGCCATTGCTAGATTTTCTGTGTTTTCCCTTGCTATGTCTCCAATTTTGTAAATCTTTTTTGATTTATTCAAAATATGACTGTAGTCAAAATAAGACTACAAAGAACTATCATTTCTGAATTGGGAGTGTTGCATTGCTTATGGGGTTTTGTTTTATGATAGCCTTTTGTGAAGATCATTTGTTTAATTGTATTAATCTTGCATTTTAAGTAAGGACTTATTTTTTTCATTTTGGTTGGTGCCAGAAGGGTTAACATCATGATTATCACTGCTGACAACTTAATCCCCAAATTAATTGAAATTCTGACTCCCCTCTATTGGGGCGACTCTTCACTCCTGGCTCTGCTCTCAGCAGTCTGCTAAAAATGTTTTTTAAAGTACCAAATTGATTTTGATGCTACCCACCAATTTCAAAAGTTCATGTCATATTCTCATTCTGGGAGTCTAAGAGACCTGAAGCAACCTAACAATTCTTGTTGTCTAATATTCTTATACCCGTAAGGAAATAATATCCCCTCTCCCCCACAGCTCAGTCTTAGTATCTCCTTTGTAGACACACCTGATTCTTCCTTTGGAGTAGTAGAATTTGTCTTCATGCACTGGACTGTAAACTCCTTAAGGGCAGTGAATCCATCCTCTGTGCAGTCCTCTTCTATACTGCTTACATTGATGCATGGATAACAGTTTCACCTCCCTCTTTCGGTCTGAAGGGCATAAATGAGACAATGAAGTTACACCTAATAGGTTATAGTAAATGCCAAGTATGTACTTAAAATTACTTCAAGCTACATACAGACTAAAAATATATATTGCTTTTGTTCACTGCGTATCCATTGTCTGGCCGAGCACATATAATAAGTGGTCAATAAATATGTGTTAAATTACATTGAGATTGGTATAGAATTTACCTCTCCTACATCAGGTTTTTCTGCTAGCACATACAAATTTGTCTTCTTTCAGCAAACATTCATTGAGAGTTTATTTTATATGGCAAAGCTTAGCACCAGTACTATAAAGACAATTAGGATAAATTCACTGGCTTTTTCATCTTCCAGCAAAGAAGATAGACACTTATAACAAGTAGCTGTAATTCACTCTGGTAAGTGTAGCAATTAATGCATGTAGACAGCACTATGGGAACATAAAGAAGTAAGCTATGAATAAGAAATTGTTGAAATCTTTTTTTTTTTTTTTAATGAGCAGAAGTTTGTCAGAGAGGGTGGAAGAAGGACTTTGTCAATGGAGCAGTCTACGATAAGGAATGAATGCTCAAAAGAGCCCATGACAGAAATAGAAGTTTCAGGTGGCTCAGACACAATGTACATTGAGAGAATGTTTTGGATGTCAGGTAAAAATGGGGCTTCTTAGTACTGGCTGAAGAATTTGGATCCTTTTCTATAGTCATAAATCAAAACCTCTGAAACATGATTTGCGTTTTAGAAAGACAAATATTAGGTGGGAGATAGATTGGAATAAAAAGAAACTGAAGATAGGGAGAATAACAGGAGGCTGATGGAGGTTAAGGAGTGGGATGAGATGCTAAATTTACATGATGCCAGTAGAAATGAAGAGTAGTAAAGAGAGGTAAAATATGAAACATATTGTTCATCTTAAATTTTTTTGTTGTCCCTGGAAAAGGAACTAAGAAGAAAACAAGGATTCTGGATACAGAAAGGCTATAAAGGTTATTCTGCATGCTGGCTAGCTAGGAGCTGCTGTCCTCCCGTATTCATTCATCCAGGATTTACCATGGTTAATGTTGAGACATCCATGGAGATCCCACTGCCTCTCCCAGAGGTCTACTGTCTGGCTGCCCAGATTTCTATCATTACCTTGAGTGAACTTATATCAAAGATTCTCTGTTTTGTTTATAACAGATTTTTCATTTTAGAAGTAGTGGCTATCTGGTTCCCAATGGAAGCAACAAGGTAGGCAGTCGTATTTAGGACCAATTTTGAGGTAGTTGGGGCTCTGTGTTCCTACCTTTCAAATATGACCATGTAGGTGATATTTTGTATGATGTTATGTTATTATCTTATTTTGTACAAATGTTAAGAACAGGTGGGTCACCAAAGAGGAAATATAAAGAGCTTATAACCTTATGAAAATGTTTTTAACCTCTCTAGTAATCAGTGAAAAGAAATTAAGTGCATAGAAAGATACAGATTGAGTATTCCTTGTCCAAAATGTTTGGGACCAGAAATCCCAATCTCAGATTTTAGCTTTTTCACATTTTGGAATATCTGCATTATACTTTTACCAGTTGAGAATAGAAAATCTGAAATTTGAAATGCATTTTCTTTGAGCATTATGTCTGCATTCAAACAGTTTTAGATTTTGAAGGATTTCAGATTGCAGATTTTCAGATTTGGGATAGCCAGTTCACACTATTTTTGCAACTTTCAATTCAAGAAAACTTTAAAAATTAGACAATACCAAGTGTTATTAAGGATATAGAATAAAGGGACTCCTGTTATATTAATGCATTTTGATACAACTGCTTTGAAAAGCAATTTGGTAATAGCTAGCAAAGTCAAAGATCCCCTGTGACCCCACAATTCTGTTCCTAGAAACTCTTCCCTAAGTATATGTAGACATATGCACAAGAATTGATGGCAGCCCTCTTTTAAAGAGTCTGCATTCCATCATTAAGAGAAGGTATTCAGTGTAATTAATGTGAAGGAACAAATCTTACATATATCAAGATGTCTAAGTCTGAAAAATAAAATGTTGAACAAAATTTCAAGTTTCAAATGAGTGTTTGGCAAGATGGCATTCCAGGATGGATGATGCCTAATATATAAAATTAAAATTTATAAATAATATTTACATTTGCTATGGGTACACAAATAGTAAAAGTGTGAAATGTGTACTGGACTGTTAAGCACCAATTTCAGGATTGTAGTTTTCTCCTGGGGATGGTCAGGAATAGGATAGGGAGAGAGATTTAGGGACTTCAGTTGTATTTATAAAGTTATATTTGTTAGGCAAGTATACAATGTTTGTTGTATTCTGTGAAATTTTTTATGCCTAAAATATAATAAAAAACCTGCATATGGCTTTAGTCATACGTTTCTTTATTCATTTTGTCAATCAGCCATCAATCTGTACTGCTACCTATTTGTATATTCTTTTATTTCTGTCAGAATTATTTAAGTAATCCAGAAAAAGATGATAAGGGCCTGAACCAAGTTGGACAAAAGGGGTAGGATAAAATTCGAAGACAGATTGAAGAGCGATTTGGTTGTAAAGTTATCAAGACTTAACAATTGGATGTGAGTATGTATATGGGTGGGGGGGCAAGGAATCCAAGATAATTTATATAGTTTCTACCTTGCATCAAACCATTAAGCATGCCCATGAAACAAAGGAGGAGAGTGATGTTGAAAGTGAAAGGAATGAGGTATTTAACATTCTTTTTTTTTTCCTGAAGCTTAACAGGTTATCTTAAAAACTTTAGTAATTATTTATTAAATATCTGCCATGTATAAGGCACAAATAAATACAAAGAGATCCATTAAATGTATGCATAAATGCCTTTTCATTAATATGTTTCTTAAAATGTTTATACTATTCATTTTTAAGCATCATGGTACAGTTGCTGCTTCAGTAAGTTCAATTGGGCAAGCAATTTCAACTGAATACAGTTGAATGCCAGTATGCAGCCTTCCTTAAGTTATTTGATAGCTACTTTAAAAAGAGTGAGAATCCATCAAAAAGTTCAGACTGCAAACTCATTTAAGTTTGCAAATTATATTCATAAGGACAGTTGAAGGTAGTTATCTTGAAAATATCCCAAAGATGTGTTGTGTATTAATTGAGTAATAACTAGGTAAGGCTAACTTCAGTCACTCTTTTTAAAAGTTATTTAGTTTACTCAACAGTAAATATGCAAGTCAGGATAATTTTAGCAACATGAATAAATCCTTTGAATGGAAATAAATTTATTTAAACAATTAGAAATATTGGTCTATTATCTCTGTCTTCATCTTTCTCATAACTCCTCTTGCCTGTTGATTATCCTTCATAAAACGGAAATGGCCACAGAGACCAATGGGATACAAGAGAGCCCAACTACTGCAGGGGTATCCAACTCCTGACTAAATAGAATATCTCAACCAAACGCTTTTCTCTTTTGTTTTCTTCTGGGACCCACTCAGTTCGTCTTTTCGGAGTTCTACATTACTCCTGATCCCAGTAGAAACATGGATTCCCAACCCTAAATCCCCACATAGTCTTACTATTCCTTTTCTGTTATTTTCTTTCCAATCCTACATGATAAGCTTAGGCCAGAACAATGATTTTGTGTTCCAATCCTGTGTGTTCACAATACCCTGTGAGCTCAGCTGCATTCCTTGAGAGTCTCAAGGGCCTTAAACTAGAATCAGACCTCCATCATCTTGCCTTTGCTCTCCCCACCACAATATACATCCATTATTTTAAATTTTGCATATTTCCTCCACAGTTGAAGAAATAAGCCAAAGACCACAGTAAAATAACAAGGCAGAAATCCCTAGCGACTTAAAAAATATATATCAAAAATATATCATTTTCTGTTTCAGTATGGCTGCCAGTCAGTCCCTTTGATATAAAGCATCTGTCCTCTTCAAGGAAACAAGGAATGTCTGGTTCTCCTTTCTAGCCTGTGAAGTAGGAGATGGTGTCATTTGTTGTACAGAAGCAGGAGCCCCATGTTACTGGGCTGCAAGCTACTGACTGCTTTGGTTAACATACTGAAAATTTCATCAGTTGTCTTTAATAAAAGACCATGTGTATAGGGAAAGATCTGAGCAGTTGTCATTGAGTTTCTCTTCCCCAGCCCATGAGCTACAGCTGGCAGAGAGCAAGGACACCAGTATGTAATCCAACAGCCAGTTACCTGAAATTTTTGCATTTCAGTATTAGAGTTAGGTAGACTTTGAGTCTGTTTAGAAAACTTTATGTGTTCTTGTTTGGTTATCAAAAGGCTTTTCATACCTTATCCTTCTGTCTAATAACATTTAGTCATTTATGGCTTCTGCTTAAAAAAAAAAAGATTATTTGAACATTTCCTAACTTAAATAATTGAATGACCAAGAGAAGAATTCTATTTTGGGGGAGGATAGGTGTTCTATCCTCCGATATACTTTGTTCTATACATTATAAGCTCTTACAGGAAATATCAATTCACAGAAGCTGTGAAATGATATAATCTATGATCTAGAAATTACCTTTAGAACAGTGCTTCTCAAATTTTAATGAGCTTACAAGGCACCTGGGTTTCTTGTTAAAATTTAAATTCTGATTCAGTAGGCAGGGCCTGAAATTCTGCATTTCTGTCAAGCTGCCAGGGGATGCTGATGCAACTCCCTGGACTATAGTCTGTGTGCTCAGCTAGAAGAACTGAAGGAATTCAGTCCAGTGGGCATCCATTAAACTTCCCTAGCACAGATGTAGAGGGGAGACATGACAGGCTTAAAAGATAAAGCCCCTGTCTTTGAAGAGAGAAAACAACCATGTTGTAAAAAGTAGAGTCTATACCCAGTCTTATTCATCAATTTTTAATAAACACATGAAATTTTTTATGTCAGAATAAACGTTGACTTTCAAAGCAGTTATCTAGGGCGATGATACTTATTACATATGTCACATTTTAGCATATCTGTATAAATTTCATGTTTCCTTCACTCAAGAAGTTATTGTGATGTTTTAAGCATTACATAATGCACATTTGTAGGTTTTTGAAATAAAAAATTTTATTTTACTAAAATAGCCATTTATATTTACACCAAAATGTTATAACTGAACCTGAAATGTATAGCTGCTTAAATATGTTGAATAATATTCTTAAATATTCACATTTTTAGTTTCCATATTTTTTAGCCATTAGGGGAAGCAATTAATGAGTATATGTGGGCTTTGCTGGGAGCGGTTATCCCATGGTAACTATGATTATTTTTGTTTAATGAGTAACACACTGGTGTGGATAATGCAAAATTAAAGTGATTACAAAAACCCCATTACAATTAGCATTTAGAACTCATTCATCAGAACAGATTTAACTTCCTGGATGAGTTTTCTTAGACTAATATTAAAATACAAAATTTGTTTCATCATTTGATGGCAGGTAGGTAACTCCATAAGTGTTTGAAGGACAAAGAAGCCTCAGGCTGCAATTTAGTAATAATAGTGAGGTCTATTTATGTGGCATGATCGACTTTACCATCCATTTTCACATCTACCTCTTACAGGTTTAACCTTAAAAAGGCTAGAAAGCTAGTAAACATGAAGCCAGTTCAGAAATCCTCAGTTTGTAGATTCAGTGGTTGTTCAGGCACACTAACAAGGAGGTTCTACTTTGTGTTTTTGAAATGATAAGGAAAAGGAAAGGAAAATGACAATAATGTGGGTATTCTCATATGATATTTACAGCAACAAAATGCTGGCATCCCATTTGTAAAGGAAACTGAGATTACAAGCCCTCACCCAACTTGTTCAAGTGCCCACATCTCTGTGGTAGAGCTGGTATTTGAACCTAGGCAGTCTGACTCCATAACCTCTGAGTGTTTTTAATAATCCCTTTGAGTTGAAATAATAGATACAGACACTATAGGTGCAGACACTTTGGTAATAAAGTGATTCAAGAAATAATGACTATCCCACAGAGCCATCTGTTTTCTCTCAACCTCATCACTGGGCCTCTTCCATTTCTGGATAGTAAGGAATGGTCTCCAACAGTGGTTCTCCCTCCCTATTTCCACTCTTCCCACTCAGGATAGCAGGAATCTGAACATTGTATCTACTTAGCATCTTTAGTAATTTAGGCTGTGAGCATACTTCACCATCAGTTTAGTGGCTGTTTATTGATAGTTGTGCTAAGCACTGTGAGGGGACATAATTCAGAAATGTGTCCGAGCTGCAAGGAACTCAGGATAATAACAGTGGTGTGATAACAAAGTTCTTTTAGGAAGACAGAGTAGGTGGTGGTATTTTCAGTTTCCAATGTGGAGCTTTTCACTGCACATGTCATTTAGAGCTATGTTTATTTGGATCGGTGTTTAAAATTAGAAGTTGACCATCTGTATTTTTCTTGATAAGTATGGAGTCATCCTGACCAAAAAGGTTTTTGAAGGTCAGGAATAGCTTATATTTGCAGCATTATTTTTGTAAAAGAGAAAATGATATAGAAAGGTTTAAAAATAATGCCCAGTAGTTGAAGATTTAAGGGAATTTTAGTATCTATATCCAGAGACATATGTAGCTATTGAAATCAAAATTTTAAAGACTGCCCAACAACATAAAAATCACAAACATGTATGTGCTAGACTTCAAGCAAAATGAGATAAGGAAAATTGATCGTGATATTTGTAGAGTGTCTAATTTGTACCTGCATTCTGCTATGTATATTTGTTTATTTTTTTCACTGTATCTATCTAACAGCATGCAAAGTTGATATTATTTCAGTATTTCACAAATGAAGGAAGGGCACAGATATGTTAGGGGATTTCACCAAGGTCATTGACAGTGGTTGAACAGGAACTCAAACCCAGATCTCTTAAAAATCCAAAATCCCCCAAGTCAATTTATTCTAGCTATTCTACTCTCCCCTGTAGCATTGCTTTTGGTTCAGAAATAATTGATTTTACGGTAAAGAGTAGAGTCACATGAATTCAGCTGAAAAGTGCATGTCTTGTGAAAACACCAAATCTTAAAAATAATTGTGATTTCGGACTTTAACACAGAATTGAAGGACAATTAATAGTTGACACGATCTGCAAAATGAAAGTGTAATCATAGCATAAACACTTTAATTTTATCTGATATTTGAAATATGCATTTGTGTAACTGCCAAAATATTATCTGCTTTCTGTTAGCCAGAATGTTCCAGGGACAGGAGCAGAACAGCCTTATTTATAAAGAGCAAGCAAAATATATTTTCCTTTGGGAGGGACTTTTGCTGTTGTTAACTAATGTCTGAGAATTTGGGGATGAAAACCTTTGTATTAAACTGGTGCAACATAACTCATGCCATGTAAAAAACACTTTTAACCTTTTTTCCACATGTGATAGCTTTGTATTGCAATTATTACGCATTATTGAAAATTCTATGAGAATTACTTAACTACTTTTTAATAAGTAATATAAAATTTTTCTTAGAAAGGTTTCATTTTTCTCTGCCATATTTTATCTATTTGGATTTTTTACTTCACTCTATGGTAAACATTCATCATTACAGGTTAAACAGTGTTTGGCTTTTAAAAATAAAGACTTTGCCTTGTTGAACAACTCAGGTTTGGGAAGGGCTTTAGTGGTTGCATTTTAATTTTTTTCAGGATTTTTACCCAAAAACATCCGTAAAATTTCATAGTTTATTTTAATTGTTTTGTGTTAAAAGCCTGGGATATTGCTAAGAAGAGAAAACAAAGAATGAATAGATATGGATTTGTCAACTTTACCCACTTATTTTTTATTTCTTGTCATTGAATTGAAATTTTTATAAATTCTTTCCATCTGAAATTGTATCACTTGTAAAGGTTTTTTTCTCAAATAGTACCATCTGATTAGGCTTTTAGATCTTCATATGTTACCTATGCTTTCTCATTAAAGAAAAAATACTATTTCTCTAGAAGCCTGTCCTTTTTAAAGCACAAAGTACACAGCAGGTGTTTGAAAACTTTCCATCTTCCTAGTTATCTTTATCTGTTTGTATAAATTGCTAAATTGCTTTCACAAAATGCCTCTAGACATAAGGGAATTATTTGCATAAGTGGATGAAGATTTTTGTTTTCCATGAAGGAAAGCTTGAAATGGCCTCCTAATTGTTTTCCTTCTTTCTCTTGTTGCAGTATCCGGCTGCTTTGATGAACCTGGGAGCCATTCTGCACCTCAATGGCAGACTCCAGAAGGCCGAGGCCAACTACCTGCGGGCCCTGCAGCTCAAGCCAGACGATGTCATCACACAGTCCAATCTCCGCAAACTGTGGAACATCATGGAAAAACAAGGCTTAAAGACTTCTAAGACCTGACACAGGAGGCAGAAGCCCATCCTCCTCCATTTTTAAAAGCTGGCTTCCTTAGCAGACAGAACTTCCCAGCAGTGCTATGACAAGAGCTGGTGTTAGACTTCAAGACCAGGGCAGAGGTCATTGAGGTCACTACCGCTTCTGGAAGAATCCACTTTGCTGTAGGCACAGCTGTTAACACCAAAAAGGGGAAAGCCGGAAACCTCCTGGAGGATGTCATTGTTACCCATAGACTGTAAACCAGAGCACTTAAAACAGAACCTTTTGGCATTCTTAAAAAGGGAGGGGTGGGTGTGTAAGTCACAGATTTTGTTCATTTTCTGAAAGCTAATTTCAAAATTATGTTGTTCCTTAAACACTGTGAGAGGAAGTCAGAGTGTCCATTCAGGCATGGCAAACAATTAGGGTTAAGTGTTACGAGGGAGTGATAAACACGTAGTGTGAGTCCCAGTGAGCCGCCGGTTGTCCTAACGCTGCTGTCTTCCCTGTTTGGGACAGCCTGCTTATCAATTTCTGAAGCTTAGAACACTTTTTTTAATACTGTGTCAAGATCTGTCAGAATCTGCTATGTTTCTTGACCAGTGCACATAATGTTTTATGATTTGGATGTCAGAGGCTTCATTCTTTTGGACATCATTTGCTTTTTATGTTCTGAAAAGGATATGGAGAGTAGAGCTAACCATACTTCACACTCGAGTTGTATGAGGGACTGGGGAGGCCTTATATGTGTCAGGCAGGCATTTTTTAAATTTTAATATCGTCAATATTTTCCCCCAAACTGCCCAGTAGAATTCATTGTATTAATTCTTTTGAAATTACCTTTGAAAATAGCTATTCCTGGAGAATGTGCAAGCTTACATAAGGATAAAGGACAGGGGAGGAGTTTGTAAGCCTTGCAGTTCCAATAACTAACCAACAGGTTATTAGACAAAAGGGAAGGTGTTTTGTGCTTCTCAGATGTTGCTGGTTTAGGAGTGTGTGATGATGCTTGCCAGTGATTTTGTGTTTTGGAAAGGGTAGGTATCGAATGTTAATCACTTTCTAATGGGTACCTAAACAGCAATGCTGATAAATGTTCAAGGAATTATTTTCATCTTAGTTTGTTCTTCTCAAAAGGCATCAAAAACAACTTATTTGAAGCTGCAATAGAGTGTAGCATTAGCCTGCATGTTTCTAGGTCTTCTGCCAAGTGCTTTTCTCAGTTGAAAACTATTTTTCACTAGCAAAATTGGTATTTTATTTCATTACCTGTTAGTAACTACTTCAATGATCATTTCACAAGAAAAAGACTATAAATTAAGTAGAGAACAACATTTTTATTGAACATTTTTGGCTTGCAATCAAACTTTGCCACTAAAAATTAACTTCATAAAACACTAGTCCGTTATCAACTTCTTCACAGAGAAAGTAGCTATACTATACCCTACATATTTATTTATTTATTATTCTACTATAGCAGAATAACAAAACTTGATGCATTAAGCCAGTTCTTTGCAACTGAAAATTACCTGTTTCTCCTTCCCTTTCACACTCCATGTATATATGATCAGCCTCTCCATTAAAAAGAAGCTGGACATGCAAATACATCATATTATGTTTTCTCCATATTTTATGTTTTTCTATGTATCTGAATACAGTGGGATAAATAATTGAAAGTAGTGTTCCTATGGCATTAGTGTTTTTGTGAGAAGGGTAAATGTAGTGAGAAAGGTTTTTTCATGGCATTAATAAGAAAGCCCTTCTGTAATATATATATTATTTTGTAAACATTTCACTGAAGGGCCAAAAGTTAAATTATAACTAAATCACTGTGTTTTCAGAATGATATTTAACAACAAACCCGTGGTCAAACCAAAATAGTGGGTTGAAGTGTATTATTCATCTTTTAGTGCATTGGCAATTGCAAAAAAAAAAAAGGAATTTAATATAAGGCTATAGAGATTAATTCAGTGTCTAACATTTGTATTTATTTAAATAGTTATTGACCTATGATGACTTTCTAGTCTTAACATTTTATCTTTTTATTGTTGTTGTTCTTCCTTTCAAAGATGTGGTTCTTAATAGGTTCACTGAATGCACAGTTGAGGCACTTCTTGTGACACCAGTTCCCAAGTAGCGTTAATAATTGGGCCTGTGTCATAAAATGCACGGATCATTAATAACTAAATGTCCCTGACACTTTTCACTACAGGGCTGGACTTAGTAACTGACCAACTTCGGGGGGAGGGTTGGGGCAAGGGGGGGTGGGCGTTAGAACATGATCAAAAAATGTCTCCGCTCAGGGATTTATGGTGGATTATTGCAGACAGTGCTAAAAATATAGAGCACAAGACAAGTTTACTAAATTAAAATTTTATTTTTTGAGAAACTGTTATTTGTATAAATTATCAAGATTTGTAGGCTTTCCTTTTGTAGAAATAATTGTTTTATGTGCCAGAGAATTTCAATTTTGTTTTCAACAATAAAGCATTGATAAGAAATATATTGTGTAAGCCGTTTTTAAATCTTCTACAGCAACAACACTTAAACTCTGAAGTTTTAACGAAACTAAGTAAGAGATTAAAAAGAGTAGAGGTTGAGCATCGAATAGAGACACATTGTGGTTAATGTATAATTAATAATCATCATTTTTAAAAGTTATTGTAATGCAAGTAAGCATTGCCAATATCACCCGGTTTACCATACTTAGAAAAAATGACAAAGTTTGTCTTGTTTTCTTTGGTTGATGAGCTATGGGAAAAGAAGCTATGAAATAATCCAAGAAGGGCAAATTTATAAGTTTCTGGCTTCAGTAGGTTGTTTGGTAAAAATCGCCATGTTTAGAAGACACTGAATCTCTAGTTCTGGTCTTGGCTGTAAGCACGCCCCTATTCTGCTGAGAAATGTGAGTGCAGCGCATTCAGGAGTCAGTTATAAGGAAAGGTTGGGTCCTAGACATGGTGCAAAGTGACAGAGAATTCAGCAGTCTTGTTAAAATTGTTATGTCACATGATTATATATTGCCTGTTTCTTCTATTATGGGATAAAAGTTAGCTGTGAGGACTTTTATGTTAAACATCCTATGGATGTGTGAGGTTATTTTCCACTTTTACAGATAAGGAAACTAAGACTCAAAAGTATGAAACAACCTACCCAATGTCACTAAGGTAGCAAGCAGCAAGCCTGTCCCCAAGTTGTCTGATGTGTCCTGAGTCATGTGGGCACTCAGTCATTGAACAAGAGGTCTGGGTATCAGCCCTCTTGGCATTTCTCTAGCGACTTCACTTCCACAAATCACATTCTCTACCTCTCTTTCTGCAGACGATTTGAAGATCAAAGGAGGTAATTCATTAAAAAATCTTTAAAATTTAGAGTGTAACAGTCAGAAAAAAAAAAAGACTTCAATGTTCATGTCATTAAATCCATTTACTTTCCACCTGAGGAATATTAAGCCTTGCAAGTTAAGTGATTTAACAAAGATCCCAAAACTAGATAGTGGCAGCACACACCAGGCTAAAGAAATTTATTAAAAGTTATTGCTATGTGAGGAATTGTATAACTGATTTTTTTAATGAAGGCATAGTTTGAAGTTGAATTGGAGCACTGTCACTGTACTTGGAAACCAATGAAGGCAAGGACCATATTTTTGGGAGGGACTTTATTCTCCAGCTCAGCACATTGTTGAGTAGAAGACCCTAAAATATACCATACATGAAAACTCTATCTGTCATGTGCCCATGAGATATTATTTTTTTTTAAGTCACTTTCTAAAACAGTTGAGATTTGGGGATTTGCTGATTTACTATTTTCACCTGAGTGATACTAGTTTTTCACATAGTATATTTTTCCAGTAAAGAGAAAGAAAATACCTCTAAGTCTTGGCTGCTCTTTCTATTACAAGGAAAGGAATTGGGTTTCCATAAATAACTTAAGAATTAGGATAATTTCAATTTATTTGTACATACCTTTGTAATATGATTTCTCAATTTAAATATTATTTTCAGTACTATAGAATGTGCTTCCTACTATTCAAAACTCAACTTGTTTTAATAAAGGAGTATTGCTAGAAAACTTGGCTTATGCATTGGAACTATTACACACTGTAAAGCTAGAGCAAGCTGAATGGTAATGCAATTGTGCTATTGTGCTTAGTATTGCAGTAGAAAAAGATGCATGTGTACTAAGACTTTAACTTGCTGTGTCATTTTGGGTGGTCTTCCTGCAGGATGCAATCAGAGAGGCCTTGAGAGTCAGCTTTCATTCCATCTGCCGCTTCACCACATATTGGCCTTTTGTTGTTGTTGTTCTATAGAGATTTGAGATGTATTTTTTCTCCCTGGAGGATTGCTGGGTTTAAGTTTCTTGTTAACTTGAAATTCCTGTGAAGTTTTTCTTCCATGTTTCCCAAAACCTTCCCCCAACTTCTTACAGCTGCTCTCTGATGTTATTGTGCTATTTAATTGTCTGCTTCCAAAGAGTGGAGAGATATACTAACTACTTTTTTAGCTAGCAGATTCTCAGATCAAATAAGAAAGTTATAAACATATGAGACAATGTGATGAGATCATTTAAAAATACCTATAGGAATCTAAGTTAGTATGGTATCTAAAATGGTGTTTGGGAAAAGTATCTGGAGGTTCCCAAAAGGAGAGAGGAAAGATGGAGAGATAGGGATAGATACATGGAAAATTGATGTTAATTGTCCTTAATAATTATTAAGCTTTTGTTGGAGAGGTAAAGGATTTGATTAGAACAGTTTGAGACTGTCTGTATTCTTTTTGGTTGCCCAGTAATCTACCAAGATAGGGTCGCTGTATTGGAAAAGAAAGTGTAACAAGTGAGTGAATACAACCACAGGAGAGGCTGGAAAAATGTGCAACCAATTTGAAGTCTAGACTAGAACTAGCTATCTGTTCTGATAGGAAATAGATTTAATTTTTCTCCTACCTTTTTTGGATTTGACAGGTTTATCACTTATTCAAGGCGAAGCTATCAACCATTCTCTAGTCAGATGGAGTGAATAGAGTTCTGTATTTCGAGTAATAGCTCAGGACTTGTAGAAACACTTTTTCTAATAATTTTCTATCATGTCTCTTTCCTTTCCATCCTAGTAGACTCAAAATAAAATAACTCCTGAGTCTTTTCTCTTGGCAATATCATTGAACAACTAGAGACTATAATACAAGTTTTCAAAAATGTATTGAGGGAGAAATCAAGCAATTTAATTTGTTTTCAAAAATACTTAAAATACCCTAAAGGAATTAAAGTGTCTTTTTTGCAGCTGGATATTTCTCTCATATAATATAAGAGACAATTTAATACCAGAAAATCAGAATTGATGAGGGATGAGGGGGCAAGTGTATGTGTGTAGGGTGTGAGAATAGTGCTTACCTTTGATTTTAATGTGAGCCCTTTTTATAATTTCATTTAGCATGTAATGGCTAAATCACAATTAGCTTTTTCATTCTGAAGACAACTTGTTAAGTAGTTAGAGCCAATTAGTAATCTCAATAGATTTTTTTCATTCTTTTTTGTGCTATTTTAAATATGTTGTTATGCTTAATGTCTGTGGACATTTTATGCTTCCTTTACAATGATGACTTACTATTCTATAAATGTGCCTTTGCCATATAGTATAATAATGATAATTTGGGAAATTTCACTGGAATTATGTTTCAGGGTATATTTTTTAAAAACTGTCCTAGGCCAATAAATATTTTGATGTTACTACATACTATTCTATTAAAATTTTATGATTTTGCATTATATGATATGGAACAGTATAACAATATTTTGTTTTATTTGAACCCCTTGATGATATTTATCATCATTACCCATTACCCTGTTGATGATATTTATAAAATGTAGCAAAGCATACATTTTCCTATAAAATTAGTTAAGGAACTTTCTTGGTTAATTTGTTCTCATTTCTGTTTATAGAAGCAATTATTGTTTGAAGTCCTATTTCAAATTTTTGCTTTTTGAGTGATGATGAGGATGAGTTAATCTGTTGCTATTTCTCAAGTAAGTAAAAAGTAATAACTCTTAGAAATCAATCACAATATCCGAGAGCAAGAGAAAACACAGATTTGGTCTAGGCACCATACAAATAAAGAAGGTGTGGCTTAGGGCAGTTAATTGATAGGGCTAAACTTACTCATTCACAGTACAGCAAATGTAACACATAAAATGTTGAGGTAATAGCTGCAGGTTGTATCCTGCAAAGCCCAGTGCTAACCAGAACTTGTGAAATCATCTCTTCTTCAGAGTAGAGGGAAGACACACAGCTCCAACTAAGTTCATTTTGGGTCCCTGGTTTTAGTCAGAAAATCTTAATTTTAGGACAAATTTATGAATCATACCTAACCAAACAAAGCTGGTCTAAGTAAAAGTGGCGCATAGAAGCAATAAGATATATTAAACCATTTCCAAAGATCCAAAACACTGCTTGGGTATATCTTCTGACCTGTCTGTGATGCATCAGTGGTCTAAGTTTCATTTGCCTATTGCAGACTGGTGCAATGTGCAAGATCCCACCAGACGTAACAAGTCGGATGCGATCCTTCATGATGAAAGGACCTTTTATCCCGTAACATGGCATCTTCATTCAACTTGCTCCTTGGAATTTCAGCGCAGTGGGGCCCTTCCCATAGATAGAAATCTGAATGAATAGGGTTTTAATTATTTCATTCCTTCGCTCTCAAGAAAATGTTTTTCTGTTGTAATTATATAAATAATTATATAAATAAATAACATTTTTTTCTTTTTTTAGGCTACGTTTTTGTAAAATTAAAGGTTTTTGGAGCATACTAGCTGGATGAAAGCTCTTTATAGGCCAGAGAATAATTGTAAAATATGAACAGCATGTCACTTTTCCATTGCAGTGTAACAGTAAATACATTTGCTACAAGTATTTATGATTATTAGCTAATCTATTTGATTCCCTTTCATCAACTTTGTCCACTTTCTCTGTTATATGTAAGTGTGCACACACATACAAACACGTAAAAAAACCTACTGCATGCCTGGGAAGTCCATAGCTAAACCAATCTTAAGTATCTGTACATTTGATCCTCCAGGAGAGCAAGTCATTATGAGGAATGAGACATAATTTGAAATGTCTTGATTAAAAGAAGAAATAAAGTGTGATCAATCCTTTGTCCTTGGGTGAATGATTTAGATCCAGACAAGCAAGGGTCAGAAGGAGATGAGGGCAGACATTTCTTAAGATACTGTTAAAAATATCTTGGCACATTTCTTTTTACATTGTCCTACGCTGTCACAATCAAGCTGCTGCTGTGATTCACCAAATGGACTATATAGGGTACTTTTCTGTCCTTATTCTAGGAAAGAAATACCACTTGGAGAAAGAGGAGACAAGACAAATGTAGATTTGTACTTCTTCATTTTCCAGATAAGAAAAATTACCAAGTTGACCTTTAAATATCTTGGTTTTAAATGTATTTTGTCTTGGGGACATTAGCCAATGATCAAACAATACAGATTATTGAATATAGGAAGCAACACACTTGGTAATTCTGAATACTGATGAATACCCCACTGGAAGACCCCAATTATATTGAGAAGTGACAACGTGCTAGCAGCCTTCACTCGCTCTCACCACCTCCTCGGCCTCGGTGTCCACTCTGGCCACACATGAGGAGCCCTTCAGTGCGCCTCTGCACTGTGGGAGCCCCTCTCTGGGCTGGACAAGGCCAGAGCTGGCTCCCTCTGCTTGGGGGCAGGTGTGGAGGGAGAAGCGCGGGCAGGAACCAGGGCTGCAGGCGGTGCTCTCAGGCCAGCCTGAGTTCCGGGTGGGCGTGGGCTTGGCAGGCCCTGCACTAGGAGCAGCCGGCTGGCACCGCCGGCCCCAGGCAATGAGGAGCTTAGCACCCGGGCCAGCAGCTGCGGGGGGAGTGCAGAGTCACCCAGCATTGCCAGCCCGCCCACACCACACTCGAATTCTTGCCGGGCCTCAGCCACCCCCCACCATGGGCTCCCCACGGCCTGAGCCTCCAGGACGGTTGCCGCCCCTGCTCCACCACACCCCGTCCCATGGACAGCCCAAGGGCTGAGGAGTGCCGGCCAGTGGCTTGCAACTGGGCAGCTCTGCCCCTGGCCCTGGCGAGGGATCCACTAGGCGAAGCCAGCTGGGCTCCTCAATCAGGTAGAGACTTGCAGAACTTCTATTATCTAGCTGGAAGATTGTATATGCACCAATCAGCACTCCGTCTAGCTCAGGGTTTGTAAATGCACCAATCAGCAACCTGTGTCTAGCTCAAGGTTTCTAAACGCACCAATCAGTGCTCTGTGTCTAGCTAATCTAGTGGGGACTTAGAGAACTTTTGTGTCTAGCTAAAGGATTGTAAACGCACCAATCAGTTCTCTGTAAAATGGACCAATCAGCTCTCTGTAAAATGGACCAGTCTGCTCTCTGCAAAATGGGCCAATCAGCAGGATGTGTGTGGGGCGGGGGATGGGGTTGGGAGTGGGGGGGTCAGATAAGGGCATAAAAGCAGGCTGCCCAAGCCAGCAGCTACAACCAGGTGTGGGTCCCTTTCTGCACTGTGGGAGATTCGTTCATTCCCTCTTTGCAATAAATCTTGCTGCTGCTCACTCTTTGGGTTGGCGCTGCTCACTCTTTGGGTTGGCACTGCCCTTAAGAGCTGTAACACTCACGCGAAAGTCTGCATCTTCACTTCGGAAGCCAGCGATGCCAGGAACCCAGCAGGAAAGAAGGAAGAAACTCCGAAGGCGTCGAAACACCAGAAGGAATGGACAACTCCAGACCCACCGCCTTTAAAAACTGTAACACTTACCGTGAGGGTCCAGGTCCACGGCTTCATTCTTGGTCAGCGAGACCAAGAACCCACCAATTCTGGACACAATATCAGCTTTCTTTTTTGGTTTTAGCTCTTCAGGTGACCTTTTATCCCCTAACATGGCATGTTATTCAACTTGCTCCTTGGAATTTCAGCGCAGTGCGGCCTTTCCCATAGATATAAATCTGAATGAATAGGGTTTCAATGATTTCATTCCTTCACTCTCAAGAAGATGTTTTTCTGTTATATCTTTTACATGCAAAGTGTTTTACAGTTCTCAAAGGATTTCGTGTCTTTTCTATTTATCTCTTTAAAACAATCTGGCAAAATAGACAGGAGAAACATCATAATTCTCAAATCAAGCTGCAGATGATGATTCAGAAGCTCAGAATGACTGTATGACTTGCCCAAGATTTACATTCAGTATGAAAACACGTCTTTTGTCTCCCAATCTTACAGCTTTGATCTAAACCTAGAGCAAGTATTGAGGGGTATGAGCACGATCAATACATTAGGGGATTTCTGCCTCCTTTCTTACTCCCTTAGCCTTTGAAGTTCAGATGTGATGCAAAAGTGTTTCTATGTAAAAAACTTTTATTCATAACTGGAGACTGTTTCCAACTACATCCCTATATGGTGAGAGGGTTGAGGAAGGAGGAGAGTATCACTTTAATGTAAGGACACATGTGCTCACAAAAATAATTTCACTTTCGTCCGATCACCTACTTTTGTTTACCAGTCTTAGGGGTTTAAATTTCTTCTATTTAAAATGTACCTATTGAGCTTTCTCTTGCAATCTAGGTATCAAAGGTGCTTGGCCTGATTTGGGCCATTCCATGTTTCTATAGGATGTCTGGTACTATTTTCCAGTTTTGGTGAATATCGGGCTCTTGCATTCTGAAACTCTTGAGTCTCTTCTTCTAATGAGCTCTTCTGGCTTTTTCTTCTTTGTATTCTTCCATTCACCAATTGAATAACAGACTTTTTTCTGATTTCCCTGAAATCATTGGCACAGGCCGACATTAAGGGTTTGTAGTGGCAGAGTGGTTTTAATCAAATAACTTAAATTGAATATTGAACAAACTGGTTCTTGATATTTCTCTAGCTGCCAACGATAACTTCCCATTGGTTGCCCATTGCCATGGGTTTTATGCCCCTAGAAGACAGGGTTCTCTCCCATGCTCACTTCAATCTCAGAACTGCTATTACCTTCTTACGGAAAAGTTCCAGACCCGTCCTACTATACAGAAAGCGATTTTCCAAGTGTTTTCCTGAAGCAAAGTTTAAAAACCTGCAGCCGGCTGGGCGCGATGGCTCACGCCTGTAATCCCAGCACTTTGGGAGGCTGAGGTGGGAGATCACGAGGTCAGGAGACCGAGACCATCCTGGCTAACACGGTGAAACCCCGTCTCTACGAAACATACCCGGGCGTGGTGGTGGATGCTTGTAGTCCCAGCTACTCGGGAGGCTGAGGCAGGAGAATGGCGTGAACCTGAGAGGTGGAGCTTGCAGTGAGCCTAGATCGCGCCACTGCACTCCAGCCTGGACGACAGAGCGAGACTCCGTCTCAAAAAACAAACAAAAACAAACAAACAAAAAACCCTGCAGCCTAGAGACTGGATGTAGCCTCTGCACGTTTTGAAAAATGTAAGCATACATTTAGGAATTTGGAGGGGTTTTTTTTTTTTTTGTTTTTGTTTTTTTGGTTTGGTTTGGTTTGTTTTTTTAATCTGGGTTTCTGGCTTTTCTTAACATACAAAATATCTGGCAACGTGGCGGCGTGGGTGGGGGGGCACGTCTCAGCATGGCAACAGTGAGAGTTAGCGGACTAGCTGCTATTCCATTTAGATGGGACTTAAATCTCACATGTGTCACTGTCTCCAGTACCCCTGCTTCTACCTGGCCTCCAGAGGCACTTGAGTATGACTCCTCTTATCAAAGACAATTCCTCCCTTAATAGGTGACTTTGACGTCTGCTGTTAACATGTCTGCTTTTTCTGTACTACATGGTCTTGTAAAGATGCATTGGAAATGTTCAAAAATGATTGTTACCTAGACTTTTTTAAATATTTGACCATTTCTTTAGGATTAAAAATTCCATCATACCAATGTTTTAATTTTTATTTTAATAACCATAAAGTCTGCAGATGAATTGGAGAAATAAGAGGTAATATTGTGAAACATTTCTTTCTTTTTCTCTCAAAAAACAAATTCAGATATAGCCTGGCTCATAAAACTTAATTACTCATTGGTGTTTGGCTAATGGATTTTTGCAATTCATCAGGCTAGAAAAAAGACCTCCTTCTTATGCACTGTATTTCTCAAAATAGAGTTATTTTTCATATCCCTTATCTTGCAACCTTATACTATTCAGCTGCATTTATACAAATAGCTTTAAATGCCTTCTACTGCAGAATTTAATTCTGATTGATGGAAACCCAGACATAAACCTACAAAGAGTGTGCTGCTGTGGTAACAAGAAAAAGAGACAGATGTTTAAGAACGTACATATTCTGTTGAACTTTTTAACTTTACTGAAATAATGGATGAACACCAATAAAATAGCCCCTGTGCAAGAATTTTGCTCTTGAATTTGGTGCATTTGGTAGGTCGGGGGGAGAGGCCAATTAATCAGAAACAGTAACCTTTGAATTCATAAATACCTGATATATGTAAATTGTGAGGTGAATAAAATTGGTTTACTTAATCACCTTCTGTTCAGAAGTCTACGCCAAACCCTATTCAAAGCTCCATCAGTTTAGGAATTTCTTATCTGAAGGGTCTGTTTGCCCTCTCTCTCCCGAAAATTGTCTTCAATGGAGTGAACTTGATTAATGGGCTGTTTCATTTTTCAGGACAAAGCTAACATTTGCCTTTTCCCAGAAACACTAGCAAATTACTTGATTAATATCAAAAAGCTCTCATTCACACATAACCTTTGAATAAACAAGTTGTGATACTGTTGGCAACATGCTAAGAGGTATTCCTGTAAGTAGGCTATAAAGGAAATTGCCTTTGTAATTAAATGTATAAAGAGGGAACCTGTTTTTGCTTGCTCAAATCTATTTTTTTTCTCTTGTAAGTGAAGAATGTATAATGAGGTTGGACCAAAGCAGAATGCAAAAATTCTTTGTCTATGCTAAGGTTTTATTTGCATTTCCCTCACCTCTGGAAGCCCAGGAAGAAAACTGTGAAACATTTATGAAACTTGAAACTTGAATGGAGTTTCTAATTCTTAATTTTAAGGCTTTCCAACTTTTTCTTTTCTTTTCCTTTTTTTTTTTTTTTTTTTTTTTTTTTTGAGACAGAGTCTCGCTCTGTCACCCAGGCTGAAATGAAGTGGTGCGATCTTGGTTCACTGCAACCTTGGCCTCCTGGGTTCAAGCGATTCTCATGCCTCTGCCTCCTGAATAGCTGGGATTACAAATATGTGCCACTATGCCTAATTTTTGTATTTTTAATAGAGATGGAGTTTCGCCATGTTGGCCAGGCTGGTCTCAAACTCCTGGCCTCAAGTGATCTACCCGTCTCGGCCTCCCAAAGTGCTTGGATTATAGGCATGGGCCACCATGCCTGGTCTCTAGCTTTCTCTTAAAGTTCGACAATAAGAGGTAGTCAATCCCATGTTGATTGAAAAATACCTACACCTCCAAAAGACTTTCCTAATAATTAATTACCTGAAAACCAGAGCTGGAATATAAGATGTACTAATGCGACAAAAAAGAAAGGCCTTTGAATCAGAAAAGATTCTATACTAAAATGCAGGAAGGAGAAATGAACTAAAATATTATGCTCTGATCATATACCAAATACTATATAAAGGTCTTATTTCATGTAGAAAATTAAACTACCCTTTACTGCAAATTAATTGCCTATCTATGATTCATTTCTCCCCTGCAGATAACTGCTGAATCCCCACATATAATAGCACTTTGCCCAGATCCAGTCAATGGGCTGTCATTAGTCCAAGCCAGAGGCTGGCAAACTACGGGCTTGTAGGCTAAATCAGGCCCACCATTTATGAGCTAAGATTGGTTTGTACATTGCTGAATGGTTGAAGAAAATCAAAAGAGGAATATTTCATAATACGTGAAAGTTATATTAAATTTCATTGTCCATAAAATGTATAAGAACACAGCCACACTCAATCATTAATGTATTGACTATGGCTGTTTTTGTGCTACAATGGCAGGATTGGGTGATTACAACAGAGACTGGCCATATGGCCTGCAAAGCTTACAATATTTAATATCTAGCCTGTTACCAAAAAAAGTTTGTCGACCCCTGGTCTAAGCCAATTGTGATACTCTTGTATCTTGCTTTTCCAGGCTCCAATCCAGCTGGCAGTGCCCATGTGACAATGAAACACAAGCAGAGGTCTGCCAGAAGGAATTCTGGAAAAGCTTGGCTTTCTTCATATAAGGCTGGCATCTTAACTCCCCTTCCGGCCTTGAATTTGAAAGTAAAATCTGGATGTCAGAACAGCCATCTTGCAACCATGGGGTGATGAATATAAGAGTAAAAGCCAGCACCAGGAGGGGTAAGTAACTTAGTCCCTGATAGGATTGTTGAGCAGCTGAACCAAGGCCAATACCTGCTTACTGCCAGACTTCCTCTCATGTGAGAAAAATTAACCCCTCTCTGTAAGACATTCTTCAGTGGGCATGCATTGAGTCACTTACAGGCTAATGTCTTCCTTACTGACCTTACCTCCTCTTTCTTTCCTTTAGGCACAACCTATTTGGTCTTAATTTTTATAGAGAGAGTTGTGGGGGCCAGAGGACCCATCCTGATATTCTTTCACTACACAGTGATCAGGTAGCTATCTAATATCTCCACAGTCAAAGCCACACTTGAGTTTGCTTATCAGTAAAAAAAAACCTAGTATCCCCAGCAGCATTATTTTGATGTTTGGGGGAATGGCTATGAGACCAGTCTATTTCTCTTTGTTACTATAAATAGCTCATGGCAGAAAGACATCTACATTGTTCCTCCCACATCCTCTCCACTCAAGTTAGATGTCCCATCCTCTGTTCTCCCATAATGTTTAGGTCATGATGCTATCACACTCATTACACTATATTTTAGGTATTATGTTAGATTATGCACTCAACTGTGGATGCCTTACAGACATCAACCATGTCTTACTCACCTCTGTCACTAGCATCTAACACAGTGCCACAGATATTATAGATGGTGAAGGAAAGAAGGCAGCACAGTTGTCATGTAAAAGAATACAACGTGGAACACAACAAATATATTTGTTAATTTATCCAACATTTATTGAGTGCTTAGTATATGCCTTTTTCTAGGTGATGATGGGGATAAAGTGATGAATAAAACCCGTATCATAATAAAAGCAAGCATTTATTGAATACTTCATAAGTTCTAAGATAGAATTCTAAGCACTTTATATATATCGCCTTAATTAATCTTCGCAGTACTCTGTCATTCCCATTTCAGAGATGAAAAACCTGATGCACAGAGAAGTTAAGTAACTTGCCCAAGATTACACAGCTAAAAGTGATAACGTTGGATCTCTATCCATATTCAAATGTGTAATTCCAGGATATTTACCATCATACTTTCAAGCTGCTTCTCTGATGCATTAGGTGCAGGGAATACAATATGAAGAAAACAATTGCCCTCCATTATGGGATTCCAAAGCAGAATAAGTAAGACACAGTTTGCATATTGGAGGAGAGCACAAGTCTAGGGTCAGTCCACTGGGCTTCAGTTTCTGGCTGCAGCAGATACTGTGTACTTCTCAGTATGTTACATAACCCTTCTGTGTCTCAGTTTCCTTATAAATGAATTGGAATTATAATATCTAACTCAGAGTGGTTATAAGGATTGCATGCATTAAATATGTAAAGTACTTAAAACAATGCCTAGAATATTTTAAGTTTAAACCAAGGGTTGAGTATTATTATTACTATTGTTGTGGATGGTTTTATAATTATTATAGTACATAATAATAACAATAGCTATTACCGTTATCCTTATATGTACGGGACAAGTAGTCAGATCATAAATGGTTTAACAAAAATTATATAATGACAAACAGTGATTGAATGTTAAACAGGTGTATTAGTCAGGGTTCTCCAGAGAAACAACCAATAGGATTTGTGTGTAGGTGTTTTTGTATGCGTTTGTGTGTGTGTATGTATGTATTTTTAGTGTGTGTGTATGTGTGTGTGTATTTGTTATAAGGAATTGGCAATTATAGAGGCTGAGAAATCTCAAGAGGTCTGCAGTTGGCAAACTGGAGACCCAAGAGAGCCAATGGTATAGTTCCAGTCTGACACAGTAGCTCCCTTGTTTGTCTGTTGATTCAGAGGCATGAGAAGACTAAAGTGGCCGGATGGCCATCTTAGCTTCCAGTAATGGAATCATTGTTGTGTCTCTTGATGGAAGCATTCCTCCCTTTGTACCTAGGCCAGCAGAGCATAAGGCCACGGGAACAGGAAGCAAAAATTTTGCTAGTGGGTTATTAGGAGTAATAATGAATGCTACAACTCTGATTTCCAACCCTGGATTTCTGGACCTGTAAATCTTGGCTATAGATAAACATCACCATATATTGTATTGGATTCTGATTCTGCACATATATAGCCTTCAGGAGAACCTTGCCCCAGCCCTGCAAGGTATTGCCGCCAAGCTGTCACTGTAACTGAGTCTTCAAAAGTCTATTCCACCATTCTATCAAGCTAGCTGCTTCATGTTGGTGGGAGACATGGTAAGACCAGTGAATTCTATGAGCATAGACCCATTGCCACACTTATTTCGCTATGAAGTGAGTTCCTTGATCCGAGCCATGCTGTGTGGAATACCGTGACAGCAGACGAGGCATTCTGTAAGTCTATGGGTAGTAGTTTCAGCAGTTTTCTCTATGAATTCAAGATGGTCTTTGATACTGAGTCATCAACTGCTTAGCCATGTCTATTGTGCGCATGTTAAAGTTATTGCTTATATAAAAAAGACTTTTACTTTATGACTACACTCTTGATCCTCTGACTTCGTGGATTTTAAAAAGTTTTATATTGTGTTGTGTTAACGTTTGCTGCCATGAAGAAGCAACGTGATGATGAAAACACAGGGATAAAACTATCACCACCACGGGGGAATATGTGTGATTAAACAGGGAGAGCAGTCTTATCTTGAGCAGCTTTTCAATGGACAGAAAGCAGGAGTTTGAGACCTGGAACCAGGAGAGAAATGGGCCTTGAAGGGGGAAGAGGCGAAGACTCCAGTGGTGTGTGCCTCAGACTAGGCCTGGGCAAACTGGGAGGACTCAAGCTCAGAGAAACAACCTTACTAGGCCATTAAGTATAAGCACTGGAGGTGAAATCAAAAGTGAGGTAAAAGGGCCCTGAATCAGAACCTGGATCCAGCCATGCAGTGATTAAAAATGCCAGGGCAAATGAAGGTAGTGCAAGCAACTGCTGTAAAAGTACCCAGAGCGCCCTGGGTTCCTCCTGTGGGCCACAGCCTTTACCTTTCCGAAAACTCAGTGGCCTATGTTGCTTTTAAAGTAAACACCGCATATTCTCACTCATAGGTGGAAATTGAACAATGAGAACACATGGACACAGGAAGGGGAACATCACACTCTGGGGACTGTTGGGGGGTGGGGGGAGGGGGGAGGGATAGCATTGGGAGATATACCTAATGCTAGATGACGAGTTAGTGGGTGCAGCGCACCAGCATGGCACATGTATACGTATGTAACTAACCTGCACGTTGTGCACATGTACCCTAAAACTTAAAGTATTATAATAATAATAATAAAAACAAAACAAAAAAACAAACAAAAAAACAAAACAAAAAAAACAAAAAAATAAAGTAAAGAGTAAAATGTAGGGTGTAGAGGATAAGTAGCATCATCTGATATTCAAAACACCAGTTTTTATAACCCTAAATTTTTTCAGGTTGATTGTGCTTTCTTCATTTCTCTATAGAACTATTCATTTGTTAATTCCTTGCTCATTTCTTAAGGAATGGAGGAGATTTAAAATGCCCTATGTAATAAAAATAAGTTATGCAATGGGAATAGAAGTGGAGAATTATAAAAAAGAAAATATGAATATAAACGGGATATTGAGACAAAGTATATAGAAGACAGGGGACAAAGTTTTTGTTTAATTCTTCCATGTTAAGTGAAAAGCCTCAATTAAAATATAACAGCAGCCCATCTTACAGTATATTACTGTGTAATAAAGTCAAAATGAAGACCGAACTGGGTTTGCATGAGTGCAGTCGTCTCATTCCAGTCCTGTCACTATATAGCTTCATCATCCTTTTCTTTCTTTCTTTTATTTTTTTTCTTTTTTTTGGAGATGGAGTCTCGCTCTGTCACCCAGGCTGGAGTGCAGTGGAGCGATCTGGGCTCACTGCAAGCTCTGCCTCCCAGGTTCACGCCATTCTCCCGCCTCAGCCTCCCAAGTAGCTGGGACTACAGGTGACCGCCACCATGCCGGGCTAATTTTTTGTATTTTTAGTAGAGATGAGGTGAATTTCACCGTGTTAGCCAGGATGGTCTCTATCTCCTGACCTCGTGATCCACCCGCCTCGGCCTCCCAAAGTGCTGGGATTACAGGCGTGAGCCACTACGCCCAGCCTGCATTACCCTTTTCAAACCAATTAGGAGTCCTTCGTCTCATCTTCCTCTCACATAAAACAACGCATCATTGCTTAGTGCAAAGAACCAAAGCTAAGTATCAGCAGTCTCTAGGTCTTCCTCCAGCCCTTGACCTTGGAAAACAGATCTTCAGTTTTTTCCTGTTAAGTGTAGATAATGTGGAAATTAAACATATAATATATCTGGTGCACTTAGCAGAACTCCATGGCATTTGAAAATATTCTATAATGGTAGTTGTTTAAAAATAACATGTTGAAGTAAGTGATCTTTAAGGTCTCATGTAGTCCAGAAATTCATGTTCTTTGAAGTGACTCATTTTTCATGTGAAGTTTCAATAAGCGTTACTCTTTTATCAGAGTTTGCTAGAAGAATGTATCTCTGAATCACATAACTGATTGTATATTTGGCAAAACCACTAGGGAACCCAAGTAAAAGAAATGCAAATCGACAGCAAATCTGACTGTAAAATTTTGTAAATCCTTATAAAAGAATGAATTACCGATGAAAAGCTTTGCCTTGGTTTCATATGAAACTTAGACTGAGACAAACACTTAAACCAAAATAGTACAATGTAAAGGAAAAGTACATAAGCTCTCTCTAGCTCTCTCCCCCCTCATTCTGTTTTGCAGAACACAATAATAATTCTAATAAGAAATGAGTTGGAAAGTTACATTGGATCACAAGAGAATACATACAAGAGAGTATGAAAAAGATGACTTTTCAAATGAGTCTCTTTGAAGTTTATAGGAAGAAAGGCAGAAAACTTTTTCTAGGGGAAATGTTGTTCTTGTGGAGGTGGTTGGGGAGTACTGTTTCTGTGTGGGTGGAGTCTGTCATGGAGGATCCTGATAGCTTCTTGGCTGCTGCCAAAGGGTAGAAGAATTGGGGATGGGGTAGAGGCAGGAATCACCTTTTACTGATGGCCTAGTAAGTAATCAAAACTATGGCAGAAACTTCGCTATGTTTTCTCACTTAATCCTTAATGTCCTGATAGGCAATTCCATTCTTTCAAGTTTAGCAGATGGAAACCAAGATTACAAGAATTGCAAGAATTGCATAACTGCCCAGGATTCAACTGTTTATAGATAAGCAGATATATGGTGATTAGAAAATGAGTTTATCTGACTATCACTTATGCTTCCTGCCAGGCTCAGAGAGCTTTTGTCTTGTGTTGCCAGTTGCATACCTACTTCAGCCAGGCTTAGCTGATATGTATCACAACCACGGTAGCTGCCATCATCGTGATTGGGATACAAGGCTTTTAGCTGACCTTGCAGAGGGAGGAGTGTGCATCTGTTCTTTTATCTCTTTGCAGAGGGTTTGGGGAAGGGAGTGCCAAGGTGGGAAACAATATGGTGAAAATAGCCTGAGGCAGGGCAGAAGAATGCCTGCAGATGGCATCTTGTCACTCCTTTCTCAACTTTCCTGAAGAGAAGGAAGAGGTTACTGACAATAACAATGTAAAAATATCTTGTACATAGCTCTCTTTCCCATCTTTCAAGATGGCGGGTGAAAAGGTTGAGAAGCCAGATACTAAAGAGAAAAAACTCAGAGCCAAGAAGGCTGATGCTGGTGGCAAGGTGAAAAAGGATAACCTCAAGGCTAAAAAACCTCAGAAAAGAAAGCCCCATTGCAGCCGCAATCCTGTCCTTGTCAGAGGAATTGGCAGGTATTCCGGATCTGCTATGTATTCCAGAAAGGCCATGTAAAGAGGAAGAACTCAACCACAAATCCAAGGTTAAAAAGAAAAAGAAGGAGAAGTTTCTTGAAACTGTTACAAACCAGTTGGTGGTGAAAAGAACTGCAGTACCCGGGTGGTTAAACTTCACAAAATGCCTAGATATTATCCTATTGAAGATGTGTCTGGAAAGCTGTTGAGCCACGGCAAAAAACCCTCCTGTCAGCACGTAGAAAACTGCGAGCCAGCATCACCCCAGGGACCATTCTGATCATCCTCACTGGATGCCACAGGGGCAAAGAGGGTGGTTTTCCTGAAGCAGCTGGCTAGTGGCTTGTTACTTGTGACTGGACCTCTGGTCCTCAACGAGTTCCTCTACGAAAAACACACCAGAAATTTGTCATTGCCACCTCAACCAAAATTGATATCAGCAATGTAAAAATCCCAAAACATCTTACTAATGCTTACTTCAAGAAGAAGCTGCAGAAGCCCAGACACCAGGAAGGTGAGATCTTTGACACAGAAAAAGAGAAATATGAGATTATAGAGCATCACAAGATTGATCAGAAAGCTGTGGACTCACAAATTTTACCAAAAATCAAAGCTATTCCTCAGCTCCGGGGCTGTCTGCGATCTGTGCTTGCCCTGACGAATGGAATTTATCCTCATAAATTGGTGTTCTAAATGTCTTAAGAACTTAAATAGCTGACTACAAAAAAAAAAAAATACCTTGTACACAAACATTATTTTTATAATTTATAGAGAACCTCTATGTATATTTTATACATATAAACATATTATTCTAGTAATCTTCATGGCCATAATTTGTGGTTTTGAAAAGGATACTAAAATGCAGGGACCTAAAGTACTAGCCAGTGGCAGACACATTCACAAACCCAGATCTCCTAACTACTTTGCATTATAATCCCAGCATTCTCTAAAAGATGTCTGTTGGTTTTCATGTAACTTTCCAGCTTCACAGGGGAATTGCAAAGCTTACTTCCTATTTGAAATTAAGATCCTTGCTCTCTCAGAAGAAAGCTTCTAAATACAAAACATAATGGCATAGTAATGAGCTTTCCTGACTAAATCAACCATCTCTCATACCCTCAAATATTACCCTCCCTTTGCTTCCCGCAGTGTCCAAAGTAAGTTCAACCCAAACAGTAGGAGGTTGCAGGGCATAGAAATTGGAAGTTGAAAGAGGTTGAATAACATATAAGAATGAGCCCTTATGAATATTGAAATCTTGGTTTAGAAAAACTACCTTTTTGGAAGAGCCCTCTGGGTGAAGAGAAGTGACCCTGTTACTTAGAGACAGATCGGGAACTATGAACAATCTCTTTTTTTAGTTTCTTGTCTTTCAAAATGCATGATCCTAGTAAAACCATTCTTAGCCAATTGAATATCCATTGAACAAAAGACATAGATGGCATTCTGAGTAGGTAGGAGATTCTGAGAATTTTTTTAGATACGGCTTCTCTGTTTCTTGCTTATTACATTTGATCACTGATATCTTGAGATTAGTGCGAGGTTGTCATTGCAGGTGGAATTAATATGTACCAAAAGTTTGATGTAAGAAATAATTTCTGTGCACCTTGTATTGGCTGACAACAGATGAGAAACAGTGCTGTGCAAATATAATAAGAAAACCTCTTTTGGGACTCCTGCAGAATCATGTGGCAAAGCATGGGATTTGGGTACAATGATTTATTCACCTTTATTTCTTTATTGAAGAACATCAAGAGCTAAGAAAATGGAAGACCAACTCAGTTCATCACAGATACTCAAAACTGTAGAAGTAGAGAAAAGAAAACACTTATGGCAATGATTCTGAACTAATACTGAAACTGAAACATTACTTGATCTCAAATTACTTCTTTTAAGTCAACTTGGGAAATGACATAACCATATTTAATTCCTCTGAGAAGAATTGTACAGTTCCAACCATCTGCTAAATTAAGCAGCAGTGATTATAATGAACATTTACAACAGACCTGATACAAAAGGGGATAATAACTTTATACATAAAAGAAAGTCCTAGGAAGCTGTTGCAAACTCCAAGCTGAAGCTCAAAATTAGGAGAACAGATTTTTCAGTGAACTCAAACTGTAATGATAGTGAAGGTCAAAGTGTAATAGCACATTTCTTTAAATTATGTGTTTATTTATTTTAGGAAAACAACCACCAAATATGATCAAACTGATAGTTGTCCAGATTCTTTCTTTTGCATGTCTCACCAGAACTCTGGTTGTCTTTATCTTTTCTTTTTTCTCGTGATAATGTAAATTTTGTTTCTGATTTATTTCCCCCTCTCTGTACAGGTGAAAGAATCCTCAGCATAACCTCTAACGGATAGAACAAGACCCAACAAATTACAATAGCTAGTCTCCTGATTACCAGTAACCTTGAGAGATAATTATTAGTCTAGTGGTTTCTTCTTTGATCTTGAAAAAGTGTTCCATATTTCCACAGTTTTCTGAGAGTGTTTATATATGTGCACAGGTCCACATACTTTTTCCCCAGACTGCAGGTAAAATGATATCAATAATAATAATAAAGTGTTTGGCCTTAGAGGTCCTAGAATGTTGTCTCTGTCCATTCTTCAACCAGGAAACATATTTTCAACGCATAGCGTTATATTATTAAATACTAGCAGAGACTCATCATCAAAAAAGGAAAGAAATTTGTGTTTATGTGTAGCCTCAAATTCACAGAATATAAAATGCCTTAGAAGTTTCTTTTTCCTCCAAATGCCAACAAGGCTAATATTCTAGTGGCACTAAGGCATCTGAGAGAGAACTAATTTATGTTTTAGATTTTCAAAGACATAGTTCTGATTATATTGCTGCCCTACTGAAAGAATATGAAAGCCTGATAACAGGGTGACCTCCCTGTCCTTCCTTATGCACATGCCTGGCACTGCAGAATATACCATTTATTGAATAGGAGTGGTGAGAGAGGGCATTTTTGTCTTGTGCCTGTTTTCAGGGGGAATGCTTCCAGCTTTTGCCCATTCAGTATTATATTGGCTGTGGGTTTGTTATATATGGCTCTTATTATTTTGAAGTGTGTTCCTTCAATACCTAGTTTTATGAGAGTTTTTAACATGAAAGGATATTGAATTTTATTGAAGGCCTTTTCTGCATCTATTGAGATAATCATGTGTGTTGTTTTCATTTCATTTGTTCACATGGAACAAAAAAATAGTCCAAATAGCCAAAACAATCCTAAGCCAAAAGAACAAAGCTGGGGGCATCATGCTACCCAACTTCAAACTGTACTATAAGCCTGCAGTAACCAAAACAGCATGGTACTGGTACAAGCAAAGACATATAGACCAATGGAATAGAATAGAGAACTCAGAAATAAGACTGCATACCTACAACCCTCTGATATTCAACAAACCTGATGAAAACAAGCAATGAGGAAAGGACTCCCTATTTAAAGAATGGTGCTGGGAGAGCTGGATAGCCGTATGCAGAAAATTGAAACTTGACCCCTTTCTTACGACATTTACAAAAATTAACTCAAAATGTATTAAAGACTTAAGTGTAAAACCCCAAAATGTAAAAATCCTAGAAGAAAATCTAGGCAGTACCATTCAAGACAGAGGCATGGGCAAAGATTTCATGATGACAACACCAAAAGCAATTGCAACACAAGCAAAAATTGACAAATGAGATCTAATTAAACTAAAGACCCTCTGCACAGCAAGAAAAACTATCATCAGAGTGAACAGACAACCTACAGAATGGGAGAAAATTTTTGAAATCCATCCCTCTGACAAAGGTCTAATATCCAGAATCTACAAAGAACTTAAACAAATTTACAAGAAAAAACAAACTCCATTAAAAAGTGGGCAAAGGGCATGAACAGACACTTCTCAAAAGAAGACATACATGCAGCCAACAAACTTATGAAAAAAAGCTCAACATCACTGATCATTAGAGAAATGCAAATCAAACCCACGATGAGACACCATCTCCTGCCAGTCAGAATGGCTATTATTAAAAAGTCAAAAAACAACAGATGCTAGCAAGGTTGTGAAGAAAAAGGAATGCTTTTCTACTGTTTGTTGGAGTGTAAATTAGTTTAACCATTGTGGAAATCAGTGTGGCAATTCCTCAAAGACCTAGAGGCAGAAATACAATTTGATCCAGCAATCCCATTATTGGGTATATACCCAAAGGAATATAAATTATTCTATTATAAAGATACATGCATACATATGTTTATGGCGGCACTATTCACAATAGCAGAGACGTGGAATCAACCTAAATGTCCATCAATGATAGACTGGATGAAGAAAATGTGGTACACATTCACCATGGAATACTATAGCTACAGCTATCAGGAGGAATAGCTAATGGATGGTGGGCTTAACACCTAGGTGATGGGATGATCTGTGCAACAAACCATCATGGCACACATTTACCTATGTAGCAAACCTGCACATCCTGCACATGTACCCATGAACTTAAAATAACAGTTGAAGAAATTAAAAATATATTATTTATAAGATTCTTCTTAATAGCCGCACTCATGAAATGCCTTAACTGCATCTTACAGTCTATAGAATTAAGAGGTCTAGAAATTTATTAAAAGTCATAATTATTATAATTGTATGTAGAGATGTGATTGGGAGGGCAAATTCCAGTGAAAACCCAAATAGTGTTTACTAATCTAGCAATATGTTTGCCTGTTAATTTACCATATTAAAATGTTTAAGATTACATAATGCAAAGAATATTCAGATGAGAATTCCTAGTGAGTTAAATAAATACATATCTCCTAAAAGTCATTCTTTCCTGTTATATCACTAACTGTACCTGGTGGAATCAAAGTGGAGGTTTAATAATAATTTTTTTCTCTTCCTGGTATTAGCATATATACTTATGCCATTTTGAAGGGATATTGGGATGGTTCATTTCAAATAATATTGAACTTTGTAGACCCAAAGACCACGAGAAAGTATTTGCCTATCACCCACCCATTCAAAACATTTGTTTTTTCAACAAATATTTCTTAAATACTACCATGTTCCAGGAACATAGTGGCCAAGAAAGATATGGTTTCTTTCTTCATGTGGCTTCTATTCAAAGTAGACCAGACAGAATATTGAAAAGAATGGTTGAGAAGGTACTTTTGACAAATGCCATGTCCAGCTCAGCAAAGTGGCAAAGGTTTCACTAGGGTATGGCTTCTCATGATGCAGTACCCTGCACACAGAACCTCATAGCCTCTCTAAACGTCTTTACACTCTGGCTGGGACTGGCAGCAGAAGTCTTTAGACCCTGGGTACCACATGGGATGGTCCAATGTTCATCTTTGTGGTAGCCTGTGAGGGCGAACACCAGAACTTAGACGATGGGGCAGCAGTGGCAAAAAGAGGAAAGTGGTGAAAATAGTTGTATGCCAAAGCTACACAAGTGGTCATTATTTTTTCTGGCAGGCATACTATTCCTCACATGATGAATGTTAAAGTGAATGCAATTATATTTATTTGAATGACAGGTGATAGGGATTGTTACTTTCACTTTCAGTAAGGCTATACAAAGAAAAGGTGAATGCACATCAGCTGGAGAGGACGAAATAGGTCTAATACTGATCCTGGCCCTCCCTTACTTCTCTAGAAGCAGTGCACCTCTTTCCCGGGGAAATTGCAAGGAACTGTGTGTAGGGCCCACCGGCTTTTATTCCTTCCCTGGTTTGGGGATTCTCTCTCTCCCTCTCCTGCCCCGTGGTTGCAAATGCGGGTCTGGAAGACAGCAATGAATCTGCAAGTAAACAGGTATTTACAATCTACTTCAATGTTCATATACTAAATGTTTTCTTTCTGCCTCAGGTTTTCCAATAGTTGTTCTGTAGTGAATTAGCTCTTCAATTTTGAGGCAATATTTGCACTGTCTTGAAGAAAGAACCAGGTTCTAGCTGAGCATATCTTCTGGAAATGAATGCATTCAATGACTTATTTATGGAAACTCTTGGGGATATAACTGCTGCCTTGACAGTAAGTGAATTATCTTGAGTGGATTTTAGGCTCTAGGATATTGGCTCCAAGGAATGTCTGAGAAGGGCAAGCAAAGCAATATGTTTCATAACAGTACTGGAGTAAGAGTAAAAGATGTGAGGGAGTTCGTAGGTTTAAAAAACTGCCTCTTCAAACTGCTTATATTTTTATTATTTTTGCCAGCTCTATATACAAAAACGATATTCTGACCATGAAATAGTTAACAGAAAAACTAAACAACTAGCTGAAATGTGGGAGTTCAGTCAGTTCAGTGATTTAGGATCAGGGAGAGTAAATAACCCATTTTACTACAATCGATATTCAGGGGAAGAGATATTTCTGGATGTGTTTATTCAGCTCTGTGCATACACATAGCATAAACAAGTATTTCCTTAAGACACAGATTATTTGCAGCAACTGCTAAGGTACAGACACGGTTGAAGACAGATGTTTTTATTAAAACCCATAGATTGTTTGCAAAGCTTGATCTCTTTTTACCTTAAATCTGCCCTTATTTGAAGATCTAATACACCTCAAATTTGTGCATTTTAGATGAAACCAATAGTATACACCTCTGATTTCTAGCTTTGCCACCTCACACAGAATTGTGAAAATATTTTATTTATCTAACCTTTGTGATCCAGTGACAAAATATTCAAATATCTGTGTGGTAAGGCAGCAATAAGAGTTACTGTTCTTGGACGGGCACGGTGGCTCTCGCCTGTAATCCCAGCACTTTGGTAGGCCGAGGAGGGCGGATCACCTGAGGTCAGGAGTTCGACACTAGCCTGACCAACATGGTGAAACCCCATCTCTTTTAAAGTACAAAACTTAGTCGGGTGTGGTAGCCAGTGCCTGTAATCCCAGCTACTCAGGAGGCTGAGGCAGGAGAAGCTTGAACCCAGGAGGCAGAGATTGCAGTGAGCTGAGATCGCGCCACTGCACTCCAGCCTGGGTAACAAGAGCGAGACGCCGTCTCAACAACAACAACAACAACAAAAAAGAGTTACTCTTCTTTATTTCTGTGAATCTGCCCCTACCTACTCTGTGATAAACTGCCACTTTCTCACAAGGACTTGTAAATGTAGAGCTCCCAACTGAGACTGGACATTCCGCCATTCTGGTCTCTTCTCTGATTGTCACAGCGATGCCTCCTGCCCCTCAAAAGTCCAATGTTTGATTCCAGATCTTATTGATCCTGCTTGTGGCTCATACAATTGTGTGTCCAGCCCAGTTCCATTCTGCACCAACTCTGACACCAGATGTGGAAAGTTGAATTAGCGCCAACCAAGCCACATGGACTTATATGTGCCTCAAGGCCTTGCTGCTTTATGTCCTCAGTATCTTACAGATCTGTGGTAATATGACTTTTGTTTTATTTTTTACAATTTCATGAATCTTGCCCTCGATTTTCACAGGTCTATAGGGAACTGGGAGCTTGGCTGGCTACCTAGTACTACTCACATACTTCTCTGATACTTTCATTTTCTGGTGACTATTTATTGAACCCTGTGTGCTAGGCGTTGTGCTGGGTGCTGGAAATAGAGTTTCAGACAAGACAGATGCAGTTTCTACCCTAAGAGACTCAGAGTCTAATGGGCATGATAGATGCAAATAAGTAAATCAATCAATCAATTATTATTTGAAGATGTATGTAAAAAAATAATCTGGAGTGTAAGGGTTGCTACAAAATGGGTAGTAAAGATGGCTATGAGAAGGTGTAATGAAGGAAAATTGAATGGCCTGAGAGGGTGAGGAAATGATTCCTGAGGAAGTAACATGTAGTCTGAGATCTGAGAGATGAGAATGAATTAAATAAGTAAATGGCTGTGCGAAAAACTGGAGAAAAAGCAACAGTTTTGAAGTAATAAAATGTTTTATTTCAGCTAAAATCTTAAACCCGTATCTCTCTCCCTGCCTGTCTTCTCTTCTTTCCAGATAAGTACAGTTGGAATATATCATTCCTATGCAATGACACAGTATCTATTGAAGCTCAAAATGTTCAATTCCTATGATCTTGCAATTTGTTTTCTAGGTATTCATTTTAAAGAAACTCTCACACATGTGCACAGGAGACATTTTCAAGCAACTTAATCGCAGCATGTTCATTGCAATGAAAAAGTGGGACAAATTAATAACCCTCAGTGGAGGGATGAATAAAGAAATCCTGCTTTGGCCAGACAGTGGAATACTATTCATCAGTTGAAAAAAATGCCTTGGAGCTTATGCATTAATGAGGATAGCATTAAAAAATAAAATGTTTAGTTAAAAAAGGCTAGTTCCAAAGGAATATGTAGTATATATTTTATGGATGTAAATTTTTAAAACATAAATAAAACATTATCTATTGTTTGTGGAAGCAAATCCATGTAGTAAAAATAAAAAAACATTGAAGACTTCCAGCAGGGAAGTATGTAGTAGAAACTGCCTTTTAAAAGCACAATCTAGCTACAGTATTGATAATGCATTCACAAGGTAGCTAGTTAGGAAGCTATTATTGTAGAATAGTTGAACAATGACCATAAATTTGATTAGAGAGAAAAATATACAGATTCTAGAGTGATTTAAAAGTTAGAGTTTTTATGGCTATGAGGGCATGAGGGATGGAAAGGAGTCAAGTGATTTTCAAGTTTCTGGCTTGAGTAATTTGTTCATTTGTGCTTCTGTTTATGGTTTTAAGGAACAAAGATGATGTGACAGGGTTGGGGATGGGTGGAGGTAATAAATCCAGTTGTTGAAAAATTAATTTGGATAACTTTCTCTAACTGGGGAAGTCAAGGGTATATGGGAAAGGGTTGAAAGTCAATAGAGAATTCTGAAATGGAAATAAAGTTTGAAAATCATTAGCATGTACTGGAAGATAACTAGTAAGAGTAGAGAAGATTGATTAAACTGAGTATAAAGGGTGAGAAGAGATGGCCTCGGTCTGAGCCCTGAGGTATCTCGTTTGAGTAGTTTGGAAAGAAAGGACAAAAATGGGCAGGAGCTGGGGACTAGGGACTGAGGGAGAAAGGAATAATTATTATTATTTTGTGTGTTTGTTTCTTTAATATGAGGCAAATTTGAACATGTATAAATACTGCTGGGAGGGATTTAGTAGAGAGAGGCTGAAATATGGGGAAAAAAGAAGATAACCAATGTTACCTTCCCCAAAGAAGGTGGAATTCAATGCATTCAACAATGACATATTATTGAATTAATTGATAAATGAATTTGACAAAGGTGCCATTTCTCTAGAAACAGCAGTAAAGGGGTAAAGGATGGCTGTGGATAATAATAGGTTTACTGATTTTGGTAGTGGGAGGTTGAGGATTTTCATATCTGATTGCTTCTATTACTACTTTGAGATAGGAAGTAAAGCCATCTGTGGAGGGAAAGGGAAAGGGAAAGAGAAAGGGGAATAATTTAAAAGTTGTAGGAGAGCAGAGTTTGCAGTTGTTGTGTAGGATTGGAATGAATGTTGGATTGGGAAACAACACAGGATTTCTGTCATTGGCTCAGCTTCAACTTGAGGCTGAAGGTTTTGAATTTGTGGTGTTGCCAATCTCCTAGGACCACACTTGTATATCTACACTATTTGGGTTAATTCTTTCACAAGTGTCTCTTCATTTCTTCCCAGAGACAGTCTATCTTCTAGACGTACCACATGTGTCTGAATTTTTAGTGAGTGTAGAGTATAGGTCAGCTTCAGAGAGCCCTGTTGTTTTTTTAATCTATGTTCAGCATCGTTGAAATAATCCTATACAATGGCAATATTCTAAATCTTAGCTATCATGAAGTGTGTCCTAAGCATACATGTACTTCCAAATTTGTTGTCATTTCTAAGTCCTGTAGGAAAAATTGAGTATTTTCTAAGCTCTCTATAAATGGCAATGTGAGACTAAAGCATTACATATTTTATGAATAATTTATGTAGTCTGTGACACAGGTTTGACCAACCTTGTGCTGGAAACAAGGAACCTATGGTATTCCTTTTAAGTGTGGTGGAGTTTATGTTGTACAAATTTTTTATTGTTATTGTCATATAGGCATATTCTTAATTTGGGGAAATAGGTATTCAGGAATCTGAGAACACCGGAAAGTATTCTACTATGGTTACTGTGGTCTGATTGACTCAGCAGCTTATTGACACACATTTGCTTTTCCCTATATTCAAAAGAACCAATGTTTTCTTTCTAAAAGTGACTTCATCTTCCATCATAAATGCCTCTACTCTAAGGCCTGGTGAGAGAATTCTTTGGAAACCAAAGACCATTTAGTCATGTAGTGTGTATGTGGGGTTTTTCTCTTTAATTTATGAAGTTCTTTGAGTGAGTAAATTAAAAAGTGGTGTGTTAGTATTCTACATTTTGTTATTTTTGAGGAGAATGTTTCATAAGCAAGTTTATAATTTAAAAAATGTTTGTGATCTTCTGTGAAACTTTTAGTTATATGCTATGCAAACTAATTGAACCATTTTACTGGCTTTTGATCAGAAGAATATTGAATAGTAGAAAGGGATAAGAAACTTGGATTCTAATCCAAACCCTGACACTAACAACTATTTCAGTAACTCTTTGTTTGGGTCCCAGTTTCCTGACTTGTGAAAAGAGGAGTTTTATTAGGTGATTCTTAAAACACTTTCCAGATCTTAATCTCAATTTTAGTAGTTGACACAGCTGTTTGGCAGCATGGAAAAAAAAAGTCTAAACACTGTTAAGATTATTAATTCGTATATGGTACAATTTAAATGTGCATGTTCAAGCCTGGGGTTTAAGTTAATAGTATTCATTCATTCATGCATACTTTCACTCAATATGAGTATCAGAAATTTGGGAAAAAATGAAGAATATGTATCAGTCCTCAAGTGGTTCACACTGTAGCAAGGAAGACAGATATGTCAGCTGATTATTAGAATAAACATGAGCAATGATCCTGCTATGATATCTACATTTCAAACTCTCTTTTTAATATATCCAGCCTCCTATGTGGAATCTTCACTTGGCTGGCTCACAGCCCTTCAAATACATACCTCGGATTGAACAGTTGACTCCAGACCCTGCTCTCAAAACCGTTTCCTTCTAATGACCCCATCATTTACCTACTTGCTCAAGTCAGAAGTCTAGGAGTCTTGCCTGATTTCTGCCTCTTCTTCATTACTTCTGCATCTATTCCATCAGCAAGCTCTGACCCAATTCTATTCAGAACCTTCAATTCCCATGGCTACCATTCTAATCCAACCCACCATCATAGCTTGCCTGGATCCCTATAAGAGCCTCCTTACTGTTCTCCTTCTTCCTTCATTCTTCAATTCATTCCAACCTAGTCCCAAAAAGCAGACGAGCAATCAATTAAAAATATAAATTTAATCATACCACTGCCTCCTTGGGGCTCCACTGGCTTCCTGTCGTGTCTTAAATGAAACCTAAATATTGTGTCTTAAATGAAACCTGAATATTGGCATCTATTGCCCCTTCCTATGTATCCAATCTCATCATGGCACTGTACCTTTTGGCCATAAACCTTGAGCCACCCTGGGTTAAGCTCTTCCTACCACAGAGTCTTCACGTGTGGTGTTCCATTGAATGACATTTTCATCTTTCTAATCTTACCAAGTCTGGCTTCTTCTCATTCTTCAGGTTTCAATTCAGACAACCTCTTCTCATTGACAACTTCTCTTACCTTCTAAATAGATTAACCTTCCTTACCTTTTTCTATTTCCACATTTACAGCACTTACCACAATGTTTAATTTTCATTATATTTTGATTCCTTTATTTATTGACTTGCCCACTAGAATGACAGGAAATTATGAGTTTTATTTGCTTAGCATTTAGTCTAATCCTTATTGCACAACTCACTAAAAATTATATGAATAAAATAAACCCAATTATTACTACTTTTTCTATTTTGTGATATAAAAATATTGAGGAAGTGAAAACAAAAGTCATTTTTTGACATTTCTTATAAATAATGTGTCTATACCAGTTACCAGTTATGCACAGATTGGCATGATTAACATAATACGCAATTTGTAGTAAGATCCATTCTTTGTTTTTAAAACCATACATTTATGGAGAACCATAAAAAGAAAATTCTAAATTGAACTAAGTCAAATTCTACTTCAGTATTTATTTACATAGCAAGTTGTGGAAGAGTTTTAATTACTAATCCACTTAATGACTATTTAACAATTTTCACAAGATGGCAGTTCAACTTTTACTCTTGTACTCTTAAAAATAAATAATAATGGTAAAGTTATTTCTGCTCATTAATTTCTCACTCATAAAGGACTACATACTAATGTGCTGGTAAATTGCCAGTGTTGGTGTGAAATAATTTATTTACTTTTTGGTCTTTTCTCTATTACATTGTGATCTTATTTTTTAATATCACATCATGGTCATAAATCCTATGGTTATAAATAATAAAGACAAAGGAAATATAAAAATAATAAAAATATTTTTGCATTTATAAAGTAATTTGAAATTATTAAATTGAGATTCCATCTCAAGAAACTACTTTCTTTGCTCATCCATAAGAAGCAAGTCTTTACCTGTTCAAATTTTATCATGAGATTGCAGAAATTCAGTTAATCTTTAGTGTCTACTTATTCTTATTCTAGTTCTCTTGATCTTTTCACCACTTTTGCAGTCCCTTCCTCCACTGAAGTCCTGAACCCTTCAAAATAATCCATGAGGGTTGAAATGAACTTTTTCCAAACTCTTGTTAAGGTAGATATTTTGACCCCCTCCTATGAATTGCAAATGTTCTGAATGGCATCTAGAATGGTGAATCCTTTCTAGAAGGTATTTAATTTACTTTGCCCAGATGCATCAGAGGAATCTCTGTCTATGGTAGCTATATCCTTACAAAATGTATTTATTGAATAAGAAGCCTTGAAAGTTGAAACTACTCCTCAATCCATAGGCTGCACAATGGATATTTTGTTAGCAGGCATGAAGACAACACCATTCACCTTGTACATCTCCATCAGAGCTCTTGAGTGACCAGGTACATTATCAGTGAGCAGAAATATTTTGAAAGGAATCTTTTTGTCTGAGCAGTAGGTCTTAAAAGCACACTTAAAACATTCAGTAAACCATGCTATAAACAGATGTGCTGTCATCTAGGCTTTGTTGTTCCATTTATAGAACACAGGCAAAATAGATTTAACATCATTCCTAAGGGCCCTAGGATTTTGGGATTGGTAAATGAGAAGTGGATTCAATTTCAGGTAACCAGTTGCATTCGCCCCTAACAAAAGAGTCAGCCTGTTCTTTGAAGTTTGAAGCCAGGCATTGACGTCTTCTCTCCGGCTATGAAAGTCCTAGATGGAATATTCTTCCAATAGAAGGCTGTTCTATCTACATTGAAAATTAGTTTTATTTATTGTAGCCACCTCTATCAATTAGTTTAGCTAAATCTTCAAGATAACTTGCTGAATTTTCTAGATAGCACTTGTTACTTCACCTGACACTTTTATGTTATGGAGATGGATCTTTCTTTAAATCTCATGAATAAACCTTTGCTAACTTCAAACTTTTCTTCTGTAGCTGAAAGGCTTTCATACAATGAAAGAGAGTTAGGGCCTTGTTTTGGATTTGGCTTTGGGTTAAGGGAATTTTGTGGCTGCTTTGATCATCTATTCAGAACACTAAAACTTTCTCTAGAGTGGCAATAAGGCTGTTTTGCTTTCTTACTGTGTGTTTTCACAAAAGTGGCACTTTCAATTTTCTTCCAGAACTTTTCTTTTGCATTCACAACTTCACTAACTGTTTGGAGCAAGAGTTCCAGCTTTTGGCTCATCTTGCTTTCAACATGGCTTCCTCATAAAGCTTAATCAGTTTTAGCTTTTGATATAAAGTGATACATGTGTGACTCTCCTTTCACTTGAACACTTAGCGGGCATAAGAAGGTTATTCATTGGACTAACTTCAGTATTGTGTCTCAGGGAAGAGGGATTCCCAAGGAAAGGGAGGGAGATGGGGGAATGGCTGGTTTGTGGAGCAGTCAGAATACACACTAAACTCAACAATTTTTATGGGCACAGTTCGTGGTGCCCCAAATAATTACAATAGTAACATCAGAGATCACTGATCACACATCACCATAATGGAAATAATAGTAATTAAAAGGTTTAAGATATTGCGAGAATTACTAAAAATGTGACACAGAGACACAAAGTGAGCTGTTGGAAAAATGGCACTGATAGACTTGTTCAAAACAGGGTTTCCACAACTCACAGTTTGCAAGAACTGTAATATATATGACACAAAAAAGTGAAACACAAGATACTGAGGTTTGCCTGTATACCCTGCTTACCAAAAACTGCACATATTTTTACATATAAAGTATAATTAAAAATAAATATATGTATGTTCATATCAGCTTAAGAAATGGAATTAAAATGATTCCTTTGAACCCTCTGTGTGCCCTCCACTGTGATATACGCTTTTCTCCACAAAGATATAATCATCATCCTCAGGTATTTATCATTTCTTTGCCTTTCTTCATAGATTGTTCACAAGTATGTGTATCTCTAAACCATGTATTTTTTTATTGTGATTGCTTTGTAAGTTCATATATATGTAATAATTCTGTATATTCTCTTCCATGAGTAGTTTTTTAATTTGACATTATGTTTTTGAGATTCATCCAGCTGTTTTATATGGCTATCATGTATTCAATTATATTACAGTCTAATATTCCATGATATGAAAATACCACAGTTAAGGATAAGAAAATACTTATCCATTTTCCTGTTGAAGGATTTTCAACGTTGCCTACTTTTAGTTATAAATAATGTTGCTATCAATGTTGCTGTTTCTTAGGATACATTCAACAGTATTCTAGGGCAGTGGCTATCAAGCTGTTTGGACTCCAGCCCTCAACATTAAATTCATTTTACATGGTTGTGCGGTACACATACAAACCTTTCACATGTATACATATATATAACTAAAAAAATTTTTACAAAATAATATTATATGCAAGGCACACTGATATTTTCTATTCCCAATTATATTTTCAAAAATGCTGATTGTGGCCTAATGAATTGATTTTATGTTGCCAAATATCTAATTTACAAAGGAAGAAGGAGGCTAGGCACAGTGGCTCATGCCTATAATCCCAGCACTTTGGGAGACTGAGGCGAATGGATCACTTGAGATCAGGAGTTCGAGACCAGCCTGGCCAACATGGTGAAACTCCGTCTCTACTAAAAATATAAAAATTAGCTGAGTGTGGTGGTACTTGCCTGTAATCCCAGCTGCTCAGGAGGCTGAGGCAGGAGAATCACTCAAACCCAGAGGGTGGAGGTTGCAGTGATCTGAGATCACGCTGCTGCACTCCAGCCTGGGAGACAGAGCGAAACTGTGTCTCAAAAACAACAACAAAAAAGAAGCAAGAAGGAATAATATGGAAATTTACTCAAGGTTTTGTGAGCAGAAGGATAGCTTTAAAGTTATATTAGTGTGGTAAAATTTCCTTTAAATCAATTTTAATCATTTCTGCTTTTTTTCCCCTCAAAATTCCTTTTAATCTGGTAGCTATACATCACCCATCCCTATCAGTTTCTCCGCTTTTCTTTCCCCATTGCTAATGTTGATCCACCAGTCTCCTTGTCTTTCAAAATCTTTCTCTTTGGCTATCTCTAATTTTTTATCATGTAGAAAAATTTAGCCCTAGTATCAATGCACCTAAAAACAGGAGGTTTTGTAACATAGTTCTCAAAATGTAAGTATTCATCCACTAATAAATCCTAAAAGCAATGTAGTAAGGTCACTGCTTTTTCTTTGAAGCTGCATAGATCAGAAAATAAGTTTATTCTGTTAAACTTTTGCTACAATGTGTGTGTGTGTGTATGTATACTTCCTCACAGTGTGTTGCACTGTTTCTCTGACAAAGAGTCCAACCTCTCCCTAGTTTATCACTGAAACCTCCAGGATTTTATTATGTGACTAGAGACCTTGGGATGTTGGCAAGTCCATTGGTATTAGAATTTTGGTGGGACTGAGTGTAATAACTGCCCATTCTTTTTCTTTCTTTCTTTCTTTCTTTTTTTTTTTTTTTTTTTTTTGAGATAGTCACAGTCTGGTACTGAACTCCTAGGCTCAAGCAATCTTCTTGCCTCAGCCTCCTGAGTAGCTGGGATTACAGGTGTGCACCACCAAGCCCAGCTTACCTGCCTACTTTAATGCTTAACTTTACCTATGTCTTCAATAGGGATGAGTAGGTGTTTCTCAGAGTTACTTACTGACAATGAAATCTCAGAGAATTCCCATCTTTCACAGGTTGAGCATTCTAAAATTTTGTCTTGAATGTTCCTGTCAGCCTTGTGGTCTGGTTCTAGATGAACAGGGTCTAGGTTATCATGGTAATCTTGTTTGCTTTGTACTTTACTGCATTTCATGCAGATTCAAGGGCTCAGGCTGGCTCTTACAAGCCTCAGATTGGGGTTGGAAACTCGCTGGTTCTTTTTCCCTGGTAAGTGGTCCAAAAGCCAACCTGGGGTTGCTAAGGGAGGTCTATACGAGCTAGGTGAACTGGTGCTCTATGTGTTTTCCTTATTCCTTCAGGGTAAGCACCCTCTACTTTTCTTCCCTGTTGGTGAATTGTCTTCACTAATGTGTAAGGGTTATACAGGCTCTCGGGAATCCTAAGCCTTTTTAGTCACTTGTGCCAATATGCTCATATGTTGTTCATTTTTTATTTGTTACATTCATTTCCAATTCTACAACCTGCACTCCCCACAACCTTCTAAATCTTGATATTAAAATCTTTGGATTTGGTACACATGTTCAGGAAAAATCTTTCTGTGATTTTATATATGCTTATGAGAGTCTATACATCTCTCCACCTTTTCTTAGCTCTTTTGAATTAAGTGCAACATTTTATAGACATAGAGCTTGGGACATTGAGTTCCCATGTAATTACAGTACTAAAACCCTATAAACTTCTAGGCCATCTCTATTACTTGTCTTTCTGTGAGGCTTATTATACCAATATAATACTCAGAGGCATGTTTTAATCATGATTCATAGGTAATATCCCATCTATGTGTGCATCTTCTAGTTTTAGTATTTTAGGTGTGTAACATAACTAAATATAAATACAAATATGTTACATGCCTAACATTGCCCAAGTCCCAATGTCTCTAGTCAGTCTGGGCCAAATAGTAACATCCCCAGAGGGTTCCAGTGATAAAAGTGGCTGAACTGTTTTACATAATAAAGGATTAGATACCAAAGGGAAAGATTTTGAAATAGCAAAGAGGCTGATGGAGTAGTGTCTTTAAAACTTACATGATAGTTTACCTTCAGCCTCTAGACATTTCTTTCTCCAAGGGATCACTTTTGAGCAGGTGAAGCAGAACAAGGCTCTGAACCAGTTCAAATCTTTATGCCTCATACCCAGTGGTGTGCTGGAGACTGCATTTGCTGACTCAAGGGAGCTGATTGTGTGCAACCATGCCTGACTCTGTCTTCAATAATGACATGCTGGTAGCTTGAAATAGCCATAGTGGGAGCATTTACACCATAGAAATTGGGAAATGTATGCTACAAATAAGTGCTTTTAAAAAGGCCATTGTCAGGCCGGGTGTGGTGGCTCATGCCTGTAATTCCAGCACTTTGGGAGGCTGAGGCAGGCTGATCACCTTAGGTCAGGAGTTCGAGACCAGCCTGGACAACATGGTCAGGTCTTCTAAAAATACAAAAATTAGCCAGGTGTGGCAGCATGCGCCTGTAGTCCCAGCTACTATGGAGGCTGAGGCAGAATTGCTTGAACCCAGGAGGCAGAGGTTGCAGTGAGCTGAGATCGCACCATTGCCCTTCAGCCTGGGCGACAGGTGAGACTCCATCTCAAAAAAAAAAAAAAGATATTGTTAAACATTTACCAGCACATGTCTGCTAATACTTGATCTTTCTTTGCTGTTTTTTTCCCCCAGGAAATAACATGATTTATAACCTACCTCTCCAGAGAGGTTGTGTTAAACTGCAATTTCCAGTCTGGAGTTTCACACCAGTTGCTGTTGCGTTTTTTCATTAGAATAGACTTTCCTGTTATAGCATTGTGTCCATCTACCTCTTCAATCGAAATGGCCAATCTTGAACACTACTTTAATTCTCTGGAGTTTCCACAATCTTTTTCTAAATTCGATGGGCTTTCTCATCATAGCTCCTGTCGGTTCAATATTCATTGACATGCCCTTTGCAGCCATTATAGGCATTTCTGACTGAAATATAACTTAATAATTCAAACTGGATTGTAGCTGAACCTGGTTTTTAGGGTGAATAATCTAGACAATAACTTGTAAGGATTCATCTGAATGTGGTTGGACCCACTTGGAAACATTTGCTCTTGCCTTGGTCTGCACTGGGATCAATCCACACCTCCAGGGAAACAAACAAATAACAACACTAAAAGTAAATTAAAACATTATACACATATACTTACTGAACTTACATAGCACAAATAATGAATATAGACCTTTATCAAAACTTTTGAAATAAGTTTCATCATTCTCAACTGAGGGTGATTGTGCCCCACAGGGAATATTCACCAATGTCTAAGGACATTTCTGGTTGCTGCAATTAGGGGAAGGATGCTAGTCTCTGCTGGGTAGTATGAATATCTGTTGCTAAACTCCTTAGAATGCATAGGAAGTTTCCCAGAGAGAATAATTATCCAGTCCCAAATGCCAAAAATGCCCCACTTAAGAAACCTTACATTGGATTGAAATGGGGCTTACATAACATATCACCTTGCAAAATGTCCTTTAAAATGCATTTTAAGACCCTCTAGTCTGTCTTTGGCAGCTGTGACATCTGTTTCCACAATTCCAATCTCCAGGCTACCCCACCCTTCCTCTCATATGCCGTGCTTCCTTTTCTTATTTGGAACAATTTAGCAATGATTTATTTCTCTCCTTGCCTCCCTTCTCCCCTGCATTCTCAAAAATTATTTTTACTTGCCATTTGACTCAGCAGGGCAAGTGAGTTTCCTTAAATCTCTTCTCCTTAGAGAGAGTTAAAGGAAGAGAGTAAGGAGGGCAGTTGTAAATAATAAACTTGTTATTCTTCTCTCCATATATGGGTGAGTTAAGTTCACCTTAGAATGCATGAGTAATTTTTTTTAACTTTAAATTTTTCTTTTCTATTTTTGTCATGCTTTGTACTTTGTTCTTTATTTGGGTAATTAAAAGGTAGTAACTCAGCAGGTGAATTTTCCCCAGCTGTCAGAATTCCTACTAAAATATGAGATAGAACACCATGACTCAAAAGGGACCTGACAATTAATGCAGCCTTTAAAAGATTTGCACAATGGATGTGCTTCCTTGGAAAGCTTATTTTCTATCCATTACTATACTTTGAAGTAGAATTACTAATTGTTATTCAACTATATTTCATTATCATTAATTGGCTTCCAACATTTGAAAATGATTTTTCCCACTACTTCAGTAGCTAGTAATAGCAGCCCCTAAATCACAGTCTTGACAGGACAGCTTTATTTTTGTTTCCTGATTACCTTGTCTTTACAATTCCAAATTTAGCAAGGTGATTACATGCTTCAATTTCTGTACTTTATGTTTTTAGGAGCAGTGATATGGCAATGCTAAAAATAATCCTATTTTTAAATTGAATCTTAAATCTTCTTCCTCCTAAATGACAATCCCAAATTTTGCCATTCAAAGCAAGATAGGCCCAACTGGTTTCTGGGAAAAGCCAGCACAGTTCTGCAAGGGCATTTATATATGACAACATGACTAGACCTAGAAGTACTTCAAAAATAAATTTGCTTCCTTCTACACAACTCCATCTGCAGTTCATGGAAGTCAAATGTAGTTACATACACCCAAATCACTGGAAACATCTGGAGTCTTCAAGAGAATATTAAATGGGCAGACACTGGAGAATAGAGCAGTTTCTCTTCTTTGTTAAAAGAAAGTAGACGGTGAGATTAAAACCAAGGTTCTGCTACTGTGTAGTCCATAATCAACTCACTTTACATTTTGGAACTTCTGTACAATGGGAACAATTAGTATCTGTCATGACTTGCTTACATTGCTGTATGAATGATGTGGGGAGTTAATTCTTCTCTTAATAAATACTTACTGAAAACCAAGCATGCGTTAGGCACACTAGTACATTAAAAAGTGGTGAATGAGAAAGTAAAGGTTTTTGCTCTTTAGTAGCACTTGTTATCTAATCGAACCTTTTGCCATTCAAAGTGTGGTCTACATACTAGTAGCATTGGCCTCCCTTGGGAGCTTGTTAAAAACCCAGAATCTTAGGCCCACCCCAGACCTGTAGAATCAGGATCTATATTTTAACAAGATCCCCAGTTGATTCATGTGCATGTTAAAGTTTGGTAAACATTTGTTTAGTAGAATTATAGAAAGTAATTCTGAAGTTAGAAAAATGTTTTGTAACTATTTAAAAGCCTAGTTACTCATAGACTAGGTAAAGGAAGACTCAAATTGTATTTAAAATTTCAAAGAAATATATGCACATGTGTTTACTTAAATCAGACAATTTGTGTGAAAACTATACGAAAATATAAATTACCATTTTTATTGTCATTAGGCATTTATTTTAACACTAGAAGAGTTCAAGAATAATGGCAGGAAAATATATGATATCTCTGGAGGAAACCATCCATTGAAGCTCACATAAAAAAAGACGAGAAGGACAGAGTTAGCTGGTTCACATCACTTTAATCATAGAACCATCCTTAGGTGATTTTTGGGAAATATTATCTCGCAGTGCTAGCTCTTTGTGGAATCACAAATGAAAAACATGAAGGGGAGAAATTTCTTTCCTTTTGGGGAAGAAAGTGCAGCTAAGGCAGAGAATAAGAAACAGAGATGAGAAAGGAAATAACAGACATGACGTGAGACAAGAAATGAGACTGAAAGGGAAAGAATAATTTAGAAAGTATATACAGTGTCTCCTGTGGGTACTCCAGACATCAAAAAGAAGAATATAATATATTTCAGGGCTTGATATTACTGAATAGTCAGAACAGCCACAAACTGCTGTCAGCAATTTAGCAGAGACGCTATATCAAGGACAAAATCCACACCCACAACCTTATACTCAACCAAATTGCATGCAATTGCCTATGACAAGTCTTTGTTGGAATCCTCTTATCATGGCAAACATCCTCAGTACTCTAAATAGTGTCAAAAAGGAAAAAAAAAAAGAAAAAACTGCTGAGCCTAGAGCACAAATTTTCTGTAGAAATGAAGAAGAAAAAAAATTGAACGGCTCTACAAGAAACTGTTGCTCATGTACCAGATGGCTGCAAAAATTTTTTAGACAGTACAGATATAAAATACACACTCTGGAGCATTGTTTTCTAAAAGTTAAATAAATAAATAAATAAATAAATAAAGGTGTTTTTTGTTGTTATAGAGCAGCGAGCTTCAGTTTAAGGACGGAGAAGATTCAGGAATGGGCCATCCTATTATTGATTTTTAAGCCTACTAGAAGAAGTTTAAAACTATTTATTTTAAGCTTGCTAGAAGAACACAAGTTACTGGGAACATAGCCAAAAATATTATGCCACAATGTGGGATTAAACACTTTCCAAAGTCTCCTACTTAGGCAGTACACGATTCAGTGATGGAGTGCTTAATAACAGAATAGAACTGATTCCAGTTCACCTTGTCCTTGGGAGGTATTTACAATGCGATACAAATATAACCTCAATCCGTCTATTCAACAAATATTAATTAGGCCGCTACTATGTGCCAGTTTATAGTGAGGTGAGCATGTATTCAATAAAATTGAATGTACAAAAACCATAGTAGCAACTGAATGAATGTCAACCTTGAAACCTGAGAAGTCAACGCCAGACTTATCATAGGACCTATGGCTGGGATATCAGCAATGTGTTTGCCCAGATACTGTCAATGGTGAGATATGTTCACTGTAAGTCTGTCAAGTGACTGGAGGGTTGTATATACAACATTGACCTGGAGAGTGGAGGTTAGAGCAGTGTTAAACAGGAAAGGAAGAACTATTGATTGCCACATTTATTCTAGAGTACCTTTCTGCCTTATTCATCTTTTCAGCAATGAACTCCCTGAAATTAGGAATTGAATTTATCTTGGTTACCATTTATAGCAAGTAGCATAATACTTGACATTTATTTTTTCTAAACTGTTATTGAGCATGTGCTATACGATATTGTTGTACTAGCCACTAGAGAGAATGGAGGAGTTAATAAGAAAATTATGGTCTCTGACTTGTTAACTCTTACTAACAAATGTGGAAGGATATTGATCAAAAGATTTTATTTGAGATGAGGATCCAGTGCTATTGGAATGTGTTACGTGGCTGCCTGTTTGAATGGAGGACCAGGGAAATCATTTTTTAAGGAAGTAATTCAAGCTGAGACCAAAAGAATAAGGTGTTAGCTTGTTAATGTGGAAAAGGAAGAGATATTCCAGGCAGAACAAAGCACATGCACAGGCTCTGAGTCTTGGAGGAGCTCAGCACAAAGAATAAAACGAAGGGTCATCTGATTGGATCTTAGAGAATAAACACAGGGAAAATAGGCCCAGATGAATTTGGAGATTTTTGGCCAGAGGTGAGCATATGCATGGCCTCTGGGGTCATTTCAGGGTCTAATGATTTATTATCCAGCATAATAGGATTTTAAGCAGGGGCCTGATATGATATAATTTTTATTTATCAAAAGATGAATTCAGCTGCTGTGGGAAGACTGGATGAGAGCAGACCAAACTGAATGAGGCAAGATTGGTTAAAAGATAGCAGCAGTGAAAGTCTCAAGATTCTAGTTGAGGAACTGCAGAGAGTGGCTGTCTAGAACTATTTTTGAGACTTCTTTTTCCTGAAATGGGGCAGTCATGATGATAAGTGAAATGCTGCCCAGCTCAAAATATCTACAATTGCTGGATACAGTCCAAGAGATCTTTTGTTAAATATATGGATGATCAGGTTTGAAAGTAAGGGAATTCTTCAAAGTCTACAAATTTAAAAAAAATCAGTCTATCAATCAATCTACAAGGTGTAAACCAGCTTTCAAGATTAGGCTATTTAGTGGCATTGGACATTCCCTAGAGGTTTAGAGCCTGGCTTTCTTTTTTTAATGAAAACTTTCAAATATACACAAAAGTAAAGAGAAATGCATAATGAACTCCAGGAACCCATCATTGTCAACTCAGGACTCATTTCATTTATATCTCTATCCACTATCCCCCTACCTACATTAAATTGTTTTGAAGCATATTCAATAAATTACATCATTTCATCTGTAAATATTTTAGTTTTGTGATTAAAAAATAAATATTCTTCTTTAATCATAGCTGTGATACTATTATTACACCTGAAAAATGAACATTAGACCTTAATAACAACAAATACCAAGTCAGTGTTCAAATGTTCCCAGTGGTCTGGCTTTCTTGTTTGTGTTTTGTTTTTTGAATCAAAATCCAAATGAGATCCAAATTACTATTGATTGACATGTCTTTTATAATCCATAAGTGATCTTTCATTCTGTTTTCCTGACAATTAACTTATTGGAGAAACCAGATGATTAGATTTTTAAAGTTTCCCATATTCTGGAATCTGCAGGGCCTAGATTTAAAGGACCACTCATTTGAAGATCAGGAGATAAAATTCCGGAGTGAAGAGGGCAGTCACTTAGATCAAACAACCTTGCTTGTTAAAAACAAAGTCGGGAAACACAAAGTGACACCCTCAGTAGAGGAATTAAATAATACATTTTTCAGAGATAGAAGAGATATTTGCCTATCTTGTCTTGTGAGCAGAGGAAACTGGCAGAAGGAAAGCAAACACTCTGAAAGGGCACACTTTAAAATCAGTCTTAAGGAATTTACACATAAAAGTATGATAGAATATGAACTCATCATCAAAAATCACCAATGTACAGGGAAAGTAATACCATGAATGAAAAAGATTAGAAGAAACAAACCCAGAATCAGACTATCAAAACCGCTGATTTTGAAATTGTCACATGCAGAATTTGAAGTATTTAATAGCTAAAAAAGAGAGATATGCTAAAAGTATGAAAAAGGAAAAAATTATCTTTGCTATTAGATTAACCACTATCTAATTTTTTACTGATTTCTAAATTAAATGCACATAGTGGTTACTGGTTAGGATAGAAAGAGAAAATTTCCAAATGATCAGTTCTGATAGTCCAATTTGAAAAGTCTGATTTGTCAATAAAGAACTGACTGGAACATTTAGATTTTAAAAGAAGCTGACTTATATTAGAAAATAGAATGTAGAGACACAGTAAACAACAATTACATAGTTGGAAGAAGTAGTAAATAGGAGATATATCTGAAGAAATTATAAAAAATGCAACCCAAACCATTCAATACAAAGAGAAATTCCACTATAAAACTAACTCAAGTTTCAGGAGAAGGTAAAACAGGAAATGGGAGGAGTTGTAATTAAAGAGATAAATGGCTGACATTTTTCTAAAAATTATGACAGACATCTAATCCTATATTCAAGAAGTACTCCCTCAGCCCCCCAATCTCAAGTTGGAAAAATAATAATTTAAAAAAATCCACCTAGAACCAACATAGAATTTAGAACACCTGGGACAAAGGATGGATCGTTTTATTATTTTTTTTTAATTTTTAATTTTTTTGAGATGGAGTCTCGCTCTGTCACCCAGGCTGGAGTGCAGTGGCACAATCTCAGCTCACTGCAAGCTCCGCCTCCCAGGTTCACGCCATCCTCCTGCCTCAGCCTCCCAAGTAGCTGGGACTACAGGCACCCGCCACCATGCCCGGCTAACTTATTTTATTTTTTTTTGTATTTTTAGTAGAGACGGGGTTTCACCTTGTTAGCCAGGATGGTCTCAATCTCCTGACCTTGTGATCCTCCCGCCTCTGCCTCTGAAAGTGCTGGGATTACAGGCGTGAGCCACCGAGCCCGGCCTAAGGATGGATCTTAAAAACAGGCAGAAAGAGAAAAGAGATTACCTCTAACTGAGCTACAATTAGAATTAGATTTGCAGGTAATTTCTCAATAACAACAGATAATTTCTCAATAATGTAATCAAGAAATCCAAACAAGTTATCTTCAAAGTGTTAAGAGAAAATTGTTATTGTAGAATTTGACTCCCAGTAAATTTTTTTTCAAGAAGGAAAATAAAATATAGATGTTTTCAAACAGAGTATGGATCATTATTTATAAGAGATTGTCACTGAATAAATGTCTGAAAAATGTACTTTAAAAAAAAAGGAAACTAATTCCAGAAGGAACAATGATATGCAAGCGTGCAAGAAAATCTAAACAAATATCATTCAAAACAATAATTAAGATGCTTTATGTTAGAGATTCTTAACTAGAGAAACTCTTGAACATGTATACCAAGAAGCATTTACAGAAATGCTCAGTATAGCTTTTTGAGTAATAGCCAAGAACTTAGAAAAAAAACACTTAGTACTCATTGACAACAAAATGTATAAATTAATTTTGCTGTATTCATGCATTAGCTATTAGACAGCAGTGAAAATGAATGAACTGCAGCTATTTGCATCAACGTGGATGAAGCTAAAGAACAAAATACTGAGTCAGAAAAGCAGATTTCAGGCTGAGCACGGTGGCTCACGCCTGTAATCCCAGCGCTTTGGGAGGCCGAGGCTGGCGGATCACTTGAGACTGGGTGTTTGAGACCAGCCTGGCCAAGATGGTGGAACCCTGTCTCTACTAAAAATACAAAAAATTAGCGGAGCATGGCGGCGAGCACCTGTAATCCCAGCTACTCGGGAGAATCCCTTGAACCCGGGAGGCGGAGGTTGCAGTGAGCCGAGATTGCGCCACTGCACTTTAGCCTGGCCTGGGCGACAGAGTGAGACTGTCTCAAAAAACTAAAAAAATTTTTTTAAAAAAAAGCAGATTTCAGAAAACATTCATTTTAACCTATTCTTATAGAGTTTAAAAATAGACAAAACATAATTATACACTAACTTGTTCAGGCTTACATATATGTGCAGTGAAGCTAAACTAAAAAGAAAGAATGATATATAAAAAATTCAGTCAGAGAGGGAAAAGTGATTGGTTGAGAAAACACAGATTCAAACTATTAGTACACCTTTACTTCTTTAGCTAAATGGTAGGAAAGGATATTTTATCATTATTGTACTTTTAAATGTATATATTTCACTATACTTTTCTTATATATCTTATAATGTTTGTAGTGGCTGAATAAATGAGGGAATGCTAAGTATCTCCACTATTCTAGACATGTTATAGATCTGAATATTATAATTTAGATCAGTATAAATAATTTTTCATTCATTTATTCTTTTATGTATGCAGAAGTGTTCTTTTGAGTCCACAGGTCTATAATCTGATGGTAGAGTAGACTCTGAAAATAGATGGAGCTTATTATTTAGCAGTCAGAGCAGGTAATAAAAAGATGCTGAAAAGCAGAAAATGTTACATACTGATAAATGCTCAGGAAAAAAACAAGTAGGATAAAAACAAACGGATAGAGAGTGCCTTGGGGAGTATCGCTACTGAGGGGAAGAGTACTTTATATTAGAAGAAAAAGGAAGTTCCCTCCAAAGAGGTGACCCTGGGTGATCTGAAAACACTGGCTATTTAAATCACAAACTGAGGACAGGATCCTGAACTTATAGTGATGTCTAAGTTGCATTATTTGAGTGTCCTAGTTTCAGCAACCTGCCAGTATTTATCATTCTCTAACAATTTAAGTGCAATCGCGGATAATGGGCAATTAAACAAAAAAACACGTTAGTCTAAATACAGAAAAAGTAGTAGACTAACATTTGGAAATCTTGCATTCTAGGTGGACAAATTATGGAATTTTCTACATCATCAATTCTATCGATTATAAAAGATAGAGTTGGATTGGATGATGTCTAAGATTCTTTAAGTATAAAGCTCTAAAAATGTATGATGAAATAAAGGCCAACTTGGAGGAATTTTTTTTTTTTTTTTTTGAGATGGATTCTCACTCTGTTGCTAGGCTGAATTGCAGTGGCCCAATCTCGGCTCACCACAACCTGCACCTCCGGGGTTCAAGCAATTCTCCTGCCTCAGCCTCTGTAGTAGCTGGGATTACAGGAGAACCCCACCGTGCCTGGCTAATTTTTTGTATTTTTAGTAGAGACGGGATTTCCCCATGTTGACCAGGCTGGTCTCAAACCCCTGACCTGAGGCGATCCACCTGCCTCAGCCTCCCAAAGTGCTGAGATTACAGGCATGAGCCACCACACCTGGCTGAGGATTTTTAAAAAAAATAAGTTATCATTTAGAGTAAGTAAAATACATATATGGGTGTGCAAGAATTAAACTAGCTTGTGGCAACGTGACAATTGTTAAAGCCATTAGTAAACAACAATGTGCCTGTTCAGATATAAAGCAAGTGTTTCTTTAAAATGATAGAATTATCATTAAAATATTTTGTATATTCAAATCAGTGATTATGATATGATATGATATGATATGATATATGGGTTTCACATGCATGAAGGTGGGGATTCCATTAGATGGTGGTTCCATTATATAGACTTTCAGCTTCATAATGGGGTTTTCATTTGAAGCGGTCACAGCCACAAATTAATTTTCTATTAATTGGTGATCTCATCAAGAATGAAGCAAAGGCTATTTAGGTTTCCCTGAATTTAGTAATAGTTTCTCAGACTTTAACAAACCGGTGGTTTTAGCACTGAGTTGTGGGAGAGGAAAATGGAAAACAATCTGTTTTTATTTGTAGCATGATTACAATGTCTGATTTTAGATATAATCTAATGAACTTGGCTACTTTATAATTTTATCAGCCACCTTATCTCACAAAATCAGAAGAAGGCATAGTGGGTCAACTTTCATCAATTTACTAATTATGAGAATAATGTAGCATTCTTTGTTTCCTATTATCTTTGGACATTTTAGTGAGATTAAACCTAACTTTTCAAATGTACTGCTTCTATTGATTATCAACATTTGACAGGTGAGTTAGAAAATGTGCCAAAGTATCTACATACTAGTTTTTCTCTCTTCCCTTCTATATTGTGCTAAGTAGTGGAAATGTTTTTTCTCTATTATTATTTCACTGTCTTGAAAAAAATATTTGAAGTTGGAGTTTTTAAGGAGAGTTAGTTGAAACAAACAAATTCTATAAAATTTTATCTGACTGTGGCTTTAAAACATAAGAGCTTCACTGCGGCCAGGAATAGCTTCCAGGCTACAAATCAACAAGTGACATTTTATAATTTTAGTTTTCATAATCCCTTTTTATTTGAATATATATGTATTTTTTTCTCTCAGTACTCTGTCTAAAGTCAACATCTGTTTGTGTAGTTATAGAGGTTAACTTATGTTTAAGTATGACTTAAATTATGAGAATTGGTGTAAAAAGAAAAGACCATATCTTGGCTATAAGTAACCAGCACTCTTTGCATTTGGGGAAAATGAGAAATAATGAGCAATTTGAAGGGTAATATAGGTATGTGAGGAAAGGTGAAGAGCTAGTCTACTTGCATGTTAATTAAATAGAGTAAGGTTAATATTTTATACCACCATTTGTTTCAATAACTGTATTTAAGCCCATTCAATCAGTCAGTGAGAGATAATGGGCTTCAAGTTCTGAAATGTTGTAGAATCCTGTACTATTTTTCAAAGTGTGAGTCATTCAATATTTGTTCTGCATAAGGCTCTGGTAAATATAGGGTTTCTTTGTCAAATCAGTTCAGAAATTTCTAAATGCCCTTTTCATCTCTCAGAGAATAATAACATACATTCTCATATGAAGAGCTCTGAGAATTTATGCTAAAGAAAAATCTGTTTAACTTTACTTGACTGACATTTTCCTGCTATCCTTGCATATGGATCCCTTTTTGTTATGAATTTTTTTTTTCAGGTAATGCCTGTTACCTTTTTATAAAACTAGAAACATGGGGAAGCTTTGTGTGGTGATAATAGGATGTCTCATTTTTGTTTATAATAACAATATCTAATAGTATAACAAGTGACAATAGCTGACATTTATTAAGCACTTACATGTCAGATACTATTTGAAGCTCTTTACATACATTAATTTGTTTAGTGCTGAAAGAACCACCATGAATTAGGTATTTTAATTTTCCCTATTTTAAAAATGAGGAAACTGGGCCTCAGAGTCCGCAAAATTCACTCCTGTGTCTTAACCCCTAACTTTTCAAGGTGTTACTCTACTTGGCTAAAATAAGAGACTGAATGGAACTACATCTCAGTGTCCTCTTCTGCAAGTGAAGTTCTGCATTTGTCAGAAGATTGTTAAGAAAAACGAAATTTCAACATAAATACTGATGCTATTTACAGACTGCTTACTATGAAAATAACAAAAAGTTCTCTCTCAAATGGAACTATACTTAGAACCTGAAATTATTATTTAAATTTTTATGGCCGGACACGGTGACTCACACCTATAATCCCAGCACTTTGGGAGGCCGAGGCAGATGGATACCTGAGGTCAGGAGTTCGAGACTCGCCTGGACAACATGGTAAAACCCCATGTCTACTAAAAATCCAAAAAATTAGCTGGGCGTGGTGGTGGGTGCCTGTAATCCCAGCTACTCCAGAGGCTGAGGCAGGGGAATCTCTTGAACCCGGGAGGTTGAGGTTGCAGTGAGCCAAGATTGTGCCATTGTACTCCAGCCTGGGCAACAACAGCAAAACTCTGTCTCAAAAGAAAAAAAAAAAAAAAAAAGTATGAGCCTTTCTTGTTTATTTATGCTAATCTAAGCATATTTTGTAGTCATTTTACATATTTGGGCAAATACACATAGCATAATTTTTAGATTAAATTTGTCCACAGTTTCATTTTGGAAGAGATATTTCTGCATGAGACAAGTTTTCTTCTAATGCTGAGATTCTATGATTAATTAAACTGATGATGTAATTTAGTCTAATTTTAAAGATTCACCATGAATAGATTGAAGCTAACTACAAAAGATATACTGTGGAAAACAAAACATTCTTATTTATCTTTTGGGTCCTAAAGCCATGACCTTAAGGAATCCTTCCCTGACTGCCCTTTCCTCCCCATTCTACACCCCTCTCCCACCATCTAATTAGGGTTCCAATAATATTTTTTAGGTAGCTTTTATTTTTTACAGCAGTTTTTGGTTCACTCCTGAGGTCAGGAGTTCGAGACCAGCCTGGACAACATGGTAAAACTCCGTGTCTACTAAAAATACAAAATATTAGCTGGGCGTGGTGGCGGGTGCCTGTAATCCCAGCTACTCTGGAGGCTGAGGCAGGGGAATCGCTTGAACCTGGGAGGCTGAGGTTGTAAAGATTGCACTGCAGTCTTTACTACGGCAGTTTTTGTGCCACAGCGTATTTACCTATTCACCTATTGAAGGACATTTCTGCAAAACTGAGCAGAAAGTAAAGAGTTTGATGTATTCTCTGCCCCACCCTCATACAGACTTCCCCACTACCAACATCTCACACAAGAGTGGTATATTGGCTACAATCCATAAACCTATGTTGATAAATCATTATTACCCAAAGTTCATAGCTTGCATTAGGGTTCACTCTTAGTGTAACACATCCTATGCGTTTTGACAAATGTGTAATGACATGTATCTACCATAGTACCATACAGAACATTTTCATGGCCCTAACATCTTCTCTGCTTCATTTATTATATTTATTCTTCCTTTTCCTTAATCCCTGAAAATCAGTGACTTTTTTTCTCTTGTCTCCAGTTTTGCGTTTTACAGAATGTCGAAAGAGTTAGGATCATTCAGTATGTAATCTTTTCATGTGGGCTTCTTTCACTTAGTAATCTGCATTTAAGGTTCTTCCATGTCTTTTCATGGCTTAATTGTTCATTTTTTTAGCACCAGATAATATTCTATTGTCTGCATGTGCCACAGCATATTTACCCATTCACCTATTGAAGGGCATTTTAGTTGTTTTCAAGTTTTGGCTATTAAGCTACTATGAATAAAGCTACTATAAGCATCTGTGTGCAGGTTTTTTGAGGATATAATTATTTAACTCATTTGAGTAAATATCAAGAAGCCCAACTGCTGGATGTTATGGTTAAGAGCATGTTTAGTTTTGTAAGAAACCTCCAAACTGTCTTCAAAAGTGTCTGTACCGTTTTGCATTCCCATCAGCAATGATGAGGATGTGCTATATCCTCATCAGTTTTTGGAGTTGTCAATGCTTTGGATTTTGGCCATTGTAATAGGTGTATAGTGGCATATCATTGTTTTAATTTACAATTCCCTAATGATATGATGCTGTGCATTTTTCCATATCCTTATTTGCCATCTGTGTATCTTCTTTGGTGAGTTATCTATTCAGGTCTTTGACTATTTTTAATTGTATTTTTTGTTCTCTGATGATGATTTTTAATATTTATTTATTTTAGATAACAGGATTTTATCAGGTATATCTTTTGCAAATATTTTCTCCAAGCCTGTGGCTTATTTTCTCATTCTCTGATAGTGTCTTTAGCAGAGCACAAGTTTAAATTTTTAATTTTGCAGAGTAAAAGTTTAAATTTTAATGAAGTCGAGCTTAGCAATTACTTTTGTGATTGTCTTTGGCCATTTGCGCTGCTGTAACAAAATACCATACATTTAAAGCTTATAAACTGCTTGTAGCTTATAAACATATTTTTTACAGTTGGAAAATCCAAGATCAAGGTGCCAGCAGATTCAGAGTCTGGTGAGAACCTGCTTTCTATTCATAGATGGTGTCTTTTAGCTGTGTCCTCACATGGTAGAAAGGGCAAGGCAATTCTCTGGAGCCTCTTTTATAAGGGCACTAATCCAATTCATGAGGGCCCTACTCTCATTATCTAATCATGTCTCAAATGCCCTACTTCCTACTGTCATTACATTGGGGTTCAGGATTTCAACACATAAAGTTAGAGGAGGATACAAACATTCAGGCCATAGTAGTGTTGTATGTAAAATGTCATTGCCATACCCAAGGACATCCAGATTTTCTCAAGTGTTATCTTCTATGAATTTTACAGATTTATGTTTTATAATAAGTCTATGATCTATTTTGAGTTAATTTTTGTGATGGGTGTAAGGTCTATGTTGAGACTCTTTTTTTTCCTTTTTGCATGTTGATGTCCAGTTGTTTTAGCATCATTTGTTGAAAAGCCTATCTTTGCTCCACTGTATTGCCTTTGGTCCTTTGTTTAAGATCAGTTGACTATACATAAGTCTATTCTGTTCCTGTCTGTCTATTCTTTCATTAGTACTTGTGTCTTGAATACTGTAGTTTTATAGTAAAGTCTTGGAGTCAGGTAGTGTCACTTCTTTGACTTTGTTCTTCTTCTGTATTGTGTTAGCTATACTAGGTCTTTTACTTCTCCATGTACACTTTCGAATTAGTTTATTGATATCCTCAGAATAATGTACTGGGGTTTTCATTGGAATTATCTTGAATCTATAGGTCAAATTTCAAAGAAATAATATCTTGACAGTATTGAGTCTTTCTATCCATGGATATGGAATATATCTCAATTAATTTAGTTCTTCTGTTTCTTTTGTCAGAGATTTGTAGTTTTCCTCACGTAGATCTTGTATATATTTTGTTAGATTCAACAGCATTTAAAAAAGTTAAGTCATTTAAGTACTTCTGAAAAATTTAAACCCACCTTTTCAGGTTTCACTGGGTTTCATCTTTTCAGCTACACTGGGCTACATGCAATCAAAGCCAATTACAGCATTATTTACTACTATATATCTAGTGGTGCATGGTAGACATTTAAGAAATATTTGTTAAATGAATGAAATAGTGAATAAATGAATGCCATATATGTTGAGCTATATTATATAGTGAATATTGGAATTGTCTCCCCAATATCCATTCCAGCCCAAATGAATGGTCTAGTCATATGATAATCAATTACTCCTTGCCAGTGATTTTTTTTCTGAAATGGGTAGAAGCACTTTTACCCACAAAGTGCTAGAAGTCTACTGGAAGGTTCTGGGAAAATTTTTCTCACTGCTAAAAGAGGGCAAATGAGGTTTTGTCCTTCTTCCTCAGTCATGTTGCAGGATCTTGATCCAACATCTGGAATTTATGCAGCCATCTTGTTACCAACTCCAGTATGAAGACAACATGAAGAATGAAAGTATAGAAAGACTGAGAAAAAGTAAATGTCACACTTAGTTTTGAATAAGATATGGTGCTCTTGAATCAACCAATCTTGGAGTCTGCTTTTCCTCTGAATGTCATAGTAAGTGAGATCATAAATATCGTAGTTCTTTAAGCTAATTGTAGTATTTCTATTATGGGAAAAGTTTAGATATTTTAAAATCTTTTTACTTTGAAAAGTTTTTGTTTGGGGACTACCTAAGCTAAAAATAAATAATCCCATTGGTTAGAAGCATAAAGATCCTGACACTCTTTTGTTGATACTAAGGTATATCCACCTCCTCACACTGACTTTCAGGAATACACTATGTGCTTTAGTTCTGCCTTAGATCATTTTTGCACACATATTTTAACTAGATTCTATGAGGTAATTAGTAAGTAATTTTGTTTATCAAATTTTAATGTTATTTTCTTGAAAAAAATCCAGAATATAATACTCATCACCATCTTGAATTATTGACATATAAAAATAATAACCTCAAAATTGACCTCCATTAAAATGTTCCTAAAATATTTCAATATCTCCTGAAGCAGGCTTTGTCTTTTTTAGTTATCAAATTTCTTTACACACACACACTCACTCACATACTCTCTGTCTCACAAACACCCTTTTAAATTCCAACAATTATCTTTGTGCTGCCTGCATAATTTTGAAATGAGGGGAATTTGAACTGTGAAGTGGCTTAAAAGGTTAATTGCCTAATCTTAGCTTCCTTCCTGAAAAGACTGTTTTGATCTATACAAATTTCCTCACTGGAGGCTAGGAATTTTTTGAAATATAATTAAATAAATCAGTCTTATCTCTAAGATTAACTGCTTTTGCATAGTAATTCCAATGTTAGTATCTTGGCAACTGATATTTTTTACATACTCGTTTGTGGGGAAAAAAGGCCTCTGTCTTTTTATGCTATTACATTTGGAAAATTATAATCTGTGAACTTTATTTCTAAAACAAATATTTTGGAAAAATGTCATAAACATTTGCATAAACCTTGTATATTTTGCTCTTCAAGATACTCACAGTCTGGAAATAAGTAAACTCATCTGAAAAGTCAGAGATATTTCAGAAAACAATTCTGCTTTCTATTTTTATTAAATACTTGTGATGACAAAGTGGCCCTTCAAAGGTGTTAGAGAAATACTTCATTTGCAATGTCTTACGTTAAAAAAACCTCTGATAGGTCCCAGTATAATTCTCTAAATTGCTGATGAAAAATTGGAATTATTCTCAGCATACCATTAACATTTAAGCATTGCACATTAAGTAATATGAATTTGAAGCGTTTTATGTCTTAAATTTCCCCAATGTGTTATTGGCTTGCATTTTCACACTTTGCTTACATGATAAAAATAAAGCTACTACTGATTTTACTTGGCTTGGTGTATCCTAAATGATCATACTTTAACATCTACACATTTGAGTGCTTTCATTGGGCTTCAAGAATGTTTAAAATATACTGTTTCTTAGGGATATTAAAACACTAAACTGAAGAAGTGACATTTAAAAACTTGAGTATTGATTTCACTCCTGCATAATTTTTAGGAACTTGAAGAAATAGAGAAAAATTTGTGGTAGCAGTGTTAGAATTAATGTCCTCATTTGATTAAATTATATTTTCTTTTACCAATTACATCCTTAGTTAATGAATTTTAATTCTCCTTCTTTTTCTAAAAGAGTAACCTTCATTAGAAAAGAAAACTGTCTGTGTTTAGACATCTCTGTGAAGAAAATGTCGTGGAAAGAAAAGTACTAAATGAAATTGTCAGGAAGGAAAGAAGAAGAAAGCCATAATGATTGGGTCACAAGGCTTCAAGGTGGACAAAAGTGAAACAGTAAAAGAAAAAGCCACTCCTTAAGTAGTCAGAGAATAAATGGCACAATGAAAAATGCCTATATTTCTGATGCAGGAAGTTTTCTGGGCCAGGGTGGAATTTATCAGCACATGAGGTGGTGATTAAAGAGAAAGAGCAAATACAGTTGACTGAGTTAGGCTGGGAATAGTCATTACCTCATGAGAACATTTAATACGGCTTGTCTCTTAAGGCCAATAAACTAACACATGACCTGGCTGACATGAAGCACTGAAGCAAAATGGGTCAATACATCAGAGCAAGTCTAAGTAGAAAATTGGAATAGAAATTCATTTCCTATTCCCTTGGTCTTTAATTTTTTTTTTAAAATATAAAATCCAAAAGGGTATATTAAGAGTCCAAAGCAATGTTTCTCAAACCTACTTATGGATTAGAAACACTTGGAGAGATTTGGAAATATCAATACCCACGTACCCCAGCATAATTAAATTGGTATCAGGGCATTAGTTTTTTGTTGTTGTTTGCTTTGCTTTGTTTTCTAAGCTTCTTAGGTGAGTCTATGGTTCAGTCTGGATTGTAAGTCACTAGTAAAAAGAATGATAATAAAATGAATATGCATATCCCATTATAAGCCTAAAAAATATAAAATTGCCAGTCAAAATCCTCTAGGTTATTTTTAATAGAATTATCAGCCATTTCTTTCTCTATCTCAAACATACAAGGTATCCATATCCTACATTTTGCATTAATAATTCCTTGTTTTCCTAATAAATATCTCTAAACATTTTAACTTTCAGTTTTCCTATCTTTGGCCTTTATATAAATAGAATTACACTTAATGTATTCTTCTGCAATATAATATTTCACCAAATTACATTTTTGAGATTAATCTCTTTAATGAATCTAGTTATCATTCATTTTAATTGTTGATTAGTATTCTGTTATATGAACGCAATTCATTTTACAAAAATATCTTGTAGTACCTTCTGTAAATCAAGCCTGAGTTTTTTCTCATATTCAATTGATCATAAAGAAATCTTTGAGAGGATATGCCAGCATTCTCTACAAAGTTTCTCTCTAGAAACTTCACAAGATGCTGGGCCTCTGGAATTTTACGGGGTTTATCTTTTTCTGGTACTTATGATCTCCTAAGGTCCTTACAAATTCTACCTAACAAGTCCAATTGCTATGATGACAACATCATAGTAAACAAGCATGGAATAAGAAGATGAACAAGTTCTTCATGGGCCGATTATGGCATAGAGTGCGAGAATCGAAATAGCTTTTTTTTTTTTTTTTTTTTTTTTTGAGACTGAGTTTCTCTCTTGTTGCCCAGGCTGAATGGAGTGCAATGGCGCGATCTCGGCTCACCGCAACCTCCGCCTCCCAGATTCAAGCAATTCTCCTGCCTCAGCCTCCCGAGTAGCTGGGATTACAGGCATGCACCACCACGCCTGGCTAATTTTTTTTTTTTTTTTTGTATTTTTAGTAGAGACGGGGTTTCTCCATGTTGAGGCTGGTCTTGAACTCCTGACGTCAGGTGATCCGCCTACTTTGGCCTCCCAAAGTGCTGGGATTACAGGTGTGAGCCACCGTGCCCAGCCAAGAATCGAAATAGCTTTGAGGCAATGCAGTGAAGACATACTGGGCCTGTAACTGGGGTGTCTGCACACCTACACTGCTGACCACACTGGATATTCCAGAAAGCCTTTTCTTCCTGTAATACCCCAGCAGCATCCTGTAGGGAGAAAGCTTAACATTGTGCTCAGTTTAAGGGAGAGTATCTTAAAGGAATCTGTTGTTTGTCACAGTGCATATCTTAAAGGGAGCATTTGACTGGGATATAATAAACTGAAAACTGGCAGAGTAGGCATTAAGAAAATAGGATGATTCAGTCAGTTGAGTCAGCCAACTTCTATCATCCACTACTCTGATACTAGTGCAATAGGCTCATGCATGAAACAGCAATAGTGTGAGGAATGGCGTTTACACGGGTTCCGCTTCACTAAGAGTGCCACTGTTCAACATTTAACCTGCCAGCAAAAGAGACCAATATTGTACCCCAGTATGGTACCATCCCTTGAAGAGACCAAATAGTTACTTGATAGGAAATCAAGTATATCAAATTTCTTACATCCTGGCAGTCAGTTCTTCATCTTGACAGGAACTGACATATATTTCAGATATAAGTTTGTCTTTCTTGTGGGCAGAGCTTCAGCCATCACCACTCTATGAGGGTTTATAATTGCTTGACCCATTAACAGGATATGTGGTATATCATGCTTAGTGCCAAGAGCCTCTCTAATGCACAAGAGTAGCAATGGTGAGCACGTCTTGGGACCACCTACCACACCACCAGAAACTGCTGACCTGATACAGCAATGGTATGGTTTTTTGACGGAGAAGCTAGGGTGCCAGCTTGGAAATGGCACTCTGTAAGGATAGGGCACTATCCTCTGGGAGGTAGCATACATACACCCTGATTAGCAATCATTAAAAAGTGCTCTGTCACCAGTAGTTAGAATACAAGAAACCAGAAGTAAGGGCTGGATACAAGAATGATCCCACTCTTGGTGATCCACTTGAAGATTTTATATTTTCTGGGCCTGCAACTTTAGGTCTAGAGATCCTTATTCCCAGAGAAGAAACACTTCCACTAGGTGACACAATAAGGTTCCTATGACATTTTATGCCATAGTTTCCGCCTAATTACTTTGGGTTTCTCAATCCAAGAGACCAGCAGGCAAGTAAAGTAGTCACCATGCTGACAGGGCTAATTGATTCTAATCCTTAGGAAAAGGTAGAGTTTCTGTTGCACACTGAAGGTAGGGAAGAATATATTTGGTACCCAAATGATCAAGTTGTGTGTCACTTGATTTCCTTGCCCAATATTGAAGGCAAATGGATAAGGGGAGATGCCATTGACAGAGAAAGGTATGGCAAAGAGGCTGAGTGATAAGTATTTGGGCCACTTCACTATATAAGCCATCTTTATGAGCAGAAGCGTTAGCCAAAGATGAACCTGAAATAGTTAATAGAGAAGGGAAGGACAAACATGAGCTGAAACTCAAAGAATACCTGCAATACTGAGGGCTGTGAGGTGCCCATTAACACTGTACTTATAAATTAACACAAGAAAAGAGATCCTAGGCTGGGCACAGTGGCTCAAGCCTGTAATCCCAGCACTTTGGGAGGATGAGGCGGGTGGATCACCTGAGGTCAGGAGTTTGAGACCAGCCTGGCCAACATGGTGAAACCCGTCTCTACTAAAAATACAAAAAATTAGCCGGGCATGGTGGCATATGCCTCTAATCCCAGCTTCTCGGGTTTGGAGGGCAGTGGTGGGGTGGCTGAGACAGGAGAATCACACCACTGCACTCCAGCCTGGGTGACAGAGACTCCATCTCAAAAAAAAAGAAAAAAAGAAAAGAGATTCTAGAGGAATTGTTCCCAGGTGGGTAAACTTCCATTTGAAAGAGTGGATTAAGCACACAGGTGTAAACTATAGTGTAGGCTTTAATGAACCACCCAGATGCCCCACTTATTCCCTCAGCTGTGAGGAATGTTGACTGCAGACAACTCACCGCTGAATCCCTTGCTTGCCATGGCCCTCACCAAAGAGAGATGTTTCACCCAAATGTATGCCTCCTTCCAGAGGCAACTGCACTGACAGGTCCACGTAGAGGTAAAAATGCCCAGTTCCTTTGCGTCAATTTGGGATGTCTCTGAAAGGCCATCCCAGTTCCAGAGTACCTACATGATTGACTAATCCTTGCAACTTCATCTCAATTTTAACTTCTTCTGCTCAATCTTAACTTTACTCACTCCTTTACAATGTTGTTTCTGAGAGCCCTCCCTATAAATCTCCTGAATGTAGATCTTTTCATCAAAATCTGTTTACTGGGACACTTGAACAAAGACAATATCCTACAATTTTTACATTCTTGTATGTGTGTGTTTTCCCATTCTTTTTTCTTCTTGTTTGTTTTTTAAAACCTGTTTTCTACTTTGTTTTCAAATTTGCCCTGTTTTCAGCTGTGTTCAGTCAACTCGTTTCTTCAACTTGTTTATTAACTTCTTAGCTTCAGATATTTTCTTTTTTCATATACAGAGTGTTTATTTGGTCGTCTTTTATATAGATTTTCATTTCTCTTGTAAATTCTCTAGGCTTTGATCTATTTTGCCACTTTTTGTTTATTGGTTTTACCATATTAATCATAGCTTTTGAAAGTCCTTGTTTGTGTACTCCAATATCTGGGTCATCTCTCCTCTCCTTTCCTCATGAGTGTTGGTCATCTTTTCTTGTCTCCACATTTTTACTAATTTCTTAATATATGTTGGACACTGCAGGTAATGTAACTCAAGATGATGATGTAATCTTCCTATGTTGGCAGATAGGGAGGCTTGGAGCACGTCAATCCAATCAGACATTAATCGAAGTTGGGGCTGGGTTTCAATTTTAATAAACTCAGTCTGCTTCACCCCTGTTCATGTTTGCTGTGCTCCCCCTCCCATTCATAGTTGTTTGTTTCTGATTCTGATAGATCTTTATCTCCCCAGGTTTGGAAGACTTCAGAAAATTCAGCTATGTTTCTCAGAGGTCTGAGCCCAGCTCTCTCGTCTTCCACCTTATATCATTTCAAAATAAGGCAAATTCCATGGAGGTAAGACGAGCAATATTTTTCAATCAGTCCACTTGCGCAAGAATCTGGAGATTTCACTTTGTCTTTCATAAGCTTTTGGCCTAGTTTCCCAGCCTCCTGTATAGCATCAAAACTTAGCAAATGTTCTGTGAGGAAAAGCAGTTGTACGTTTGCAGCCCCTCAGGTTTCCAGTTTGTCACACCAGCCCTGTAGAATCACTAAAAGTTATGCTAGTTTCTCTTTTGCGTAGCTGAGGCTCTCTGATGGGTCACGCCAGATTCTTAGCAAGCACCTAGAATCAGAAAATACCCCCAGGAGAAGGAAAAATAAAAATTCTCGTTCACATAAAAGTGTTTCTTCTTTCTGGATTTTTAGTTTGTTGCTTCTGAAGTTCTCTGAGTCTTTAGAAATGTTGTTGTAATTTATCTGGCTTTGTCCAGTTTTGTAGCAAGAGTGATCTGTTGTCCTGACCTATTCTGTCCTAAAACAGAAGTCATTTCATCATTAGTTTTCAGCTTCATCAAGTATACATACCATTATTTTTATTGTTTGATAAAGTCAGTCTTTCAATACTATATTCATGTTTGCCATTTTCTATGCTCAAAGTACATTTTTACATCTTAGCTTTTGTTCTTGGGTCAGTGTCCTTGAAGTACAGTCTTTAGTAGAAGTTCCTTTAACGAGCATTTGTTGGTGGTAATACTCTTAGTAAATATTTGCATAAAAATGTCTTTAATTCACACCAATTCTTGAAATATGGTCTAATAAACTGAAAGTTATTTTCTTTGTGCACTTTGAGATTTAATCCAATTTTCCCTTGTCTTCCATTGTTGAGAAGCACAGTATATCGTCAGTCTGAATGTAGGCCCTTCGTTATTATTCTGTTTCTTCTTTTGGATTTTTAATATCTTCCTTGTGTATCTGGTATTCTTCAGTTTCCCTGGATGGGTCTGATGGTGCGTTTTTGTTTTTGTTTTTTCTTCAATTGTGCTTGTGATGTATCTGGCTTCCTGAATCTGGTATTGGAGTCTTTTATCAGTTCTGGAAATTTCTGTAATTATGTCTGACTATTCCTTTTCCCTATTTCTCTCTAACTTTCCTTCCAGGATTCCGATTATTTTATTATTTTGCCTTTCTATATCCTTTAACATTTTTACTCTCTTGTCTCTATTCTGCTGCTTTTTATTTTTCCCCAAGCTTCATTGGGGATCCTTTCTTTTGACCTACCTATTAGTTCTCTGTTTCTCTCAGTCTATTCTACTGTTAAGTCTACTCAAATAATTTGAATTGGGTTATGTCTTATCAGTTCTAGAATCAATTGCATTTCTAATTATCAATGTTAAATTTTATAAACAAATTTTAGAACACCTGATTATTGTACATATTTCTTAAACTTACTTTTGTGTACCTCATATTTTTCTTTTAGTGCCACTTTCTAAATAATGTCTTCGTGTCTTTCAGTTCATTTATTTTATCTTCAGGATTTAGTTAGTGTCTAATCTGGAGTTTCTAGATTCAATTTTGACTTTTTGTTTCTAGAAATCACATTTGTTTCTTTACTAATCTGCATGGTAAGTTTACAAATTATCTTATTTCATAATTATAATTTTAATTTAGTATTAATATAACCATTTTAAACATACTAATTTTATATTCTCTCTATTATAAACCTAACATTTGTAGCATTTGCATTTCTGCTTGTACAGTCTGTTGCTTCTGCTTTCTTGCTCATGGTGGCTTGCCAACTTCTGTGTAACTTCTCACATATCGTAATGGGTGATATTATGATCCTTGGACTCTTATCTTTTAGAATATTTGATCCTACATTTAAAGTTTGCTTCTTGAGAGAGAATTTGCATTTGATTTTGCAAGATACCTAGGGCACTCTAACAATTTGAGGCCACTCTAGTCTTTTTGCATGGACTTTTTTTTTTCTATCTTACCTATATGCACTAATTCCAGGATAATATTTGTGTGAGGGCAGGTGTTCTTGTTATTTCTCTTTGTGGGAAAATTTATTCTACCTGGTTCACTTATTATAATAGTCAAGATAGACAGACTAAATGCAGTTAAAAATGAACCCCTGAACATCACAGTAGCTTAGGAAAATGAAGGTTTATTTTTCCTCACCCAAGTCAAATGTGGGGCGGGTGTCCTTCTCCCTTTTCTAACTTTACAGTCTGCAACAAGTCACTCCAAAGGGCCGGGTTTGGAAATGGAGTAGTCATTTCCACCCACATCCTATCGGATAGAATACAACCTTACAGTCCCAAACAAACTGCAAGGGAGGCTGGGGAAATGTAGTGTTCCTCTATGCCCAGGAAGGAGAAAGATTTTGATGAACATATATTGTCTATGTCACATCCACTAAGGTTGAAAGTCTTCCAGGTGTTCAACATTATTTGGGAGTTTCCATTCAGACCTCCCAAGTTAGAGAGGAAATAGTTTTTTGTTTTGTTTTGTTTTGTTTTTATGTTCCATTAAGTCAGGCTTGTGGGCAGATTAAAACAAAACTCTTGAGATGGCCAGGCGCGGTAGCTCACACCTGTAATCCCAGCACTTTGGGAGGCCGAGGCAGGCAGATCACCTGAGGTAGGGAGTTTGAGACCACCCTGACCACTAAGGAGAAACCCTGTCCCTACTAAAAATACAAAATTAGCTGGGCATGGTAGCACATGCCTGCAATCCCAGCTACTATGGAGGCTGAGGCAGGATAATCGCTTGAACCCGGGAGGTGGAGGTTGTGGTGAGCTGGAGATCGTGCCATCGCACTCCAGCCTGGGCAACAAGAGCGAAACTCCATCTCAAAATACAAAAACTAAACAAACAAAAAACCCCTGGGATTGCTAGTTTTGTTGATGCTTCTGGGCTTTATGGGTTTGTACTTTCCTGACACTTCTGGCCACTGAGAGTTTCCCTTCTTTTTTTGCAAGCTCATTCAATGATTTTTTTTTTTAGATTCATGTTTTGTATACTATTGTTAGTTATTCTGCAACAGAAGGGTTTCTTATAACAACTAATCTGCAATATTGATTAAAATGGAAATCAACCTCACTCTCTTTGAGAGATTATTCTGGCCCCAACTGCTAGCTCTACACTATGGTTTCTCCTGTTGAAGAAGAAACTGGGGGATTTCCTCATGTGGAAAGAGTCAGATGTATTAGGGCCAACAGATAGTTCTTCCTGTTTCCTATTAGTACGTACATGCCTCTGTCAATTTTATATGTTACATGGGAAAGCCAATGTACTCCCAGACCAAGTTATTTGAACTAAGTTTCCAAGGGGCTGCTGTTACTCAGCTTTCATTTAAACTAGTACAATGTCACTTATAGTCTTCCTCAATTTTAAGTTCAATGAGTATTGAAAAGCAGAGCTATATATTCTTCTATAGTGTTAAACAAATTTCTGTTTTGGAAAATGGATTAAAATTACCTTTGAAAATGTTTGCATACCTTAACGAACATCTGATTGAGCTCCATTTTGCATTTTAAACCTAAATTAATTAATCTAATGTCTTGATAAATCCTTTTTGTTTCTGTTATAATAATTCTAAGAGAGTCTCAGTTTGGAAAAATTATTTTAAGCCACAGTTTTCTTTACTTTTTTTGTGAACCAGTTTCTGAAACTTCACTGCAAGTGTTGGCTGTAGAGTAGAATCACAATTACATATGTCATACATGGGGCAGACTCAACTTTCTTTAAACTTTTTTCATATCTTTCAGCTCTTCAAATGAACACAGTGACATTCTCTAACTGTTAAAAATTGCTTTCTATATTGTTTTCTTTAGATATTTTACTTTTCTTCCAGTTACTAAGGAAAGTTGATTTTCTGAGCTTATTGATTTAAGCTTACATATTATATTTTCAAGTTTCAAATTCATGACATATATACCAATTCCATAGCCAGTTTGGTTTTGGAGGGTAGTTATTTTCTTCAAATATTACCATTCTTGAAGTTTTTTTCTATTTTAGATTTGATAGATCATATTTCCTTGTCTCACTCATTTATTTCCATGACAGTATGGCTTATTGCACAGATACAACAGACTGCAGTTTCTCAGTGGTACCTATAAGCCAACTTACTAGAGAGCATGTGTTAGTGTCTGCACTAACAATGAAATGCTATTCTGTGGCCATTGAACATGTTTTCTCTTGAAGACTATTTTCACTTTATTCATAATTCCAGCAAGATTCCCAACCTCCGGCATGTAACTCATAGTTATTACAAAGGGGAAAGATTGGCTGCTGAAGATAGATAAACATTGGCAATAACTAGATATAAAATATAGCATCACTCGTTCAGCACAGAGGAAACTAGAGAATCTGAGGAAGGATGATGACATTTGAATTGGAAAAGTCAGAGAAGACCCAACGAGGAGGTTGAAACAGTGTATTATAGTTACCCCATTTTTATACTTTTATATAGCAAGGGAAATTTTTATTCATACGTCAAATGTGTGGAAAATAACATATGACAATTCGAGTAGGTGTATACACACACACACACACACACACACACACACATATATATATATATATTTTTTTTTTTTTTTTTTTGAGACGAAGTCTTGCACTGTAGCCCAGGCTGTAGTGCAGTGGCATGATCTCAGCTCACTGCAACCTCTGCCTCCCGGGTTCAAGCGATTCTCCTGCCTCAGCCTTCAGAGTTGCTGGGATTACAGGTGCACACCACTGCACCTGGCTAATTTTTTGTATATTTAGTAGATACGGGGTTTCACCATGTTGGCCAGGCTGGTCTTGAACACCTGACCTCAGATAATCCACGCACCTTAGCCTCCCAAAGTGCTAGGATTACAGGCGTGAGCCACTGTGCCCAGCCAACATACTGTAGTAGATTTTTTTATATCTTAAGGGAAATCTCGTCAGTAAACCTCAATCAGATTTTTTCATCTGAGAAATTTCTGTGTATCTAAAATTCTTCAAACATTATATGGAAGTTCTTAGACTTACCTTTTAAACCCAGGTTAAGTACTTCTGCTTAATATAATAAACTAGTACCAATGGAATAAGATTTGCAAGTCTTAAGAAAGAAAAAGTAGCCGGGAGGTGGCTCATGCCTGTAAACCCAGCACTTTGGGAGGCTGGTGGGCGGGGGGGGGGGGGGCGGTGGATCACGAGGTCGGGAGTTCGAGACCATCCTGGACAATATGGTAAAACTCCGTCTCTACTATAAATACAAAAAATTAGCTGGGCATGGTAGCACGTGCCTATAGTCCCAGCTACTCAGAACCCTGAGGAAGGAGGATCACTTGAACCTGGGAGGCGGAGGTTGCAGTGAACCGAGATCGCACCTCTGCACTCTAGCCTGGGTGACAGAGCGAGACTATCTCACCAAAAAAAAAAAAAAAAAAAAAAAGGTAGACTATGATAAAAATAATAATTCAGCAGTTCAAATTAGTTTGTACCACCTTTTCTGTGTCCTTTTAATATCAGTGGGCTGGGGGAGGTCCCCAAATGCCAGTGGGATCTTGATCTCAGCTTGTGTTCAGGCTCTTGATACCACCACAAGAATAAATCCAAGGGAGTCAGAAATTAATGAAAGTAGAGAGATTTATTGTACTTTCTTGAGAGAAAAGTACACACTCAAGAAAGGGGAGTGCTGGCATACTCAAGAGAAAGTCACACAGTGAGGCTTGGGGTTTCTATCTTTATGTGTTTCCTTAACCAAGAGGTAGAATATTCATGAAAATTCCTGGAAAAAGGTACAGATTTCTTGGAACTGTAACACCAACCATTTTTACACCAGATAAGGATGTTCTTGGAACTGTCATGGTACTGGTGGGTATGTAATTTAGTATGCTAAATAGCATATAATGATGTCCTAGAAGAAACCTAGGTCAAATCCAGCACCATGTTGGGTCTAGTTGGTCATAGTCAGCGTGCTCCACATCCTGGATTTTCAAGGTCTTATAACCTCTAGTCATGTGAAACTGATGACTAGAATTTTTTATTCTCCTGCAACCACCCTTCGTTATTCCTGTCTCACTTTTCTAATGTGATTGTGTAAGAGTTGCTTTATGTCACTTTGGTATTAAGATTTGATTATGAAGACGAGTCCTCAAAGGGAGAGGATCCCAGAGCTGGAGATAGTATCCAGAGATCCAGAATAACTGACTTCTTATACACAACTGTGTATCTCAGATTACATTTATAAGCCATTTCTCAAATCCAGTTTCTATAGAACTCATCTGGCCAAATACAAATTAAGAGTGTTGATGAAAAAAGCCAAACTCTGTAAAATATTTACAGAGATTTATTCTGAGCCCAATGTGAGGACCATGACCCATAACACAGCCTCAGGAAGTCCTGAGAATGTGTGTCCAAGGTGGTTGGTTTGCAGCTTGATTTTATACATTTTAGGTTGACAGAAGTTACAGGCAGAGATATAAATCAATACATGTAGGCTATACGTTGGTTTAGCCCAAAAAGACAGGACTTGTTAGAGCAGGGGTTTGCAAGTCGTAGATTTCATTCAAAGATTTCCTGATGGGCAATTGGTTAAAGATTTAAGCTTTGCCTAAAGAGTTGAAGTCAGCAGAAAGAAATTCTTGGGGTTAAGATAAGGGGGGTTGTGGAAGCCAAGGTTCTTGTTATGTAGATGAAGCCTCCAGGTGGCAGGCTTCAGAGAGAATAGACGACAAATGTTTCTTATCAGATCATAAAAGGTATTAAACACTCTTACTTAAATCTCTCCTGGATTAGGAAAATACTTGGAAAGGGAAAGGGAATCTCTGCAGAATGTAAATCTTCCCGAGAAGAGATGCCTTTACAAGGCCATTTCAAAATATGTGAAAGAAATATATGTTGGAATAAAATACTTTGATTTCCTTTACCTGTTACCTATTATGTGATGTTATATGAGAGTCAGGTTGGAGTTGTTATCTTACTGCTACAAAGTATCTGTTCTGTCACTCTTTCTATCTCTATTCTAATGTTTTATTTTTGGTTTATGAGGGGTTCCATTTGCATAATTACAGAAGGAAAATCTCTAGGATTTAGACAAGAATCTCAACTTTAAATAAGACCACCGGGTGATTAATTTTCATACCAAATATTGAGAATCACTAACCTAAATTATTTAAAAAGGAACCAGTTGCTGCTCAAGAAAACCAGTAGTTTCTATCAGAGAGGCTATTTTATTGTGCATATATTAAACTCATATAGTGTGTAAATTCATGCTTAAAAAATACTCTAATAAATGCTTTATTGCATCCAAACAATAAAAGAAGGTATTCTTGCCCTCTGAAAATTTACAATGTGGATTAGTTTTATTGAGAGTCTTGTCATTTAGGTCCATTTTAAGAAAAGCAAAAAGAAAAATGCCTTGTTCTTTGCTATAATGGTTGGCAGAAACTCCAAGGAGTGATTTATTGGAAATTAGTGCCAAATTTTGAGGAAGGTAATGGATTTCTCATTGTGTAAAAGAATCCCAATGCATCATTAAAAAACAAAACTTTCCTTTGAATTGTAAATATTCATCTCAATTTGCCAAATTTGCAGGAGTGAAAGATGAAGAGAAAGTCTGTCTTATATTTGGTGAATTGATTATTGCACTGCTGGATGTCCAGGGACAAAAATCAAGCAGGAGAAACAAGTTACTGTTTGGAAAGTGTTAAAAACAACAGCCAGATTGTTTCTTCTTCACTTACTGTGCACGGTATGGGCTGGCACTACTGCCGCAGCTTAGAAATCTCAAATGCTGTCATGAAAAACAAACTAAGCCCTCCAGACAGAATAAAAGGGTGAAAACACAAGCAAAGAAGACCAAGAATTTATCTGTAGCTAACAAAAGAGTGATATATTTGCTAAAGGACTGGTGGAAACTGTTCTGTGAGGAGGGAGTGATCTCCGGAAATTTCTTCCATTTTACTGTCTTTCTTCTTGAGTACAGCATAAATGTTGATTTAATTATCAGTGAGTTCTTTTAATATGTAAAATTTCCTTTAAGACCCAAAAGCCTATGTAGCCTGCATGATGAGTCTTGAAGGGTTCATATATTATTTAGATGTTTTTGAAAGAAGTGTCATCTTGAGGTTTTTACTGAAAGAAAGAAAGCTGAATGGATGAAAGAGAAAGAAAAAAGAAATGACCCCTTGTTACACTAAGCTACTTTTAAGCTATTTACCTGAAGTATGCTGCAGGGCAAGCAACTGTTAGTCAGTCCCAATCTCAATTGCTCTCTCTTTTTCTCCCCTCTCCTCCCTCCCTTCCTTTTACCTCATCCATCTCATAAGAAAGATTAAATATCTGGAAATTTCCTTTTGGAGTAGTTGTAATGTCAATCACTATTATTGTATAGACAATTTCAGCATAAACACAGGTTTAAATTGCTAAAGATATTTTGGTCACAGTGACTGGAAAGATAAGCTTTACCAAAAAAATTGACTCAATTAGCCAGTTTTATAGAAACTGTAAATTCTTTGAATTTCAATGACCAAAATAACCAATTTTATGTTTTCTGTTGTTTGGTTTGTTTTCAGAATTTTTGTTTCCTTTTCAGTTAAACAGAAATATTATGAAATATTTACTCAGTATAGATCAGATTTTATCCTGATAATTTTCATAGTATTTTTAAGGAATTGTGTTGATGGCAAGAATCTATTTCTCTAAAATAAGAAGTTAAAAAATTGTTTTTTTGCTTTTAGCTGCTTAAGATGCTCTTTGCTTTTAGCTGCTTATTAAGTAAATTATTTGCTTTTAGCTGCTTATTATTGTGGTTTAACTTAAAAACCAGAGATGAGAAAAGGGTTGCTACTACCAAGACACATTAATTGTGAATACCTATACAGATATTTTTTGATAATAGACTAATTTGCTAAATAACAAATTACTTAGGTAATAGAAGGTATCATGTTAAAGAGTTTTCACCCCAGGATGACTACAATCTGGATTGTGAAATAATCTTTATTTGTATACCATTTAGACATTTAGCAAGGGTTTGCCAAAGATGACAGAGGAGAAAAATGGGAAAATGAATGTAAAATTAATGTACTGATTAACAATACAAGTTCACAAACAATGTAAGCTCACAATCCTGATTGTATCACCACAAGGGTAAGTTTCTAAGCTTCAGAATTTAGTAAAAATTATGTAGCTAGATTTCTATAAATTCATGCTCATCTGTCAATTCTTGCTTTCCAACCACTAAATCAGGTAGCAATAAAGTGAGCTTTATCAGAGAAGAGAAATAATTCAAACTATTTTATTATTTTAATGTTAATGACTATTTTATTGTTTTATACAGTAGTCTTGAAACCTAATGTTACAGAATGTTTTTGCATGTTCGTGTTCAACATACTATTCTGGATTATGTTTTTGAGCAATAAATAGATGCTTAAAAAATAGTTTTGGAATAATGAATGAATGAAGCCTTCTAAAATATCTTAAGAAGGAAAAAAGGTACCATATTACATATACCTAATGTATGCTACAGAATCTATTATATGCATTACATAATATTTTATATCTGTGATGTATTTGTATAGGTGTATATATAGGTGTATGTATTTGCTAGTGTCTAGTTATTTGAATTGGCTTTACATGTTTTAATCTCTTTAATCATTCACATCCTTGTCATTTACAGACACGAATAAAATATAAGTTCTTCTATCTCTCCTCTTAAGAATCCATATTCTGCTCTGTGCTTTCCTCTATCCCAAGATGTATTGTTCCATAGCTAACTTTTCATTTCATTCTATTTTTCTATACATGTTTTACTAAGGGAGGAGACCACCCCTCATATTGTCTTATGCCCAATTTCTGCCTCCAAAGAAAGAAGAAGTAAAAACTAAAAGGCAGAAATGAAATCCGCAGGCAGACAGCCCGGTGCCACACCCTGGGCCTAGTAGTTAAAGATCGACCCCTGACCTAATTGGCTATGTTATCTATAGATTACAGACATGGTATAGAAAAGCACTGTGAAAACCCCTGTCCTGTTCTGTTCCATTTTAATTACTGGTGCATGCAGCCCGCAGTCACGTACCCCCTGCTTGTTCAATCAATCATGACCCTCTCACACGGACCCCTTAGAGTTGTGGGCCCTTAAAAGGGACAGGAATTGCTCACTCAGGGAGCTCGGTTTTTGAGCCGTGAGTCTTGCCGATGCTCCCGGCTGAATAAAGCCCTTCCTTCTTTAACTCTGTGTCTGAGGGGTTTTGTCTGCAGCTCATCCTGCTACATTACCTCTTCACAGAATGCTTCTATTTCACAGAGGGCTTCTGAATCCCTTCTCATGTTTGACTTAGTTTCCTTTGTCCTTTCATGGTACTTGCTCTAGTAGTCATTTCAAATGCTGTTTATTCTTCTACATGGCCTGGTTCGTAGATTTAATATAGATCAATTAAGCATTTTAAAAATATTTTTTGAGTGATTTTAAAAGATTACTGTTCTTTCATCCCCTGCAAAACCTATTCATTATTCTAGGCTAATGGAGCCCAGTTGTACCCTCCTAATTTTAAAAATGGCTCTCTTTTATCTTCAGTTCCATCTCTATATGATCAGTAATTTTCATTACTTGCCTTAATCTATCTCTCTCTTCATTTTTCTCTCTGGTTTAATATTTGTGCTCCTGGCCCACCTGATGCCTTAGCCTCAGAGTACGTTATTGTATTCCAACTCATACAAATTATGCTCAACTCATTCATGGTCAGACCACAGGTTTTGATATAATCTAGAACTCTTAAACATGAAATTCCAAACTTCTCCAATCTCTTCCAGGACTAAAACTTCTAAACACTTCATTGGAGTCATGCCTTTACATCTTGTTGAAAATACCTTACTGTACATTACAGCCACTCTGGCTTCCAAAAACTTGCTGTGGTTTTCCTAGAGCATTCATCGTTAGCAGGAATTAAAATATTTACTTATTTATTTGCTTAATAACTTCTTTCTCTCTCTGGCATGGAAAGTCTTAGATAGGAATTTTGTCTTGTTAACTACTAAATCCCCAAGCTCTACAATAACGCACAATGTATAGTGGGAATTTGAATAATGTATCTGTTGAATCGAGGAGTGAATAAAATAATTCAGTGAATCAGGAAGTTAATTTTTGTTTCCTTAAGAAACTATTGTATATCAGATTAACCATATATTTCAATCATACCCACATCTGCTCGTGTTGGGTAGAACTGGCTTCAGGCTCAGTTTCTGAGGCAGGAATGATTTCATCATGTGACTAAAATATTGTTTTCCCCAAACCATTTCAGACATGTGCACATTTTGGGACAACAGTTTCTTTTAGAGCATGCTTATGAATATAAATTATAGTAAATTAAGGCAGATTGTCATTTATGATTGAGTGACATTTTTGTGGTCTTGTCTACCTTAATCATCCTCAGTAGAAAAACTGCAAACATTAAAGAGGAAAAAGGACTATACATTTAGTTCTTTGTAACAAAAAGTGTAATTTGGGAAGTGGTGTATATGTAAAAGAAAGTTTTGGAACAAAGCCTGGATAAATGATAGATGAAACTACTTTTGCATTTCACCCAAAACAAGAATTTGCATTTTAGTCGGGGTCATCTGAATAGGTTGCTTTATTTCCTTCCTTTTGCATGTGAGGATGCAACTCTCCTTAAAAAAAGCATAATTCTATTGTAAAATGAGAATTAAGGAATGATATGAGCTTTCAGTCTCTGCTGACGTTACTTATTTACAAAGTATTGTGTAGAATGTAATTGAGAGCTCTAGAATGTCAGGGATAGCATTTTTATTAGTCTTTGTGTTCCTCCAAAAGCAAAGACACTGCCTGACATTTGGCAAGCAATACGTGCTCGTAAAATGATCAATCAGATTTTCATTCTCAAGATCTGACATTTAATATAAATTGTAATTCATTTTCTCATAATTAGTTTGCTTTTTAATTTGTCTTCCATGTTCTTAAAGTAACTTGTTCTATGATGAATTATCATAATACAGTAAATAATAATGTAGCCGTACATTCAAAGTCTCATAGGAAGAATATATTGAAACCAGAATTTTCAGTCTGGATGGGTCTTTAGAGATCAGCCAATCCAAACTTTTTGTTTTACAGATAGACAAAAATGTCCCAGAGAGCTGAGTTGACTTGTCTGAGGTTTTATAGATTTTTAAACTGGACTAGCATCTAGGTCACTCAGTGCTGGGCTATTTCCACTATATTAGATGATTGTGTACCATAAAGTACATTCAGAGAGGAATAAACTTACGCTATCCAACGCTCTCTTGAGCAATCATTTCCAAATTTTTTATGATACATCTTAATGAATAATTTTGAGAATACCCTCAATATGTCTAAAATTGTTTATTACTTACTAAAGTACTATAATTTTATGAGATATATAAAAGAATGATATAAAGAGTAATAACACTTCAAAAATAATTTTATTTTTATTAGTAGTACAAACATCCTTTTCTGTTTTCACCAAAAATTATGAATAAAATTTCAGCAAATACAGTCTATTTGAATATGCCTTATTATTTTTGAAAATGTTGGTTTAAATACCATTTGACAAAGTGTCTTAAAAATCAAGTTCTTGGCCAGGTGCCTTGTCTCACACCTGTAATCCCAGTACTTTGGGATGCCAAGGCAGGTGAATCACCTGAGGTCAGGAGTTCGAGACCAGCCTGACCAACATGGTGAAACCCCGTCTCTACTAAAAATACAAAAATTAGCCAGGCATGGTGGTGCATGCGTGTAATCCCAGCTACTTGGGAGGCTGAGGAGGAATAGCTTGAACTGGGGAGGCAGAGGTTGCAGTGAGCTGAGATCGTACCATTGCACTCCAGCTTGGAGCTTGGGCAACAAGAGTGAAACTCTGTTTCAAAAATAAATAAAAATAAATAAAAAAATCAAGTTCTTGATTATTGGTTTTAATGGCAGTAATAGATTTAAATGGAAGGAACATTTCACGGCTGCAATTAATACAACATGAAATTTACTTTTAAACTGCATTCCTTACTTATGCAAAGATTTATAGGTGAAATTCATCTAATGAATTATCATCTCCCTGGAAGTCAAAAATTTATTCTTGCAAACAAATTCTAGCTTCTGAAAAAATGGCCTAAATATCTAGCACTTTTCTTTAGGATGTTTTGAAAGTTATGTTTTCAAATTTTTTAAGTGAAAAAGTTAAGCTTTTCTCTTTAAATGTTGATATGCCTATATTTCAGCAGTAATGATACATAAAGATCAATATTTCTAAAAGTTGTTTCTCTAAAACACTTTCTATAACATGAAGTTCTTTTGAAAGCCAATCACTTACTTACTAAAATCACAAATATTTTGTAATACCGCTCATTGTAAATAATACATAAACTCATGTTTCAAAAGCCTTTTAGATAATTTTAACATTTTTGGCACCTTTTGTCAGCTCCAACTAGATTATCATTGTTTATCTTCCAATGTGGCTGATAAAGTTTTTCTGCTAGAGAGTATAGGAATTAGTTCTACAATTCTCTTATTGTCCAATTTTCCCCCTTCTTATGACTAGTAATATCTTAAATCCAGATTTTTACAGAAATAGTCTATAGTTTTTTGCCTATTTAATGAGAATTAGTTTATTTAAAACCGGATAATCTAATCAATACATCTCTTTTCTGGTTACATGTGCACTGAAATATGATACTTTATGTTTAAAGCAAATCAATTAATGAGACCTTTCTTATTACCCTCTCCAAGTTGCAGAACTTTCACTCTTTCTTTGGGATAAATCTTCCACGTGACATAATATCATCTAATTTATAAACTGAACATGGTCATCATATGGAATCATATTAATAGTTCAATACCAGTAAACATTAAATGTTTTCATTTTCAAAGTTAAAAACATAGAGATTCTATTTTTTTCTAACATCCTAATAAGGCATTTGCATACACAAGTAGGTGTGTACATCTCTCTTTAGAGATAATGATGTTTTGGTGTTGCTTACCTGATTTGCCTAGTCTTCAAACCAGAATCAAGATAATAGTCTAGTGAGAGTTTACTGAGACCAGGTACCTATCCAGATGTAACTAAGATAATTATCTCTATCTTGGTTGAGTCTGGAATTCACTTTGGGAGTTATCCAAATTTTGTTGATACTTTGAGTATCTTTTTAAATTTGTGCTGGGATATTATTTTCTTGCATTGGGATTGAATTACTGTTAATTATTTTTGATACATATAATTGTTCTAAATTTAAGTTTATTTGATACTTATAATGCACTCATACAATGTGGTCATCAAAATACCAGTTCTAATTGTTTCTTACTTCAGAGATTGCTCTTTTATTTCTATTACTCTGGCACTATTTTCATTTTCTCTGCTGTGAATGTTCTATGAGCTACTCAAGATTATGTGATTTGATGGTGTTTCCCCCAGGTCAGATGGAATGCAATGCTAATTATATTACATCTCAGTGTAGTAGAGCTACACCTCCTTTCTTCATTAAGAATAATTTGTTAACATTTAATTTAAAAATTTTAGTTTTTTAATATTTGCAATTTATAACTTTTTTCTTATTCGAATGTTTCTTCTCTTTTTTATTCATACAGATATTTGTACATATTTGTGAGGTACATGTGATATTTTGTTACATGCATAGACTATGAAATGATCAAGTCAGGGTATTTTGGGTATCCATAACATCAAGTATTTATTATTTCTGAGTATTGGAAACGTTTCAAGTCCTCTTTTCTAGCTATTTTGAAATATATAGCACATTGTTGTTAGCTATAGTTACCCTATTCAGTTACTGAACATTAGAACTTATTTCTTTTATCTAACTGTTTGTACCATTAACTAACTTCTCTTCATCCCCACCAACACCTTTCCCAGCCTCTGGTATCTTTATCATTCTATTTTCTACCTCCATGAGATTAAGTTTTTTAGTTCTCACATATGAGTGAGAACATGTGACATTTGCAAACTATTTATCCAACAAAGGACTAATATCCAGAATTTACAAGGAATTGAACAATAAAGAAACTTTAAAAAGTGGACAAAGACATGAATAGAAATTTCTCAGAAGTCATGCAAAGCGCCAACAGGTATATGAAAAGATGCTAAACATTACTAATCGTCAGGGAAATGCAAATTAAAACCATAATGAGATATTATGTTACCACAATTAGAATGGCCATTATTAACAAGACAAAAAATAACAGATGCTGGTGAGGATGCAGAGAAAAGGGAACACTTATACACTGTTGGTGAAAATGTAAATTAGTGCACCCACTATGGAAAACAGTACAGAGTTTTCTTAAAAAACTAAAAATAGAACTCCTGTATGATCCAGCAATCCCACTACTGAGTATTTATCCAAAGGAAAACAAATCAGTATATCAAAGGGATACCTGCACTCGTATGTTTATTGCAGCACTACTCACAATAGGAAAGATATGGAATCAACCTAAGTGTCTAGTAAAGGATGAATGGATAAAGAAAATGTGGTGTATAAGCACAATGGAATAGTATTTGGCCATAAAAAAGGAATGAAATCCTGTCATTTGCAGCTATGTAGGTGGAACTAGAGGTCATTATCTTAAGTGAAATAAGCCAGACACATAAAATTTAATTCTTTAAAAAAATCTAGGTTATAAAAATTTTTCTTTATCTAAAATGAAATATATTGTATTCAACCTTGAATTAGAGAAGATCTTAAGAGGAATGATATAATTTAGGTATCTGCTTCCTATTGTATTAATTGTATTCCTAAAGTATATTGTATTAATATACCAGAAGGTAGATGTCTGGCTTGCATCATATACACAAATTAACTAAAAAGAGATCAAAGACCTAAATGTAACAGGTAAAATTATAAAATTCTTAGAAAAAATTATTCATCTAAATATTTTTGACCTTGAATTAAGCAAATAATTTTTACACATAATAGCTAATGCACAAGCAAAAAAAAAAAATAGATAAATTGAACTTTATAAAAATTTAAAACTTTCGTGTTTCAAAGGATGTCATCAATAAAGTGAAAAGGCCACCCAAAGAGTGGGAGAAATATTTCAAATCATGTATCTGGTGGGATCTAGTATTCAGAATATATGAATAACTCTTACTATTAAACCAAAAAAAGACAAATAAATCAATAAAAAAATAGGCAAAGAATCTGAATGACTTAAAAAAATTTTTTTTCAGATGAAGTCTTGCTCTGTAGCCCAGGCTGGAATACAATGGCACAATCTTGGCTTAGTGCAACCTCCATCTCCGGGGTTCAAGTGATTCTCTCGCCTCAGCCTCCCCAGTAGCTGGGATTACAGGCATCGGCCATGATGCTTGGCTAATTTTTGTATTTTTGTAGAGACAGCGTTTCACCATGTTGGCCAGGCTGGTCTTGAACTCCTGACTTTAGGTGATCCACCTGCCTCAGCCTCCCAAAGTGTTGGGATTACAGGCGTTAGCCACCGCCCCTGGCCGACTATTTTTTTCCCCAAAGAAAATATACAAATGGTTAATAAACACAGGAAAACATTCTCAACATGATTAGTTATTAGGGAAACACATATGGAAACCATAATGGAATACCATTTCACACTCATTAGGATGAATATAATTTTTTTTTAAAAAAAGGAAAATTGGTGAGGATGTAAAATTGTAACCCTTATATGTTGCTGGTGGGAATGTGAAATAGTGCAACACCCTTGGAAAACAAGTTGGCAATTGTTCAGAAAGTTAAACATAAAGTTTTCATTTGTCCCAACAATTCTCTTAGGTACATACCCAAGAGAATTGCAAAAATGTTTTCACACAAATACTTGTACACAATGTTCATATTAGCATTATTTTTGATAGCCATATAGTGGAAATGTTCATCAGCTGATAAATGGAAAAACAAAATGTAATCTGTCCAATAGAATATTTTTTGACAATAAGAAGGAATGAAGTACTGATACATACTACGACATGGGTGAACCTTGAGAATTGATAAAGACTATCACTTCTCTTCCAGAATAAGACATTTCCACATATATTAAACAATTTAAGCATATATTCTGGGCATTTACAAGCCTCCTTAAACACGTTCATGAAACTCTAAGTCTCAAAGACCCGAAGCAGGAATCTCTAGTCTGCAAGATTAGTAAATAAATAAAATGGCTGCCCTGGCCGGGCACAATGACTCACGCCTGTAATCACAGCAGTTTGGGAGGCCGAGGTAGGCGGATCACGAGGTCAGGAGATCGAGACCATCCTGGCTAACACAGTGAGACACCATCTCTGCTAAAAATACAAAAAATTAGCTGGGTGTGATGGCACATGCCTGTAGTCCCAGCTACTCAGAAGGCTGAGGGAGGAGAATCACTTGAACCAGGGAGGTCAAGGTTGCAGTGAGCCGAGATCCTGCCATTGCACTCCAGTGTGGGTGACACAGCGAGACTCCATTTCAAAAAAAAAAAAAAAGCTGCCCTAGAATTATTAAATTAATGAATATTTTAATAATTCAATTAATCACATAAAATAAATTATGACCAGATAATTATTTTATTATTATTATACTTTAAGTTCTAGGGTACATGTGTACAATGTGCAAGTTTGTTACATATGTACACATGTGCCATGTTGGTTTGCTGCACCCATTAACTCGTCATTTACATTAGGTATTTCTCCTAATGCTATCCCTCCCCCATCCCCCCACCGCATGACAGGCCCCAGTGGGTGATGTTCCCCTTCCTGTGTCCAAGTGTTCTCATTGTTCAATTCTCACCTATGAGTGAGAACATGCGGTGTTTGGTTTTCTGTCCTTGCGATAGTTTGCTGAGAATGATGGTTTCTAGGTTCATCCATGTCCCTGCAAAGGACATGAACTCATCCTTTTTTATGGCTGCGTAGTATTCCATGGTGTATATGTGCCACATTTTCTTAATCCAGTCTATCATTGATGGACATTAGGGTTGGTTCCAAGTCTTTGCTATTGTGAATAGTGCCACAATAAACATATGTGTGCATGTGTCTTTATAGCAGCAAGCATGATTTATAATCCTTTGGGTATATACCCAGTAATGGGATGGCTGGTTCAAATGGTATTTCTAGTTCTAGATCCTTGAGGAATCACCACACTGTCTTCCACAATGGTTGAACTAATTTACACTCCCACCAACAGTGTAAAAGCATTCCTATTTCTCCACATCCTCTCCAGCACCTGTTGTTTCTTGACTTTTTAATGATCACCATTCTAACTGGTGTGAGATGGTATCTCATTGTGGTTTTGTTTTGCCTTTCTCTGATGACCAGTGATGATGAGCATTTTTGCATGTGTCTGTTGGCTGCATAAATGTCTTCTTTTGAGAAGTGTCTGTTCATATCCTTTGCCCACTTTTTGATGGGGTTGTTTGATTTTTTTTCTCGTAAATTTGTTTAAGTTCATTGTAGATTCTGGATATTAGCCCTTTGTCAGATGGGTAGATTGCAAAAATTTTCTCCCATTCTGTAGGTTGCCTGTTCACTCTGATGGTAGTTTCTTTTGCTGTGCAGAAGCTCTTTAGTTTAATTAGATCCCATTTGTCAATTTTAGCTTTTGTTACCATTGCTTTTGGTGTTTTAGTCATGAAGTCCTTGCCCATGCCTATGTCCTGAATGGTATTGCCTAGGTTTTCTTCTAGGGTTTTTATGGTTTCAGGTCTAATATTTAAGTCTTTAATCCATCTTGAATTAATTTTTGTATAAGGTATAAGGAAGAGATTCAGTTTCAGCTTTGTACATGTGGCTAGCCAGTTTTCCCAGCACCATTTGTTAAATAGGGAATCCTTTCCGTATTTCTTGTTTTTCTCAGGTTTGTCAAAGATTAGATCGTTATAGATGTGTGGTGTTATTTCTGAGGCCTCTGTTCTGTTCTATTTGACCAGATAATTTCATTAGAAAAAAAATTATCTGGTCATAACTACTTAGCAGCCATTTTAATATCTATTTATGTATTTATTTTAACACAGGGTCTTGCTCTGTCACTGAGGCTGCAGTGCAGTAGCACAATTACAGTTCATTGTAGCCTCAGCCTCCTAGGCTCAAGAGAACCTCCCATCTCAGCTTCCTGAGTAGCTGGGACTCTAGGTGTGTACCACCACACTTGGCTAATTTTTTAATTATCATTTTTTTTTTGTTGAGGCAGAGTTTTTGCTATGCCCAGGCTAGTCTTCAACTCCTGGCCTCAAGGGATCCTCCTGCCTCAGCCTCTTAAGGTGCTGGGATTATAGGTGTGAGCCATTACACTGGATCTTTAGCAGCCGTCTTTAAAGTATTTACAACATTTAAGTGTCAATAACAACCAAAACAACTACAACATCAAAAGCTAAGATTTATTAAAAATTTATTCTGTGCCAGGCAGTTTGGTAAGTACTAGACAGCATTTTCTCATTTAGTCATCCTTGTTTGGTTGATAAAATCTCATCGCTCCAGAGCACATACCTCTGATATCCTATCACAGATGGTGGCAATAGAAATGACTCTGCCTACACTACAAGTTAATTGTGAAATTTTTAACATGGACAAGGCACTGGAGTAGAAATGTGGAATACTTGTTATTAGTTCAAGCTAATTCTGTTATTAACTAGCTTGTATGACTTTGAGTAGTTATGTTAGATTTCTGTACATCAATTAATTTATTTTTAAATTGGAAGCGAAGTCAGGGTAGGTTATTATTTTAATTTTCTTACAAGCTCTTAGATGTAATCATTCTAATCTAACTTAAATTTGTGTTTGCATCTATATACACATGGTGCTTAAATTTATATCATATGACACATATAATTATACATACACAAATATACATATAATTATGTATCATATAGATGTGTATATACAGACACATAGGTGATTTTGAAGTAAGTAATTTGTATTATTAAAATACATTTAACAAGCGTATTTTTTCCAAATCAGATAACTACTTTTCAGAGGATATTGGAGAGGAATACTAAAAATATCCAGCCTGTGCAGGCTTCAGGGTCAGAACATTCTGGGGATTAGAGATGGTAGGAATCTAAGATAACAAAGGAGGTAGCTGCTTTGTTGATCTAGTTAAGTTAATTCTTCTACAACAAATGTTTTCCCCAAGGTAGGAAACAATTAGTTCTAACCATTTGCTTAAGCACCAGAGGGACTCAACAAAAGGATTAGCTAGAAAGTTTCAAAGGAAGATCAAGTGACTTGAATTTATTTACAGAATAAAAGCCGAGTTTAAACTGGGCTATTCCCATAAAGTCTTACTTTCTGAATGAAAGTGTGACATAGCTCAGGCTTTTGTGCCTTCTTCCTATCTGAAAGTTTTACAAGTCCCATATTGAGGCAGAGGCAAAATATCTAGCTAGAAATTTGGGTCCTCTCTGTGAAACTTCTAATGGAGTAAAAGGAAAGTAGAATTAATACCTAAAGAATGAAAATATTCCCAAACTAAATTTATTTCCTCTGACAACTAGTCAAAAGTGTCCTGGAAATCAAGATGTCCCCAGTCAGATATTTATTACTGAGATAGCGGTTTCATGGTTAGAAATGGAGAAAATAAGCAATTGAGGAAACAAGAAAGAATATAAATAGCAGAAGGAAAAAGATGATGAGAAAGCAGAGATGCTGGTAGTTTTTACTGAGGGAGTAAATTGTATCTTATACAAAGATTTAGGGAATAGTAGATAGAGTATTGTAGAAAATTTTAAATAGAGAATGTAATAAGGATAGTCTCCCCAATTTCCCCTCCCCTGCTTCTGTAGGATTGAACAGGTCCCTTCATGTTTCTATTATACTGTATTTATTTCTATATGCTGTGCATATCTCACATATGCCACATGACACATTGTATTTGCTTACCGGTAAGTTTCCTCCAGCAAGATATGAACCCCTTGAGAGAGGATCATGTTTATTTTACTGGCACCTAGCCTGGGTCTTGGACCATTGCATTCAGCCAAAATTATCAACTGATTTAATGAAAATTTATACCCCACAATCTTTAAATTTTAGGATATACAATATTCATAGTGACTGTGAGTTGATTTTGCCATCTACTCAAAAGGGCACTTTTATGTTGATTCTGCAACTATCAAAATTGCAGGCCCTTTAAATTTCATCCTCTTTGGAGGCTGAAGTAGCCACTCAACTCTACTAAAAGGTAGCAGAAGCTTATAATAGTCTAGAGAATAGAATGACCAAAAAATATATGTTTCAAGGCTTTACAAAATTATGTTACACAAAAGTAGAGAGACTTAGCAAAGTCTCAGCAGGAGTGGTGTGAGGATTGGTTTTGAAGAGAAACGTATAACACACAGATTGTACCTTGGAAATAGTGTAATGCCCTTCAACATGTTTCAGTGTTAAAAGTGGGTCACCAACTGTCCTTACGATTCCCACTGCTTTTTACTTGCCTTATGCATCAAGGCAAATGGAGATCGAAGGGAACTTCATACATAGTTAGAGAAGGATTGTTGTTGACCTGGGTCATAGTGGTTCTTACAGATCAAAAATAGTAAATCCACACCACAGGAAGATGGAGGAGAGCTAATCAAAAGAAAGGCAAAAGGCATTCCACTTGAAAACTATAGTGGAAAAAAGAGAAATGTACAAGAGCAGAATAGTTAGGTCAAGAAAATGATTTTCTCATTTGGAACTGAGAAAATGCTTTCAAGTCTGAAAGTCCCATAAAGAGATCTGTACATTCATCAAACAGCAGGGAGATGAATAACCAATTAAAATCAAAACTAAAATGATAGGCTGCAAGCTAGTATGGGAAACTATGATGAAGTTTTAATTAGAAAAGAAGACAAACTCACTTGGAAATTTTTTTTGTTTTAGTTTTTTCAGAAAACAAGATTATGTATCCTTTATATGAGATTAAACATTCTTTTGTGATAAATAAGACCTCTATCAGTGGTTATTAGCTTTATCAGCAGTAATTATTGCTTTAATTCATCTATTCCTTCATTAACCTTATCTTTAAAAAAAAGCCAGCTCAATTACATTTATTATAAACGAACAATTTCTTATTAAGTAGCATAGACAATTGCCAACCAGGGCTTCTCATGAGCATGAAATAAGAGGCAACACTAAACCAATTTATTTTGAAATCAACCAAAAACAAAGATAATTTAAATTTTATTTAGCTTGTATGTTGTGATTTTAGATAAGTACACATTTTATTAAGCTTTTAAAAGTTATTGAAAATAACTCAAAATATCCATTGCTTCCTTTTTGCAGGGTTTCTCAACAGTGGCAGTATTGACATTTGTAGCCAGATAATTCCTTGTTGTGAGGGGCTGTCCTGTGCATTATAGAATGTTAAGAGGCATCCCTGGCCTCTATCCTCTAGATGCCAATAGTGCTCTCCTAGTTGTGACAATCAAAAATAACTCCAGCCATTGCCAAATGTCCCTTGGAGATCAAAACTGGCCCTAGGTGAGATTTGATACAGAGAAGTCTTAGGTCCTTATTTGATAACCACTCACCTTAAGAAATCAAGCAGCCAGAGAAATAAATAATACATAAAATCAAATAATGCTTTCAACAGGAGAATAGAGGGGATTACTAGATGGAACTATCCATTTTTCACAGGAAGCCAACACTAGATATAATGAGAATTGCAAAGCTGGGCTTTGTCTGAACAGGGCTGTGTCTGAACAGGTGTATATTCTACAGAGCATCAGGTGACATAAATTCAAGGTAAGATCACACACATAGGAAGGTGGAGAGGGATATCTTCTTGAAATCTTCCAAGCTGATCATTTAATTTGGAAAAAAAGCGCTTATAAAGAAAAAAATTAAGGGGCTATGGATTTATCAATTCAGACTGTTTCTAATTTAGTTGAAAGTGCTGCCTATCATAGTTTTGCAAAGTCTGAAGACTGATAGAGTCTACAAACTTTCCAGGCTTGTTAGGAACAGACCTTAAATTACCTGATATGCTGTTCAACTTTTTAAAAAATGCCCCCTGCAGTAATGTGTATTGGGAATTTCCTTCTGTCTCATTAATCTATCACTTTCTAAATTTGGTAGTTGAATTTAATTAAAATTGTTCCTCCCACATGGTTCCATTATCCAATATAGATATTGTTTACCAGTTTTTAAGAAGTTAGCTGCTATTGCATTGGCTAGGCAGACTTAATAGTGGTCATCAATGTCCAGTTTTATTTATTTTTGTCACTATTTTCCACAGGTTTAAATATTAAATCTTGGTCTAAGAAAAGCTAGAATTAAAACCGAATTTGAAATACTGCTCATGGTCAGTAGCATTCTATCAGTTGAAGAGCAAATCACTGAAGAGTGTGACTCACTGGCTTTGAACATGGAACAGCACATCTATCACTAATGGAAGAACTGGCTTCAGCAACACATTATCTGGGACAGAGTAACCAGAAGTGATGTCAGACTATGTGATTAAGTCATTAATTTTCAAGCTCAATTGTGGGAATCTGGGTATTATCTAAGAAAAATGAATAAAAAGCTCTAACACCATAATTTTTATAAACAAGAATGAGGAGGAAAAGAAGATGGTTAGTTTAACTCCACTAAAGTTTCCTTATATATAGCAAAAAGAGAGTGCATTCTAATGTTTCTAGCTAAATAGTTTCCTACTAATGTTGCTACTAACTCTTGTCGCTTTTGAACTAGTAATGACAACAACGGCAATAACTTCAATGACTTTATGAATATCTATTTTATGTCAGTGCTTGGCACTTAAAATCATTATTTCAAATCCTCCCAATAACCTGTAGTCATCTAATTTAGATTCCTGAAAAGAGGAAATTGAATTTTGAAGAAGGTACTTTCCTCAGGTCAAATTATATTAAGTGGTGAAACCTAGAATGAGTAGGTTTGATTACTTCCAAATCCCATGTTTATTTACATTTTTACAATATTGTACAGAACCAAGTCCCCGTGATGAAGACAAGGAAAGAGGCAAGAATGGGAAAGAAGAACCAGCCTGCACACCTGTTGTTTCATAGAGGACTTCTCATACAGAAGTTCTCTATTCTAGTCGGTATTCAGGAATCCTCTGATTCTCTAACCCTCCTAACCAGCTGAATATTTGGGTGAAGGAGTTATTTTCTTCGCTTTACTCATGTCTGCTTGCCATATGACCTCTCTTCTAAGAGTGCTGACTCTTGGCAATGAGATCTTAATGTACATTTCAAATTTGTGGTGTTTTATTTAGGTTTGAAAGACCAAATGTCTGTTGTCCATTTTTCAGTTCCTATTTTTGCTTAGAGATCAATATTACTGCACACATTAATTAGAAAGTTTGGGACTTTGAACATTATCTAGTACTAAAAATAAAATTCAGAGTTGCATTGGAAAATGACAATTATCTTCAACCTCAGTAAGCACAAATTTCTATTTTTAAACATATTCTTTACCTCACTACACCATGGGGAGGGAATTCTCATTTTTAAGAGAATGAGAATCATAAGCACCCCTTTTCTAACAAATTTGTTCCACTCTAAATCAGAAAGATCATCTAAGTGATAAATCTGACTAGTATAAGATTTTGGTGAAATTAGCCAAGAATAAAATCTGAGCTAGTTAACAGTAACCCTTTATTCCTTTTGCTTATTTGTGTATTTGTACATTATTATTCTCTGGCAATGTAGAAGTCAAAGCCAATTAATATTCATTTAAAAATATTTAAGCTTGTATTTACTTTTCATAATGCTCAATGATTTTTATTGTAATATGTATACAATTTTCCATACCTTATATATTTTTATATTTGTCTTATTTATTTTTATCCGTGATGAACACTAAAAAGCACCATGTAGGCCAGGCATGGTAGCGCTTGCCTGTAATCCCAGCTCTTAGAGAGGCCTAGGCAGGTGGATCACTTGAGCCCAGGAATTAGAAACCAGAATGGGCAACATGAAGAAACCCTATCTCTATAAAAATACAAAAAAATTAGCTGGGCGTTGTGGTACACGCCTGTAGTCTCATCTACTCAGGAGGTGAGAGGATCATTTGAGCCTAGGAGGTTAAGGCTGCAGTAAGCCAAGATCATGTCACTGTACTCCGGCCTGGGCAACAAAGTGAGGCCCTGTCTCAAAAAAAAAAAAAAAAAAAAAAAAGGTACCCTATAAAGGTGGTGAGGAATAATATGCCTGTAAATTAATTATAATTTATTTAACAATGTCTAGGAAATAGTTACAAGTTTCCCAGCTATTGCTGTGGGTTCAGTGAGCAGCAAAAGCAACTGGATTCCTGGATTCCTGGATTCCTGTACTCATTGGACATAGGCTGGGGAAGGAAGGAGCATATATGTGTGTTTTTGGGGATTTACTTTTTTTTTTCTCCTGGTCTATTTGTGTTTCTCTAATACTCTGAAACAGAAGAGGGCTGAGTCTGACTAATTTGTGCTAGTTCTGAAACTTTCTCTGAACCTCAACTTTTTCACTTTAAAAAATAGAGTGATTATAACTTCTCCCCAGAGAAGCTGTCAGATTGCATGAAATACTGTGTGTAAAGAACTCGGTATAGTGCGGGACAGAGATGCACCTAATATGAGCTTTTATTATCACCCTTGCCGTTTCAAATGTCCACTTCTCTACCATTGCATACTATACTCTGTGGAATGCTTTTCTATGAGGTTTTAGGGGCATAAATACCTATGGGTTCTAGAAGTATGAATTCTAGTACCGAGATTAAGAATTTTGGATTAGAAAACAGGGAGGCTTGGCTCAAAGGCCAGAAACAGTGAGATGAGAGCTTCATATATCTGAGGATTGAGAGTCTCCAGCACTATAAGACATTTAGGTTCACCACTTGAGGGAGGAGCAGTTTTCCATCTATGTTTTAAAGTTATTAAGCTAAAGTTAGCATTAGGTAAAAGCACAGCTAATGGAAAAAGAAGAAAAAAACCACTGGAGAAGAACAAATGGTTATGTGATTAAATATCTAGCTCTAGCTGAACCAAAAGCTTTTTATTCTCCCAAGTAGTTTTGTGAATGTTTTGGAAGACACCAGAAAACTATATATACCTGGCACATAGTTGATGCTCATTGTGTATTTCTTGAACAAATGAATGAAAAAAAATGAATGGATAATAAATTTTGCCCTGGATTATAAAATTGTAAAAAAGCCACCTAAAAATAGTAATTTACAAGGAGTAGGGAAAACAGTTTTAGACTGTATTGATATTGGTGAGGATTAGAAATGTGTGCTAATTCTGTTAGCATTGAACCTTTTGGAAGATACATGTTGGTTTTCAGAGTTGTCTATTCAAAAGTACATAGGCACAAGGGCAGTAACTTTTCTATCAGGAAAGAATTTAGCTACTTTGCTCAATAAAACATTTTTAGAAATATACTGTCCAAATACAGTACAGAAGCTCTCTGATTTATAGTGAGGTTATATCACAATAAACCCAACGTAAGTTGAAAATATCATGAAGTGAAAAGGCATTTAATACACCTAACCCTACCAAACATCATAGTCTACCTCAAATGTGTTCGGAATACTTAACATTAGCCTACAGTTGGGCAAATTCATCTAATACAAAGCCTATTTTATAATAAAGTGTTGACTATTTCATATAACTTATCAAATGCTGAAAGTGAAAAAACAGAATGGTTATATGAGTATTTACCGTTAATGTACACAGCTGAAAGCACACTGGGCCTGAAGAATGAAGCATTGAACCAAGATTAATTGCTAAATGATGGGGATGCTACAGCAACAGGGTCATCAATTTCTTTCTCTTCCAATGAGGCTTGAGACTAGCTGGAGGAAGTCACTGGGGCATCAGCATGTTTACAGTTTAGCAGGCATAGTGTTCTTCAGGAAGATATCAAGTTTTGATTGTATAGCTCGCTTCTTCTTTTCATTGCATGTGTATTTCTCTATAGGAGGAAAGAATATCCTGTATCTGCCTGTCAGCTCTTGAGAGTCTCTTGGAATTGATAACCATCTCTTCTAACGTCCATATGCCGCTACCAACAGTAGCAAACACCTACACCGGTTTCTTTGCTGTGAACTTTCTTGGTGCCTTGGATATAACTTCTTCCTCTGCCTCAACTTCTTTACTTCTTTCTTCCTCCAGTTCAATCAGTCCCTCAGCCCCAATGCCAACAAACTCATGAATATCCTCTTCATCAATGTCCAATTCTAGCTACTTCCCAAGCACTAAAATCTTGTTCCTTACCATTTCATCAACAGCAGAATCTTTGTTAAAGCCTTTGAATGTGTTCACACGTCTTCAAAATTTTCTTCCAAATGCCATTGGTGCATTGCTGTGCGACATCCTCCCTTGTTGCAACAATGTTCCAGATAGCATTTAGAATGTTAAAATCTTTCCAAAACTATCCGTGTTTGGCCAGATTTAGTCACTTCAGCAGCCTGTGCAAACATTTGGTGTAGATAGTATGCTCTGAATACAGTATTGTGATTTTGTCCATTGGTTGAATGAGTGAAGTCATGTTAGACAGCAGTTAACTTTTTGTTACATCAGGATGCATATCACCAATATGCTGTGCATTGTCTAAGATCAGAAGAATCTTGAATGGGATATTGTTTTGCCTACAGTATTCTCTTGCCTATGGAATTAAACAGTTCAAAAACCAGTCTTCAAGCAATGCTAACATCATCCAGGCTTTCTTGTTATGGTAATAATAAATAGGAAGAATATACTTACATTCTTGAATGCTCTAGGGCTCTGAGAATGGTAGATTAGTAAAGGCTTTAATTTGACCCTACAACATTTCCAACCGAAAGCATCATTGCATTGCATGGTCTTTGAATGCCTCGAATCTTGGCATTGTCTTGGGCTGTTGATGAATGTATATATGCCCTGGCATACGCTTCCAGAACAAGCTTGTTTTATTGACACCAAATATTTGTTCTGGCAAATATTTCTTATCAAGTATCCTATGCAACTCTTCCTTAAAAACTTCGGTACCTTCATTATTGGCATCTGCTTCCTCGCCACGGACCTTCACATTATGAAAATTCTGATACCTTTTACCTTGACTTGCTGTCAACATTTGCAGGTAGACATGCTCTTTTAATGTATTGAAAAGATTTATTGACTTAACCTGGATCGGCAGTAGGCTAAGTGGTATTTGCTTCTGTATCTTGTCTTCTATCCGCATGACAAGTGATTTTTCCATATCATTAACTGACCCAGGTTTTTAATGGTGGTAACAGTGCATTTAACTGATGCTGATGATTTCACTGCATCACGGATTCACTTCTTATCCTTTAAGGTGGTTGAGATTGTGGATTGTGAAAGTCCTAACTCACATGCAGTAGCCATTATTGGCTTGCCACCTTGTTGAGCAATTATTTTGAGTTCTCAAGAGTAATTGCCTTCCACTTCTCACCAGACACAGGAGACAGACTGGCCTATTTTAGACATGATGGGATGCAAAAACATAAAACACAATATCCAAACAATGCTGGAAACTCAGTATACTGTGGAATATCAGTTGTTTACCCTCATGATTGTGTGGCTGATTGGGAACTGTGGATCACTGCAACTGGCCAGAATCATGAGTATCATACTACATAACATCATCCCAGGAAAACATCAAAAATGATATTTAAAGTAAGATTTCTACTGAATGTGTATCACTTTTGCACCATTATAAAGTTGAAAAATAGTAAATTGAACCACTGTAAATTGGGGGCTGCCTGTATTCTAATCTATAATGACAATGTAGTATCTGGGTAAACTAATAGTATTTCATTTAATTATCATGCAGTCAGCCCTGTCGTTGGCAACATTAAACAGAAAAATTTTGTGTTACCTTACAAAAAGAAGCATTATGCATTGGCTTAGTAAGTTCTCCAGACATGATTAATGTATTCAAAGCTTTTTAAATGTTATTTTGAGTTGTCATTCAGTTTGTGATATAAAGGTTCTTGTTGAATTTTATTCTGGTTAAAAGCCATTTTTCTCATGAAAGATAAGTGTGAAATGGTCAATGGCTTCATGTCCCCTCATTGCATGATCTCATATTACCCTGAGGTTCAGGTAATGTTTAATTTAGTTACAAAATGATTTAGAAAATGTAAAGCATTTAAGCAAACATATTTAAAATTATAGACCTCTAAGGAACCTACAGAACACCTCATCCAAACCTGCATTTCAGAAACCAAAAAATGGAGGAATAGGAAGAAAAAGTGTTTGGTTCGAGGTAGTTTACCACTGGCAAACTTCTGTTATTTCTATTAAATTCTGATGCTTTATCTTCATGGGCTACTTCTCTTTCAGATAAATAAGATTATGTAACTTTACATGTATTCTTAACCTTGACTTAGTCATATTTGTATCTTTTCTATTTAATGTATTTATTTTTTTTTTCAGTGAATTGGCTTGTGTGTTTTTTCCATGATCTTATAACAACAAGGAATGTTTTAAGGAAGGAAACGTAAAATAGTGATAATTATTTGGAAGAAGAGCCAACACTTGATATACACCAGTTGATGGTAGTTAACCACACTGGGCTATGCTTTATGCCTCCCCCAGTAACCATTTCCTTAGAACATCCTCTGTTCTTCCCTAAAATACAGTACACTAATTCAATGATAATAAAGTATTGTTTTTGTATACATTATTAAATTTACCCTAATATTTCATTTATACAAAACTGAGGTTTTTCACTTTCCTTAGTAGCTATTGAATAGAAATACAAACTCTTTCCCTTCCATTGATATATTTAAATATAGATGTCTGTATAATCTTCTATTTTATATGCAGCCCTTCTTTATAGAAACAGTATGGTAAATTCAGGGTAGATAAAGTGTTGTATGTTTGATAACCAAAGAAGTCATGTAATGGGGAAATGGGTAATATATTAGTTGTTCTTACCTTACTCAAATAAAATTGAGCCTATATTTCTTTCTGCAATGCCTGACAATTTTCCTCACAATGTTGATAGATAGGAACTTAGTTTATTTTTGTTAGAAAAAGTTATTTCTCTAAGTAACGTGGTTTATGGGAAAATTGTGACAGAGCAATAAAAAAACTAGAGAATGTTAAAATTGCTGCTTGTCGTATACTATGACAAACAATAAAATCCTACAATAATGTTTATCTTATTCTTATCACTAAATCTAGTGAGGTCTTATTTTTGGCATTTTTTGTTTGGTTATTTAGGATTTTTTTGAAATGTATTTTTTCATTTTAAAGAAAGGTATATGTAACATAGTGCCTGCCATTTGAATACTATTGGCTTGGGCTTCCTCATCCATGAAATTAGTGAGTTGATATTTAGATATTTCTAAGGTTACTTCCAGTTCTAAAAGTCAGTTTCCATTATTTACTTCTCCCACATGATACAGTTCTTCTCTGTTGAAATGAATATATTTGTATGTGTTCATTCAAAAGTCCTATTCACATTGTAGTGATTTATTCATTCAAATTTTAGGAAGTGCATTCTGCATGCCTGACATGTTACATGTACTGTAGAACTAGTGTGAGTCAAGCATTGGTAAACTGGTTTACTGGCTAAATGCAGCCTGCTACCTATTTTTGCAAATAAAGATTTTTTTTTTTTTTTTGAGACAGAGTCTCGCTCTGTTCCCAGGCTGGAGTGCAGTGAGTGGCGTAATCTTGGCTCACTGCAACCTCCGCCTCCCACGTTCAAGCAATCTTCCTGCCTCAGCCTCTTGAATAGTTGGGACTACAGGTGCGTGTCACCATGCTCAGCTAATTTTTTGTATTTTTAGTACAGACGTGGTTTTCACCAGGTTTGCCAGGATGGTCTTGATCTCTTGACCTTGTGATCAACCTGCCTTGGCCTCCCAAAGTGCTGGGATTACAGGCGTGAGCCACCGCGCCCAGCCGCAAATAAAGATTTTTAAAACATAGCTACATCCTTTTGGTTGACTATGTCTGTGGCTGCTTTCACACCACAACACAGAGTTGACTAATTGTGAGAGAATGTATTGCCCAGAAAACCTAAAATATTTACTTTCTGGTCCTTTACAGAAAAAGCTTGCAAAACAAAAATGTATTTTATTGAGACTGTTAGAGATTTTTATTGATTGCACTATAATAAGGATTTCTGTTGTTGGTGTTCTTGGAAGTGTGTGTGTGTGTGTGTGTGTGTGTGTGTTTTGGGTCTTAAAAGTGCATCTTTGCTTTGTTCATTTTTCAATCTGTTATTCTCTCTCATACTAGCATTTCAATTGATTTTACTTTAAGTAAATAACCAGTAGCTGTTTGTATTAGTCACGGTTCTTCAGAAAAACAGAACAAATAGGTTAGAGATACATGTAAGAGAAAATTTATTATGGGAATTGGCTCACACTATTATGGTGACTGAGAGGTCCCACAATCTGCCATCTGCAGTCTAGGGAACAAGGAAAGCCAGTGGTGTAATTTAGTCTGAGCTTAAAGGCTTGAGAATCTCAGAGGCCCCACTGGTACAAACCCTGGAGTCTGAAGACACGAGAACCAGGAATTCTAGTGTCCAAGGTCAAGAGAAGATGGATGTTCCAGCTCAAGGAGAGAGAGAGAATTTGCCTTTCTTCCATCTTTTGTTCTATTCAGGCCCCCAACTGATTGGATGATCCGCACCCATAGTGGTGAGGGAGAATCTTCTTTACTCAGTGTCTATCTGAGATTCTGCAACAAAATACCATGAACTTGGTGGCATATAAACAATGGAAATCTATTTTTCATGGTTCTGGAAGCTGAAAATTCCAAGATCAAGATGCTGGCAGATTTGGTGTCCGGTGAGGGCCCACTGCTTAGTTCATAGAATGGCACCTTCTTGCTGTGTCCTCACATGTTGGAAGGGATTGAAGAAGCTCCCTTGTACCTGTATAAGGGCACTAATCTCATTATGAAGGCCTCGCTCTCATGACCTAATCACCTCCTGAAAAACCCCACTTCTTAACACAGTCACCTTGGGGGTTAGGATCTCATCACATCTTTTTTTTATTTTTTATTTTTATTTATTTTTATTTGTGGGGGTGACGAACATTCAGACTGTGGTGCTCAGTATACTGACTCAAATAATATTGTCTTTAAGATGACACAGAGGCCAGGCACAGTGGCTCATGCCTGTAATCCCAGCACTTTGGGAGGCCGAGGCAGGCGGATCACGAGGTCAGGAGATCAAGACCATCCTGGCTAACACGGTGAAATCCCGTCTCTACTAAAAATACAAAAAATTATCCTGGTGTGGTTGCGGGCGCCTGTAGTCCCAGCTACTCGGGAGCCTGAGGCAGGAGAATGCCGTGAACCCGGGAGGCGGAGCTTGCAGTGAGCTGAGATTGTGCCACTGCACGCCAGCCTGGGGGACAGAGTGAGACTCTGTCTCAAAAAAAAAAAAAAAAAAAAAAAAAGAAAAGAAAAGATGACACAGATACATCCAGAAATAATGTTTTACCAGCTATCTGGACATCCTTCAGACTAGTCAAGTTGTTACATAAAATTAACCACCCCACTTCACTTAAAATTATCAAGCCAGTAATGTATCTGTTTCAATTGTCTTGCTATTTAAGATGATTGTAAAAGATCTTAAATAAAACTTGTAATTTTGTCTATAAAACACTGTCAGTGAATTAAAGATTCATTTCCAAGTTCTCTGAAACCCTTATATGTTGCACTAGAATATTTTTCTGTGAAAATCAGAAGAGATTATGCTAATAACAATTTGTCATAGGTTATTATTATTATTAGTTTTTGAGATAGAGTCTAACTCTATCACCCAGGCTGCAGTGCAGTGGCACGATCTCGGCTCACTGCAACCTCAGCCTCCCAGGCTCAAGAAATTCTGGTGCCTCAGCCTCCGAGTAGCTGGGATTACAGGTGCGCACCACCACGCCCAGCTAATTTTTGTATTTTTAGTAGAGACAGGTTTCACCATGTTGCCCAGGCTGGTTTCGAACTTGTGGTCTCCAGTGGTCTACTTGCCTCAGCCTCCCAAAGTGCTGTGATTACAGGGGTGAGCCACTGCGCACAGCCTTGTCATAGGTTATTTTTTAAGTGATATTTATAGTGCTTTTGATAGATTGAAAGCAAATCCTGTTTGATAAGAAGAATGTATTTGGACTGCTCTTTTCAGTCTAAAGTAGACTTTTCATTTAAGAGCCATTGCCAATTTTCCCCTTGCTTTTGTTCTTCCACAGAATGTGTGGCGGGGAGGGGGAGGAGAGATGGAGATAAAATGAGGAAGTTGCAGGAACTCCAATAACACTCTGCGGCACATGATGAAAGAGACTTGCTTAAGTTAACATTTAGGTCTTACAGTTGCTTAAGCTTCACGGTTCCCTTCACCTTCTCAGGAAATTAGACTTAATACACTTTTTACAGTTGACTCTATTATATCAGAGGATGATTAATGAGGATGACATTTACCCTGATTGTTGTGCTCTTCAAAAACATATTCTCCACGAAGAGCTCGCATTTCTAGGCTCCAGATGGAGATGACATTCTTTGGGGGGAAGAAATATAGTTGCACTCTGTTTTGCTAACCACATTTTCAGGTACCAATTTCTATCATGGTACTTCTTGTCAGACTCATCAGAAGAGCTATACTTTCTTGGAAGTACAGCACTCATCAGTTTCTGAGCATTAAATTACATAACTCCTTCCCTTTTTAAAAAGTTCATTGAAGATGCTAAATTCTATCTTAAATTAAACTGAATTTTTTGAAAAATTCCAGGAAACTTTTGCTGGAGAAACTTTAAAGGCTTCAATTGTGACTTACAATGATAATTCAGGACATAAATATCTAAGAGCAGGATTTATTTCCCACAAATTACCTTTCACGTCACACAAACAGGGGGACTAACTAGCTGTTCTGATCTTATAGCAACTCCAACATCCTTGTCACTTGGAAATGGCTTTCAGCCATAGTTGTCAATTGACATCAGACATCTAAAACTTTAGATTTTTTCTGGAGTTACTGGAAGCTAGAAATTGGTGTTACTCTCCTTGTATGTCATTTTATAGGCACATAAGGCAACATTGATTCTGTATCAGATGCAAGGTAGTCTAGTAAAGGAGGAACTTGTGTAAATTTCTCCCCACAACAAACAGATACACTGGTTTTGGGGTCTGGACTAGAATATTTCTTAACTAATGCATTATTAAGTGAGTTCCTCATACATACCAGCATGATATTTATTCTTATGGAGCTCAGAGTTCAACTGAGCTTCAGAGGCCTGGGCTGTGCCTCAGGTCTGGGCATAACAGATCCACAGGACTGATTTGAGGACACCAGATAATGACATCCAACGTGACATAAAATATACTTTTGAGGAAGCAAATGTGAAAATGAAATTTGAGGCAGATAGTTCAAATAAGGCATCTTTCCAAAGGGATGAGGTTGAGAGGCAGAGTCTAGATATGAGGCTATAGGATATACCAGAGCTTCCAGCCAAACCTGAGAGCTTTTGGATTGGACCATGGAATGGAAGGAACTGGGAGAAGGCCCAGGAGGGAGCTGTTAGAAACACTGAGATGCCCAGGCAGCGCTTACCTTATTAATGCAGAATAATCCAGGGGAAGAGCCTCCAAAATAAAGAATAGCCTCAATCATAGAAAACTTTAAGAAAATTGTTTTGGTACTTTAAAGTAAATCATTACTGTACTATCTTAATTTAGAACACCAAAGTAATGTCCAATAGTGACACCTTAAAAATGGTCTTAATGAATAGATGCCATGGACTGTAATTAAATGTAATATGTTTTCATATTTGTTATTACTTCTAATGTATTTAAAAATTTTCTTTGCTCACTTAGGTACAGCATTTTTCTTGCAATGATATTTGCACTATTACTTAGTTAAGTCTTTTCGTATGCATTGTGAAAAATCAACTTTCTTTTAATGCTACAACTACAGGATCACAAATCTCAGGTTATCAGAGTTCCAAATGAGCTTTGAAACATCTCCATGTCACTCTACGCTAGGAGAAATAACCTTTTCTTTTCCATTCTATTCATTGTTAGTTACCACTAGGACCTTATTTCATTGCAATGAAAACTTAACAGTCAGCAAAAACTTATATATCACAACAAATTTAGGAAGATCCTACTCTAAGTCTGTTGAGAATATAAAGGGATTGAAAGAGAAAACTTGTCTCTTAAGATGATAAGTGTATTTCTTCAAATGTATTTCCATATTTTAATGTTTCTAGAATATGATTGAGTCTTTCATTATAAAATAATTTTGCCCGACATAGTTAAAATTTGTTTTATCCTTTAAACTTGTCATTTAATTGATAATATGCCTTGTAATTGATGGTATTTGGGAAATAAGAAAACATTGCTTTTAAGATTTTTAACATTCCCAGGCCGGGCGCGGTGGCTCACGCCTGTAATCCCAGCACTTTGGGAGGCCGAGGCGGGCGGATCACGAGGTCAGGAGATCGAGACCATCCTGGCTGACATAGTGAAACCCTGTCTCTACTAAAAAAATACAAAAAGTTAGCTGGGCATGGTGGCAGACACTGGTAGTCCCAGCTACTCGGGAGGCTGAGGCAGGAGAATGGTGTGAACCCGGGAGGTGGAGCTTGCAGTGAGCTGAGATCACGCCACTGCACTCCAGCCTGGGCGACACAGCGAGACTCCGTCCCCCCCCACCAAAAAAAAAAGAAAAAGAAAAAAAGATTTTTGACATTCCCATGATTCAGAGTTATCTGCCTTTTTGGATCTAATTTCAACCAATAGGTCTGAGATAAACTTGATCTTCCTACTAAAGTGATTGACTTCTATTCACCTCTTCTTTTGGCCGTTTTAAGAACACCTTTGCTTAGCAACTTAATCCCCAGTCAATTCCTTTTCCTGTTTCTCACAGGAACCATTACCGTTTTCTTTTCTTTCTTTCTTTTTTTTTTTAATTATACTTTAAGTTCTGGGATACATGTGCAGAATGTGCAGGTTTGTTACATAGGTATACACATGCCATGGTGGTTTTCTGCATCCATTAACTCGTCATCTACATTAGGTATTTCTCCTAATGCTATCCCTCCCCTTGCTCTCCACCCCCTGGTAGGCCCTGGTGAGTGATGTTCCCCACCCTGTGTCCATGTATTCTAACAGTTCAACTCCCACTTATGAGTGAGAACATGCAGTGTTTGGTTTTCTCTTCCTATGTTAGTTTGCTGAGAATGATGATTTCCAGCTATATCCATGTCCCTGCAAAGGACATGAACCCATCCTTTTTCATGGCTGCATAGTATTCCATGGTGTATATGTGGCATATTTTCTTTATCCAGTCTATCATTGATGGGTATTTGGGTTGGTTCCAAGTCTTTGCTATTGTGAATATTACTGCAATAAACATACATGTAAATGTGTCTTTATAGTAGAATAATTTATAATCCTTTGGGTATATACCCAGTAATGGGATTGCTGGGTCAAATGGTATTCCTGGTTCTAGATCCTTGAGGAATCACCACACTGTCTTCCACAATGGTTGAACTAATTTACACTCCCACCAACAGTGTAAAAGCATTCCTACCTCTCCACATCCTCTCCAGCATCTGCCATCTCCTGACCCTTCAATGATCACCATTGTAAGTGGCATGAGATGGCATCCCATTGTGGTTTTGATTTGCATTTTTCTAATGACCAGTGATGAAGAGCTTCTTTTCATATGTTTTTTGGTCACATAAATGTCCTCTTTTGTGAAGTGTCTGCCTATATCCTTTGCCCAATTTTTGATGGGGTTGTTTGTTTTTTTCTTGTAAATCTGTTCAAGTTTCTTGTAGATTCTGGATAGCAGCCCTTTGTCAGATGGATAGACTGCACAAATTTTCTCCCATTCTGTAGGTTGCCCATTCACTCTGATGATAATTTCTTTTGCTGTGCAGAAGCTCTTTAGTTTAACTAGATCTGATTTGTCAATTCTGGCTTATGTTGTCATTGCTTTTGGTGTTTTAGTCATGAAGTCTTTGCCCATGCCTGTGTCCTGAATGGTATTGCCTAGGTTTTCTTCTAGGGTTTTTATAGTTTTAGGGTTTACATTTAAGTCTGCAATCTATCTTGAGTTAATTTTTTCTATAAAGTGTAAGGAGGGGGTCCAGTTTCAGTTTTCTGCATATGGCTAGCCAGTTTTCCCAGCACCATTTATTAAATAGGGAATCCTTTCCCCGTTGCTTCGTTTTGTCAGGTTTGTCAAAGATCAGATGGTTGTAGATGTGTGGTGTTATTTCTGAGGCCTCTGTTGTGTTGTATTGTTCTATATATCTGTTTTGGTACCAGTATCCTGCTGTTTTGGTTACTGTAGCCTTGTAGTATAGTTTGAAGTCAGGTAGCATGATGCCTCTTTTTGCTTAGGATTGTCTTGGCTATACAGGCTCTTTTTTTGGTTCCATATGTAATTTAAAGTAGTGTTTTCTAATTCTGTGAAAAAAGTCAGTGGTAGATGGATGGGGATAGCATTGAATCTATAAATTACCTTGGGCAGTATGGACGTTTTCACGATATTGATTCTTCCTATCCATGAGCATGAAATGTTTTTCCATTTGTTTGTGTCTTCCCTTATTTCCTTGAGCAGTGGTTTGTAGTTCTCCTTGAAGATGTCCTTCACATTTCTTGTAAGTTGTATTCCTAGGTATTTTATTATCTTTGTAGCAACTGTGAATTGGAGTTCACTCATGATTTGTCACTCTGTTTGTCTATTATTGGTGTATAGGAATGCTTGTGATTTTTGCACATTGTTTTTATATCCTGAGACTTTGCTGATATTGCTTATCAGCTTAAGGAGGTTTTGAGCTGAGATGATGGGGTTTTCTAAATATACAATCATGTCATCTGCAAACAAAGACAATTTGACTTCTTCTCTTCCTATTTGAATACTCTATTTCTTTCTCTTGCCTGATTTCCCTGGCCAGAACTTGCAATACTACGTTGAATAGAAGTGGTGAAAGAGGACATCCTTGTCTTGTGTCAGTTTTCAAAGGGAATGCTTCCAGTTTTTGCCCATTCAGTGTGATATTGGCTGTGGGTTTGTCATAAATAGCTCTTATTATTTTGAGATACGTTCCATCAATACCTAGTTTATTGAGAGTATTTACCATGAAGGAGTGTTGAATTTTATCGAAGGCCTTTTCTGCAACTATTGAGATGATCATGTGGTTTTTATCATTGGTTCTGTTTATATGCTGGATTACATTTATTGATTTGCATATGTTGAACCAGGCTTGCATCCCAGGGATGAAGCCAACTTGATCATAGTAGATAAGCTTTTTGATGTGCTGTTGATTTGGTTTCTCAGTATTTTATTGAGGTTTTTCGCATCAATGTTCATTAGGGATATGACCTGAAATTTTCTTTTTTTTGTTGTGTTTCTGCCAGGTTTTGGTATCAGGATGATGCTGGCCTCATAAAATGAGTTAGGGAGGAGTACATATTTTTCTATTGTTTGTAATAGTTTGAGAAGGAATGGTACCAGCTCCTCTTTGTACCTCTGGTAGAATTTGGCTGTGAATCCATCTGGTCCTGGGCTTTTTTTGGTTGGTAGGCTATTAATTACTGCCTCAATTTCAGAGCTAGTTATTGGTCTATTCAGGTGTTTGACTTCTTCCTGGTTTAATCTTGGGAGGGTGTGTGTGTTCAGGAATTTATCCATTTCTTCTAGATTTTCTAGTTTATTTGCATAGAGGTGTTTATATTATTCTCTGATGGTAGTTTGTTTTTCTGTGGGATCAGTGGTGATATCCCCTTTATCATTTTTTTATTGTGTCTATTTGATTCTTCTCTCTTTTCTTCTTTATTAGTCTGGCTAGCCATCTATCAATTTTGTTAATCTTAAAAAAAAACAGCTCTTGGATTCATTTATTTTTTTGAAGGGTTTTTTTTTTGTGTCTCCATCTCCTTCAGTTCTGCTCTGATCTTAGTTATTTCTTGCCCTCTGCCAGCTTTTGAATTTGTTTGCTCTTGCTTCTGCAGTTCTTTTAATTGTGTTGTTAGGGTGCTGATTTTAGATCTTTCCTGCTTTCTCCTGTGGGCATTTAGTGCTACAAATTTCCCTCTAAAAACTCCTTTAGCTGTGTCCCAGAGATTCTGGCACATTGTATCTTTGTTCTCATTGGCTTCAAGTAACTTATTGATTTCTGCCTTAATTTTCTTATTTACCCAGTAGTCATTCGGGAGAAGGTTTTTCAGTTTCCATGTAGTTGTGCAGTTTTGAGTGAGTTTCTTAAGCCTGAGTTCTAATTTGGTTGCACTGTGGTCTGACATACCATTTGTTATGATTTTTGTTCTTTAGCATTTGCTGAAGAGTGTTTTACTTCCAATTATGTGGTCAATTTTAGAAAAAGTGAGATGTGGTGCTGAGAAGAATGTATACTCTGTTGATTTAGGGTGAAGAATTCTGTAGATGTCTATTAGGTCCACTTGGTCCAGAGCTGTGTTCAAGTCCTGAATATCCTTGTTAATTTTCTGTCTTGTTGATCTGTCTAATATTGACAGTGGGGTATTAAAGGCTCCCACTATTATTGTGTGGGAGTGTAAGTCTCTTTGTAGATCTCTAAGAACTTGCTTTATGAATTGGGTGCTCCTGTCTTGCGTGCATATATATTTAAGATAGTTAGCTCTTCTTGTTGCATTGATCTGTTTACCATTATGTAATGCCCTTCTTTGTCTGTTTTGATCTCTGTTGGTTTAAAGTTTGTTTTTTCAGAGACTAGCTTTGCAATCCCTGCTTTTTTTTTGCTTTCCATTTGCTTGGTAAATATTCCTCCATCCCTTTATTTTGAGCCTGTATGCATGTTTGCATGTGAGATGGGTCTCCTGAATACAGCACATCATTGGTCTTGACTTTTTATCCAATTTGCCAGTCTGTGTCTTTTAATTGGGGAATTGCACCGATTTATATTTAAGGTTAATATTGTTTTGTGTAAAGTTGATCTTGTCATTATGATGCTAGCTGATCATTTTGCCCATTAGTTGATGCAGTTTCTTCATAGTGCCGATGGTCTTTACAATTTGGTATATTTTTGCAGTGGCTGGTACTTGTTTTTTCTTTTCATGTTTAGTGCTTCCTTCAGGAGCTCTTGTAAGGCAGGCCTGGTGATGACAAAATCTCTCCGCATTTGCTTGTCTGTCTTTCGCTTATGAAGCTTAGTTTGGCTGGATATGAAATTCTGGGTTGCAAATTCTTTTCTTTAGGAATGTTGAATATTGGCCCCCACTCTCTTCTGGCTTGTAGGGTTTCTGCTGAGAGCTCTGCTGTTAGTCTGATGGGCTTCCCTTTGTGGGTAACCTGACCTTTCTCTCTGGGGACCCTTCACATTTTTTCCTTCATTTTAACCTTGGTGAATCTGACAATTATGTGTCTTGGGGTTGCTCTTCTCAAAGAGTATCTTCATGGTGTTCTCTGTATTTTCAGAGTTTGAAAGTTGCCCTCTCTTGCTAGGTTGAGGAAGATCTCTTGGATAATATCCTGAATAGTGTTTTCCAGCTTGGTTCCATTCTCCCCATCACATTCAGGTACACCAATCAGACATAGATTTGGTCTTTTCACATAGTCCTGTATTTCTTGGAGGCTTTGTTCATTCCTTTTTATTCTTTTTCTCTAATTTGTCTTCAAACTTTATTTCATTAGGTTGATCTTCAGTCTGTGATATCCTTTCTTCTGCTTGATCGATTAGGCTATTGATACTTGTGTAGGCTTCATGAAGTTCTCATGCTGTGTTTTTCAGCTTCATCAGGTCATTTATGTTCTTCTCTAAACTGATTATTCTAGTTAGCAATTCCTCTAACCTTTTTTCAAGGTTCTTAGCTTCCTTATATTGGATTAGAACATGCTCCTTTAGCTTGGTGCAGTTTGTTATTTCCCACCTTCTGAATCCTTCTTCTGTCAATTTGTCAAACTCATTCTTTGTTCAGTTTTGTTCCCTTGCTGGTGAGAAGTTGTGATCCTTTGGAGGAGAGAGGAGTTTTGGTTCTTGGAATTTTCAGCCCTTTTGCGCTGGTTTTTCCTCATCTTTTTGGATTCATCTACCTTTGCTCATTCATTCTGGTAACCTTCGGATGGGGTTTTTGTGTTGACATACTTTTTGTTGATGTTGATGCTATTCCTTTCTGTTTGTTAGTTTTCCTTCTGACAGTCAGGCCTCCCTGTTGCAGGTCTGCTGGAGTTTGCTGGAGGTCCACTCTGGACACTGTTTGCCTGGGTATCAGCTGCTGAGGCTGCAGAACAGCAAAGATTGCTGCCTGTTCCTTCCTCTGAAAGCTTCATCCCAGAGGGGCACCTGCCAGATGCCAGCTGGAGCTTTCCTGTATGATCCCTACTGGGAGGTGTCTCCCAGTCAGGAGGCATGGGGGTCAGGGACCCACTTAAGGAAGCAGTCTGTCCCTTAGCAGAGCTCAAGTGCTGTGCTGGGAGATCTGCTGCTCTCTTCAGAGCCAGCAGGCAGGAATATTTAAGTCTGCTGAAGCTGCACCCACAGCTGACCCTTCCCACAGGTACTCTGTCCCAGGTAGATGGGAGTTTTATCTATAAGCCCCTGACTCAGGCTGCTTCCTTTCTTTCAGAGATGCCCTGCCCAGAGAGCAGGAATCTAGAGAGGCAGTCTGGTTACAGTGGCTTTGTGGCAGCTTCACTGGGCTCTGTCCAGTTCGAATTTCCCGGTGGCTTTGTTTACACTATGAGCGGAAAACTGCCTACTCAAGCCTCAGTAATAGGGGACACCCCTCCCCCAACCAAGACCAAGCATCCCAGGTCGACTTCAGACTGCTGTGCTGGGAGTGAGAATTTCAAGCCAGTGGATCTTAGCTTGCTAGGCTCCCTGGCAGTGGGATCCACTGAGCTAGACCACTTGGCTCCCTGGCTTCAGCTGCCTTTCCAGGGGAGTGAATGGTTCTGTCTCACTGGCATTCCAGGTACCACTGGGTACAAAAAAAAAAAATCTCCTGCAGCTAGCTCAGTGTCTGCCCCAAGGGCCACCCGGTTTTGTGCTTGAAACCCAGGGCCCTGGTGGTGTAGGCACCCAAGTGAATCTCCTGGTCTGCAGTTTGGGAAGACTGTGGGAAAAGCACAGTATCTGGGCTGGAACGCACCATTCCTCACATCATAGTCCTTCACAGCTTCCCTTAGCTAGAGGAGGGAGTTCCCTGACCCCTTGTACTTCCCGGGTAAGGTGACTCCCCACCCTGCTTCCGCTCACCCTCTGTGGGCTACACCCACTGTCTAACCAGTCCCAATGAGATGAGTTGGGTACCCCAGTTGGAAATACAGAAATCACCTTCCTTTTGCATTGATCTTGCTGGGAACTGCAGACCGGAGCTGTTCCTTTTCATTCATCTTGCCAGCCACACCATTACCATTTTCTTTTCTGTTTTTTTTTTTTGTTTGTATTTATTTATTTATTTATTTTATTTTATTATTATTATACTTTAAGTTTTAGGGTACATGTGCACAATGTGCTGGTTAGTTACATATGTATACATGTGCCATGCTGGTGTGCTGCACCCATTAACTTGTCCTTTAACATTAGGTATATCTCCTAAAGCTATCCCTCCCCCCTCCCCCCACCCCACAACAGGCACCAGTGTGTGATGTTCCCCTTCCTGTGTCCATGTGTTCTCATTGTCCAATTCCCACCTATGAGTGAGAACATTCGGTGTTTGGTTTTTTGTCCTTGCGATAGTTTGCTGAGAATGATGGTTTCCAGCTTCATCCACGTCCCTACAAAGGACATGAACTCATCATTTTTAATGGCTGCATAGTATTCCATGGTGTGTATGTGCCACATTTCCTTAATCCAGTCTATCATTGTTGGACATTTGGGTTGGTTGCAAGTCTTTGCTATTGTGAATAGTGCCGCAATAAACATGTGTGTGCATGTGTCTTTATAGCAGTATGATTTATAATCCTTTGGGTATATACACAGTAATGGGATTGCTGGGTCAAATGGTATTCCTGGTTCTAGATCCTTGAGGAATCACCACACTGTCTTCCACAATGGTTGAACTAATTTACACTCCCACCAACAGTGTAAAAGCATTCCTACCTCTCCACATCCTCTCCAGCATCTGCCATCTCCTGACCCTTCAATGATCACCATTGTAAGTGGCATGAGATGGCATCCCATTGTGGTTTTGATTTGCATTTTTCTAATGACCAGTGATGAAGAGCTTCTTTTCATATGTTTTTTGGTCACATAAATGTCCTCTTTTGTGAAGTGTCTGCCCATATCCTTTGCCCAATTTTTGATGGGGTTATTTGTTTTTTTCTTGTAAATCTGTTCAAGTTCCTTGTAGATTCTGGATAGCAGCCCTTTGTCAGATGGATAGATTGCAAAAATTTTCTCCCATTCTGTAGGTTGCCCATTCACTCTGATGATAATTTCTTTTGCTGTGCAGAAGCTCTTTAGTTTAATTAGATCCCATTTGTCAATTTTGGCTTTTGTTGCCATTGCTTTTGGTGTTTTAGACATGAAGTCCTTGCCCATGCCTATGTCCTGAATGGTAATGCCTAGGTTTTCTTCTAGGGTTTTTGTGGTTTCAGGCCTAATATTTAAGTCTTTAATCCATCTTGAATTAATTTTTGTATAAGGTGTAAGGAAGGGATCCAATTTCAGCTTTCTACATATGGTTAGCCAGTTTTCCCAGCACCATTTATTAAATAGGGAATCCTTTCCCCATTGCTTGTTTTTCTCATGTTTGTCAAAGAACAGATAGTTGTAGATATGCGGCATTATTTCTGAGGGCTCTGTTTTTGTTTTTTTTTAGATGTAGTCTTGCTCTGTCACCAGGCTGGAGTGCAGTGGTGCTATCTTGGGTCACTGCAACCTCCACCTCCTAGGTTCAAGCGATTCTTCTGCCTCAGCCTTACAAGTAGCTGGGATTACAAGCACATGCCACCACGCTGAGCTAAGTTTTGTATTTTTGTAGACATGGGATTTCACCATGTTGGCCAGGATGGTCCTGATGTCCTGACCTTGTGTTCCACCCACCTCGGCCTCCCAAAGTGCTGGGATTGCAGGCATGAGCCACTGCACCTGGCCCATTACCATTTTCTTTAAGATTTTCAGTTTATCCTTGAGTCTTCACTATCAAAAGATGAATTTTTGGTCTCGATCAGATAACATTGGCTTGCTCAAATTTCTTCTTATCTTCTCCACACTAAACTATACTTTTACAAATTTTTACTTTTATTATTCCTGTCAAAGAAAATGGTCTCTTCATCCACATCAGTTTTTTATGTCTTTGCCCCATTACTGACTCCACGTTTCCATATTATCTCTAATGCTCTTCTATTCCCCCATTTTGATTCCTTCTCTTCATGTTTTGAACATAACTGACTCTCTCTCATAATGTAAAATTATACAAAATTTAAAAGATAATTTTATTTTTAAATAAAATTATTTAAAGATAATTTTATTTTTAAATAAAATTATTTAAAGATAATTTTATTTTTAAATAAAATTATTTAAAGATTTTTTTTTTTTTTTTTTTTTTTTTTTTTGAGACGGAGTCTCGCTCTGTCGCCCAGGCTGGAGTGCAGTGGCGCGTTCTCGGCTCACTGCAAGCTCCGCCTCCCGGGTTCACGCCATTCTCCTGCCTCAGCCTCCCGAGCAGCTGGGACTACAGGCGCCCGCTACCACGCCCGGCTAATTTTTTGTATTTTTAGTAGAGACGGGGTTTCACCGTGTTAGCCAGGAGATAATTTTATTTTTAAATAAAATCATTTAAAGATAATTTTATTTTTAAATAAAATCATTTAAAGATAATTTTATTTTTAAATAAAATCATTTAAAGATAATTTTATTTTTAAATAAAATCATTTAAAGATAATTTTATTTTTAAATAAAATCATTTAAAGATAATTTTATTTTTAAATAAAATCATTTAAAGATAATTTTATTTTTAAATAAAATCATTTAAAGATAATTTTATTTTTAAATAAAATCATTTAAAGATAATTTTATTTTTAAATAAAATCATTTAAAGATAATTTTATTTTCAAATAAAATCATTTAAAGATAATTTTATTTTCAAATAAAATCATTTAAAGATAATTTTATTTTCAAATAAAATCATTTAAAGATAATTTTATTTTCAAATAAAATCATTTAAAGATAATTTTATTTTCAAATAAAATCATTTAAAGATAATTTTATTTTCAAATAAAATCATTTAAAGATAATTTTATTTTCAAATAAAATCATTTAAAGATAATTTTATTTTCAAATAAAATCATTTAAAGATAATTTTATTTTCAAATAAAATCATTTAAAGATAATTTTATTTTCAAATAAAATCATTTAAGGTAATTTTATTTTCAAATAAAATCATTTAAAGATAATTTTATTTTCAAATAAAATCATTTAAAGATAATTTTATTTTCAAATAAAATCATTTAAAGATAATTTTATTTTCAAATAAAATCATTTAAGGTAATTTTATTTTTAAATAAAATTATTTACACTCTTGGTGGCAGTGTAAATTAGTTCACCCATTGTGGAAAACAGTGTGGCGTTTCCTCATAGACCTAGAACCAGAAATACCATTTGATCCAGAAATCTCATTACTGGATATATACCCAAAGGAATAATTTAATTAAAAAAATAAATTAATTAGACACTGAACTAGCTTCAGTTGTCCTACACTTGTTCAAAAATTTGCTTGCTTGATTTCTATTTACCACCAGCCTCTTGACAATGATTAAATTTGTTATTACTGCTGTTCACTTCAGTCCCTTAGCTGTTCCTCAAAGTGCAGAAGTTTGAGTTCACCTCTTTGTTAAAATCACTTTCAGTGGTCAACAATACTGTTCTGGTTACAATATCTCACGTTTTTTTCTTACAAATTTATCCTTTTGACATGTACAGAACTTATAGTGATGACCTCCCTCAGACAACGTCTACTCTTGCCTCTCATATTACTTCCTTTTCAGTAAACTCAATTGACTTTTAATAATCTATTCCTTAATTGTTCTGATCTTCCAGGTTTCCAATTCATTCTTTTTTAAAATTTTATTCTAAGTTCCAGGATACATGTACAGGACATGCAGGTTTGTTACATAGGTAAACGTATGCCATGGTGATTTGCCTCACCTGTCAACCCATCACCTAGTTATTAAGCCTTGAATGCATTAGTTATTTATTCTGATACTCTGCCTCCTCTCACCACCTGACAGGCCCAGCTGTGTTTGTTGTTCCCCTCTCTGTGTCTGTGTGTTCTCATTGTTAAACTCCCACTTATGAGTGAGAACATGTGGTGTTTGGTTTTCTGTTCCTGTGTTAGTCAGCTGAGAATGATGGTTTCCAGCTTCATCCATGTCACTGCAAAGATATGAACGCATCCTTTTTTTATGGCTGCATATTGTTCCATGGTGTATATGTGCCCCATTTTCTATATCCAGTCTGTCACTGATGGGCATTTGGGTTGATTCTATGTCTTTGCTATTGTGAATAGTGCTGCAATAAACATATGCCTGCATATATTTTTATAATAGAATGATTTATATTCCTTTGGGTATATACCCAGTAATGGGATTTCTGGGTCAAATGGTATTTCTGGTTCTAGGTCTTTGAGGAAACGCCACACTGTTTTCCACAATGGATGAACTAATTTACACTGCCACCAAGAGTGTAAAAGTGTTCTTTTTCTCCACAACCTCGTCAGCATCTGTTGTTTTTTGCCTTTTTAACAACTGCCATTCAGACTGGCATGAGATAGTATCTCATTATGGCTTTGATTTGCATTTATCTAACGATGTTGAGCTTTTTTAATATATACCTATTGGCCACTAAATGTATTCTTTTGAGAAGTGTCTGTTCATGTACTTTGCTCACTTTTTGATGGGTTTGTTTTTTCTTGTCAATTTATTTAAGTTCCTTGTAGATTCTGGATATTATATCTTTGTCAGGTGGGTAGACTGCAAACATTTTCTCCCATTCTGTAGGTTGCCTGTTCACTGTGATGATAGTTTCTTTTGCTGTGCAGAAGCTCTTTAGTTTAATTAGATCCCATTTGTCAATTTTTGCTTTTGTTGCAATTGCTTTTGCAGATATCATCATAAAATCTTTGCCCATGCCTATGTCCTGAATTGTATTGCCTAAATTTTTTTCTAAGGTTTTTATGGTTTTGAGTTTTACATTTAAGTCTTTAATCCATCTTGAGTTAGTTTTTGTATAAGGCATAAGGGGAGGGTCTAGTTTCAGTTTTCTGTATTTGGCTAGCCAATTTTCCCAGCATCACTTATTAAATGGGAATCCTTTCCCCATTGCTTGTTTTTGTCAGGTTCGTTGAAGATCAGGTGATTGTAGATATGTGGACTTATTTCTCTGATCTCTATTCTGTTCCACTGGTCTATGTGTCTGTTTTTGTACCAGTACCATGCTCTTTTGGCTACTGTAGCCTTGTAGTATAGTTTGCAGTCAGGTAGCACGATGCCTCCAGTTTTGTTCTTTTTGCTTAGGATTGTCTTGGCTATGTAGGCTCTTTTTGGGTTCCATATGTATTTTAAAGTAGTTTTTTCTAATTCTATGAAGAATGTCAATGGAAGTTTGATGGGAATAGCATTGAATCTGTAAATTCCTTTGGGCAGTATGGCCATTTTCATGATACTGATTCTTTCTATCCACAAGCATGGAATGATTTTTCATTTGCTTGGGTTCTTTCTTATTTCTTTGAGCAGTGGTTTGTAGTTCTCCTTGAAAAGGTCCTTCACCTCCCTTGTTAGCTGAATTCCTAGGTATTTTATTCTTTTTGTAGCAATTGTGAATGGGAGTTCACTGATGATTTGGCTCTCTGCTTGTCTATTGTTGGTGTATAGGAATGCTTGTGATTTTTGCACGTTGATTTTCTATCCTGAGACTTAGCTGAAGTTGCTTATCAGCTTAAGGAGCTATTGGGCTGAGGCGATGGGGTTTTCTAGATATAGGATTGTGTCATCTGCAAACAGAGACAACTACCTTTTGTTTCTTTCTCTTGTCTGATTGCCTTGGCCAGAAATTCCAATACTGTGTTGAACAGGAGTGGTGAAAGAGGGCTTCCTTGTCTTGTGCCAGTTTTCAAAGGGAATACTTCAAGCTTTTGCCCTTTCTGTATGATATTAGCTGGGGATTTGTCATGAGATAATGTTCTGTGAGTATCTAGTTTATTGAGAGTTTTTAACATGAAGAGATGTTGAATTTTATTGAAGACCTTTTCTGTTTCTATTGAGATAATCATGTGTGTGTGTTTTTTTTCATTAGTTCTGTTTATGTGATGAATTTCATTTATCGACTTGCATATGTTGAACCAGCCTTGCATTGCCAGGGATGAAGCCAACTTGATCACGGTGGATAAGCTTTTTGATGTGCTGCTGAATTTTGTTTGCCAGTATTTTATTGAGGACTTTGCATCGATGTTCATCACGGATATTGGCCTGAAATTTTTTTGTTGTGTCTCTGCCAGGTTTTAATATCAGGATGATCCTGGCCTCATAAAATGAGTTTAGGGAGGAGTCCCTCCTTTTCAGTTGTTTGGAATAGTTTCAGAAAGAATGGTACCAGCTCCTCTTTGTACTTCTGGTAGAATTTGGCTGCGAATCTGTCTGGTCCTTGGCTTTTTGATTGGTGGGCTATTTATTACTGCTTCAATTTTAGAACTTGGGATTGTTCTATTCAGGGATTTGACTTCCTGGTTTAGTCTTGGGAGGGTGTATGTGTCCAGGAATTTTTCCATTCCTTCTAGATTTTCTAGTTTATTTTCATAGAGGCTTTTATAGTATTCTCTGATGGTAATTTGTATTTCTGTGGGGTCAGTGATGGTATCCCATTTATTATTTTTTATTGTGTCTATTTGATTCTTCTCTCTTTCCTTCTTTATTAGTCCAGCTAGAAGTCTATTTTATTAATCTTTTCATAAAATCAGCTCCTGGATTCATTGACTTTTTTGATGGATTTTTCATGTGTCTATCTCCTTCGGTTCCCCATTTTATTCTTTATCTCTTCTTAGTTTGCAGTTTAACATCACTTTAATGTCTTCCCATGATTTCTGATATGCTGATTGCTACTCAATACATATTTGCTTGCTTTCTGGATATCGTCACTGAGATGGGTATCTTAAACTCAGAGTGACCAACCTGACTTTCAAAACTGACTTCGTGCTCTACATCCAGGAACCAAAGTAGATGCTGCTTATTATAATTTGCTCTCCTACTTTGTTACTAACTCAATATATTAGAAAACAAGCTCTTCTAATTCTACCTTAGAAATTTTTTTATTCAATCTCTCCCTTTCTTTCCATTCTTATTACCAAATCTTAAGTTCAGTTTCTCATTGCCATAAAAAATTATTCAGACTCCTATGTCTGTGTCAAAGTTGTTCAAATCCTATTTCTAACTGATCTTTTCAGTATATTCTCCTGCTGTTTTCCTCTCATTCTTGATACTGTGGGCCGTATAACATCTCCTGAATTGTAGTTTAAGGAGGAAAATGTTAGAAAGCCTATGCTTTTATGCTTTTGATCATTTTGTTTCCTTTTTTTTTTTTTTTTTTGAGATGGAGTCTCCCCCATCACCCAGGCTGGAGTGCATTGGTGTGATCTCATTTCACTGCAACCTCCGCCTCCCGGGTTCAAATAATTCTCCTGCCTCAGCCTCCTGAGTAGCTGGGGTTACAGGTGACCATCACCATGCCCAGATAATTTTTGTATATTTAGTAGAGACAGGGTTTCACCATGTTGGCCCGGATGGTCTCGAACTCCTGACCTTGTGATCCGCCTGCCTCAGCCTCCCAAAGTGCTGGGATTACAGGCATGAGCCACAGCATACCTTTTCAGCAAGCTATAGTTCTACTAATTACATAAACCCCAATGCAAGTATTCTGTTTTTAAAGGAAAGTTTTCTTATGCTTATGACCGGGTAGAAATAATTTCTCCCTTCTCCATATCTCACTTGTGCCTTTTGTTGTTTGGAAGTAACAAGTAAAATCCTATCTGTATTATTATATATTGCTGAGTAACAGATTAATTTAAGCTGTGTGGCTCAAAACAATACAAGTTTATTATATCACAATCTCTATGGGCAAGAAACCTAGACATGGCTTAGCTGTGCCTTCTACTTCATAGCCTTATAAAAGGCTGAAATAAAGATGTCAGCTAGGGTCTGCAGTATTATCTAAAGGCTTGACTAAAGAAAGATTCACTTCTAAGCTCAGTACCAACCCCTTAGTTTCATGAAGGCTGTTGGAATGAGGGTCTTAGTTCCTTGCTGGCTATTGGCTGGAGGGTACTTTCAGTTTGTTGCCATGCAGGATCCACAACGTGGAAGATTTCTTCATCAAAGCAAACAAGACAGAAAGCCTTATAGCAAAAGAGAAGTTAAAATTATTGTAACCTAATCATGAAAGTGTCATCCCATTACCTTTGTCATACTCTGTTGGTTAGAAGCAAGTCACTAGGTTCAGCTCACATGCAAGTGAGATCTATACAGGAAGCATAGATCATTCGGTACCATTTTAGAAGTCTGTCTACCACAGCATTCAATCCTGACAACAACCCTATGAGATAGATGATACTGTCATTTAGAGGTTAAGTAACTTGCTTGTGGTCACACAGCTAATTAGGAAAAGAACTCAGATTCAAACTCAGAAAGTCTACCTCAGTGATCTCTGTCCTTAATCACCATGAGTTCTCAGGAAAAGAGTAAACTAGTGTAACTGTGGGAACAGCAGCAGTAACTCTGGGGAAGCAGCAGTAATGAAGGTAATGTTTCATGCTAATATTTCACTAACAATATCACTCAACTCCCACCTTTCTGTGTCTATGTCAGTTGGAACCTATTCTTATAAGAAAGTTCCTGGCCGGGCGCGGTGGCTCACGCCTGTAATCCCAGCACTTTGGGAGGCCGAGGCTGGCAGGTCACGAGGTCAGGAGATCCAGAGCATCCTGGCTAACATGGTGAAACCCCGTCTCTACTAAAACTACAAAAAATTAGCCAGGCGTGGTGGCGGGCGCCTGTAGTCCCAGCTACTTGGGAGGCTGAGGCAGGAGAATGGCGTGAACCCGGGATGGGGATCTTGTGGTCAGCCGAGATTTTGCCACTGCACTCCAGCCTGGGTGACTGAGGGAGACTCCGTCTCGAAAAAAAAAAAGAAAAACAAAAAAGAAAGAAAGTTCCTATCTGCCTGCTAGTCAATGGGTAACCTCTTCTGGTCTGATTTCTGCCTTTGGCCCAGGTAATCATAGCCAAGAAGGCTGCAAAGAAGAAGAAAAGTAATTTCTTTCTCTAGCTTATAAATTTTTTTATGGAAAAGAATTATATCTCTTATACAGTACAATGAGGTTTCTGGATATCTGGCAGAAGAGCATTTCACAGAGATGTTGTTCATGGGCCAAGAAGAGAGGTCTTGGGTCATGCCCTTAAAGTAGTATTCACCTTATCGCACTGTATCACAATGAGTTGCTAATACACCTGTCTTCCAAAGCTGTTTGTAGATGAGACTGACCATGCCTTACTATCTCTTGATTCTCAAATGTGTAGTACAATGGAATTGAGCCTTCCTGAGATGTTTTGGGTGAGTTAACTTAATTCACAAGTGCTTTTGATCTTCATGAAACTGTCAACATTAAGAGTGAAGCAATCTGAACATTTTTAAAATTTATTTTATTTTATTTTATTTTGAGATGGAGTCTCGCTCTTGTTGCCCAGGCTGCAGTGCAGTGGGGCAATCTCGGCTCACTGAAACATCTGCCTCCCGATTTCAAGCGATTCTCCTGCCTTAGCCTCCTGAGTAACCCGGATTACAGGCGCCCACCAACACGCCTGGCTAATTTTTATATTTTTAGTAGAAATGGGGTTTTACCATGCTGGCCAGTCTGGTCTTGAACTCCTGACCTCAGGTGATCTGCCCGCCTCAGCCTCCCAAAGTGCTGGGATTGTAGGCATGAACCACCATGCCCGGCCAACAATTTTCTTATATGACTCTCGTTGGTGACAAGGACTACAAATAAACTAAAGGAATGATGTTCTTCCGGGGTCTTTCACTAAATAAACTTTGGTTCTATTGTCTTTGATATATTTTTGTGTAATTGGGGCTTAACATAAAGAGTTTTGTGCCAGTCTGTGATATTGGCAAGTGCTCAAAATGTGGGTGGTAGAACCATAGTGGTAATGGCAACTCACACTGTTTCTCCACTTTGGAATATTGTCCTTTAAACACCTTCGTTTTTGAAAAGTTTATATGGGCTACAAACCCACCTTCTCTTTGAAACCTGCAGTGATAATTCAACAAATACTTTAAAATTTGTGTTGTATATGAGCTAAAGGGCTGGATATTGATAGCACTAAGAATACAATTATTTCTGCCCCTGAAAACTTTGTCTGCTGGAAGAGATGTATTGGTACACAGATATGAAATCATTGTTAAATTTATGGAATATTTACAGGAGGAACAGTCAGAAGTAAACTCCTTTTCCTTGAAGATCTACAGTATTTGCCTGTATTAGTTATAATATGCCTTAAATTACTTGTTTTAGTATTTGGTTTTTTTCTTATATTAGTAGTAAATTTCTGAAGATCATGCGACTGAATCAGACTGTTTCTTTCAAATCTCAGCTCAAGAGTCCCTTTCTAAGTAAGCTTTCCCTGGCTTCTCCCTTCATATACTTCCTCCTCCCAAAGCATCCTGGCTATATCTCCATTTCTTTCTTTAGCTTGTAAACTTTTTTATGAAAAAGAATTAATCTGTAACATCTTAATCACAAGATTGCTGGCACAGTAATAGGTCCCGGCTAGTCACAGTGTGATTCTTGGACTGACCACATTGGCACCACTTCTGAGCTTGTTAGAAATGCAGGATCTCAGGACCTACCTCAGACCCACTGAGTCAGAATCTGCTTTTTATCACTGTCTGTAGATGAATGTGTGCATGTGAAATTTAATTAACACTATTTTAGGAGATACTGTGTATCATAGCAGAGGGTTTTTTCAAATGTACTTGAAGGACTATATAAGAATCACTGCATTCAGAGTTGGCTGATAGTTGGCTGATAGCTGATAGTTGGTGGTGGTAATTTATGGCTTTGTAAAAATTCATGTTTCTTAGCCCCACACCAGCACCTAACCCAAAAGAATGACATTCATGCTTCTGTATTTTTAACAAGTTTACCAAGTGACTCTTATCCTCATAGAAGTTTAAGAATTGATGTAAAACTTTTGAATGGGTTAATCTCTCATTTGTAAGAAATTCTGTACTCTGTATATTAGTCCCAATAATGCCTTTTGGATGGGTTCCAACTTATATCTCTGACCTAGCTCTCTGCTTCAGCCAAGTCTCCTTCCTATTCCCTAACACACCATAAGAAAGTTACTAAATACTTGTTAAATTGACTAATTGGACATACAAATGCATAAATGATAAAAGGATGAATGGGGTATTGAATGAATAAAAGTGTTTTGATTTGTTTTTTCCTCAACTAAGTCTATGCCTACAGAATTAAATTTGAATAGGGTTAGAAAAAAAAGCATCTGTTGGTGTAAATAGTAAGACTGATAGAGATGGATAGCTTTGTCTCTTGGACTATGTGGTTTTCTTTCTAGATTCAGGAAGGAATCTTTTATGAATCTGAGCCTCAATTTCTCATTACATAAAACAAACCTATTTAGTAAGTCAGCTCCTTTCCAAAAGAAACATTAGCCTGTGTCAGTTATTCCTTGGTATTTTAGACTGAAACCTAAACTTAATTTTTAAAATATTTTATTTATTTTTAACTTTTATTTTAGCTTCAAGGGTGTATGTGTAGGTTTGTTATATAGGTAAGCTGTGTGACCTGGGAGTTTGGTGTATAGATTACTTTGCCACCCAGGTAATAAGCATAGTACCCAATATGTATTTTTTTGGATCATTTCCCTCTTCCTACTTCCCCTCTTGAGTAGACCCTGATGTCTGTTTTTCCCCTCTTTGTGTCCATGAGTTCTTGTTTAGCTCTCACTTATAAGTGAGAACTTGCAGTATTTGGTTTTCTGTTCCTGCATTAGTTTGCTTGTGATAATGGCCTCCAGCTCCATCCATGTTGCTACAAAGGACATGATCTCATTCTTTTGTATGGATGCACAGTATTCCATTGTATATATTTACCACACTTTCTTTATCCAGTCTACGATTGATGGGCATTTAGGCTGATTTCATGCCTTTGCTATTGTGAATAGTGCTGCGATAAATATACATGTGCATGTGTCTTTATGGCTGTATTAGTCCATTTTCACACTGCTATAAAGATAATACCTGAGACTGGGTAATTTATAAACAAAAAAGGTTTAATTGACTCACAGTTCTGCATGGCTAAGGAGGCCTCAGGAAACTTTGAATCATGGCAGAAGGCAAAGGGGAAACAGACAACTTCTTCACAAGGCAGCAGGAGAGACAGCACGCAAGGGAAACTGCCACATTCGAAACCATCAAGTCTCATGAGAACTCCCTCAGTGTCATGAGAACAGCATGGGGGAAACCCCCACTATGAGCCAATCACCTCTTACCAGGTTCCTCCCTTGACACATGGCAATTACAATTCGAGATGAGGTTTGGGAATCAAACCATATCAATGGTAGAATGATTTACATTTATTTGGGTATAAAATCAATAATAGTTTTGCTGTGTTGATTGGTAATTCTGTTTTAAGATCTTTGAGGAATCGCCAAACTGTTTTCCACAATGGCTAAATGAATTTACAAATTCCTAAAAGTATTGTATAAGTGTTCCCTTTTCTCCACAACCTCACCAGCCATCTGTTATTATTTGACTTTTTAATAATAGGTATTCTGACTGGTGTGAGAAGGTATCTTGTTTTGTTTTTGATTTGCATTTCTCTAGCAATTAGCGATGTTGAGAATTTTTTCATACACTTGTTGGCCGCATGTATGTCTTCTTTTGAAAAGTGTCTGTTCATGTCCTTTGCCCACTTATTAATGGGGTTGTTTTTTGCTCTGATGATAGTTTGTTTTGCTGTGCAGGAGATCTTTGGTTTAATTAGGTCCAATTTGTCAATTTTTTGTTAATGTTGCAATCGCTTTTGGCGTCTTCATCATGAAATTTTTGTCAGGGCTTATGTCTGGGATGGTATTTCCCAGGTTATCTTCCAGGGTTTTATAGTTTTAGATTTTACATTCAATTCTTTAATCCATTTTGAGTTGGTTTTTGTATATGGTGTAATCTTCTGCATATAGCTAGCAAGGTATACCAGCACTATTTATTGAATAGGTAGTTCTTTCCCCGTTGGTTGTTTTTGTTGTCTTTGTTGAAGATCAGATGGTTGTAGGTGTGTGGATTTATTTCTGAGCTCTCTATTCTGTTTCACTGGTCTATGTGTCTGTATTTGTACCCATACCATGCTGTTTTGGTTTTTATAGGCTTGTAGTATGGTTTGAAGTTGAGCAATGTGATGCCTCCAGCTTTGATTTTTTTTGCTTAGGATTGGTTTGGCTATTCGGGCTCTTTTTCCCTATCTTAGTGCACCGGAAGGGAAAGGAATGTGCTTATTAAGGCCCACTGTTTTACTGGGGCCCATTGTATGAGGGTGTAGTTTGGCAGTTACCCAAGAGACTTTCCCCCCACCTCCCTCTGTGCCCGAGCTGTCTTATCTGTGTTTTACTATCTGTTTCTTCTGGCTGCTTATAGTTAGAAGAGAAGTGATTCCCTTGAAATGCATGAGGCTAGAAAGGGAGCTGGAACTTAAAGTGGTGGTGTTCGTCCAATATGATGGTGCTCCTGCTCTGTCAGGTTTCATATGAATTTTAGAGTAGTTTTTTTCTAATTCTATGAAAAATGTCATTGGTAGTTTGATAGGAATAGCATTAAAATCTGTAAATTGCCCTGGGCATTATGGCCAGTTTAAGAATACTGATTCTTCATATCCATGAGCATGAAATATTTTTCTATCTGTTTGTGTCTCTGATTTCTTTTAGCAGTGTTTTGTAATTCTTCTTGCAGAAATCTGTCACTTCCCTGGTTAGCTGTATTTCTACATATTTTATTTTTTATTTTTGGCTATCATGAATGGAATTGCATTCTTGATTTGGCACTCAGCTTTGACAATTTCTGTGGACAGAAATGCTACTGGTTTTGTTTCCTGAAACTTTTCTGTAGTTGTTTATCAGATCTAGAAGATTTGGGGCACATACTATGGGGTTTTCTAGGTACAAAATCATATTGTCTGCAAATAGAGATAGTTTGACTTCCTGTCTTCTTATTAAGACATTTATTTGTTTCTCTTTCCTGATTGCTCTGGCTAGGACTTCCAATACTATGCTGAATAGAAGTGGTGGGAGTTGGCATCCTTGTCTTGTTCTGGTTCTCAAAAGAAATGCTTCCAGCTTTTGACCATTCAGTATGATGTTGACTGTGGGGTTGTCATAGATGGCTTTTATTATTTTGAAGTGTGTAAATTTAATGCCTACTTTATTGAGGGTTTTTAACATGAAGGAATATTGAATTTTACCAAAAGCCTTTTCTTCATCTATTGAGATGATCATGTTTGTTTGCTCTTGTTTTTCTAGTTTCTCTAGGTGTGATATTAGGTTGTTAATTTGAGATCTTTCTAACTTTTTGATGTGAGCATTTAGCACTATCAACTTTCCTCTTAATACTGCTTTTGCTGTGTCCCAGAGATTCTGGTAAGTTGTATCTCTATTTTCATTAATTTCAAAGAAGTATTTGATTTTGGCCTAAATTTTGCTATTTACCCAAAAGTCATTTAGGAGCTGATTGTTTAATTTCCATGGAATTATATAGTTTTGAGTGATCTTCTTACCTTTGAATTCTATTTTTATTGCACTATGGCCCAAGAGATTGGTTGGTATGATTTTGGTATGTACTTTGAATTTGCTGAGAATTATTTTATGGTCAATTGTGTGGTAGATTTAGATTATGTGCCATGTACAGATGAGAAGAGTATATATTTTGTTCTTTTTAGATAGAGAGTTTTGTAGTTTTCTGTTAGGTCCATTTGGTCAATTGTTGAGTTCAGGTCCCAAATATCTTTGCTAGTTTTCTGCCTCAGTAATCTATCTAATGCTGTCAGTGGGGTGTTGAAGTCTCCCATTATTATTTTGTAGTTATCTAAGTATTTTCATAGGTCTGTAAGACTTTGATTCATAAGTTTTTGTGGTCCTGTGTTGGGTGAACATATATTTAGCATTGTTAAGTCTTCTTGTTGAATTGAACCCTGTTTACCCTTACATAATGCCCCCTGCCCTTTTTTCTTTTGCTATTTTTGATAGTTGTTGGTTTAAAGACTATTGATATGGTTTGGCTGTGTGTTCCCATCCAAATCGCATGTGGAATTATAATCCACAGTGTTGGAGGTGGAGCCTGGTGAGAGGTGATTGGATCATGGGGGTGGGTTCTAATGGTTCAGCACCATCCCCCTAGTGCTCTCTCATAATAGAGTTTAAAAGTGTGTAGCACCTCCACCTTTGCCCTCTCCTTCCTTCTCTGGCCATGTAAGTGGTGCCTCCTTCCTCTTCTCCTTCCACTATGATTGTAAATTTCCTGAGGCCTCCCCAGCCATGCTTCCTGTACAGCCTATGGATCCGTGAGCTGATTAAACCTCTTTTGTTTATAAATTACCCAGTTTCAGTTAGTTGTTTATAGCAGTGTGATAATGGACTAATACAGAAAATTAGTAATGAGTTAGTGGGGTATAGCAATAAAGATACCCCAAAATGTGGAAGCAACTTTGGAGCTGGATAATAGTCAGATGCTGGAACAGCTTGGGGGGCTCAGAAGAAGAAAGAAAGATGAAGGAAAGTTTGGAACTTCCCGGAGACTTGTTAAATTGTTGTTACCAAAATGCTGATAGTGATATGGGCAATGAAGTCCATGCTGAGATGCTCTCAAATGGAGATGAAGAACTAATTTGGAACCAGAGTAAAGGTTACTCTTGCTATGCTTTAGAATAGAGACTAGCAGCATTGTGACTGCTCTAGAGATCTGTGGAACTTTGAACTTGAGAGAGATGACTTAGGATATCTGATGAAAGAAATTTCTAAGCAGCAAAACATTCAAGATGTGGCCTGGCTGCTTTTTACTCATAAGCTTATATTCGTGAGCAAAGAGATGATCTGAAACTGGAAATTATATTTAAAAGGGAAGCAGAGTACAAAAGTTTGGAAAATGTGCAGGCCTACCATGTGGTAGAAAAGTAAAACCTATTTTCTGGGGAGGAATAACTAAGACAACAGGAAAAATGCTTTGAAGACATTTTAGAGACCTTCACAGGAGTGCCTTCCATCACAGACCTGGAGGTCTAGGAGGAAGGAATGGTTTTGTGGGTGAGGCTGAGGGCCTTGCTTCCCTGTGCAACCTTGGGACACTGCTTTCTTCATCCCAGCTGCTGCAGCTCTAGCTGCAGCTAAAAGGGCCCCAGATACATCTTAGGCCACTGCCCCAGAGGCTACAAACCCAAAACTGCCAAGGCTTCCACATAGTGTTAAGCCTGCAGGTGCACAGAGGGTAAGAGTTGAGGCTTGGAAGCCTCTGCCCGGATTTCAGAGGATGTATGGAAAAGCCTGTATGTCCAGGCAGAAGTCTGCTGCAGGGGTGGAGAGCTCATGGAGAATCTCTACTATGTCAGTGTGGAGGGGAAATGTGGAGGTAGAATCCCCTCACAGAGCCCCAACTGGGAAACTGCCTAGTGGAGCTATGAGAAGACAGCTACCATCCTCCAGATGTCAGAATAGTAGATTCACCAACAGCTTGCACCATGCACCTGGAAAAGCCACAGGCACTCAACACCAGCCCATGAAAACAGCCACAGGGGCTGTATCCTGCAGAACCACAGGAGTGGAGCTGCTCAAGGCCTTGGGAGCCCACCCCTTGTATCAGTGTTGCCTGAGACATTGAGTCAAAGAAATTATTTTGGAGCTTTGATATTTATTGACTGCCCTGCTAGGTTTTGGATGTGCATGGGCCCTGTAGCTTCTTTGTTTTGGCCAATTTCTCCCTTTTGGAATGAGAGCATTTACCCAATGCCTGTACCCTCATTGTATCATGGAAGCAACTAACTTGTTTCTTATTTTACAGGCTCATAGGCAGAAGGGACTTGGCCTTGTCTCAGGTGAGACTTTGTACTTGGACATTTGAGTTAATGCTGGAATGAGTTAAGACTTTGGGGGAATGTTGGAAAGGCATAATTGCATTTTGAAATATGAGAGGACATGGGATTTGGTAGGGTCCAGGGGCAGAATAATGTGGTTTGGATATGTGTCCCCATCCAAATCTCATGTCGACTTATAATCCCCAGTGTTGGAGGTGGGGACTGGTGGGAGGTTATTGGATCATGGGAGTAGTTTTTAATGGTTAGCACCATCCCCCTGGTGTAGTGTAATGATAGAATTCTCAAGAGATGTGGTTGTTTAACAGTGTATAGCACCTGCCCCTTCGCTATCTTCCTCCTGCTGTGGCCATATAAGACATGCTTCCTTCTTCATCTTCCACCATGAGGGCTTCCCAGCTGTGCTTCCAATATATCCTGTGGAACTGTGAGCTGATTAACCCTTTTTTCTTTATAAATTACTCAGTTACAGATAGTTATAGTAGTGTGGGAATAAACTAATACAACTATTTTGTCTGAAATTAGATTAGCAACCTCTACTTCTTTTGTTTTCTGTTTGGTTGGTAGATTTTTCCTTGTCCCCTTACTTTGAAACTATAAGCATCCTTGCATGTGAGATGGGTTTCCTGAAGACAGTATATAGTTGGATCTTACTTCTTGGTGGGAGATGTTCTTTCTGGCGGTGTCTAGTTGGGCATCTTGGCTCCTACACCTCCATTTTTAATTTCTATAATGCAATTCATCATTAAATTGATAACCTGATATGTTGCTTATTACATCAGTTAAGGTAGTTTATATGTGGATCATTATTCAGACTTCTGGGATTTGGTCCTCTTTTACTCTGTGACCCATTTATAAAACTTCTAATGAAAACATGTGTAGTATAATTATAACAAAATATTCCCAACATTCTTTATTTGATTGACATTTCATGAATTTAATGAGAGCTCAATGAGGGGAATGATTGGGAACCAAAGCGTCTTCTTTAATTTATCTCTGTATTCCAACTCAATAAATATTTGTAAACCAACACTTTATATTGAACAGTTTTGCCAGTTCAGCAAAAATTTTGTGATTCTGATGAGAGAAGGGTATGTGTATATAGGAGTGGTTCAGAGAGAATAATTCTGATTAGAATCAGGCTCATGTCCAGGCTTTGAGGCATTTTGGTGGTACACCAGTTTTTTCACATAAAGTAATCACACCAATTTTTGGCTTACCCAATTCCATTCAGCTAAATAGATGAACCAGTGCCAATGGAATTCCTTGGTGGTAAACAGGCACAAAGTCTTTACAGGCTTTGAAGACTTCTTTGTAGAATTTTAATGGGGAATTGGGAATACAGAATTTCTTAGCATAAGTGTCTATTAAGATTCATAAATAAATTCACATTTTAGTTGCAGGCCACATATCTTGCAGTGGATGTACTTGGGGAGGAAAAATCAGAAATACACATATGCACCATTTACATAGAAAGGAAGGGACTGTATGCAGAAAGATTAGATATTTTCTCTCTAGTCATTTTTGAATTAGTCTAAATTGTTACTTTTGGCCACCAAGGATACTTATTTTTCTCTTTTCTTTTAAAACTGTTGGTATAATGCATTTTAATATAATAATTTAGTGTGTTTTCATTTATTTAAAATAACAAAAAAGATATACTGAGAAAAGCTGTTAAAATATGTTAAAACAATCTGTCATGAGTAGATTATGCCATTTCCACGCTTTGTTTCTATTATTGGTTTTATTTATAGACAATAAAACTGATAATCTAAATCTCTGTTTTTAGACAAAATGAATGCATTGAATATAGAAACTACCTTACTAAGATTTAGTATATGAAAATGGATTTTTTTGCTATTTTTGAAAGTAATTATAGTGAGGCATGCTGGTTTTTTGTCATAATTTGGTGGCGTGAAATCTCAATGTGAATATAAAATCTAAGCAAAAAGAATAAGACAAGGAGACATAAAAAAGCTGCTCTGCTGGAATATATAGCATTAGAAGTTGGCCTAGCACTGGTGACAAAGGAATCCAATTCACATAAAAAATAATACTGAAATGAAATACACATCCTACAAAGCTGGATAGCTTTGTAGGTTTCAATCAACCTGATTTTTAAATTTTCATATGGGTAAGGGCTGTTAGCTCAGGGAGAGACCTTAGACCTAAACTAAATTTTCCCTTTAATTTATGAAAAAGAGATTCAGGTCAAAAAACATTATAGACAATATACCTTGTCCATCCAAAGTCATGTATCTATTTAGAGTCTCAGATAGAACTAGAGAGGTGAATTCTTTATTCCATATCTTTACTACAATGCAATACCTCTTACAAAAATTAACTTCTGCCTTAATCTATTATATATCTTTATTCCCACATACATGAAGGAATTCCTTATGAAAGACCTCCCAACATTATTTACTCTGTTAGTTATGTATTGTGCAAAATGTATTATCCCAAAACTTAAACTACAAATATTTATCCCCTCAAAGTTTCTTTGGGTTAGGCATCCAGGCATGACTTCACAGAATTGTCTGGCTCAGAGTATAACAGAAGGCTGTACTCAAGGTGTCATCCAGGGCTGTAGTCATCTCAAGCCTCAGCTGGAAGAGGATCTGCTTTCAGTCTTAATCACATGGTTTCTGGCAGGATTTGTTTTTTCTCAGGCTAGGGGGCAGAGGCTGCCCTCTGTTTCTTGCCATATTCCAGTTCCTTGCATTGCCACAGGATAGCTGATAACATGGCAGCTTAGAGGGTGAACAAGAAGGGCCAGAGAAAGAGTGAAAGCAAGAGAGAAGTCAGTTCATTCATAACCTAACCTCGCTGTATTCTATTCATTGGAAGCAACGCATAGATCCAGCTCACACACCAGAACATAATTCTAGAAGTTAGGGATGACTGGAGGCCATTTTAGGTGCTACGTACCACGTTGGCTAAATACTTCCTTTTGTAGGACTTCATGGTTGCAATATTACATGAGTGGAAAGACAGATTGAAGGGGAGGCAATAAGCAGTGGTCTTTCTATTGGTTTCATTTAATTGCAGACTGTGCTGGAATGTGACATATTGAGATGTGGGGGAGCTTGCTGAAACAGCCCAGGTTCTGTTCCAGTCACCCCTAGAAACAGGACGTCTTTCATGCTTTAGCCTAGTGAATCATGGTGCCCTGGGGGATAAAACCCAGGGTGGGCTACTTTCTGGGGCTCCTTTGCTGTGGCACCAGGGAGTACAATCAATGTAATCTTTACCCCACCCAGGAAAACTTTCCTGAGTCTTAGGGGTATGCTTTGTGATGAATTCTAGGTTTTTGTCTCTTAAGAGTTGCCAACGTGTAACTAATAAATTCACTTCATGTAACTTTTAGTATGAGTGTGTTCTGTCTTACCAGACTCAGACGAGTTGGTAACTAATGCACAGTTAACCTGCTTTATAGTCAAATTCCTTACTTGTCCTTCTAACCCTTGTCTCCCACCTGCTCCCCTAACCTGCACATACACATAGGCACACACTCATAACTATATCTCCAGGACCTCTCAGAGTGAGAGACAACAATATGAATATAATAAATAATTTATGAATCAATGATTAGATTGTCCTCAGAGAACGCTAGCCTTGCATATAGGTCCCTGTTGCAGATAGAAATGTGTGTGTGGAATCAAAAGACAAAAGAAATAAAGGCAGTTCCATAGCCTGTTAGAATTCTTTAGCGCCTTGTTTCTTTACATATGAGACACGCTAGGCAGCATATATTCACATGCTAAAACATCATTGTAAACATTAAAGTTATGTTTAATGAGCAGACACTTGGGAGCAAGGCTGGACTGTTATTTAATCACTTACCCACCAATCAATCAGTGCAGTGATTTTGGAGACATTATGTGTTTTGAGATTCAGTTAATGCTTTAAGTGGTCTATCGTTAAATATACAAAATGTTCTCTGTTGTGAAAGAACTTTATCTAATTAGTGAATTGAGACTAATGTTTGAAAAGGCAATTAACTTTATGTTTATACTTTAAGTGTCAAATAAATGAAAGGGACAAAGAGGTTAAAAGGGGAAGAGAATTTTCAATTGAACTAATCAGGAAGGCTTAACAGAGGGTTCTCTTAGTTCATCTGTAGCTTAAGGATGGCTAGGATTTAGATGTCTTAAGGAAGTCAAGGGAGAAAAAGCACTTTTGAAGAAAATACTGTGGACAGCTAAGGAGCTAACATAGAGAAGCTCAATAAATTTGAGAAAAAAAGACAGGGAAAAAACAATGCTTGAAGGAGAGGCAGTAGCATCAAGGTTTTTATTCTTATTGGCTTCATGTTGAAAGACAGAAACAGAAATATAATGGTCATTTTTTAAAAGACCTTTAACTCTGGCCCATCTCTAATATGCAGCTGATAATAAGGCCAACTCTAGGTAAATTTTGGAAGAAGGGCCCATATCCTTAGTATGTTTCTGAATTCTTAATGCATTAAATTCTTCCCTATATCACCTCAATTAAACTCTTTTGCTTCAAGCTTATTTTTTTTCCTTTCTCTCTTTTCTCAGATTTTGACCAATCTCTGTTATTTGAGAAAGGAGACAAAACAAGATATGAATGACTGATATCCCTGCAACTCACTTTAAATTTAAAAACACTCCAGGAAGGGTGTTAATGCCATTTTTTACTTCAGGAAAATGAAAGTCTAATTATTCATTTGAAGGCTCAGGAGGAAGGCCCATCTGCATCATTCACCTCTTTCAGATATTTAGTTCCTTCAAAGGAACCCCATAACTGTTCTGCCCAGTCCACTCATCACATTAGCTTCATTCAGACAAAACCAATTATGCTTTCCTCACTGAACATTTATAGGCCCCTATCCTGACCCAGAGCCAGGCCTAGGATAGTTGTTTTTTTTTTTTTTTTTTTTTTTTTTTTTTTAATGAGTTGGGATGCAGTGTGTTAGACGATATATTAGTTTGCTAGGGCTGCCATAACAAAATGCCATAGACTGGGTAGCTACAACCACAGAAATTTACTTTTTTACTGTTTTAGAGGCTGGAAGTGTAAGACTAAGATGCCAGCAGGATTGGTTTCTCCTGAGACCACTCTCCTTGGCTTGTAGATGGCTGCCTTCTTACTACGTCCTGACAGAGCCTTTCTCATGCACACATATCCCTCAGGTCTCTTCCTCTTCTTATTAGGACACTGGTCATATTGGATTACCACACTTATGATCTCATTTAACCTTAATTACATCTTTAAAGGCTGTTTCTGCAAGTAAAGTCACATTGGGAGTTAGAGCTTCAACATATGAATTTTGGGAGACACAATTCAGTCTATAACAGATGGGAATCTTTCAATGGATAACTTCGAAAGAAACAGTCTTAAGGTTATGCTGTGTAGTAGCCTAGAGAAGTGCACAAACAAGACCCAAAATATTTCAGTTTAATACATATTTTTTCAGCACTTATTTGGGACAAAGTTCTAGGCTAGATCTTAAACATAAAAGGCAGTTAAGATACTATCATACCCCTTGCTTCCTCAATTTAACAGGTGAAACGGAAATACAAATACATAATTACAAGATGCAATGGTTAACTTTATGTATCAACTTGGTTGGGCCATGATGATGCCCAGATTTGTGGTCAAACTTGATTCTGGATGTTTCTGTGAGGGTTTTTTAGTGGATGAGATTAACATTTTATTTTATTTTATTTATTTTTTTTGAGATGAAGTATTGTGCTTGTCCCCCAGGTTGGAGTGCAATGGCGCGATCTCGGCTCACTGCAACCTCCGTCTCCTGGGTTCAAGCGATTTCCTTGCCTCAGCCTCCCGAGTAGCTGAGATTACAGGTGCCTGCTGCCACACCCGGCTAATTTTGGTATTTTTAGTAGAGATGGGTTTTCACCATGTTGGCCAGGCTGGTCTCGAACTCCTGACCTCAGGTGATCTGCCCACCTCGGCCTCCCAAAGTGCTGTGATTACAGGCGTGAGCCACCGCACCAGCCGAGATTAACATTTTAAATTGATGGACTTTGATTAAAGCAGATTGCCCTTCATAAGGTACGTGGGCCTCATTCAGACTGTTGAGGTCTTCTTAGAGTAAGACTGACTCCCAGAGGAATTCCACCAGCACAGGACCTTCAAACTTGGACTGCAGCACCAGCTTCTCCCTGGGTCTTCACAATGTTGGCCCACCCTGCAATTTTTGGACTTACTCATGTGAGTCAATTCCTTAAAATAAATCTTTCTCTCTTTCTATATATATACACATCCTATTGGCTCTGTTTCTCTAACGATCCTTGGCTAATACACAAGTAGCTTTAATAACAGGGTGTACCCTGCTCCTTCAGTCACCTGCCTTTTCTTCTATGGGCTTTACCTGTTCAGAATATGGAATATGTCTCCTTTGGGAAGTAGGAGCAGATGTAAGGAGCTAGAATGTCAGTTTAGTTGAACTCTGCTCAAAGAACCAATGAGAACTGGCCCATGTGGCCTGGTTTTCATATTATGGGATTTGATTTTATGGTCAGCAATTTATAACTTTATGAAAATTAGAATAAATAGGTGATCAAATTATTCTTTCTGATCTTAATTGGGCTGACTCTACTGCAGAGATTTCTCTGTATGAGAGTCTGTTGAAAATTGTGCATATGGACATGGTACAGCACCATAGGGAGAGGGTATATATAATACAGGCTGGGCCGGGGCCTGCACAGTTCTTTGTGTAATTGTATTCTGAGGGTAGCATGAGGCGCCATGTCGCCAGAGCATGTCTTTGGTAAGTCATTAATTTATAGTCTTTTCCAGTTAGCCTCTTAACCTTGCCTGAAGGGAATTGGTGATAAGCATTATTAACTCCTTAGTGGCATCTAGGGACACTGAAATGCAAGGAGGAAGGTGACCTGCCATATTTCATGCTGCAGCCTTGGAGAGAATTTCACTGCACAAAGCAATCTTCTCCTGTGTTAATCCTTTGAAGCCACTGCTGGGGTCTGAAAGTTCAGTAATCACAGAAAACAATATGGCCCTTCTTCTGTTCTTTGGGAAATATTGTTTGTTGCAATCTTTTATGTAATGAAAGAGAGAAAAAAAAAGTCTCAATAAGTACATAAATAGATGTTATACGTTTCATTCCTGAAATGGCAAAGTCAACCAGTATAGGACTGTATTGACTTGAAACAAAATAAAAGGGAACTTTTAGAAAACAAACAAACAAACAAAAAAAACTTCTCAATGAGTACATCAATAGATGTTACATTTTTCTTTCCTGAAATCGTAAAGTCAGCCAGTACAGGACTGTGTTGACTTGAAACAAAATAAAAGAGGGAACTTTAGCAGTTCACATTATTGTGATATTTATTTCTCTACTCTGTTTGCATACAGTGCTACATGTATGCGTGTGGCTCCATGGGAGCTGGAAAAAAAAAGATAATTGCCTTATCTAGAGATTGTTTATGGGGGGCAAGGTGCAGTCACCCATATTTTCACTCCTATAAATGAAATGTATAATTATTGCCTCTCAAAGTATTTTCTTTCACCTCACTAGAAGCAGGATAAACATATTGCATTTTAATATTTTAGTTTTTCACCATCTTTTCCAGCACAACTGCCTTCAAGAAAACTTGAAAATTGTTTTCTTTCTCTTGTATCTCACAATCCTAGCATCTTTCCAAATACTCATGAAGGTTAAATGACCAGCCATTTATTACACAGTTGTTTAAATTTTATTTTATTTTGAGTATGTATGTATGTGTGACTGATAAGGCTGCCTAATTTTCATTTCCAGTATAGTGAAAAGAGTCCACATGCAAATGCAAAATAATGTTTGCTGCCTTGTGTGTTACTTTCACTTAAACTCTGTCTGCCACAACTCTGTTAAATAAAAACTAATTGGTAGAGCCTAGTATTGAAAGTAACTACTGTTCTGACTGAACTGATGGGTGCAATTGAATGCAAGCCAGTGGTTGGAATGGGAATTAGTGGGTATAAAGACTGGAGTGTGCTTTTCCTTTATGAGTGTTCACTCATTACTGAGGGAGTAAAAATGACTCCCAAGCTTCCACACTGTCTTCTCAAACTATTGTACAGTAGATAACAGCAAGAATTTTTGTGTCAGAATAAACCTAAGTTTCAGTTCTTGCTCTCCTATTTTCCTTGTATGTGAGTTTGGGAACTTGAATTAACTTTTGATGGTATGGTACCTACTTTAATAGAGTATTACAGAGATTAAATTGGTATAATGCGTGTAAAGTACTTCCATGGATAGCTTCTAGTTTTTATGATTTTTATTGTTACAATTATAAACTTACTAATCTTCTCATTTGATCTCTTCTTATATAATTTTTTATTTCCTCTCTGTCTTTGTCATAAAACCTAAAATGCCTACTAGCAGACAGAACTGTTATGGTCTATGTAAAAGCCAGGAGATAGGGTATATCCCATGGAAGATGGAGGAGTCGAAATCCACATTGGTGAAATAAATTATCTCTGTTTACCTTCTTCCAGATAAATGAAAATAATAGCATCAGAAAACCAGTTGTATTTATTAAGTAGTTATTCTATGCAATATTCACTGTTAAGTATTTTGGATAAATTAGCTCATTTAATCTCTATTATAAATACTATAAAAGTGTTATTCCAATTTTTTAGATAAGAGAATTGAGGCTCAGAGGGTTAGGTGATTTGCTTATGGTAAATTAATTAGCTAATTGCAGAGTTTGAATTCAAATCGGGGTGTGCCTGATTTTAGTACTTTAAATATCTTTAATCATATCTTGAGTATTCTAGAATAAAAAGATGAGATTGGAAGTTTATTAAACTTAGATAATGACGTGCTCAGTTGCATGAAAACCATATTCCTCTGAGTCTTTGCCATACACTTTCATCTTTGCTTTACTGATAAGCTCAGGAAAACATGTAATAACTTGTCAGCAGAAAGATAAGGATTTTTCGATAAGTGAAATGGAGACAAAATAAAATTAAAATAAAAAAGTGTCTATACCTTCCTTTAGAGAAAAAAAGGAAAATCTTTATGACCCTAGAGAGAGAATTTCAAAAATAAAAACTGACTAAAAAAGAAAGACTAATACTTTTAACTGATTAAAATAACTGTTATATGAAAAGAAACTATAAGTAAAATAACAAAAGTCACAGGAGAAGTTTTTGTAGCACATATGTAGCCAACAAAGTTTTATATACAGAGCATGTAAAATACTCTTACAAATGAATAAGACAATGACAAAAACCTAAAAATAACCTGAAAAATAGATAAAATATATCAGAATTACTTTTGGCTACATGTGCCAAAAAGCCTGAAAATAGTCAAGAGAAATTATTTTTTTCCTCACATAAAGGAGTAACAAGATAATCAGTCAAGATCATCAGTGAGTAGTTCAAAGGCTCATTGATAATTTCACTGTCATTTCACTATCATGGCTGATAATGATTCTATCATCAGTGATTCTTTTAACCTATTGCTCTGCCATCTTCCACTTGTGACTTCCACCCAGTGGCCCAAGATGGCTAGTCCTACTCCAGAAATCATATCCATATTTAAACCCGTAAGAAGGGGAAAAGGAGAAGAGATGGGCAAGTTCTCCCACTTTATGGACATTTGCTAGAATTCACACACCGTATTTTCTGCTTATATCTCATTGGCCAGAACCGTGGTGCATAACCACACCTAACTTCTACAGAGACTCAGAAATAAAGTCTTTATTTTGGGTGGCGATGTGCTTAATTACAAATAGAAAGTCCCATTTCTCTAGAAGATAGCTATTGAGTGTCCAGTGGTAGGCTTTGCTGAAGAGATACACAAGAAATTCACCAAAGTAGAAACACAAAAGGGCAATACATATTTTAAAAGGTGATCAACCTCTTCAAAAATCGAGAAATAGAAATGAAAAAAATTGACATATAATTCACACACATTAGATAGGCAGAAATTTAAAAGCCTAAAATATTTATGCAGATATAGAGCAATAGAAATTCTATTTTTTATTATTATTTTACTTTAAGTTCTAGGGTACATGTGCACAATGTGCAGGTTTGTTACATATGTATACATGTGCCATGTTGGTGTGCTGCACCCATTAACTCGTCATTTACATTAGGTATATCTCCTAATGCTATCCCTCCCCCCTCCCCCTACCCCACTACAGGCCACGGTGTGTGATGTTCCCCATCCTGTGTCCAAGTGTTCTCATTGTTCAATTCCCACCTATGAGTGAGAACATGCGGTGTTTGGTTTTCTGTCCTTGTGATAGTTTGCTCAGAATGATGGTTTCCAGCTTCATCCATGTCCCCACAAAGGACATGAACTCATCCTTTTTCATGGCTGCATAGTATTCCATGGTGTATATGTGCCACATTTTCTATATCCAGTCTATCACTGATGGGCATTTAGGTTGATTCTATGTCTTTGCTATTGTGAATAATGCTGCAATAAACATACGTGTGCATGTGTCTTTATAACAGCATGATTTATAATCCTTTGGGTCAAATGGTATTTCTAGTTCTAGATCCTTGAGGAATTGCCACACTGTCTTCCACAATGGTTGAACTAATTTTCAGTCCCACCAACAGTGTAAAAGCGTTCCTATTTCTCCACATCCTGTCCAGCACCTGTTGTTTCCTGACTTTTTAATGATCGCCATTCTAACTGGTGTGAGATGGTATCTCATTGTGGTTTTGATTTTCATTTCTCTGATGGCCAGTGATGATGAGCATTTTTTCATGTGTCTGTTGGCTGCATAAATGTCTTCTTTTGAGAAGTGTCTGTTCATATCCTTCGCCCACTTTTTGACGGGGTTGTTTGATTTTTTTCTTATCAATTTGTTTAAGTTCTTTGCAGATTCTGGATATTAGCCCTTTGTCAGATGGGTAGATTGCAAACATTTTCTCCCATTCTGCAGGTTTCCTGTACACTCTGATGGTAGTTTCTTTTGCTGTGCAGAAGCTCTTTAGTTTAATTAGATCCCATTTGTCAATTTTGGCTTTTGTTGCCATGAACAATAGAAATTCTTATAGCACTGCTTATGGAAGTGTGTAAGTTGGTAAAAAAAAAACAAAACAATTTGACAGTGTTTATAATAGCTAAAGATACATATACCCTTCAACCAAGTATTTCTGCTTTTAAGTATATTAACCAGTAATACCCTGGCATGGGCTCAAGAAAACATGCTTAAAAATGCCATTGCAATTTGCAATATTATACATATATGTGTGTGTGTGTGTGTGTGTGTGTGTGTATATGTATATATACGTATATATATGTGACATGTATATGTAATGGAGACTAAATAGAAATAATCTAAATTTCATTGTCAGGAGAATGAATAAATTCATTGTGGTGTATCTATAAAATAGAATATATGTGTAATATTGAAAATAAATTAACTAGAGCTAAATGTATGAATGAACATATTTCCCAAACAATGTTGAGTGGAAAAGGTAGTTGTAAAAAAATGCGTATATTGTGATAAAACTATATTAAGTATAAAAAGATATGAAAATGCCAGCTGTTATTTACAGATATACAAACAGATGTAATAAAACTATTTAAAAATGCATGAGAATGATGAACACCAAATTCAAAGTCGTGGTTACCACTACTCAGAGCAGGAGAGGAAGGGGACTGAAGAAGAGGATATTGCCACTTCAATTTTATTTGTAATGTTTTATTTACTAAACTGAGTAGTGAGTACATAAGAATTCATCATATTTTCCTTATATTTCTGTGTGATTGAACTATTTTGTAATAAAAAATACAACTAAACTGAGTAACTTCAATCATTAGGAGAATAATGGATAAAGAAAGGGGAAAAGAATAGCCCGATACCCATCTGGCAAGACATCTTCTACTTGTTTAGAAGATATTAGGGGATTAGTCAAGAGGTAAATTTAAGGACAGAAAAATATCTGGCTCTTTTTCCTTTTTGTCCTTAAAGTCATCAGCAAAGTGGTGATTATTGCAGTATCTAATACTATTTACAAGAGCTATCTGACATATTGTTTCCTCAACACAATTTCTAGTAGTTAACTTGGTTACCATACATGATACCTGCAGTCCCTTCTTGAAGGGTGATGGTTGTAAATGTGTAGGGTTGTTGTTTGTCCTATTGAGGAAGGAATAATACCATCATTTGGTAGACAAGGACCAGAGAAGCTCCATGTACTGTGCATACAGCTCAGTACTGCACAAAATGCCAAGAGCTCCTCTAGTGGTCTGAGGTGGGTGACAATACTGGTAGAACTACCTTTAATCTCAGGGTGTATGTTTTGTGTGTGTGTGTGAATTACAAGAAATTTATCTCCTTAGAACTTTATTTCCTATCAGAATGACAGGTATTTAAAGAATAAAAACCCCTCCATAACCTCAAGAACCCCTGCATAACCTCCATTACATTCCCTTCTGCACTAAAGATGTGTACAACTAAACTTTGTAGATTAGTTTCACAAAGGGTTTGTTCACCCTAACTTCTTGTTCTATCCTTATAAACTTGAAGTTTCTAGATAACTAGTTTTTGAACGCTTCTTCCTGTTCAAAATAAAAGATAATGACAATAGAAAAAAATCAAGGAAGAATATCCACATAAAGCATAATTAACTGAAACCAGGTAGATCTGATTTTGTGTCTTAACCCATCAATAACTCTTTATATTAACTACCATTCTAGTTTTTATACAACAAGTGATCCTACGGTATTAACCTTTAGACCAATTGTTTAAAAGCCTTGTTTGGGAAAAGCAAGTAATATTTAATATGAATATTTTATCTCCTAAGTGTTGCCTGGAAGTGAGTTCTGTATTGTCTAAGTGTCTATTACTGATGTCAGAGAACTTCACATCTGCAGATAGAGCAATTTACATTCACTGTGGCTGCTACCAAAGAGGCTGATTCTTAAATTATTTATGCAAAGAAACTAATTGTTCTGTTCTTTATCTGAAATTATGCCAATTGCAAACTTAAGGCCAAACTTTTCACTGAAACTTCAGCTTCATTTTCAAGCTTGTATTTTTTATCTTGTCACAAACCGTTCACACTTATGAAGATGGATCATGATCACAAGGACAATGCTTTGCCCAGGCTCTTGAGAGGATAACCGAAGCCATGATAGCAGATTCCACAAGCAAAAAGTAACAGGTTTTACTCCAGTTGACAGGCAATTAATGCTTCCTGAAGTTATACTGCTGAATAAACAAGTTTTGAGCATTATTATTTTTGCTCAGCAGAACGTATTTGTAGTCAAAAAATTGGAGATTAAAAGACTGTCATTCAAAATCTGTTTGCTATAAAGCTAATGAGCTTCATGTGCCAAAGAAAACTCAGATATATCAGAGTAGGGATTTGGTTTACTAAAGAAGTTGAAAAGAACACAGCCCAAGTGATTTATAAGAAATATAACATTTTAGAAAATCAAAATTAGTTTGGACATTAATCAATAAACCCAAAGCAAAACAACACATTGGACATTCATATTAGCTTGATATTATGCCCAATACTTTTTGTATAAATGGTCTCATGTGTAGTTTGCAACTCTCTGTGTAATATACATGATTATCCAGACTCTGACAGGAGAAATGGCTTAGTCACAGCCAACAATTAGTAGATCACAGAGTAGAACTGGAGTGCTGAAGTTTGATTTTTCACAGTGGACTTCTGACACATTACTTGAAAATTTGTCATTTTCTAGGTTTTCTGCAGTACAAGCAAGAAGTTTAATATCTTCCTTTGTATTTCTGTGAATCATTAAAAGAATACGAATTGATCCTAACAGATCTTTTTCTTTGGATACCTAAATTGAACGTGGCTAGCTCTTTGTCATAAACTGCATGACCTCTTAACAACATAACTTTGTCTAAGCTCACAACAAGAAGCAAAATTATTTGGAGACAAAATAAACCAAAAGTAGCCTCTTTAAGTATGATTGAACAAACCTAGCTTCATTTTGGTTCTTGCTCCATTGGTCTATCTACTTTTCTCTTTCTAGGCCAGTACCAAACTGTTTTCATTTCAGTGGCTTCAGAGTACCTTTAAATTGTATTTAGAGGTAAAGCTGCTATTTCTTCCTTTCCTCTGTTCTTTTTTTTCTCTTTGAACATTCTTGGCAATTTTTGCTAGATTTATTCTTCTATATTTAATTGAATATTTTTCTAGTTCTGAAAATGAGCAACACATAGCATTGAGTTTTTAATTGAAATTGCATTACTTTAATATTAATTGGAAATTAATATTAAATTGCAAATTAAAAATTTTTTTAAATTGCAGGCCTTCTCATACAAGAACATATTTCTGATTGTTCAATGTATATGACTTTATAGATATTTTTCACCCTTGCAAATTAAATATTTAATAGTATTTCCATTTCTAATTGGTTATGGCCACTAAGAAAGTATTTTGATAATGTATACACTATCACCTTTATTTTCTTACTAAATACAGTAGTTTTAATAGTGACTCATATGACTATAGAGGAAGGAAGGATTTACTGAGAAAGTTCACCTAGGCATTGCAATATGACGAATGAAAGAGAATACTTTAATAAAGAGATTTTGGTCAAGTATGTTACATATTTTCAAGAAGTGAAGGAAACGGAGGATTAAGAAAACCAGAACAGGATTGTACAACTAGAGTGTAGTTTTTTAATTTATGTTAGGAATATCATATGATACCATCCTCTTGATTAGTCCAAAACTAAATTACCTGACCACAATTTTTAACTAGAATATTTGAATTGGAAAACACATCAGCAATATATATATTAAAGTCTTACATCATTTGTTGATTATCTCTTGACCTTTCAAACTGACTTCAATGATGTTTTTAAATAGCAGAATTTTATGCAGGTAATTATCTTCTGGATACAGCTTGCTAAATAATACCTTGATCTCACACACACACACACACACACACACACACACACACACATATATATATATTTTTTTGAGGTGGAGTTTCACTCTTGTTGCCTAGGCTGGGGTGCAATGGTGTGATCTTGGCTCATTGCAACCTCCGTCTCCCAGGTTCAAGTGATTCTCCTGCCTCAGCCTTCTGAGTAGCTGGGATTACAGGCATGTGCCACCATGCCTGGCTAATTTTGTATTTTTAGTAGAGACAGGGTTTCTCCATGTTGGTCAGGCTGGTCTCGAACTCCTGACCTCAGGTGATCCACCCGCCTTGGCCTCCCAAAGTGCTGGGATTACAGGAGTGAGCCACTGCTCATGGCCATATTTTTCATTTTTAATAAATTGTTTTAATATCACACAGGATGTTTCATGTCAACTTTAGGCCATCAGCTGAACTTAAATGGGCTTTTGCATGTGCCAAGCATTGTTCTGGTGCTTTTGCTTGTCCTACCTCATTTAAGTTTCATAGCAATACTATGAGGAAGATAACATTACTATCCTTATTTTATAGATGGAAAAACTGAAACACAGAAAAGTTAAGGAATATGCCCAAGATTCTACAGCTAATAAGTAGCAGAGCTGGCATATGAATTGCTTGAGTCTGGCTCCAGTGAATGTGCTTTTAACCAATACACTTACCGCCTCATTTTAACTCCTAGCATGTTTATATATAACAAAAGAGAAAATATTCATGATAAAATGGGATAAACATGTTTGGAATTTTGTGGAAGATTGGAACACTTTTATTAAATACAGCCATAGTACACAAGTATCTCTCCAGTTTATGGGTTTTTTTTTTATTTTTTGGTAGAAAGTTTTTTGGTTTGCAATGATCTACTTTGTATAATGTACTACATATTTTATGTACATAAATTTGGTATGTAAACTTAAATTTGGTATTGAAAATGTATGTTTACAAAAACTCAATACAATGTTGCAACACAACAATGTATGGTCATTCACTAGGATGTTCCTATATTACAATTTTTCTCTCTGTAGTGTTCCTTCTCTGTGGTGTCCCTATTGTGAGAGAGGATTTTTATGTCCCAGCACTGCTGAACTCCATGAGTAATCATGAGATTTGCTCTAGCCAAAGAAAGATGAGTGGAGATGACTTGCATAAATTATAAGTAGAAACCTCAAGGGCCTGTATATGATTCTCCATGTTTTGTTTCTCTCTGCCAAAGACCATCAATATTTCAGATACAGAACTTCATCTTGGAAAGAATACAACATGGAGCTAAGTCTTAACCACCCTTGACACATACATAGCTTCAGTGAAAATTGACTGTTGTCATAAGTCACTGAGATTTTGTGTCACTTGTTATCTAGCACATTTTAGCAAATTCTGACTAATAAAGAGTTACAACTTGTTGATGATATTGCTATGGTTTTGCATTAAAATTACATTTTATGTCATTACTGAGGATAGTTTTGGAGCTGTCTCAGACTTAGTAACCCAGTTTCTGAGTACACTGAGTTTTAATCAGGCCATTAAGCAGCTTTAAAATTCATAACCAATATCAAGATGATGAAATATCCTAATGGGGTATGTTTATTTTGTGTGTGTGTGTGTTTTTTTTTTTTTTTAATTTCTGGTGTCCTTTAACCTTACTCTGCCAATGAGACTTCAATTTGGTCTACTTCATCTCTGTATTTATTTCTGGTATGAGATAAAATTCATAGTTGATAAAGTTCTCTATAAAAACATACATCAATTCACAGATATTGTTTTACTTTCCATCTCAATAACATAATTTGACCCACTTTATTTGCAAACATTCTTGGTTAATGAATAAACTAGAACCAGTTAGTTTAGGCATGAACTTTGATTGTCCCTAGGCAATTAATATTTGATGACCAGCTGTCTACCCATTGTTTAGAGAAATCATCTGTAATTGTTTGAGTGTAAAAAATTCTGTTGCTATTCACCTTTGAGCAGCTAGCTAGAGCTCCCTATTTGAGAAGTCATTTGGTGGCAAGGCACTCTCAATTTTAAATGTCTACTTTTATAATTTTGACTTGGAGCTTAAATTTTAAACTACCTTGTTTTCTCTGACTTAAAATGTGTGAAATGTATATGTCATTATCAATTAATATGTGCCTCTCTTGACATATTTAAGTACCCTGAAGGAGAATGGCCTTTTTGAGGTGGCTACCAACATGGACATCCTAAAAGAATTTTGTGTATGAAAAAAATATTACCTTTTAGAGCCCAATTCACCAACTTGGGTAAAAAAAAAAAAGCTATTTTTTTTTTGTCTTTAGGAACTAGCATGAGCTTACTAAAAATAAGCCAGGTCAAAACAAACTCTTGACCAGGTGCAGTGGCTCATACCTGTAATCCCAGCATATTAGGAGACTGAGGTTGGAGGATTTGCTTGAAGCCAGGAGTTTGAGACCACCCTGGACAACATAGCAAGATCCTTCTCTACTTTTTTTTTTAAATTTTTTTTAATACTTTAAGATCTGGGATACATGTGCAGAACGTGCAGGTGTGTTGCATAGGTATACACGTGCCATGGTGGTTTGCTGCACCCATCAACCCGTCATCTACATCAGGTATTTCTCCTAATGCTGTCCCTCCCCTAGGCTCCCACCCCCTGACAGGCCACTGTGTGTGATGTTCCCTTCCCTGTGTCCATGTGTTCTCATTATTCAACTCCCACTTATGAGTGAGAACATGCAGTGTTTGGTTTTCCGTTCCTGTGTTAGTTTGCTGAGAATGATGGTTTCCAGTTTCGTCCATATCCTTGCAAAGACACGAACTCATCCTTTTTTATAGCTGCATAGTATTCCATGGGGTATATGTGCCACATTTTCTATATCCAGTCTATCATTTATGGGCATTTGGGTTGGTTCCAAGTCTTTCCTATTGTGAATAGTGCTGCAATAAACATATGTGTGCATGTGTCTTTATTGTAAAATGATTTCTAATCCTTTGTGTATACACCCCATACATGTACATGTGTCTTTATCATAGAATGATTTCTAATCCTTTGTGTATATACCCAGTAATGGGATTGCTGGGTCAAATGCTATTTCTGGTTTTAGATCCTTGAGGAATTGCCACACTGTATTCCACAATGGTTGAACTAATTTACACTCCCACCAACAGTTTAAAAGCATTCCTATTTCTCTACATCCTCTCCAGCATCTGTTGTTTGCTGACTTTTTAATGATCACCATTCTAACTGGTGTGAGATGGTATTTCATTGTGGTTTTGATTTTCATTTCTGTAATGACCAGTGATGATGAGTTGCTTTTCATATGTTTGTTGGCCTCACAAATGTGTTCTTTTCAGAAGTGTCTGTTCATATCCTTTGCCCACTTTTTGATGGGGTTGTTTGTTTTTCCTCTTATAAATCTGTTTAAGTTCTTTGTAGATTCTGGATATTAGCCCTTTGTCAGATGGATAGATTGCATAAATTTTCTCCCATCCTGTAGGTTGCCTGTTCACTCTGATGATAGTTTCTTTTGCTGTGCAGAAGCTGTTTAGTTTAATTAGATCCCATTTGTCTATTTTGGCTTTTGTTGCCATTGCTTTTGGTGTTTTAGTAATGAAATCTTTGCTCATTCCTATGTCCTGAATGGTATTGCCTGGTTTTCTTCCAGGGTTTTTATGGCTTTAGGTCTTATGTTTAAGTCTTTAATCCACCTTGAGTTAATTTTTGTATAAAGTTTAAGGAGGGGGTCCAGTTTCAGTTTTCTGCATATGGCTAGCCAGTTTTCCCAACACCATTTACTAAATAGGGAATCCTTTCCCCAGTGCTTGTTTTTTTCAGGTTTGTCAAAGATCAGATGATTGTAGATGTGTGGTGTTATTTTTGAGGCCTCTGTTCTGTTCCATTGGTCTATACCTCTGTTTTGGTACCAGTACCATGCTGTTTTGGTTACTGTAGCCTTGTAGTATAGTTCGAAGTCAGGTAACACGACGCCTCCGGTTTTTTTTGAGATGGAGTCTTGCTCTGTCACCAGGCTGGAGTGCAGTGGCATGATCTCGGCTCACTACAAACTCTACTTCCTGGGTTCAAGCAATTCCCTTGCCTCAGCCTCCCGAGTAGCTGGGACTGTAGGCATGCACCACCATGCCCAGCTAATTTTTTGTATTTTTGTAGACGCAACGTTTCACCATGTTGGCCAGGATGGTCTCTATCTCCTGACCTCGTGATCTGCCTGCCTTGGTCTCCCAAATTGCTGGGATTGCAGGTGTGAGCCACTGCGCCGGGTCCGCTAAATTATTTTCATTGTTGTGTGTAAAGAATAACAATCAAGCCATAATTTTCATTTATTAATGATTTGGATGTAGAGATAGATAGGAAGGTTGGTAGGTAGGTAGATGATTGATCAATAGATTGATCGGTAGTAAATAGTTAATAATGGTATTTGTTTCAGATGGATGCACTATGTTGCCTTGTGAAAGTTTCCAATTAGGACCATCAATTTAAAGCTGCTTAGAATATTTGTCTTGGTTTATACTTTAGGCAAAATAATAATGAAAATTTTTAATTAACAGAGTGGCAGAAAAAGTTTTAAATCAGAGGGACATAGTTTTACTAATGACATCCTACTTTTTAACTAATGTAGGCTCTATTTTGTCTATTATTCTTATTTGCAGATTAGTAAGTAACATTTATATTCTCCAAACAGTTTTATTTTGTACAATTATAAAATGTTAAAGCTAGAAGGGTTGGTGATTATATGGCTGAATCTCTCTTCTTTATAAGTTAGAAAACAGACGCAGTGAGTGACTTGCTAGATGTCTCCTCGTTAATTCAGGACAGACTGGGAGATCGGACTCTTAGTCCACTTTCTTTCCCCTTTGTTATTAAGCTGTGCCTCTGTATAGGTTGAACAATTTGTAGATTATGGATTTTCTATAATTTATAGTGATCAATTTATAAATAATGAATTATTACTTGCAATTGAATAGTCACTGGAGGAGAAGTTTTGAAGGAAACTAAAATATGAAGGGAAATAAAGTGAGGAAATTTGGCGTTGCATCTGACTTTCAATGAGAAAAGCAACTTGGTAGAGGGATGTGAGAAATCATCTCATATATATGTAAATCGAATATGTGAGGGACAGAGTCAAGAGGGACAAGTCTGGTCTCTCGGCTTTTAAGAAAACCAGAGTGACTCTGTTTTTTGTTTTGTTTTATTTTGTTTTTGTTTTTTTTTGGAGATGGAGTCTTGCTCTGTTACCCAGGCTGGAGTGCAATGGCATGAACTTGGCTCACTGCAACCTCCACCTCCCAGATTCAAGCCATTCTCCTGCCTCAGCCTCCCTAATAGTTGGGACTACAGGCTCACGCCACCATGCCCAGCTAATTTTTTGTATTTTTTAGTAGAGACGGGGTTTCACTGTATTGCCCAGGCTGGTCTCTAACTCCTGAGCTCAGGCAATCCGCCTGTCTTGGCCTCCCAAAGTGCTAGGATTACAGGTGTAAGACACCACGCCCAGCCCACAGAGAATCTTTAAAAAACTGCATAAACTGGTATTACAGACTGAGTTGGCTTTTCCCAAAAGGTGGGATTCTTTCCTGTTAAAAACATGTATCTTGAAGCCAATACATGAAACCAAAAGTAAACATGAAGCAGTGCAAGCTTTATTCCGTGGCCATTGAATTGAGAAGTGGGAACACAACTCACGAATCAACTTCTCAGCTCCTGAGAGCTGCGAAGCCACAGACATAGGGCATCTGTAATGAAAGGGTTGGTCATTAAAAGCAAGGGAGGAATATTCATGTCTTTTTTGAAAATGACTGGAGAACTTCTTGAAATCAGAGTGCCACCTTCCTTTTTTGTCTTTGTATGGTTTCTTCATGTTGATGTCATGGTGATTGTCAACTGTCATGGTGCTGGTGGGAATGTCATTTAGCATGGGAATTAGATTATAACGAAGTTAGAGGTTCTTCAAAGATCAAGTCAACTGTCCTCTTGGATCCCACCAGTTTTAGATGGTTTGGTCATGAGGGGGAACTTCTGACCTCAGATGTCTTGTTTCTTAAAGATAAGCAGAGTTCAGGTGGGGTAGAAACTCACTTTGGACACATAGATATTACAGTGGGTAACACTGGCACACAAATACCTATGTTTAGCAAGAATCTTCCCCCAAATATCAGTATGTGTACAGGTTAGAAAAAAAAAGTCAAGATAGGTTTTCCAGATCTTATCAGAAAGAGTAAAAGACTAGCCAGTTTGATGAGTAGCTCTAGACCAGTAAGATATATCACACTTCTAAAGCCAGGATACAAAATCACAGGAATCCTTGCATTTGGAAAGACTCTAGATACAGAGTGCAGTGATATTTTCCTTATCTGAAGACTAAGTGACCCCTTCTAGACAGTTATAAAGTGAGATGTTTCTCATCCTCTAACACTGAAATAAAAAATATACACTTTACCTACTTTCCAGGGCCCTTGGGAGGTCAGGACGAGCTATAAGATCTGAGGCGGTTTTAAAAAGGTAAAAGCTTGCAAATGTTAAGTCAGTGTTTTGTAAATCACTGAGTTTGGAGTAGTTTATTGCTTCTGTAAAGAATACTCAGTTGCTCTACCAGGAGAAGAAAGTAACACTGGCAAGTGATTTATAGTTTAGGTCAATAAAGGTAATTTTTGTGTGCTGCACAGCCCTTGACCATAATAGTAAAAGCTATCTCTGACATATGCTATGAGTTTTTTTATTACACATTTTACATAAGTTTGCAAATAAAATATTTCAATGTGATATGACCACAAGCTAAAGTCTCAGTAGTTAAGCTTAATAAATAAGCATTTCTTATTAATCTGTAGCCTCATTATTATTGAGTGCATACAAAAGAGAAGAAAGTTAAAAATAGCAATTGGTGCCTATTTAGGAGTGAGAGGTAGAGATTACATTTGCATCCAGTTTTATAAATCGATGGTGATGAAAATTGCTTTTGGATGTAACCTCCTCACATTCAAATGCTGCTTTTAGTTTGGTGTTTAATTACTTTTTAAATTGTTAATAGCCTCTTTCATTTGGAACATGTTTGTTGTTTATAACTCTGTGTATCAATATGATCTATTATATTGTTAGAAAAATATTTGGGTAAAATTCTGTAAGTTTTTTTTTTTAATACTTTAAGTTCTGGGATACATGTGCAGAATGTGCAGGTTTGTTACGTAGGATACATGTGCATTGGTGGTTTGCTGCAACCATTAACCCGTCATTTACATTAGGTATTTCTCCTAATGCTGTACCTGCCCCTGCCCCTCACCCCCCAACAGGCCTTGATGTGTGATGTTCTCCTCCCTGTGTCCATGTGTTCTCATTGTTCGACTCCCACTTATGAGTGAGAACATACGTTGTTTGGTTTTCTGTTCCTGTGTTAGTTAACTGAGAATGATGGTTTCCAGCTTCATCCGTGTCCCTGCAAAGGACATGAACTTATCCTTTTTTATGGCTGCATAGTATTCCATGGTGTATATGTGCCACATTTTCTTAATCCAGCCTATCATTGACGGGCATTTGGGTTGGTTCCAAGTGTTTACTATTGTGAACAGTGCTGCAGTAAACATACGTGTGCATGTGTCTTTATAGTAGAATGACTTTTAATCCTTTGTGTATATACCGAGTAATGGGATTGCTGGGTCAAATGGTATTTCTAGTTCTAGATCCTTGAGGAATCACCACACTGTCTTCCACAAGGGTTCAACTAATTTACACTCCCACCAACAGTGTAAAATGATGCCTATTTCTCCACATCCTCTCCAGCATCTGTTCTTTCCTGACTTTTTAATGATCGCCATTCTAACTGATGTAAGATGGTATCTCATTGTGGTTTTGATTTGCATTTATCTAATGACCAGTGATGATGAGATTCTTTTCATATGTTTGTTGGCTGCATAAGTGTCTTCTTTTGAGAAGTGTCTGTTCATATCCTTTGCCCACTTTTTGATGGGGTTGTTTTTTTGTTGTAAATTTGTTTAAGTTCTTTGCAGATTCTGGATATTAGCCCTTTGTCAGATAAATAGATTGCAAAATTTTTTTCGAACTCTGTAAGTTGCCTGTTCACTCTGATGATAGTTTTTTTTGCTGTGCAGAAGCTCTTTAGTTTAATTAGATTCCATTTGTCAATTTTGGCTTTTGTTGCCATTGCTTTTGTGTTTTAGTCATGAAGTCTTTGCCCATGCCTATGTCCTGAATTGTATTACCTGGGTTTTCTTCCAGGGTTTTTATGGTTTTAGGTCTTACATTTAAGTCTTAAATCCATCTTGAGTTAATTTTTGTATAACCCTTAAGAAAGGGATTGAGTTTCAGTTTTCTGCATATGGCTAGCCAGTTTTCCCAACACCATTTATTAAATAGGGTATCCTTTCTCCATTGCTTGTTTCTGTCAGCTTTGTCAAAGATCAGATGGTTGTAGATGTGTGGTGTTATTTCTGAGCCCTTGGTTCTGTTCCATTGGTCTATATCTCTGTTTTGGTACCAGTACCATGCTGTTTTGGTTACTGTAGCCTTTTAGTGTAGTTTGAAGTCAGGTAGCATGATGCCTCCAGCTTTGTTCTTTTTGCTTAGGATTGTCTTGGCAATGCGGGCTCTTTTTTGGTTCCATGTAAAATTTAAAGTAGTTTCTTCTAATTCTGTGAAGAAAATCAATGGTAGCTTGATGGGGATAGCATTGAATGTTGGCTGTGGGTTTGTCATAAATAGCTCTTATTATTTTGAGATATGTTCCATCAATACATAGCTTATTGAGAGTTTTTAGCATGAAAGGCTGTGGAATATTGGTGAAGGCCTTTTCTCCATCTATCAAGATAATCATGTGGTTTTTCTCATTGATTCTGTTCATGTGATTGATTATGCTTATTGATTTGCATATGTTGAACCAGCCTTGCATCCCAGGAGTGAAGCTGGCTTGATTGTGGTTGATAAGCTTTTTAATGTGCTGCTGGATTTGGTTTGCCAGTATTTTATTGAGGATTTTCACATTGATGTTCATCAGGGATATTGGCCTGCATTTTTTGTTGTTGTTGTTGTGTCTCTGCCAGGTTTTGGTATCAGGATGATGCGGGCCTTATAAAATGAGTTAGGGAGGATTCGCTCTTTTTCTATTGTTTGGAATAGTTTCAGAAGGAATGGTACCAGCTCTTTTTTGTACCTCTGGTAGAATTTGGCTGTGAATCCTTCTGGCCCTGGACTTGTTTTGGTTTGTAGGCTATTAATTACTGCCTCAATTTCCAGAACTTGTTATTGGTCTATTCAGGGATTCGACTTCTTCCTGGTTTAGTCTTGGGAGGTTGTATGTGTCCAGGAATTTATCCATTTCTTCTAGATTTTCTAGCTTATTTGCATAGAGGCGTTTATAGTATTCCCTGATGGTAGTTTGTATTTCTGTGGGCTCAGTGGTGATATCCCCTTTCTCATTTTTTATTGGGTCTATTTGATTCTTCTCTCTTTTCTTCTTTATTATCCTGGCTAGTGGTCTATCTATTTTGGGGATCTTTTCAAAAAACCAGCTTCTGGATTCATTGAGTTTTTAAGGGTTTTTTGTGTCTCTATCTCCTTCAGTTCTGCTCTGATATTAGTTATTTCTTGTCTTCTGTAGCTTTTGAATTTGTTTGCTCTTCTTTCTCTAGTTATTTTAATTGTCAGGTTAGGGTGTCTATTTTAGTCATTCAGGAGCAGGTTGTTCGGTTTCCATGTAGTTGTGTGGTTTTGAGTGAGTTTGTTAATCCTGAGTTCTCATTTGATTGCACTGTGGTCTGAGAGACTGTTTGTTATGATTTCTGTTCTTTTGCACTTGCTAAGGAGTGTTTTACTTCCAATTATGTGGTCAATTTTAGAATAAGTGTAATGTGGTGCTGAAAATAATGTATATTCTGTTGATTTGGGATGGAGAGTTCTGTAGATGTCTATTAGGTCTGCTTGGTTCAGAGCTGAGTTCAAGTCCTGGATATACTTGTTAATTCACTGTCTCATTGATCTGTCTAATATTGATGGTGGGGTGTTAAAGTCTCCCTCTATTATTGTGTGGGAGTCTAAGTCTCTTTGTAGATCTTTAAGAACTTGCTTTATGAATCTGGGTGCTCCTGTATTGGGTGCATATATATTTAGGGTAGTTAGCTCTTCTTGTTGCATTGATCCCTTTACCATTATCTAATGCCCTTCTTTGTCTGTTTCGATCTTTGATGGTTTAAAGTCTGTTTTATGAGAGACTAGGTGGCAACCCCTGCTTTTTTTTGCTTTCCATTTGCTTGGTAAATATTCCTCCATCCCTTCATTTTGAGCCTATGTGTGTCTTTGCATGTGAGATGGGCCTCCTGAATACAGCACACTGATGGGTCTTGACTCTTTATCCAATTTTCCAGTCTGTGTCTTTTAACTGGAGCATTTAGCCCATTTACATTTAAGGTTAATATTTTATGTGTGAATTTGATCCTGCCATTATGATGCGAGCTGGTTATTTTACCCATGAGTTGATGCAGTTTCCTCATAGCATCGATGGTCTTTACAATTTGGCATGTTTTTGCAGTGGCTGGTACTGGTTGTTACTTTCCATGTTCAGTGCTTCCTTCAGGAGCTCTTGTATGGCAGGCCTGGCAGTTACAAAATCTCTCAGCATTTGCTTGTCTATAAAGGGTTTTATTTCTCCTTCATTTATGAAGCTTAGTTTGGCTGGATATGAAATTCTGTGTTGAAAATTATTTTGTTTAAGAATGTTGAATATTGCCCCCCACTCTCTTCTGGCTTGTAGAGTTTCATCTGAGAGATCCACTGTTAGTCTGATGGGCTTCCCTTTGTAGGTAACCCGACCTTTCTTTCTGGCTGCCCTTAACATTTTTTCCTTCATTTCAATCTTGGTGAATCAATCTGACAATTATGTGTCGTGGGGTTGCTCTTCTTGAGGAGTATCTTTGTGGTGTTCTCTGTATTTCCTGAATTTGAACGTTGGCCTGTCTTGCTAGGTTGGGGAAGTTCTCCTGGATAATATCCTGAATAGTATTTTCCAACTGGGTTCCATTCTCCCTGTCACATTCAGCTACACCAATCAAATGTCGATTTGGTCTTTTCACACAGTCCCATATTTCTTGGAGGCTTTGTTCATTTCTTTTCACTCGTTTGTCTCTAATTTTGTCTTCTCACTTCATTTCATTGAGCTGATCTTCAATCTCTGATATCCTTTCTTCTGCTTGATTGATTCAGCTATTGATACTTGTGTATGCTTCACGAAGCTCTCATGCTGTGTTTTTCAGCTCCATCAGGTCATTTATGTTCTTCTCTAAGCTGGCTATTCCAGTTAGCAATTCATCTAACCTTTTTTCAAGATTCTTAGCTTCCTTGCATTGGGTTAGAACATGCTCCTTTAGCTCACAGGAGTTTGTTATTACCCACCTTCTGCAGCCTACTTTGTCAATTCATCAAACTCATTCTCCGTCCAGTTTTGTTCCCTTGTTGGTGAGCAGTTGTTTTCCTTTGGAGGAGAAGAGACGTTCTGGTTTTTTGGAATTTTCAGCCTTTTTACACTGGTTTCTCCCCATCTTCCTGGATGTATCTACCTTTGGTCTTTGATTATGGTGATATTGATACTATTCCTTTCTGTTTGTTAGTTTTTCTTCTACCAGTCATGCCTCTCTGCTGCAGGTCTACTAGAGTTTGCTGGAGGTCCACTCTAGACCCTGTTTGCCTGGTTATCATCAGCAGAGGCTGCAGAACAACAAAGATTGCTGCCTGTTCCTACCTCTGGAAGCTTCGTCCCAGAGGGACACCCATCAGATGCCAGCCAGAGCGCTTCTGTATGAGGTGTCTTTCGGCCCCTACTGGGAGATGCTTCCCAGTCTGCATACACGGGGGGTCAGGGACCAACTTGAGGAGGTAGTCTTTCCCTTATCAGAGCTCAAACACTGTGCTGGGGGAACCCAAGATTCCTTTAACTTTTATAATATTGTTTTGAGATACACTCATGAGAGAAAAACAATTTGATAGCAACCTTAGTGATGTGAGAAATGTAAATTCTGCCAGTTGTTATGTGGCTATAAAACAAGCACTAACACACTATTATTTTTTCTATTTCTCTGAGATACTGAATCATGTGAGTATAAATTTACATATATCCTAGACATAGCATTTTGAAAGAAATTTTTAAAAATTGGTATTTTTTGTATAGAATAGTCACAAATTGTAGACAAAAATTGTTGACCATACCAAAAAGTTATATAATAAAACAAGAGAGAAAATAGCCGACTATGTAATATTTATAATGGGTGTGTATAGTATATAAAAGGGACCATTTTTAGTAGTCCATTGCATACATAGTTTGTAATTATAGCTACCAATAATATATGCATTACATTTCTCCATTACATATATCCATTTCTGCATTACATATATCCATTTCTCTCTCTGTGTGCACAGACACATAAACACACACATACATAACATTAAATATTGTGAGAAAAAATTATTCAGTTTTTAGCAAACTGTTATTGAATGTTTATTCATCTATTCATTCAAGCATTAATTTTTCTATTCATTCAATGTATATTTATTAAACATAAATATTTGTTCTTCAATTTCTGAATTTCACTCACTTTAAGTTTACTGAATTTTTGAGTAAAAAATTTTATTCTCTCTCCATATATTCATGTCTGCATCATTTTCCAAATCATTTAATACATGTAAATTCTAATCCGTAATGAATTTTCATTAAGAAAACATATTAACTCTTGCTTGGCATAGTTCTTCCCTGGTAGGATTGCAGCAAATCAGAGCTTTTTATGGGTGGTCTTTTGTGGGGAGAATCAAACCCAATAAAATATTTGGATACTTTTCCAGAGAGAAAAAAAATAAATCTCAAGATGTATGATATTCATCTACTGTGTTATATGGCAGTTTTTTAATGGCTCCTACTACCATGTAGTCATTTCACAATTTAACCTGGTATAAGTGTCTTTCATGAAAATATATATTTTAAAGATACGTGCATGTATGTAGTAGTCCCCAAAACACAGCCTATGTATATTTCACCTTTTCTTACAGATTTTGGTTTGAAATTTGATGCTCAGATCCTTAATAATTCCCTAAGAACTTCTATTGACAAACTAGTCTGCCATTAGGGTCATTCACTGTAGGTCACTTCTTCCGTCCCCATTTTTTTTTTTGCAGGCCTTTTATAAAGCATGTATTTTATAAGTAATACTCATTGAATAGATTCTTCTTTCAATAGGCAGTAAATTCCAGCTGCACATCTACTCTGAAAATAGACTTACTGAGATAACTGTGAAAGTATTCATGAAAAATTAAGCTTTTAAACACTGAAGTATCTGAAGTTTTCTAAGAGATAGACCAAGAAAGGACGGAGAGAATCATGGAATTTAAAAGGCATGATTAACTGAAATTCTAGTAAGAGTCAGTGAGGCTGGGTGTCATTCATCACACTCATTTGACATGAGGGATATGGGATTTCAAGGTTAGGCAAGGTGAGGTGGGAATTTCATGGAAGCAGTGCTTTTCTTTATTCTCTTCTGAATGAAGATTGTCAACCCATAATAATCAAAAAGAAAAGAGCCCTTAGTGAGACTACACTTTATGACACTAAATTCTGTCTTTGGTTTATGTTTCAAATTTATTCTTATTCTTATTCTACATAAAAGATTTTTGAACTTTAAACTATTATAGGTAGAGAAAACAAGATTAGACAAAATCATTGCTCAAATACCTTAAAGTCATGCTACTTTCATAAGAGGATGCAGGTAAATACTTACTGATCAAACTATCTTACCCTGTAGTGAATTATAAGAAAAATTGATATGGTTGTTGGTAGGTTGGTAAGTCAAGGTATAACATCAGTCTCTCTCTGCTTGTATTTAAAAGCACCTAAGAAACAGATGTGTGAATTGTGTTTCAAAACTGTATTTGGAGAAGTTTGGCTCAGCCTGTAGCATAGGAAGGCCTGTCACTACTTGATGTTTGAATTTAGCCTACGATGTAGTCACAGGCATTTCTAAAAGCCACTGACCTCCCCTCTGGATACCTGAATGTGTAACATTTAGGGCAAGTTGTGGGGGATAGAGATTATGGGCTTCCTGTGGGCAGCTGCCTCTCACAAAGAGAAAGGAGAGATGAGGGGCATGCTGACTCTTTCTTCCAAACTCACCAATCAGATGAGTGATTAGTCTTCCCTGTAAAAGACTGATTAAGGGTGCCCGTGGATAAAGGCCAGAATTTTACTTCAGGGAAGTCCCTCTGCATGGAATTCTGAAGAGTGGAGAATAAGAGTACCCTTTTACTGTGGAGAATGTTTGTACTCCTTTAAGTCTTGCAGATCTGGAATGATTCAAACCCATTAAACAATTAAATAATGTATCATATTATGTTAGTTAGAGTCACAAGAAAGTATATTAATTTAATTTCTGTTGCAAGAGACCTAGAATTTACTTCCATTGGTTAATATAAAAGTTTTAGCAAAGTTTCAAAAAGGTGAGATTTGCACTGATTTCTCAGAGCAAATAAAATATTTTCTTTGTTAATTCTTAGCGTGGAAGAAAAATAAACCAAAAATCTCACAAACATTTAAAAAGCATATTTAATTCAAGTATCTAATATGGTATCTAATATGGTGTTTGGCTATGAGTATATCTATCTACCACTTAAGGCAGGTTCAATGAAGATTTTTCTTGCAATGTTTTGTTAGACAAACTAGCGATACTATGTAAGAGTAAAAGAAGTCTCCTTTAAAAGTATCCTATAATCCAGATTTAAGTAAATTAACAGTGAGTTCAACTCATCATATAGATCAATTTATTTTACTCCTCAAGTATACTTCCCATGTATTCATGTGGCCAAGATAACATGATGGCTTCTTTTTGAAATATTAACAAGATTTCTTCATGTCTCCCTTTATGGTGGGTGACTTTCCATTACCTAAGAAAGACTTGCATTCTTAAAACAAGAATTCCTGTAGCTTCATTTAAAATGCTGACCACTTTGTTTAAGACGATTTTTGTTTTTTACTTTTTTATGAACTAATTTATTTATTGAATAAGTAATACACACAGATCGTAAAATTTTCAGACGTCCCGAAGTGAAAAAATTTGTTTCCTCACTTTAAGGCCCCCAGTTATTCTCTCCAGGGGGAAAAATTCAGTGGTCTCTTGTGTATCTTTCCAAATGTGTCCTATGCTTATAAAATATTATTCCCCTCCCAAGAAAAATACTAGTCTATTTTCACTATTGTTATGTACCTTTATAGGTAAATCCTGGTCTATCAGAAGAAGAGCATCAAGAGAACTTTTAATTAACTGTCTATTGGTAAATGATACTGTAAAATAAATGCAATAGAACATGAATTTCTCAGGTATAGGCATTGCTGGGAATAGTGATGGTCAAGATAGAAGGGTGTGCCTACAAAGAGTGAACAAATACTTCAGTGGGGAGTATTTGCTTGCATACATAAGCAAAGTTGTACCCTAAAAAGTGAGTTCATTGTGGAAGACAGTATGGTGACTCCTCAAGGATCTAGAACTGGAAATACCATTTGACCTAGCAATCCCATTACTGGCTATATACCCAAAGGATTATAAATCATTCTACGATAAAGACACATGCACACGTATGTTTATTGTGGCACTATTCACAATAGCAAATGTCCATCAATGATAGACTGGATTAAGAAAATGTGGCACATATACACCATGGAATACTACACAGCCATAAAAAAGGATGAGTTCATGTCCTTTGCAGGGACATGGATGAAGCTGGAAACCATCATTCTCAGCAAACTATCACAAGATCAGAAAACCAAACAACGCATGTTCTCCCTCATAAGTGGGAGTTGAACAATGAGAACACATGGACACAGGGAGGGAAACATCACACACCGAGGCCTGTTGCGGGGTGGGAGGCTGGGGGAGGGATAGTATTAGGAGAAATACCTAATGTATGTGACAGGTTGATGGGTGCAGCAAACCACCATGGCACATGTATACCTATGTAACAAACTTGCATGTTCTGCACATGTAACCCAGAACTTAAAGTACTAATAATAATAATAATAATAATAATAAAAGTGAGTCTCACAAAATATTTAGGAGCAGATTAAATTGCAAAACACATGATATGCTTATAATCATTAATTTTGATCCTTTCCTTTATATAGTAATCATGGGTCCTATTAGGCAAAAGCTTCTGTTTACTCTGTGTGTAATTCTCCTCTGCAGAGAACATTATTTTTAGTACTATCTATGGCATGTTTTGCCAAAGTGTTGCTTCAGCATTTAACATCAATAAAAACAGAAGTTTTACCCTGTCTATTGAATACTAGACTGTCTCAGAATTCAATGATTTCATCATATTCTAAAAACTTCTTGGCTACTTGTAAGTCCACAACTAAGGAATGCCCTGCAACAAAGGTGATAAGTCATCTTGGCAACAGTTTTATTTTGTAGAGGAAAATACAGTAAAAATAGTGTGTTTCTAGGAAATCTTGAAAGTCTTGCTCCATTTTTGATACAAAGTAGTTAAATAAATACTAGTTTGAAATAGTGATATCTCAGTAGTTTAGTATTATTTAACTATATTTCTTATTCATATGAAGTCCAAAATGGGTGTTTGTATTTGTTAGGGTTCTCTACAGGGACAAAACTAATAGGATGTATATATAAAGGGGAGTTTATTAAGTTGTATTAACTCACACAATCACAAGGTCCCACAATAGGCCATCTGCAAGCCGAGAAGCAAGGAGACCCAGTCTGAGTCCAAAGGCTGAAAAACTTGGAGTCCAGTGTTCAAGGGCAGGAAGCATCAAGCACAGGAGAAAGATGTAGGCTGGAAGGCTAGGCCAGTCTAGCCTTTCATGTTTTTCTGACTGCTTTATATTCTGGCCTTACTGACAGCTGATTGGATGGTGCCCACCCAGATTAAGGGTGGGTCTGCCTTTCCCAGCCCACTGACTCAAATGTTAATCTCCTTTGGCTATAGCCTTACAGACACACCCAGGATCAATATTTTGCATCCATCAATCCAATCAAGTTGAAACTCTGTATTAACCATCACAAGTTCACTCATTGTCAACTTGAACTCATACACATCTCCTGAGATCATACATAATCTTCAAATAAAGACAATAATAAGGTCATAATTATTCCTAACATAATACAACTATCCTTTGTATATCCAGAAACACACCAATTCTCAATCAAAATGCTATTACATAAGTTAACAATACTTAAATGCTGACATGAAGTCAATAAATCTTACGTCACATGATAAAGGAGAAAGGAAATACAATGAAGATATTTTCTTAGTACAAATGTATATATGCACAAACATGTTTTTAACAAAAGAAGGAAGAAATACTTATAACAATTACAGTCCTCATTTCTGCAACTAGTCATGTGGTCATAGCTGGTATTGATGACTACCTTCTTCTACTACCCATTCTGTATTCCCTTTGCCTTCAGTAAGCACCTCAGCAGGTCGTGTTTTTTTTTCCTGGTGGAGTGACCCAAACCTTCATTCCTGAAGGTCTGGGCCAGACAGGTAGTCCTGTCTGGATTGGGCTGTTGTAGTTTCTTGTTGACGTTAATCACAGGGCATGGTAATGCTGAGAGATGCTCTAATGGATCTCCTGTATTCCATGCATGCTCTTTCTTACCTCCGTTGTGGAGTAGTAGACTGATTTCATCTTGACAGTCCAGGCAAAACACCCCAGCCAACACTGTAACTCCCTTCTTAGCCTGTTGACTTAAAGTCAAGAGGAGACCAAAGTGTCCAGGTGTCAATCTTAACTTCCAGTTTAATGTAAACTTTGTTATGTCTCCTGGTGGCAGCATTACTCCCTCTGGAAATAAAACCTCTAGGCCAGCAGAACATAATGTGTGGGACCAGAAAGCAAAATTTTTGCTAGTGGATCACTAGGGGTGATGGTGAGTGGTGCCACTCCCACTTCCACCTCTTGATTCCTGGACCTGTGAATCCTGGCTATGGGAGAAACAGTACCATATATTGGATGCTGATTCAGAGCATACATGATCTTCTGGAGAACTTTGCCCCAGCCCTGCAAAGTATTGTCACCTAGTTGGCATTGTAATTGTGACTTCAAAAGGCCATTCCATTGTTCTATCAATCCAGCTGTTTCAGGATGATGGGGAACATGGTAAGACCAGTGATTTCCATGAGCATGAACCCACTGCCACACTTTAGCTGTAAAGTGAGTGCCTCTGTCAGACGCAATGCTGTGTGGAATACCATGATGTTGGATAAGGCATTCCATGAGTCCACAGATAATAGCCTTGTCAGACGTATTGTGTGCACAATAGGCAAACCTGTATCTGGAGTAAGTATCTATTCCAGTGAGGTCAAACCTCTGCCCTTTCCATGATGGAAGAGGTCCAATATAATCAACCTGCCATAAAGTAGCTGGCTGATCACCCTGAGGAATGGTGCCATATCAGGGGCTCAGTGTTGGCCTCTGCTGCTGACAAATTGGGCACTCAGCAGTGGCTGTAGCCAGGGCAGCCTTGGTCAGTGGAAGCTCATGTTGCTGAGCCCATAAGTAACGTCCATCCCTGCCACCATGGCCATTTTGTTCATGGGCCCATCAGGTGATGACAGGGGTGGCTGAGAAAGAGGCGGAGTTGTGTCCACAGAACGGGTCATCCCATCCACTTGATTATTAAAATCCTCCTCTGCTGAGGTCACCCGTTAGTAAGCACTCACATGGGATACAAATATCTTCACAGTTTTTGACCACTCAGAGAGGTCCATCTACATCCCTCTTCCCGAAATTTCTTTGTCACTGATTTTCCAATCATGCTTCTTCCAAGTTCCTGACCATCCAGCCAAACCATTGGCTACAGCCCATGAATCAGTATATAATTGCACATCTAGTGATTTCTCCTTCCATACAAAGTGCACAACCAGGTTCACTGCTCAAAGTTCTGCCCACTGGGAAGATTTCCTTTCAGGACTGTCCTTCAGGGATGTCCTGGAAAGGGGCTATAGTGCTGCATATCATGCAGAACTGCATATCTGCATGCATATCTGCATATCATGCAGAACTATCTATTGTGGAAGGGATCCAGAAGGAGGTAATTTTATCATGGGGGCCAGTCTTTCCTGTACTATTCTTGTGATAGCGAATAAGTCTCATGAGATCTGATGGGTTTATCAGGGGTTTATGCTCTTGCTTATACCTCAATTTTCTATTGCTGCTGCCATGTAAGAAGTGCCTTTTGCCTTCTGCCATGATTCTGAGGCCTCTGTAGCCTTGTGGAACTGCAAGTCCAATTAAACCTCTTTTTCTTCCCAGTCTCAGGTATGTCTTTATCAGCAGTAGGAAAACAGACCAATACAGTAAATTGGTACCAGTAGAGTGGGGCATTGCTGAAAAGATACCCAAAAGTGCAGAAGTGACTTTGGAACTGGGTAACAGGCAGAGACTGGAACAGTTTGAAGGGCTCAGAAGAAGACAGGAAAATGTGGGAAATTTCAAAACTTCCTAGAGCCTTGTTGAATGGCTTGGCCTAAAATGCTGATAGCAATATGGACAATAAAATCCAGGCTGAGGTGCTCTCAGATAGAGATGAGGAGCTTGTTGGGAACTGGAGCAAAGGTGACTCTTGTTATATTTTGGCAAAGAGACTGGTGACATTTTGCCCCTGTCCTAGAGACTTGTGGAACTTCGAACTTGAGAAAGATGATTTAGGGTAGCTGGTGGAAGAAATTTCTAAGTAGCAAAGTATTCAAGAGGTGACTTGGGTACTGTTAAAGGCATTCAATTTTGTAAGAGAAGAAGAGCATAAAAGTTTGGAAAATCTGTAGTCTGACTGTATGATAGAAAAGAAAAACTCATTTTCTGGGGAGAAATTCAGGCTGACTGCAATTTGCATAAGTAGCAAGGAGCCTAGTGTTAATTCCCAAGATCGTGGGGAAAATGTCTCCAGGCCATATTAGAGACCTTCATGGCAGCCCCTCCCATCACAGGCCCAGAGGCCCAGGAGGAAAAAGTGGTTTTGTGGGCTGGGCCCAGGGTCTCCCTGCTGTCTGCAGTCTAGGGACTTGGTGCCCTGTGTCCCAGCTGCTCTAGCCATGGCTGAAAGGGGCTAGGATCTACATAACATATTGGAAATTGCAGGACAACAAAAATATGACTTGAAATTATATAAAATCAGCTAGTGAATAACATAAAGAAACTTTCTCAAATAGCTTACTTTCAACAGGATTGAAGAGTTTGCTTCATGCATAATTAGACATGAGTACTTCTGAAATTCAGGTGCTATAATTTCACCAATGCTGGTCTTTCTAAGCCTTATTTACTATTAAGCTTTATTTCCATAACAATTGGACGGATCTTTCAAATTTATGTTTGTTATGAGGACACATTAGATTAAATGTTACTTGCTTTGTTTATCCCTAAATACCAGAAAAAGTCCCTGCCTCCAAGTTACTTGCATTTTGGTAGAAAGGACACAAAGAAAGGACACAAACAAATACATCACGAATCAAGTAGCAATAAGTGTTGTGAGGAAAATCAAACCTGGCTGCAGGGCTAGAAGTTGACAGAGGAGGCTAAATTAGGTTGTCAGATCTTATAAGTCCTCTCTGAGGTAGTGTTTTAGAGATAAGACTTGAGTAAAACCATGTGAACATCTTTGTAGAATAGCACTGTAGGCTAAGGAAAGAATGAGTGTCAGATATACTGGGTGTGTCCAAAAAAAAACAGAGCAAGCCCATGTGGCAGGGATGGGATGAGAAAATAAACCAGAAGGTAATTATAATTGATAGTATCCAGGGTCTAGATCACAAATAGCATCATAAGAACTTTGGATTTTAAGTGCAGTGAGAAGTTATTAGAATATTTTGGGCTCTAATTATCTGATTTAAATTTAGAGGTATTACTCTGGCTGCTGCATTGAGACTAACTTTTTGGAGGGTGAGGGAGGAAGCAGGAAGAAAATTCATTCAAAATATTTATGTAGTGCTTATTATATTTCTACTTTAGCAACTGAAGATACAGCAGTGAATAAAATGGAAAAAGTCTCTGCTTTCATGATGCTTACATGAAAATGAATATATGATATATAAAATGACACCACGTAGAGAAATAACACAGGATAAAGGCATAGAAAGTGGTAGTGGAGGTGTGTGGGTTATTTTAAATAAAGGTGATATTTGAACAAACACTTGAAAAAATTGAGGATATTTCAGGGAAGAAAGCTTAAGAAGAGGAAGCGGCAAGTGCAGAGGGTCTGGTGAAGCATGTCCCTGGGAAGGGGTTGGATTGGAGTAGATAAAAGGGAAGTGGTTAAATGAAGTCTGAGGGACAGTGAAGGAACAAGTGATGTAGTATCTTCTAGGTCATGGATCTTATGTTGAGTGATATGAGAAACTATTGAAGGCTTTTGAGCAGAGGAATGACGTGATCTGACTTACATTTTAAAAGTAACATCTAGCTGCCACGTGTAGAATAGACGGTAGAGAAATAAGAACAGATGGGAGCAAAGGTTTTCTGGCAGAGAAAGACTTGTATCACTTCAATCCCCTTGAAGAAGGGGCTCACTTTCCCAGATGTGAAAAGTGTGGTTAGCTGACTGCCTCCAGTTGTTAGCTTCATGAGGGTTCCACCTTAGTTTTTCAGGTGTAGTCAAACACTTCTTAAAGTGGCTCCAGTCACTTTAAGTGGCTCAGTCAATCACTGAGCAAGTAGAGGTACAACAGGCTAGCCATTTCCTTCAAATGTGGGGTTTTCCAATGGGAAATCTTTGCTTCAGACTCCTGTTGGCCCAGCAGACACTGTGTCAGGTTGGCATCACTGTCTAACAGCAACCTCTGCCCAATCTGGCTTTCTTTTCAAGATCTTACTCCCCAATAAACTTTTTTCACTTTTTATGCCATGTTATTATCTGCTTCCTCGAGAACCCAACAATAATAGATGGGAAGAGGGAGATGAATTAAGATGCTAATTCAGGTGAGAGACGATGGTGCCTTGACTAGGTTAGTGAGAGTAGAGATCTTGGGGAAAAGATTGCAGTTATACTCTGAAGGTGGCATCAATAGTAATTGCTAAGAAGTTGAATTTGGGATGTGATGGAAAGATTGGAGTCAAGGTTGACTTCACATTTTTGTCTTGAACATTTGGAAGCATAGAGTTGCTTCTCTTTACCAAAATGAAGAAAATGGTCAAAGGAATAGGCTAGGAGGATCTTAGAAAAAATTGAGTTCAATGGTAGCATATTAATATTGTCATGTTGAGTTGGATTTTCCAGTCTGGATTTTGGGTGAGTGGTCACTGATGAATGCACACATTTGGAAGTTACCAGCCTATTGTGGTATTTAAGCCACACACATGGAAACTCATGTAGGAAATGCAAGTAGATAGAGAAGTATTGCACTTTATGACACTTTAAAGTTTAGAAGTCAGTTAAAAAAACTAGGAGAAGCCAGTTAAAAGAGAAGGCATAACTGCTGGGTTAGTGAAAGAGGCAAGAGAGCTTGTACCAGGCAATAACTGAAGGAAGTGTTTCAAAAAAGAAGGAAAGATCATTTGATTCAAATGTTGCTGAAATATACAGTACAATGAAAACTGATACATCACTACTGGATTTAAAAACATGGAATCAGTGACCTTGATAAGGTTGTTTTATTGAGATGGGGAAGAATGAAGCTTGAGTGATGTGCGTTCAAGAGCAAATGTTAGATATGAAAGTGTACAAATGCAAGCACATAGCACCACTCTAGATAAATTAAGCAAGAGCTACAGATAGGTCTAATGCTAAAACAAGGTGTGTTAGGCCATTCTTTCATTGCTATAAAGAAATACCTGAGACTTGGTCATTTATAAAGAAAACATGTCTAATTGACTCACAGTTCTGCAGGCTGTACAGAAGCATAGCAGCATCTGCTTCTAGGGAGGACTCAGGAAGCTTACAATCATGGCGGAAGGCAAAGATAGAGTAAGCACATCACATGGTGAAAACAAGAACTGAGAGATAGCAGGGAGATTTCACACACTTTTAATGTTTTCTTTTTGAGATGGAGTCTCGGCTAATTTTTTGTATTTTTTTCTTTCTTTCTTTCTTTCTTTTTTTTTTTTGAGACGGAGTCTTGCTGTGTCACCCAGGCTGGAGTTCAGTGGCGCGATCTCTGCTTACTGAAACCTGTGTCTCCCAGGTTCATGCCATTCTCCTGCCTCAGCCTCCTGAGTAGCTTGGACTACAATCACTCTGCACCAGGCCCGGCTAATTTTTTTGTATTTTTAGTAGAGACGGGGTTTCACCGTGTTAGCCAGGATGGTCTCAACCTCCTGACCTTGTGATCTGCCCACCTTGGTCTCCCAAAGTGTTGGGATTACAGATGTGAGCCACTGCACCCAGCCATTTCACACACTTTTAAATGACCAGATCTTGATAGAACTCATTATCACAAGGACAGTAGCAAGGAGATGGTACTAAACCATTCATGAGAAATCTGCCCTATGATCCTATCACTTCCTACTAGGTCCCACCTCCAACACTGGGGATTAGAATTCAACATGAGATTTCGGTGGGGACACACATCCAAATCATATCACAGGGACTTATCTAGGTGATTGCTACAGATGACGCTTGTACAACATAGGTTTGAACTGTGTGGGTTCACTTACACATGGATTTTTCTTCTGTCTCTGCCACTCCTGAGAAAACAAGAACAACCCCTCCTCTTTCTTCTCTTCAGCCTACTCAACATAAAGATGACATGAATGAAGACCTTTATAATGACTCACTTCCACTTAATAGTAATTATATTTTATCTTTCTTATAATGTTTAATATTATATTTTCTTTTCTCTAGCTTATCTGATTGTAAGACTATAGTATATAAGATAACTAATATGCAAAATACATGTTAATCAACCGTTTATATTTTTGGTAAGGCCTCCAGTCAACAGCAGGCTGTTAGTAGTTAAATTTTAGGGGAGTCAAAAGTTATACATGGATTTTCAACTCTGTGCTCCTTATCTTCACATTGTTCCAGGGTCAAATCTATTATCTTAACAAACATTTATATATCAATTACAGTGTTCCAGACATTTTTAATGTACACTAGGACATAACTGATTTAATGCTCATAACTACTCTAGGAGGGATGGACTCCTATTTTAGTTGGGAATTTGAGGAGAGAGATATTAAGTAATATATAATTGCCTAAGGTCATACAGCTAGTAATGTGTGAAGATGGTAATTGAACCTATGTAATCAGAATTAAAATCTTCTCAATAATCAATTCTTCTAACTCTACACCCTATGGCATAGGCAATTTTTTATATTGGAGTTTAAATACTAATGTGAATATGATTATAAGGAAAATTTGATGATGTGAGAGTGGAAAAAGTTACAGGAAAAAATACTTAGGTATTCAGAAGGTATATAAATGCAGTGCATAATTGGAGGATTTGGCTTTAGATAGAAGCAGGAATATTTCATTTATTGTGATTGGTGAGAAGGCTAAACACTTGAGTGCATACACACATACATTTTTATCTTTGGTTTTGAGAGAATGAGAAAGTTCTCTTTTGATTGTTACTATTTTCTACTTAAATGTGAAGGGAAAGGAGAAGGTGTGAAATAGTGCTGTTTTTTGGATGGGAGAATAAAATGACTTGGAGAATATGAAAGGATTGTCTTGGACCAGTTACAACCTACTTGATATTTGTGGTCCTAAAAGTAAAGTGATTCATTCAGTACATTTATCATGTTGTTTTTCTATAGCAAGTTCAGCTGCTTATGCATATCAATAAAATAGGTGAAGAATTTTATTTAACCAGATTTGAAGTTTTGCCAGATGAGTGTTATAAAAGGAGACAAGGATGAGGGATTTGAGGTTTTATGAAACGGACCTGGAGTTTTTGTTTGTTGAGTGAAGAAGGAAGGACATGGGATGAGGAAGCTAATAATGACAAGCATGTAAGGCACTAGATCACAGGTTCTAGTGCTCAAAAATAATTGATGGAAATGGAAGTATTAGAAGGAGTGAACTGGACTTGAAGGTGGTAACATTAAGACTGACAAAGAGCAGACTCACTCTACTTATAAAGTCAAAAGTAACTTCTAAGTTTATTAGAAATTGTTTCTTTATGTGAAATTCAGTTATTCAATCTCAATGAATAGCTGTTCTACTAGAGTAAATTACTGTAGTATTAAATTTGAATAAGACATAAGAATGCCTCTCTGTGTGTTTAAACATAAAATGATTCTACTAAATGAATATTTGTTACTTAGTAGTGCTGATGGTGTAACAGGCAAAGTCACCATTTGTCTCTATTGGTGTGTGAAATTTAAACATTTAAAAGTAATAAAAGTTATGATTTTATGTAATATTATTAAGCACTTTATTATACACCATCACAGTACTGTGCTTAATAATATTACATATGCTATCTCTGAACTAATTGTTGGTACCAGTGGGATGGGATTCACTGGTAGCTAGATCTGGGCCTGAAGCGGGTGGTATTAGTCCAATGTGAATTTTATGAGCTGAGTTGAAAAGGGATTGCTCCTTAAATGAAATTTGAGATGTCCTTATTACAAAAAGGGGAGCTGAATGTGAGGTAGGCCCAAACCAAAAAATCCATCATTATTACTGACCACCTTTAGTAATCTCATAAGATCTCTTGTAGATTTTCAGATCATCTAAAGCAGCCTAATGAAAGACCACTGAATATTTGTCCAGACTAGGAGAGTCAGCACGATGTATATTCTTACTAGTAGATGATTGGTATCATTTGAACTAAATTATCAAAATTTTGACTTGTACTTCCTAACACTTTTTAGTTAAATCCTAAACGTTTGCCAATGTGCAAGGTTTTGCTCAGTGTACTTTACCAAATTGTGCTCCACTTTTGTTTTATTTATTTATTGAGATGGTGTTTTGCTCTTGTTGCCCAGGCTGGAGTGCAATGGTGTGATCATGGTTCACTGCAACCTCTGCCTCCCATGTTCAAGCTATTCTCCTGCCTCAGCCTCCTGAGTAGCTGAGATTACAGACATGTGCTACTATGCCTGGCTAATTTTTGTATTTTTAGTAGAAACAAGGTTTCTCCATGTTGGTCAGGCTGGTCTCGAACTCCTGATCTCAAGTGATCCGTCCGCCTCAGCCTCCCAAAGTGCTGGTATTACAACTGTGAGCCACCACACCCGGACACTTTTGTTTTATTTAACTACAGCTTGCACTTGTATAATGACACCACTTAAGGAAAAATTTTTAGTGGTGCTTGGAATAAATAATAACTGTAATTTCATGCACTGGGAGACTGTTCTGAAAGATTAATTCATTCCAAGATTCACATCGGCTGAGATAGAAATCAGTATTCAGCTTTGACTTTTCATTTTAATTATTCTTACCTATTCCCATTTTTCCTTCAGTGATTAATTTTTCTGTAGGAAAATGATGAAATTTGATCCACCAATATGAGTGACTGGGATGCTAATAGAAGACTAAACTGGAGGACTAAATACCTGAATCTGTTTGACTCTAGGCAGAGCCTTTAACATCAATATATATCTGAGAAACATTATAATATGGAATTGTCCCCATCTCCTTTTATACTTATGCAGTTTTTGGGAATTATTTTAATGTATATTTTCATATATATATATATATAAATGCAGATTATAGTATAATAAACTGTAATTTACATATCATCCAGCTTTAAAAAGTGTTAACTCAATGGCCATTTCTATCTTTAATATCATAATCAAATTTGCATTTTATAAAAGTAACACTTTTGTGGTGACATTAACACTGGTGGAAATGGTTTGAAATATAGTGAAGCTCATGTCAGAAAACCATTTAGGTAGCTATGGTGTTTATCCAGGTGAGAATCTGAATTTAAGTCAACAAGAGATTGGAGTTATACACACACACACACACATATATGATATCCAATTCTTATATATATAAAGATACAGGATTTGGAGAGGAGGTGGAACAAGATGGGTGAAGAGAAGCCACCACTGATCATTCTCCCTGCAAGAACACCATATTTAACAACTATCTACACAACAAACCATCTTCATAAGAACCAAAAATCAGGTGAGCAATCACAGTACCTGGTTTTAACTTTATATCACTGAAGGGAACAGGAAGAATAGTTTTGAATTGCAGCCATTACCCCTTCTCCACCCCCTGGCAGTGGCTGTGCAGTACAGAAACTCTGCACTTGGGCAAGGGAGAGTGTAGTGATTGTGGGGCTTTGCATTGGAACTCAGTGCCGCCCTGTCACAACAGAAAGCAGCACTGAGCATGACTCAGTCAGTGCCCATGGAAGGAGCATATAGATCAACTGAGACAGAGGGGAATAATCTGTCCTAGCAGTCGGAACTTGAAGTTCAGCAAGCCTTGCTACCATGTACTAAAGTGCTCTGGGGTTCTAAATAAACTTAAAATGCAGGCTAGGCCACAAGAACTGCAATCCCTGGGAAGAGTAAAGAGGACTTTATCTTGCAACTTGGATACCAGCTCAGCTGCGTAGAATAGGGCATCAGGCCCTCCATTCCCTACCCTAACTCCCAGACAATATCTCCAGGCATATTCTGGGCCAGAAGGGAACCTACTACCTCGAAGGGAAGGACCAAATCCTAGCAGGATTCATCACCTTCTGACTAAAGAGCACTTGAGCCCTAAATAATCAGCAGCAAGGAGCAGGCAGTACATGCTGTGGGCCTTGGGTGAGACTTTCAGATGTGCTGGTTTCAGGTGTGACCCAGCACATTCCTAGCTGTGTTGGACACAAGGAGAGACTCCTGTTGGAAAAAAGGAGAGGGAAGAATAAAGGGAGCTTTTTCTCACAGCTTATGTACCAGCTCAGCCACAGTGGAGTAGAGCAGCAAGCAGACTCTTGGGGTGTTTGATTTCAGGCCTTGGCTCCTGGATGGAATTTTGGACTGTCCCTAGGTCAGAGGGGAACCCACTGCCCTCCTACGCCTGTCAGCATTTACCGTAAGCTTACTGAAGAGCCCTTAGGCCTTCAGTGAACATCAGGCAATACTTGCCGCAGGCCTGGGGTGGTGGTGGCCACAGGAAGAAACTCCTCTGCTTGTGTAAAGGGGAGGAAAGAGTGGGAAGAACTTCATCTTGTGGTTTGGGTGACAGCTCAGCCATAGTAGAATGGAACACCAGATAGATTTCCAAGGTTTAAGAATCTAGGCCCTGGCTCCCTGATAGAAACTCTGGATCCACATGGGGCTTAGGGGGAACATGCTGCTCTGAAGGGAAGCACACAAGCCTGGCTGGCTTCACCACCTGCTGATTATAGAGTCCTAGAGTCTTCAGCAAATATAGACAGTAGCCAGGCAGTGGGCTTTGGGTGAGATCAGTGCTGTGTTGGCTTCATGTTTGACCCAGAACAGTCTTAGTGGTGGTGACCACAGGGATGCTTGTTTCACCCCTCCCCCAGCTCCAGGCAGCTCAGACAGAAAGAGAGAGACCCCATTTATTTGGGACAACGTAAGGGAAGAGAACAAGAGATTCTGCCTGGTGATCCAGAGAATTCTTCTGGGTCTTATCCAAGACCACAAAAGCAGTACCTCTATGAGTCTGTAAGTGCCACAGTGTTACTGGGTTTGGGGTCCCCTCTAATGCAGATATGGCTGTAGTGACCAAAAACTTAGATCAAAACACCCAAGTCCTTTTGAATACCTGGAAATACTTCCCAAGAAGGATGTGTACAAACAAGCCCAGATGTGGAGACTACAATAAATACCTAACTCTTCAATACCTAGATACCGGTGAACATCCGAGTGTTAGGCCATTCTCACATTGCTATAAGGAAACACCTGAGACTGGGTAATTTATAAAGAAAAGATGTTTAATTGGCTTATGGTTCTGCAAGCTGTCTAGAAAAAACAATGTTGGCATCTGCTTAGCTACTGAAGAGGCCTCAGGGAGCTTTTACTCATGGCAGAAGGCAAAGAAGGAGCACGCATGTCACATGGCAAAAGAAAGTGCAAGAGAGAGAGCAGGAAAGTGCCACAAACTTTTAAATGACAGGATCTTGTGAGAACTCACTCACTATGGTGAGGACAGTACCAAGGGGGTGATACTAAATAATTCATGAGAAACTGCCCCTATGATTCAATCACCTCTCACCATGCCCCACCTCCAACGTTGGGGATTATATTTTGACATGAGATTTGGGCAGAGACACACATCCAAACTATATCAATCCACAAGCACCAAGACGATACAGGAAAACATGACCTCACCAAACAAAGTAAATAAGGCACCAAGGACCAATGCCAGAGAGAGAGAGATATGTGAGCTTTGAGACAGCGAATTCAAGATAGCTCTTTTGAGGAAAGTCAACAAAACTCAAGATAACACAGAAAAGAAATTCAGAATACTATCAGATACATTTAATAAAGAGATTGAAATAATTAAAAGGAAACAAGCCCTGATTCTGGAGTTGAAAATGTGATGACATACTGAAGAGTGCATTGGAGTCTCTTAATGGTGGAATCAATCAAGCAGAAGAGAGAATTCATGAGCTTGAAGATAGACTATTTGAAAATACACAGAAGTGATAAAAGAAAAAAGAAGAAAAAAATGAAGCATGCTTACAAGGTCTGGAAAATAGCCTCAAAGTGGCAAATCTGAGTTACTGGACATAAAGAGGAGGTAAAGAGAGAGATAAAGGTAGAAGAGTTCAATGTATGAAACTATTAAAAGAAAACACTGGGCAAAGATTTCTCGAGTAATACTCCACAAGCACAGGCAACCAAAGCAAAAGTGGACAAGTGAAATCACATCAAGTTAAAATGCTTCTGCACAGCAAAAGAAACAATCAACAAAGTGAAAAGACAACCCAAAGAATGAGAGAAAATATTTGCAACCATCCATCTGACAAGGAATTAATAGCTAGAATACATAAGGAGCTCAAACAACTCCATAGGAAAAATCTAATAATCTGATTTAAAATGGGCAAAACATTTGAGTAGACATTTCTCAAAAGAAGACATACAAATGGCAAACAGACATGAAAAGGTGCTCAACATCATTGATCATCAGAGAAATGCAAACTAAATTACAATGAGACATCATCTCACCACAGTTAAAGTGGCTTATGTCCCAAAGATAGGCAACAATAAATGCTGGCAAGGATGTGGAGAAAAGGGAACTCTTGTATAGTGTCGTGGGAATGTACATTAGTACAACCACTATGGAGAACAGTTTGGAGGTTCCTCAGAAAACTAAAAATAGAGGTACCATACAATCCAGCAATCCCACTGCTGGGTATATAACCACAAGACAGGAAGTCAGTATATCAAAGAGATACCTGCACGCCCATGTTAGTTGCAGTACTGTTCACAATAGCCAAGATTTGCAAGCAACGTAGGTCTCCATCAACAGATAAATGGATAAAGAAAAATGTGTTACATATACACTATGGAGTACTACTCAGCCATAAAAAGGATGAGATTCAGTCAGTTGCAACAACATGGATGGAACTGGATTTCATTATGTTAAGTGAATGAAAGAAGCCAGTCATAGAAAGACAAACTTTTTATGTTCTCACTTATTTGTGGGAGCTAAAAATTAAACCAATTCAACTCCTGGAGATAGAGAGTAGAATGATGGTTAACAGAGGCTGGGAAGGGTAGTAGGTAGGGAAAGTGACAATTGTTAATGGGTACAAAAAATAGTTAGATATAATGAGTAAGAGCTTGTACTTGATAGCACAACAGGGACTATAGTCAATAATATATTGTACATTCAAAAATAACTAATGGAGTATAGTTAGATTGTTTGTAACACAAAGACTCAATGGTTGAGGTGATGGACACCTCATTTACCCTTAGGTAATTATTATGCATTGTATGTCTATATCAAAATATCTCAAGTACCCCATAATACAGAAATATCTGTATGTACCCACAATATCTCATGTACCCCATAATGCAGAAAATATCTATATATACCCACAAATATTTTCTTTTAAAAAGAGGCAGAATCTACCTGGCCACTGGTTAAAGGAGCTATGCTGTAAAACATTCTGACAAGGGAACTCTTGGTGTCATTTGATTATTTTCTTCTTCAGTTTAAACATTACCAGTATACTATTAACTATTTATAGTACTGTAAAACTTTCTTTTGCAGTCTTAAAAATCACAATAATATATTTGTTTTCTGGTTAAAATTTATAATCAGATTAAAATTTGTTACAAAATTTTGTTGAATGTAAAAATTAATTTTTGTTTGATCTCCTGGTTTTTGAGAAAGTGGAACTAACAGAAATGTACTTGACACAAAACAGAGGCTTAATTAATGTGTTTCTGAGACCCAGTAAGTATATTGTCCTTAAATACTTCAGAAATGGTTATTTTATTAAACTAAAAAAATACTCACCAACTTCTAGAAATCGCCTGGATATGTTTATAGTTAGAATACAACATAATGACACTATAAAAGTAAAACTTAAAGAAGGAAAAGCTAAGTTATAAAAAGAGAAATAAGCTAGTAGATAATTCATTGGCTGTTTTAGTTATGTTCCTGCTGAAAGTAAGATGGTTGGGCTGATTCTATTATTGTATAATGCTATAAGTAAACTGGTTTTATTTTTTTAAGTTAAATGCAATGTGTGTGTGTGTAGGTGTGCGTGTATGTGTATTAGTATTTAATGACACTGGATAACTTACAACATATTTGGTTTAACACTTAAATATCACAAAGAGAAAAAAATAAACATGACTTTGATTTCTAAAATTTTTATAGGAGACCATATTGTCATTTCAAATACAACAAATCATGAAAAATGACCCCACTTCTACTCTAACTTTACCACATTGGGGAGGAAGAGAGAAATCCTGCACTTTGATCATTAATACATAGTGTCTATATAAATTGAGATCTTACATGATGACATTATGGGAGCTGATACTTGCAAAAACACACTGGGATAGATATAGTTCAACCTTATCTTTTCGTCTTGAAAATTTCATAATTCCCACTTCAAGAAAAGTTCTTCCTACTTATCCTTCTCTGCTTTTCCCACCACCACTAACATGTTAAAAAAATGTAGAACTTTCAGTAATATGTTTTGTCTCCAAACTGCCAGAAGTTGGAGTACAATATTGTTTATATACAAATCTGATTAGTATTCTTTGGAGAGTTTGTACTTCATTGGTTCTACTTTGTCTGAGAGCAGATGGAGCCCTAAAGTGAAGCTATTATTATTTTTCAAAAGCATAACCTATTCTGGAAGTGTTCTCTTTTTAATGAAGTGAGCCATCAGAAATAGAGAAGAATCTCTTACTTATCTTATGACTAATATGCATGGATAATTGATTTCCTGGTGTGAAATACATAACCTACTTTGGAAATCATGTTTTTCTCCCTTTTCTCCAAAGCTGTGGACAAGATTTATTTTAAAATTGAAAATATCATCTGGTATTGTCTCCCTTTTAATTATATTAGGATTTTATGAGTCCTTTCAGTCTGGACACTCTGCTGTTTCTGAGTTCATCGTTTTGTGTGCTTTTTGGCATCTAAGGAAAAGACAACTTGAGTAAATCATGGAAGAGGTCCTTACCATACCATCCAATGCAAAAATCCTTTTCCAATTCCAATAAATTAACAAAACTTTGAGATTTCCTGTATTCTTAAAACCTTTCAAAAGCCGCAAGAACAATGGACTGATAGCAATGTAATTTCTCACTTGTATTTGCAAACATTGATAAAAATTGCCATATGATTACTGCCTTTCAGTTTGGTTAATTAAACTATTCTAATTAGGAAATAGGAGCTCTGGGAGAAACATGAGCATTTATTTGTTCACTCCTTCATATTTAATTCAATAAATATTTATTATCAATAATACGTTGCATACTGTGTTAAGATGCTAAAACTGACATTTTGGATGAGATACACTTGTACTTTATACCATCTATTTACCATAATGAAGTCTAAAATATGACTCAGTATGATGGCAACCAAGAATTTGGTTTTGTGCTTAAAGTAGAACTCCCCCAAAGTAGAAGCCAACTGACTTTATGAAACACTGTGCCAATAAAATTTATGTAGTAATTTTATAAAAGTGGTAAGTGCTACTATAAGCATTTTTTTTTAAGATGGAGTCTTGCTCTGTTGCCCAGGCTGGAGTGCAGTGGTGCAATCTTGGCTCACTGCAGCCTCTGTCCCTGGGTTCCAGCGATTCTCTTGCCTCAGCCTCCTGGGTAGCTGGGATTGCAGGTGCACCCCACCATGCCTGGCTAATTTTTGTATTTTTAGTAGAGACGGGGTTTTGCCATTTTGGCAAGGCTGGTCTTGAACTCCTGACCTCAGGTGATCTGCCTGCCTTGGATCACTAATTAGCTTTTGACATTGTCAGGCATTTTACCATTTTACCTCCCAAAGTGCTGGGATTACAGGCATGAGCCACAGCGCCCAGCCGTAGTATAAGCATGTTGAACTCAAAAAGAACTTACGGCAGTACCATACTTAGCTATTGAGAAGATGTTCTTATCACATTCTAATTTCTGTATGTATTTTTTTGCAATAGTTTTAGAACCTGAAACAGAGACTGACAAGTAATAAATATTAAGTGAGTGAATAAAGCAGTAAATTATCAGTACTTTAGCTGTAGATACCCATTGGAAAATTTGTCATTAGATAGCATTTTTGTTTGGATAGATGGTCTCTCTTGCCTCAAATTAAAGAATCAAATTGACAAGCAACCAATTAAACTCATAAATAAAGCTTTCTACTTTAAAATTCAAAATTGATGATGTAGTGTCAGGAATACAACATGATCTATAACATTAAATTATGTTATCAACTGAATTTTAATGGTTGTATGGTCTTTTCCCACTTAATATATAAATTTGTTTTGGTTTATAGTTATATAGAGTATCTATAAAGCATTTATAAGTACCTATGGTTGTTAAATATTGTCCTTGAAGGAATGAGAAAACTAACCTGTTAGACTCACTTTTGAAGGTCACTGCAGACTGTAAAGGGCAAAGAGTGACATTTATTGTGAGTGCATGAATGGAGTGGCATAGCCTTCAGAGTCATGAATGAGGATGAAGAAAACTCAGTGAGCCATATTGCTGTTTGTATGTTCTGTCTCTGCTTCCTGAAAAGCACTGGAACATTTCTTTTTTACTTTTCAGAGATTGCATAAACTGAGAGCAGAAGGGAGCATTTTTCCTTATTGTTCTGCTATGATTAGAAATAATCAATTTAGAAATGGAGATTGAAAGCATTAAAAAATCATAGTTTAAAGGCAGAAGTATTCATAATAAAAATACAGTAATCCAGAGTATTTTTGAGCACCAAATGTGAGCCTGCTACTATTGTAGGCACTTGGATCTGGCAGTGTAGACAACAACCCCCCTCACCCTATGGATTGATATTTCTTTCTACCTGAAGAAAGAGAAGGGAGGAAAGAATACTCAAATGATAATTTGGAATTGTGCCCACTCTGATGCTAATTAGCTTTTGACATTGTCAGGCATTTTACCTTTGCTTACTCATTCATAGAATGTTTTGAAGTTGTACTTTTTATTTGGAAATAATTTCAAACTTATAGAAAAGTTATAAGAACAGTACAGAGCATTTGCTGGAAAGATGACCGAATAGGAACAGCTCTGATTTGTAGCTCCCAGCTAGCTCAACGCAGAAGGTAGATGATTTCTGCATCTCCAATTGAGGTACCCAATTCATCTCATTGGGACGGTTTGGACAGTGGGTGCAGCCCATGGAGGGTGAGCTGAAGCAGGGTGGGGCATTGCCTCACCCAGGAAGTGCAAGGGGTTGGGGGATTTTGCCCCTCTAGCCAAGGGAAGCCATGAGGGACTGTTCCCTGAGGAATGGTGCACTCTTGCCTAGATACTGCGCTTTTTCCGTGGTCTTTGCAACCTGCAGACCGGGAGATTCCCTCTGGTGCCTATGCCACCAGGGCCCAGGGTTTCAAGCACAAAACTGGGCGGTCCTTTGGGCAGAAATGGAGCTAGCTGTGGGAGATTATTTTCATACCCCAGTGGCACCAGGAACACCAGTGAGACAGAACCGTTCACTCCCCTGGAGAGGGGGCTGAAGCCAGGCAGCCAAGTAGTCTGGCTTGGTGGATCCCACCCCCAGGGAGCCCAGCAAGCTAAGATCCACTGGCTTGAAATTCTCACTGCCAGCACAGTAGTCTGAGGTCGACCTTGGACACTTGAGCTTGGTGAGGGAGGGGCGTCTGCCATTACTGAGGCTTGAGTAGGTGGTTTTACCCTCACAGTGTAAAAAAAGCTTTTGGGAAGTTGGAACTGGGTGGAGCCCACCGCAGCTCAGCAAGGCCACTGTGCCCAGAATGCCTCTCTAGATTCCTCCTCTCTGAGCAGGGCGTCTCTGAAAAAAAGGCAGCAGCCCCAGTCAGGGGCTTATAGATTAAACCCCCAACTCCCTGGGACAGAGCACCTGGGGGAAGGGGTGGCTGTGGGTGCAGCTTCAACAGACTTAAACGTTCCTGCCTGCTGGCTCTGAAGAGAGCAGTGGATCTCCCAGAACAGCGTTCAAGCTCTGCTAAGGGTCAGACTGCCCCCTCAAGTGGGTCCCTGACCCCCATGTATCCTGACTGGGAGACACCACCCAGTAGGGACCGACAGACACCTCATACAGGAGAGCTCTGGCTGGCATCTGATGGGTGCCCCTCTGGGATGAAGCTTCCAGAGGAAGGAATAGACAGCAATCTTTGCTGTTCTGCAGCCTCCACTGGTGAGACCCAGGCAAACAGGGTCTGGAGTGGACCTCCAGCAAACTGTAGCAGACCTGCAGCAGAGGGCCTAACTGTTAGAAGGAAAACTAACAAACAGAAAGGAATAGCATTAACATCAACCAAAGGAACGCCCACTCAGAGAACCCATCTGAAGGTCACGAACATCAAAGACCAAAGGTAGATAAATCCACAAAGATGGGGAGAAACCACCACAAAAAGGCTGAAAATTCCAAAAACCAGAATGTCTCTTTTCCTCCAAAGGATCACAACTCCTCACCAACAAGGGAACAAAACTGGGTGGAGAATGAGTTTGATAAATTGATAGAAGTAGGCTTCAGAAGGTGGGTAATAACAAACTCCTCTGAGCTAAAGGAGCATGTTCTAACCCAATGCAAGGAAGCTAAGAATCTGGGAAAAAGGTTAGACGAATTGCTGACTAGAATAACCAGTTTAGAGAAGAACATAAATGACCTGGTGGAACTGAAAAACATGGCATGAGAACTTCGTGAAGCATGCACAAGTATCAGTAAGCGAATCGATCAAGCGGAAGAGAGAATATCAGAGATTGAAGAACATCTTACTGAAAGAAAGTGAGAAGACAAGACTAGAGAAAAAAGAATGAAAAGAAATGAACAAAGCCTCCAAGAAATATGGGACTATGTGAAAAGACCAAATCTATGTTTGATTGGTGTACCAGAAAGTTGACGGGGAGAATGGGACCAAGTTGGAAAACACTCTTCAGGATATTTTCCAGGAGAACTTCCCCAACCTAGCAAGAGAGGCCAACATTCAAACTCTGGAAATACAGAGAACAGCACAAGGTACTCCTTGAAAAGAGCAACCCAAGACATACTTGTCAGATTCACTAAGGTTGAAAAGAAGGAAAAAATGTTAAGGGTACCCAGAGAGAAAGGTTGGGTTACCCACAAAGCCCATTAGACTAACAGTGGATCTCTCAGAAGAAACTCTACAAGCCAGAAAAGAGGGGAGCCAATATTTAACATTCTTAAAGAAAAGAATTTTCAACCCAGAACTTCATATCCAGCCAAACTAATCTTCATAAACGAAGGAGAAACGAAATCCTTTACAGATAAGCAAATGCTGAGAGATTTTGTAACCACCAGGCCTGCCTTACAAGAGTTCCTGAAGGAAGCACTAAACATGGAAAGGAACAACAGAGACCAGCCACTGCAAAAACATACCAAATTGTAAAGACCATCAACACTATGAAGAAACTGCATCAACTAATGGGCAAAATAATCAGCTAGCATCATAATGACAGGATCACACACATAACAATATTAACCTTAAATGTAAATGGGCTAAATGCCCCAATAAAAAGACACGGACTGGCAAATTGGTTAAACAGTCAAGACCCATAGGTGTGCTGGAGACCCATCTTACATGCAAAGACAAACATAGGCTCAAAATAAAGAGATGGAGGAATATTTACCAAACAAATAGAAAGCAGAAAAAAAAGGAAGAGTTGCAATCCTAGTCTCTGATAAAACAGACTTCAAACCAACAAAGATCAAAAAAGACAAAAAAGGGCATTACATAATGGTAAAGGAAGCAATGCAACAAGAAGAGCTCAATATCCTAAATGTATATGCAACCAATACATTAGAACCCAGATTCATAAAGCAAGTCCTTAGAAACCTACAAAGAGACTTAGGCTGCCATACAGTAATAGTGGGAGATTTTAACACTGCACTGTCATATTAGACAGACCAACAAGAAAGAAAATTAACAAGGATATTCGGGACTTGAACTCAGTTCTGGAGCAAGTGGACCTGATAGACATCTACAGAACTCACCACCCCAAATCAACAGAATATACATCCTTCTCAGCACCACATCACACTTATTCTAAAACTGACCACATAATTGGAAGTAAAGCACTCCTCGGCAAATGCAAAAAAATGGAATTCACAACAAACACCCTCTCAGACCACAGTGCAATCAAATTAGAACTCAGGATTAAGAAACTCACTCAAAACCACACAACTACATGGAAACTGAACAACCTGCTCCTGAATAACTACTGGGTAAATAACGAAATGAAAGCGGAAATAAAGATGTTCTTTGAAACCCATGAGGGCAAAGATGCAATGTACCAGAATCTCTGGGACACAATTAAAGCAGTGTGTACAGGGAAATTTATAGCACTAAATGCCCACAAGAGAAAGCAGGAAACATCTAAAATCGACACCCTAACATCACAATTAAAAGAACTAGAGAAGGATGAGCAAACAAATTCAAAAGCTAGGAGAAGAGAAGAAATAACTAAGATCAGAGCAGAACTGTAGGAGGTAGAGACACAAAAAACCCTTAAAAAATCAATGAATCCAGAAGCCGGTTTTTTGAAAAGATCAACAGAATATATCGCTAGCCAGACTAATAAAGAAGAAAAGAGAGAAGAAGCAAATAGATGCAATAAAAAATGAGAAAGGGGATATCACCACTGATCACACAGAAATACAAACTACCATCAGAGAATACTATAAACACCTCTATGCAAATAAACTAGAAAATCTAGAAGAAATGGATAAATTCCTGGACACATACACCCTCCCAAGTCTAAACCATGAAGAAGTCGAATCCCTGAATATACCAATAACAAGTTCTGAAATTGAAGCAGTGATTAATAGCCTACCAACCAAAAAAAGTTCAGAACCAGATGGATTCACAGCCAAACTCTACCAGAGGTACAAACAGGAGCTGGTACCATTCCTTCTGAAACTATTCCAAACAATAGAAGAAGAGGGAATCCTCCCTGACTCATTTTATGAGGCCAGTATCATCCTGATACCAAAACCTGACAGAGACACAAGAAAAAAAAGAAAATTTCAGGCCAATATCCCTGAAAACGTTGATGTGAAAATCCTCAGTAAAATACTGGCAAACCGAATCCAGCAGCACATCAAAAAGCTTGTCCACCACGATCAAGTTGGCTTCATTCCTGGGATGCAAGACTGGTTCAACATATGCAAGTCAATAAACGTAATCTCTCACATAAACAGAACCAATGAGAAAAACCACATGATTATCTCAATAGATGCAGAAAATGCCTTTGACAAAATTCAACACCCATTCATGCTAAAAATCTCAGTAAACTAGGTATTGATGGAACAAACCTCAAAATAATAAGACCTATTTATGACAAACCCACAGCCAATACCATACTGAATGGGCAAAAACTGGAAGCAATCCCTTTGAAAATCGGCACAAGAAAAGGATGCCCTCTCTCACCACTCCTATTCAACATAATATTGGAAGTTCTGGCCAGGGCAATCAGGCAAGAGTAAGAAATAAAGGGTATTCAATTAGGAAAAAAGGAAGTCAAATTGTCTCTGTTTGCAGATGATATGATTGTATATTTAGAAAACCCCATTATCTCAGCCCCAAATCTCCTTAAGCTGATAAGCAACTTCAGTGAAGTCTCAGGATACAAAGTCAATGTGCAAAAATCACAAGCATTCCTATACACCAAGAACAGACAGAGAGCCAAATAATGAATGAACTCCCATTCACAATTGCTACAAAGCAAATAAAATACATAGGAATCCAACTTACAAGGGGTGTGAAGGACCTCTTCAAGGAGAACTACAAACAACTGCTCAACAAAATAAAAGAGGACAAAAACAAATGGAAAAACATTCCATGCTCATGGATAGGAAGAATCAATATCATGAAAATGACCATATTGCCCAAAGTAATTTATAGATTCAATGCTATTCTTATCAAGTTACCATTGACTTTTTCACAGAATTGGAAGAAACTACTTTAAAATTCATATGGAACCAAAAAAGACCCCGCATTGCCAAGACATTTCTAAGCAAAAAGAACAAAGCTGGAGGCATCACACTACCTGAGTTCAAACTATAGTACATGGCTACAATAATCAGAACAGCATGGTACTGGTACCGAAACAGAGATATAGACCAATGGAACAGAACAAAGGCCTCAGAAATACCACACATCTACAACCATCTGACCTTTGACAAATCTGACAAAAGCAAGCAGTGGGGAAATGATTCTCTATTTAATAAATTGTGTTGGGAAAATGGGTTGGCCATATGCAGAAAACTGAAACTGGACCACTTCCTTACATCTTATACAAAAATTAACTCAAGATGAACTAAAGACTTAAATATATAAGACCTAAAACCATAAAAACCCTAGAAGAAAACCTAGGCAATACCATTCAGGACATAGACATGGGTAAAGATTTCATGACTAAAACACCAAAAGCATTGGCAACAAAGGCAAAATTGACAAAAGGGTTCTAATTTAACTAAAGCACTTCTGCACAGCAGAAGAAACTGTCATCAGAGTAAACAGGCAGACTATAGAATGGGATAATTTTCACAATCTATCCATCTGACAAAGGGCTAATATCCAGAATCTATAAAAAACTTAAACAAATTTACAAGTAAAAAACGACCCTACTGAAAAGTGGGTGAAGGATCTGAACAGACACTTATCAAAAGAAGACATTTATGTAGCCAACAAACATATGAAAAAAAGCTCAACATCACTGGTTATTAGAGAAATGCAAATCAAAACCACAATGAGATTCTATCTCATGCCAGATAGAATGGTGATCATTAAAAAGTCAGGAAACAACAGATGCTAGAGAGGTTGTGGAGAAATAGGAATGCTTTTACACTGTTGGTTGGAGTGTAAATCAGTTCAACAATTGTGGAAGACAGTGTGGCAATTCCTCAAGGATCTAGAACCAGAAATACCGTTTGGCCCAGCAATCTCATTACTGGGTATATACCCAAAGGATTATAAATCATTCTACTCTAAAGACATATGCACACATATGTTTATTGCAGCACTCTTCACAATAGCAAAGACTTAGAACTAACCCAAATGCCCATCAATGATAGACTGGATAAAGAAAATGTGGCATGTATACACCATGGAATACTATGCAGCCATAAAAAAGGATGAGTTCATGTCCTTTGCAGGGACATGGGTGAAGTTGGATACCATCATTCTCTGCAAACCAACAGAAGAACCGAAATCCAAACACCGCATGTTCTCTGTTGTAAGTGGGAGGTGAAAAATGAGAACACATGGACATGGAGGGGAATATCACACATGGGGGCCTGTTGGGGGGTGGGGTGTTAGGGGAGGGATAACATTAGGCAGTATACCTAATGTAGATGATGGGTTGATGGGTGCAGCAAACCACCATGGCATGTGTATACCTATGTAACAAACCTGCACGTTCTGCACATGTATCCCAGAACTGAAAGTATAATAATAATAATAATAATAAAAGAACAGTACAGAAAACTCTCATACCCAAACTTATTAAAAAAAAGTCTTCACTAACTATTGAAATAATGTCTTTTATAACAAAATGATATAATCCAGGATCTCATGTTGTATGAAGTTGACATGTCTTTTCAGTACTCTTCTATATAGAAATGTTCTTCAATCCTTCCTTGTCTTTCTTAACTGATATGGTTTGGCTGTGTCTCCACCCAAATCTCATCTTGATTTGTAGTTCCCGTAGTACCCAAGTGTCATAGGAGGAACCCTATGGGAGATAGTTGAACCATGAGGGCAGTTTCCACCATGCTGTTCTCATGATAGTGAGTTCTCATGAGATCTGATGGTTTTATAAGGGGCTTCCTCCTTTGTTTGCCATGGCAGTCATTCTCTCTCCTGCTGCCTTATGAAGAGGTGCCTTCTGCCATGAGTGTAAGTTTCCTGAGGCCTCCCCAGGCATGCTGAACTGTGAGTCAATTAAACTTCTTTCCTTTATGAAATACCCAGTCTCAGGTATGTCCCTATAGCAGTATGAGAACAGACTAATACAGTAAATTGGTACCCCAGAGAGTGGGGTGCTGTTATAAGGATACCTGAAAACGTGGAAGTGACTTTGGAACTGGGTAACTGGCAGATGTTGGAACAGTTTGGAGGGCTCAGAAGAAGACGGGAAAATGTGGGAACCTTTGAAACTTCTTAGAGACTTGGAGGCCTCAGAAGACAGGAAGATATTAGAAGGTTTGGGGCTTCCTAGAGACATGTTAAATGGCTTTGAGCAAAATGCTGATAGTGATATGGAAAATGAGGTCCTGGCTGAGGTGGTCTCAGATGGAGATGAGAAACTTGTTGAGAACTGGAGTAAAGGCCAGTTTTGATATGCAAAGAGACTGGCAGCATTTTGCCCCTGCCCAAAATTTGTGGAACTTCAAACTTGAGAAAGATGATTTAGGATATCTGGTGGAAGAAATGTCTAAATGGCAAAGTGTTCAAGAGGAAGCACAGTATAAATGTTTGGAAAATTTGCAGCCTGATGATGCAATAGAAAAAAATCCCATTTTCTGGGGATAAATTCAACCCTGCTGCAGAAATTTGCATAATTAATGAGAAGCCAAATGTTAATGGGGGAAAATGTCTCCAGGATAGGTTAGAGACCTTCATAGTAGCTCCTCCCATCACAAGCCCAGAGGCCTAGGAGGGTAAAATGATTTCCTGGGCTTGCTCCAGGACCCCCTGCTGTGTGCAGCCTGGCGACTTGGTGCCCTGCATCCCAGCTGCTCCAGCTGTGGCTAAAAGGGGCTGAGGTACAGCTCAGACCATTGTTCAGAGGATGGAAGCCCCAAGCCTTGGCAGCTTCCACATGGTGTTGAGCCTGTGGGTCCACAGAAGTCAATAATTGAAGTTTGGGAATCTCCACCTAGATTTCAGAAGATGTATGAAAATGCCTGGATGTCCAAGCAGAAATTTGCTGCAGGGGCAGAGCCCTCATGGCAAACCTCTTCTAGGGCAGTGCAGAAGGGAAATGTGGGGTTGGAGCCCCCATACAGAGTACCCACTGGGTCACTGCCTAGTGGAGCTTTGAGAAGTAGGCCACTATCCTCCAGACCCCAGAATGGTAGCTCCACCAACAGCTGGCACTGGGTGCCTGGAAAAGCCACAGACACTCAATGCCAGTGTGAAAGCAGCCATGAAGGGATTATATACCCTGCAAAGCCAAAGAGGTGGAGCTGCCCAAGGTGTGGGAACCTACCTCTTGCATCAGCATGACCTGGATGTGAGACATGAAGTCAAAGAAGATCATTTTGGGACTTTAAGGTTTAGTGACTGCCCTATTGCATTTCAAACTTTCATGGGGCCTATAGCCCCTTGTTTTGGCTAATTTCTCCATTTGGGATGGGTGTATTTACCAATGCCCATACCCCTGTTGTACCTAGGAAGTAACTAACTTGCTTTTGATTTTACAGGTTCATAGGCAGAAGGGACTTTCCTTGTCTCAGATGAGACTTTGGACTTGGACTTTTGAGTTAATGCTGGAGCGAGTTAAGAATTTGGGGGACTGTTGGAAGGGCATGATTGTGTCTTGTAATGTGAGAACATGAGATTTAGGAGGGGTTGGGGGTGGAATGATATGGTTTGGCTGTGTCCCCACCCAATTTGGCTGTGTCCCCACCCAAATCTCATCTTTAATTGTATTTCCCATAATCTCCATGTGTCATGGGAGGGACCTGGTGGGAGGTAATTGAATCATGCAGGTGGTTTTCCTCATGCTGCTCATGCTGTTCTCATGATAGTGAGTGAGTTCTCATGAGATTTGATGGCTTTATAAGGGGCTTCCCACTTCACTTGGCATTCATTTCTCTCCTGCTGCCCTGTGAAGAGGTGCCTTCCACCATGATTGTATGTTTCCTGAGGCCTCACTAGCCACGTGGAACTGTGAGTCAATCAAACCTCTTTTCTTTAGAAATCATCCAGTCTTGGGTATTTCTTCACAGCAGCATGAGTAGGGACTAATACAATGACCTTCAGATGTTTGAAGATTACAGGCTAATTATTTTGCAGAATTTTGCGTTGTCTGGTGTTTCCTCTTATTATATTCAAATTAGGAATGTCATAGGAGTGATTCTGTGCCCTTTTCACTGCATTCCCTCAGGTGGTACATGAGGTTATTTCATTCTGTCACTGGTAATGTTAACTTTGACCACTCGAGGAAGGTCATAATCATCCATGTTTCTCTACTGCAAGGCTGTTCTTTTCTTTTTTTAAAAAAAATAAACATTTTTTTCTTTTCTTCTTTTTTTATTTTTATTTTTAAATAGATAGGTGAGACTCCAACTACTGGACCTAGTGATCATCTCAGCCCTCAGCCTCCTGTGTAACTGAAAGTCCAGGTGCACACCACTGTGCCTGCTTCGTTCTTTTCTCTTTCATAATTTGTTCGTGTTTTGCAGGAAAATACTTTGACACTACATATACATCCCATTCTTCATTCCACCCAATAGTTTTAACAAGTTTTGTTGATGTTTCTCATGCGAATTATTATGAATGTAGTTGACAAGCAGTGATTTTCAAATTTCATCATCTCTTTTACATTTATTAGTTGTAATTTTACTATTTGGTAAACCTTATCCTCCCTTCCTCCCTCCCCCTTTCTTTCATCATTGTAGACTTATGGATTCCTATTTTATTCAGTGGGATAGAATATATTATTATCACTAAGTATTTCAATAGTAAATTATCCCAGGTTTGGCCAGTAGAAACCCCCTTCAAGCTGGCTTCTACATCTGCCGGGGTCCTAACATTCTTTATGTATTTCCTTAATATCTGGCATAACACATTCCAGTCTTATTTTGTGATTTTCTTGGTCTCGTCCTAAAGTTAGCTATTATAATCCAAGGAGCCCTGGCAGGTCTTAGTGATGTGTATACTCATTGCTGTGGGGTATCACTGTTCCGAGACCCTCTCAGTGTACAGTGGATCTCTATATCTTATCTGAATTTATATCTATATCTTCTAGGCTTAGGCTTTCATATTTATAACATTTCATTTTCAGTGAGAAAATTGGACTCCATTCTCAATTTTTTTTATTTGTTCAATTTCAAAATCCTCATGGGTTGCCATCCCACTTGGGGGCCTACCTTCCCTCAATTCCTGCCAGTCCTTGCTTCTTTCTGACTAGGACCTTCTTATGGCTTTTTGACTGCATTATTAAGAAGAAGAGAAAGAAGGAAGAAGGAAGGAAGAACGGAGAATACTAATTTTGCACAAGGACAATAGGGGCTATGAGGATTTTTCCAACTAGGGTAAAAGGTATTTAATTTTGCAGGGTTATATAGTGATAATGGGTTAATAATGTGATGCCATATTAATAAAGTGAAACACAGAATATATTTTCAGTTTCTATATGTGTACCTTCAGCTGCCTTGTTCCTTAAAATCTAACATTCTTTTCTAGCACCAACAGAAGTGTCTTTGGATGCTACATTTTCTGTCCACACTGTTTTTCAGTCTTTAAAGCAGAAATAAACAAATATGTGGAATTCTTGATTTCATCTGGCTAACTACTAAGGAATATGCTATCCATTTTTTAAAACATGGACATTTTTAATTAAAAAATGGGTAAATTAAAAATAGACTTCCTAAGCAAAAATGAATCCACAATCTCCTAATAGTTTGTAAGCCTTGAAAGAACTTAAAAATAGAAATGTCTTGATATTTTTATTTTCGGAGGTTGAACTTAAAGATAAAAGTAACTTGACAAAAATAAACTGATTATACATTGTACCGCAACATTCCAAAAACAAATAGGCTAAAACCAAATAAATGTGAAAAAGACAGAAGAATGCTGAAGGAAATATCCTCCCAAGGGAAAAGTAATGAATAAAATCTAACTGTATTTCACCAGACATTTATGATTAGATAATATTCTGAGTTGGAGTGGGCTAGCATATTTATTGTTTTAAGTAATGAAATAACCACAATTTGAAAAACTTGCTTCTTTGATTTTCTCAGCTATTATTCACTCATGTAATCTTTCTAACACCTGGAAACACACCACTTTGACTTACAGGAGCATTCCATTTTGAGTTTTTCCATAGGCACTTCTAAATCTTCAAAGCCTGGTTCTTATTTTGAAAGAAGCTAGTTTTTAAATAAATAATGAGTTTCTCCAGCTGTTTCCAAGGATCCCCGCTCCTGATTTTCCCTTCTGCCATGATGAAGATGTATCAGAAGCGTGTTCCTGCACTGGCTGGTGGGTATCAAGTTTCCTGAGTGAGAACATTTATTCAGTCTTTGACAGTGTTTTCAGAGCATCTACTATGTGCAATGACCCCCAGAGACAACATTGCTCCATAAAATCTATTTGCATTTAAGGAAAATTCTGGAAAATACATAATATCTATAACATCTCAGAATTCTCCTTATTTGATGTCGCTACTTTAATAAGGTTCTTAGTTGCAAGTCACAGAAACTAATTCTACTTAAGTAGAAAAGGAAGAATCCCAGAAAGAATCGGCAAAAAGTTGAGAAAACCCAGCTCAGGAAATCATCAGGAACAAAGGTGGCTCAGCTGCAAGATACAGCCAAGAATTTGATAGAACTTATCTGGATAATAGACAGCATATACGGAGAGAGCAGGGTTAGGTAATGAAGTGTTGCATGGGGCTTTGTGTTTATAATATGATTATAAGCATCTACAGTGACCGAGCATTCGAATTTGCTTGAGGCAATCATGGTTTGAGCACTGAAAGTCCGTATTAGGAAACTCCTTAGTTCTAGGGCAACTGAGATGGTTGGTCACACTGTTGAAAACACTTGCTGTAAATTCTATCCTTGTACAAGAAAGAGATTTAATATATCAATATTATAGAAAAGTATTTTTCATAGTCAATATCCAAAATTCTGAAAATATAAGGTGAATTTGATGAAAACAGCAATTTAGCCTAATTTACAATAAGTTAGTGCTTTAACTTAATAGGCCACTATAGATAGCCTTATTGATCCATAATTTTATGTAGGCACAGCCACAGTTGAATTTATATAAAACCTTTCCACATACTTTATGATCCGGATTAAGCTCCCCATTCACGTTAGAATCATTCCTAACAATTCTAGTCTTCCTCCTACTCCAACTTTTGTATTTGTTATCTCAAAATACAGACATTTCACTTTCTTATTTGTTGACTTCCTTTGGACAGGTGCTTTGCTGATTATTCTACCTACATTATCATTTAATTTTCACAACTCTATGAGGTATTACGGAATCCGTACTTTACAAATGAAACAATTGAATCAGAAAGGTTTAGCTTGCTCACAGGCACCTATCTAGTAAGCAGCAGAGCCAAAATTTGAATGCACATTTATTTGACTCTAGAACTTAAGAACTTCATCTAAATTGTCTCCCAGTGGTCACTGACTTTTTTTTTTTTTTTTTTTTGAGATGGAGTCTCACTCTGTTGCCCACGCTGGAGTGCAGTGGCGCTATCTCGGCTCACTTCAAGCTCTGCCTCCGGGTTCATGCCATGCTCCTGCCTCAGCCTCCCGAGCAGCTGGGACTACAGGCACCCGCCACCACGTCCGGATATATATATATATATTTTGTATTTTTAGTAGAGACGGAGTTTCACCGTGTTAGCCAGGATGGTCTTGATCTCCTGACCTCATGATCCGCCCGCCTCGGCCTCCCAAAGTTCTAGGATTACAGGCGTGAGCCACTGCGCCTGGCTGGTCACTGAAATTTTTTTAAACTGCATTATCTCTTCAGAGAGATAATAATACCTTTGAGTGCCGGCGACATCTCCTGAAATAGCTGGTATATTTGATAGAATGACGGTTCTCAAACCTAGGGAACTTTTAAGTGTTGATGCCTAGGCTTTCCCCACAGAAATTCTGATTTAACTCATTTGGTGTGGGCCCTGGTCATTTAATATATTAAAAAAAAAACCTCACCAGATGTTCTTATATACAGCCAGTATTGAGAAACCATTGGTATAGTATATTAATTAATATCTCTGTAACCATAGGGCTATGAACCATTGAGAACAAAGAGCTGATCCCAAGGAAGCTGAGGTAGATTTGAAGAATCAGATAAGTATCTAAGCAAACTATTGAGCCGTAATTTTGGTATTCAAGCTAAATCAAGACATACACAGAAAATCAGGGCTTACATAAACTCAAAGCCACCTGGAGAGGCAATAATCAAGCATATTAATTTCTTCATTCCAATAGATAAGATTCATAATTTTATTCTTAAGATGCTTTAATCAGAAAGAGTTAATATTATCTTTTAGGCTCAATTTACAGTTTAAGTGTATATATATATATATATATATATATATATATAAAATGATATATGTGTATATATATACTTAAGCTGTATACACAAGTATATATATACACATATATAGGTATCTATACTTTATGTATTTATATATACCTAATTATATATGCATATACAAATATATAAAATTGAAGATTAAATATCACTGAACAATCAGCATTTGATTTTATCAAGGTTTTCCTGAAAGAGAATGATCTGTCTTTTCATATCAACACCAGCACTGTATTTATTTCAGCTGTTTTCATATTTTATTACATCCATTCTCTTGGCCACCCACTGTTAAAATGAAAATGCACGGAACCACTGAAACAAACAACTTGTTAGCAAATCACCATGTTGGTCCCTTAAATTAGGTATGCTTCCTAAATGAAATTGCATTGCATCTGATGATGAGTACAGCATAGAGTACATCCCTAATTTGGATTTTTAAATATCCAATTCCAGTTTTGAATTCTTCTCAGGTAAGAGAAATAGACTAGTGAGAAAGAACAAGCTGGAGATTCCTAGTCTAGATAGCTGGGAACTGGAAAAGAAATCAAAATTCTGGGCGGATACTTAAGTGACATACAGGCACTAAAAGATAAAGCAAAATAGCCAGGAAGGGAGCAGAGGTAACTGGGAGATTGTCATAACTGGTTCTGTCCTAGAGCAGTAGCATTTCTGGAATCTTGTTAAAGCAGGACTTTATTCTTAGTTTAGCTAGTTTGATTGTCAGGTTGAGTTATTTGAGTGTTGTAGACTGAGAGACATACAAGCGAAGTGATTTTTGACAGCATAATGTATGACCTCAAATCCTTTTTGATTGAATTATGTCATGGTTAAAGATGGTGCCAGTATACTTTCTTGAACAAATTAACCAACTTAAACTAAATTATCTGCATGACCATAGCTCTTAGTAGCTAAAAAAAAGGCACATTGGATTCTTTGTGTGTTTTACTTCTGGATTTGAAATGACCATATTGAAATCTGAGTTGAAAATGCTTTCTCGTAGAGGATTATATATATCACTTTATAGGAAAAACAACTCAGTTTGAAAGCAGATGTGGTACTTCAGGATAGCACCAACAGTGTAATATAGTTGTTAAATTGGCCCAAAACATGAGCACATATATTTAAAAAAAAAAGTTGACAGAAAAAACATATCTCTTGGGAATGTAGGCTAGACCATCTGTCAAAGGGAGAATTGAAACCATATTTCCATTAGAAGTGGTCATTGATCATTTGGTGAAGATTTCTGTAGACAAATTGCATAGACTATGTCATCTTCTAGTATCTTATCTTATGTGTACAGGCCTCAGACATTCTTCAAGGAAAGGCAATTTGGTGCTTAGAATTTGAGCAGGATTGTTAAAAATGTGATTCCAGGAAAGGGGCTCTACAGACATCAGCTGGAGAAAAAGGTAGTTGGAGAAAACAGATAAAGGATGTATGTTAGATCTGGGAATCAGTAAATCAGCTATAGTATTCTCAAAGGTCAAATCCCAGAAGTAGCTCTGATTTTAAGAAAAATTTCTTTTGATTTACTTATTTGATATATAAGTGGGAAAAATCTATAAAAGAATTAACTGAAACATCAATGAAGAAAGATCTGTTTTTTTCTTTCTGGTGGGGATACCTGGAGATAAACATTACCACATTACACAGAAATGCCTTAAATCATCGAGTGTTTTTTTTCCACTTATACTTATGCATACAGATAGTGTGTTAATAGCATTAACCTTGAACAATGATAGTGAGTGACAGAAAATTTATATATCCCATCTCAGAAAATAGAGTTATCTGCTAATTTCTACAGTAAGTTTGGGGCATTTTGTTTTTAGCAAACAGGAAATCCTGGCACTTCCTCTGTTTAAATCCTTTATATGTATAATACCACTTTAGTGTCTACATAGTATACACATCTTGCAGGTTTGTGTACAGATCAAATAAATACTGTTCACACTCATTATCATTAATATATGATTATTATTTAAGTTTTCCCATGTATGCACATTATTTGTCCCCCAAAAGGACTGGGAACTCCATGAAGCTGTGGATTGTTAGCTCTACTTCCATATATTCTCTATTGCATTTACCACAGGCCTACACACTTAGTCGATGCATACACTTATTTGTTGATCATATGTAATATGCAAGTGAATAATATGTATGAAATTGCCTAATGGAATTTTAAGTATTCAATATACATAAATTATTAATGCACTTATTACTTAACCCCATTTATTCACATCTTCTGCTATGGCCAATACTGTCCAGTTATTAGTAAACTAAATAGACTATGTCATACTTTGGAAGCAGTACACAAACATTTTTTTTCTCTGTCTCACTGTTAGTGTTCACAGATAATGTAAAGCATTTAACAAATGTTAGTTTTTATTTGTCTTCAGAAGTTGTCTCAAAAACTTATGGCAAAGCAATATTTATATCCCACTGTGAGTTGACTTGCTGTATGTATGTTACTTGACTACACATATAAAGCAGAGGAACTTTTTACCTGAAAACAATATAAGTGGCTAACTTTTGATCCTCAGTGAGGAACACAAGTAGGTTCTTTTGTGGTTGTTCAGCCTGAACAATTTATGTTAACCTATGTTGACATGTACAAGAACAAACAGGACTATGTGTATTGAACAATGTGGGAGCTGAGGGGGAGGGGGAGGATGAAGTCTGAAAAAGATAGGAAGGTGTGATGATTAATGCTGAGTGTCAACTTGACTGGATTGGAGGATGCGGAGTATTGATCCTGGGTGTGTCTGTGAGGGTGTTGCCAAAGGAGATTAACATTTGAGTCAGTGGGCTGGGAAAGGCAGACCCACTCTTAATCTGTGTGGGCACCATCTAATCAGTTGCCATTGCAGCCAGAATACAAAGCAGGCAGAAAAACGTGAAAAGGCTAGACTGGCTTAGCCTCGCAGCCTACATCTTTCTCCCATGCTGGGTGCTTCCTGCCTTCGAACATCAGACTTCAAGTTATTCAGCTTTGGGACTCAGACTGGCTCTCCTTCCTCCTGAGCTTGCAGAGGGCCTATTGTGGGACCTTGTGATTGTGTGAGTTAATACTTAATAAACTCCCCTTTATATATGTATATATCTTATCCTATTAGTTATGTCCCTCTAGAGAACCGTGACTAATACTAAAGGGAGCAGGTACAACATCTTCCTGCGATTGAATAGATGCCCTCTTCTTCTGTCTACCTCTCTGGGAGGTGACTGATAGAACTTTAACTGCTGTGCAGTGAATGTTTTTAATCTTTGCTATATTAAGGAGAATCTTAGAGATAAGTTTTTTTTTCCAGTTGTCTCTCAGTGATCATTCTTGCTTGTGTGTATTCATTATGTCCCTATGCCTTAGTAGACCAGTGTTGTACTTGTCCATTCTTACGCTCCCATAAAGAACTACCTGAGACTGGATAATTTCTGAAGAAAAGAGGTTTAGTTGATTCACAGTTCGGCCAGCTGTACAGGAAGCATGGCTGGGAGGCCTCAGGAAACTTACAATCATGGCAGAAGGCTGAAGGGGAAGCAAGTACATATTCATATGGTGGCAGGAGAGAGAGAGAGAGAGAGAGAGAGAGCGAAGGGGGAAGTGCTACATACTTTCAAACAACCACATCTTGTGAGAACTCACTCACTAGCACCAGAACAGCAAGGGGATAATCCAACCTATAATCCAGTCACCTCCTACCAGGTCCCTCCCCCAACATGGAGGATTACAATTCAACATGAGATTTGGGTGGAGACACAGAGCCAAATCATATCAACTCTACTGGGAAAGAAAATACAGTATATTTAGGGTCAAATATGATGACAATTTAGAAGCACTTACCTGATCATGACTTTGACTTAGAGTGTTAGTGTAGGAGGTTTCAAATTATTCAAAACTGAATATTTTAACTCATTATTATCTTCATAAATCTTATAGATGGCTTCCTCATCCCATTATACATAACATTTTAGCAGTCTGCATATCCATGAAGAATAAGAATTTTTGAAATGTTCATATTTTTCAAAATATGAAAATTTGGACAACCATAGTGTAAATATTATGGTAACTAGAATTTTTATTTAATCATCAGACATATATTTTTTCTTTTATATTTAGACGTTTATGTAATGGGCAAGCTGATCTTTAAAAATTATAAAAAAAGGTTCCATCATATACCCGCCTTTCTTACATCTACCTCAGCACGAACTTTAATAATTCTAAAAAATGTTTGACAATGTGATAATTTCCATTGTTTCAAAATTTTTATAATTAACCATAGACCTTAGTGATTAATTGGAATATTTGCAAAGCTTATTCTAAGATTATCTATTTTTGTGAAATAAGCTCAAATGCTTACTCCTTAAAATGTGTAATTTCTCCACATCCGGTTACAAATAACACATTTTTAATTATGATTACAAATTTCTTTTCACTCATTACTCCTGTTCCTTAACTCCTACTGGCTTTTAGATAAAATCTTATTTTCTAACACACTTTTCTAATATACAATAATGACAGAATATCATGCTTAATGTCTCTTTTAAGTGCAAAGATGTATTTTACATGGCAATAGATTTTAGTCTTTGTTGGGAATGACTTTCCTACAGACTTAATCAAATCTGACTCAAAGTGTAGCATTTCCCTGATGCTCAGTTTAATAGTACTAGGATGAATGAGAATCTATCTGCAGGAAATATAATATGAATTTCATTTACATTTTCATTCAGCTACTCAAACTATACAGTGATTTCAAAATAATGTAAAAAGCCACAGATTTCAGAGTTTTAAAAATTAACCTAACTAAAGAGAGTCATTCAGATATTTAAAAACAAAATCACTTCACTTATATTTTACAGCTCTCCTAAACATGGTTAGTTAAAGAAGACTTAGGATAGCATCACATCATTATTATTATTGTTTCCATGATAAACATGTTAAATTGGAAGATATATTCGCACGACATATCCAAACAGCATTTCACTGAATGAACAAAGACAAGACTGTCATGGCATTTCTCTTTGGGAGAACGCCTTTCCACTGCTCAGGCAAATGTATCACATTTTGAAAGGCTAGATCCTGAGGATAGAATAAAGCAATAAAACATGACTAGGAAGAGCCTTTTTCTTATGCTGTTATTAACATCCATCAAAAACCCAGGGTCTTTTATAATACTGCTTTCAAACTGACTCCTTCCCATCAAAGAAAATTACTTATGACTTCATTCACAAAAACAGGCTTTTGGTTTCCCATCAATAAATGACAACATGTTTTTGCCAACCCAACCAATAGCTTGGTCTATTTTACATCAGATATGATATGAAGTTTCAGTCAGTGGAATCATTTATAGGTATAAAGCAGGAGAAGAAAGCTCAAAGTAGATAGGGGCTAAATATATTTAATCCACCATGTGTATTTTGCTATCCCAAAGGAATCAGATGTAAAAGTATTTCCCTCACTAAGCCTTCCTTCACCATTTAGAAAGAAACTATGAAGTATGTTTATTATGAACTTTTGAACCATCTGAACTTATTCTATCCACTGAAATATTGCCTTGAAAATACCTTTTTTTTTGGTCAGCTAGTGACATGACAGCTAAAGCTGTTATGTGCTGTATTATTCAGCAGGAAACTCTGAAAATTATATTTGTTAGTATTATCCCAAGTTCCCTGAAAATGAGTAAGCTGCATAGTGAATAATTAATATTGGCAGAGTCATTATAAACCTCTGCAGATAGACTCCATTGTACTCTACTGGAGTACATCCCAAGTACAAAGCTGCTTTGATTTAATTCATTGTCCATTCCAGATTTGTTCTTCTTTTACTAGCCTGCCCTCTATGCAAGACATCATATAAATAAAATTACTGCTTCTGGCTTGAATCATCACTAGACTTGAGTTAGTGGTTGCATGAAAGGCTAATTTAAACAACAGGCAGGGCCACTGCCTTATACAGAAGACAGGAAGGAGCTCTATCCACGACCATCTTTGGCAGTAAGGCTATGTGCAATTAGAATGAATCATATTCACATTACATGTGAAATATATCATACTAAGGTAAACTAAGAATTGCTCTTATAGAGTCAAGAATGAAAGAAAGCTTCAAAGGTCATTAGCCTGTCTTCTGGCTTTCACAGGGCTACAATTAAAAAGTCCTTGAGAATTATCTGCCAAGTCCTTAAAATTATTCAGACAAGTAGGCACCACAGTCTCCTTCTGTGAGTCATTACCAGGTCTGCCAGCCTTTATAGTCAATAAGGTCTGCCTGCTATTTAACCCAGCCATGAAAATAGTCTCTGGTCCAAGTACAGGGGTCCCAGAAGAGATAGGCAGTGGATCTAATTTTTAAATGGTATGGAAATACAACAATTTAATATTTTTTTCTCTCTACCTTCCAGCACTTTTCCTTTTGGTTTTCTTGGTAATCAGTCCTTTTGAAAAGCTTCAGCGTATTAATCTGGTGAGACAGGCTCTTATTACAATATGGAACTCTGTCTGGATGTAAATATGCCCCCAATCAAAATATATTCCTTCAAGAAGAGCACACAGTGAACAGAAGCCTGCCTGAAACATGGCCCCTGTCCCATATCCCCAGATACCAGCAAAACAACAATAACATGTAGAGAGTTAACTAGGTATCGGGCATTGATTTAGGATCCTATATTACATAAAATTCTCAAAATATTCTATGAGATCATTCTTTCCATTTAACAAGTAAAAGCACGAGATTCAGAGGTCAGTAGCTTGCTTAAGTCATCCACTAATAAATGGCAGAACTTGGGTTTGAACTCAGGCATTTTGGAATCAAAGTCTGTTTAACCCCAACAAAGTAAATGCCATTAGATAATTAGGACTTTTCTTGTTTCCAAGAATTTAAAGTGAAGAATGAGATAAGAAGCACAGAATAAAGCAGGGAGGGTCATAGTAAATGTTAGAAAAATTTGAAGAAAAATTATTAACTTTATCATATTTATCATATTAAGAATTATGAGAGAGCTTTCAATATGGTAGGAAGCAACTTGTCACATAGGTGCAGGAGAATTATGAGAAGTATTTCTGGCAAACTGTAACTTGCTATTTATTTTGATTATCATAATTCCTGAGCCACAATGGATAGAAATGGGCTATTCCAAGATAAATTTTCAGATATGATGATATAACTTTTTGTGGTTTTGAGGAAGACCCCAACAGGGAGTAACTCATTCTTTGATGTAATAATCCCTCTAACCCCTAATCAAAGCAGGAGTTACTTTACAATGTCTCCAAACATTTTTGTTTGCCTATGTGTTTTTCAAGTCTGCAGTCTTTTTCCTGATGTTCATAAAATATGATTTGGAACCTTCTCTTCAAACCCTTGACTTTCCTTTTCTTCCTTCAATCTCAGCAGATGGCTATATATCCTATTACAATGAGAACATGATGATGTAAAATAGAAACTGTCTCTTTCCCACCACTAAACTGATAAATATGCTTAACTTCTCCTCTGATTTTCACTTCTCCTTTCCAAGATTTATCTTTCCATTTCCACTTGTTTTCCTAGGAACCACTTTCTATGAATTCCTCCCTCTCTTTTTTCCTTTTCTTCCTGTTTCTTTTTCCTTTGCAACAATCTTTAAATGAAACTGTCTCTCTTATTATCAAACTAAACAAGTAAATTACACAAAGTAAGATAACGTTATTATTCACCTATTGTCTACCACCAGTTACCTTCCTCTTTCTCTCTTGTCCTTTGTGTGCAACTCACTTAAAATAGTTGTCTACTTACTTTCTTAATTTACTAACTTCTAATTCATTTCTTCCTTCTTTCTGGTTTCTAGCCCCCAGTATGCCATTAATATTTCTCTTGACAAGTTTATCACTTCCTTTTTTGAAAATGCAATGGGTGTTTCTCAGCCACCTTTCAGCATCATATACTGCTATTGAGTAATCCTTTCTTGAGGCATTGCCTCTCCCGAGCTTCTATGACACCAAACTAGCTTGGTTTGTTTCTTCTTTCTTTACTCTTAAAAATTTTCCTTACCTGTACTCCTTCCACTTCATAATGTAATTTTCATATTTCATTCTCTTCTCTCTTGAGGGAGAAGTCTTCCCAAAAAATTGCATCTAACCTGATGACTCTAATCCCAAACTATATGCTAATAATTCCTTAATAAATAATTCTAATCAAATACTTCTCATTAACATCAGATCTACTGATCTAACTTTCTATAGGACACTATATGTGGTTATTCTGACTCCTCAAATTTAACACACAATTTTCTTTTCTGTCTCATTTTTTTAAGAGCAAGTTCTTTACCTAGTTGCCCAACTATAAACTTGAATGTTAATCTTGACTTCCGACTTCCTCGTCCCTCATATCCATTCAATTTCAGTGTCCTGTCTGTTCAGTCTCTTGCATATCTTACAACCAGTCAGCTTTTCTCCACTGCCACTACCCAGATTCAGGCTGCCAACATCTCTCACCTGGATTTCTGAAACAGTCTCCTAATTTGTCTTTTGACCTTTAAAAGGCATACCTGACCATGTCATGCTTTTTTTTTTTTTGGTATTATTATACTTTAAGTTCTGGGATACATGTACAGAATGTGCAGGTTTGTTACATAGGTATACAGCCATGGTGGTTTGCTGCACCCATCAACCCGTCATCCACATTAGGTATTTCTCCTAATGCTATCCCTTCCCGAGCACCCCACCCTCCAACAGGCCCCAGTGTGTGATGTTCCCCTCCCTGTGTCCATGTGTTCTCATTGTTCAGCTCCCACTTATGAGTGAGAACATGCAGTGTTTGATTTTCTGTTTCTGTGTTAGTTTGCTGAGAATGATGGTTTCTAGCTTCATCCATTTCCCTACAAAGGACATGAACTCATCCTTTTTTATGGCTGCATAGTATTCCATGGTGTATATGTGCCACATTTTCTTTATCCAGTCTATCATTGATAGGCATGTGGGTTGGTTCCAAGTCGTTGCTATTGTGAATAGTGCTGCAATAAACATATGTGTGCATGTGTCTTTATAGTAGAATGATTTATATTCCTTTGGTTATATACCCAGTAATGGGATGGCTGGGTCACACGGTATTTCTAGTTCTAGATCCCTGAGGAATCACCACACTGTCTTCCACAATGGTTGAACTAATTTACACTCACACCAACAGTGCAAAAGCATTCTAATTTTTCCATATCCTCTCCAGCATCTGTTGTTTCCTGACTTTTTAATGATCACCATTCTAACTGGCATGATATGATATCTTATTGTGGTTTTGATTTGCATTTCTCTAATGACCAGTGATGTTGAGCTTTTTTTCATATGTTTGTTGGCTGTATAAATTTCTTCTTTTGAGAAGTGTCTACTCATATCATTTGCCCACTTTTTCATGGGGTTGAAATACTTCTCATTTGAAACACCTCTAGTTGTGTGTAGAACTCAAGAACTTCACTTAGTGATGACATCTGTTCTGGGCCAAAAGGACACATCCGACAACAGAAAGGAAGTAGCTGAGAAACTGCTTTCAATGTCGGAAGGAGCTGAGAAACTGCTTTCAATTTCCTAGGCCTCTGTGCTTCTGAGACTTTTGATATGATTTTATCTGGGTAAGATATCTGGCTTTTGTAAGTCTGATTTGGCAGTCTGATCATTTGTGTTAGCTTGGATGCAATACTTCTTTAGACTCATTTAACAGTATTCTGTTGATATTTATAATAAAGTATATGACGTTTACCAAGGCAGCTGAATTCATGCCTCTCCCTCTCAATTTCCTTAGGCAGAACACTTTAGAACACTTTATTTTCCATTTGATTATAAAATATTTCAAGGAAAATTCAAGCTCAGCTTTACAATCCATTAGTAACTCAAACTGTTTGCATTTTAAGCAGATTTAAATTGCATCGGTAACTTTTATTTCAAAAAACATATATATTCTTTTGGAGAACAATGCTAACTAAGGACATAAGTGGGTAATTGTTGAACTTAGCATTATAGACAGATGATTTCATTAGATATTATAATCACAATATCTGTGGATAAAGACTCCATCACACATTGCACTTGGCCTTATAGTATAAAAGAGCTAAGTATCCATTTATTACAAATGGACTGTGGTAACATTAGCTGTTCTGAGAGTTCCTGGAAATATGGTTATTCTATCTACCTCTTAAGGGAAACAATTGATATTTACTGCCTCAGAGGCTCTGATGAGTAGATGGAGGAAGGCATGGAAGGGGGGTAGTAGAATCGAGTTATGAGAACAAGATGTATTGCCATGTTTGCTGCAAAGGCAGACTGAACACAATTAGTCTCAGAAGATAGCATATAAATCAGGATATTCTGACATAAGAATATAGGAGAGATCTTTAATGGAACTGATTTCATAGGCTTGGTGAGTCATAAAAAGTCCTCTTGAAAAACTGCAATAATAATTAGACATCTGCCAAGTTTTCAGTGTTGACGTTTGCTGGAGGACTGCAAACTTTCCTGAAATCTGTTTTTTTGAAAACATTTTCTCAGCTAATTACAAAAGTTTTTTTTTTTTTAAATCAGAATATCCTATGTGAATCCTTTCAATGAAAATATAAATACGCTGGGAAGAAGAAACATGGTATAGTTCCCTGTTGGAATTTCTCTTAAGTTAAATATTTCAACTCTATTGAAATGCAAGTTGTAATTTTAAAATATCTAAATTGCTATAAGTGTTTTAAAAGTTCTTGTGACAGTCTTGCTAAAATTTTGCTTTGTAAAAATCAAATAGGAATTTGAATTTCACAAAAATAACTTTTAAGAAAATAGCAAGCAAGAGTGGAAAGGAACATATTTGCTCAATTCATCACAACACAGATAATTTTACGCTAAATGCATTAGGTTTTGAGAAGTGTGAAAATTCCATTTTTTTTTTGCCATCCCATCAGCAGAATTTCTTCATTCATTGCTTTTTTTTAAAAAACAATGAATAAATTGGGCTTTTCTGAAATAAACTAAAGAAAGTTTCCCATAAATTAGAATCCTGTGAAGGATATTTTTTCTCCGCCCACTCATGTGCAAGTACCACTTCATTTTAGCAGCATGTTTTGATTTGTTCTTACGGGTGTGTACAACATGTTCAGAAATGGTGAAAGAGATTCCTTTATAGTAGTTTCAGAAAATTCTGTGACTTTAAGAATATTTCTTTACTTCTAACCAAATGCTGGAGAAGTAAGTGTGTAGAACTAGTATTCTGGCTTACAAACTAATCCTGAAATGTTTCTTGTGTGCAGTATAGCTGTTAGCTTCACTTTTTTCCATGCCTTCCATCTAAAAGCAATGCGAGCTATCTAATCCTCTGGGAATGAAGACTGGTCAGGTAATTAAAATAAATGATGACAGACAGAAGTCACAGATCCAAGCACTATGTAAGGCTGCAGTCTCTATTCAGTCCCAGCTGATAGTGGCCATGCCTGTATTCAAGCCCAGTGTGGTAGATTCTGGTAGAATCTTTGTTTCAAGGGGATTTGTGAGATATCACTACTGATATGTGAATTCTCTCCAATTTAAATGTTGACCAGGAAAATCATAAATGTGGATTATCATCTGTGGCCTAAGAACTTCTAGTTTTCCATATCTCATATATGGGGTGTTTGTATTATATGTTCCTACCAAGCTGGAAAAAACCCTGAGATGTATAAACCTAAAATTAATTAGCTTATCTTCTTGATGTAGCATCTTCATTAAATTTTATTTAATGTTATATATTTGGTTCCCATTGAGAATTGATATGCAAAATGACACTATGAAGAATATATTTGAGTATGCTACAAAGCTTATCAGTAGATGTGGTTTATTAGGTGTTAAGTGTTATTTTTATAAGGATTCATGAGACAAATTCATTTTAGATTTTAACACTAGTAAAAAGAGATTTTTTAATGTAATGAGAATTACATAATACGTAATTCCCTTTAAAAATGTGCAAATATAAAAGGAAGTGTACTTAAAATTTATTCTCAGAGTAATTACATGTATTTTAGAGAGTGATAATTTGTATATTTCTCCATTTACAAGATTTTGGATTTCTTACTCTCTCAACAGCTTAATAGATATAGATATATAGACATAGATATATAAATATAGATATATAGATATTGATATACATATGTTTGTGTGTGTGTTTTAAGTGCTTTAAGTCATTATATGGGTTGTAATATACAATTTTAAGTAGAAATAAAAAATTTTGGAATTTTTTCTGTTACAGTATCTGTAAAATGTTGATACTTTATCAAAATCTTAAGACATCTGAATAAGAACCAAATTTTGTAATAAACTTGGGAAGTGGCAAATTACATTTAAATGCTTTTTCTTTTCTTAACTAATCCACAATAATTTATTAATCAATGATAATGGTTAATATTACCCCTCTGGAAAAGGCTTATTATTTCAGCAAGTATACTTCTGCAACCTATAGTAATATGGAACAAAAATAACAGTATACCTCATCAAAGAAGATATTTGTGGGGTAGTATACTTTTTAATACCATTCTGTTGTATCTCTCTCTCTCTCTGTATGTGTGTATGTATATATATATATGTATATCTCACTGGCTTTACTCTGTGTTGTTATTTGTATAAGTTCCCTCTTTAGGTAGGTCAACATACATGGTATATGAAAATAGTATTTATTGTTGAGGAAATTATGCTAGGTAATTTTAGACAGAAAATAAACCTTCCAAAGAAATGTTAGAATTTTTGGATTGCATTTGTTTTAAAATTAGCTTTCTCTGGGCCGGGCGCAGTGGCTCAGGCCTGTAATCGCAGCACTTTGGGAGACCGAGGTGAGTGGATCACCTGAAGTCAGGTTGACACCAGCCTAGCCGACATGGCGAAACCCTGTCTCTACTAAAAAATACAAATTACCTAGGTGTAGTGGTGCGTGCCTGTAATCCCAGCTACTCGGGAGGCTGAGGCAAGCGAATCTCTTGAACCCGGGAGGTGGAGGTTGCCATGAGCCGAGATCGCACCACTGTACTCTTTGTCATAACGAGACTCTTTGTCATAAATAAATAAATAAATATTAGCTTTCTCTGTTTACTAATTCACTAGATAAACTCTTTATCAAGTTCAATTAGTTCGTATATTTTGTGGGGGATGGTTTTGGGTATGATTATCGGTGGGTTTAAACTTTGTTTTAGAACAGGTTCCATTTCTTTTTAACTTTTGTATCCTTTTATAACCTAAGGAAAATAATACGTGTATTTTATGTTTTAAACAAAGCCTTTTTGAAAGATATACCATATTTAAATAATTTTGAAAACAGTGACATCAGAAAAATATTTTGTGCATTACTGTATACTTTTGAGTTAAGCTGACATAATTTGTATTGATATACTTATTTCAGGTTAGAAACAAAGCTTTCTGAATTATTATTGAATAATTGCCTTCTTCCTATATTTTGAGCATAATAAATGGTGTTAAATAAATATTGTTTTAAATTCCCATTTTTAATATAGCCAACGTAGGTTCATTATTGAGATGTTCATAAAGTCCAATGGGAAATGCTCTAAATTGGTCTTGAAAAATATTAAGAAATTGCACATTTTCAAATTTGTTTCAAAATTTATGCACTTAAGTTACTTTTCATTTAAGGCCTTTATTTTTGCAAATATTTCTGCTGGCATCACACTGATCACATGACCTTTCATTCACTCCAAAAGGGAACGTTTTCTTTCAATGATTCAGAGAAAATGCTTTCCCTAGCAATGCTAATTTAACATAGTAAGAACGGAGTTTTTTTTAATGTCTAAAAGAAGCTTTATGTTCTCTATCAAAGGCCTTTTTCCCTGTCCTAAGTAAATAATGGATTAAAAAATAGAGTTGCCAGCTTCCCCACTTTGCATGTCTAATCTTCACAGTAGAAAAATATATACTTAGTAAAAAAAGGCTCAGTAGTCATAATTTTGTAGTACTTTTCAGAAAGTTAACGCAACTTATATTTCTGTTTCCAAGTGGCTTCAAACTTGAGCATCTGTAGGGAATTGGTGGAGTGTGTATTAATTAATTTGTTCCAAATGCTACTTGTAATTAATATATGAGACCTTAGTTTCATGTATTAAGTTGTGTTGCTACTTCTTTGGTTTGCTTTGCCACTGAGTCCCTTACTCAGGTTCACACATCATGTGAAGAATATTGCACTTTCAGTTCTTGATTCAATTCCATGTTTCTCTGCCAAGTCCCATCTAGGCATCTGACATGTAACAAGCATACATAATTGTACAGACTAATAGCTAATGAATAATTAAATTTTCTCTTTTCAGTTTAATGAGAACATTTCTATGGTAAAAGTATGCTACTGTTACCAGAATGCAATAACATTTTGTGTGGGGAAGGGAACTGAATGCATGGATTCATCATTAATATCTGGGGATTAATTATTTTCTAGTTAAAGTGTATTAAGAGCTGGCTGATGAGTTTCTAGTTTATGGCTTATTTGAGGTTCTCCACTGTTCAGGTCTACTATTCATAAACATATATAAAAATGTTCACATTTCCATGTGATATAGTAAAAGAATAAAATTGTCCTGTGAAGGTCTCTATTTTCATGTCAGCTTTGCTATTATTTGCATACTATTTTCATGACTTTGAAGAAGTCACTAGACTTCTACAAGCTTTTACTTTCTCAGTCATGCTCAACTTCCTTTGTGGAACTAATAGGAGATTCAAGTGAGATAATGTATGCAATATTATTTTGTAGTTTAGAAAATATTATATAAACTGTCAGAGCTTTTGCCACTGTTGTTGGTAATCATTATTTATTTGATTGTCTAAACATTCGGTGAGATAGTCAAGGCAAATTCATTCATTTATTGAACAAATAATTATAAATCAACCATAGTGCTTTAGATCTTGATCATTCAACAGTGATTAAGTAAAACAGGAACTCCTGCCTTCCTGGAGTTCCTATACCGATGCCAGAAATAGAAAACATGTAGTTAAATAGATAACAAATAGTTAAATATATAGTTAAAATAGTTAATACATAGTTTATAGTTAATAAGGAAAGATCACTTCAGTCACTTATACGTGTAAAGATGAGACTAAAACAAGGTGATGTGTTTGCGACTGCTTAAGATAATTCAGAAAGCTCTCTTTGAAGCACAAATGTTTATTGAGATTCAAGTGATGAAGAGGAGCCACTTACATGAAGAACTAGAACAAGAACCCTTCAATAAACAAAGGTCCTGAGTAATCAAGGAATAGAAAGAAGTTCTGTGGAGCTGAACATAATGAGCGAGAGGAGTGGGGAAGGAAATCTTAGATGCCACCTAATTTGTGAAATCTTCCTTGCACTCCAGCTCCTAGATCTTCTTGAGCATCTGTGCTATGCATTCTCACTATAACCCCTACTTCTTCTACAACATCACATTTAATTGTCAGTATTCTATTAATTGCCTATTATTTTTATTAAACTGTGAGCTGGGAGGAAGCCAGGAATATTTTTTGTTTCTTGTTATTGTACCCCCAGTACCCAGAAAGACATAGTCTCTAGTAGATACATAAAATTATTTGATGAAATGAAAAAAAAATATATTCAACCAGTTAATGAAGTGTTGTCAAGGCCAGCTGTTCATGGGGTCAAGAATATTTACCTTTAAAAATTTTTTAAGAATATATTTTAAAATTTATTTTTATTTTTGTAGAGACAGGGTCTTGCCATGTTGCCCAGATTGGTCTCAAACTCCTACATTCAAGTGATCCTCTCACCTTGGCCTCCCTAAGTGCTAGGATTGCAGGTGTGAGCCACTGCACCCAGCCAAGAATACTTTCAATATTCTTTCCACTACTCCTCAACTACTGTCTTTGTTTGTGCTGCTATAAAAAATACTTCAGTCTGGGTAATTTGTAAAGAACAGAGATTTGTTTCTCATAGTTCTAGAAGCTGGAAAATCCAAAATCAAGGTGCTGCCAGATTCAGTTTTGTTCTTTTTTTTTTTTTTTTTTTTTTTTTTGAGACACAGTTTCACTCTGCTGCCCAGGTTGGAGTGCAGTGGCACCATCTTGACTCACTACAACCTCCTCCTCCTGGGTTCGAGCGATTCTCCTGCCTCAGCCTCCAGAGTAGCTGGGATTACAGGCACCTGCCTGGCTAATTTTTGTATTTATAATAGAGAAGGGGTTTCACCACGTTGGCCAGGCTGGTCTTGAACTTCTGACCTCAGGTGATCCACCTGCCTTGGCCTCCCAAAGTGCTGGGATTACAGGCGTGAGCCACAGTGCCCAGCAGATTCACTTTTGGGTGAGGGCCCATTCCTCACAGCTGGTGCTGCCTATGTGTCCTCACATGGTGGAAGAGATGGAAGGGAGCTCCCTAGTCTCTTTTGCCTTTATGCCTTCTACCATGTGAGGATACAGCAAGAAGGTACAAGACCTCACCAGACACCAAATCTGTGGGCTCCTTGACCTTAGACTTCCTTGCCTCCAGAACTCTAAGAAGTACATTTCCATTATTCATAAGTTACACAGACTGTGGTGTTTTGTTATAACAGTGGTATTGGACTAAGACAACCACCTTCACTAAAAGGAAATTATCTCTGTCTTAAAAGTCTGACAAATATCTTCTATTCTCTAATTTAATATATACTAGTGAAGATATGTAATTATTGGTTAGCAAAATATTTGAAATAATGGTAAATGCTTTTTCCAGTTGGAGTTGCATTGGTGGAGAACTTCAGTGAAACAAAATAAGAGATATTCCTAGGGTTTATGTGAATTAACATTTGCTATTGAGATCTTGTGCCTTTATAATGTTAATTATATTACTGATATGAATACATATGAGTAATCATATTATACATAATATCCCTTAGTGGCAGATATGCTCATTTTTACAAGGAAATGGAAATGCACAGTATTTGAGACACTAATTTAAATCAAGGCTTCAAGTTGCCCATGTTAGTTTCAAACTTAGATTTCCTAACTTTGGTAACATTCCTGTTTTTAACCCTACTTACCTATGCTGTCCTTTATATTTGCATAATGCTATATATGGCTACTGAACTATTACCGAAAAGTCTCATGTTTTGAGTCTTCTTTTTCTTTTTAAGATTATAAATGTGTAAATGTTGATTTGTTCACTTACAGTCTTTTGCTGGTTTCTCTGTTTAATTTTACTAAGATACATGTGGCAATATTAGTAGAGGTCCAGGAAAGATTCTAGTCACAAATGCAAACAAGTTTAAGTGGAAATTGACCCTATCATGTTAGATTTATTAACATCAAATTCTCATTAAAGAAAGTATGGAAGACAACTGATATGGTTTGGCTGTGGTCCCAGCCAAATCTTAACATAAATTGTAATAATCCTCACGGGTCATAGGCAGGGGCAGGTGGAGATAATTGAATCATGGGGTGATTTTTCCCTCATACTGTTATCCTGGTAGTGAATAAGTCTCAGGAGTTCTGTTGGTTTTATAAATGGGAGTTCACCTGCACAGGCTCTGTTGGCTGCCACCATGTAAGATGTGCCTTTGCTTCTCATTTGCCTTCCACCTTGATTGTGAGGCCCCCCAGCCATGTGGAACTGTGAGTCCATTAAATCTCTTTCCTTTATAAATTACCCAGTCTTGGGTGTGTCTTTATTAGCAGCATGATAACAGACTAATAAAACAACCAAATTCATAGTGTCTATGAATGAAGATGAAAGGAATAGCTGACTTCTATAATTCTCCAAACCAATAAAGAATGGTGCTGAGAATTTGAAAGAAATGCAGAAAATGATAGTGATATGCTACTAATTTGTTTTGTTTTCTGGTTGCTGCCAGGACATTGGCTTAATGTTAATCTTTTAATAATACAATATGAAACAATTATTTTTATAATAAATTCATTATGTTTCAACAATCAACTCTCAATTCTTTTTTTTTTAGTGCATGTTCATTGTAACAAATTTGAATAAGTCAGAGAGGTATAAAAATGAAGCTTTTATACATTAATTCTAATGGTTTGATTATAAATAATTTCTACTTCTGCATTATTTTTATTATTAGAGAAAGTATTCTATTAATCTGTTTTTAATAGAGAATCATTTAACTAGTCAATTTGAAGAAGGAAAATTGATTTTGGAGAATGTATTGATATTTGAAAAATAAAGATTTGAAATTCAGAGCTGTGAAATAGAATTAGTATCATAAGCTACTCTCATTACCTTTTAGAAACTAAAATGAAGAAAGACATATGTAGTAACTAAAAATAACAATATGTTTAAAACATATTTAATAAAAATATTGTTTATTACCTTTCTTGAGAGTGAGATCTATCAAAGTAATTATCAGAGGATAATAACCAATTTGGTCCTTATAGTTTCTAGAAAAGTAAGTTTATTGAGAAAAATTTAACTGTAGCATTATATATGCAATATACTAATTCAGAATTACTGAATTTACTTTGGATAATAACATGACTAATAAACGATATTATAATACAATATAAAAAGTTTTTCCGGCAAGTTCTGCTACAAATACTTTCAACCAAAATCTATGAGTCACAAATAATGAGGAAGAAAGAAAGATGAAAGTCTTAACCATCTTGCATTTGAGACAGAGAAATTATACAGTAAACATCAAAGAGGTGGAAGCACTCTTATTGAATGGGAATTTTCCAGTTCTTATTGCTGATTATACTTCAAGAGACAGCCACAAGGTACTTCATCTAATTTAAATTATAGTCACAACTTATAAGCTGTCTTTCTGATGATTTTGTTTAAAGTTAACTACAGAAAAAAAAAGAATGTCTGAAGAATTTTTATAACATCCAAAAAACTTTGTACAGTGAAAGCCAGCAAGAAAGAGGAACGTTAACTTTCTTTGAAACTAAGTGCATAGATTTTCTGATTTTTCTGTCATAAGGCCTGGATATTGTAAGTGGGAGATCCTGTATCCAAGAAACAGAGATCTTTATTTTTTTCTCATCTGATTTACAATGTTGTAGATGAGATACAGACAGAGTTAGTATTTGAACTAAGAAGGCTCGTCTTCCATGTTATGGTGCTTATCTGTCCCAGGCCTTCTTGATTAGATCCTGTTCTCAGGCTTACCTGCCTTATCCCCTGTTCAATTTCATCTTGCCTCTTTTCCCTGTGTCCCTCTTACCTGAAACCACACTTATCGGCCAGAGATATCCACTTTGCCAGTATTTGTTCTGCAGCATCTTCACTGACTGGCCACATGATCACCTATCCCATCACAGGCTCTTCATTTAGAAAGGGATGAGGAGGCAGTGACTGGTGTGTTGTGCACATGGATAGGCAATGGTGGGCTGTCAAGTGTTTAACAGCTTGCTCTCTAAAAACCAAAGTTCTGATCTGTAGTATTTGCCAGTTTCGTAGTGTAAACACTCTCACCAGTGTTGATTTCAGACATTACTTAAAGCAGTATCGGGAAGAGATACGCAGCAGTCTTTCAATATAATATAATATTTCCATTCTGCAGATACAATTGAGGCAAATAAACCCAAGACCATAAACATAGAAAAATGTAGAAAGTAGTAAGGGATACACAATTATTACCTTCATTTACAATACAATTTATTTAAGCATAAACTTATATATTTCAATATTTAATAATTACTTGTTTAAAACCAGCTGGCACAATTCCTGAAAATGTAATGACCTACTCTCACAAACTGGTACAGACTGGCTACATCACATCACTAGAAGAGGGGTAAATAGTGGGCTAGGAGGCTGTTGCCTCAATTCAGATGTAGAGCCTGGGCCATAATGGAGACGGAGACCAGGAAATGGAGGACAGCTTGAGATGATACTAAGGACAGAAGAGAAAAATGAGAAACTGTTCAAGGCAAGAGAGGTCTCTTCTTTAAGAGATAGAAAACTATAATCAAATGTGAATACGATATCTGGAATTGAGAGCAAAATTGGAAAGTCCATTTGGTCTGGATCAAAGTGCTGCTAAATTTGTAAGAATTTTGGTAAATTAATAACAGATAAAGATGGTGGTAAAAGAGGGACTCAAAGCTAAATACTTTAACCCTATGGGAGTCAAGGCTATGAGAGGGAAGTTAGTGAATATAGACAAGTCTTTTAGAAGAGTGTGCATATTTTAAATGTTGGAGAGACTTGAATTTATTTTAATAAAAAAAGAAACCAGTGTAAGAAGTAAGGTTAAGGTTACTAGAATGGTATAATTTGCTGTGTATTGAATCTAATTTTTCTGTTAAGAACTCAGAAGATAGAAATCAGTGCTTAAAATGAGCTCTTTCCAATGTGATGTTGTATCATCTGAAAACGCAATAACTAATAAGAATTTCTTATTAAAAAGACAAGATTAATACCTAGAGAGTTTGGAAAAGCTGGCCTAATGACCACAATTTCTTCTTCTTCTTCTTCTTTGCTGTTTATACTTTAACCTGGTGAGCCTAAAGAGATATTTTAAAATGGGCTCAATTAAACTTATTGGCTGTTAATTTAGAATTCGTTCCGCATCATACTCTCTTTCTTAAGAGAGTTTTGTTAGGTGAATTTAAAAAGAACTTAGTGTTGCAGAACTATTTATTGGCCCACACTTCAAAAACAAAATGCAATTTCTTTTGAGACTCTATTGTTGAAGAGCCCTGGAGGCCTGTTGTGTTGTGAAGTACTCTGTCTTTTTTCAAAGACTGATGTTCCACATCTTCCATGATTGAGCAAGAAAGTGACAGCAGGCTTGTTGTAAATTTACAGGTCAACAGACACTCAGTGGTGTAAATTACATTACTTTGAAGGGTACATCTATTGCTGATCTCTTTGGAAATCTAATTTTACTCAATAAATTCCTTCCATCTTACAAATATTATTTTCAAAGAAGAGGTGACATGGCTTTAGAGAATAGAAGCATCCATAGCAGGATACAACAAAGGGAAGAAAAATGTAACTTTATTTTAACTATGTGTTTAAGGATCTAAGTCTCTGTTATTGTCGCTAAATATCCACATCCAAATTAGCTTATCATTTTCGCCTACTGTGAATGAGGAAGGGTACAGAGCAAAGTTAGAGATTCCATTAAAGTGCTGAATAGGATTGGTTATTTAGAAATCAATATCAAGAAATTACTGAGTTATTTGTATAGACCCAGATTCCATCTTTCTCCTCCCTTTATGTGGCAATTTCATTTAAAAGTGATGTGGTACATTTCTAATTGATACATATTTTTGTGGTGAGTGTGTTAAAAAAAACGGTAGTTATCTATCTACTAATTTCTAATATGGGAAAGGAGAGTTAAAGAGTTTTTTGGCTGTAGTCTCAAAAGCCTCTATTGGTAATTCTTGCAAACTTTAAGGAAGGACATAGTGAGGAACATTAGACAGGTTAGGAAATATGATAGGCAGCATCTAAGGTGGCCCCCTATGATGTCTGCCTCTTGATGTTAACGCCCATGGGTAATCTTCTGCCCTTGACTGTTGGCTGGACCTATTAACTTCCTTTTAGTGAATATAATGCAGAAAAAATGATGGGCTGTCACTTCAGAGATGAGTTACAAAAAGATTCTACTTCTGTCTGTACTATTTGTCCTCTCTTATTATCTCACTTGCCCTAAACAATTAGTTTCCTAGTTATGTGTTGTCCTATGAAGAGGTCCATGACAAGAAACTGAGGGTGATCTCTGACAGCAGCAAGAAACTAAATTCTGCTGGTACTCATAAGAGTGAGCCCGGAAGCAGATTCCCCTAGTCAAGCCATAAAAGATGACTGCAGCCCCAGCTGACACTTTGATTATAATCTGTGAATGACCCTGAGCCAAAGGAACCTCCTAAATAGTATCCAAATACCTTACCAGCAGAAACTAAGAGAGTTTCTAGTTTGGAAATGAGCCTTTTTTAGGCCACTCAGTTTTGGTGAATATGTTATATAGCAATAGATAGCTAACACTGAGTCAATACCTATTTATTTCTAGTTTATGTCCACCATCTTGCACAAATAGGGACCTAGTAATTTCCTGTTGAACCAAATTAGTTCCTCAGTAATGATTGTATCAACCAGGAGGTAGGTGGGAAATAGAAGATAACTCAAAATGAATAACTGAGAATGGTTTAATAAAGGGACTAATGAATGAAGAATGGGAAGAGTTATAGAAACTAACAATGGAAAGTGAAATATTGAGAATCGAACCTTAGTGGACGCTGTCAACAACCTGCAGGCCTAAAAGGGCCAGAGGGAACGGTACTATGGAAGCGGACAAGGATTTCTGTTCCAAGGATTTCTGTTTTTCTGTGTGTGTGTGTGTGTATTTAAATTAAAGGTGAGAACATTTTGTAAATGTTTTATTTCTTGCTTGTTGCCATTTGACTTTCTACTCTGGGTGTGTGAATAGGTATATAACAGGAATATATGAGCGATACAGACATATATGCACATACTCCTGTTAAAAACTTTTAGAATGCCATTTTAATGACAGTATTCACTACAGATGTTGTTTTACTTGATGTTATCAGCTTGGATTTTGGAGTATAATACATTTACATTAATAATGTTGATGCAGGATTTTTCTTGGCCCCTTTGCTCAGCCCACCATTCTCAACCCCTTGCAGGAGCGAGCATGTGGGTGAGTGAATGTGAGATCCTGCTGGCCATTGCAGGTGCTGGCAGGAACAAGCTCTGTGCAGGGCTCATGGTGGTACCCAGGTTGGGGAGCCTACAACCCCAAAGCCCCAGAGGGGTGTTACAGTGCTCTCTTAGCTCTGCTGTCCATGGATGGCAGTGTGTTAGCAGCTCAGTTGGCCCCTTGCCTCATCACATGGGGTGGCTGCCCTCTGCCAGTGAGAGCAAAGGGCTGATGTGACAGCTTTTTTGGGTACCTGCACTTGGTGGTTCCCAAGCTCTTGTCTGGCATCGAAGAAGAATGAGGTTGTGCAGACAATTGAAGGATGGTGAAGGTGGAAAATTTTATTGAGCAATGAAAATGGCTCTCAGCACAGAGGAGAGCTGGAGAGGGGGTGGGAAGGGCAGGTCGTTGTCCTCAAAGTCAGATCATTTCTTTCCCAAAGTCTGTCTGTCTGTCTGTCTGTCTGTCTCTCTCTCTCTACCAACTGAATCTGGGGTCTTTATAGACACAGGATGGGGGTGGGGTGGGCTGTAGGCAGTTTTGGAAAAGGCAACATTTGATTGGTAAAAAGGCATTATTCAGAAAGAACCAATCAGGAGAGAGTGAGCAAGCTGGATAGAAGTTCTCACTTTGGGCCGCAGGTTTCAGGCTGGTTTTTTTTCTTTTTTTTTGGCTTGAAGGTGGGGTTTCGCCAGGGACCTTCCTTATCTGCCTAGACATTTGGCTGCTTCCTGTCATTATCAGTGTAGCTCCATAATCTACTACCTACATGATTTTGAAAAAATTGTCTAAATGCTGGAAATAATAATTGTTCCATTTTATTGAATGCTTGCTGTTAGCTGGTCTGTTCTAAGTGCTTTACAAGTTTTAAATCAATTTTTCTCTTTTGACAAATAAAAACTCTGAGGCATAAAGAAATTAATAATTGCTTGAAGGTATAGGATGAGAAAATGGTGAAACCAGGATTAAACTTTAGGCAGTTGGCCTCCACAGCCTGTGCTGTTAACAATGCCATTACACTGCTACATAGTATTAAGATAGCATACTTCTCAGACCGTGAGTATAAGGTTCAAATGAGATAGTGCATAGAGTAAGCAAACACTATATAGCATTTTATCAATAGTTTGCTACCTTAAAAACTAATTGTGGTAAAATACACATATTAAAACAATAGAATTTTTAAGTGTACAGTTTAGTGGCATTAAGTATATTCACATTGTTGTGCCATCACCACTACTATCCATCTCCAGAACTCTTTTCATTTTGTAAAAGTGAAACTCTGTATCCAATATATAGAGTTTAACAATGCCTCCTCATTTTCCTTTATGCCTAGACCCTGGCAACCACTTTTTGTCTCTATGAATTTCATTACTCTAGGTATCTCATCTAAGTGAAATTATATATTAGTTGTTTTTGACTGGCTTATTTCACTTAGCCTAATGTTCTCAAGGTTCATCTGTATTGGAGCATGTGTCAGCATTACTTCCTTTATAAGGCTTAATGACATTCCATTGTTTGTATGTACCACCTTTTAAAAAAATCTATTCTTCCATCAGTGGACACTGGGTTTCTTCTATCTTTTGGCTATTGTGTACTCCTCTTTTGAATATGGGTGTACAGATATCTTTTTGAGATCTCATAATTGCTGAACTGTATAATTCATTTTTAATTTCTTGAGGAGAAGCATACTGTTTTCTATAGTGGCTGCACCATTTTACATTCCCACCAGCAATGAACCAGGGTTCTAATTTTTCCATTTCCTTGTCAACACTTGTTATTTCCTAATTTTTTGATAGTTGCCATTCTAATGGGTGTGAAGTAGTATCTCACTGTGGTTTTCATTTGCATTTCCTAATAAGCACCTTTTCATATGCTTATTAGCCATTTGTAGATTTTTTTTTTTTTTGAGAAATGTCTATTCAAGTCCTCTCCCCATTTTTTAATCAGGTTATTTGTGTGTGTGTGTGTGTGTGTGTGTGTGTGTGTGTGTGTGTGTGTATGTTGAGTTGTTGGATTTACTTACATATCCTGGGTATTAAGCCTTCTTATATATATGATTTGCAAATATTTTCTCCCATTACATGTTTTACCTTTTTATTCTGTTGATTGTGTCCTTTGATCTACAGAAGTTTTTAATATTGATGTAGTCCAACTTATCTATTTTGTCTTTTGTTACCTGTACTTTTGGTGTCATGTTTAAGAAATTGTGCCATATTTAATGTTACAAAACTTTCCTCTATTTTTATTTTAAGAGTTTTATAGTTTTGGCTCTTAAACTTACATCATTAATTAATTTTAAATTAATTTTTGTATATGATATAAAATAAATATCCAACTTGATTTTTATTGTTTTTGTAATGGAATTGTTTTCTTAATTACTTCTGGGATTGTTCATAGTTAGCATATTGAAACACAACTGATTTTTGGGTGTTGATTTTGTATATTATAACTTTCCTGAATTTGTTTATTAATGTTCTACTTCATTTATGATTTTTAATGTATGATAATACTTTATTCAATAACTTAAACAACTTTAAACATATCTAAACATTTTTGTCATTGTATATAATGGTGAAATGAATATCATTGTAAATATAAATCTTACTATATCTTTAGGACAAATTCCTAGGGGTGAAATTATTTGAACACAAGACTTGAACATTTTTACAGCTATTGGTAACTACTGTCATATAATTTTTCAGAAAGGTTTGTTGAGATAATTTTTAGAAAAGGTAAAATCATAGCTCTTAATGCAGATAAAAAATGAATACCTATTAAAGAATTTATTTTACTTATAAGATATTAGGGAATCAGGAAAATGTTATAACCAATTCAAATGAAAAGTCAAAATAGGACAAATTCATATGGAGTAATAGAATACTGAGAACAGCACATGGAGACAAGACTGGTTTTTCATGGTGCAGTGGTGGTGAAGAAGCCAATTAAAATCACTAGCAGGCAGGATAGCACTTGTATATCTATCAGTTACCTACACTTTTTTAAAAAACTGTTTTTTTGCTTCAAGACAACAAACAGGATTAGAATGTGATAACTCAGAAAAATGTACTACAAAAGATACAATTTTTACTGAAATACAAAAAAAATCTCAGCAGGTCATTCATACAAATTTACGCTTTTGGTAGCAGTTTATAATAGTTTCTGTCTCACTTTCTTCTCTTGGCATTAAATATTATTTTAAAAATCTATGAATAGAAGAAAAGGGGTTATATAATTTTTTATTTAATTTATACTTTTAATTTAATTTAATGAGTACTATAAACGGGAGTAAAGATTTTTAAGAAGAGAACCTTAAAATAAGAATAAAATTCTGGATTGAAACTAAAGATTGGGGAATGGAGAAAAACAGTAGAATAGAAAGCTCTATCAATCATCTCCTGGGCAAAGACACCAATTCAACTGTCTACACAAAAAAACCACCTACCTAAGAACCAAAAATCAGGTGAGCACTCACAGCACTTGGTTTTAACTTCATATCCCTGAAAGAGGCACTGAAGAGGTAGGAAAATGTCTTGAATTGCCAATGACACACTTCCCCCATCCCCCAGTGGCAGTGGTGTGGTGCTGAGAGCAATTCTGTACTCTGGGGAGAGGGAGAGCCAGCAATTGTGAGGTATGGAACTCAGTGCTGTCCTTGTTATAGTAGAAAGCTAAACCTGATCAAACTTAGCCAATGTCCACCCACCAGAGGAATATTCAAACCAGCTCTTACCAGAGGGAATCAGCGAACCAAGCAGTCAGAACTTGAGTTTCCACAAGCCTCGCCGTGGTGGGCTAAAATGCTCAGTGGCTCCAAATAAACTTGAAAGGCAGTCAGGGCCACAAGGACTATAACACCTAGACAAATCCTAGTGCTGAACCGGGCCCAGAGCTAGTGGACTGGTAGTGGAGCTGGTGGGGAGGCAGGCAACCTACTCAGATACCAAGTGAGATGGCTAAGGGAGTCCTGGCATCACTTCTCCCTTAACAGTGGGCTGCACAGCTTGTGGATTCAAAAGAGACGCTTTCCTTCTGCATTAGAGAGGAAAGGGAAGAGTGATGAAGACTTTGCCTTGCATCTTGCAGGCCAGCTCACCCACAGCAGGATAGGGCACTGGCCAGAGTTGTGAGGGTCCATATCCTGGCCCTAGCTGCCAGATGACAATTCTAGACATACCCTGGGCCAGAAGGGAACCCAATGCCTTGAAAGGAAGGATCTTGTCCTGGCAGAATTAAGCACCTGCTAAGTGATGAGCCCTTGGGTCCTGAATAACCAGCAGCCATAGCCAGGTACTATGTTGAGGGCTTTGAGTGAGACACTGAAGGCTGGCTTCAGGTAAAACTCAGCACATTCCAAGCTGTGGTGGCTATGGTGAGAGGCCCCTTCTGCTTGAGAAAAGCAGAGGGAAAAGTAAAGGGGACTTTGTCTTGCACCTTAGGTACCAGCTCAGGCACAGCAGGGTAGAGCACCAGGTGGCCTCTTGGGGTCCCCAGTTCCAGGACTTGACTCTTGGATGGCATTTCTGGACCTGCCCTGGACCGAAAAGAGACCACTCCCCTGAAGGGTGAGTCCCATGCCAGGCAGCATTCACCACAAGCAGATTGAAGAAGGCCTTGGACCATAAGGGAACATTGGTGGTAGTCTGGCAGTATTCTCCATGATCCTGAGGTGGCAGTGGCCATGGGGTGAGGCTCCTCTGCCTTTGGTAAGTGGAGGGAAGGTTGGAAAGGACTGAATCGTGTGATTTGAGTGCCAGCTCAGCTGCAGTACAATAGGGTTTTCTAAGGTTTCTTTTTTTTTTTTCTTTACAGAGTCTCACTCTGTTGCCAGGCTGGAGTGCGGTGGTGCAATCTCAGCTCAGGTTCAAGTGATTCTCCTGCCTTAGCCTCCTGAGTAACTGGGACTACAGGTGCGCACCACCACACCCAGATAATTTTTGTGTTTTTAGTAGAGACTGGGTTTCACCATGTTGGCCAGGATGGTCTCAATCTCTTGACCTTGTGATCTACCCGCCTTGGCCTCCCAAAGTGCTGGGATTACAGGCGTGAGCCTCCGCATCTGGCCAACTTCTCAGGTTTTTAACTCTAGTCCTTTGGTTCCAGAAGGCACCTCTGGACCTGCCAGGGGCTGCGGGGAACTCACTTCCCTGAAGAGAAGGACATACATCTTGCTGACTTTGTCACCTGGTGATTATAGGTCCTCAGGGCTATGAGTAAACAGAGGTGCTAGCCAGGAAATGGTTAGAGAAGGCCTTGGGTGAGACCTAGTGCTGTGCTGGCTTCAGGTCTGATCCAGTGCAATCCTATGTAAGGTGGTGAGAAGGGAGCTTCTGTCAGTATACCCACAGGCTCCAAATGGCTCAGAACAGAAAGAGAGATTCTATTTGTTTGGAAGACAGTAAGGCAAGAGAACAAGAATCTATGCCTGGTAATCCATATAATTCTTCCAGTTCTTGTCCAACCAAGACCATGAAGGCAGTGCCCCTATGAGTCTGCAAGAACTACAGCATTACTGAGCTTAGGATCCCCTCTAAAGAAATTACAGCTTAGATCATAAGCTGTATGAAGGACCCAAGTCCTTTCAAATATCTTGGAAGCCTTTCCAAGGGGGATGGGTACAAACAAGCCCAGACTGCAAAGACTACAATAAATACCTAACTCTTCAACGCTCAGATACAGACAAACATATACAAGTATCAAGATGATCAAGAAAAACATGGCCTCACCAAATGAATTAAATAAGTCACCAGGGACCAATCCTGGAGAAACAGAGATATGTGATCTTTCAGACAGAGAACTCAAAATAGCTGTTTTGAGGAAACTCAAAGAAATTCAAGGTAACACAGGGAAGGAATTCAGAATTCTATCAGATAAATTTAACAAAGAGACTGAAATAATTAAGAGGAAACAAGGAGAAATGCTGAAAAATGCCATCGACATGCTGAAAAATGGAGCTGAAAAATGCAACTGATATGCTGAAGAATCTTCAGAGTCTTTTAATAGCAGAATTGATCGAGCAGAAGATAGGCTATTTGAAAATACACAGTCAGGAAGATAAAAGAAAAAAGAATAAGAAACAATGAAGCACACCTATAGGATCTAGAAAATAGCCTCAAATGGCAAATCTAAGAGTTATTGGCCTTAAATAGGAGGTAGAGAAAGAGACCGGGGTAGAAACAAAGAACGTCCCAAACCTAGAGAAATAAGTCAATATCTAAGTACAAGAAGGTTATAGAACACTAAGCAGATTTAACCCAAAAAAGACTACCTCAGGCATTTAATGATCAAACTTGCAAAGGTAAAAGATAAAGAAAGAATCCTAAAAACAACATCTTAAAAAAACTAGAGCAAACCAAACCCAACATTAGCAGAAGAAAATAAATAATAAAGATCAGAACAGAAATAAATGAAAATGAAATGAAGAAAAAAATACAAAAGATCAATGAAAGAAAAAGTTTTTTAAATAAGTTAAACAAAATAAACCTTTAGCCAGACTAAAAAAGAGCCAAGATCCAATAAATAAAATCAGAGATGAAAAAGGAGACATTACAAGTGATACCATAGAAATTCAGAGGTTCATCATTAGCTACTACGAGCAACTATACGCCAATATAATGAAAAATCTAAAAGAAATGGACAAATTCCTAGATACATACATCTTACCAAAATTGAACAAGGAAGAAATTCAAAACCTGAATAGACCAATAACAGATAACAAGACTGAAGCTTTAATAAAAATCTCCCAGTAAAGAAAAGCTGGGGACCCAATGGCTTCACTGATGAATTCTACCAAGCATTTAAAGAACTAATACCTATCCCACTCAAACTTTTCTGAAAAATTGAAGAGGAGGGAATACTTGCAAACTCATTCTACAAGACCAGAACTACCCTGATACCAAAACCAGACAAAGACATCAAAAAAAAAAAAAAAAAAAAAATACTGTAGGCCAGTATTTCTGATGAACATTGATGCAAAAATCCTCAACAAAATACTAGCAAACTGAATTCAACAATACATTAAAAAGATAATTAATTGTGACCAAGTGGGATTTATTCCAGTGATGCAAGTTTGGTTCAACATATGCAAACCAATTAATGTGATACATCATATGAATAGAAAGACAAAAACCATATGATAATTTCTATTGATGCTGTAAAAGCGTTTGACAAAATTCAACATTCCTTTATGATAAAAACCCTACAAAAATTAGTTATAGAAAGAGCACACTTCAACATAATAAAAGGCATATATGACAGACCTACAACTAGTGTCGTACTGAATGTAGAAAAACTGAAAGCCTATTCTCTAAGACCTGGAACATGAAAAGAATGCCCACTGTTACCACCATTATTCAATATAGTGCTGAAAGTCATAGCTAGAGGAATCAGACTAGATAAAGAAGTGAAGGGCATCCAAATTGGAAAGGAAGATTTCAGGAATTTCCTAGAGACTGGTTGAATAGTTGTGACCAAAATGCTGATAGTGGTATGGGCAATGAAGTCCAGGCTAAGGCCGGGTTCTCAGATAGAAATGAGGAACTTATTGGGAACTGGAGCAAAGGTCACTTTTGTTATGCCTTAACAAAGAACTTAGCTGCACTGTGCCCCTGCCCTAGGGATATGTGGAAGTTTGAACTTGAGAATGATAATGTAGGGCATCTAGCAGAAGAAATTTCTAAGCAGTAAAGCATTCAAGATGTAGACTGGCTGATTCTAGCAACCTATGCTTTTATGAGTTGTTGGAACTTACATTTTTTAAAAGAAAAGAAGAGTGTAAAATTTGGAAAATTTGCAGCATGGCCACATGGTGGAAAAGGAAAGCCCATTTTCAGGGCAGGAATTCAAGCAGGCTGTAGAAAGTTGCATAAGTAAAAAATGAGTCAAGTTCAAAAATCCAAGGCAATAAGGAGAAGTCCTTGAAGGAATTTCAGAGACCTTTGGGGGCAGCCCCTCCCATCACAGGCCCAAAGGTCTAGGAGGACTGAATAATTTCATGGATGAGGCCCAGGGCCCCTCTGCCCTGTACAGCCTCGGGACACAGTTTCCTGCATCTCAGTAGCCCCACTTATAGCTGTGGCTCAGAGGGGTCCAGATACAGTTGAGGTTGCTGCTTCAGAGGGTTCAAGCCATAATCCTTGGTGACTTCCACATGTATGGAAAAGAATGGATGTCCAAGCAGAAGCCTGCTGCAAGGGAAGAACCCTCATGGAGAACCACTATTAGGGCAGTGCAGAGGGGGAAATGTGAGGATGAGCCCCCACACTGAGTCCCCACTGTTTTACTACCTAGTATGGCTATGAGAAGAAGTCCACTTTCCTGCAGACACTGGAATGGTAGATCCACTGACAACTTGCACTCTATGCCTGGAAAAGCCACAGGCACTCAACACCAGCCTGTGAGAGAAGCTATGGGGACTGAACCCTGCAAACCCACAGAGATAGAGATGCACAAGGACTTGGGAGTTTACCCTTCACATTAGTGCGCTCTGGATGTGGAACATGGAGTCAAAGGAGATTATTTTGGAGCTTTAGGATTTAATGACTTTCTGCTTGGTTTCAGATTTGCATGGATCTTGTTGCCCCTTTCTTTTGGCCAACTTCTTTCTTTTGAAATGGGAGTACTTACCCAATGCCTATATACTCATTGTATCTTGAAAGTAACTAACTTGTTTTTGATTTTGCAGGCTCATAGGCAGAAGGGACTAGCTTTGTCTCAGATGAAACTTTGGACTTTGGACTTTTGAGTTAATGCTGGAATGAGTTAAGACTTTGGGGATTATTGGGAAAGCATGATTGTATTTTGAAATATGAGAATGACATGAGATTTGGGGGTGGGCAGGGGCAGAATTATATGGTTTGGATTTGTGTCTCTGCACAAATCTCATGTTGAAGTGTAATCCCCAATGTTGGAAGTGAGAGCTGGTGGTAGGTGATTGGATCATGGAGTTGTTTTACATGAATGATTTAGCATCATCTGCTTGGTGCTGTTCTTTTGATAGTCATTGAGTTCTTGCAAGATTTGGTTGTTTAAAAGTGTGATCTCTCTTGCTTCTGCTCCTTCCATGTAAGAGTGACCTTCCATCATGATTGTTAGTTTCCTGAGGCCTCCCAAGAAGCCGAGCATATACCAGCATCATGCTTTTTATAGAGCCTGTGGAATCATGAGCAAATTAAACTTCTTTTCTTTATAAATTACCCAGTCTCAGGTATTTCTCTATAGTAATGCAAGAACAATCTAATATAGGAAGAATCACATTACCAGACTTCAAATTATAGCACAGAGTTATAGTAATCCAAACAGCATGCTACTGGCATAAAAACAGACACATAGACCAATGGAACAGAATAGAGAACCCAGAAGCAAATCCACACACCTACTGTGAGCTCATTTTTGACAAAGGTGCCAAGAACATACACTGGAGAAAAAACAGTCTCTTTAACAAATGGTGCTGGGTAAACTGGATATCCATATGCAGAAGAATGAAACTAGACCTCTATCTCTCACCATATACAAAAATCAAATCAAAATGGATTAAAGAACTAAATCTAAAATCTAAAACCTCAAATTATGAAACTACTACAAGAAAGCATTGCAGAAACTCTCCAGAACATCTGTCTAGGCAAAGATTTCTTGAAGAATACCCCACGAACACAGGCAACCAAAGCAAACATGCACAAATGGGATCACATCAAGTTAAAAAGCTTCTGCACAGAAAAGGAAAAAACCATCCAAGTGAAGAGACAACCCACAGAATAAGAGGAAGCATTTGCAAACAACTTATCTGACAAGGTATTAAAAACCAGAATATATAAGGAACTCAACTCTATAGGAAAAATATCTAATAATCTGATTTTAAAATGAGCAAAAAGCTTGAATAGACATTTCTCAAAAGAAGACATACAAATGGCAAACAGACTTATGAAAAGGTGCTCAACATCACGGATTATCAGAGAAATGCAAATCAAAACTACAGTGAGATATCATCTCACCACAGTTAAAATGGCTTTTATCCAAAACACGTAGTAGCAAATGCTTGCAAGAATGTGGAGAAAATAGAGCTCTTGTTTACTGTTGTGGAAATGTAAATTAGTACAACCACCATGGTGAACAGTTTGGAGGTTCCTCAAAAACTAAAAACAGAGGTACCAGATGATCCTATACCCACAATAAAGGAAATCAGTATATCAAAGAGACATCCGCACTCCCATATTAGTTGCAGCACTATTCATAATAGCTAGGGTTTGGAAGCAACTGAAGTGTGCATCAGTAGATTAATGAATTAAGAAAATGTGTTACATATATGGAATGGAGTACTATTCAGCTATAAAAAAATGTGAGATTCAGTCATTTGCAACAATATGGATAGAACCGGAGGTCTCTATGTTTAGTCAGATAAGCCACACACAGAAAGACACACATCGCATGATCTCACTTATTTGTGGGTTCTAAAAATCAAAACAATTGAACTCATGAACATGGACAGTAGAAGGCTGAGAAGGGTAGTTTGTGGTGGTGGTGCTGAGGAGAAAGAGTGAGATTGTTAATGGCTACAAAAACTAGTTACAATGAATGAATAAGGCCTAGTATTTGACAGCACAACAAGGTGACTATAGTCAATATTAATTTAATAGTATATTTTAAAATAACTAAAAGAGTATAATTAGATTATTTATAACACAAAGGATAAATTCTTGAGGAAATAGAGACCCTATTTTCCATGATGTGATTATTATGCATTGCATTCCTATTTCAAAACATCTCATATTCCATAAATATATACACCTACTATGTACCCACAAAAATTAAAAATGACAAACTAAAAAAATTATGAAACTTTTGTTGCATCTCTTTCTCTTCTCACTATTTGAAAGGTACTGAGAAACATAAATTTAGAAAAGAATTGTCTTGAACAGTGCTGAATCCTTGTTCATAGTTAAGTGGCTGAGAACATTTTGAAGACTAAATTAAATACTATAAATTATAAATATCAAATATCCATTTGCAGCCAGTTTTGAAAAACAGGACAAGGCCAGTTCAATTATTTTTAGCACTACATCCTCATGATTAGAATTCATTTCCCTTTCAGATTATACTTTATCCTGGAAAGTGTGCTTGCTTCAGAATTAGGCAAGGAATACTGAATGTTTAATGAAAAAAATCTGTGTAAACCCATTATTAAGAAATGGTTGTAATAGAAGCCAATTTCATTACTGTGTACTCCTTTTACATATACTAAGTTTGTTAAAGGAGGAGTGCTTTTCCTGATACTTTAATTTTTAACTTTTGTATTTCAAACTTGTTTGACCTTTGGTCAGGACATTGGACCTGTCCCTTTATTAGCACAAAACATTGCTATAATTCTATGCAGGACTGTTTGAGAATCAAATTAATCAACATATATGAAAGTATATAAATGTATGGTTCTTTAAAATGAGAGTGGAGAAAGATTTTAATATAATACTTTTACAATTATTTTTACTAACTTCTTTTCCCTTCCTCAGGCAACAGTCTACTCACAAGCCTCCTCTCCCCAATGCCATTTGAGTAGTAATGATGGCTTTCTGTCACTGCCTTTAGACAGAAACACTAGAGAGCCAACAAATAATTACGGTTTTGACTTTTGACCCCTTAAGAAGATTACTGGAAAGCTCTAGAAAAGGCCTTACACTGACAGCCATGGCATTGGGATGCCATTATTTGTTGGGAAAAAATATGCCTGTTAGTCTGGTTTTAATTCCAAACTCTTTGTTTTAACTTTTAGCATCAAATTCTAGAGAACACAGAGCTTAGATTATACTCTATAAACCTAAGAATGGGAAAAAAATTTGTATAACTTCTACTTTCCATTAAAAAGCATGTAAGAATGAAAGGAAAAGTAATTGGAGCATGAGTTCTTAAAAAAGATCTAGTGTCCCATTTTCTATGCTAAATTCTTGAGAGAATGTAGGGTGACACAAAGTTCAATGGAAATGCCAGAGAAGTCAGGAGAGACAAGTTCTTTAGTACACAGGACTGTTGTCTAGCTAGCCTTGGTGTAACCTGGTCACAGCCTTGTTGAGAAGGCCGGAGTCTGGCATGTCTGACAGCAGCATTTCAGAGGCCACTCCATATCTCATTACATGCCCTAGGAAGGGGGCAGAAATGGCTAAGAGAGACAGATGCCTGGAAGAGACCCTTCAATGTGTTTGGAGGTTATGGAACTACAAGTGAACATAAATATTTTTAGCTGGGTCAAATGATGCAGACCAACACACTTGAGGACAAACAACAACTCAGCAGAGGCCTGGAATGGCAGAAAACCACCTTGGGTTAAATGTAGAGATATTCCATATACAAATGGACAATAGCCAGACTATATATAAAAATAGAAATCTGACCCACAACCTTTGTAGCAGCCAGTCTGTGAAGCCAACCACAACCTCTATAGCAATCAGCCCCAAAAAGTTAGGATTTTGATCAACAACTGCAAACTTCTCTATTTTTTGCGTTGTTTCTTTCCCCACTTCCAACCTAGGATAAAGCTGAAAGTGCTCTGCTAATCAATCACATAGGATGTCCTGCTTCTAGTTAGCCTACCTCCAGCTTCCCCATGCCAAAAATATCTAATCAGGGCATGCTTAAAGCCTTCCCCTTTTTTTTCTACTATAAAGCTTTCCCACTCTTCTGCCTGCCTTTGAATTTCTGCCAAACATAAGCAATGGTGGCTGTCTCCTTTGCTATAGCAAGCAAGCTCTGAATAAATACCCTTTGCTTGTTCCTGTTTGGGTGTCTTTATTTCCACAATGCACATTTTCCTTCTGATGCCATGAAATTATTTATAGGCCTTTCCCAAGTCTGGATGCCACCTGGGGATATGGCAAGAAGGGGTAAGATAAACCTAAATTGACTAATAATTAATCTAGAGAAACTGAGTTTTAAACCAAATGACACTGAGTGTTTTGCACATGTACGATTAAATTTTCTAAAACTAGGCAGAAATGTGAAGTCATGAGCTAAGTTTAAATTTGAAACTTTTTTATTTGCTGTTTTTAAAATTTTCCAATGGTATAAAATGCATGGCTCCACACACTAATATGCTGGATGAAATATTAATTATATTACATTTTATTTCCTTTGTCATTTATTTTATACCAAAGAAGATCTAGCATTCATTCTTCATTCATCCATTCATTCACCAATAATTTATTGAGATTTTACTATTTTCTGGACACCACAAGCACAAAGAATAATGAAGACAGAGACATGGACTAACAGCCCCAGTGGGGACACAGCCTCCTCCCACTACACACATGTGACACAGGGTATGTGCTAACACAGATGTGCTAACAGTATTATTTTTGTCAGATGTTGTTTACTCTAGACCTTATGGCTATTAGAAGAAATGGCGGGTGGGGATAGTGGTCCATGTCCAAGTGGACCACTACAGCTCTTCTCTTAAATTCCTAAGCAGCTGCAATAGTTAAAACTTTTAGAAAATTAACACATGTTCTCATGACATTGTCCCAATAGGTACGATTGAGTGCAACAGAATATCTGAAACTTGTGGTTCCAAATATCTAAATAACTCAGTACTTAAGTTGTCAGTCAGTTCAGCTCACAATCTTATTGGAAGTGAATTTAAGATGAAAAACAATTCAAGGAGTTATAATAATAATAATAATAATAATTATCATTACATTATTATAGGAGTTTAACCTACTGTATTTACTCAAAGATAGTAGTCAAAATAATTAGGAAACAGATATGTAATTTGCATAAAACCTCTAAAACATGTTTTTTAAAGTGCAATTCATTTTTTATAGGCAATGAGAAATTCAAATTTAAGATTTGGAGAGTCTAGTCCTTTTTACTTCTAACTTATACTTTCTGTGTCAGGTGCACTGGATTGCCTTTCTCTTACAACACTTATTTTCCCTTCCCCTTGGATGGCTTCATGTTTTTATCTGTGATGTAATTCTTTCCATTGTCAAACTTTGAAGAGATGGGAGCTGTCAGATTTTAATATAAGTAACACATTCTGTAGGGATTGGGAAATAATGGTTAAAATAATATAAAATTATGTAGGTTTAAATGTGATTCACCTGTTTGAGCACCTAATATATGCCAAACATGGTACAAAATCCTGAGGGAATACAAGCTTGAATGACAGCTCTTATTATCAAGGAATTTATAGATATCTTGTTATCTATAAGATAATATATGAATGAGAGAAAACCCAATGGTGGTTCTATTTAAAACTTCTTTAATTCCTTTCAAAGTTTTGCACGTATTTTACTATATGTTCTTTACTAGGTATTTGATAATATTGTAAATAAGTATCAATTAAAACATTTTATTTTCTATTTGCTTATTTATATAGAAAAACAATTTATTATTATATATTGGCCTATTATACAATGACCTTGCTACATTCACTTATTTGTTTTGTAGATTCTTTCGATATATAGTAGTTAAAATTTATATCATCTGTGAATAATGACAGTTTATTTCTTCCTTTCTGATGCATATGCTTTTCATGTCTTTTTATTGTCTTATTGAGTTAGCGAGGAATTTTAGTGTCATATTGAATAGAATTGGTGGTGGTTGGCATCTTTACTGATTCCCAATCTCAAGGGAGTTTACAATGTTTTACCATTATGTTTCTTGAAGTTATTATTTTGATTGGCTTTATTTATCAGGTTAAGAACAATTTGTTATCTTCTTAAGCTTGAAACAATCTAGATATTTTAAGCAAAAAAGACTGTAATAATGTGCTTACAAACACTGTGCTTAAGTAATGCTGTATTTACAAAATTGTTGGAAGTCCTAGAGGAGCTGGATTCGGGAGGCTAACACTGGTGCTATTGATTTCAAGAACACGTTGCAATGTCTGTAATACAGGGATCAGGAAATTGTTATTGCCGTACCATCATAAACCACCTCTTAATACTCTTGTCTCTGCTAACTTAATTTCCACAGATTCAGCAGCAGCAGGTCCACTGCCTTACTTCTGCTTTCCAAATGTCCCCTGAGTACTTCTACTTGGCAGAAACAAATTTACATACAAATCCTAGGCTGCAAGTAGAGGTGAAAATGCCAGATTTCTGCAATATAGAAGTTGTGTGGAGGGAGGTGTAAAATGTTCTGGGTAAACACCATTGACCAATGGACATAAGATCCAGCACAGTTCTTTGATTTCTCAATATTTACCCATATCTACCCCTTTACCTAGTCTAAGTCTTTTAACTGGCAAAAACAACAATCACATGCTTCTGATTAACACAATGTAGCTTTCTGTTATAGGAAGAAAAATGCACTTACCCTTTCCTGCACATAGCCCATCAGTCACTGTATCTATCTCTAGGTGGGCGATGTTCATTATTCCAGTAGTTTATTTATTGTCCTAACTAGATATCTTTGGTAGAAGTAGTAAATTACTAAGTTAATAACCATCAACATTTAGTTATGTATTAGTTTCAACACATGTGTATATGGAAGAATGAAAATATAGGTAGTTACTTCCATCCTCATTTTTAGGGTCATGAGACCCTAGTTATGTTCTATCTTTCTTTCCTCACTACTCATTCCATGTGTCATTTATCATTAGCAATCCCTTTGTTTCTTTAGGTTTTTCTTCTGGTGTGAGCACACATGTCTGCATTCCTCAGAGGTCAGAGCCCTTTTTGAGTTGGATTTCAGTAGCCTCCTGTTAACCTATGATACTGGATGTAAACTCAGGTGGCTTCAGATGTAAACTGCCCTTTCCCCACCCCTTCTTTTGTGGAAGTAATATTTTTCCTATATGATATTCAGAATCTAATCCACCAGGCACTATAGTCATCTCCTTTATTTGATTGCTGCTTTGATGGCATGAGTATCCAAAATAGGGCTGTCTGAAATTCCAGTTCAGCAGAATAATTGCTCTGTCCCCAGGAGGTAATCAGATTTCTAAAACCTCAAAACTAGCCAACCTGGAGTTCTGTGGTCAGGAAATAAAATTGTTTGCTGGGCTTATTGGGTGCAATAGTAACAGGTAGTACTCTCATCATCTCTACCTCTTGATTCCAAGTTCCATGCTTCCTTGCTATATCAGTAACCCCACCATAAATTGATATTTAGTTCAAAGCAAATTACAGCATGTAGGGAAGCACCAACCACACAAGGTACTACCTCTCAGGTGTAACTGAATTGTCAATAAGACCTTGAAGTTGAGCTACTTTGGGGTGTTAAGGTATATGCTAACACCATGAATCTTCAGGGCAACAGCCTATTGGCAGATTTATGCTATTTAAGCCCCATATTCAGATACAATATTTTGTTAAATACCATGAAGATGAATAAGGCATTCATTAAGCCCTCAGTTGTTGATGGTGGTAAGAGAATGGCAGGTAGACTAAACAACATACCTAGAATGTATCTATTCCAATGAGGAAAAAAATGCTTTGTCTTCTGTGAGTTTTGTTTTCTTCTTTTGTTTTCTCTTCCCTTTCTCCCTCCCTCCATTCCCTCCTTTGTTTTTCTTTCTTTTGTGCCAAGACTGGAATATATCTGTTTTGCCGTAGTATCTAGGGTACTTTCTGATTATTAGATCCATCAGCATGATGTTATCAATGTAGCTGATCAGTAAGATAATAATGGTTTCTGATGATAACATTATGTTGTCATTGAATAGAGTTGATGTAATCCTGAGGAAAGACTGTGGAAACAACCTATTTTTCTTGTCAGGTGAAAATAAACTGATTCTGGTATGTTCTATGTTTGTTGAGAAGGAAAAAAGTTGTTTCTGTTATGTAGCTGCATGCCAGGTTCCAGGGGCTGTTTTGTTTAAAGAGACTATACCTGGAATAGTGGCAGCTGAAATTGGAGTCACTGAATGGTTAAATATGTAAAATTTGACTGTAATTCTCAAAGATCCACCCATATTCTGTCAGGCCAAACAAGTGAGTTAAGGATATGATAGAAATCACTACTTCTGCATCTTTGAAGTTATTAATAGTGGCGGTATATTCGATTTCATTGAGAATTTTCTATACCTATTTTATTTTAATATTTTGATAGAAAGAGGCACTTGTATGGATTTACATACGATATTTTTGGTTTTCTGATCACGAGAGCTCTGACTCCATGGATCAGAGGGTAAATATAGCAAGTTTTCCAAATGCTGAACAAGTCCTTTCCAGCCATGCACTCTGGTTTTGGAGAAAAATTATGGGGTGACTTTTTAGAATTATTTAACTTACTATGAAGAAAACTTAGTTTCAAAATGGCAGTTGTTACCTGATACATATAACCTGTTAGTCTAACCAGTGAATACAGGGTCATTTGTGGTAGAATTACATAATTCTCTTTCTGGTGTAGCTGGAACCACATTCATTCAAATGCAATGTACAATGGCAATGGCACAGAAATAAGATTTGGATAAAGGGTTATGATTCCAGATGATGTGGAATCAAATAAACCTCATTTTCTTAAACTCAGACTTTTTGTCTGTTTGGATCAGACAGATCTTTCTTTTTCTGTTTTTTAAAGCTACTCATTTATCCCAGTCTTAGAAATCCTATATTAGTAAGTATTATTGCATAATAGTTACTAATGCCACAATCATCCATGTCAGAGGACACAGACTTACTATCTTACAGTCTCTATGGGTTGGGAGATGGGGCACTGTTAAGTTGGATGTGCTGCTCAGGGCTTTGCCAGGCTGCCATAAAGGTATCAGCCAGGCTGTGTTCTATCTAGAGGCTCAACTGGGGCAGAATTAACTTCCAAACTCATTCAAGTTGTTAGCAGAATTAATTTCCTTGTGCCTCTATAGCTGAGGGCCTCAGAGTGTTTTTCAGGCTATTGGCTGGAGGTTGAGGTTCGTTCCTAAATGCCTCCTGCAGTTTCTTGACATGCAGAGTTCTCTAACATGATTATATATTTCAAGACCTCAAAGAGATTATCTAGCCTGTCTTCTAGCAAGACTCTCTTCTAGCAAGTGTGTGTGTGTATGTGTGTGTGTGTATGTGTTGGTAGTAATTGTGAGAGTGACTTCTCCTAACATTTGCCATATAATATATAGTAACGATAGAGACATCCATTACCTTTGCCATATTCTATTGGTTAGAAGCAAGGGCTTACCTGCACTCAAGGGGAAGGAATAAAACTAAGGCATGGAAATCAGAGATAGAGATCGTCGGGGTCCCCTCTAGGTTTCTCTCACACAGATGCCATATTGATTTAGCCATCACCAAAGATCAGTGCAGATCATAACTAGTTTGTGATCAGTACATAAGGGTGAAATGTCTTCTCTCCCATTGAAAGGTATTATGTTGAATGCAATGATGCTTCACATACCAAAATAATTTGAGATAAAGGGTATTGCTCACACAAGGGACTAGGGAGACCAGGGCAGGCAAAAGCATGTCCAGGTTAACCAGCGCTTATGTGATTTGAATTCCCTCTGGTGCCAAAGGCAGGAGCACCCAGTCTGTCTTATCAGTTTGCCCAGGTAGGGGGCAGAAAGGAAAGAGGGACAGATGGGCTTAAAAGCTGACAGCAAACATCAATAAATGCAGTCATATTCTTTGTCATAACACCACATTAATTATTGTCTGGATTATATTATAGTAACAGCACTTGACTTGCTCTGGTGGTTAAGAGCTGCTGTTGTCATTCTGGGATTTGACTGTACTTCTCACAGTCAGGGAGCCCATTTCAATAGCATCATTTCTCTCCATGAAGGTCTAATTTATAGAGGACAGTTAACTGCAGTTTTCAGGGGTTTTAGTGCTTCCCTTCGCAATGAGTTTCTCAATGCTTTGATAAAGAAAGTGCTCTGAGTCATCTCGGGGATGCCTGAATAGGTCTAAAATGGTAAATTCATGTCAACTCTCCTATCTTCCTAAATCTTTGAATTATTTCTTCTATGTTTTATCGAAGAAGTTCTGGAACCTCATTACTAAACCTAGGCCACAGTTGAGTTCAAGTTTTATGCAGCTAATTGAGCAAATATTAGATGCAGGCCCAGTCGCCCTCTCTAACACTTTCAATTCAGAATTTCTGATCAGTGTATCTGTATGAATAATTTTGGCCTGACCTAAATTTATGTTGTTTATTTCCTGGACTAACATCCTTTGAATCCATTTCCACATACTTTAATCAAGGTTCTACTGATATTGTTAAAGTAATGGAAATCTTTGGTTCGTAAGTTTTAGGACAAAATTTGGCTCTTGGTTGAGGCTAATATTCTAAGATTTGCATGGTGAATCTGATAATGTGTCAAACAACAGAATACAAATTAAATAAACAGTGACGATGTGTAACAGGAAAAGTAGGGACATTGAACAAAATCAAGTAAAGTTAATTTTACTGCAGAATAATACAAAAGCTTTTTCTTTGCTGACATGCTTAGTGAGTTATCCAAAGTGATTTTGGATAAGTCCCTTTATCTGAATGTGCTTTGTTGTTTTTGATCTGTAAATTAAAGAACGTGGGTTACATGGAATCTGAAGTCCCTGCTGAACCAAAGTTATATAATTAGAATGATCCTTAAAGCAGTCGTACAATTATTCATGACATTTCTTGATTTTCATCTATTTTTTAGTGAAATATTTCAAAAATAATAAATGAAGATGGATAGAAAAACCTGATATTTTAATTAGTTTTGTATTTTATATATAAGGAACAGAAAAACCTTTCCCCATTTAGAGATAATTCAATTGCAGACAACTGAGGACAAGTAAAATCCTAAATCATTTTTTTCTCTAGCTATTACTGGCTTAATATTTGACCTGTTTATACTCTTACACAATTTAATCCATATGTTGGAATAATAATACTTAAAATCAGTAAAATAATTTATAAGAACTGTTTGAAGTCTAATTTATAGAGGACAGCTAAAGCTCTTTGAATTGTCTTTAATCAGTTAAATTTTTTTTCCTTTAGATACTGAAGAGTATATTTTTGTCAAAATTAAATCAACATATTTCCAGTCACTTGGCTTAGGAAATAAGACCCTGAGTGATTCTGAATGCCTCTTGTAAATTCTTTCATTTTCCTGCTTGTTTACCAGAATAGGCTTTTCTTTTTATAAACTGCTCAATAAAACTAGTTGTAAAAAACCTTCTCTGATTAATCTGGAATGAGAGTCTTCAACTAGTTAAGGAATTTAGAGATTGCTGAGTATAATAGACTCCTACTAAAGGTAAGGAATTTAAGATTCAAAGAAGGTAAGTGAGATTCCAGGTCATGCAGCTAGTTAGTAGTAAAGTTAAAACTAGAATCTGTCTCTTTACCATGGTTTTGTAAATAGGGCCTATTTTAGACAAATAATCCCCTGGCTATTAAAAATCCTCTATTTCTTCCTATAATCTCTTTTTTTCCTATTTAATGGAAAACTAGAGATTTCAATACAGAAGCTTTCTTATTCTTAAACTTCTGTGTGTATTCTAAAATAGAGCCATATTAATGTTTAACAGTAGCATTTATATATTTCATTAGATTGAGTCATGTATTCACAAAATTTAAAGGACAAATCAAATTTGTACAGAATCCTCATTCCAACCACTTGAACTTCACCTTGTCTACATTTTGACAGGAAAAGTAGAAATACATTTAATGTGCTTGATGAAGTCCTTGTTTTTTACTACCAATTTTGGTTTTTATTTAGTATGATTGGAAGGAAAAGAAAAATCATTATGGGCCTCCTAAGTAAGTTCTGGCAAAGCTTAACCTCTTCAGAGAGGCACGATTGTGAAAAGAAAAGGCACGCTAAGTTGCAGTATTTGTTTTCAATTCTCTTGATGTTTGTAAAACACCTATGTTAAGGAAAGGAAATGGCTCTAACTGGTTTTCTAAGTATAGAGTAATTAGACTGAAGAAATGAGCTGGACCTGAAATGGAGCTTATTGGAGGGATTTATTTTTCTAAAACTTTTCTTATAGTAACTACTTATTTGATTACTACTCATAATGTATTCTTTTTTGTTGCATCTTTGTAAGTGAGCAAATAGGACCCAGAAGGCACATAATGGTGTTCACTTGGTCCATTATTATTTTTTTAACAAACAATACATCTAATATTGAAATTAACATTTTAGGAGAAAATGTTTCTGATTTTATTGGGAGTCAGAATTGGATGATCTAGGGAAAGTGTTTCTCTGGAGATCTTTATTTGAAATGGTCTTTCCTAATCTAGTGAAAGGAAGTGTCAGCCCAGCCTAATTGTTAGTTTGTTAGTATTAGCATCAAGAATGGAACATGGGCAGTTATATTTTCCATTTATCTTTGCAATGGCATTTAAGACAGAGAGATGTGTTTGTGGCACTGAGGGACCTAGCTGAGAATATGCACTTATCCCAAGGTCTCCACCATTTCCTTAAGTTCGCCATATAATTCTCCAATGTTTGAGTTGAAGAACCTAAATTATAGTTCCAAAAGTGTGGTCCAAATGCTACTTGAGGTGTTTTTCGAATGCAGATTACTGAGCTACACTATCAACTTATTCAAACAGAATCTATGGAGTTCAGATCCTGGAATATTCATTTAAAAAAAAAAAACCTGCTATTTATTGTGCTTCCTAAAGTTTGTGATCACTTGTCTAAAGGCCTATCCTGGCATGCTTCTATGAAGAGCTTTTTAGAAGTCCTTCCTTTCTGTAAATAATTATTAGTTTTCTTAGTTAATTTTTTTCTGAGTAGGTTATGTTCTCCTTCTAAATTATGATCATCTTGAATTCAAGAAAAAATTTATTCTAATTTCTCACCTGTGGTGTTGAAAACTTATGATGTTATTGATAATGATTTGAAAATTCTATGTGTGTAAAATTTTACCTTAAACTTTGCTTCACCTTTTTTTCTGAAGATTTTGTTGATAAGGAGCTAGAAATAAAGATCAAGCATGACAATTCTGCAAACCAATAATGCTTTTGAAAATATTGTTTCAAATAAAAAGAAAAAATATTGAAATAGTCATTATAAGAAATAGTTTATAGGACAGTACTTTTTAAAAAACTATGTTTAGAAACAGTTCATTTTTAAATGTCTTTGTTTTTTTCTTCTTTTAAAGAAGATAGACAAACTCCATGAACTTAAAACTTGAATATGAAGTTAGCATAACTCTATAATTGAGCATCTGTTGAGTGGAAGTAAGCTAAATTTGAAAAAGTAAACATATTAAACATATTTGAATTTTGGCAAATGAATGTGAATTGCTAATACTCTCAAGCTTAACTACAGATAGTTTAGATTTTTATGAGATTAAACTTTGTTTCTAACTATAGATTCTAAGAAGTTTCTTTGAACCCAGAAAACTCAGAGAGAGAGAGAGAGAGAGAAAGAGAGAGAGATCGATCTGTGGTTCAAGTATAAAATAATGAAGTGTAAATGAGAAAGCATTTGTCTTACAGATTGGAGAGTGACAATATGAATTGTAGTAAATTTTGTAGTAAATTTGCTACACACTGTAGTAAATCTTGTAAGTTTTTGTTCCTCACTCATCATAACAGACCTGAGAGCAAAAACGGTCTTTTAATTATCACCATTGATTGGTGATGAGACCAAAATAAATGCAACTACCTGATCATTATTGTCCACTGCTCCCCAAACTGGCTTAACTATAATCACCTGGAGTATAGACTGGAAAAACAGATTTTTAGGTTGTTCCCCTGCAGATTCTGATTTATTTGTTCCATGATAGGGCTTTAGGAAATCTGATTTAAAAAATTATGCCACTCTTATGATCAGGTAAATCTGGGAAACACTGTTATAGTCTATTTTCTTCTTGGTCAAAATTCCTCTTTTTTTAAAAAATGCAGATTTACTTCAGAATTGACTAATTCTTATCATTCTAATTTCAGCTTTTTACTTCTTTGTATTATTTAGTTTGCTGTGACTATAAACCAGATTTGTGTTCTACTCCTTCCTTTGCCCTTTAGTCTGAATTAAAGCAAGTCACATAAACTCTTGCCTTTAACTTTATTCATTTTATTCCACAAATATTTTTTTATCACCTCTTATGTGCAGGACATTTATAGAAGGATGGAATCAGGGAAGACAATCTTTTAGATCCTTTTCAGCTCAAAGACACTATGAACAGAATTTTTTCTAGCCTTAGAATTAGTTCTAAAGATATAATGGACTTTTTCTTCTCTTTTACATTGGCAAAGTGTGTCCATAACACACTCTTGGCCTTTGACCTGCGGTTTATTTCAGTGATTCTTATGTCTAAATAATCCGGTAACCTTGAACAGAAGTTCTCCTGAATGTAGGTTATCTTTTGGACAGCAAACCTTTTGTGTATCACAAAATCCCTGGCCTTATACAGCAGTTTTAAGAAGTCAGTATTTTGCTAACATGTTCCTTAGCAGCTGGGATGCCCGTCAGGTATGATTCAGTTTCTGTCACTGACTGAATAAAGGGTAGAACTTGGACTCATAGAATTTCCCAGTCCTGCTTTTGTCATAGAGTATTTTTGGCATTTAAAAATAAAAGTAACTTGGTCTGCAAGATTTGGTGATTTTGGAACTGAATATAAAGGAATAATTGACAAACTGCACCTTCAGAAGATATTCGCTTCACAAGAACAAGAAAAAGTATTTTTGAATCTCAAATTTAATTTTTTACTCCACAATCTTCCCAATTCAACATTCTATAAGATACTTTTCGAGTGTTTTCTCTGTGCCAAATGTGCTGGGGATACAAGAGAGTAAAATGCAGACTTCTCCACCCTTCCCTGAAAAATTGCCATTTTTTAGGAGCTTAAAGTCTAGTGCAAGAGTCAGGCAATAAATTAAAACAAAGGAAATTATATAGTGCAGTAGAGGTGTATTATGCATGAGAGAGAAATAAACAGAAGAGGAGGATAGGGAGTGCTGGGAGGTGGGATAGGTACTTGTGGATATGGATGGTCTCACTAAGAAAATCTCTTCAGCATACTTGAAGGAGGTGGCTATTTGGGCTATAGCAACAATGTTCCAGGATTTCCCACGTGCAAAATCCTGAAGTGGGAGCATCTTTGGTGAGTTCTTAGAACTTCCAGGATTGCAGTGGGACTGGAGTAGAGAAAGCATGTGGAGATTATATGATGTGAGGTCAGAGAAACAACGGGGTCAGATCATGTAGGATGTTGTAGGTCACTGTAAGGATTTTAGCTTTTACTCTAAGGGATATAGGAGCCCATTGGAGGGTTTCGAGTGACATTGACTAAAGCTTGCTAGTCATTTAATAAGATTGCTAGGACTACTGTTTTGCTGTCTGTGCTCCTCACTGCTTTTTGCCCATTTCTGCCATACATAACATGTTATGCCTTTGGAGAGGATTTGAAGCTCACTAATAACAAAATGTTGCAGGATAGTTTCAGCCATGCCGTAATGGTGAAATCATGTGACAGTGGTGAAACTGGTGACATTAATAAATCGGAGATTTTTTCTTAGCATAAATAACCACTAATGTATTATGTGTATATTTGCATATTTTATTTCAAAGCATCTATTAAGTTGCCACTAATATAGATGTATGATTTTGTACTTATATTTTGGTAGTTTTTGGTTGCATTCATGATTAGGAAATGAGATGATTAAAGGAGAAATGAAAAACTAAAGTTTATTTTTAAAATAAAAAACATATTCACTTGAATTGTATATTTTAAATTTTAAATGCTTGAACAGTTTTATGGCTATTAAGTTCATTTTTGAATGTGTTTAACACAAGACAATACTAACGGACAATTTAATCAGATTGATTTAGAGAACTCTTAACTGCTAAGAGTAATTTAAGAAAATATTCTGTTACATCCATGATATTCAAACTGAGTTTAAAAATTTGGCATTAATTTAGAACTGAAGTTTTTCCTTTATTTTTAGAAATATTATAACCACAATTTTCTTAACTTCTTAGTAAGGATTTGCAAGGGCATATTAAATTTAACATAAGCTACTGGATATACTCAAAAATCTGTAGAGCAATAAAACTTTAATATCTTTTCCAACATGAAAAGAAAAGCCTCATATCTATATAAAGTTTAATAAAAAGGATTCTTAGATTGTATAAAATGAAGTTACTTCATTACAAGGTTTCTTTCATTTTTACTAGAAAAATGTTATGTGGGTTGGAATAATGACTCATTTAATTATTAGAAATATCTTTATTTGTGAAACCATATCCTTTTACATGAACCACTATGTATACTAACATATAATAAGGCATACAATACTAGTTTTAAATTAAGACAAACATCCAGGGAAACTTAGAAGGTTTATAGGTTTCATTTCCATTGTTTAGTTTTACAAAATAATAGCTTATTTTTTTAATTGACATTAACTCCTCTCATTTTCAGCTTAAACTTTGCCATTCGTTTGGATACCAAAACTAGGTCTAGGAGGTGATATGGTCAGGTTTTGTGTCCCCACCCAAATCTTGAATTATAATCCCCATAATCCCCACATGCCAGGGGAGAGACCAGGTGAAGGTAATTGGATCATGGGGACAGTATCCCCCATGCTGTTCTCACAAGTAAGTGAGTTCTCACAAGATCTGATTGTTTTATAAGAGGCTCCTCCCCCTTCGCTTGGCACTTCTCCTTCCTGTCGTCTTGTGAAGAAGGTGCCTTGCTTCTCCTTCATCTTCTACCATGATTGTAAGTTTCCTGAGGCCTCCCCAGCCATGCTGAACTGTGAGTCAATTAAACCTCTTTCCTTTATAAATTACCCAGTCATAGGCAGTTCTTTATAGCAGTATGAAAATGGATGAATACAGGAGGTATAAATTAGTAGGGCATATCAATAAAGTAAACCAAGTTATGTGTGTGTGTGTGTGTGTGTGTGCGTGCGTGTGTGTGTGTTTATGTGCATATATACAGCCATTTTCTAGGGATACATCTTGTTGCACAAATATTGTCTGATCTCACCATATGTTGTTTTAAATGCAAAGCACATTTTTCTGTCTGATATTTCCTAATCTTACTACAACAAAGTCAAATGCTTCCAATTTTTATGGACTTCAGAGAATGCTTTTTAGAAACACCCAGCAATTTATTTTTGCATTATTTTGCAGTATAGCTAGATTACTTCACCATTGTTAGCAGATGCTTTTTCTCCACAACAGTTTGCTGTTGTTTCATCAAACACAAAGATACAAAGAAATGCAGTAAAAAATATATATTTTTTTCTTTCATATCATTTATCACAATCAATACAGTATTGGAGCAATACTAATACTGCTGTGGTCCTTAGAGGCTGGAAACATTTGTAGTGTAGCAGTGGTGCTATGAGCTGGTGCCAGGATAGGTTCATGGAAACACTTAACGATAATACTGCTTCAGTAGAGGCAGTAATGGTATAAACAGGGCAAAGGAAATACCAGGATTGCAACAGATGCAATTGATTATATGCCTTGGGGAATATTCCACTCATTTATTTTAAGGCCAGTCCATGTAAATCAAAAGGCTGTGATGCTGTCAGTAAGACATATCACAGTCATTGTAATATGCAATGACAGTGCTCCTGCGTTACTGATGCAGCAGCTCATGCCTTTGGACACAAGAAGCCATCTGAAGCATAGCTCTTAGGCTGTCAATTGTAGAAAATAATCTGACTTAAGCATCTGAATCACTGCAAATGGTGATATGGCTTGTTCCCAAAATATAAAGTGATAGAACTGCTTTAGGTAAAGTTTACCTATGTATTTGAACTTGGTCTTACATCTCTTTCTCACTAAGGAAACATAATAATTTTCAATAACACTCATACTTGTCATTCTACATTACAGCAATACATCGGGCAGCAAAATAGTTAACTGTGGAAAATAATTCTTAAAATAAAGGTTTCCAATGACATGTTCTCTTGGAGATATGCTTTCAGCACAGGAGAGTTTGCTTCCTGAAGACCAAGTGTCTTTTTCTTATTCCTTCATAGTCAACTTAGTGACTGTTTTCAGAGTTAAAAATTTTGCTTGCTCTGTCAGTGTTCACCTTGTGAGTATGAGAATGGCCAATTGGTTCTTTGAAAGCTGGAGCTTAAAGGGAATTGCTAAGCATTTCAATAGATGAAGGAATGGGAAGTCTTGTAATTAATGCTAATTTATGACCTCACTCCTATGAAATTACACATTACATGCATATTAATTATGATTAGCATTCCTTCAATGAATAGCAAAGGAAATCATAATGATTTGTCACTTATTATACAATGCTGTCACGCAATCTTTTGTAAAAATTGGTCTTTACTTGCCGTATGGTTAATAAAGGGATGCTAAGTTCTAGTGCGATGACTCCTTTCACTAGATAGTTCATAAAATACACAAGCAGTGAATGATTTAGCTTCAACTCTGACCTTTTTTTAAAAAAAATCACAGTTTGGCAATTTAATTTCTGACTTTGAAAAGAAGCCTATCATTTTCTTTAAGTGGAAAATAGAAGGCAATCATCTTTTTATTATTACCTATATACTACTTTTAATTCAAAGACACAATATAAGCTCTCATTCAGTCTTGAAATAACTTGGGACTCATGGAGATAAAAATTTGAAATTTTGCGTATGTGTGCATTACGGATACACTTACTTCTGCTCATATGCGATAATATATTATTTTAATGTTATACATCATTTTCTATAAATTCAGATTGGCAAGAAATGTCATATATACATTTGTACCCACACACATATACACGACTAGATCTGACTTGGAGCTAATAGGAAATACAATTTTAGTCATTTGATTATTGAAAGCAATAAACTTCTTGGAGTTGCACAAAAATCTGGCAAACTAAGGCGAAGCGGCTCCTCATTGGAACTTGAATTAATCATGTCTGTTGCTTTTTTTCCCCAAATGTGGGCAGAGAAATCTTTTCAGTGTCCATAATTCCATGTGGTAGGTTCAACTTCCCCAAATGCAGCCCACAGCTGAAATTCTGCCACATCATGGGGTGCTTCCAGGAACAGCAAAGAGTAGCGGGTTCCCACTACTCTCAGAATCCAATGACCTCCATCACCCTTAGTTGTGGGGAATCTCAGCTTTTTCCTTATTTTTCTTTGATCCTGTTCCTGTCAAAAGTATTCTCCTGTTCATCCTATTATAGTTCTCTCATCCTTGAAATCTAGTTTTCAAAACACAAAAATTGAGAAAGGAATCGCCAGGCAATTATTGCTTTGAGCCCTGTAACCACAGCTTTCCCTGAGATAAAGGGGCAGAAAAGACCCAGCACACTCTGTAGAAATGTGGGGAGGGAAAATACACTAAAAATAAAACACAAATTAAGAACTCAGCAAATTATCCTGCCTCACATTGCTTGAACATTCCACCTGGAATTTTTAGTGTATCAGTACTCATAGTTAAATTTGGAATTATTCAAAAGTAGGAATGGAACACACACAAAGGGGAAAATGTGTATTGGTTCAATCATTTCCAATCCAGAGATTTTGTGTCTGATTCACAGAGAAACCTCAGCAGGCAAGTTAACCACAGAGGAGGTGTAGATTATGCAGTTTCTAGTACACATATATTTCCAAATAAGATCTACCTTTCAGCAATCCTGATTTTATCAGGGATTTTGTGGCTTTTAGAATTTTGAAGCACATATTATGAAATCTGGTAAATAATAGTCCGTCATCCAATTTCCATCCTATTCAGACTGTTAAAAAAATTTTTCTTTGGTTACAAATCTAGTTTCACAGAGCATTTAAAATTTAATTGCCAGTTTGATCTGACTTTACTTATAGTGCCATTTACCACTGTGACATAATGTTCATAACATAGTTTCACTACCTAGTATAAAAAGAAAATGAAGCCCAAGTTTGAAACTAGATGTAGGGAGTTGGAATAAATGACTCCCTGAGGATTCTGTCAATTCAGTAGAGTGGCGTTAGCAGTGATGCTAATAGCCAGCACTTATATGTGCTTGCTATGTGTGAGGATGGTTCTAAAGGTTTTAGAAGTATCAATTACTTTATTCTTTACAACTCAATGAGGTCACTATTGTTATTATTCCCACTCACAGGTAGGAGAATTGGGGCAAGAAGTTTAAGTGATTTTCCCAAGCTCAAGTAGCTGATAAGAAGTCTGTTGCAATTTGAGCCTAGTAGTTTGATTCCTGACTTGCTCTTCTTAATCATTCTACTATATCATAATTTCTTAGAATGGAAGGAGGATACCACCACTTTTAGTCCCACCATATCTATATCAGTTTATCTAATCCTTCATCAATTTTTATAGTTTTTTCACTCTATTCTTGTAGGTTATACAAAGGTTGTAAGTTATTCAAAAATAGAGTCTTGACCATCTAAAAATGAATTTTATCTTCTTTCTTTTTAATTTGTATATGTCATTGTTTTGTTTTACAGTATAGGTAGAACGTCCTTTCTTCTTCCTGATAATAATTGTTTTAGTCTTAAGGAGAGTATTTGCTACTCTTGAGATAATTTTAAATATTTATTAAGCAACTAATTTGTGCCAAGTATTCTTGCAAATTCTAGAGGAAGAGGCAAAGAATAAGCAAAATGAATAAATAAATTTATTAAGTTAGTTAATGACACATGTTAAGGAAAGGATAAAAAATATACAAGAAAGGGGCTGAGCTGTTTGGGTCAGTTAATTTCAGATAGTATAGCCAAGGAAGAACTCACTGAGAAAACAATTCTTGAGTAAAAACCTTAAACATGTGAAGGAGTGAGTCATGTTAATATCTGGGCAAAGATCGTTCCAGGAAGGAGTAACAGAAAATGCAAAGGCCCAGAGGTAGGAATTTGTCTTGAGTACTTAAAGAATAACATGAGTTCCTTATAGATGCTGGCTATTAGGCCTTTGTTGAATGAATAGTTTGCAAATATTTTCTTCCTTTCTGTAGATTGTCTGTTTACTCTGTTGATAGTTCCTTTTGCTGTGCAGAAGCTCTTAATTAGATCCCATTTGTCAATTTTCGCTTTTTATGCAATTGCTTTTGGTGTATTCGTCATGAAATCTTTGCCAGTTCCTATGTTGAGAATGGTATTGCCTATGTAGTACCTGGGTGATGAAATAATCTTTACAACAAACCCCAGTGACACGAGTTTGTCTATATAACATACCTGTACATGTACCCCTGAACCTAAAATAAACATTTAAAGTAAAAGAATAACATTATGGCCAGTGTGACTGACTCAGAAAATTGAAGATGAGATCTGAAAACGAATGGAACACCAGACCATGTGGCCTTAGAGGTTACAATAAAGTCTATGGCTTTTATACTGAGTGAGGCGGGAAGCTGTTAAGAAAGGATTCTTAGCTAGGTGTGGTGATGTGTGCTTGTAGTCCCAGCTAAGGGGAAGCCGAGGTGAGATCACTTGAGCTGACGAATTCGAGGCTGCAGTGAGCTATAATCACATCACTGCACTCCAGTGGCACTCCAGTCTGGGTGACAGAGAGAGATCCTGTCTCTTAAAAAAAAAAATGGGGGTCTTGGCTTATTAAGAAGTTTTTTTTTCTAATTAGAAAGTGATATTCAATAAACTTTAAATCCAAAGGTTTTATTATGAGAATTTACACAAAATACTCACAGAATCCTCTATATCTGTCTTAGAGTAAAAGCAAAAAGTGAAAGTGAACTTCAAACAGGTTAGTATAAATGAAAGACCTTTCACTACAACAACGTGCTGCACACTTTGGGGAAAACAACAGCACACTCTCCTTAAGGATTGTCACATACTATTAGAATTATTTGAATATAAGTTATATAGCAAGAGCATTGCCATAAGAATCTATGCAGTATTGTTTTTTAAAACCCCTAAATTTGACTTTTAACATAGAATTAAACTTTATAATAAAGTCGTAAACATTATTCTTTAAATTTCTAGTCATGTAATTTTAGGATGTTTCCTTAATGATTGCTTTAGCCTTACAGCAAATCTGCCTTTGCTTAAGGGTAAATCCTAGGTACTTATAAATATTAAAATGTGGGCTGGGAATCTAGTCTCTGGCACTCAAAAACAAGCATGTTAAATCAGGAACACATTAACTCATTATTTTTGAAATCTACCCTTGTATTGCAATATTATGTACCCAAGAGAGAAGATAGCAAGCTTTTCTATCTTGAAAACATGGAATTTTCCTAAATTTTCTGTGTCTCTTAGAGATGGTAAGAGAGGAATTATAATAATAAAGGTGTGTGTGGGTGTGTTTGTGTGTGTGAATGTGCAAAGTCATTTGGGCATTAGATGATTTCTGTATTTGTTGTATGTCCATATATTCCATGAGCTACATTGCAACCAACTTCACAAAGAAATATTTCAGGATTCATCAGAAAAATGAGAATTAGTAGACTCACTTTTAGAATATCACATTAACAGTTTTCTTTGACAGCATTCTAGCTAGTGGCACCCAAGTCAGCCTGAATCAATGGTTTGTGAAGGTGGTTGCTCACTTTCTGAAGGTCTGCCCTTGATCTGGATTTTATTTTAAAGTGTTTTACATTTTCAAGCATTCTTAATGAGTAACTTACCTTCTAAAGACAAATGAAATAAGAAAAGTCTGTTTTTATTAGCCTTTGTAAGACATAAAACACGATAAAGGATACCTGTATTCGCTCTTCTCTCATGTTGGAGGGCTTATGCTGCAAGTTAGGTCTAAGCTGAAAGTGACAAGAGGGCTTTATCTCTTGGTCTCTTATCTAACACTAGATAAGAAATATCTTTAGTTGTGCAGGTATATAGCAGTTTCTTGCATTGTACCCTAAAAGGAAAGAGATCTGAGGTAAAAAATCCTCTCTTAAGATCAGCCTAAAAAAATAAAAAGAACAATTATTTTTCTTATTGCAAAAATACTAAGGGAAAGATAAATTATATGATCAGAAATATGAGCATTTATGAAATTATATTTATTAATATATTCAAATACTTCAAATTTCGATTGTGTTTGTTCTTGTAAATTTAAGGTGACCAGCTCCATAGATGAGATCCAAGTTCTATTCACAGATCACATTCAACTGAACTGTGCTTTAATGTTAATGGAGGTCGGCATCTTGTGATTTTCTGTTACTCTACTTGCTTTTTGAATAGTTTGAGGTTATTTTCCACATGACCTCTTAGGGTTGTGGACTTTAAAGTACTATATAAAGCATTTTCTTTACAATTCAATACTAACAACAAAAGAGACATTCTGAGATATACAATTATATAATTGATCATATTTTTCCCTTTTCACTTTGATTATCAGGGAGCTTAAATGCAAAAATGAAGCCCAGTTTTATACACCCTATTATAGTTTACTTACTAGAATACTTTTCAAGTCTTAACTTTCTCTTCTAATAGTTTTTTGGTTTTGATATTTAAATTCTATTTCTATTTTCTTATGTGTGATGAATTGCTGCCCTAAATTTGTGTAGGTAGATGTGTGTATGAGTAAACGGTGTATATAAATCACCATTTATAAGTGTTGCATGCTCAAATTTTCTAACTTTAGAAACTTTTCAAAATTGCTTCTACTCAGCCAGTAGGATCATCCACAGAAAATTAAACTCATTGGAGACAGACTAACAATCAGTCCTAATTACCAAAAATTAAATTAGGAAGCTATACCAAGTAACAGCTGAAGTGCATCAACACTTCAAAATTAGCACACAAAGTAGTTATAAATTGATATAATTAGTCATTTAAAAGGTTTTTCTCAGAATCATATTTTGTAGTAAGCTAGTAAATGATAAGGAATATAGTAATGTGTTACCATAGGTGTGATACTTGGAAGTACACAACAACCTCTCACAATAACCTCTCAGTAACCTTTGAATTTTTGACAACGAATGAGTATCTTAATACATGTCTTGCTTTTATTTTAAGATAATCACTATTACTTTAAGATACAAAATTTGTATATATTTTAATAATTTCCAAAAATAGTCATTTTTCCCTCATAAAACACCAATTCCTACAAAATCTTTGAAAAATAATTTTACTTGAATATTGTGTTCAATTTGAAATCATGCTTGTAGAAAATGGAAAGAAAGTCTAGAAAACATTTAACATAATTGAGGGACTGCAAAAATGGAAAGGAGTGGCATTATTTATTCTAGAAAGATAAATCAGAAAGAGTTAATAACTCTCTTTGGATTAAAAAGAAAAGCTATTTATAAGGTGACATTCTCCCCTGCTTACTTCTGCATCTTCTCAGGTGTAGACTGAAGAAAGACATGGACTACATTTGTTGTTAAGGAAGACTTCACTCATAGAGAAAATGTTTTTGACTGTAAGATAGATCAAATACTGACTAGGTTACCAAGGGTTGTTAGGATGTTGTGAATTCTTAATCTCGAGGGAATTGCTAAATTTAAACAGACAGCTATGTGATCGAATGATTTAGACAGTGGCACTTGGTATTGAATTCCTAGATGGGATGAAAATTGTGTGTGTTTTTTAAAACTTATAATTCAATAATTTTATTAAGGCACATACAGCATATCCAAAGAAGTATTGCTGCTTACTCTTAATTAAGTACAGAGACAAACACTAAATTTCTAAAACAACGTAATATATTAAAAACAGTCATCTATTTTTAAAAAAACTGTGTCTTCCCCCAACAAGATCCTATACCATGTTGGTTACTCATCTATTGAAGCATTTAATATGTTACATTTGGGGTTATGAATTCCTTTCTTTCACTAGATAGTACTGTTTCTTTCTTTGTCAACTGAAACCATAGTGAAAATTATTTGCATTCCCAGAAACTAGCACAATATTCCACATGACACCTGTAAGAAAAATGTGGTAGATGAAAGGGAAAAGTAAAGAAGCAAATAAGGAAAGGAAATAAATTCTCTCTCTGGCTCTTATCTTAAAAGGAAAGAAGAAATATAAATTCACTGAGGCCAGGCACAGTAGCTCACGCCTATAATCCCAGCACCTTGGGAGGCCAAGTTGGGTGGGTCACTTGGGGTCAGGAGTTTGAGATCAACTTGGCCAACATGGTGAAACCCTGTATCTACCAAAAAAAAAAAAAAAAATCATTCTCTCATTCTTTCAGTCATCTTATAGGAGCTTTCCCAGTTCCTTTTCCCTAGGGCCATGATCTTTTCAGAGTGCTAGTAACTACAGAAGGTAGTGAATAATCTAAAAAGTATCCAACACAATAAATATTTCTTCACTGAATGACTGAAATCTTAGGAAAATGAAATTATATTGATGCTAAAAATGGAGCATTCTCTTACAATTTTTTTCTCTCACATTCTTGCTTTTTAGGTACTGGATGAACTATTTTTCTTGAGAGTCATAATTTCAAGTTAATCTAATGAAAGTATCCCAGTTTAGCTGAAAATATTCCTTCACTTTCAGTGTTTCTCTGTTTTAAAATTTATGTAAATATTCACTTGATATTGAAGCAAAGACACTTCCATTATTGTCACAATGGTTATCATTCATTATGGTCCCATGAGATATCTCTCACTTCATCTCTTGCTTTTTTTATTTGATTGAACAGATAAATTCACTTTTATAGATGAGGAAACTGAGTTACCTAATCTGTAAAGAACTTGCTCAATGTTACATGTAAAGTTAAGGGAAGAACTAGGGATTTGCACATACTTTGGAGTTCTCACATCTTTGTGCCCACCCGTCAGAATGTACTATTTGTATAGAATGTTTTTTAAATAATTGTATTTGCTTGAGTCACAGATTGTATTTTTATTTCAATGCACAATGTTTTGATGACCCAGTTGAGTACTTAGAGTTCTTATCACAATGTTTTATAATTGTTCATTTACCGGTCTGTTTAATCAAAAAGATTGAGTTCTCTGAGGGCCAAGATTGGAACTTCTATCTTTGTATTTCCAGCATCTGGTAAAGTGTATGATAGGGAGAAAATGCTTGATAAATATTTGTCAAATAATTGAATAAATAAGAGTTCTCTTATAAATGATTCAGGCTTCTTTTTTTCCCCAAATTCTCCCTTCCACTTAAATGCTCAGAAATATTTTTCTTAAAGTCAGAATATTCCTGCAGCAGACACTGTTGGTTATAAATATTCCTGTCTTTTTTGAATTTTGATTTTGTTTTGGTGTTGGAAAGTTTTGTGTTTCAGGGAAGTATGAATCCGAGAGGGAATGGTTAAGGTAATTCTATCCACTTGTCAGTGGTTGAGTAAGGAGGATATATGTGCTACAGTGCAAATAAGATAAAGCCTGTTGGGAGCTTACTGGAAGAGTTTTTGTTACCTTTAAAAAGCAAAAGAAAGGAAAAGATTCAAGTTCTTCTGCTGCATATTTCAGTAAGAGGATATGATGCTTGAAGCTGTTTCCACTTTTAAGGACAGAAACCAAAATAACGGCAATAGTAGAGCAGAAAGATTAAAAAAAAAACTGACTATATTGTAGATTTCTGAATTAATAGCCTTTAAAATATTCTAATCCTTTCTTTTGAAATGGATCATTTAATCATAAAATTATCTGGAATTTGTTTATCTCAGTTTATTATAAATTTTTCTGTAAGATCAAATGTAGGCACAGCTGTGACATATAGGCACCAAGCCTTAAGAAAAGATTCCTTTTCCTAACTAGCAGTCAGGGACTTCTATCGCTGTTAGAGAAGATTGACATGCTACTCACTTCTGAGAGATAAAGCTGCTCCATATAGGTTTAGAACACACTTTAAACAACTACTTATTCACCTATGTCAGGTCAATATGGTGACATAAAATTTGTGATTTGCTGGTAAAAATTTAACAACTGGCTTTCTAAAAACAAAAAAGTGCATATTTATGCATAATGAATTTATTATGAATTGTACTGATATAAAGGATTGGCAGCAAACAATTTACAAATAATAGTAAACATACAATATCCTTTTGTGAGTTCCATGTAGCCAGTTGATTCTCACATAATGCTTGGTTTAGTTTTTACCAAATTCACATATTCACGGACAAGCTACAGTTGCTGCTGTTGAATAATTCTATTTCCAACAGGACTGTTGGTTGATATTTTCATTTGTGTTAATAAAAATATAAAATGAAGCAAAGACATGTGTTGGAACTTCACTCAATTGCCAATGACATGACCAACTTTTTTGCTGAATTGGATAAGTTTTTAAATAATGGAAAAATATTTCCTCAATTTTTTGTGCTAGTCACAATGTAACAGATACAACCATAGTATACTTCGTTTACTCTTTTCTATTAACATTTTCTCCATTCCTTTTGTTAATCTAGACAATTAATAAAACAATCAATGAAGTCATGATATGCAATGTTTTTCAATTACTGTGGTATAAATATTCTTGTGATAGCTAAATTCAAGCTACTGGCATGATGTCAAAGAACAAGACATTGAGTAGAGTTGTGCAGTGGAACACTATTTTCCTCATATGGAAGCAAGAGAATCAATACTCTCAAATGTAAAGATAATTGTGAGCTATAATAAAATAATTAAGAAGTGATGAGGTTTGAGTATTCCATATGTACATAATTGATTGAATTGTATATTTATATAATTTAATAATAGCTGTGTTTAACAACTAGCAAAATTCCTGAAACTTAATAATTAGTTTTTGAAAGCTCGTATGGACCAATTCAAGCACATCACTGCACCAAATATTAATACCTCATCCCAGAAACAAGTGATTCATTTTTCTAGTTTAGTTCAGCTAGATTTGAGTAACAAATTGTCTAAAACGTCTTCTTGCTACCCAATGTATTTTTCTAGGCTAACAATTTTGACAGATTGTCCCCCTCTCCCCAAGCGTTAATACCAGAAGAAACTTGATATATTAATTTGAGGAATAAGATCTAATTTTCAAAAAACTGCACAAGAGTGCCATATTCCCAAATTTACTTATAGACTTAAATATTATGATTTCTATTGTAAGTAATGATAGAACTCCTCTTCAAGGAATACATGCTAATCAAATCAGAATTGAGAATTTATTTTGAGGGTTAAGATTTGGCAAATTATTTTTCTGTGACATTGGAAAAAACATAAATCTTACTTAAGTTATATATTATTAATGTCTAAAACTTCATATAATTTCAGGTTTTTTACAGAGTTAAGGCTTTTGTGGTTAAATTTGATGAATATGTGAAGATAATTTTCTATTAAGCCCAGACAAATTAAGTGATTCAAGATTAATATAGCCTTCACTTTTCAGGTTTATTTAAATCAGACAGGGAACAAAGTGAAGGGGTTGCAAAGTGATATCAACAGTTTCACAAACTGTCTTATAATTTGTCTTCTTCAAATTTATGTTCAGAAATAACATCTCATTATGTTCCTTCTTTACCATTCCTTTAGAGAATTCTTGATATTTATAAAACGTTCTTTCTTGGGGTTGTCTTCTGAAAGTCTTGATTATATGCACCATTTCATTTGTTTTGTTTTAAAATAAATCATTGTAAAAAAAGAAACTATAGAAATTAGCTCTCATTCTTTAAATTTCATATTCAATAAAAGATGTATTTTTTAACCTGAGCAACCAGCTGGTATAGAAGAAAAGATACATAAATTTGGCATTGGATAAAATGATATCTAATTCCACTCCAAACTCTTGAGAAACACAGGGAAATTAAAGAGTCATTGAAATTGTGCCTTCTCTTATCTCAGTAGGGTAAAGAAACAGATAAATGGCTCTTTTTCCTATAACTTCAGAATGGGATCTAGCTGAATTTTGCCTACCCCAGCTTACTGACTTATGTTTACAGATACAATACAGCTGAATGCATGAGAAGCTGCCTGTATGGATTGTTGAACAGGAAAAAATAGTTTGGCTATACTGTTATAAATTTACTCCAATTCCAATAAGACTGTTAATCTCAGGCAATTTTAGAAAAGTGCTTGGGCAATTCAAGAACAATCTTTTCTATAACCTAATTATTCACATAATTGAGAACAAATGGGGCTATGATGCTGACCTCTGTATTTAAATCCAACTCTACATTTTTGTACTTGCAAAGAATTAACTTGATAATTTATTTTTAATATTAATTGTATACATGTTTTTTCTATTTTTTATCTTTATAAATTTATAAAATAAATTTTCCCCTAAGAATTTATCTGCTTCTAACACCTTGGTACTAAAATCATTATGAAATGCTTATGCTATTTCCTCAGTAATAATTTGTTAATATCTCTAATTGAGAAACCTTAAATATAAACTCTAAGATTAAGAAGTTCTGTTTTTGAGTATCTCTACTACTTCGAAATTATAAGATAGAAGGAAAATGCTTAATGATTTTTTCAAAAGAGAACTATATTGATACTTTAGAAGTCTTTTTCCACCCAAATCATTCCTTTAGAATATGTCTTGATTGAAAGAATATACATCCTGGATCCATTTTTACTTGTCAAGCTTATGATATATAATGTGCATAAAATTCTTGATAATTTCCAAAGCACTTAAAACAAAAATTTTATTTATTAACACTGACAATTTGACATAAAATGAAACAGTGAAAATTGGTACACTGAAGAATTATTCACAGATCCCGTATAAAAAAATAGGACATTTTAAAATTTTGTAAAGCTTTCTCTTCTTACTGATAGCTTGATACAAAATAAGCCAAAAACAGACCTGATATCTTAGGAAAACACTCCAAGATATGAGGTTACAGAGTGCCAAACTGCCTTTTCCCTTTTCTTCTCATAAAAAAGCCACAAGACGATAAAATGACCTGATTTCATTTCACTCTTTGGTTAACAGATAAGAATTAAATCTAGTTAAGCATTCGTCACATTTTCAGCACATTTATTGAATAGAGGATCCTTTCCTCACTACTTGTTTTTGTCAGCTTTGTTGAAGATCAGATGGTTGTACGTTTGTGACCTTATTTCTGGGCTCTCTATTCTGTTCTATTGGTTTATGCACCTGTTTTTGTACCACTACCATGCTGTTTTGGTTACTGTACCCCTGTAGTACAGCTTGAAGTAGGGTAACATCATGCCTCCAGCTTTCTTCTTTTTGCTTAGGTTTGACTTGGCTTTTTGGGTTCTTTTCAGTTCCGTATGAATTTTAAAACAGTTTTTTGCAGTTCTATGAAGAATGTCATTTGTAGTTTGATACTACTAGCAATGAATCTGTACATTTCTTTGTACAGTATGGCCATTTTAATGATAATGGTTTTTCCTGTCCATGAGGGTGGAATGTTTTCCATTTGCTTGTGTCATCTCTGATTTCTTTGAGCAGTGTTTGGAATCCTCATTGTAGATATCTTTCACCTCCCTGGTAAGCTGTGTTCCTAGGTATTTTATTCTTTTTGTGGCAATTGTGAATGGGATTGTGTTCCTGATTTGGCGCTCGTCTTGGCTGTTATTGGTTTACGAAAACGCCAATGATTTTTTTTTGCGTGTGTTGATTTTGTATTCTGAAACTTTGATGAAGTTGTTTATCAGCTAAAGCAGCTTTTGGGCCGGGACTATGGGGTCTTCCAGATATAGAATCATGCTTATAGTCAACATGATTTAGTCATGAATAGTCAACATGGTTCTATATCTAGAAAACTCCATAGTCTCAGCCCAAAAGGCAAACTAAGGGATAGTTTGACTTCCTCTCTTTCTATCTGGATGCCCTTTATTTTTTTTTCTCTTGCCCGATTGCTCTGGCCATAACTTCCAATACTATGATGAATAGAAGTGGTGAGAGAGGGTATTCTTGATTCAGTTTTCAAGGGGAATGATTCCAGCTTTTGCCCATTTGGTATGGTGTTGGCTGTGGGTTTGTCATAGATGGCTCTTATTATTTTGAGGTATATTCCTTCAATACCTATTTTATTGAGAGTTTCTAATATGAAGGTATGTTGAATTTTATCGAAAGTCTTTTTGCATCTTTTGAGATACTCAGGAGTTTTTTGTCTTTAGATCTGTTTATGTGATGAATCACATTTATTGATTTGCATATGTTGAACCAACCTTGCATCCCAGGGATAAAGCCTACTTGATTGTGGTTGGTTAAATTTTTGATGTGCTGCTGGATTCAGTTTGCAACTATGTTGTTGAGGATTTTTGCATTGATGTTCATCAACGATATTGGCTTGAAGTTTTCTTTTTTAAAATGTGTCTCTGCAAGGTTTTGGCATCAGGATGATGCTGTCCTCATGGAATGAGCTGGGGAGGAGTCCCTCCTCCTCAATTTTTTGGAATAGTTTCAGTAGGAATGGTATCAGCTCTTCTTTGTACATCTGGGAGAATACAGCTGTGAATCTGTCTGGTCCTGGGCTTTTTATGGTTGGTAGGCTATATATTACTGATTCATTATCAGAGCACATTATTTGTCTGTTCAGGGAATCAATTTCTTTCTGGTTCAGTCTTGGGAGGTATATGTGTCCAGGAATTTATCAATTTCTTCTAGGTTTACTAGTTTGTGTGCATTGAGATATTTGTAGTAGTCTATGACAGTTGTTTATATATCTGTAATATCAGCAGTAACATCCTCTTTGTTGTTTCTAGTTTGCATTTATTTGGATTTTCTCTGTTTTATTCTGCAGTAGTCTAGCTAATGGCTTATCTATCTTATTAATATTTTCAAAAAGCAAACTCCTGGATTCATAGATCTTTTGAATTATTTTTTGTGTCTTAGTCTCCTTTATCAGTTCTGATTTTGATTATTTCTTGTCTCCTGTTAGCTTTGGGGTTGGTTTACTCTTGCTTCTCTAGGTCTTTTGGTCGTGATGTTATGTTAATTTGAGATGTTTCTAACTATTTGATGTGGGCATTTGGTGCTATAAACAATTTTTCTCCTAAAACTGCCTTAGCTGTGTCCCAGAGATTCTGATATATCGTATCTTTGTTCACATTAGTTTCAAAGAACTTCTTGATTTATGTTATAATTTTATTATTTACCCAAAGTCATTCAGGGGCAGGTTGTTTAATTTCCATGTGATTTCATGGTTTTGAGCAATATTTAAAGACTTGATTTCTATTTTTATTGTTCTCTGATCTGAGAGTGTGTTTGGTATGCTTTTGTTTTTTTTGCATTTGCTAATGATTTAATGATTGTTCCATGTTCCACTGTGTTGTCCATTTTACAGTATGTGCCATGTGGTAAAGAATAATGTATATTATGTTGTTTTGGGGTGGAAAGCTCTTTAGAGGTCTATCAGATCCATTTGGCCAAGTGTGGAGTTCAGGTCCTGACTATCTGTTAATTTCTGCCTCAATGTTCTATCTAATACTGTCGGTAGGGTGTTGAAGTCTCCTACCATTATTATGTTGGATTCTAAGTCTCTTTGTAGGTCTCTAAGAACTTGCTTTAGGTTTCTGGGTGCTCATGTGTTTGGTGCATATATATATTTAGAATAGTTAGGCCTTCTTGTTAAGTTGAACCCATTACCATTATGTAATGCCTTTCCTTTTCTTTGATCTTTGTTCATTTAAAGTCTATTTTGTCTGAAATTAGGATTTCAACACCTACTTTTTTCTGATTTCCATTTTCTTGGTAGATTTTCCTCCATCTCTTTATTTTTAGCCTATTCATGTCATTGCATATCAGGTGGGTCTCTTGAAGACAGGAGACCACTTGGTCTTGCTTTTTTTTTTTTTTTTTTTTAATCAGGCTTGCCACTCTGTGCCTTTTAAATGGGGGCATTTAGCCCATTTAAGTTCAAGGTTAGTATTGATATGTGTGGATTTGATCCTGTCATTGTGTTGTTAGTTGGTTATTATGCTGGTTCTTTTTTGTGCGGTCGATTTGTAGTGTCACTGGTCTGTGTTTTTGTATTGACTGGGACAGTCTTTCCTTTCTACATTTAGTGCTCCTTTAAAGATCTCTTGCAAAGTGGGTCTGGTGGTAACAAACTCCCTTAGCATCTGCTTATCTGTAAAGGATCTTATTTCTTCTTTAAAGGGGAAGCTTAGTTTGGTTGGATATGAAATTCTTGGTTGAAGATTTTTTTTGCTGAGAATGTTGAATATAATCCCCCAATTGCTCGTAGGGTTTCTTCTGAGAGGTCTGCTGTTAGTTAGCCTGATATGGTTTTCTTTGCAGGTGACTTGCTCTTTCTCTCTCACTGCCTTTAACATTCTTTTTTCATTTGAACCTTAGAAAATCTGATTATTGTCAGGCCTCTGAGCCCAAGCTAAGCCATCGTATCCCCTGTGACCTGGAAGTATACATCCAGATGGCCTGAAGCAAGTGAAGAATCACAGAAGAAGTGAAAATGGCTGGTTCCTGCCTTAACTGATGACATTCCACCATTGTGATTTGTTCCTGCCCCACCTTAACTGAGCAGTTAACCTTGTGAAATTCCTTCTCCTGGCTCAGAACCTCCCCCACTGAGCACCTTGTGACCCCCGCCCCTGCCTGCAAGAGAAAAACCCCCTTTGACTGTAATTTTCCACTACCCACCCAAATCCTATAAAACGGCCCCACCCCTATCTCCCCTTGCTGACTCTCTTTTTGGACTCAGCTCACCTGCACCCAGGTGATTAAAAAGCTTTATTGCTCACACAAAGCCTGCTTGGTGGTCTCTTCACACAGATGCACATGACAATTATGTGTTTTGGGGATGATCTTATTGTGTAGAATATTGCAGGGGTTCTTTGTATTTCCTGATTTTGACTGTTGGCCTCTCTAGTGAGGCTGGGGAAGTTTTCATGAACCGTATCCTGAAATACATTTCCCAAGTTGTTTACTTACTCTCTGTCCCTTTCAGGGATGCCAGTTATTCATAGATTTGGCCTCTTTATGTAATCCTATATTTCACAGAGGTTTTGTTCATTCATTTTCATTCTTTTTTTTTTTACATTTTTGTCTGACTGTCTTGTTTCAGAGAGCTAGTCTTCAAGTTCCAATATTCTTTCCTCAGCTTGATTCATTCTGCTGTTAATACTTGTGATTGAATTGTAAAATTCTTGTAGAGAGTTTTTCAGCTCTCTTTGATCAGTTAGGCTTTTTTTTTTTTTTTTTTTTTTTTTTTTATACTGGCTACTTTGTCTGTCAGCTTCTGTATTGTTTTACTGTGATTTTTAATTTCCTTGGATTGGGTTTTTCCATTCTCCTGAATCATGATGATCTTCATTCCTATCCATATTCTGAATTCTATTTCTGTCACTTCAGCCAGTTCAGCCTGGTTAAGAACCCTTGTTGGAGAACTAGTGCATTCATTTGGAGGACATTAGACATTCCAGCCATTTGAGTTGTCAGAATTCTCGCATTGGTTCTTTCTCATCTCTGTGTGTGGGTGCTCCTTTAACTGCTGGGCTGCCTCTGATTGAAGTGGTCAGGCAGGGGCACTCTGATTGAAGTGGTCAGGCTGGATTCCAGGTCAGCCATCCCTGCCCAGTGAGGAGAGGTGAGAACCAGGACCTGAGTAGAGAACAGTCTGGCTACTTTTCTATGAGGTGAGTGCTCTATGCTAGGGGTCTAGACCAGCCCTCATCCCCATGGACTCTCCATAGCCCAGAGGCAGCAAGGGCAAGGGCTGTGAGATACCACAGATGGCAGCCTGCCTCTCCCACTGGGAGGTCTGTCTTAGAGAGTTGCAGAGCTGCTACTGGCTCAATAACCCTGGCACAAGGTGGCTGGACACCCAGACCAGAAGGCCCTGCCCACTGAGGAGATATGAGATTGGAAACCCATGTAACAAACAGTCTGGCCACATTTCTGTAGGGCTGCTTCAGTGTGCTGGAGGTCTTCCCCAGTCCTTAGTTGCCTCAGATTTTCCAGCACCTGAAGGTATCAATGGTGAACGCTGTGAAACAGCAAATATGGTGGCTTTCCCCTCCCTATGGGAGCTCTGCCCCAGGGAGGTATGGATCTGTTGCTGGTTCACTCACACTCATTGGGGTGGTTGCAGAACTTGATCAGGAGATTCTGCCCAATAAAGAAAAATGGGATGTGGAACCCACGTGAACATGTGGTCTTGCTGCTTCTTCATAGAGCTGCTGTGCTTTGCTGGTGAACCGCTCCAGTGTATAGTCTCCTTGGACTCCCTAAAACCCAAAGGCAACAGCTAAGGCTGTGAAAAAGCCAGTAGGAAAATTCTTAATTGCACTGAGAAAATGTGTTCTGCTATAAAAGAGAGAGAATATAAGCTTGGAGAGGACATAATTGTAAACACTAAAATAAATGCCAAGCCTGGGGAACTTGTGAGGCAACTATTTTCTTTTTTAGTTAATTATATTTTGGGGGTATATGTGATAATTTAATATATCCATATAATTTGCAAAAGATCAAATCAGTGTAATTGGGATATCCATAAACTTAAATATGTGTCATTTGTTTATGCTAGAAACATTAAAATTATTCTCTTATAGCTATTTTGAAATATATAAGAGGTTATTGTAAACTATAGCAAACCTACTGATCTATCAGACACTATGTCTTATTTCTTCTATTAAACTGTATATTTGTACCTATTAATCAACTGCTTCTATTTATTTTCCACTGTATTCCATGCCCCTCTCTGATTTTCTTCCCTTAATATTCAATGGATCGTAATGACATAAAATGGAGGTTCTAAGCTGTTATTGATACTGCTTATTTACAACATATATGGAATAAAAATTCACACATTTAATATTTATTAAATATTAAATATAAACTTTATATTATTAGGGTTATTATTGCAATTTTGTTTTGTGTATATAGAATTAGGTCCCATGTGGTATATAAATAAAAGACAATATTTGATGAGTACCTCTATTTCTGGTATAATCCATGACTCATTCTCATTGTTTCACTAAATCAGTTAAGATATCCAGGATTTATCCTCATTTTCTCTGTAGCCATGACCTTAGGGTTTTAAGTTAATATAAATTAAAGCAGAGCCCATTTGGATGAAGAAAATAGGTAATGATGATGACAATGTCCATGATTTGGTCCCATTTTATATGCTACATTATAAAGCTAAGTGGAGTTTGGTTTAATACATTATCACAGTTATTTTTCAGTCCCCTCTCAATTTTTCCTCCTTTCTTCATAACTACCAGATCCATAAGAATGTAAGGGGAGTGTAGAAGAAAACATCTTAGGGGTTTCTTTCTTTGAATTTTATCTTGTATCCCAAAGAGATTTCAGATTCTCTCTTTTTCAGTGGCCTTGCTCATCCATTGATTTTCCAAATACAACATGACTTTATTCCATATCTCTATAATATGAAACAAATAATGAACAGCTGTCATTCTTCATCTCTCTAAAAAACCAAATGGGCATATTTCTACAATCAGTGGGCCAGTTGGGTCACAGTTTGGAGGCAAATTAGTGTTTCTGGGGAGCTTTAAAAAAATTAGTGTCAGCAAGGTGCAATGTCTCACACCTGTAATCACAGCACTTTGGGAGGCTGAGGCAGGTGGATCACCTGAGGTCAGGAGTTCAAGACAAGCCTGGCCAACATAGTAAAACCCCGTCTCTACTAAAATAAAAACTAGCCAGGGGTGGTCGTGGATGCCTGTAATCCCAGGTACTCAGGAAGCTGAGGCAGGATAATCACTTGAACCCAGGAGACAGAGGTTGCAGTGAGCCGACACGGTGCCACTGCACTCCAGCCTTGGTGACAGAGGGAGACTCCGTCTCAAAAAAAAAAATAAAAAAAAAAATTAGTGTCTTAGGCACAATTGGGATTAAATACAGTCAGAAACCCTGGAGGTTGAACATAGGTATCAACAGTTTAAACCCCCTCTCCCAGTGATTCCTATGTACAGATAATTAGAGATCCAGTGACTCATCCTTGAAGATACCACTTTATTTCTTGGTTTGTCTGTACTTTGTTCCTTTACCGACACTGTTTCTCCTGACTTGGAGGTCACTCAGAATTCTTGAGGTGACTCTGTATCTCTGTTCCAAGTTACTATTAGTTGATTTATAGGCTTACTTTAAGAAGGGTACCTTTTTTTCTTTAGGCATAGTTGCTGGATAAGGAGAAGGGGATGCATTTATATTGCCAGTTTTCTTAAAAAATGCAGACAAACAATGATAACAAAAGTTCAACAATATAACAAACTTTTGGTAACAAAAGTTCAACACTTTTACGTACAGTAATATTTAAATGATACCTAGAACATAGTAGGATCTCATTGAATTTTTATTTTATTTTATTTTATTTTATTTTATTTTATTTTATATTTTATTTTACCTTTTAGAAACAAAGTCTCACTCTGTTGCCCAGCTGGAGTGCAAGTGGCACGATCTTGGCTCACTGAAACCTCTGCCTCTCAGGTTCAAGTAATTCTACTGCCTCAGCTTCCTGAGTAGCTGGGACTACAGGCGCATGCCGCCATGCCTGGCTAATTTTTTTGTGTGTTTTAGTAGAGACGGAGTTTCACCGTGTTGCCCAGGTCGGTCTCAAACTCCTGAGATCAGGCAATCCAGCTGCCTTGGCCTCCCAAAGTCCTAGAATTACAGGTGTGAGCCACCATGCCCGGCCAAATTTTAACTTTTTTTTATTACATCCTAGAAGTGTAATTGGCTGAATAGATTGTGGGAAGAAATTTATCTGGTATTTGTCTTAATAGAATCCTTCAGACTGCTATAAAACATGCTTAACATGTTTTCATGGGGAACTTTTAATGTTTTCTAGAACCTTCAAAAATTGACTGTTTTGTACAAACAAGATACACCTTATACAAAAATTAACTCCAGATGGTTTAAAGACTTAAATGTAAAACCTAAAACTATAAAATCCCTAGAAGAAAACCTAGGCAATACCATTCAGGACACAGGCATGGGCAAAGACTTCATGAATAAAACACCAAAAGCAATTGCAACAAAAACCAAAATTGACAAATAGTAGCTAATTAAACTAAAGAGCTTCTGCACAGCAAAAGAAACTGTCATCAAAGTGTATAGGCAAGCTACAGAATGGGAGAAAAATTTTGCAATCTATTTATCTGACAAAGGGCTAATATCCAGAATCTACAAGGATCTTAAACAAATTTACAAGAAAAAAAGCAACCCCATCAAAAAGTGGGCAAACGATATGAACAGATACTTCTCAAAAGAAGACATTTATGAGGCCAACAAACATATGAAAAAAAGCTCATCATCACTGGTTATTAGAGAAATGCAAATCAAAACCACAGTGAGATACCATCTCATGCCAGTTAGAATGGTGATCATCAAAAAGTCTGGAAACAACAGATGCTGGTGAGGATGTGGAGAAATGGCATACTTTTACACTGTTGATGGGAGTGTAAATTAGTTCAACCATTGTGGAAGACAGTGTGGTGATTACTCAAGGATCTGGAACCAGAAATACCATTTGACCAGCAATCCTATTACTGGGTATATACTCAAAGGATTATAAATCATTCTACTATAAAGACATATGCACACGTATGTTTATTGCAGCACTGTTTATGATAGCAAAGACTTGGAAGCAACCCAAATGCCCATCAATGATAGACTGGATAAAGAAAAGGTGGCACATATATACCATGGAATACTATGCAGCCATAAAAAATAATGAGTTCACGTCCTTTGAAGGGACATGGATGAAGCTGGAAACCATCATTCTCAGCAAACTAACACAGGAACAGAAAACCAAACACCGCATGTTCTCATTCATAAGTGGGAGCTGAACAATGAGAACACATAGACACAGGGAGGGAAACATTACACACTGAGGCCTGTCAGGGGGTGGGGGTCAGAGAGAGGGAGAGCATTAAGACAAATACCTAATGCATGTGGGACTTAAAACCTAGTTGACGGGTTGATAGGTTCAGCAAACCACCATGGCGCATGTATACCTATGTAACAAACCTGTACGTTCTGCACCTGTATCCCAGAACTTAAAGTAAAAAAACGAAACAAACAAACAAAAAAGAAATTAAAAAAAAGAAAATTGGGATCAAAGTGTCTGTAATCTCCCTGCTTGGCCATCTTAAAAATGCATATGCCTGTGGAAACAGCTTTGCCACATGAGTAGGTGGCTATGAAGACATTATCTCTCATCGTAGAAGGGAAACTATGATCCATTTTTCTCACTAATGAGAAACTGTATGCTCTATTTTTGTTCTTATATCTTTCGGGAGGTAATTTTCTTTGATTCTCTTAGATAATGTAGTCTAATAGAAATTTTTATTAATAAGTCGGGGAATTAGGTGGAAAGGTTGTAATATAATTTTTTTGCAAATTATTTGAAGTTTATGGAAAATGCTATACATAATTTATACAGTTCAAAAGTTACTTAAACTTCCTTTAATTTCCAAACCTTTCTATATAGGGGATAGTATAATTTTTCTATTTAATATATGTTCCAGCTTATCTTCAAGCAAAGTTGGCTTTGAGGTACTTTATGCTGCATCTTCAGAAGCACCTTTTTATATGTATTGACTTTGATGTTTAATTATTACCAAGCAATCATAATACAATGAAATTGTGTTGATGCTTTCTTAAATTGCTTATCTGACTTTTTCATTATGGTTTATTTATTTCAATTATTTTTTAGCAAATATCTAGTTACAATATATGCTTTTTATGATTGCCACTGTTGTTAGAGATGTATTTTATCACTTAATTGGAGAAGGTTTAGGGTGCTCTTTCATGCCTTTTAAAATTCTTAACTTGAATTATTCATATATATGAGGAATGTGGAAGTTATGTCATTTAGGGTGATTTTAGTGCTGCATATTAACAGACTATTTTATCCTAGATTATGTAATATTTCATTTAACTGGAAAACTCAGAGCTATGCTAGCTTCGAGCAAAGTTGGATCTAGTATCTAGTAATGTTATCAAGGTCCAAGTTTCTCTTTGTCACTCTCATTCTTGGATTCAAGTTCATTTTAAGGTTGGCTCTTTTGTGGTTCCAAGATGCCTACCAGGTACTCCTAGGGTTATATGGCTCCTTAAGCATTGTTCATCAACATTGCATGCAATGTCTTAAGATTCACTGTAAATGTGCAGTTTAGGTCACATGTCTAAATTAAACCAATCACCATGTATCTAGACATGAAATGCACTGATTAACTTTGCCTGCATCACGAACTATATCCGTAGTTCTAATCATGGAATCGACTTTCTCAGAAACTTACTACTCCCTGTATGAGTGCTCTATTGCTACATAACAAAATATCTCAAAACTTAGTGGCTTAAAACAACCACATACACGATTTCACAGTTTCTGTAGGTTAGGATATAGGTGTGACTTAGCTGGGACCTCTGTCTCAGGGCTTCTCAGAAGCTGCAATCAAGGCGGCAGGGCTGTAATCATCTCAAAGCGGCAAAAGTACCTGCTTTCAAGCTCACTCACATGGTTGCTGGCAGAAGTCAGCTCTCTGTGCGTTGTTGAATTTAAGAACTCAGATCCTTGCTTGCTATTGGCTGAAGGCCTCCCTCAGTTCCTCATCACATGGGTTTCTACAATATGGCAGCTTGTTTCATCAAAGCTGCAAGTAAAAAAGGCAATAGAGGAAAAATGCTAGCAAGACGTAATTTATAGTTTTTTTTTAAATAATCTAATCACAGAAGTAATATTCCATCAATTTTGCTGTGTTCTGCTTATTATAAGCAAGTTGATAGGTCCAGCCCATAGGCAAAAGGAGAGGGTTATACAAAGGCATAAATACCAAGAAGCAGGGATCACTGGCAGTAGTGTCAGAAACTGTCTACCACATTCCCTAAATTCACTTTTGCTGACTAGACTTTAGCTGTTTTACATATGATTGCCAAAGAATTTTGATGTTATATCCACTCATAGACTCGTTTATGCTAACGAGTTAAAATGTCAGCTATGTGATGCTTTTTAAGCTTAAAATATTTCTCTCCTTTATATCAGGCATTACATTAGCTAACTAGAAATCAATTACAGCAGGAAGAAAAGCAATAATCAAATTTCTGAAGGCAGTAGGTTTGGGAAATACATTTTATTTAATTCAGTTTTGCTGTAAGTTTTAAATTGCTAATTGTAGGCATCTAAAGGCCTTTAAGTGGATCCCAGGCAAATATCCTGAAAGTTGAGCATGTTTCTTTTAATCAGTTTAGGGCATCCAAATTATAGCAAAATAAATGGTTGATCTGTGAAATAAAGTAGCCTTGATATCTATCAGCCATTTGCCAACTCTGGCAACATAAATAAGAGAATGTTTCTTCCTTACTTAGCAATAGTTGAAGTTTAAAGGCTGCATTCCATTAGAGAAGTGAGGTAGGATATTTTAATCCTAATATCCTCCTTACCAAGATCAAGAATAAATAATTTAATGATTTTATAGACACACACAAAAACAAAACCATGTGTCAACACTAATTGCCTTATTGTCTATGTTCCCTGACTTTTCTTTTATTGGGACTGATTTTCAGTGGGTACATTGAAGTACATAAACTACTCAAATAAAAACAAAAAGGATCTGGGAATAGTGGCTCATGCCTGTAATCCCAGCAATTTGGGAGAATGAGGAGGGAGGATCACTTGAGCCAAGGATTTTGAGATCAGCCTGTGTAACAAAGTGAGACCCCCATCTCTACAAAAAAATAAAAAAATTAGACAGACCTGGTGGTGCACACCTACAGTCCCAGCTACTTGGGAGGCTGAGGTGGGAGGATCACTTGAGCTTGGGAGGTCAAAGCTGCAGTGAGCCGTGATAGTGCCACTGCAATTGAGACTGAGTTACAGAGAGAACTTTGTCTCAAAAAATAAAAAAAATAGTATGATGGAAGAGTTCAGAACCACTTTGTTGGAAGCTTAGAAATAGCTTCTTAGAGATATTACAGCTGAGTGAATGAAGCAGGTGATCTGAAAGTTGTCAGCTCTAATTCTACTTTTAACTCTCCCCTATGACTTGGAAAAACCATACAGCCTCTATGCATATATCCTTTCTCATTTATAAAAGAAAGATACTAAACCCTCAGCACAGCTTGTGGAAGCTTCTGAACCAAATATGAGTGTGTCAAATGAGTTATTATTCCATTCTCTTCAATTTAGCATCGAGATTTATAAGAACTTTTTTTTTTCCAGTTTAAGGTCTATCCAGATGTGATACATTTAGATCAAATTTTAAATAGATTAAATTTTCCCACATCTTAATTGCCATTTAATTTCACTGGTATTTTCTAAACAATCATTATGCATAAGGCAGTGATTTTCAACTTCCTTATATTCACTTACAGATGCCTGTGGTTCAAGAAACAAAAATGTCTAAGAAATGAAGACAATTCCGAGCAGCGAGTATTCTGAATATTATTAGGCTTATGAGAGGGTTAGAAATAAGGAGCCATAAGAGGGACAGTTTTTAACAGCTAGAGTGATGAAAGAAGGCTTCGAAATGGAAGCTATGTTTCATGTGTGACTTTTAAATTGTGGAGATGATGGATCAGAACTTTTACTTTAAAAGGAAAAATAGGGTCAAATATGGATGGCAAAAATGTACAAGCAATGTGGATAGCTAAACGTCTCAGTGTGACTTGATTTGGATATAAGGTACATATAGTAAATTACAGAAATTTAAAGCTACTAAGTGGGCTTAGAGTCACACTGTGGAGAGCCTTAAAGGCCACTTGAAGGATTTTTCATGTTATTTTGTGAGATAAAGATGGTTTTTAGGGGTTCTGAGTGACACGACTTATAGGCAGAGGCAGAGTTAGAAAGCGATGTAATGGTCCAGAAATGGTTTACCACATTAAATATGGTTTCTGTCACAAGCAGCTGCTCAGTAAATATTTGAATGACTAGCCCGAAAAAAGCTTCCAGCTTTAAGTGGCTGACATCATTTGAAATTATTTTCTCATTAAATTTCTAATAGGTCATTTATAGCTTTCAAAATAGATTTTTTTTTAAAAAACTCAATATTTTAAAAGAAAGTTTACTTTTGGTTGTTTTCTGTATCTTCCTTGCTCCTGCTACAGAATTTTCTTTTCAAATAGGAATTCTTGTTTTTTTTTCAGGCTAATGTAGATTTTCTTTCTTCTTTGTCTTTCATCAGGCAGCAAATTTATAATTTCAGTGACAACTTGTCTGTTTCCATGGGAATGGATATAATAGAGCATATTTAGCACTATGGACTTGATCCAACTAAAAATATTTGTAACAGTCTGAAATGTGAGGCTGTATAAGGCCATGGGTGTTGTTGGCTCTGCCTTGCTCTCAGTGTTGATGTCTTCATTGAAAATGTCAGCTTTCTGTGAAAGTCAGAAAATAATTAAAATGGCACAGAGGTAACAACCCTCAGCCTTGCAGAGGTGGTTTCTCTGCCACCTGATCTAGGTTGGAGGGTTTGTTCCAGGGTTTGTTTGTTAACCATAGCTAAGTTAAAAGATTCTTCAAGATCCCTGTTTCAGATGGGGTGATTTTTAACTACAGTGGAAATAAAAGTGAAAAATACTTATATGGAGATGTAGCATTCTCCTTCTTTTAAGAAACTCTTTCCTTTAAATTCTTTTAAAAGCAAATATGAAATCTACAGAGAAATAGAGTCTTCTGCAGATAACACTTTTCAACATAAACAGTGTGAGTTTGGGTGCCCTAATCTATGGTGTATTTAGATGATCTATGAAATTTTGGACAAGAATATGGATCACAATATTCCTTATGTTTAGTTCAAGTGATTATCCTTAAGAATATCTTTAGGAGTTTTGTAATTATAAATTTAAAAAATTAGGAAAATATTTTTTAAGGACAGCCAAAACTTCATTATGAAATGAACAGTGATTTCATTAGTTAGCAATTAATTACAGTGGGCATCTGTGAGTCATTGCTCCTTGCACATTACCTTTTTTTCCGTGTAGCTATATCTTGAATTTCTTCCCATCTAGTCAGTCATGTGATTTATGTAGGATTGTTTCCATCCCCAAACCTTGATGAGGGCTCTCAATGCTTATTCCAATCTCAATGCTTAGTAATTTAGTGATTGCTTCAGAGATTTACAGAAAAAGGTTAGTAGATTATATTATTTTGACAAATATTTACACACTACTACCCACACATGAGGATACTTCCTCACACTACTGATGTTTGACTTGGCCATGTGATATGTTTTATCCAATGCCAGTGGAACATGAAGAGTGATGATCTATGCCACATTCAAGCAATCAAATGTAACCTTCTTGTCTGCCAGAGAACAGGTGCAGTCAGGATTCAAAAGGGAAACACAGACAGCGTAAGTTTCATAGAATAAGGGATTTTAGAGTTACAATTTATACAAATGTGGAAGGGGATGAAAAAAATTGAAAGTTTAGAGGAGATCTTGAGGATCAGAAAAGAAGCTACTAGTCACTCTGGGAAGTCAAACACATCTTGCCACAGTGGTGAAAGCTTGTGGGTGGACTTTCAGCAGGTGCATCCACAACCAAACATCTAGTGGTGATCCTGAGGCTACTATTGGATAGCATTTAAGAAGGATAATTAAATGCCAAGCAAAAAAGAGCATAGATAAATCAGGGGGCATATTCCCATCTGTCCCTCATAGCATCTTATTTTGATAACCTTCAGAGAGTAATGACCACTGCTTCACTTCTTCCAAATATTCCTCTGGCCAGCTCTAACATGGAACTTTAGAGGGAAGGGCATTGAATCTAGAAAAGATTTCCCAGCTTTAACAAAGATACATAGTACAAGCTACAAAATGGGCAAGTGCCATATTGGGACTACTCCTTCAACCTGGATTTGAATAAGAAGTATGTGGTGTGGAACCCCAGCTGGAGCAGAGCCCCAGCCAACCAGCAGCTCTTATATAACATGAACAAGAAATAAATATTTGATGTAGTAAACCACTGAGAAGTTGAAGTTGTTTATTATTGCAGCACACTTGACTAATAGTAAAACTGATATTGAAAGTAAGGGGCAGCTCAAATGAAAAGCCAAAAATATCTATCATTTCTTTTGTTGTTGGCTAGGAAGGAAACAGGAATTTGGGGAAAGAGAGCAACCTGTGTTTTCAATGTTTGGGATATTTTGTAAAATGTCAAAATGGATAACTTGGAAGACATACTATTGATACACGACTGCTGGGAAGGGAAGAGCGTGGTCTCTTTAAATGATACAGAAGGGAGGAAGGGAAGTGTGGGTAGAGGAGGCGTGGTCCTTGGCTAGGACCTAGGTGAGGACAGGCACTTCTGCATTCGCACCCAAATGTTGCATTTTCCAAGACCACCCTGGCCCGCCATGCCTCCATCCTAGGCCTATAAAAACCCTAGACCCATCATTTAACATTATGTATATCTCCTAATGCTATCCCTGTTGTGCACATGTACGCTAAAATTTAAGTATATAAAAAAAAAACCTAGACCCTAGCAAGGCAGAGACAGAAGCTGCTGGATGGTGAGAGGAACACATTGGTGGAAAAAGACAAGAGACTGGACGTCAAGAGGACGTGGAAGGGAGCACGCCAGCGGAAGTTCACACCAATAGACGCGGGCACGCCAGCAGGTCATCAACTGTCAGGGCGAGGTGGAGTTTGGCTGGGGCAATCAGAAGAGAGCCAGGGCCACCTAGTGGCTCAACTCCAGGGGAAAACCATTTCCCTTCTGGCTCCCCCATCATGGGAGAGCTATTTCCACTCAATACAACTTTGCACTCATTCTCTAAGCCCATGTGTGATCTGATTCTTCTATACACCAAGGCAAGAACCCAGGATACCTTGTGACAAGGTAGAGGGTCTAACTGAACTAGTTAACACAAGCCGCCTATAGAAGTCAAACTAAAAGAGCATTCTGTAACACATGCCCACTGGGGCTTCAGGAGCTGCAAACACTCACCCCTAGACGCTGCCGTAGGTTCAGATCCTCACAGCCCTCCGTCTGTATGCTCCCCTAGAGGTTTGAGCAGTGGGGCACTGAAGAAGGGAGCCACACCCCCATCCCACGCCCTGCGAGGGGGACAAGGGAATCTTTCCCATTTCACAGTGACATGATGAGTTGAGGCTTTGGTTGAAAACATTTTGAAAAAAGAATGTTATTAGCGTGATATGGTTATCAGCTGCATTTGATAAAGTTCTATGAGAAAGACGTGCTCATAAAAGAATTTTTTTTTTAAGTGATGGAAAACACAAAAAAGAACTTTTGAGGCTTGCAGATTGGAAATATTTGTATTTAACATTTATGCTTATATTCTGTTATATTTAAAATAAAATATTAATAAATTGTGCCAGACAAAAATCTAATTCATACTGAGATTAAAATAGTTTTCTAGCGAAAAAAATCATGTTGTGGCCACCCTACCTTTTATTAAATCTTTAAAATCTTTTTATTAGATTAATGTGACCCGGAGTAACATTATTTGAATTAAACAAAATTGCTCAGGAAAAGAGAATAATAATTTTCTCATGGGAGCCTAAATAATGTAGCTATAATTAAGTTGAGAGAGAGAGAGAGAGAGAGGGAAGCATATTTTGCAAAATATTATAAGGGTAGCTATTGCTACACAGACCTTAATAGAATCAGACAGATAATGAAGCAACAAATTTTTGAGAGAGCTATATGGCCAAAAGCAACATCAGTTTGAATTAAAACCTGACTTTGACTGAGGTATTAAATAACTTTTAAAGTTCATGATAAGACCAAACAATTCTAAACGTGTGTGGACCTAATAACAGAGCTACAAAATACATGAAGCAAAGCCAGACAGAACTAAGAAAAGACAGAAAAAAATTTACAAACATACTGGGAGAATTCAGTAACCATATTTCACTAACTGAGTGAACAAATAACCACAAAATCAGAGTTAATAGACAAGATCTGAACAGCACTATCAACCAACTTGACCTAATTGACATTTAACAAACACTACCAACAATGGCATATCCTCTCTTTTTGGTATACAGGAAACATTCACCAAGATAAAACATGTCATACAATAAAATAACTGAATAACTTTCAAAGCATTGAACTCTTACAGAGTATTTTTTAAACCAATGGAATCAGAGATAAAACTAAATTTGTAGAAAATCTTCAGATACTTAAAAATGAAATACACTCCTAATTAATATGTGTTCCAAAGCAGAAATAAGCATGGATATTACTATATAACATCATTTCAAACTTTGTGATAATAATAAAATTCCGTGAGATGCAACAAATTGGTGTTTAGAGGAAAATTTGTAATTTTCAATTATTTTATTGAAAAATAATAATTTAAGAAGTGTTTAAACTGACCTATATGTTCACTTTGGAAGCTAGAACAAAAGTAAATTAAACACGGTAAAAGAGATGAATAAGTAAAGATAAGAACAAAAGTAAAAAAAAAGAGAGAAATGAGATAAACAATAGAGAACATTAATAAAGTTAAAAATTTGATTGTTGAAAAATATTAATAAAATTGATAAATTCATAACAAAACTAATCAAGGAAATCAGAGAGAAAATATAAATGAATAATACTGGGGAGAAAGAGGGATTGTTACTACAGCTTTTACAGATAAGTAAAAGATAAGAAGGAAATATAATAAACAACTTTATGCCAATAAATTTAAACAGTCAGATAAAGTGCACATGTTCTTGGAAAAGCACAACTTATTAAAACTCATTGCTAAAATTAAATTATGAAACAATATCACAATATCAAGTATGTCAAGTGTTGGTGAGAATGTTGAGCCACTGAGTTTTCATTAATTGGTAGTAGGAGTATAACGTGGTGCAAATGCAGTGAAAAATATTTTGGAAGTTTTTTAGTAAAGTAACAGGTACACTTACCATATGATCCACGAATTCCACTTCTAGGTATTACCTAAGGGAAGTGAAACCATAGATGTATACTAGATGTTTATAGCATCCTATTCATATTATTTATAACATATGTACTATATAATGTATTTTTTAATAACCAAAACTTACAAATTTTAATCAACAAAGGAGCTGATAAATTGTTATATTCATGCAGTGGAATAAAAGAACAACAACTGCTAGACTGTAGAGCAATGGAAAAACATGGATTAATTTCTAAATCATGCTGAGGGAAAGAAGCCAAATACAATGAATACATGCTGTATGATAAGGGTTGGCAATTTTTTTTCTGGAAAGATTGTAAATATTTTAGGTTTTCTAAGCCATATAATCTCTATCACAACGATTCAACTCTGCCACTTTAGCATGAAATCAGCCATAGACAAGATGCAAATGAATGGATGTGGCTGTGTTCTAATACAGCCTTATTTATGAAAATAGGTGCCAAGCTAGATTTGGCCTATAAGCCATAACCTGCCAACCTCTCCTTTATGATTTTGTTTATTAAAAGTTCTAGAGTAGGGAAACTAATCTACAGTGACAGAATTCAAAATAGTGCTAGCCTAAAGTGGGGTTATGGTGGTAAGTCGATTGCTGAGGAACAGGAGAGGATTTTCTGGTGTGAAAAAAATGTTCCATATCTTGATTAGAGTTGTGGTTACACAGGGTACATATTTGTCAAAACTCACTAACTTATTCTTTGTAAAAAGGAGAGCAGGTGCACAGGTGTAGAGACAAGAAACAACTTGGAGAGTGTTGGCGTTGCTGGAGCACCAAGTAGAAAGCATGAAGAGTCAGAGTCTAAATTTGGAAAGATTAGGAAAGATTAAGGAACTGGTCATGTGACATGGAGACTATGAAGTAGTGAATGGTGCATATAGCATATTAATGTGTATGTGCCATATTATATATCATATTGGTGTTTATTTAAATTTTTATGATTAATTTTGGACTTCTGCTTTAGTTAGGTCTCCTATTGAATATTAAATTAGAATTTACTGTTAATTTCTAGAAGATCTGAGACAATTTTTGCCAAATATCTTCACATTTCCAAGAAAGAAAAGTCAACAATACTCATAAAGGAAGAGTGATCTAAAATTTCTTTTTTAATCCTCTGCTTCTTATCTGCGACAAGTATATTAAAGAGTTGTCATGGAAGTGATCAAATTTTAGGGGAAAATTTATTGGAAAGAGTTGCTGTAATGCTGTTGACATTCTTCCCTACCTTGAAAAGGATGTATCCACCTCATTTAAGTCTAAAAGGCTTCAAGGAGACCAGTTGAAGAACGTCATTTGTGTCTATGATAATTAATGGTTTGCAAGGAAGGTTGTTCCCAACTCATACCTGAGAAATCTCAGACAGAAGAGATTGTGGCTGGGTGGTTACTCTCATGGTCAAGCAATGAGACAGTTGCTTTGGGATACCTTGATTGTCCAGAGTTATTACAGGCCAAAGAAGATCAGCTGAGGCAGGTCACGAGGTCAGGAGTTCAAGACCAGCCTGGCCAAGATGGTGAAACCCCATCTCTATTAAAAATACAAAAAATTAGCCGGGCATGGTGGCAGGCACCTGTAATCCCAGCTACTCGGGAGGCTGAGGCAGGAGAATTGCTTGAACTCAGAGGGCAGAGGTTGCAGTGAGCTGAGATCATGCCACTGCACTCTAGCCTGGGTGACAGAGTGAGACTCCGTCTCAAAAAAAGAAAAAGAAAAAAGAAAAAAAGAAAAAATATATAAGTTGTAATCAAGAAGAGAAATGATGTGACCTCAAAATAAACTGTCAGTGTAGAGATGCTTAAACAGAAGCTTTAAAACAAAAGGCTGAGGGAGCAAGAGCTATTAGCTGTCACCCATTGGAGATAGAGCATGGGCTAAGACAACCGCTAGATATGCTATATATAGCGATATCTCTATATAGTGCATATATAGATATCTCTATATATAGCATATATGTACATAGTGCATATATAGGTATCTCTATATAAAGCATATATAGAGAGATATCTCTATATAAAGCATATATAGAGAGATATCTCTATATAAAGCATATATAGAGAGATATCTCTATATAAAGCATATATAGAGAGATATCTCTATATAAAGCATATATAGAGAGATATCTCTATATAAAGCATATATAGAGAGATATCTCTATATAAAGCATATATAGAGAGATATCTCTATATAAAGCATATATAGAGAGATATCTCTATATAAAGCATATATAGAGAGATATCTCTATATAAAGCATATATAGAGAGATATCTCTATATAAAGCATATATAGAGAGATATCTCTATATAAAGCATATATAGAGAGATATCTCTATATAAAGCATATATAGAGAGATATCTCTATATAAAGCATATATAGAGAGATATCTCTATATAAAGCATATATAGAGAGATATCTCTATATAAAGCATATATAGAGAGATATCTCTATATAAAGCATATATAGAGAGATATCTCTATATAAAGCATATATAGAGAGATATCTCTATATAAAGCATATATAGAGAGATATCTCTATATAAAGCATATATAGAGAGATATCTCTATATAAAGCATATATAGAGAGATATCTCTATATAAAGCATATATAGAGAGATATCTCTATATGGCATATATAGAGAGATATCTCTATATGGCATATATAGAGAGATATCTCTATATGGCATATATAGAGAGATATCTCTATATGGCATATATAGAGAGATATCTCTATATGGCATATATAGAGAGATATCTCTATATGGCATATATAGATATCTGTATAGCATATATAGATGTCTGTATATGCTCTCTATATAGTATCTTTATATATATATAAAGATATATATATAAAGATATATATATGCCATATATATATATGGCATATATATATAAAGATATATATATATGCCATATATATATATGGCATATATATATAAAGATATATATATATGCCATATATATATATAGCATTAGCAAGCCTAGGAGAAATCAATGCCAAATTATATCTGTTCCAGTCAAGTGAGAGTTTCATGTCCTTGCACCTCTTTGTTCCTTCTCATGCTTCAATCCTGAAGGACCTAGACACAGCCCATGGAGTCAAAAAGTAGAAGTGGGATCCTCAGGGGAGAAAAGAAAAGAAACCTATCAAATTGCCTTCTCCAATGTGGCATCAAGCCTAATAGAAGTCCCAATTTGAAAATTGAAGACATTTATTCAGCGCATACACAATTATTCTATGTCATATATGGATTCGTGGACCTCTTGCAAAAACTTTGCCAAGTTTCCAGGATCTATGGCCAAAAGGTCGGGAATCACCTCTTTGGCAAATCTGTATTTTAATTTAGTCTTAGATTTTTTTTAATGAATCTGGACTGATTTTAATATCTAGACTGATTTTTTGGTAATTTCTTAAATAAATCATAATCCTTTAATGCCTCTTGTCTCTCCGTTGTTATCTCTTACTATGTTTTGTCATCTCTCAGATATATCAGAATAATTCAAGCCTTTCTACAATGCTAGTCTTATCGCTCTCATTATTCTACATCTTTTGCTCCTGTTAAACAGCTCTTTCCTGTTTCCTGGAATTATCTTGTACTCCTTTTCTTGCTCTTTTGTCATTCCTTTTGTGGCTCTTTGTGTTGAAATACCTTCCGCCCATTTCTACCTTCTGAAATCTTGGTCATCTTTCAAAGCCTATCTCAAAGGCCTCCTCCTTTATAAATGATTTTGTTATTCAGTGAGAATTAATCTTTGCCTTCTTTCAAGCTTCAATTACCACATTATAGCATATATTATTTAATACAATGTTTTGTTCTATAATTATTTTGTACTACTTTCTTTGTTTTTAATTAGCAAGCTAATATATGCATGCTTTTTATTATAAATTCTGATACTATAGTAAAGACTGTAAATCTATCTTAACTTGGGCACTGATTCTCTTGTCCATTTGTAGTCCACATGTAATATTGTTAAAACTTTTATGTTTATCTTCAGTTGCCATATGTCTGAAATAATACTTCATGGTCACAAGATTGCTGTGAGGATTAATTGAGATAATCTATGAAAAACTACATAGCAGAGTAACTGGCGTTTAGTGATTACTCAGTATTATACCGTGATTACTCCATATTATTAGTTATCTTTATCATTATGCTGACATTATTAACATCCTTTCAAGCCAGTCTCTATGCATTTGAAAATCTTTTTACCTACACATTTTTATATATATGCATATAGTATTTAAAAAATATAATAACACAAAATAGGTTTCATAGATTATGGGCAAATTCCCATGTCAAAATTAGAGGTTTATAGTTCAGATTCTTCAACTGTAAAAACATGCTGTAGTGAACCTACTTTCATATTTTTTAATGCAAAGTTCAAATATTTCTGAAGAATATAGGTTCCTAATTATAAAATTGCTCTCAACACTAATTTTTTTTTTTTGATAGAGTCATGCTCTGTCACTCAGGCTATAGTGTAGTAGCATGATATTGGCTCATTGCTACTTCCACCTCATAGGTTCAAGTGATTCTCCTGCCTCAGCCTTCTGAGTAGCTAGGATTACAGGCATGCACCACCACCCCAGGTTAATTTTTGTATTTTTAGTAGAGATGGAGTTTCACCATGTTGGCCAGGCTGGTCTGCAACTGCTGGCCTCAAGTGATGCGCCTGCCTCAGCCTCCCAAAGTACTGAGATTACAGGCTTGAGCCACTGCACCCAGCCAATAAACATTTTAAATTGGAAAAGGTACGCAGAACATTTCTCCATTGGAGCCTATTTCACCACACCTCCACCAGCATTGCATATTGTCTTTTTTTCACTATTGAATGAATAAATGACATCCCATTATTGTTTTAATTTATTATTCTCTAATCACTGGAAAGTGTGAGCACCTTTAAATGTTTGTTTTTTTATACATTCCTTTTTCTATTAAGTGCCTCTCTAATTCTTCCAATGTTAAATAAGATAGTTGTTTTTTTCTTATATCTAGAGTATTCTCCCATGTTATTTAGTAACAGATATGCATCAGTCACATCTTGTAGTTTTATAAGTAAATATCCTTAGGATTTTGATAATAATAGGTAGATTTATAGCATCATGGGCAGAATTAACTTTTACATAATATTGAGTCTTCCCATCCAGGATTCAGAGATTCTCTATCAGTCATTTGTGTTTTTATTTCAACATTTAACTAAGTGCCATAACTATTGTTTGACATTCTTTTTTACTTGAATTGTATGAAGTGATATATTTCCTGGATCCTGTGTTTCTATGCATGTATATTTTTCCAATTTAAAACATTCAGTAATTTGAGCCCTCCTATTCTTTTGTTGGGGGAGGAAGGAAGATGAGATACCAAGTTTTGAATTTTGGCATCAGTTCTTTTTTTAGGCCTGGTATTTTTCTCTCCAAAATAAGAATGGGGGAAAGATAAAATGTAATAAATATGAGTATGAAAAAATTTACTGGTATAACAATTTTAACTTTGGCATGATTTAAAATAAAAATATGGCTGTTTCTTAACCTTGTATGTCATTTATATAATAGCAAGAACCAGTGATTCTATGGCTGTATACTACATTTCTCCTTTTCATTATATCTATGTGTGACAAACATGATTAAATTGAGTAAATGTGTAGAAGTACTATATAAAAACATTATTTTAGCTGTCTGTTTAAGAAAGAACTAGTATAGTTTTAGTGATACCTGAACATTTGGAGTCTTTTTCTCTTGAGTTTTGCTGACTGCATGGGGAAAGGATTAAAAATAGGGCAATAATTAGCTGCTTCCCATCTTTATTGTGGAGGGTGAAAGACCTAAGCTCAAGATATGGCATAACTAACTTTGAATTGACAACAGAAAGTATTTATTTACCAATGAAAAGGGTAACCCTCATGAAAAGATTTCTGAGCATCCCTGCTTGTGCAAAAGAGCATGCATATATAATAGTTAGAGGCACAAGTTTCCCCTTATTGATTTCATCATGATCCCCATAAAGCAAACAATTAGATCAGAACAGAAGGGTAAATCCTCTCACACATACCTCTGGAATTTGGGTATACTGTATTAGGTAACTGGCCTTTCTGTTTCAGATCACCAACTTTAATAAAGCTTGGATAGTTATAGGATAGGAAATTTCACAAATATATAAAAGCTGCCTCATACTAACACAGAGTCTGGAATGATTTAAAATATTTCCTTTGATATGATTCCCAAATTCTATATAAAAGTAAAGTAATAGTACAGAAATAAAATGTGGTGTGGCATGTTTAGAACTTTTATAACTAGCCTGACTTTGAAACTGAGTGAAATGAGTAAGAGATCAAAGTTTTCATGACTTTAGTTTTTTTTTTGTTTTTTCCTCTCTCTTGTTTTTCTCCTTTTGGAAAGGCTGGTGTTCTGTAAGGAGACCAGAATAATCTACACTTCAAAACAAAATAATATATTTAGTCAAGTACATAACATTGGTCATCTTATAGTGATGATTCATAGGTACTATGAGAAACATTTCACTTATTTTTATTGCATTTTTCAAGGTAGTTTAGGTAAAGCTGGCTAGACCTGTGTTGAATAAACAGGAGTAGAGCAGTTCTAAGTATAATAATAAAAAGGCATACCATTAATGCAATAGTATAGAAGCATATTCTTCAGCTCAAATATTCTGAATCTCTAGGAAATTATTGCTATATGTTACGATGAAATAAAAATATATAAAATACCTTTCTTTGCTCTCTTTATATAATTTTTTTCATTTTAATGTAGCAGATTGTGTCTTTAAGAAGAGGATCTAGCAAGAGTAATCTCAAATAAAGAGAAATTTAAATCAAAATGACTTGGCTTTGTAGAGTACTCCTAATTTTGATTTTTGTAATCATTTCATCTTCCTATATATGTCCTTTTACGGGATCATTTATAATAAGGTTGCATTGTTTGGGCATGTGCAAACTGAATGATTTAATTACCCCTGGGTGATCAAATTTTAATTGTTAACCAGGCCTCCTTTCATTAAGCCACTGCAGATCTCCATCTGAAACTAATGATTTCTACTACATCTGTAACTCTGGCTGTATCAGTGGCTCTCAAACTTGAGCCTGCATCCGAATAATCTGGAGAGCTTGTTAAAGCACAGATGGCTGGGCCCAAGCCCCAGAGTACCTGATGTAGTAGGTGTAGGGTAGTGCCCAGTAATTTGGAGATCTAACAGTTTCCAGCTGATGCTGATGGAGCAGCTATAAGAACCATTGGTTTATAGGCTCTGCTTGGTTTCTAGTACCTTCTCCTTCCTCTCTTCAAATTGAAGATGTCTGCTTCAGAACCTAATGCCTTGCAATTTCGTCTTTAGGACCAACTGAAATCTAAGCAAGAGGTAAGTACTAATCCAGTCCTCAAGAAGTCAGCGTCAAGTCTATCATCCTTCTAAATTTTGCTCAACTTGTGCTGCAGCTCTGAGGTAGCTTTATAATTCTTACTTCCTTTCCAGTGTACCCGCCTTTTTCCTTTGAAGTCATCTTCAGTGTTTTACCTTGTTTCTAGTTTTACTATTACGCACCTCCTGCCTCTAATCTTTTCATCTTCTAACAGATTTTGTAAGTCTTATCCAGAAGAATTTTCCACAACACTGCTTTGTCTACACCACTCCTTTCTGGTTAAGTGAAATAATACATATGAATGTTTTTGAACTCTAGTGTATTATTTAAGTTGTTATTCTTAAATCCTTCACTTCCTTTCAATGCTTAAAAACGTTTCTCAGTTACTGATCTGCACACCAGAGGGGCGCGACTTTCTCCAGTGTGTCCACTCCTTTACCTTGGAAGCCTGTGGTAGTTGTCGCTAAGATTCCCTCTATCCCTCTGGCATCATTCTAAAGGGATTTAGTTTTTATACTTAGTCACAGTGGAGCTAAAGCTGGGAAATGTGAGTGGAAAACAAACCTCTAAATCCTGAATGTGAAATGTAAGTCTCCCTCTATTTTGTCTTTTACTTCTCAAATTCCCTTTTATTCTCTAGGCAGGCTGGATTTACATTTTCCACCAACATACTTCTAAGTCTTTGTATACCACCTTTCTGCTGCATGAAGATCACTCTTGAATTTTATTCCTTGATTTACCTAAAGTTCTAAGTTATAATCCTCCTAAGTTCTGTTCTTCCTTTGAGTCTCTTCACTATCCTCTACGCTGTGAAATTATTTACTGAGCAAACCCTGCGGATTTTTTTTTCCTGAGCCTCCCCAAACTCCTAAAATATATCCTTCCACAGCTCTGCTGTGGTTTTCTTATGCAATCGTTCAGGACTTATCATCTTGATGTTCCTATTCTTTGCATACAGTAGACCGCCCTATACAAGTTAGAGCTGTGACTGCTGTCGTAGTCAGCGTGTCCTACAAATTACGTTTGGTAATGATGTTTAATACTGTAAGAAAATAAAGCAGCAAAGACTCAGCACTCTGTTGAAACACGGAATTAGTTTTGGGCTTTTTGATGGAAAGTCAGCTGTAGTAATTTTATGTGAAATGGAAGAAGGCTTAAAGAGAATATTGTATGCAAATATCCTTTATCATCTCCGGAGAATGGTTTCATATCAATGTGGTTTGACCACCCTGATATACAGATATCAAGCTGCTGATACTGGACACACGCCATGATGTCTTACCGCAACCTTCTTAATGACTTTCTCAGGCTAACATTACAGGAGTTAACAACTTACGAACATAACCTTTGAAATTTCTCCCAATATAATGAAGGTTTGACTTGAGCTGTGCCTAAGCTTTCATTTTCTTATTAGCTCATCACTTTTTATTGGGAAACTGCTAATTATATTTTTTAAATAATTGTGTATTTCTTTTAGTGTTTATATTCTTAAATATGTATAGACCATTATATCATTAAAAAACACAATACATATTTCGTTCATTTAATTTAAACTCGTAAGTTCTAAGGCCTTAATGAGTTCTGTTTTTTCCCTCCTCAATTTTGTATTTATCTTTATTTAAAAAAAAATCAATTTGGGGCCGGGCCCTTCTGCCATTACAGTGTTTTCACCACAAATTTACCTAGAAATTTTGCTGAAGTAGTTGCCTAAGTGTGGACTATCATCTTACTACCTTTTTACCTCATAAAAATAATGAGAAAAAAGAGAAGCAAGTAAGAGGAAAATAGGGCAGTTTTCTAGCAGATCGCATCTTGGGAGGCATCTATGCTCGCAAATGGTTTAACTAGTTTGACTTGATTAGTCAAATTCATTGGTCAAAGGAGGAAGAAAATTGCATATAGGGCTGGTTTGAGCAGTGTTTTTGTTTTGCTTTTAATTTTTATTTTTTTTTGTACCAAATCTAACAGCAAAGCTATAAAGTACAAAGCTCAATCACTGTGAATGTGGCAAAGCCCCAATGTGTGAATGCTATGGTAGCATGACTATATTTAGGGATGTCATTTTGTGTGTCAAAAAAAAAAAAGAAAATCTTCTTTTAAAAACATTCAACATTGTGTGTGTAAAGGCTGCACTTTTGTCACAAATGTCATGATCAGTCTGAATTACTGGCCTGATTCTTATTCTTTCTGCATGTTGAGAAATAGAATAGTTGAGAATCCTGTGGGACTATAAGCCCCATAAAGGAACTAAGAAAAGTGGCAAAATTGCACTGCCCAATTTACCTCATAACCCAGCATTTTAGAGCCACCTCTTCTAAAGTCAGCCATAAGCAAAAAATCTCTAGCCGGTAAGATCCTTCACAATATTGCATTTTCTAAGATATAAACAGAAATACTTAAAGGTTTTATGATCATTTCATTGTTTGAGATGTGCTTGAATATCTGCATAGAAAATGACCTGGCAACGTTACTTCTTTGACCAACTGTGTCCTTGGGCACTGCCTGTCTGGTTCACTACTCCTGTAACTGCTTGGCAAGACTTGCAAAGCACTATATTAAATGGATGTACAACACATGACCAATGTTCATGGACTTCAACTTTAAAAAAAAATTTTTTTTTATTATACTTTAAGTTCCAGGGTACATGTGCACAACATGCAGGTTTGTTACATATGTATACATATGCCATGTTTGTGTGCTGCACCCATTAACTCGTCATTTAAATTAGGTATATCTCCTAATGCTATCCCTCCCCCCTCCCCCTACCCCACCACAGGCCCTGGTGTGTGATGTACCCCTTCCTGTGACCATGTATTCTAACTGTTCAATTCCCACCTATGAGTGAGAGAACATGGTGTTTGGCTTTTTGTCCTTGCGATAGTTTGCTGAAAATGATGGTTTCCAGCTTCATCCATGTCTCCACAAAGGACATGAACTCATCATTTTTTATGGCTGCATAGTATTCCATGGTGTATATGTGCCACATTTTCTATATCCAGTCTATCATTGATGGATATTTGGGTTGGTTCCAAGTCTTTGCTATTGTGAGTAGTGCTGCCATAAACATATGTGTGTATGTGTCTTTATAGCAGCATAATTTATATTCCTTTGGGTATATACCCAGTAATGGGATGGCTAGGTCAAATGGTATTTCTAGTTCTAGATCCCTGAGGAATTGCCACACTGTCTTCCACTATGGTTGAACTAGTTTACAGTCCCACCAACAGTGTAAAAGTGTTCCTATTTCTCCACATCCTCTCCAGCACCTGTTGTTTCCTGACTTTTTAATGATCGCCATTCTAACTAGTGTGAGATGGTATCTCATTGTGGTTTTGATTTGCATTTCTCTGATGGCCAGTGATGGTGAGCATTTTTTCATGTGTTTTTTAGCTGCATAAATGTCTTCTTTTCAGAAGCGTCTGTTCATATCCTTCGCCCACTTTTTGATGGGGTTGTTTGTTTTTTTCTTGTAAATTTGTTGGAGTTCTTTGTAGATTCTGGATATTAGCCATTTGGCAGATGAGTAGATTTCAAAAATTTTCTCCCATTCTGTAAGTTGCCTGTTCACTCTGATGGTAGTTTCTTTTGCTGTGCAGAAGCTCTTTAGTTTAACTGGATCCCATTTGTCAATTTTGACATTTGTTGCCATTGCTTTTGATGTTTTAGACATGAAGTCCTTGCCCATGCCTATGTCCTGAATGGTATTGTCCAGGTTTTCTTCTAGAGTTTTTATTGTTTTAGGTCTAACATTTAAGTCTTTAATCCATCTTGAATTAATTTTTGTATAAGGTGTAAGGAAGGGATCCAGTTTCAGCTTTCTACATATGGCTAGCCAGTTTTCCCAGCACCATTTGTTAAATAGGGAATCCTTTCCCCATTTCTTGTTTTTGTCAGGTTTGTCAATGACCAGATAGTTGTAGATGTGTGGTATTGTTTGTGAGGGCTCTGTTCTGTTCCATTGGTCTATATATCTGTTTTGGTACAAGTACTATGTTGTTTTGGTTACTGTAGCCTTGTAGTATAGTTTGAAGTCAGGTAGCGTGATGCCTCCAGCTTTGTTCTTTTGGCTTAGGATTGACTTGGCAATGTGGGCTCTGTTTTGGTTCCATATGAACTTTAAAGTAGTTTTTTCCAATTCTGTGAAGAAAGTCATTGGTAGCTTGATGGAGATGGTATTGAATCTATAAATTACCTTGGGCAGTATGGCCATTTTCACAATATTGATTCTTCCTATCTATGAGCATGGAATGTTCTTCCATTTGTTTGTGTCCTCTTTAGAAAAACCCATTGTCTCAGCCCAAAATCTCCTTAAGCTGATAAGCAACTTCGGCAAAGTCTCAGGATACAAAATCAATGTGGAAAACTCACAAGCATTCTCATACACCAATAACAGACAAACAGAGAGCCAAATCATGAGTGAACTCCCATTCACAATTGCTTCAAAGAGAATAAAATTCCTAGGAATCCAACTTACAAGGGATGTGAAGGACCTCTTCAAGGAGAACTTTTTTTTTTTTCTTTTTGAGATGGAGTCTCGCTCTGTCGCCCAGGCTGGAGTTCAGTGGTGTGATGTTGGCTCACTACAACCTCCACCTCCAGGGTTCAAGCTATTCTCCTCCCTCAGTGCTGGGATTACAGGCATGTGCCACCATGCCTGGCTAAGTTTTGTATTTTAGTAGAGACTGAGTTTCACCATGTTGGCCAGGCTGGTCTCATACTCCCGACCTCAGGTGATACACCCACCTCGGCCTCCCAAAGTGCTGGGATTACAGGTGTGACCCACCATACCCGGCCAGACTTTGCTTTTATGTGGTATCTTTTATGTGAGTCTGACAGGCTCAAACTCAGCTTACTAGTTTCATGGACAACTTCAAGATAGCATTGGTTAAAGTTCAAACGAGATTCCAGTTAGCCCATTTCCAGTAAACCCTACCTAGGTAATTCCCTACTCCCTTCCAAGCTGTTCCAGTGTTGTTTCTATGGCTACCATACTTCTAGGGTGAGACAGAAATATAGGGAAGAGTAAAATCAGAACAATTAGGGTTATTGGGTTAAAGACTCTTTTTATCCTTTTTATGAACCCTATTTCTTCAGTAATAAATAAAAACATTTGGAAAATACAGTATTTTGAGTCTCCTGGTTCCGCAGTTCTGATTTGATGACATATTCTGAGAGATGTTCTGAATATTAAATACTTGGTTTTGAAAACAAGTTTATTCATACCAAGAAAGTGATTCACTCATGAATACAGTGAGTGAACTGTGAAGACATGAAATTTATTTTTTAGAGAAACTTCAATTCTTAGTTCGAAAATTCAAATAAGTTTGATCACATTGAAGAAATGCATTCTAATTAAGGTACCTGTAAAGTGAACACTTAGAAATATATTGACTAATATGGTTGATTCATATATACATATTATGTATTAGGAACCTGTAAGAATGATTACAAATATTTACAAAATACTTGTTAATTTTTCCAAGTCAATTTTATTACAAAAGAGAAAAAGTATTCATCTATTAATACAGAGACTGTTTCCATAGTGATATCTCTAAAAGTGTATATACAAAAGAATAAATTGACTCATTGACCTGGTATTAGATTTGGCTGAGTAGCATGATCATAGGAATGCAGTGGCCAACGGAACTTTCAGATCTCTAAAGAACCCATGCGAATCTAATGCCTTGCTTTGGCTCTTAGTTCTTTTCCTCTTACCTTTGTCCCTTCTGCTTCTATATTAGTCCGTCCTGGCTGCTATAACAAAATGCCACAAATGGGCTAGCTTAAAAAACAAAATTTATTTTCTCATAGTTCTAGAGGCTAGAAAGTCAAGATCAGGGTTCTAGAAGATTGAGTTTCTGATTTGGGCTCTCTTCCTGGCTTGTAGATGGGCACCTTCTTACTATGTCCACATGTGGCCCTTCCTCAGTGCATGCATGGCTTTGTACAAAGAGCGTGCACATGTGCACGTGCACATTCACCATGGGAGTTCTGTGGTGTGTTGTCTTATAAAGACACTAATCCTATCAGATCAGGACCCTACCCTTATAACCTCATTTAACCTCAATTCCTTAGAGGCCCTGTCTTCAAATATAGGAGGTGAGGGCTTCCACATATGGATCTTTAAGGGGACACAAATATAACACTCTTTTATCTCCTATTTCTCTGATAATAGCTTTTTCTCTCCTGCTCTGTGACCACCCACATTTCCTTGCAGCTATATGTGATGTGTTTTTCTTTCTTCTGGTTTTTTCACTGTTGAATTTCACCAGGCTGCAACTAACATTTCATTGTATAGGTGCTGCTTTAGATGCTGCCTTCAATAGCCTTAACATTCCCAGGAGTCTTGTCTCACTTGTCTTTTCCTGAGTCACCATTTTCTTATGGTTAAAGAGAGCTTCTCTGTGGGTATAGCAGGTGGAATATTGGGCACCCCTTACCCCACAAATATCTAGGTGCTAAATAAGTTGATTATCTTTTAAAGCCTCCAGAAGGAACACAACCTTCTCAACACCTTGTGAGACCCATTTCAGACTTCTGCCATCTAGAACTGTAACATAGTAAATTGTGTTGTATTTTAAGCCACTAAATTTGAGGTAATTTTTTATAGCAGCAACAGGAAAGTTAAACAGTGGGAGACCCAGTAGGCAAGTAGAAATGGTTGCCAAATGACCAGAACCCTGAACTGACCAGATGAGAACTCCCTGGATGGGAGCACCTTCTTTGCCTCTAACTGCTAAACACAGAATTTCCCTGAAAAGTCTTTATCAAGAAACATCGCATCCTAGAAGGTAACCAGACTTCTTTTCAAGTCTCAGACCTAATTGTTGACTATACTTGGTGGTCAGTAGAACCCACTCTCTGCTTCCTGGAGTCTCCTTGCTGTTTGGCGTAACACGTGACATACATATAATTATTGCTTTAGTTGAGAATTGCTCATTTATGTTTCTGGACTATCCTCATGAGAATAACCTAGGGTGCCCCACCCACAACTTACTGAGTCATTATCTTTGGGGATGGACTATGGTATCACTCATTTTTAATGAGCATTTTAAGGGCTTTTAATATATGCTAAAATTTGAAATCAATTGCTCTAACATATAGATTGTATATGAGAACAGTTTTCTTAGATTTCATAGAAGTTAAAATATGTTTAAGAATAAAATAATCATATGGGGATACATACCTAGAAACAAATATTAATGATTTCTAACTTCCACATGGTTATAAACTAGTGGCCACATGTTTCTCAGAAACCATTTCCATCAAGTTTCTATCTTTATACAATATCCCACAAGTTACCTGCCTAATAGCAGTTTCCTTTTTTTGATGTCTTCATAAAGCTAAGAATTTTCACATTTGCCTTAAGGATTCACTTGTATTTTCATTTTCCTCTTATATCATGTTGTACCTATATGTCTTTGTTTGGATTCTTAGGCTTGACATATTATGCATCTCAATAGTTCTTTCTAATATTCTTTATGGTCATGAATTTCTAGTCCTTAGTCCAGGAGTCACCCACTGTCTGTTTTTGTAAATAACATAATATGGAACACAGCCATATTAATTCATTTATGTCTTGCATTTGGCTGCTTTATTGCAGTAACAGCAGAATCGGGTAGTTGTGAGAGAAACTTTATGACCTACAAAGTTCAAAATATTTACTAAAGAAGTGACTGATTTCAGTATGAAGGCAAGGGGAATCCAAGACACGCCTTTAACATCTTGTGCTAAAAACGTAAGGAAATACTCAGAAATAATAAATGGCACAGAAGGGGAAAGCTCTTCCTCACAGAACAGTTTTAAATAATGCTAGATATAGAGAATCACCACTGACTGTCATCAGAGGAGTTTGATTCAGTTGGGGGTTGTCCACGGGTGCTAAGGCTGGTGGGCATAATTTGAGGAACAGGATATTACTGTACTCTTGGGGTAGCTTCCCACTAAAGAACTAAGTCTGATCATGAGAACTCTTGAGATGGACCCTAGGATAAAGGCCATCCTACAAACTCTAAGGCCTGTTGTCTTTGTAACTATCAAGAACATGAAAGACAGAAAAAGACTGAAGAATTGTTCCAGATTGAAGGAGTCTGTAATATATGATAACTGAATATAATATCTATTTCTAGGAAATTTGGAAATAAAAAATGAGACATTGTGAGGTGTTTTATCTATTCTTGGGTAAAAGAGTATTCCATAGTGATGCAAATTAATAGCTATTGAATTACGTTTCATAATATTTTAGGTTAAGAATTTGAGCAAGCATTAATTGAACAATTCTATTCAACTTGGTGTTTACCATTGGCAGGCAGGAGGATCTGGAGGCCCCAATATGGTTTCAATCACATTGCTAAAGAGTTGGCAAAGATGGTTGGAAGGCTGGGCTCAGTAGGGTGTATCAAAAAGAGTGCTTACATGTGAGTTCTTCAGCATGGTGTTCTTTTTTTTTAATTTTATTATTATTATACTTTAAGTTTTAGGGTACATGTGCACAATGTGCAGGTTAGTTGCATATGTATACATGTGCCATGCTGGTGTGCTGCACCCATTAGCATGGTGTTCTTAAGGAATCAGCCTTCTTAAGTGAAATCTCAGGGCTCCATGCCTTGTATAGATAAGCAATCATATTGGCCCAAATTTAAGGGGAGAGTAGCAAAGTTATTACACACATTTTTCCTGTATCACCGTGGGACAGTAGGCAAATTTGGAATTGGGTCTGAGAAGCTGATAGCAGTGCTATACCAATGTTCAATACCTGGTTTAGAGGCTTATAAGGTAGTTATGGAGTAGTATGTTCTAGTTTGGGGGAAATATACATTAGAATGCTTGGAATATACAGGCATAATGAGACATCACATTTGCAGATTCCTCTCAAAAGGTTCTGTAAAGGAATAATGTGTATGTGTATTCTGCCTGTGTATATATATCAGGGGAGAGAGGGTTGGAGGGGGAATGGTGATGTGACAAATGTAAAATGTTAACCATTGGGTATTCTGGTTGAATGGGACATGAGAGTTTTGGCTACTTTATTACAGATCTGAAAGTATTTCAAAATTTTGAAACATATTTAAATATAAAGGAAATAAGACAAATGATGGGAGTCTGAAGTAAAGAAGCTGCAGTGGACGTGAAAGATGAAGATGGATTTATGATGAACAGGATTGAGTGGCCAAATAGACATGGCATTGAGAGGTGGGCTGCTTGGAACACTGTCATCAGCACAGAAGTTCCATTGGCTGCTCACTTACAGAGAGAAGCAAACAGGCAAAGCTTGCCAATAATGCTGCAGCTCTAACGTTCTGCTTTGTCCTTTAATGATCACCCTGGAAAACTAACCATCAGCCAAGTTTCATTTTACAAAGCATCAAGACTATTTAAATAGAGTCAAATTTACTCCAATGTATAATAGATTTCTTAGTTCAGAGCAAAATCTGTGGCTCTTCTCTATTTGTTGGAAAAATTCTTCTATATAAGCTTATTCTAAATGGATAAATAGACTAAGAGTGAGTAATGTGGTTTATTTTGTGCATAGTGTACACTTTCACAAGAGAAGAAATTCTTCCAGGATAAAAGCAGCATATTAAAATGGAAATAAAGTATATCTTAGGATTTAAAACAATTTTATTGTATCAAATACAGTATAGAATCCGTGGTGGACTCCATACAAGACACTCAAATGTGAGATATTTAAACGTAAAAGGAGCAAGGTACAAAGCAAAATTTTAGACCAAGCAACTCAAGGACAGTATTATAAAAGGGTTTAAATATATGAATAAATAAAACTATTCTTTAAGTGAATGATATATGTGGTAGGAAAGTAACCTTACGATATTTTGAAACCTTAAAGTAAATAATTCAATAATTTTCAGTATCTATGCTCAGGATATAATGCTGACATCTATCTCCATGGGAGGTGCTGACATTTTGCTGAAACCTTACAAAAAGAGAACTCCTGCTGTGGATAGGAAATGCTATTCCATTGAGAAGGAGAAATCACAAGTTAAATATGCCGTAAGGAAGTTCTTATCAGCTTCACTATTACTCTGTGGTTATTGAGCTCTGGATAAATTCTTAAGACTACAAATGTGTAATTTTACTTCACAGATACAAAAACTTGTGGAATTGTGACAGGAACTAATTTTTATATTAGCTTCCATGAGTCAAGGTAGTTACAAAAAATAAAATAGTCATTCTTTTTTGCTAAGTTTGAATTATAGTGTGAATCATCTCAAGTGTTTTAACCTCTATTCCCCAACAATAGTGAATCTGGTTAGTGATACAAGAAGTTTCTCCTGTGTGTGCAAATGTGTGTGTACACATCTATCAGTATGTGTCCATGCAGGTACTTGTGTCTGCGGTGTGGAGAATGAAAGTGGAGATGTAGCTAAAATAGGAATGAAACGAAGATGAGTAAACATGATGTACTGAAAACTGGAAAGTCTGATCAGAGAGTACGGCTCTGAGTTCATTTTATTTTGTGTGTATACATATATATATGTATGTGTGTGTGTGTGTGTATATATATATATATATATATATATATACTGTAATCTTGAGATTTCCCATTCTGATTCTTAAGGAGCTCTGAACCTGTATTTTAATGAGTAATAGGCACATAGTGAGCACCTAAACAATTTACAACATTAGATAATCATGTCTGTATGATCCATTGCTGCATAATAAACAATCTCTAAACCTAGCATCTTAAAATAATGAACATTTATTACTTCACAGTTTTTGGGGTCATAAATCCAGGCACACAATTTAGCTGTGTGCTTCTGACAGCCTCGTACAAGGCTGCAATCAAGGTAAGGGATGAGGCTTCAGTCATGTCAGTAAGCGGGGCTCTAAGCCCACTCACATGGCTGTTGGCAGGTCTCAGGTTCTTGCTGGTTTTTGGTGAAAGACCTGACTTCTCTGCCTTGAGGGCCTCTCCATGGGGCTACTCACAACATGCCAGCTTTTTTCACCCAGAGTGAGGTGACAGAGAGAACAGTCTTTTTGTAATCTAATTTAGGAAGTGACATCTACTCACCTCTACAGTATTATTTGTTAGAAGCAAGTCACAGCCCAGATAACATTACACACAGTGGCAGGGATACCAGGAGGCAGGGATCTTTGGGAGCCCTCTCTGAGGCCTATCCCAATGACTTCAACAGTTCTTTGGTCATGATTTTATCATAAATTTCTCCCTGTCCAGCTTTCTATTAGACTCTGGCTTAATGCCAAGTTAAACCAATTGCTGTTTCTGTTTCTCTTCTCTCCCATCTTTTCTTTTTTCCCATTCCCCAAATTCATGGTTTAACTCAGTGGTCAATAAATTGAGAATTTCCAGTGATACACAGGCCAATTTCTAGATGTTCAACTTTGTTTTCTTTCCTAAAGTTACTTTGCCTGAGATATTCCTGAACTCAATCTAGCCTCTTACTTTACTAAACCAAGACATATGCTTTTGTTGATCTCCGATCTAGCTATGGCACATTTCTCCTGTGTGTAAAAACCTTTGGACACAAAGAGAAAGGGTCGTGTAATTAAACAAGGAATCATAGAGATTGAGTGCTTCCCCACTGTATTAGTCTGTTTTCATGCTGCTGATAAAGACATACCCGAGACTGGGTAATTTATACAGGAAGAAGGGTTTAATGGACTTACAGTTCGATGTGGCTGGGAAAGTCTCACAATCATGGTGGAAGGCAAGGAGGAGCAAGTCATGTCTTACATGGATGGCAGCAGGCAAAAAAGAGTTTGTGAAGGGAAACTCACTCTGATAAGACCATCAGAGCTCATAAGACTTATTCACTATCACAAGAACAGCAGGAGAAAGACCTGCCCCCATGATTCAGTTACCTCCCACCAGGTCCCTCCCACAACACATGGGAATTCAAGATGAGATTTGGGTGGGAAGACAGCCAAACTATATCACCCACTTTCCCTTCCTTGTGCATACTACCTTTTAAAAGTGAAGCATAATTTTATAATTTGGATATTTTGATCTTTTGAGATATTTGGAATTCAGATATATGGCAGTGTAGGGCCTTGGATGTCATGACAATTATTTTTTCAATAATTTTGCCTCCTCATACATTCATATCCACCCCCACCATTAGAAAACATTTCTTTTTCCTGGAAGGAAGAATTCCCTAAGACCCAAAATTACAGACTGTTAAAAGCAGCATTTTCAAGTAGGTAAATGTAAGCAATTATTCTCAGCTATTGTAATCCCTCACCTCTGGGATGTGTGATTGCCTGGAAATAAAAGCAGCTACAAAATGCCAAAGTGGAATAGATTATTGATGCTTATTCTTTTTAACTAAAATGTTTTCTGGGGCTATAAAACATTGTCAAGCTACAGGACCTTGGACAAATCACAAAGATAAAACTTGTATGCTATGTCTTCCAGATTTAATATGGATTATTTTGAGAAATACAAACTGATTTTTATTAAATTGTATCATAGAATCTTTGTTCCAATAACAAAGTTTATTTTATTGTCTTCTATAAAATGTTTAATGCTTTATGCTTTCTTTAACAAAAATATTATAGCTGTACTAAATTTTCTAGCAAGTTATACTCTGAATAAATATAGGAAAGTACATAATAATGTATGATTGATTATTTGTATTGATAGTTTTTGTTAACCTTTGTGTTTCTTATTTTATCATTTCCAAAAGCTGAACTTCAGGGTTTTGGGGACTATATGAATTTGCAAACAAATATACATGTAGTCCAAAGAAATTCCTTACCTCATAAATAACTTTTAATATTAGTATTATATTGAGATATTATAAAATAATAAACAGCATATTTATAACTTATTTTTAATTATAAAAATGAATAAATGAATTAGACTGTAACATTTTGCTTTTCATGAAATGACTTTTAGTAATCTTATCTAGCTAAATGCTGGTTATCTCAGCATTTTAAAAAAAATTTAAGTTAGAATTGAAAAATGAAGTTAGACTTTTTTAAACATAAATTAAGATTTTACTGATTTATTTGACAACATGGACTGGTTTTGCCAACTAGCTTATATAGTAAATATTAAACATGAGCTAAATCTGTAGGGGAAAGTCTTTAATTAAAATGTATTTATCATATTACAAATATCATTTTATAAATACTTGCAAGTTTGTAATTAATAATGTTTTGATTTTTTCAACTGTTTCAGGTATTTGGGTTAAAGTACCACTAAGTGAAAATTAATAGGTAGAAGTAATAATTACTTGCTAAGTCTTGGTAAAGCCTTTTTAGGTTTACTTCCAAGGAATGGAGAAGTGAATGACCCTGAACACTGGGTCACAATTCTTTGGCTGATAGGGTTATTTCCAATTCTTTGCTTTTAACAAAATTGAAAGTGGATTTAATGGAAGAGGATGGGTCCTTAAAGAGTAATTTTTGATTACAGATCACTGTGTGGTTTTTGGCACATATATCAAAATGTGCTAAAAGATTGAAAGGCATCTGTGTAACAAAATGCATCTCATTTTCACCTACTTGTTTATATAAACATGATTTATCATTCTTTACATATATTAAAACAAGAATAGGACTGATGCTGGCAGCCATATAATTCTAGGCTAAGCCGCCTTTATCCAAAGATAAAAACTAGTAAAACGTCCCTCATACTACCTTAGGAGGCTAATTTCCAATGCAATTTTGTGGTATTTTAATGTTTACAATTTTAAAAATTTGTTATATTCTGATCAGTTGTAAAATAATAGTAACACCTTATGGCAGAAGAAAAATATTATATTTGGGTAAAATTTCATTGGGGAAGTGGAATAAAGATAGAAGTAAACTTTTTAATTTTACCTTTGTTTCCAATTTTATTTAGATTCAGGGAGAATTTGTGCCGGTTTCTTACATGAATATGTTGTGTGATGCTGAGGTTTGGGCTTCTATTCCTCACACCACCCAGATAGTGAACAAGGTGTCAACAGGAAGTTTTTCAGCCTATTCCCCTTCTTTTGTCCCGCTCTCCTTTTGGAGTCCCTGCTGTTTATTGTGTCAGTCTTGTATTAGGCTGTTCTCACGCTGCTAATAAAGACACACCTGAGACTGCGTAATCTATAAAGGAAAGAGATTTAATTGACACAGTTCCACATGGCTGGGGAGGCCTTACAATCATGGCGGAAGGCAAAGGAGAAGCAAAGGCAATGTCTTGTCTTACATGGGGGCAGGCAAGAGGGAACTTGTTCAGGGTAACTCCCATTTATAAGACCCTCAGATCTCATGAGACTTACTCACTACCACAAGAACAGGATAGGGCAAACTGCCACCATGATACAATTATCTCTATCAGGCCTGTCCTTGACACATGAGGATTATTACAATTCAAGGTGAGATTTGGGTGGGGACACAGTCACACCATATCACGTCTTTATGTCTGTGTGTATGTAGGATTTAGCTCTCAGGTATAAATGAGAAAATGCAATATTTGGTGTTCTGTTTCTGCATTAATTTGCTTGGGATGATAGTCTCCAGTTGCATCCCTGCTGTAAATAAAAAATAATAATTTTTTTTGTGTGTGGCTGTGCAGTATTTCGTGGTGTATAGTCACCACACACATTTTATCCAATCCACCATTGATGGGCACCTAGGTTGACTCTATGTCTTTGCTATTATGAATAGTGCTGTAATGAACATATGAGTGCATGTGTCTTTTAGGAAAGACAATTTACTTTTCTGTGGGTATATACCTAGTAAGGAGATTGCTGGGTTGAATAGTATCTCTGTTTTTAGTTCTTTTTGACATCTCCCAAATGCTTTTGACAGTGGCTGAACTAATTTACATGCCTACCACCAATGCATAAATATTCCCTTTTCTCCACAGCCTTTCCAGCATCTACTTTTATTTTTTTTTACTTTTTAATAATATCCCTTCTGACTGATATGAGATGGTATCTCATTGTAGTTTTGATTTGTATTTCTACAATCAGTGATGTTGAGCTAAAATAATTTTTCAGGTTTGTTGGCTGCTTGTATGTCTTGAAGTATCTGTTCATGTCCTTTGCCTACTTTTTAATGGAGTTGTTTGTTTTTTGCTTGTTGGATTAATTTCCTTAAAGTTTCTGAATATCAGACCTTTGTCAACTGCATAGTTTGTGAATATTTTCTCCTATTCTATGGGTTGTGTGTACTCTGTTAATGGATTCTTTTGCTGTGCACAAGCTCTTTAGTTTCACTAGGTCCCATTTGTCAAATTTTATTTTTGTTGGAATTGCTTTTGAGGCCTTAGTCATAAATTCTTTTTCAATGCTGATGTGCAGAAGGTTATTTCCTAGGTTTTCTTGTAGGATTTTTATAGTTTGAGGACTTACATTTACACCTTTAATCCATCTTGAGTTAATTTTTGTATATGGTAATAGGTAGGAATCCGGTTTCATTATTCTGCATGTGGCTGGCCAGTTATCCCAGTACCATTTATTGAATAGACAGTCCCTTCCCCAATGCTTATTTTTGGTGACTTTTTTGAAGATCAGATGGCTGCAGGTGTGTGGCTTTATTTCTGTGTTGTGTATTCTGTTCCATGGGTCTATGTCTCTGTTTTTGCACCTGTACCATGTTGGTTTGGTTATTGAAGCCTTGTAATATAGTTTGAAGTCAAGTAATGTGATGCTTCCAGCTTGTCCTTTTTGCTTAGGATTGCTTTGGCTGTTTGGGCTGGTTTTGGGTTCCATAAGAATTTTAGAATTATTTTTAATTCTATGAGAAATGATGTTGATAGTTTAATAGATATCGCATTGAATCTACGGGGGGTGCCCAACTTCCATGCTGGCACACAGACCCATGCCACACTCCTCTCTGGGTTCTGAGATTACTCCTCCCTTACTTGAGCTCAGACTACAGATAGCTCCATAACCCTGGGTGATGTGTTCAAATCTCAGGGAGTTGCATCTTGGCCAAAATATTTGTCCTCTGGCCCCTGGAAGTCCACCACCAGCTGTGCTGGGGGATGCTTAACTGCTCCCAGGCTGCCAGCAAAACACTCAGACGGTCAGCAGTGGAGGCCGTGCTGTGGGTACCCTTCTGCAGGAGCAACCAGGCAGGCAATCTTGGGAGGTGCCAGCAGGCAAGGGGCTGCATGGCTCAAGTGTGCCCCAGTTCTGCAAGAATGGCCTGGTGACAATGGCAGCCCTGCCCTCTCCTGGCCTGGCAAACTGCAGTCCTTCAGTGCAAGATAGATCACCTTGGGGGACAGGCTCCTGTGGTCGCATTTTGCTGCAGCTATATTGCATGGCAGAACTTTCCAAGGTCCTCATGGGTTTGAGCTGTGCTTCTCCCTGATCTCTGGGAGGCGGCTTCTGCCATTTCAAAGATCTATGGGGGTCATGGGAGCTCCTGTAGCTAGGATCCCAGAGGTCTATGGTGAGAATGTAGTACCCTGGAATTCCTTAACCCCTTCTTTAGGTCCAGCTCAGGACTGGGGACAGTCCTGGTGCCCAGGGACTCAGAGTAGGCTACCCAGCTTCCGCCCTCTTCATCTATGGTGTCTGTGTCTCCTTTCTATCAACTTTCAATGTTTTCTCTCAAAAGACCTGTTCAAAGTGTGATTGTTTACTCTATATTTTGGTTCCACTTGGTGGAAGAGGCATCTCCTGGCTGCATCTAGCTGGCCATCTTACCTGGTTCTTGGTAGTGCTTTTTAAAGCCAGAAATGGAAAGAAAACTTAAATTTCCAAATACTATAAAATTTATTATTTAAAATATGTTGATGGTTTTAAATTATTTGTATTTATTGGATTCATTTCTATATTGAATACATTTGGAGCATGATTTTACACTTATACTGCCATGTGTGCTATACGGTCAATTGCATCATTTGCAACTACTTACATTTATGAGGAAAATCTTACATACCAAATTAAAAATGTGGCAGGATTATAACGTTTTTCAAAATTCTTTTTCAATGTAGAACAGCAGATAGAAAGACAACTGTTAGATATCTCAATGCATAGTATGCTTGCTTCTCAGAAATACTAGCATGTAACTTGCTAATAAAACTTCTGGCTTATTGTGTTAGAAAGTTTAGTACATTGATAGCATCTTAGGCAAAGAGGCAGAGACAGGGTGTACATGAGATCTTGTGGCTATAGTTTAAGGCAAGTATTTCAATGTGGGGGCTTGATTTGAAATGGGTGCAGTTCATCATATAGCAATTTGGTATTCGTAGACAAAGCAAGACTTTGGTTTTGAGACTGGGGTTTCAAAGTAAGTCTTGCAGAAAAAAGACAGTCATTTGATGTTATTTACTATGAGGTGAGTCTTCCAATGGTGTCTTAAGTGTGTTTTCAGGAAGTTTCTGAAATAATTAAGGATGTTTGCAAGCTGTATCCTTCTGAGCAATGGTTTTTTGAATTGAAGTAATGTTAATGAAACAGTCAAGTGTGTGAATGTAGATGGTTTGGTTTCCAGTTGTTTGTGCTTCATTTAATTGGCAAAATTCAATAAACCTAATTCTTCTTCCTTTTCTTCTCATTATCATAGTTATTTGATGCTCTATATCTGCACCTTTTGGAACTGCTATTTGATATATGTCCCTTTTAAATAGACATATTTGATATATTTTTACTTTTAATCTTTATCTCGTTTTTGTTAGAATATTCTAGAATAATCTTAGCTTATTTTTCTAGTGCAGCAGTTACATTTTCTACAAAATTCATTGTTATTCATCTAACTTACTGAGCTTTAAATTTTAGTAATGTTTTTAGATATGTAATTTGAAAAATAACATCCCTCATTTGTTGATATAATATTCCTTCAAAAATTTGCTCATGATACCAACTATTTTTTTATTTGAAGTTATTTTGTGTTCTATTTTTATCTGAATTGCAGTTTAGTATCTTTTTAATTTTTAACTGCCTTCAGTATTTGGTAATTCTGTTTAATTTTAAATGAGATTCTAGACAAAACTTGCCTAGGTAGTTGGAATATATTTCTTCAGCATGTGTAAAATTTCAGTTGCTTTGGCAGTGAGCACAGATTTGATTACATGCTCCTAACCTCCAGTTTATTGTTGAGGGCAGTGATGCATGAATATGTAGCCAGGTGAGATTTACTCAAGGGTGGAAGTCACTGTGCTCCCATTTCACGTGGAGATTACCAGGCAGACTGCTCAACTTGTCTCTTCCTCACTCTGGGAGTCTCAACACTGGGTATATTGCAGTCAGCCCAACTAAGATATCAATCTTGGTTCAGCTGTTTTATAATCCTTTAAGAATCTCACTGAGAAATCCATAACCACCTGCTTTTCCAACTCCCTGAGATCTCAGATCCTGGATTATTATAGAATTCCACTGGGTATAGTTACTTTCACAAAGACTCCCAGTTTTTCCTTGACTACATGATGGCATATAAAGCTAGATTCACAGAATTTGTAAAGGATGCTGCTGTCCCCATTATGAATTGCTGTGTAACAGCTATCCCTAAATGTAGTGGCTTAAAATAACAAACGTTCTATTGTCTTATAACTCTATGGGTCATGCATTTATGTGGAGTTCTTAGCAATTCTGATCCTTATGACAAAGACTAGAGCAACTGGTGGTATTTCACATACAATGGGCCCAGCCTGGAGGGTTCAAGTTAGGTTCACTCACATGCTTGGTGTTGGCAGGCCCAATTGTAAAGATGTACTCAGCTGGGTCCCTCTCTTTCTGCATGTGTTTTTAGGGTTTCTGCATGTGTTCTGCCCTGTAAGTTGGTTTAACTTCTTATGTGAGGCTGTTTTCTGCTAGAGTGAGCATTCTAAGAAACCAAGGTGATATGGTATGGCTGTGTCCCCACCCAAATCTCATCTGGAATTCCCACATGTTGTGACAGGAACTGGTGTGAAGTAATTGAATCATGGGGGCATGTCTTTCTCTTGCTGTTCTCATGATACCGAATAAGTGTCACATGGTTTTGAGACATGGGAGTCTCCCTGCACAAGCTCTCTTTGCCTGCTGCCATCTATGTAAGACATGACTGGTTGCTCCTTGCCTTCTGCTGTGATTGTGAGGTTTCTCCAGCCGCATGGAACCGTAAGTCCAATTAAACCTCTTTCTTTTATAAGTTGCCTAGTCTTCAGTATGTCTTTATCAGCAGCATAAAAATGGACTAAAACAGTAAATTGGTACCAGTGGAATGGGGTGTTGCTGAAAAGATACCCAAAAATGTGGAAGCAACTTTGCAACTGGATAACAGGCAGAGGTTGAAACAGATTTTAGGGCTCAGAAGAAGACACAAAAATGTGGGAAAATTTGGAACTTCTTAGAGACTTGTTGAATGGCTTTGACAAAAATGCTGATAATGATATGAACAATAAGGTCCAGGCTCGGGTGGTCTCAGATGGAGATGAGGAACTTGTTAGGAACTGGAGCAAAGGTGTGTCTTGTTATGTTTTAGCAAAGACACTGGTGGCATTTTGCTTCTGCCCTAGAGATTTGTGGAACTTTAAACTTGAGAGAGTTGATTTAGGGTATCTGGCAGAAGACATTTCTAAGCAGCAAAGTGTTCAAGAGGTGACTTGGATGCTATTAAAAGCATTCAGTTTTAAAAGGGAAACAGCATAAAAGTTCAGAAGATTTTTATTCTGACAATACAGTAGAAAAGAAAAACCCATTTTCTGAGGAGAAATCCAAGCTGGCTGCAGAAATTTGCATAAGTAATGAGCCAAATGTTAATCCCCAAAACCATGGGGAAAGTGTCTCCAGGGCATGTCAGAGGTCTTCATGGCAGCCTTTCCCATCACAGGCCCAGAAGCCTAGGAGGAAAAAGTGGTTTAGTGGGTTGGGTCCAGGGTTCCCATGCTGTTTGAAGCCTAGGGATTTGGTGCCCTGGGTCCCAGCTGCTCCAGCCATGGCTGAAAAAGGACCAATGTAGAGCTTGGGCCATGGCTTCATTTGGTGCAATCTCCAAGCCTTGGCAGCTTCCATGTGGTATTGAGCCTGCAAGTGCACAGAAGTCAAGAATTGAGGTTTGAGAACCTTCGTCTAGATTTCAGAAGATGTATGGAAATGCCTGGATGCCTAGGCAGAAATTTGCTGTAGTGGTGGGGCCCTCATGGAGAACCTGTGCTAGGGGAGTGTGAAAGGGAAATATGGGGCTGAAACCCCCACACAGAGTCCCTACTGGGACACCACCTAGTGGAGCTGTGAGAAGAGGGCAACTATCCTCCAGACCCCAGAATGATAGATCCACCAACAGCTTGCACTGTGACCCTAGAAAAGCTGCAGACACTCACTGCCAGCTCATGAAAGCAGGTGGGAGTGGGGCTATACCCTGAAAAGTCACAGGGGCAGAGCTGCCCAAGGCTGTGGGAGCCCACCTCTTGCATCAGCGTAACCTGGATGTGAGACATGGAGTCAAATAAGATCATTTTGGAGTTTTAAGACTTGACTGCCCTGCTGAATTTCAGACGTGCATGGGGCCTGTAAACCCTAAGTTTTGGCCAATTTTCTCCCATTTGGAATGGCTGTATTTACCCAATTCTGTACCCCCATTGTATCTAGGAAGTAACTAATTTGCTTTTGATTTTATAGGCTAATAGGTGGAAGGGACTTGCCTTGTCTCAGATGAGACTTTGGACTGTGGACTTTTGAATTAATGCTGAAATGAGTTAAGACTTTGGGGGACTGCGAGGAAAGCATAATTGGTTTTGAAATGTGAGGACATGAGATTCAGAAGTGGCCAGTTGCAGAATAATGTAGTTTGGCTGTGTCCCCACCCAAATCTCATCTCGAATTTCCACGTGTTGTGGGAGGGACCTCATGGGAGGTAATTGATTCATGGGACAGGTCTTTCTCATGCTGCGCTAGTGAAACCAAATAAGTCTCACAAGGTCTGATGGTTTTGAAAAGTGGGAGTCTTCCTGCACAGGCTCTCTTTGCCTGCTACCAATCATGTTAGACGTGACTTTCTCCTTGCCTTGCACAATGATTGTGAGGCTTCCCCAGCCACATGGAACTGTAAGTCCAATTAAACTTCTTTCTTTAGTAAATTTCCCAGTCTCAGGTTTGTCTTTATTGGCAGTTTGAAAATGGACTAATACAAAAGGAAGAAGCTACAAGTATTTTTCTGTCCTAATCTCATATATCACCGTATTGTCATATTCACCACATTCTATTGGTTAGAAGCAATTCACTAAGGCCCTGCAACTTTCAAGGAAAAGAGAATTTAAATTCACCTCCCAATGGAATGAGTGTCAAAATATGTGTGGTTAGTTTTAATCTGTCACAGATTCTTTTACCGATAAAACTTCTAAGTTGGAATGCATAGTTGAGTGAACAATTTTTATTTTTTTAATTATTTTTTTGACTTTTTAATATTTTTATTATACTTTAAGTTCTAGGGTACATATGCACAATGTGCAGGTTTGCTACATATGTATACATGTGCCATGTTAGTGTGCTGCACCCATTAGGTATGTCTCCTAATGCCATCCCTCCCCCCTCCCCCAACCCCACAACAGGCACCAGTGTGTGATGTTCCCCTTTCTGTGTCCAAGTGTTCTCATTGTTCAATTCCCAACTATGAGTAAGAACATGCGGTGTTTGGTTTTTTGTCCTTGCGATAGTTTGCTGAGAATGATGGTTTCCAGCTTCATCCATGTCCCTACAAAGGACGTGAACTCATCATTTTTTATGGCTGCATAGTATTCCGTGGTGTATATGTGCCACATTTTCTTAATCCACTCTATCATAGATGGACATTTGGGTTGGTTCCAAGTCTTTGCTATTGTGAATAGTGCCACAATAAACATACGTGTGCATGTGTCTTTATAGCAGCATGATTTAAAATCCTTTGGGTATATACCTAGTAATGGGATGGCTGGGTCAAGTGGTATTTCTAGTTCTAGATCCCTGAGGAATCCCCACACTATCTTCCACAATGGTTGAACTAGTTTACAGTCCTACCAACAGTGTAAAAGTGTTCCTATTTCTCCACATCCTCTCCAGCACCTGTTGTTTCCTGACTTTTTAATGATCACCATTATGGTGTGAGATGGTATCTCATTGTGGTTTTGATTTGCATTTCTCTGATGGCCAGTGATGATGAGCATTTTTTCATGTGCCTGTTGGTTGCATAAATGTCTTCTTTTGAGAAGTGTCTGTTCATATCCTTCACCCACTTTTTGATGGGGTTGTTTTTTTTTCTTGTAAATTTGTTTGAGTTCATTGTAGATTCTGGATATTAGCCCTTTGTCAGATGAGTAGATTTCAAAAATTTTCTCCCATTCTATAGGTTGCCTGTTCACTCTGATGGTAGTTTCTTTTGCTGTGCAGAAGCTCTTTAGTTTAATTAGATCCCATTTGTCAATTTTGGCTTTTGTTGCCATTGCTTTTGTTGTTTTAGACATGAAGTCCTTGCCCATGCCTATGTCCTGAATGGTATTGCCTAGGTTTTCTTCCAGGATTTTTATGGTTTTATGTCTAACATTTAAGTACTTAATCCATCTTGAATTCATTTTTATATAAGGTGTAAGGAAGGGATCCAGTTTCAGCTTTCTACATATGGCTAGCCAGTTTTCCCAGCAGCATTTATTAAATAGGGAATTTTCCCCATTTCTTGTATTTGTCAGGTTTGTCAAAGATCAGATGGTTGTAGATGTGTGATATTATTTCTGAGGGCTCTATTCTGTTCTATTGGTCTATATCTCTGTTTTGGTACCAGTACCATGCTGTTTTGGTTACCGTAGGCTTGTAGTATAGTTTGAAGTCAGGTAGCGTGATGCCTCCAGCTTTGTTCTTTTGGCCTAGGATTGACTTGGCAATGTGGGCTCTTTTTTGGTTCCATATGAACTTTAAAGTAATTTTTTCCAATTCTGTGAAGAAAGTCATTGGTAGCTTGATGGGGATGGCATTGAATCTATAAATTACCTTGGGCAGTGTGGTCATTTTCACGATATTGATTCTGCTGATCCATGAGCATGGAATGTTATTCCATTTGTGTCCTCTTTTATTTCGTTGAATAGTGGTTTGTAGTTCTCCTTGAAGAGATCCTTCGCATCCATTGTAAGTTGGATTCCTAGGTATTTTATTCTCTTTGAAGCAATTGTGAATGGGAGTTCACTCATGATTTGGCTCTCTGTTTGTCTGTTATTGGTGTATAAGAATGCTTGTGATTTTTGCACATTGATTTTGTATCCTGAGACTTTGCTGAGGTTGCTTATAAGCTTAAGGAGATTTTGGGCTGAGGTGATGGGGTTTTCTGAATATACAATCATGTCATCTGCAAACAGGGACAATTTGACTTCTTCTTTTCCTAATTGAATACCATTTATTTCTTTGTCCTCCCTGATTGCCCTGACCAGAACTTCCAACATTATGTTGAATAGGAGTGGTGAAAGAGGGCATCCCTGTCTTGTGCCAGTTTCAAAGGGAATGCTTCCAGTTTTTGCCCATTCAGTATGATATTGGCTGTGGGTTCGTCATAAATAGCTCTTATTACTTTGAGATACATCCCATCAATACCTAATTTATTGAGAGTTTTTATCATAAAGGGCTGTTGAATTTTGTCAAAGGTCTTTTCTGCATCTGTTGAGATAATCATGTGGTTTTTGTCTTTGGTTCTGTTTATATGCTGGATTACGTGTATTGATTTGCATATGTTGAGAGTGAATAATTTTTAAATTGATAATAGTGAAGTCATACACTTTCATTTAGTATTAGTGTTATAGACAGAAATCTTTCTAAGTTAAATGTAAGGAATTATGAAACGAGACTTGTATTATACTATTATACCCATAACACATGAAATACAATTAAATCCATGAAACATTAATATTAGATTATATATTTCTGTCCTCTCTTTTGGTCTGTCCTCTCTGTTGGTAAGGTTTATAAATCAGAACCAGAAGACTCACCAAATAAAAATTTATAATATATTCTAACACAGTAAAATGTGTAGAATTTTGTTCCACAATAAACACGTTCAAATTCTAACCCCCTAGATACTATTAATGTGACCTTATTTAGAAATAGGATATTGGCAAGTGTAATCAAGTTAAGATGAGGTCTTACTGGATTATAATGGATGCTATTCCAATGATTGATGTCCTTATAAGAAGAAAATTTGGACACAGACACAGGGAAGAGGGCACAGAAAGACAAGCAGAATTGGATTGATGATGCTACAAGCCAAAGATAGTAGCAATCATTGGAAGCTAGGAAAGAGGCATGAAACGGATTCTCCTCTGGAAACTCAGAAAGAGCATGACCCAAGCGACACTTTGTTCTCAGACTTTTGTCCTCCAGAACTCTAAGAATAAAATTGTATTTTGATGCCCAGTTTGGTACTTTTTTATAGTAGCCTTAGGAAGCTAATAGAAAGTATTACCTCATATTAAATCTAAAACTTGGAATAGTATAGACTGAGATTCTTTTATTAAAATGATTCTTTTAAGTGTATTGATAACTCATCTTTATTCCTGATAATGTAACATAAATTAAATCTGAATTGATGCCTTCTTAGATCCTTCAAATACCTCAGTTCTGCAATGATTGGAGAAAGGAGTCAACATTTATTGAAACTCTACCCTACAACAGAGTGTGCTTGGTATTTTGTGCTTATTGTGTCTCAACCTTCACAGTAATCATATGATGTACACGTCATTTTCCATGATGATGTAGAAACTGCCCAAGCATAGTATCTTTTTCCCCTCAATTGTAAGTTTATCTGGGTTAAGTTCCATTCGTCATGTTTCTATAGTCAGTGTTTATAATATTATCTAGTACATAGTATTTAATACATGTTTAATGATAAAAATTTGATACTTGAATATTACAAAATGGAAAAGGGTTTGCTTTCTAATTAGAAGTCGAATCAGGACAAAAATCTCCCCATATTGACTTGTTTTTGTATTAGTTTTTTTTGTAGGGGTTTATGACCCAAATAACTTGTTTTATTTATTAATAATCTTTATTTTTTTAGAGCAGTTTTAGGTTCCCAGCAAAACTGGGTGGAAAGTAGAGAGTTCTCATTTACTCCCTGTTCCCCTCCCCACAAAACCTCCCCAACTATCAACATCCCATATCACGGTTGTGCCATGGAAAACTTCGTAGCCATTTGAGAAACTGTGGCACAGCTCGATTTTGAATTGGGGTTCATCGGGCCCCTATATCCATGTTCAATCCACTACAGTACATCCTATTAGTATAAATATTAAGAGAAGCAGTAGGGAGAGGCAGAGGATTCTCTCATACGGGATCCAGTGATGGTGGACTTCTCAGATCTCACCTCCTGTTTCAAAAGGCACTTACCCCTTTATATGGGACTTACATGGGACTTTACCTGTTCCCATGGAAAAGTTAATCACTCATTCTGAGACAACCTTGAATTTTGTATATATTTCTATTGATATACGTGCCACATTATAGTAAAATCATTTGTTTATTGTTCAGTGATCTCCTTGAAGGGAGGAACCATGTCTTATTTTCCTTTTTATCCCCAGTGCATAGCACAATGTCTGGCACATTGAACGTATTCAAGGTATTTATTAACTTAAGTTTAATAAATATTCTCTCTGTGTCAGACTTTGAATAAACTATTTAACGAATTTTAGCTTTAGTCCCTCAAAACAATCACAGATAAATACTACTCAGTCTTATTTTAGAAGTGTGAAAACAGAAATGGAGAGAAGTTAATTGATTTGTACAAGGTACCATGTATAATTGAGCTGGTATATCCAATAGTCACTATAAATACTGTATCTAGAGCCCAAGGTTTATTAATGTGTATGAAATGTTAAAAATAGTGTCTGAAATATGAACAAATTAAAATGAATGTTTAAATGATCACTAAATTTAACAGACTTCATACATATTATGTTTAGTCTTAATAAAAATTTCCTTATATTTAAACATTATTCGTAGATAGATTTCTGACTTCCTACAATGATTACAAAGAAATCATAGCCCATTTAAATTGAGTTATTCATTATCAATGGGATCAAAAACAAATTAAAAGTTTCAAAATTACAGCAAACATAGTTAATAGGGCATGCACTCAGTTTTATATGCATTTAATAGAATATAAAGGTGGAATGTGCTGAATTTAAGTGATCAGTGTCTAACAAGTATTATTAAAGTATGGGATGAAACAAATGATAGAATTGTCTTTGACAATCTTACTATTCTACACTGCCTTCTGCCATGACTATGTTATTTGGCAACTAATCAGTATTTTGATAATTAAATCAAAACTACTTGAAATTTATTAGCAAAAATAAATTTTTTTTTTCTTGTATAAGTATTTACTGAAAACATAAAAATTTGCCCACAGCTGTCCAGTTTATAATTAAGCATTTTGGCCTTTGAAGTATAAATATATAAAGCTCAATTATACCTCAAATATTGTAATGAGAGGATTATTTTACATTAATTTTTATTTCCTGTGTTTTTAACATCTAGCATTCTATTTAAGCTTCTACTTAATTATTAAATGTTTTGATTAAACCGTCTTTCCATAAATTGAGTCAGTTTGTTAAATAAATATAGCTTTCATCACTATTAACCTTTATTTGAATTGTCTAGTGATATTAATTGCATTATAATACTAATATTCGTTTTTATAGCTTTTTTGAGATATGTTTCATATGCTATAAAATTCACCCGTTTAAAGTGTAAAGCTTGGTAGTTTTTAATGTGTTCAGAGTTTTGCAACTATCACCACAATTGCAATTTGCTTAGTATAATGGTCTCCAGCTCCATCCATGTTGCTGCAAAGGACATAATATCATTTGTTTTATGGATGTATAGTATTTCATGGTAGACATGTACCACACTTTCTCTTTTTTTTTGCTTTTAACTTTATAACTTTAATTAGAAAGTAGATTTAGTGGTTTTCAAAATGCTCTGTGTATTGCGCAGTGTTACAGAGATCCAGACAGTGATATGTCCATCCGAGATCTACACATAAGAAGACAGACATCTATTGAGTTTAATTTTTTTTTTTTTTTTTTTTTTACTTTAAGTTCCAGTATGCAAGTGCAGAACCTGTAGGTTTCTTACATAGGTATACATGTGCCATGGTGGTTTGCTGCACCTAACAACCTGTTAACTAGGTTTTAAACCCTGCATGCATTAGCTATTTGTTCTAATGCTCTCCCTCCCCTAATCCCCAACCCCCTGAGTGGCCCCAGTGTGGGTTGTTTCCCTCCCTGTGTCCATGTGTTCTCATTGTTCAACTCCCACTTATGAGGGAGAACGTGCGTTGTTTGGTTTTCTGTTTCTGTGTTAGTTTGCTGAGAATGATGGCTTCCGGCTTCATTTATGTCCTTGCAAAAGACATGATCTCATTCCTTTTTATGGCTGCATAGTATTCCATCGTGTATATGTACCACATTTTCTTTATTCAATCTGTCACTGATGGGCATTTGGGTTAGTTCCATGTCTTTGTTACTGTGAATGGTGCTGCAATAAACATATGTGTGCATGTATCTCTATAATAGAATGATTTATAATCCTTTGGGTATATATCCAGTAATGGAATTGCTGGGTCAAATGGTATTTCTGGTTCTAGATCCTTGAGGAATCGCCACACTGTCTTCCACAATGGTTGAACTAATTTACATTCCTACCAACAGTGTAAAAGCATTTCTATTTCTCCACAGCCTTGCCACCATCTGTTGTTTCTTGACATTTTAATAATCACCATTCTGACTGGCATGAGATGGTATCCCATTGTTGTTTTGATTTTCACTTCTCTAACAATCAGTGATGATGAGCTTTTTTTTTTAAATATGTTTGTTGACCACATAAATGTTGTCTTTTGAGAAATGTCTGTTCATATCCTTTGCCCACTTTTTGATGGGTTTGTTTATATTTTTCTTGTAAATTTGTTTAAGTTCTTTGTAAATTCTGAATATTAAACCCTTGTCAGATTGGCAGATTTCAAAAATTTTTCTCCCGTTCTGTAGGTTGCCATTCTTTCTGATCATAGTTTCTTTTGCTATGCAGAAGTTTTTTAGTTTAATTAGATCCCATTTATCAATTTTGGCTTTTGTCGCATTTGCTTCTGGCATTTTTGTCATGAAGCCTTTGCCCATGCCTGTGTCCTGAATGGTATTGCCTAGATTTTCTTCCAGGATTTTTATGGTTTTGGGTTTTACATTTAAGTCTTTAATCCATCTTGAATTAATTTTTGTATAAGGTTTAAGGAAGAGGTCCAGTTTAAATTTTCTGCATTTGGCTAGCCAGTTTTCCCAGCATCATTTTTTAAATAGGGAAGCTTTTCCCCATTGCTTGTTTTCATCAGGTTTGTCAAAGATCAGATGATAGTAGACTTGTGATCTTATTTCTGAGTTCTCTGTTCTGTTCCATTGGTCTATATATCTGTTTTGGTACCAGTACCATGCTGTTTTGAATACTGTATTTTTGTAGTATAGCATAAAGTCAGGGAGCATGATGCCTCCAGCTTTGTTCTTTTTCCTTAAGATTTTTTTGGCTAGAGGGGCTTTTTTGGTTCCATATGAATTTGAAAGTAGTTTTTTTTTTTTCTAATTCTGTGAAAATGTCAGTGGTAGTTTGATGGGAGTAGCATTGAATCTATAAATTACTTTGGGCAGTATGTCCGTTTTCAAGATATTCTTCCTATCCATGAGGATAGAATGTCTTTCCATTTGTCTGTGTCCTCTCATTTCCTTGAGCAGTGGTTTGTAGTTCTCCTTAAAGATGTCCTTCACATCCCTTGTTAGCTGTATTCCTGGGTATTTTCATCTCTTTGTAGCAATTGTGAATGGAAGTTCATTCATGATTTGGCTCTCTCCTTGTCTATTGTTGATGTATAGAAATGCTCGTGATTTTTGCACATTGATTTTGTATTCTGTGTAAGTTTCTTATCAGCTTAAGGAGTTTTTTTGGCTGAGATGATGAAGTTTTCTAAATATTGCATCATGTCATCTGCAAACAGAAACAATTTAACTTCCTCTCTTCCTACTTGAATACCTGTTATTTCTTCCTCTTGCCTGATTTCCCTGGCCAGAACTTCTACTACTTTGTTGAATAGGAGTGGTGAGAGAAGGCATCCTTGTCTTGTGCCAGTTTTCAAAGGGAATGCTTCCAGCTTTTGCCCATTCAATATGATAATGGCTATGTGTTTGTCATAAATAGCTCTTATTATTTTGAGATATATTCCATCAATATCTAGTTTATTTTCCATCAATACCTATATTATTTTGAGATATATTCCATCAACACCTAGTCTATTGGTTTTTTTTAGCGTGAGGTGATGTTGAATTTTATCAAAGGCCTTTTCTGCATCTATTGAGATAATCATGTGGCTTTTGTTATTGGTTCTGTTTATGTGATAGATTACGTTTATTGATTTGTGTATGGTGAACCAGGCTTGCAACCCAGGGATGAAGCTGACTTGATTGTGGTGAATAGACTTTTAGATGTGCTGCTGGATTTGGTTTGTCAGTATTTTACTGAGAATTTTTGCATCGCTGTTCATCAGGAATATTGGCCTGAAGTTTTCTTTTTATTTTATTGTATTGTATTGTATTATTATACTTTAAGTTTTAGGGTACATGTGCACAATGTGCAGGTTAGTTACATACGTATACATGTGCCATGCTGGTGTGCTGCACCCATTAACTCGTCATGTAGCATTAGGTATATCTCCTAAAGCTATCCCTCTCCACCTCCCCCCACCCCACAACAGTCCCCAGAGTGTGATGTTCCCCTTCCTGTGTCCATGTGTTCTCATTGTTCAATTCCCACCTATGAGTGAGAATATGTGGTGTTTGGTTTTTTGTTCTTGCGATAGTTTACTGAGAATGATGATTTCCAATTTCATCCATGTCCCTACAAAGGACATGAACTCATCATTTTTATGGCTGCATAGTATTCCATGGTGTATATGTGCCACATTTTCTTAATCCAGTCTATCATTGTTGGACATTTGGGTTGGTTCCAAGTCTTTGCTATTGTGAATAGTGCTGCAATAAACATACGTGTGCATGTGTCTTTAGAGCAGCATGATTTATAGTCCTTTGGGTATATACCCAGTAATGGGATGGCTGGGTCAAATGGTATTTCTAGTTCTAGATCCCTGAGGAATTGCCACACTGACTTCCACAATGGTTGAACTAGTTTACAGTCCCACCAACAGTGTAAAAGTGTTCCTATTTCTCCACATCCTCTCCAACACCTGTTGTTTCCTGACTTTTTAATGATTGCCATTCTAACTGGTGTGAGATGGTATCTCATTGTGGTTTTGATTTGCATTTCTCTGATAGCCAGTGATGGTGAACATTTTTTCATGTGTGTTTTGGCTGCATAAATGTCTTCTTTTGAGAAGTGTCTGTTCATGTCCTTTGCCCACTTTTTGATGGGGTTGTTTGTTTTTTTCTTGTAAATTTGTTTGAGTTAATTGTAGATTCTGGATATTAGCCCTTTGTCAGATGAGAAGTTTTCTTTTTTTGTTGTGTCTTCCTGGTTTTGATATCAAGGTGATGATGGCCTCATAAAATGAGTTAGGGAGGAGTCCCTCCTTTTCAGTTGTTTGGAATTGTTTCAGAAGGAATGGTACCAGCTCCTCTTTGTACCTCTGGTAGAATTTGTCTGTGAATCCATCTGGTCCTGGGCTTTTTCTGGTTGGTAGGCTATTAATTACTGATTCAATTTCAGAGCTTGTTATTAGTCTATTCAGGGATTTGGTATCTTTCTGGTTTAGTCTTGGGAGGGTGTATGTGTCCAGGAATTTATCCATTTCTTCTAGATTTTCTAGTTTATTTGTGTAGAGGTGTTTTTAGTATTCTCTGATGGTAGTTTGTATTTCTGTGGGGTCAGTGTGATAACTCCTTTATCATTTTTCATTGCGTCTACTTGATTCTTCTCTCTTTTCTTCTTTATTAGTCTAGCTAGCTGTCTATTTTATTTTTTCAAAAACCAGCTTTGGATTCGTTAATTTTTTTCAGAAGGTTTTTCTTATCTCTATCTCCTTCAGTTTGGCTCTGATCTTAGTTATTTCTTATCTTTTGCTATCTTCTGCATTTGTTTGCTTCTTTCCTCTCTAGCTCTTTTAATTGTGACGTTAGGGTGTTGTTTTTAGATCTTTCTAGTTTTTTGATGTGGACATTTAGTGCTATAAAGGTTCCCTCTTAACACAGCTTTAGCTGCACCCCAGAGATTCTGGTATGTTGTCTCTTTGTTTTCATTGGTTTCAAAGAACTTCTTGATTTCTGCCCTAATTTCATTATTTACCCAGGAGTCATTGAGGAGCAGGTTCTTCAATTTCCATGTAGTTGTGTGGTTTTGAGTGAGTTTCTTAATCCCGAGTTCTAATCTGATTCCACTGTGGTCTGAGAGACTGTTATGATTTCAGTTCTTTTGTGTTTGCTGAAGAGTGTTTTACTTACAATTATGTGGTCGATTTTAGAGTAAGTGCCATGTGGCACTGAGAAGAATGTATATTCTTTTGTTTTGGATAGAGAGTTCTGTAGATGTCTATCAGGTCTGCTTGGTCCAGAGCTGAGTTCAAATCCTGAATATCCTTGTTAATTTTCTGTCTCATTGATCTGTCTAATATTGACAGTGGGATGTTAAAGTCTCCCGCTATTATTATGTGGGAGTCTTAGTCCCTTCGTACGTCTGTAAGAACTGGTTTTATGAATCTGGGTGCTCCTGTATTGGGTACCTATATGTTTAGGATAGTTAGCTCTTCTTGTTGCATTGATCCGTTTACCATTATGTAATGCCCTGCTTTTTCTTTTTTGATCTTTTTTGGTTTAAAGTCTATTTTGTCAAGGACTAGGATTGCAATCCCTGCTTTTTTCTGGTTTTGCTTGGTAAATTTTCCTCCATCCCTTTATTTTGAGCCTATGTGTGTCTTTGTATGTGAGATGGGTCTCCTGACTACAGCACACCAATGGGTCTTGACCCTTTATCCAGTTTGCCAGGCTATGTCTTTTAATTGGGGCATTTAGCCCATTTACATTTAAGATAATACTGTTTTGTGTGAATTTGGTCATGTCATCATGATCCTAGCTGGTTATTTTACACACTAGTTGATGCTGTTTCATCATAGTGTCATTAGTCTTTATATTTTCATGTGTTTTGCCATGGCTGGTACTGGTTTTTCCTTTCCATGTTTAGCGCTTCCTTCAGGAGCTCTTGCAAGGCAGGCTGGATGGTGATGAATTCCATTGGTATTTGCATTTCTGAAAAGGATTTTTATTTATTCTTCCCTTATGAAGCTTAGTTTGGCTGGATATGAAATTCTGGGTTAAATTCTTTTCTTTAAGAATGTTGAATATTGGTCCCCACTCTCTTCTGGCTGGTAGCATTTCTGCTGAGAGATTCACTGTTAGTCTGATGAGCTTCCCTTTGTATAGGCCCTGGCCTTTGTCTTTGGCTGCCTGTAACATTTTTTTCCTTCATTTTAACCTTGGAGATTTTGATGGTTATGTGTCTTGGGGTTGATCTTCTTAGGAGTGTCTTAGTGGTGTTCTCTATATTTCCCAAATTTGAATGTTGTCCTGTCTTGCTGGGTTGGGGAACTTTTTCTGGATAATATCCTGAAGTGTGTTTTCCAACTTGATTCCATTCTCACCATCACTTTCAGGCACTCCAATCAGTTGTAGGTTCAGTCTTCTTACATAGTCCCATATTTCTTGGAGGTTTCTTCATTCCTTTTTCTTTTTTTTTTTCTCTAACCTTGTCTGCCTGCCTTATTTCAGCAAGATAGTCATCCATCTCTGATATTCATTCTTCTGCTTGATTGATTTGGCTATTGATACTTGTGTATGCTTCACGAAGTTCTCATGTTGTGTTTTTCAGCTCCATCTGGTCATTTGTGTTCCTCTTTATACTAGGTATTCTAGTTTGCAGCTCCTGTAACCTTTTATCAAGGTTGTTAGCTTCTTTGCATTGGGTTAGAACATGCTCCTTTACCTTAGTGAAGTTTGTAATTACCCACCTTCTGAAGCCTACTTCTGTCAATTCGTCCATGTCATCTTCTGTCCAGTTCTGTGCCCTTACTGGAGTGGTGTAGTGATCATCTGGTGGAGAACTGACATTCTGACCTTCTGGGTTTTCAGTGTTTTTTCATGGATTATTTCTCATCTTTGTGAGTTTGTCTAGTTTCAGTCTTTGAGGCTGCTGACCCTTGGATGAGGTTTTTATGGGGACTCTTTTTTTGTTGATGCTGTTGTTGTTGCTTTCTGTTTTTTTCTTTCAATAGTCAGCTCCCTCTTCTGTAGGGCTGCTGTGGTTTGCTAGGGGGTTCACTTCAGGCCCTATTCATCTGATTCACTACCACACCTGGAGATGTCACTCATGGAGGCTGGAAAATAGCAAAGATGGGTGCCTGCTCCTTCCTCTGGGATCTCTGACCTCGAGAGGCACTGACGCGATGCCAGTAGGAATGCTCCTGGATAGGGTGTCTGACAACCCCTAGTGGTAGGTTTCACCCAGTTGGGTGGCACATGAAGCAGTACTCATTTAACCAAGTACTTTGGCTGCCCCTTGGTGGAGGGGGTGTGCTGTGCTGGAGGGAAACCCCCTTGTCTGGGTTGCCTGGATTTCTCAGAGCTAGCAGGAGGAAAGACTAAGTGTGCTGGTCTGCAGAGACTATGGCCACCTCTCCCCTAGGGACTCAGGCTCAAGGAGATCAGAGTTCTGTCCCTGAGCCCCTGGCTGGAGTTGGAGTTCCTGCAGGGAAGCCCTGCAGCTGCAGGGGCTGCCTCCCCTCCCCCAAGAGATCAGCAGCCTTAGAAGGCAGCCGCAGCAGTGGTGATGGCCAATGCTCCCCCCAGGAACTCTGCAGGCTTAGGCAGATTCTAGCTTAGTGGCTGTTGAGAATCTGTGTGGCTCCGTGGTTCACAGCCAAGGCCCTGGAGGCATGGGCTCACAAGTGGAATTTTCCAATCCATGGGTTTCACAGTTTTGTAGGTAAAGCACAATTTCCCAGGCTGGGTAGCATGCTCACTCACTGCCTCCCTTGGCTGGGGATAGGGGCTCCTCTGCCCTGTGTGGCTCTCAGGTGGACCACCCACACCACACTACTCTTCCTTTCCCTCCGTAAGTCATGCCAGCTGCCTAGTCAGTCCTAATGACAGATCTGGATACCTCAGTTGCTGGTGCATGATTCACACCCTGTTTTGGATCTTTTTGATGGGAGCCTGCAATCACCACTACTTCTGGTTGGTCATCTTGGCCTCCCTCATCCCCTTATCAATGTTTTCAGTTTTCAGTGTACAAGTCTTTCACCTCTTTGGGTAAATTTATTTCTTGGCATTTTATTTTTTGTATGCGGTCATAATGGATTATTATTTTTTTAAAATTTTTGGCTAGGTCATGATTTACGTATAGAAGTCCCACAGATTTTTGCATGCTGATTTTGTATTTTTCAACTTTACTGAATTTATTTATCAGTATGAATAGATTTTTTGGTGTAGTCTTTGGAATTTTTACATAAAGAATCATGCCATCTGCAAGTAGAAATAACTGTTTCTTCCTTTTCAGTTTGAATAATTTTTCTTTTTGTCTGATTGCTCTTGATAGTAATTCAAGTAGTATGTTGAATAAAGTGGTGAAAATGGGGCATTCTTATCTTGAACAGTTCTTAAAAGAAAAGCTTTCAGTTTATTCCTCCCCAGATCTTAGAGGAAAAACTTTCCATTTCTACCCATTTGTTATGATGTTTGCTGTGAATATTTCATAAATAGCCTTTATTAGGTTGATGACAGTTAGCTTCTATATCTAAATTGTTAAGAGTTTTTAATCAAGAAAAGATGTTGAACTTTGTTGAATACTTTTTTTTGCACCAATTTAGATAATCATGAGGTTTTTGTCATTCACTCTCAATGTTATCTATCACATTGATTTATTTGCATGTATTAAACTACCCTTGCATGCCAGGGATAAATGACTTGATTATGACGTGTAATCTTTTTGATATGTTGTTAAATTCGATTGGCTATTTAATTAATAATTTTTGCATTAATATTCAGAGATTTTGACCTGTAGTTTGCTTGTGATATTTATCTGGCTTAGGTGATACTGGCCTAAGTACTCCCTCCACCAACTCTATTTTTTATTTTTTTGTGGAATTTTGAGAAGTACAGGCACACATTTGAGATACCGTAGGTTTAGTTCTACACAACTGCAAGATAGCAAATATAACAATAAAGTGAGTCATCCTAACTTTTTAGTTTCCCACTGAACATAGACGATATGTTTCCACTATACTATAGTCTGTTATATGTGCAATACCACTTGTCTAAAAAAAATTGTTCAAACCTTAATTAGAAAATACTTCATTGCTAAAAAATGTTATCAATCATCTAAACTTTTAGTAAGTCTTTTTTTTTTTTTTTTTTTTTTTTTTGCTGTTGGAGGGTCTTGCCTCACTTTTGATGATTGCTGATCTAGTTGGTGGTTACTGAAGGTTTGGTGGCTGTGGCAATTGTAAAAAAAGAAAATAAGAAGACAACAATGAAGTTTACCGTATTGATCAACTCTTCCTTTAACAAAAGATTTCTCTGTAGCATGCAATGCTGTTTGATGGTGTTTTCCCCACAGTAGAACTTATTTCAAAATTGGAGTCAGTCCTTTCAAAGCTTGCCACTGCTTTATCAACTAAGTTTGTGTATTACTCTAAATCCTTTGCTGTCATCTCTACAACATTCACAACATCTCCAAGAGTAGATTCCATCCAAGAAACCACTTTCTTTGCTTCTCCTTAAAAAGCAACTCCTCGTTTTTCAACTTTTATGATGAGATTGCAGCAATTTAGTGACATCTTCAGGCTTCACTTGTAATTGTCTTGCTATTTCCACTACATGTTCAGTAATTTGCTTTATTTAAGTATTGAACTCTTCAAGACTATCTGTGAAGGTTAGTATCAACTTCTTCCAAACTCTTATTAATGTTAATATTTTGACCTTCCTCCCATGAATCACAAATGTTCTGAATGGCATCTAGAATAGTGAATCCTTTCCAAAAGGCTTTGAATTTACTTAGCCCAGATCCATCAGAAGAATCACTTTCTGTGGTAGATGTAATCTTATAAATGTATTTAAGTGATGAGAATTCAAAGTCAACATTATTCTTTGATCCATGGGCTGCAGAATGAATGTTGTGTTAGCAGGCATTAAAATACTAATCTCCTTGTACATCTCTATCAGAGCTCTTGGGTAACCAGGAGCATAGTCAATGAGCAATATTTTGAAAAGAATATTTTTCTTAGTAGGTTTCAACAGTGGGTCTAAAATATTCAGCAAACCATGCTGTAAATAAATGTGCTATAATCTACTCTTTGTTCCATTTATAGACCACAGGCAGAGCAGATTTAATAAAATTCTTTTTTCCATTTACAGGCCACAGACAGTAGATTTAACATAATTCTTAAGGGCTATAAATTTGGAATGGTTATTGAACATTAACTTAAACTTAGTTGTCAGCTGCGTTAGTTCTTAAAAAGAGAGTCAGCCTATCTTTTGAAGCTTTGAATCCAGGTGATAGGGTTTAGCTGTTTCCCCCACCCAAAATCTCATGTTGAATTTTAATCCTCATAATTCCCATGTGTCAAGGGAGAGACCAGGTGGAGATAATTGAATCATGGAGACAGTTTCCCCCATGCTGTTTTCATGATAGTGAGTGAGTACTCATGAGATCTGATGGTTTTATAAGTGTTGAGTAGTTCCTCCTGCATTCATTCCCTCTACCGCCTCCTGGTGAAGAAGGTGCATGCTTCTCTTTCATCTTCCACCATGACTGTAAGTTTCCTGAAGCCTCCCCAGCCATGTGAAACTGTGAGTCAATTAAACCTCTTTTTTTTAATTTTTAAATTTTTTAATTTTTGTTAATCATATTTTTATTTATTTAATGCATTACTTTACACTCTCACAGAAATGAGAGATGAAGGGGACAGGGCAAACCCAGGAAAACTTAGCCCAGAGCTCTTCCATCTAACAGGGAGTCTTAGACCTATACTTTCTACTTTTTAAGAAAAATAACTCACTTACTAAAAACAGAATTTTGAAGTTAACATTCTTCTTCAAAATTATCAAAGACATTTAAAAAGTTCCATTAAGTAATATCACTTCTCCAAACATGTTTGTATGCATGAACTCTTAAAGCATTTTCTTCAATTCAACTACATTCTTTATTATTATTATTATTATACTTAAAGTTTTAGGTTACATGTGCACAACGTGAAGGTTTGTTACATATGTATACATGTGCCATGTTGGTGTGCTGCACCCATTAACTCGTCATTTAGCATTAGGTATATCTCCTAATGCTATCCCTCCCCCCTTCCCCCACCCCACAACAGGCTCTGGTGTGTGATGTTCCCCTTCCTGTGTCCATGTGTTCTCATTGTTCAATTCCCACCTATGAGTGAGAACATGTGTTGTTTGGTTTTTTGTCCTTGCGATAGTTTACTGAGAATGATGGTTTCCAGCTTCATCCATGTCCCTACAAAGGACATGAACTCATCATTTTTTATGACTGCATAGTATTCCATGGTGTATATGTGCCACATTTTCTTAATCCAGTCTATGATTGTTGGACATTTGGCTTGGTTCCAAGTCTTTGCTATTGTGAATAGTGCCACAATAAACATACATGTGCATGTGTCTTTATAGCAGCATGATTTATAATCTTTTGGGTATATACTCAGTAATGTGATGGCTGGGTCAAATGGTATTTCTAGTTCTAGATCCCTGAGGAATTGCCACACTGACTTCCACAATGGTTGACTAGTTTACAGTCCCACCAACAGTGTAAAAGTGTTCCTATTTCTCCACATCCTCTCCAGCACCTGTTGTTTCCTGGCATTTTAATGATCACCATTCTAACTGGTGTGAGATGGTATCTCATTGTGGTTTTGACTTGCATTTCTCTGATAGCCAGTGATGATGAGCACTTCTTGATGTGTTTTTTGGCTGCATAAATTTTTTTTAAATTACCTAGTCTCAGGAATGTCTTTATAGCCATGTGAGAACAGACTAATAGACCAGGCATTTACTTCTCTCTGACTTCGAAAGCCCTAGGTGACACCTCTTCCAATAGAAGGCTGTTTTTTCCACGACAAAAACTTGTTGCTCCGTGTAACTACCTTCATCAATTATCTTAGTTAGATCTTACAGAAACTTGCTGTAGGTTCTCTGTCAGCACTTGCTTCTTTACCTTACATTTTTATGTTATACAGATGGATTCTTCCTTTAAACATCATAAACTGGTATCTGCTATCTTTAAACTTTTCTTTTTCTTTTTCCTTATTTTTGAGATGACGTTTTGCTCTTGTTGCCCAGGCTGGAGTACAATGGCACAATCTCGGCTCACTGTAACCTCCGCCTCCTGGGTTCAAGCGATTCTTCTGCCTCAGCCTCCCAAGTAGCTAGGACTACAGGCAGGTGCCACCATGCCCGGCTAATTTTTTAAATATATTTCAGTAGAAATGGGGTTTTGTTATGTTGGCCAGGCTGGTCTCGAACTCCTGGCCTCAATGATCTGCCCACCTCGGCCTCCCAAAGTGCTGGGATTACAGGCCTGAGCCACCCTGCCCAGCCAGCTTTAAATTTTTCTTCTGCAGATTTCTCATTGTAGCCTCATAAAGTTGAAGAGAGTTAGGGCCTTGCTCTAGATGAGGCATTGATTTAAGGCTATGTTGTGGCTGATTTGATCTCTTACTGACTACTAAAACTTTTTCTATATCAACAATAAGGCTGTTTGTCCATCATATAATTCATCTGTTCACTGGAGCAACACTTAGCTTCCTTTAAGAACTTTTCGATTGTGTTCTCAACTTGTCTTAGCTGTTTGGTACAAGAGGCCTGGCTTTTGATCTGTCTTAGCTTTTGACATGCCTTCTTCAATAAGCTTAATCATTTCTAGCTTATGATTTAAAGTGAGAGACATGTGACTCTTTCTTTTACTTGAACACTTTCAGGTCATTTAGCTTATCTTAGAGGATTATTTAGCTTAATATTTTTGTAACTCAGGGAATAGGGAGGCCCAAGAACATGAGGAGAGATGGGAAGATGGCTGGTTAACGAAGCAGTTAGAACACACGCATTTGTAAGTTTTTCATCTTATATGGGAATGGTTCTTGGCATCCCAAAACAGTTACAAAAGTAATGTCAAAGATCTCTATAAATAATCACAGATCTCTATAAATAATCACAGATCTCTATAAATATTTAATAATACAGTTTAATATATTGAGATAGTTATCACAATGTGACAGAGACGTGAAGTGAGCATATGCTATTGGGAAAAATAGTGACAGCAGACTGTTTGAAGCAGGGTTACACAAACCTTCAATTTGTTAAAAACAACACATTTCCTGTGAAGCACAATAAAGCAAAGTGCAATAAAATGAGATATGCCTGTCTTGATATTAATTTTTCTTTGACAGTTTGATAGAATTCAGCTATGAAGGTATTTGGTCCTGGGCTTTTCTTTTTTGGGAGATTTTAAATTACTGGTTCAATCTCTGTGTGTGTTACTATCTGTTAAGGGTTGTCATTTCTTTCTGATTCAACCTTCGTAGTTGTATTTTTCTAGAAATTTATCTGCATTCTCTAGATTACTATATTTGTTGACATATAATTGTTCCTATAACCTTTTCAAAACATTTCTGAGATATGTACTGTAATATCTACAGTTTTATTTCTGGTTTTATAGATTTGGGCTTTTTCTTCACCTAGCCAGGGATTTGTCAATTTTGGTTATTTTTTCAAGAACTCAACTCTAGTTTTATAATTTTTTTCTCTTTTTTTAATCCTCTATTTGTTTTATTTCCATTCTATATTATTCCTTCTGGAAACTTTGGGTTTATACTTTTTCTACCTCCTTGAAGTATAATGTTAAGCTATCTATTTGAGATATTTCTTTTTTTTATTGTAGGAATTGATTGTTATAAACCTAGAACTTTTTCTGTATCCCATAGGTTTTGGTATTTTTTTTCCCATTGTTTGTCTTGAGATATTTTTAAAATTTCTCTTTTGATTTTTTAATTTGACCCATTGATTATTCAGGAGCATGTTTAACTTTCATATTTGAGAATTTTCCAAATTTGCTTTCATACCATTGTGGTCAAAAACTACACTTGATAAGATTTTGACTTTTGACTTTTGACTTTTGACTTTTTTTTCTTTTTTTTTTTTTTTGACAGTCTCACTCTTCCACCCAGGCTGGATTGCAGTGGCATGATCTCAGCTCACTGCAACCTCTGCCTCCTGGGTTCAAGTGATCCTCCTGCCTCAGATTCCTGAGTAGCTGGGACTACAGGCACCCGCCATCACCCTGGCTAATATTTGTATTTTTAGTAGAGATGGGGTTTCACCATGTTGGCCAGGCTGGTCTCAAACTCCTGACCACAAGTGATCTGCCTGGCTCAGCCTCCCCAAATGCTGGGATTACTGGGGTGAGCCACTGCACCTGGCTGATTTTGATCTTTTTAAATTTGTTAAGACTCATTTTGTAGCCTAATATATGGTCTATCTTGGAAAATGTTCAATGTGCCCTAGAGAAGAATGTGTTTCCTGTTGCTGTTGGATGAAAAGTTCTGTACATATTTGTTAGATCTATTTCCTCTGAAGTGCAGTTCAATTATAGTATTTTCTTATTACTTTTTGTCTACTTGATCTGTTCATTGTTGAAAGTAACATACTGAAGTCCCCTTCTGTTATTGTATTGCTATCTATTTCTCTCTTCATGTCCATTAATATTGGCCTTATATGTTTAGGTGCTCTAATGTTGGATTCATAGATACTTACAATTGCCATGTTCTCTTGGTGAATTGAATTCTTTATCATTAAATAATGAGTTGCTTTGTCTCTTGATCTGAAGTTTATTTTTTCTGATATAAATCAGCATAGCCATCCTGGATCTCTTTTGGTTATAATTTGCATGAAATGTCATTTTCTATCCCTTCAGTTTCATTCTATGTATGTCCTTAAAGCTATAGTGGATCTATTGTAGTTAGCATATAGTTGAATCTTGTTTATTTTTCTATTCATTCTGCCAGTTTATGAATTTTGACTGGATAATTTAATCAGTTTACATTTAAAGTAATTACTGATACATAAGGATTATTCCTGCCATTTTGTTGTTTTCTTGTTTTGTAGATTTTTTTTGTTTCTTTTTTCTTCTCTTTTTGCTTTGGTGATTTTCTGTAATGCCAAGCTTTTATTTCTTTTGATCATTTGTGTATTTACTATAGTTTTTTTCTTTGTGATTACCATGAGGCTTACACAAAATATCAGAGTTAAAACAGACTATTTTACACTGATAACTTCAGTCACATACAAAAACTCCAGACTTTAACCCTACCCTCTACAATTATATTTTTGATGTCACAATGTACATCTTTTTATGTTGTTCTTATCAACTTATTGTAGCTATACTTATTTCTGACTGTTTTGACTTTAACTTTCATACTGGAGAGATAAAGGAGTTACAGACCACCATTACAGTATTGAAGGATTCTGAATTTTACTATATACTCACCAGTGAATTCCATACTTCCATGTGTTTTTATGACAGTAATTATGGTCATTTTATTTCCAGTTGAAACGTTTGGATAAGCATTTCTTATAAAGCAAATCTAGTGCTGATGAATTACCTTTTTAATTTATTGATGGAGTCCTTCAACACAGAAAAGTTTTACAATTTTAGTCATGTCAAATTATCTTTATTTTGCTGCTGATGTTGCTTATGCTTTTATTGTATCATGTTTAAGGGTCTCATCTAAGGTTACAAAGTTTACTTCTGTTTCTTTTAAGGCTTTCATAATTTTAGCTTTTGCATTTATGTATATTATTCATTTTTAATTTGGCATATAAAGCAAGGTACATTTTAAAATACATTCTTTTGTCATCTAGTTGTCCCTGCACCAATTATTGAAAAGACTATTATTTCCCCCATTGTAATGTCTTGGTATCCTTGTTGAATATCAGTTGACCATAAATTGAGTGTTTATTCTGAAATTTCAAATCTTTTGAATTAATCTCTGTGCCTATCCTTATGCCAGAACCAACCTGTCATGATTTCTAGTTTTATAGTAAGTTTTGAAACCAGGAAGAATAAAAGAGTAAGACTTTCAAGTTTGCTTTTTTTCTTCTTGAGACTATTTTGGCAATTCAATTTTCTTTGCATTTCTAATTGAATTACAGAATCAGTTTGACTAATGCAGCCCCCCTCCACAAAAAAAAAGCCAGATGAGATTTTTATGAGAATTTTGCTTAATCTATAGAACAATTCAGATAAATTGCCATTTTAACAATGTTAATTCATTATGTCTATCCATTTGTTTAGATATTTATTTTTATAATATTTTATAGTTTTTAGCATACAATTCTTGGTTAAATTTGTTCATAGACATTTCATTTGTTATGCTGCTGTAAAAAATGGGATTTTCTTTATTTAAATTTTAGATTGTTCATTACAATTGCTCATAGAAATTTAATTGATTTTTGTACACTGATCTTGTGACTTGCTTCATTGCTGAATTTGTCAGTTCTCGGTATTTCTAGTGGATTCCTTAGGATTTTCTGTATACAAGATCATGTCATCTGCAAATAGGGATACAAGTTGAGTATCCCTTATCTAAAATAAATGGCACCAGAGTGGTTTGGATGTCTGATTTATTTTTTGGAACTTTGGAACTTGCAAAATACATACCAATGGAGCAATCCACATTGCTAATCTGAAAATCTGAAATTCACAATGATCCAGTGAGCATTTCCTTTGAGCATCATATCAGTGCTCAAAATGTTTCAAATTTTGGAGCTTTTGAGTTTTCAAATTTTTGGATTAGTGATGTTCTGTCATTTCATTTTTTTCTTTATAAGTTTGAATGTTTTTTATTTGTTTTTCTTGACTAATTTTTCTGGCTAGATCCTCAAGTACAATGTTTAATAGGAGTCCTAAGAGTAGTTGTCTGTGTCTTTTTCCTGATTTTAGGCAGAAAACATTGTGTTGATTCATGTGTGGTGTTTGCTCTGGGTTTTGTTTTGTAGAGTCTTTTTATCTGCTTAAGAAGTTTCTTTCTATTCTTAATTTGAAGTATCTTTTTTTTAAAATTATGCAGGGTATTGGGTTTGGTCAAAGGCTTTTTCTGCATCTATTAAGATAAACATGTGATTTTTGTTTAGTATATTACATTTTATTACATGTTAATTTATTATTTACTATTTTTAAGACAGTAAATAACCTTTGCAGTACTGAGATAAATCCATATACTAGTTGGTCATGGTAAATTATCCTTTTAAAATGTAGGATTCAGTTTGCTAACACTTTTTTTTGGTGGGTATTTAGTTTATATACTTAGAGGATCTTGTTCTATAGTGTTCTTTCCTTGTGATACATTTGTATATCGGTATCATAAAATGAGTTCAGATGTGTTCACTGTTTCTTTGAAAGAATTTGTAAATAATTGTTACCAATTCTTCTAAGATGTTGCTATAATTCACTTGTGAAGCCATCTGGACCTGGGCTTTATTTGTTGGATGTTTTAATATTACCAATTCAATCTATTCAGTCTCTTTGCTTGTTGTTAGTTTATTAATATTATGTACTTTTTTTGAGTCCATTTTTGTAGTTTGAGTCTTTCTATGAATTTGTCCATTTCATCTAGGTTGTCTTATTTTTGTAAGAAGTTCCCTGATTTCTTTCTTGACTTATTACTTTGAAACTTCTCTATTTTTTTTTCTTTTTTTTTGGTTAAAGTTGTCTTATTTTTATATCTTTTCAAAAAATCAACTTTTGATTTTATTGGCTTATTCTCTATTTTTCTCATCTCTATATTATATCATTAATTTCACTTTTGACTTTATTTCATTTTTTCTGCTTGATTTAGAATTAGTTTGTACCTCCTTTTCTATTTTTTAATATTAAAGATTAGTTTAGCCATTTGAGACTTTAAAAAAAATATGTATTTGTAGCTGCAACTTTCCCTCTGAGAGCTGCTTTACCTGCCCATAAAATGTGATATATGTTGTGTTTTCATGTTTGTCGGAAAGTAATTTCACTTGTAATTTCAGTTATTGATTATTTAGATGTTGCCAGATTTTATTCTGTTATTGATTTCTACCTTAATTACATTGCAATTAGAGAACATTATTTGTATGGGTTTAATTCTATGAAATTTATTGAGCCTTGTTGTATGGCCCAGCATATGATCTATCCTGGAGAATTTACACTCTGAGTTTGAGAAAAATATATATTCTGCTGCTGGGTGGAGAATTCTATAGATGTCTGTTAGGGCTCCTTGGTTTACAGTGTTGTTCAATGTTTTTCTTTCTTTTTTGATCACCTTTCTAATTCTATACAGCATTGAAAATGAAGTTTTGAAGTCTTCAACTATTATTGTTGAATTGTCTAATTCTCAAATCAGTTATGTTGGTATTGCTTTATACATTTTGAGACTCAGTAAGTGCATGTATGTTTATAATAGTATATCTTCCTGATTGATTGAACCTCTGATTATTATAAAATGTTCTTCTTTGCATCTGATAACAATTTTTTCCTTAATGGCTGTTTTGTCTGATATTAGTATAGCCACTGCCAGTTGCTATTTGATTTCTGTATATCTTCTATATTTTTCTCCTCTCTATTCTTCAATTCCCTTTATTGTTTTCAAATAAATATTTTCTCGTGTGTATCTTAAATTTTCTTGTTTCTTTTATAACTCTGTGGTCATTTTTCTGGTTATTCTCCTTGGGGAATATAATTAGCATCTCAAAAGAATCTAGTTTGAATTAATACTAACATATTTTCAACATTATACAAATCCTTGCTCTAATTTCATCCTCCTTATGAATTTCATCATTAGATTATAAATCAATGAAAAAAAATTTATAATTATTTGTGGATTTATAAAGCTATCCACTAAAATAAATAGAAGAAAAAAGATACCATTAAAATAAATTTATACTGACTTTCATAATCATGGTATAATTACTTTTACTGGTACATTTTATTTCTTTGTATGAATTTGAATTACCATCAAATGCCCTTTCACCCTGAAGACCTCCCTTAAGTATTTCTTAAAGGGTAGATTTGCTAGCAATGAATTCTGTCAGTTTTTATTTATCTGAAAATGTCTTAATCTATCCATTTTGAATGGTAAATTAGCTAGATATAGAATTCTTGGTTGATAGTCTTTTTCTTGCAAAACAATGAAGATACTATCCCACTGTCCTTTTGGTTCAATGGCTTCTAATAAAAAGTCTATTAATCTTATTGAGTGTTCTTATGTATGTCATTATTCTCCTGCTGCTTTCAGGATTTTATGTTTGTGTGTGTGTGTGTGTGTGTGTGTGTGTGTGTGTTTTCCAATTTGCCTAAGATGTGTCTTGGTATAGATTTCTGAGTATATTCTACTTGAGCTTCTTTAATGAGTGGACTAGTATTTTTCATCAACTTTATCAAGTCTTTGGCTATCATTTCTTCAAATAATTTTCCTGCCTTTTTATCTTTTTCTTTTGGAACTCTCATTAAGTATACATTGGTATGCTCGGTGGTGTCCCACAGGTCTGTGAGGCTCTGCAGTCACTTTCTTCATTTTCTTTGATTCTGTTTTTATAGAATCTTTTTTTTTCTGCTGGCTCAAATCTGTTGTTTGTTCCAGCTGGCAAATTTTCATTTCATTGTAATTTCAGCTATAGAATTTCTATTTGGTCTTTTAAAATAACTTCATCACTATTGATATTTATATTCTCTATTTTGATGAGATATCTTTGTCATACTTTGATTATTTAGGCATGGTTTTATCACTTTAAACAATTATAATTGTTGATAATAGTCTTTGTCTACTAATTCCAATATCTGAGCCTCACTTTGGGACATTTTCCATTGCCTGCTTTCCCCAACCCTCACCATCATGCATGAGATGTACTTCCTTGTTTATTTGCATGTCTCATAATTTTTGCTGAAAACTGGACATTTGGATAATGTATCAACTTTGGTATCAGATTTATTAATTCTCTAACATTTGTTTTTGCTATTCCTGTTTTTCTTTTTCCTGCTTATTGTTCAGCAACTTTCCTGAAATAATTCTGTAGCTTCTAAATTTTCTGCAGTTTGTGGACTCCAAGTTTGGTTCTGCTGTGTCCCCACCCAAATATCAACTTGAATTGTATCACCCACATTATCATATAATGTGGGAGGGACCTAGGGGGATGTAATTGAATCATGGGGGCTGGTGTTTCCCCTGCTATTCTTGTGATAGTGAATAAGCCTCACAAGATCTGTTGAGTTTATCAGGGGTTTCCTCTTTGCTTTTCTCTCATTTTTCTCTTGCTGCCACCATATAAGAAGTGCCTTCTGCCTCCCACCATGATTCTGAGGCCTCCTAAGCCATGTGGAACTGCAAGTCCAATTAAACCTCTTTTTGTTCCCAGTTTCGGGTATGTCTCTATCAGCAGTGTGAAAATGGACTAATACATTGAATTGATACCAGGAGAGTGGGGTGTTTCTGAAAAGATACCCAAAAATGTGGAAGCAACTTTGAAACTGGGTAACAGGCAGAGATTGGAACACTCTGGAGGGCTCAGAGGAAGACAGGAACATGTGGGAAACATTGGAACCTCCTAGAGACTTGAATGGCTCTGACAAAAATGATAGTGATATTAACAATAAGGTCCAGGCTGAGGTGGTTTCAGATGGAGAAGAGGAACTTGTTGGAAACTGGAGCAAAGGTGACTCTTGTTACATTTTAGCAGAGACTCACCTAGCCTCCCAGACTACATCTTTCTCCCATGCTGGATTCTTCCTGCCCTCAAACATTGCACTCCAAGTTCTTCAGTTTTGGCACTCAGACTGGCTCTTCTTTCTCCTCAGCTTCCAGATAGCCTATTGTGGGACCTTGTGATCCCACAATATATAAGATATATATCTTACTAGTTTTATCCCTCTAGAGAACCCTGATTAATACAAATTTTGATACCAGGATTTTGCCCCTGCCCTAGAGATTTGTGGAACTTTGAAATTGAAAGGGATGATTTTTAGGGTATTTGAGGAAGAAATTTCTAAGCAGCAGAGCATTCAAAAGGTGACTTGGGTGCTGTTAAAAGCATTCCATTTAAAGAGGGAAACAGAGTATAAATGTTCAGGAAATTTGAAGCCTGATGATGCAGTAGAGAACAAAACAATTTTTTGAGGAGAAATTCAAGCTGGCTGTAGAAATTTGCATAGGTAGCAAGCAGCCTAATGTTAATCCCCAAGACCATGGGGAAAATGTCTCCAGGCCATGTCAGAGACCTTCATGGCAGCCCCTCCCATCACAGGTTCAGAGGCCCAGGAGGAAAAAGTGGTTTCATATGCTGGGCCCAGGATCCACGTGCTGTGTGCAGCCTAGGGACTTGGTGTCCTGTGTCCCAGTTGCTCCAGACGTGGCCGAAAGGGGTCCATGTACAACTCAGCTGTGACTTCAGAGGGTGGAAGCCCCAAGCCTTGGCAGCTTCCACATGGCGTTGAGCCTGCAGGTGCACAGAAGTCAAGAATTGAGGTTTGGGAACCTCCACCAAGATTTCAGAAGTTGTATGGAAATGCCTGGATGCCCAGGGAAAGGTTTGCTGTAGGGGTGGGGCCCTCTTGAAGAACCTCTGCTGGGGCAGTGTGGAAGGAAAATGTGGTGTTGGAGCCCTCACACAGACCCTCTTCTGGGACACTACCTGGTGTAGCTGTGAGAATAGGGCCATCATACTCCCGACCCCAGAATGGTAGATCCACTGGCAGCTTGCACTGTGCACCTGGAAAAGCCACAGACACTCAAAGCCAGCCCATGAAAGCAGCCAGGAGGGAGGCTGTATCCTGCCAAGCCACAAGGCAGAGCTGCACAGTACCATGGGAACCCACCTTTTGCATCAGCATGACTTGGACATGAGACCTGGAGTCAAAGAAGATCATTTTGGAGCTTTAAAATGTGACTGCCCTGCTGGATTTTGGACTTGCATGGGCCCTGTAACCCCTTGGTGTTGGCCAATTTCTCCCAGTTGGAATGGCTGTATTTACCCAGTATCTGTACCCCTGTTTTACCTAGGAAGTAACTAGCTTCCCTTTGATTTTACAGGCTCCTGGGCAGAAGAGACTTGCCCTGTCTCAGATGAAACTTTGGTCTGTAGACTTTTGGGTTAATGCTGAAATGAGTTAAGACTCTAGGGGACTGTTGTGAAGGCATTATTGGTTTTGAAATGTGAGGACATGAGATTTTGTAGAGGTCAGGGGTGGAATGATATAGTTTGGCTGTGTCCCCATCCAAATCTCAACTTGAATCATATCTCCCAGAATTCCCAGAAGTTGTGGGAGGGATCCATGGGGAGGTAATTGAATCATGGAGGCTGGTCTTTTTCATGCTATTCTTGTGATAGTGAATAAGCCTCACAAGATCTGATGGGTTTATCAGGTGTTTCCTCTTTTGCTTCTCTCTCATTTTTCTCTTGCCGCTGCCAGAGAAGTGCCTTCCACCTCCCACCATAATTCTGAGGCCTCCCCAGTCATGTGGAACTGTAAGTCTGATTAAACCTCTTTTTGTTCCCAGTTTTGGGTATGTCTTTATCAGCAGCATGAACATTGACTAATACAGAGGGTTTTTGTTTTAAGTTATTTTTAAGTTTGTGTTCTAGGTGTCACATCTGGGTCAGTATAATTCAGTAGTCTGCTAATGATCTATCAGATTTTTAAATGACTTTATGTTTCCTGCTTTTTGCCAGAGGATCTGTGTGAGAAGGTTATTTCAAACTTCACACATTTTGTACACAACCTTAGATTTTACTTCTGGGTTATGCAGGCTTTAAGGCCAATCAAAGGTGTGCAACTGGTGCCTTTTTCTGTTTCATCTTTCTTTAGCATGTACACATTTTTCTAGAACCTCCAAAATATGACTGATGACCTTTTTTAAAGTTCCCTAGTCATGTAGTTCTCCAGGTTATCCTTTTAAATTACTTACTACACCCCTATTTTTCCTAACTAAAATCATATTCTTAGGTAGCTGAGAACTTGGCAGTGGCTCATTATTGATTCAGTAATGTATCGGAGGTTTGCTTACCTTTCTTCTGACAAATTAACAGATGACTGAATGGTATGATTAAATTACCAGTTATTTCCTAGAATTGTCTATGCTACTATTGTTGTCTATGAGAACTGCTAATTATTGGCTTCCTTTCATATGCATTAAGTTCATGAGATCCTAATTATGATGTTGAAACATACAGACATTTATCTTGCCAGGCACTGTTCTAGGGACTTGGTACATAAATAATAAAATTTATTTGGAAACTATTAATTAAATTTTGTATATTTAAAAAACTTTTGAGGGTGCATAGTAGGTGTATGTATTTATGGGGTACATGAGATGTTTTGATACAGGCATGCAATGTGAAATATAGAAGCCATTTATTGAGTATATGTTCAACCCAGTGCTTGCCTGAGGATACAGAAACGACATATATGTGAATTTTAGAAAACATTAATGCATTTTTATTAAAAACTTATTTTAAAATATTAAACTACACATCATCAGTCCTCATTTATCTAGCTTGCAACCTCATAACCAGTGGGAGATAGGCAGGGGGATGGACAGAACTTATGGAAAATACCAGGATTTTATCTTATGTTTATTACTCATAGGTAGGCTGAAATCCAGATCCACTAATTACATTACTTTCTGCGTGTGTGGTTTTTAGATTTCTACAGTCTTTCTCTTAAGATTTAGGAATATAGAAACCATGTCTTCATCACTGGTGCTTCCCTTACTCTCTAGCATAGTTAGTGTTTACTGTATATTTTGCTCAATGAATGAATGCTACCTTAGAGCTGCCTGCCTTAAGCAGGCACAATAATTTTTTTTCTCATATGATAGATTGCAAAAGACTCACACAGAGTAAATCAGTGGAATGTAGAAAACTGCTAAAGCCTTCTTCCTTAGAATATTTGTCACCACTAGTTGTGAATGTCTTTTCTATTCAACAATTTGCCATGGTTATTATTCTTTTTAAGGCAGATACCACTTTAAGAATTCAGCAAGATATATGTGGGCACTTTCCCTAGGGTGAGAGAAGGATTACATTTATTTATCCCTACACAATCTTTTTCAAACAGTTTTGTGGTTATGAGGGAGAACATTAGATCAATAACCCATTAAGCGGTATTAGTTAAGGCTAGTTTTGCTGTAATATTAGAAGTTGTGAAATCATTAAAACAAGCAAAGCTTCTCTTGTATTCACATTTAGATTCAATGCTTAAGAATTAGTTACAGCTCTAGTACCTGTGCCTTTTCACTCTGGGGTTCAGTATGAAGAAGCAGTGTCTTTCTAGGACACGCTATTCATGTGGTAGAGGGAAAATAATATGTTTGCAAATAGCATTGTTCACATCCACTCACTTGTCATTGGCCAAAGGAAGTCACCTTGGAAAGTCTTATGTTAATGGAATGGGGAGGTACAATTCTCCCATAGGAGGAGGAACCACTAGGTACATAGCTAAGCTGGACTTTGGTAGTCTTCCCAAAGGGCAAGGCAGCAATAATAGAAGTTACTACAAAACCTATCCATAGCCTTAAATAAGAACTTATCACTCTTTTCCCTATGTATATTAGTTAGGGTTCTCCAGAGAAGCAGAACAAATAGGGTATATGTATGCTTCTACAGAGAGTAATTTGTTTTAAGGAATTGGTTCATGTGAATGTAGAGACTGATAAGTCCAAACTCTGTGGTACAAGTCTAAGGGCTGTCAGACTGGAGACTGAAGGAAAAGCTGATATTTGCAACTCAAGTCTGAAGGGTGTCTGCTGACCCTCACTTGTGGGGAGGGTCAGTCTTTTTGTTTGTTCAGGCCTTCACCTGATTTATGAGGCCAACCCACATTGCTCAGGACAATCCGCTGGACTTAAAGTCCATCATCTTAAATATTAATCTCATCTAAAAAAACACCTTATAGAAACATCCAGAATGTTTGACCACATATCTGGGTACCATGGTCCAGCCAAATAGACAAATAAAATTACCACACAATGTATATAGCTGGTCTAGCTTATTTATGTATCTAAGTCATATAATATGAAAAGGTTAGCCCTCACAAGAGATACATTGATCATTTACTTCAATTATGACACTATTCTTAGCATTGGAAGAGATTCAAGATACATAAAAGATACATAAAATTATTCCTACTGTTTCATATGGCCGGAGTCTTGAGTGCTTTTTAAATTGCTATATTGCTAGTATTTAGAATATTTCTCTGCAACATAGAACAAGCTCTTAAACATACGTGTGCATGTGTCTTTATAGCAGCATGATTTATACTCATTTGGGTATATACCCAGTAATGGGATGGCTGGGTCATTGCGGCACTATTCACAATAGCAAAGACTTGGAACCAACCCAAATGTCCAACAATGATAGACTGGATTAAGAAAATGTGGCACATATACACCATGGAATACTATGCAGCCATAAAAAATGATGAGTTCATATCCTTTGTAGGGACATGGATGAAATTGGAAACCATCATTCTCAGTAAACTATCGCAAGAACAAAAAACCAAACACCGCATATTCTCACTCATAGGTGGGAATTGAACAATGAGATCACATGGACACAGGAAGGGGAATATCACACTCTGGGGACTGTGGTGGGGTCGGGGAAGGGGGGAGGGATAGCATTGGGAGATATACCTAATGCTAGATGACACATTAGTGGGTGCAGCGCACCAGCATGGCACATGTATACATATGTAACTAACCTGCACAATGTGCACATGTACCCTAAAACTTAGAGTATAATAAAAAAAAAAAAAAAAAAAAAAAAAAAAAGAACAAGCTCTTAAATATTTTATTAATGAAAGAAAAATTAACAACATTAGCTGGTACACCCCAAGGAGAATACAAGTAGCTGCAAAAGAAGCAGGGGTATATTAAGTGTCAAAATAAAGGTCAACCATATTCTAGGGGAAGCCAAAAGAAGGATAAAAATAGAGTTGCAGATATTGGTAATATTTAAGATACTCTGACATTTAGATAGAAGTCGAATCATGTAGAGAGAAGGAGAAAATATGTGGAGAACATAATACAAACAAGGCACTAAAGTATAAGGGGGAATATCAAATTTGGCTTGCTTGAATAAACTTGCAAAAATAATTTGGTGCCTGGGAAATGTGAGAGAAAGTTGGGAAAATAAGTTGGATAACCATAGTGCGTGGTTCCTCCTAGTAGTAAAATGACGTGATTGATATTATCTTTAAGGAAGGTTTTTCTTACAGTTGTTCAAAGAATAGGCTGTGCCTGAAATTCTTGAAATCAAAATAGTTATAAGGAAGGAAGCTACTGCACTCCAAGCTTGACCTGTGTGGTGGTAGGGGAAGAGTAAACATGTTACCAACAGGAGGCACTGCAGTAAGAGTTGCCAAGTCCCAAGAATGCTGAACTAGACAATTCTAGTTCAGGGAGGAGGAATATCCAGTCTTTATTTGCTTTCTAAAACCTATATTGCCCATAATAAATGAAAATAATATATCTGATTAAAAGAGAATGACAGTTTTGCTCCACTTGGGTACAGTTTTGGGATGCCAGAAAAATGAGACACTGGAGAAACCAATTAAAGACACAAAATGAAAATTTTAAGTGAAACCTTAAAAATAGCTTTGATTGGACATAAAAAAATAACTCTAGGCTTTAAAAATGTTGACATTTCTTTGGATGTCTGAAAAGAAACACAAGGTAATTAGGTTAAAAATTGGTAGTATAGGTACAACCCTTTGGAATAATTCAAATTTAAATGTGAATGTTACATAATCCAGAAGTTCTTCTACTTGGTATCCACTCAAGCAACAAACTTACCATCTACTTCCAAAAGCAGGGTAGTCACTACAGCATTATTGAAATAAACACTTTGAAGAGACAAAAATATGCGTTAATGAGAATAATAATCCATTCTGTAGATTATGTAACAGTTGAAAAGAATAAAGTGCCATGATATATTTCTAAGATATTATTTGTAATGTTCATGTTGTAAAGCCTAAGATATTTGTAATATTTATGTTGTAAAACCCTCATATACCAATAATACATGTTTTCCTATGGGTGCACATATGGATGTAAATGCACAGAAATGCACACAATAGAATAGATATGTAAAAATAACAGTGATTACATATGTAAAAATAACAATGGTTATATCTGAGGAGTAAAATTAATGATGATGTAAATGAGACTTTAGATTTTCTGTAACATGCTGATTTTTAATAAGATTATATTCATATATTACTTGGGTAATTAAAAAACAAATGTATAGAGGAGAAATGTAATTGAGACAGAAAAATATTAATCTTGTATGTGCCTTAGCAAAGACGAAAATACATTATAAATTTAAAGCTCTGAAGCAATTAATCAGAGACAGTCTCTATTGTCACTTTGTACTGAGAGTTGCTAAAAAAAATGCCATGTGAAAGAGCAATCTTGAAATCAAAGTACTGAAATAAAAGCAAATTACAAATATTGGAGAGTTGGCAGGAAAGAAATGGTAAATTATTGGCAAATACAAATGTGAATTTCTGAATTCTAATTGGGCAGAGTAATTGGCTAGATCAATTAGTTGTCATGGTGGTTTGGAAAGTGGAATGATATTTTAGACTATTCGTGCTAAGGCTAAAAACTACAGATGCCTTTTTTCGGGGATTGCACACATAACTGAAAAATCACACACGCTAAAGATTTAATTATGAAATGAAAAACAAACATTTGTTCCATTTTCTGCCAGGTTTTGACCTAGAAAATACTGCTATGATTTGTGAAACAATCTCAACTCTTTTTTTAAAACATATTAAATATAATGTTTTAAATATGTGGAGGATTATTCTTAAACACAACCTAGGTCAGTAATAGTAAGTTCAAAGTTACTATATAAGAAAATACATCCAATAGAATATGGTTTACTACAAAAATTAAACATTTGCGACAGAAGATGAAAATAACAAAATTGAGTACTATAGGGTTTTTTCCCCTTCTCTTGCCCTTTGTTTTTAAGCAGAGTGTTACAGTGTTGTGAAATATGCAAGAGATGATAGAAGATGATGGAATCACAAAATCTCAGGATCTAAAGGTGATCTAACATACATGATCACTCTATTTCTCTCACCTCTCCAGCCCTCCATCAACTTGAATGCTTTGAGTTCATCTGTACTATGTGCTTGAATAGCTCTAGCCTTGGGGAATTTATTCTCAGTAGCCAGAATTCTACCCTTGAATTCCATCGTGGAATAGTCAACGTAGTCAGGAACATTTTAGTTTCCTTATGTCCTGGTCTTTATTGAGGAAATAGTGTATTTTACTTCTCTTTCTGGAAATATCATTTTATAAAAATTTTATGAATAGCATGTTAAAGAATGACATATAAATACAATAAGTTCATATTTACATTTTAAATGTAAAGAATTCCATAGAATTAGATATTTATTTCAGTGATGTTATGGAGCCAGTAAGTTGGTAGGAACTCTAATAAAGGAGAGTAATGCTGAAGGCATAAATAAATATGACCTTCTGGTGGGGAGTGAACCTGGTTTTTCTAAAGGAAAATCATGCTTCACTTGCAGAGCTTTGAGTGGGTAACTAAAATAGATTAGTGAGGGCTAGGGAATATATGTTGTTTAGCCTTCATTTAAATTTTGGCAAAATTACCTCATCAAAGGTTGTTTCCTTAGTCTGTGAATCACAGTGAAAATGAGGTGGGGATGGAGGAGTTGTTTAGTCGTGGATAGGGAATTAGCTTAGTGACAGAAAACAAAGATGAATAGGCACTTTTTACAAGAATAATAATAAATAGTAGAGTCCTCCATAGATTGCTGCTGGGCCTAGATTTATTTAATCTAATCTGGAAAAAGGGCAGTGTCAGAAAAACTCCCAACTTCCATATGTTCTGAAGCTTTTCTGCATAACAAAATGCCACTTTAAGAAGATCTCCTGAGGCAAGATGTGTATAGAGAAGTCACATATGGCTTTATATATAAGCAAGGTTCAGGAAAAGTAATCTAAACTCTTTATATGTTTATAGGAAAGTAGGCCACAAACAAGCTTTTTGACTCAGGAGTGGAATTTGTACTAACTGTGTACAGAAACAAAGTTATTCTTCTGTAGTCAATGAGGTCATTATGACTGTGAGCATCACCAGAAAGAGTAAAAGAAATAAAACAGAGGTATCTATATTCATTTGTCATAAACCATATTTCCTCCTAAAATATTAGGGGAGTTTCCATGTCCTTGACCTAAGGGAAGCAGTCACAGAGTCTAAGACTAATGATTTACATCATCAAGGAAAGCAATGAGGAAACATTTTAAAAATGATAAGAAATTAACAAAGCATAAAAATTAAAGATTTATAAATCTCTAAAGCCTTAAACATTACATATAAGATGTAAATGTAAACATATACACTGGGTACCTGAACTTTTCTTGAGGCTTGAAAAACAGGAAGAAATGAAAGAAAATTGTGTTTGGATATTGACAGGTAAATTTATGAAACTATTGTAATTAGTACAGGTAGAAATAAATGTATTGAGAAACTATTTTATCTAGAATGCTTGTGGGACAGGAAGCTAGATGCAATGTATGGAATATTTCTCCCTCCCATGATTCAGCTATTGAAATTCTAACCCCCAAAAGGATGGTATTTGAGAGAAGGGTATTTGGAAGGTGACTAAGCCATGAGGTCAGGAGCCCTCATGAATGGGATTCGTGCCCTTATAAAATAGGCTGTGGAGATATACCTTGCCCCTTCTGCCACATGGGGATATGATGAGAAGATGGATGCTTACGAAATAGGAAATTGTTCCTCACCAGATACAGAATCTGCTAGCACCTTGAACATGAACTTCCCAGCCTCTAGAGCTGTGGGAAACAAATTTCTGCTGTTTATAAGCTACCCACTTTATGATATTTTGTTATAGCATTGAGGTAAACAAAGACAATAGGGGTATCGTGGATTTGATCATTTGTGTTTTAATTAATGTTATAATAGAAAACCATGCCTTTTACTAAACTACCTTTTGTGCACTTGTTAGATATGTAGGGACAATTTTTTTTTTTTTAAATCATGAAGGCTGGTAAGAGGGGTGAAAAGGCTGTATATCAAAACAGGGAGTTTTGCAATAGCTTCTACATGGAAAAAAAGTATGGAATGTCTACATATATTATCACCTGCATATAATATCAGATTAGGGTAAGAAGATAATAGCCTCACTTTGAAGTTATGAAAATTAATGCTATAATTTAAAACTTCTGCTGATTTATTGTCGTAGAAGACTCTAGTAGAGTTCCCATTTGCTACTACAGATAGGCACCATCACCACAGCATAGACTGAAAGGTTTATCCAAAATGGTATACTGAGTTGAATAGTTTCCCTCTGAAATTCATATCCTTCTCAGACCTTCAGAATATGACCTTATTTGGAAATAGGGTTGTTGCAGACATAATTTGCTAAGATGAGGTCTTACATCAGATTAGGATAAAAAGGTAATACTGGAGTGGTGGGGGCCCCGTATCCAATGTGATCAGTGTACTTAAAAGGGAAAGAGACACAAAGACAGACACACGCATATACACCCACATGAAGATGGACGCAGAGATCACAGTGATCATCTACAGGTCAAAGAACGCTGAAGTGGCATGGAAGGATCCTTCCCTAGAGACATCAAAGTGAGCTGGTCTTGCCAACACCTTGATTGTGAATTTCTAGCCTCTAGAACTTTGAGAGAAGAAATTCCATTGTTTTAAGCCACTCAGTTTGTGGTGCTCTGTTATGGCATCCCTAGGACGCTAATACGCACAGGTCGTGGTGGAGTCTAGATCCTCTCTGCATAATATTGTAGTGATGTTGCAATTGTTGCCTGGAGTGTCTAAGTGTGTTTTCTTCCAAAAATGGACCTTGACTGTTTAGTCTCTGAAAACAGAAAATAAAATTATTTTCTTTGAGAGAAAGGGTATAGTTTCCTTAAACATGGTAGATACTTGACAGAGCTTATTTGAAGATAAAGCTGAGTAGAATTGACTTGATAAGGAGAGGGAAGAAAGGTTATAGAAATAGGCACAAGGCAACTCCCCTCAGAAGAGTTTAATATTTTGAACGACTTCCCTTTAGACTGAGGTAATCACAGTGTCAAGTCTATAATTTCTCCTTTTTCATGTCTGTGTGGTACTTTTGTGGTAGTAGAAGAAACTGTGTCCTGTCCTACATTAAGCCCTCAGAAGTATAAGCACCATTATTGATGGATATCCTAGTATAGGCTTTCATATTGTGACCAGCAAAAGAAATGAAATCCCTAAGAGTAGATGTGAATCATGTTTTGCACATATTAGCAGTGGACAACACTTTAAAACGGAAGGGAAAAGCTGATATTTTAGTTTAATATGAATAATTTTTAAACATTTATAAAATATATTTAATACCTACTAGATGGCAGAAATTGATATAGGACAGGGAAATAAAGGGTGAACAAATAGATAGGATCCATTTTGTTAGCAACTTAAATTACAGTAATCTTGAATAACTCATACAACTTTGCCAAAATGGATATTTTCAGAATGTCTTAAGAGTAATCTTTAGGGAAGGTACAGAAAGAGATTATCAAAATAACCATTTCAAATGTCAACCAGAACTTTTTTGATTAGCACAAGGCAAAACATTGTTTAGATGCTGGAGACAGAAAATAAATTTCATTAAGAATTTATTTATTGATTTGTACAAGGACGAATATACATATACAGCTAAATGCATTTCAATGGCATGGGCCATGATAAAAGCATATACTGTTTGGGCACAGAGGCAGGAGTGGTTGATTGTACAGAATGGGCTGATACTTCATGAAATGTTTCATAGAAGGGGTGAAACTTGAACTGAAAATATGAACAAAGAGAAAAGGAAGCAGAGAAAATAGGTTGGTGAAGGACAGAAGAGTGAAATAGCATAGCACATTCATATTTTCTTACTTTGGCATCTATATCACCACCATCTCACCTTTGTTCTGACAACTAATTCTCTGTACTACAACCAGAGCACATTTTTCCAAACAGAAATTTGGTTATATGGATGGCTTTCCCTTAGGCTTAGGATAAAGCCTCAATTCCTTAAAATGCTTACACAGCCCTGTGAAATTATTTGAAGTATATAGTTTATGCTATTTCTATTCCTGTATTGTTCTCTTTAAGTACTCTGGACCCTCGAATAAAGTCTGGTAAAACTCTACAGCCTTTGTATGTATAAATGCTAATACATGAAATATAGCTATTATAGTCACATAAAGCAAAAATTTAAAGTAAATTTTTCTTAAAATACCTAAATAATGGAACAGAAAATTTCACATTTTTGAGCATTAATTATCAAAATATGAGTCAGTTCTTCATTTCATTCTGGATACTTTTATACACAGCATTGGTTTAATTTTATAAAAAACTGAGTTGTCAAATTTTTTACTTGGTTGGTTTGCATTCCCCAGGCTAGACTGGCCACTATCTGTCTGTTCCACTATTATTGTCCTTGGAAACAGGGCCTGAATTTTTTTTCTTGGCCTGATACTATTCATTCTATAGACTTGGCCTTTTTAAAAAAATTTCAAGAGGGTTGATGTAATTATTACATACTTCTTGATGGGTTTTATTAGACAAACACAAGGTTTATTTCCTTAAGGCTATTTTCTGGTATTTCTTCTAAAATCTGGTATGATTTTAGAAGATCAATAACCTTTCTGTGTATTTTTGCATACATTTTGATATTTTTCTTGCTGTTTAGGTTTAGTTCATGCTTGGAAACTTTTGACCTCTGACTCTGTTACCACTGTCGACAGAATTTTTCAAATCTCTCATCTACTTGGGCAGACAATTCAAGATAAAGAAAACATATACAAGCTGTAAGAAAAATAAATTCACAATGAGTGTTTTTGCCACAGTTGCTAAAAAGTCTGAGAAGCAATATTTATTTGAAGAAAAATATGTCACATAAAAATATGTGTTCATGTGAGACTTTTATGTGGGTTGATGTGATTAAACTCCATTCAAAATTGGTAAGGATCTCAGTTTATATCTTAAATTCAGTGTTTAAGTATGTGTGTAGTTTAGAAAATATTAGTTGGGGATAACACATTCTAAATATATCTATAAAGAAGTGTATGTTTTTATTGTTTTCTACAGGGAAAGTTTAAATTTCAGGTATGTAGGCACAATCCCCTTTGAAATAATTAAGAACTTCATCTATACATGTTAGGATAGAATATCTCATTAAGTTTGCATTATTTATGAGCCAAGGATTGAAATGATTTTGAATGATTTTTCTGCAAACCAAACAATTTTTACATCTTCCTTTGGTGTGACACAAATTTATTTTATCCTCCCCGGGTTACTCGATTTTTGTTTTAAGATGTGTTAAATACCTTTTTGGTAGAAAGGGACTAAGACTTTCTGTTTTGGCTTTAAAATTCATTACTGACTATTTTTCAGTAATTTATGTCAGGAGCCTAGCATTGCTAGGTGGGGGTTTTATAATTCTGAAAGGAAAACATAATTTGATTTTGCTTTCTTATATATCTTCTATTTGTATTACGTTGTAACTTTAAAAAATATTTAGCTGTCTTATATTGATATGTTTTCAAATGTGTGTAAGGAATATTGTTTATCTGAATACATAAAGAGAAAAGTTATAAAATTTTACATGGAATTTAGAATTCAAGTCATCTGTGTTAGCTTTCTATGCTTTGTAACAAATTATCGCAAACTTGGTGGCTTAAAACATTTATTATCCTCAGTTTCTGTGGGTCAGAAGTCCAGGCATGACTTAGCTGGTTCTCATCTGGAGGCTCTACGTAGAAAGAATCTGCTTCCAAGCTTTCTCTGGTTGTTGGTAAAACTCATTTCCTTGTGATTATAGGATTTATGTCAGCTTGCTTTTTCAAAATCCTTGGAAGGGGAGGGGAGACAGAGAAAAAGATTACCCTAGAGTGAGTAGATTGCATTATATACAAGTTACATAACAACATGGAAGTTACATTCTATTACCTTTCCTATATAATGTAAAATAATTACAAGATTGACATCCCATCATATTTGCCATATCCTATTGGTTAGAAGCAAGTCATAGGTTCCACCTACCCTTAAGGGAAGGAAATTTTACAAGGGAATGAATACCAGGAGGTGGAATCACAGGGGCTACCTTAAAGTCTATTCACTGTGCTATATCAATTATGTAGACTATATTAAGAAAAACAAAAATACTTTGGCTTGATGCATTTTTTCTTCATTTCCTATTGATTCATTTCCTGTTTCCTTCCTATTGAAGGAAATGAAGAAAAAATGCATCTCTTTCTATTGAAGAAATGAAAAAGAATCAAGAAAAAATGTCCTATGAAGACATACTTTTCTTCATTTTCTATTTCAATTTGCATCATAGAGTAACAATTGTATAATATACACCATCGATTTATAAGCAGAGAAAGAAATTTGAAATGATTTTAGATCATGTTCCATCTTCTATTAAAGATTGATATCACTTTGAGGCTATGAAGAAAAGGTACTTCCATACTTTGCTGCCTCTATTTTTTTAACATAGATTTTTATTAATGTAAATGCAGTACATGTTAATGGTAAAGTATTCAAATAATATAGATGGGTATTAAGTAAAAAATATGTCATTAAATGAGAAATAATGAAAGTAATCATTATTAATTATTTAGTCAATTTTCTATACATATACAAGTCTACATATATGTCTGGACATTATATGTGTATGAACATATTTTATTCTTTAAATGACACTATAATAAACTTTCGTTTCTACAACTTTATTATAGCCTGGATGTCTGTCTATAGTACTGTAGCTCTACCTCATTCTTTCTAATGGCTGTTTTTCCTTTTAACTATGTGTCATAATTGTTATTAAAATTCTCTACAGAGATGACATTTTCCATTTGTATTCTAAAATACCATTTAAAATGTCATAAAGTCCAATCAAAACCAGCTTAAATAGAAAAGAAAATTTATTTATTTGCCATCACAGCCCCCCAAAAAATCAGTTTAACTAACTTTGAGTATGTTTGGCTCATGGCCTCAATTAATGTCATCTGTAACCGGTTTCTCTCCATCTTTCGTCTTGACTCATCTTTGGACCCAATTCTCTCATTAGGCTGATTCTCCTTTCAAGATGGCCAAATGACTGCCAGAATGGCTGCCAGTAGCTCCAGACTTAGTCTAGTCCCAGGGAACCAGCAGAAAAATAGGCTCCTCTCTTCTGTTTCTTTAAGCAAAAGTGATAACCTTAATTCCACTTGGGTCTGATTGGGTTCATAAACCTTTCTTTTAATCAATTGCTCAAGTTAGGGGAGGTGATATTCTGAGTTTTCAAGTTTGGGTCATGTCTTAGTCCATTCTGGAAGCTATTATAAAATGTGTGGTTTATTTTGGTTTTAAACAACAGAAATTTATTTCTCACAGTTCTAGAGGCTGGGAAGTCCAAGATCAAGGTGCTGGCAGACTTGGTTTCTAGTGAGGGCTGCTTTCTGGTTAATGGATGGTAGCTTCTAGCTGTGTCCTTACTTGGCAGCAAGGACAAGGGAGCTCACTGGGTCCTTTGTAAGGGCACTAATCCCATTCATGAGGACTTCACCCTTATAATCTGATCCCCTCCGAAAGCCCCCACCTTTGAATACTGTCACCTTAGGGGTTAGGATTTCAACATACAGAATTTGGGGTTTCCATATATTTTGGGATATAAACGTTCAGATAGCAAGTCACATGCAATGCTTGAAGCATGGGAATCAGCCCCACTAAAAGAACATGAACCTAGGAGTGGAAGATGGGTAAATGGATATTGGATAGGTGCACACACACAAAAGCATACTATTTTATCATGATATATCCTTATAAACTTGTGTACTTTATGTGATACTTAAGTTATTAGAATATAAATGCTAGATTAACATATATATAGGTAGTCTAAATTTTCCTGTATATTTTCATATTTTCTATATTGATGTACAATGGGTACCTCAGTTTTCTGCTGAGATTGTACACTTGATGTCCATTCCAGATCTCATTTACTAATCATTTCCAATTAAGTAGGTAAAAAAATAGAATCCCATTGTTTCATTAGACATTCCTGTAATGACTGTAAACATGTTTACTTTTCTTATTCTATTTATATTTTTCACGGGTATTTTTATTCCTTTATTGTGAACTCCCTGCTTATGATTTTCTAATTGTACCAAAGCAAACAACATAATGAAGTGTTAAATACATGAAATATTTCTTTAACTTGCAGATACCTTTTTCATGCATGAGTGAGACTTATGACGTCGTAGCCATATGAGGCAGAGAGACTATGAAGAAAGATGCAAATTATGTCTAATGCCACTTTTAAAAAAATAAAACATGACATCTAGCTCCTACTAGTATATTGCTTTATCAAATAAGTAAAACTAAACATTAGAGTAGAGTGATATGGTGTTACATTCTGAGCAGACCTGATGAGTCACTGAGAGGCTTTACTGAGAGGTTTTTTAGGGCTTGGTATGGGGTGACTGCAGCCAATGTTTTCAGGCTGCCCAGAGGAAGAAGGGTCATCCAGTAGACATAAAGCTAAGGGGTTAGTCCTTTTGAAGAACAGGAACCCTAAGACTTACTTTGGGAGAGGAGATGGTCAAAAGTCCAACTTCAAAGTAAATATAGAAGAAAACAAAGAGTAAAAAGCTCTGTGATCTAAAGCCTAAAACATTGTTTTGCAGACTGCAAGTATGCAGAGGTCGAGAGAGAATGTTGCAATATCAACAGCAACAACAGTAACATAAAACTTTTGTCTGATGAGTTTTGCAGGCACACTATAATATTGCTGACTCTGAAAGATCAGATGTGGTCTGAAAGCCTACAATGAAAGCCCTAATGCTATGGAAAAGTGTCAGAAGGCCAATATTAAGAGATGAATTTTTTTGAAGTTGGAAGTAGAAAATAAAAAATGACATACAAATGAATTTAGAAATTTGTGGCTTAAATATTTTATTTTTACTAAGAGTGAATTGAGAATTAAAAATGCATTGTTACATAATAAATTCCTTACAAATGCATCTATATTTATCAGTGAATGGTTAAAACCCATGGTTAAGGTAACGAATTACATTTTTTGTCCACAGTCAAAGGGAAAAATCCAGTTAGATGTGTCTTTAAGTAGGAGCTCTTAAATCCATTCAAACATGATTTGTTTCATAATTATTTATTGTATATCTACCATGTTCTGGCCATTGTGTTTGTCAATGTTTTCAATGACATTTAAAAAAATCACACAAATATATCCTGTTTAATAATGTTCTTAGTCATCTAGGAGACAAACTGTAAACAAAAACAAAAGCAAATTTATAAATGAGTAATAATAAATTGAGAAGTCTTATGAAGAAAATTATAACACTTATTGAACATTGACAAAATGGTGACAGAGTCAGTTCTATGTGTTTACTCATTTTAATTTTTAATCTTAATAATTTATGAGGTAGGTGTTATTGTTACTGGCACTTTCAGAATGAGGAACCAGAAAGCACAAATAGGTCAAATGAGTTTTCCAGTATCATACAGTAGGAGGAGCCAAAACTAAAGCTGGGATGTGAGCCTGGGTAGGGTCTGTGCTCTTAAGTCTTATGCTTTATTGAACAGACAACCATGGTAGAGAGAGAACAGCCAGTATGGACATGGTTAGAGAAGGTTTTACTGAGGAGGTGTTTCAGTTGACAGTGGAAGGGTGTGATAGAGCTAGCCATGTTCAGAACCTAGAGACCAGAATTACAGGTAGAGGGAAAATATGTATTACATCTCTAAGTTGGTAGGAAACCTGGCAACTTCTAGGAGATAAAATGATACTAATAGTAATTAAGAGCATATAGAACGTTTAGATGCAGCCAAGAGTCAGTCACACTTTTAAATAACTTGTAGGTTAACATTAGGGGATTTGATTTGAAGTGCAATGGGGAGATATAAGGCATTTTACAAAGGGGCCTGAACTGATCTGATTCATGTTTAATTGGCTGCGGTATAACACCACATTGAAGACCACAGTAAAATACAGGCGGATAACAGCAAGAAGACTATTTTAGTAGACTTGGAAAGGGTTTTAACAAAGGTGGTTAGAGAGAAGATAAAAGTAAACATATTCAAGATATATTTTTGAGGCAGAAATCATAGGATATGCTCACAGATTGAATGTGGGTGGTGAGGAAAAGTCTAGGATTACTTCTAGTGTTCTACTATTATTACCTATGTGGTATCACTTTAAGCAATTTGCGTCTATGGTGGTACCACATAAGTGTAGAAAAGACTAGGATAGAACAGTTTGCAGAAAGCTGGGAGAACAGTTTGCGGAATTCAGTTTGGAATTTATCTCATTTAATATGCCTGTGGACATTCAGTTAAATATATAGGAAATTGGATGTGAAGGACTGGAATCCAAGGAGAAATACAAGCAGGAGATAGTTTTGGAGCTGTCAGCATAGAGATAATTAAAGCTATTAAAGGTAATTAAAGTATAATATCCAGGTAAACTGTTCAATTTTAAACAGAGAGAAACTCAGCAATGGGAGATGATAGAGGAGGAATAACCAGTAAAGGTGAAACAGAAAAAATTGAAAATGTATCATGCAAGAGACTATAAGAAGTAAGGATTGGTCATTAGTGTCAAAGGGCTTTGAGACATTACATAAACTGAGAACACAATAATCTATTAATAGGTATATTCTTATAATCCAAGCAGCAGCTATTTTATGTTGACCCTATGAGGCCATTAATTACGAAGCAGTAGGCAGAAAACTGGGAAATGCCTCTGAGGTCACATTCTTTTATTTGTTCAATAGCCAGTTGGTTATTATCTGGTATTTCATTTCTTTCCATTTATCTCAAAAATATGAACAAACAAAACCTATGAACCATTTGTGTTTAATGTAAGCGAAGCCTGTCAAAATATCTATCATTGAATAATCAGCCTAAGAAGAAAGAGCAAATATTTAGAACCCTTTGGAGAAATGGCCAAGGAATCGGCTTAGATACTTAGGATTCACATTCAAGAATGATACTGATGGAATCAAACAAAAAGGGGCCAGTACTTTCTGAGCTAATTGTTTAGAACTAGATTTTCGCTCCAGCTGCAATAAATTGGAAGATGGATGATGTGAGCATTTGTAATTTGTAATTTAAAACTTCGCGAACCATGAAACTTTCTGGAGACTTTGGTCAGTCAGTTGATTTACTAGAAATGATGAGACCACCAAAATTCATAAACTGTCTATTTTCCCACCACATGGCAATGAAATAGAGGAGAAAAACATGCAAATTGCTCATTTATGGTTTTTTAATTTTGCTTTCCTAAATTGCTTCTAAGCTCACTGAGTCGAATTTCTATAACATCTTTAATTATGATGAAGTCTTGGCTTAAAAAAAGAAAAGTTGTTTAGTTAGAACTTCATAATTGGCAATGAAACATTTAACCAAAGTGCCAGCTTTCAAATTTGTTAAATTTTGTTTTTTTATTTGAACTATGAGAACAGCATCATGGTGATCTGCAGAATTTGATATTGGGAACTTAAAATGTTAGGATGGAGATTTGTAAAATAATTCCAAACAAAACCAACCCCATTATGAATTACCTTTAAAATTGCAAAACAGATAAGATTCTGAACGTGTTTGGATAATACAACAAATTATAAAATATGAAAAAAAGTGGATGATACAGGTTTTTCTCTTTTGTGATTTGTGAAGCAAGAATCAGCCACTAAATTAGGAACTGGAAAGTCCTTAAAGTATCTATGGGAATTCTTTTGCATAACTGAATTGACTAGCATATGCAGCCCTAAAGCAGTATTTTAAGAACTGATTTTTTTTGATCATAGAATTCTCAAAAATAACGATGTTAGCAATCCATACAATATTCTCACAACTAACATTTGATATAACTGATTTTTATTTAAATAAATATCACACATTTAAAAAGAAGAACTTAATTTCTGAAAAGAAATCATTCAGGTGAGAAGTTTTAATGTTTCAATTGGGACTGTAGTAAAATTAAAGAGATAATTGCTTCAATTTTTTTTTCACTTTACCCTCAAAAGATTTACCAAAATTTAGTTTCAAATGCTCCAGGTAAAAAAATTACACGTTAATCTTTTCTTGTCAATCATTTAAGATTAAAAGTGCTATAAATTCTTTATAATTCTGCTTCCTATTTAAGCAGAATGCTTTTCTTCAATCTGAGATCCCATTATGCTGTTTTCTAAAATATTAATTCTACTTCTGAGGAGAATCACATTAATGTCCTAATGATTAGGTTTTTGCTTCAAAAGATTAAGGCACAATTCAAGGTTCAAAGTAACTTGGGACATTTTTCCATTGCCCTCTCTGTCCTTTCTCCTTGCTTGCCTCTCTTTCATTCTCCTCCTTTCTTTTGTTTTTAAACAGTTAACACAATCCATTACAAACATCAGAAGTGGTTTATGAGGAAAGCGTTTCTAATTACATATTGATTAATAAATGCAGATTAGTTTTCTCTAAAAAGAAATGAAGTCTTAAGACACATAGTAATTGCCTTTGGGGACTGACAGGATTGGCGTGTTTGCTCTTGTTTAAAAAAAAACAAAGGAGTTTTCTTTCTCTAAGAAATACTCTTTCGGTCCTTGCATTTCTTAAGCACGTTTCTTCTGCAAGTGCTCTCATAGGTTGCTGACATAGGAGGCTCATCACAGAAGGTGTTATCTTGGATCTTGTATTGACTAAAGTATAAAATTCTAGGCATATCATCTTATGTTAGCTATAAAAGCTTTGTAGTTCAAAGCCTGAGAAGTGGCTAGGAAATAATTTGATTGTAAAGGTAATCTCAAAGTAAATAGTAGTATTTCTTCAAGCTTATCCCTAATAAGGGTTTATAATCTTAGTTTCTTAAATTCAGGTTTTATTTTTTGGAAAATTGTGCATGTTCAACACTTATTCTAAGAATCAGTGCTTATTTTCTTCCACCTTTTCTCTGTCATATAAAGGTTTACTTTGATTCTGAGTTTGTAGGTGAGTGATACATCTTCAAAGATATGTTTAACTCCTTCATTTCATACTGAATCTTTACAGTAATTTTTGATATGTACTTATGCTATCTGAAGAGTATGTTGGTTTTTACCTGAACCCGTTTAATAATCTTTTAATAAATTCGGCCTCTTACATAATATAAAACTGTCTTGTCATTTAGTTGGATTTTAGAATTATAAAGATTAAAGGATAACAGATCTTGTGTATACACGGTATATACAACATACTGTATTATGACTTATAACAAAGATACCATAATTTCATTTTATAGTAAATTTATTGCTCTTTATGCCATTTTATGTTATTCTCTTATGGAGAAAAAACAGAAAATGACTCCTAGTTGTTTGCAATTCAAAATCAATAATTAAGAATTATTTCAAGCATGTCTGATCTTAAAGTCATGACTGTTGAGCATTGCAGATTATTTTATCCTGGATATAAAAGGCTTCTGGAAAATTATGGATTTTTATGGTTTTAAATTAATGTTTCTTTCAATCTTAAATGATTGATGCCAAAGTATAATTTCATAACAAAAATAATTATAAAGGAAGTAAACATTTATTCTCAGAGGTTCATTAATTTGCATAAATATATACCTATATTTTGGTAAAATGCAATCATACATTAAATACTCTATTAATGCTGACCCTCTTAATAGATTCTGATGTGACTATTTTAATTTTTTTATAATACATATGTATAAAATTATATCTTTCTAAAATAGGCATTACTTTTAACTAACTTGGATAAAAGCCAAAATGAATGAAAAACTGTCCTACACATATAATAGTACAGATACTAAAACAAACTTCTTATTCATTTCATTAATCAAATGAAAGAAATCTTAGCCAATGAAAATAAAAACATCCCAAACACAGAAAAGATACAAGAATTTAAAGAAATTACTACATGGAAATCTATTGGAATGAATTTTGTAGCCTGAAAGAGGTTTGACGGTTTCTCCTCAAAGTACAAAATACCAAGTTTGCCCAAGAAGACATAGAAGACTTCAGTAAATAATTTAACCTAGGTAATAATGGAAGGATAATTCAAGATCAACCATTAACAAATGATTAGGTTAACTGCTGAGTTTTATCTAATATTAAAAGTCAGAGAAATTCATACATGTATGAACACACCTATGTTTATTTTGAATGTTCATGGTGTACATATGGTTATTCCAACAAGAGAAAAATATAGAAGGATTCATGCCGGTAGAGTCCTTGGAGAAGATTATGTGACAGGAGAAGAAACTATAAATAATACACAAAAGTCAAGGTAATTTTGGAGGGTGATTTTTAAAAAGTGCAAAGGGGAAAGGCAGTGTGACATTTAAAAGTAATGTGGGTTATACTGGCATGTGTTTAAGATCATAAGTTTCTATGGGACATATGAACAAATAAAAAATGAAAGAAGGAAGGCAAGAAGGGGAAAAGAAACAAGAAAATGAAAACATGACTACATCAATACTTATTTTTCTGGAATGAGGCCCACATAAGGTTTTCTCTTTAATAGTGGCAGAAGATGATAAATAAAAGATCTTTTTTTTTTTTTTTTTTTTTTTTTTTGGTCAAGTGATCTCTAGATGTAAAAAGTCTGAGATTCACTTATACATACTCGAACTATTCACCTTTCTTTTGGAGTGGGGGACCCTCACCTATACAAAAATGTAGTGGAGGTAGTCTGAGTCCTCTCCCTTTTTGAACATTCCAGGATTTTCATTCCTGTGTCATGCTTTGTCATGGAGTGGGCAGAAGGGAGGAGAACATATGATTGGCACAAGTCGCTGTTACTCTTATCCTTGTAGCTCTTGTTATACAGCTCTTTATCTTGTCATGGTTTTAATTGTTTTAACATTTTGATCTCTACACATCTTCACTGATAATCATGGACAATATGAGAAACTACAACTAAAACATGTCTTAAATCAGCCATCAATATTTCAAAAATTTTAGCATACCTTTAAAATGCTCATATTATAAGTAATAACTTTTGAAAGACAAAGCCACTTGTAAGTAAAGATAATGAAATTTATTCCTGCAAGAAAAAGATAATGCCAACATTTGGAAATGTCTGGGAAAGAAAAAGCTCTAAATGGCCTAAAAATAGTGAATTACATGAAAATCTTATACATTTTGATTTAAACATGCAAAAAAATACTCATTTTACAAACTACATTGAAGGAATAAGCATAAGAAAACTGAATTAAGAAAGGATCTTACAATTTGTAAAAATTGAATACCATTAAAAGATTTATATGACCTAAGTGGTGTTTGATTCTGTCTCCTAGAACAGTGTTATAACATAATTTAGACACAACTTTCCCAAGCATTATATATATATAAAATTTTTTTTCTTCACAACTGATCATTCAATTAAGAAGTTTAGTCTAATAGACACCTGATTATAGTCGGTTTTGGCCAACCTACTAAATCTTTTCTCAATAGTAGTAGTACTTTCATTTCTCCATTTATGTTTAGTTTAATAAAATTTTATATCTTAATAATATAGTTTTATATCTTAATACTAACTAATCCTTGGAGGACATTATGCTAAATGAAATAAGCCAGGCATTGAAAGACAGATACTGCACGATCTCACTTACATGTGGAATCTAAAAAAGTCAAAGAAGCAGAGTTGAATGGTGGTTACCAGAGGGGTGGGGGTCAGTGGTGGAGATTGGGAAGATGTTGCTCAAGAGATTAAAAAACTTCAGTTAGACAGGAGGAATAAATTAAGAGATCTATTGTACAACATGGTGAATATAGTTAATAAGCTTGATTTAGTCATTCCACGATGTGTACATATTTCAAAACATGCTATATACCATAAACCTATACAATTCTTGTGAATTAAATAGTAATTATTATAAAATAGTTAATTCTTTATGAATGCTTATGTGTAAGGCATGGTTCTAAGAAGTTGATCTATATTAACTTATTTAATTTTTACATTAACTGTATGAGTTATTGCACATTTTACAGATAAGGAAACTGAAGCACAGAGAAAGTAGCTTAGTAAAGCACAGAACTGGAATTAATATCCAGCCACAAACTGCACCTTCTTAGTCATATACTGTTTCACATTGAAGTAATGCCAAAATTCCACAAATTATTTAAAGACTTATACTACTTGATTAGCAGAAAGAATCATCATTTACTAGCTTAGGATATTTATTATATAACTCATCAGAGTCTGAATAATGCATTTTTCAATGTATTTAAGGTATTAGAATACATAACGTTAAAAAACAGGTGTCCAAACAGTAATATGACTCAAATGCACAAAACAATCAAAACTGCTCATAGACCATACTCTAGGACTTTGTTCCAAAGACAACAATTTCCCCAAGTTTTCAAGCCACTAATTAAATTTAGATATTTATTCACTAAAAATTGAATTTAGCCTTTTTAACAAGGTCATTTAAGTAGGGTTGCTGAATACAATAAAAATCTTACACATTTCAACTAGATTTTTATTCCTCATAAGGCTTTAAATATCCCTCAGTCTGTCTACTCTCAGCAACAGACATTTCACAGATGAGTTCCAGTATATCACAGGAAACCGTGAATTATTGTCATTTTGGATTCATAGAGCACATTTTCTCAGAGAAAGTGTGAGTGAGTGACGCATATGACATAATGCAGCAAGTCAGTGCCAGACGGGAAAAAAAGAAATGTATTTTGAAAAAGTGTTAGTTTATAAGGCAGGGAGAAAAATATTAATCCAACAGCAGAATTCCTGTTAAGGACTGATGTTATTAAAAAAAATACTTTGAAGTACTCTTTAGGAACGCAAAGGAAAAGGCTTCTGTGACATGGCAGCTATGGGGGTCATTGAAACAAAGGTTTCTAAGATGCACTGTATTTTGCATGCGTAGAATTTAGAGTTTCCTGTGGCAATCCTGTGAGAGGGGCTAAGGTGATACTGAGAAAATAAAGGAGTCAGACTGCAGTGTTGAAGGCTGAAAGGGCAGCATGAGTATTCCCTTCCCTAAGGTTGGAATGACCAAGGTCATTTGGAGCAGGGATGACCATTAAGTTTGAAGTACTAGTGCAATTACTTTTGCACCAACCTAATATTAATAACTTCAGTATAACCCCTATTTCTTCCCTGCAAAAAACCAGTCTATTACAGTGAGATGCAACTGTTGGGGGAAGAAAGGCTGGGAGTGCAACTAAAGAAAATTAAGGAAATAGGCTCTTCATTAGGAAATAAAGGAGTCAGAGGATAGATATAAGTGAGACTAAAATTTAGCAAAAGCAGTAAATTAGGGCAAATTTACTTGAAGAAAAGTGCTAATGATTCTCAGGAAGGATTTGAGGTTTTTCTGTTACAGATGGGAGTTGGGTAACTTTTTATGAAAGAGTGTGTGTTCTATTTATACTTGAAGGGAAAGAGTGATTTTAAAAGACTGGTGGACTTGGGAACACCTGGGTGGAATTATTCATTTATAACTTTCTCTTTTAAGTACAATTTTATATTTGATAAAAAATATTGTAACAAAACAGACCAACTGGGTGAAGTTCAGTTTGAACTAGATGTTTTTAAGCTTTAGAGCGTTAAAATCAGATTATTATTTTTAATTAACTATATGGACAATTAGAATTTAAAAGTGTTAGGCAAGTGATCTGGTCTTGATCTCCCTCTCTGAACTCACATAGTATCTTTCTCAGTTTTGGTTACTTTTTTTCCCAAGCTGGTTCTCATCCCCAGGGCCTTTTCTTTGACTGTGCCATCTACCTGGAAGGCTCCAACCCTACGTCCTTGAGAAACCTGCCCTGATAACACAATCTAAACTAGAACTACCTCCTGCCCACTCAGACATCTGGGTGCTCTCCATCACATGACTTTGTTTGATCAACATCTGAAATTACCTTAATCCTTCATGTGTTAACTCATTGCTTATCTCCCACTATTACTATGTAGGCTCATTCACAGCACGTGCTGATTATCATTGTTATCTCTAGCACCTGAAGTTGTAAAGCAGCTGTAAAGACGTAAAGTAAATATTTGTGAAATGAATAAGTAAATCAGTGGATATATATTAAGAGAAGAATTATAATTTTAAAAACATTTATTTTACTATAGTTTGGATATTTGATCTTCTAAACCACATATTGAAAGCTCTTTTTTTTTTTTTTTTCCTTTCTTTCTTTTTGAGACAGGGTCTTGCTTTGTTCCCCAGGCTGGAGTGCAGTGGAGCACAATCATGGCTTACTGCAACCTCCCAGGCTCGAGTGATCCTCCTACTTCAGCCGCCTCAGTGGCTGGGACTACAGGTGTGTTCCACCTCGCCTGGCTAGTTTTAAAATCTTTTTGTAGAGTCAATTTCTCACTATGTTGCTCAGGCTGGTCTCAAACTCGTGGGCTCAAGTGATCTTCCCCCTTTGGCCTACCAAAGTGCTGAGCCACTCCAAAGGCCCTCATGTTGAAATATGATTCCCAATGTTGGAGGTAGGGGCTTATGCAAAGTGTTTGGATCCTGGCGGTAGTTTTCTCATGAATGTTTTGGTGCCGTCCTCACCTCAGTGAGTGAGTTCTCTATTAGTTCTTATAAGAATCCCCCTGAGAGCCGGTTGTTAAAAACAACCTGGCACCTTCCCCCTGTCTTACTTCTTTTCTCACCATATGATCTGTACATGACTGATTCTCTTTGCCTTCCACCATGAGTAGAAGATTCCTGAGACCCTCATCAGAAGCAGATGTTGTTGCCATGTTTCTTTTACAGCCTGGAGAACTATAAGCAAAATAAATCTCTTTTCTCCATAAACTACCCAGCCTCAGGTATTCCTTTATAGCAACACATACAAAGACATGTATGACACATAATTTAAAGATAAACTCAAATTATATGCTTACATAATCTAAATATCATTACAGTCAGGTTGTTAGCATTACTTCTAAAGTACTCAAAGCTATTCAAAAGTCAATGGCAGTTAAGTTATATATGTTTGTCATAATCTTTAAAGAAGTCCAGAGTAGTAACATTTAATGTCAGCCTATGTCTGTGGTAGGCAGAATCACCCCGCTCACTCCCCACCCCACAAAATGTCCACACTCTCATCACTGAAACCCATGTATATATGTTACATTTTAGATCAAAGAGACTTTGAAGATGTAATTAAGATTATGGATCTTAAAATAGGAAAATTATCCTGACTTACCTGGGTGATCCCAACCTAATCACGTAAGTCTTAAAGGCAGATCATTTTCTCAGGCTGGAGTCACATGTGGTAGAAGAAAAGGCAGGAAAGATGTTATAGAAGGGGAAGTCCAAGAGATTCTGAGCACGAGAAACAGTTGATGCACCTATGCTGGTTTTGAGACATAGGGGGCCAACCGAAGGACCAGAGAGTTGCCTTTAATAGCTAAGACAGCCCATAGCTGACAGCTAGCAAGGAAACAGACCTTCTCCTATAAGCACGAGGAACTGACTTCTGCCAAGCACATATTCTAACAATCAGCCACTAGAAAAGAACAAAGCCCTGTCAACATCTTGATTTGGTTCTTGCGAGACCTGGATCAGGGGAACCAACTATGCTACACTGTGCCTAGACTTAAAACTGATGAAAACTGGGAGGAAATAAATAGATGTTGTTTAAGCTGCTAAATTTGTGATAACTTGTAATGGCAGTAGAAAACTAATGTGTAATAACAATCGTAAGAAAAGTAACATGAAATTGTCAGTGTGTTACAAACTTTGCTAAGGACTTTGAGTATCTTGTTTAACTTTTATGATAACCCGTGAAGTAGTGTACTGGACTCATCTTAAGAAATCTGTTCAACCCTAACCACTTATCTCTGAAAACTACCCTTCTGCACTTATAGATAGGAGTGAGTCTTTGGCAACGATGTTAGTATTTTTTATCTTATTGCTCAAAATAGACCAATGGTGAACACTTGACCTAAGGCTGACCAAATAGGCTCTATCCCCTTGAGTTTGGAGTTGCAATTGAGAGATGTAAGTTTCTTGAACACTGGAGTATATAAAGTCAGAAACTGTGGAGTGGTATTTACATGGAAAAGGAATCGAATAATGTAAATTGACAGCAAAAAAGGGTTGCTGGAGATTATGCGGCCAGAGATGAGAGACAGAGATTTAAAAAGGGGCTTCCAAGATTCCAAGATTATGCCATTGCACTCCAGCCTGGGCAACAAGAGCAAAACTCCATCTCAAAATAAATAAATAAATAAATAAATAAAAAGGTGGAGGGGGCTTCTTGGATTTTAATGGCATTCTCGTTTCTGCTTCCATTGACTCCTGAGGCCCAGCTACATTCGTGGACCACCCTATTAATATGGAAAATTCCTTTATTTAACTTAAACTAGCTAGTGTGGAATTTTGCTTCTCCCAAGCAAGAGAAAGTTAATTAATAGATAGTATTACTATCCTTTTATTGAGAGAGATGCTGTATTCATTAGGGCCTGCTAAACTGATGTAACAAATAGGTCCCCTAAAGTTCAGTGACAATACATTCAAGAGATGTCTGAAGTTAGCAGGAGGCTCTTCTCTCCAGTGATTCAGGAAATCAGGCTTCTTTCAATTTGTTTCTCTACCCTCCACTAGAGTCTGTCTTGGCATCTGAATTTAGCCTGTATTAAAAAAGGAAAATGGAGAAATGTTGGCTTTTAAAAGCTTTAGCCTCAAAGTACCATCCGTTGCTTTTCTGTTCATGTTCTATTGGAAAGCATTGGTCAGATGGCCGCAATTAACTGCAAGAAAGATGGAGAGAGATAGTCTAGTCAGGACCTTGCAAAAGTGAAAGTAATGGTAATGATTAGCTAGCCACCTCTGTTAACAGATGTTCACTAACTTGTTCAGTATAAGACAGCTAATACTGGCAGAGGTGGGGATCGAAACACAGATCTCTGACTCAGGAAGTTAAAATCTTAACCATTTTTTTCTACTATATTTTTATTTTACCAGATGGCTTCCATCTGTGTAATTAGTTGACTTAAAATTCCACTAAACCTGTTAAATAGCCAGCTTAATCTTCTATCCTTGTTAATTTACTTTTAACTTAGATAATATCGGAAGAGAAACTCAGTACTCAAAGTATATTCAAAGGGGCTCAGTGACAAATTACACAAGAGCAGCTGAGACCTCATTAGGCTACTAACTGCAAAGCTCAGATGTATGACCACCTGCTAGGTTATTTAATAAAAAGTAGTAGCCAAAAATGTGTACCTTTATATCATCATTTACATGAGTACTTCTGATTGCTCAATAACATGAATTCATTTGTTTTTGCTATATTAACATAAAACAATTAAGTGGTAGTGAATAATTAACTTAATTTGCAGTTAATTGACCTAAAATACAAATCGACTCTGAATATATTCTGGCATTCTTGATGTTTGTCCTGTTACTTTTTCTGGGTTCTTTGGTGATGTATTGGTGGGATGGCCAAGCCAGAGTCTGCCACTAAACCTACAGGAATGGGGTGTGGGTTGAGCATATAGTTATAGTAGGGGTGGAGGTGGAGATAGCCTGCCTGAAAAAGAAGCTTACTTACACAGACATTCTGTTAGAGTCAGTTGGGGTGGGATCCCACAATCTACAAGTCATCTAAATTTATCGTTGAGGCAAAATAGTTGGCTTAGAGGTTCCAAGATAAAGAAATGGACCAGGAAGAAAAGAATTATGGGTAATCCAGATTGGTATACTGGAGCTGGTTCTATCTGCTAGTGTGAAGCCGACAGTGTATATCACTTTCAACTCTGCATTCAGTAATAATACATTGGTAGCTCGAAGCTGGCCATGGTACAAATATTTACTTTATCAAATTGTTATATACAGTTGGCCCTCTGTATCCACGGTTCCACATCTAAGGATTCAACAAACTGAGAATCACAAATATTTGGGAAAAAATACCAAATAATACAATAAAAAATGCAAATAAAAAACAATACAGCATAATGACTACTTACTGTGTTAATTGTAAACTAGAGATTTAAAGTATATTGGGAGGATGTGCATAAGTTGTGTGCAAACATTATACCATTTTACATAAGGCACTGAGCATCTATGGAATTTAGGATTGATGGGGAGGTTTTGGAACCAATCTTCCACAGATATCGAGGAACGACTGCCCTACAAATCATGGTGCTCTCTGTCCTCCCCTAACCAGAAAGCTAATTGTATAACATTTACCTGCATATCACTGGTAGTGTCTGTTATACAGGTAGACTAGTAGTAACCATCTGAAAAGGTTGTTCCTAGGTTGTATTCTTACTGCCACTGGCTAGCATTCAGAGATATATTTGCTGATTTTAGAGTAAAGGCCTCACAAAAACAGGTAAGTCTCAGTTGGTGCTTATTAGCATAAGAACTGGCAATCCTTCTGGTAATAGACATTTTTATGTAACAACTGGGAAAGGATGACTTGTGAACCCTATAGTCAGAATGTGTAGGTGGTAGAATAGTGGGTAATATTTATGAGTGGACTCTACAGAGGTCTCACAGTTTATGCTATTATCAGAAGGTAAAGATGATTTAATAATAAATTCCACTTTATGTTTTACTTAGGAAGGATGGGGAGAAAGGAAGTCCACCTGCAGAGAAGATGAGAAAACACAGAACAGGGTTATATATGTGTGATTTTAGATCTTCCCCTCTGTTGTCTCAGTGGCACCTTATGGATCTATTTTTTCCCCGTCATTTATCAGCTTGCAACAGCAGATACAGTTCACTATTCAGAAGCAGAAACTAAAAATCCAATAAAGAAATGATAGAAATATAAGTCAGATTTGGATGCAAATTGGCTCTCATTGAATAAACCTAAAGCTAGGGGATGCAACTCATAGAGGAGAAAAATGACTGGGGGAGCTTCAGTTCTCCAAACATATGTGGGAGGCAAGGGGGAGGTCATAGTGAATACCACTGGCCATCTTATCATCTGAAGGTCTGGGCACCACTTGTTCTCTGATTAGACTGTGGGATGTGGCTGATTTGTATGGCTATATGGTGACATGAAATAGCCTTGTCCTGATTACAGAGCCAGCTGGAGGAAAAACAAATCCTCTATGTGTTGAATCAGCATTATCCCCATTGGTTTTTGGGACCCTTCCATGATACGTAGATATAGCCTTGCCATGAATCAGATAAAATCTGTCAATCCTGTCTCTTTCTGTTTACATTTTTATCTTTTTTGTAAATGATTTACCCATCTACTTACCTTTCAAGGTAGTAAATCCCAAGTTAAACCTGAATTACTTCACAGGCATGATAGCACTCCTATGCTAAAGTGAAGTATATCTCTCTTGCCCCTCTAGCATCATTCAGGATAAACCCTAGAGTAAGAGAATAATAATACAGAGAGATGAAGATGAATTTATAGGTTTTTGGTGGCATAAATAATGACCATCTGTGAATAGGATTTATCAGACCTGGAAAACTTCAATAAGATCATATTGGACATGGGTACTCAGGATGGCTGTACCAGGAGGAGTGGTTTCCCTTCAACTATCTGCTTTATGTGCTAGCCTGTTGATAGGAAGCAAGTTTGTTGAGAACTAGTCTGGAGCCCCAAAAAAGTTATCAGTTTTCCTTTTGATGCAACCTTTAAAAAAGAATTGTTTTCTTCTTTGAAGGAGGGCCTGATGGTAGATAACTTGAGGAGTTGGAGAATATTTCCAGTCAGACTGATGGATGCACCTCAACATCAGGATACATACTTTGAGAAGTTACTTCCTATTTTACTAGAAGAAATTGTGATCAAAAGCTGGGATTGTTTTCAGAAAAACCTTATCCTGGCTTTAGGTCAGAGGCCTTTGAACCATGACTCAGGTATCTGATTGAGTTGTTACTCAACAAAGAAATATCAGAGACAGAAAGCACTATATTTGAGCACTCCAGGCCAGACCTAAGCATATTAAAACAAACAAGTCAGTGACTGTGGAAGAATGTGTAAGTGTCCTCAGGTAGGCTTTTTGCTGAGTAAAAAGCTGGAGGGTAGTTCTAGCTAATTTTAAAAATTATTTCCCAGAATGCTAGGAGAAAATGTCTTTACAACCTGAAACATTATGGAATCTGGAAATGAGTTTAATTTTTTTTGGATAAGTTTCAGGCTTAAGCTTTTCCAAGAGAATTGCTCTGTCTAAGTGAAATTAGAGTATTGCTCCTCCTCCCCGCCACAACTTCTTTTATTTTTTAAAGCTGATCAAGGAAGGAGAGAAGGCAGAAATTGAAAGATGTAAGAGAGTAAAATGAAAAAAAAAATGCCTAGAAGCGTTCCTGAAAATGACACTGGCCAAGGCTCAAACTCACTAGTGCCAATGAGAATATATCAAAACAGATACAAATTTCAATGATATTTTTATAAGCCTTCAGATAGCCTAGGAGAGATACTGGAGGAATGCCACCTTGATCAGTTGTCATGGCCCCAGGTGGTGAAGCAGTGTGGTGACAAGGAGGAATCTGTGGTCTCAGATAGCAGGATTAGTTCTTTGAAAAACATAAGAGACACCTCCTGGTTTAGATTTTGCCTTTTCTTTCCTTCCATGCTTACATTTCTCTCATATATATTTTTCCTTCATTCTTTTTTATTTTTGCTTAGGTTCTGGAACTTATCCATATTTAGGTAATGGTATCATTTAATCATTTAATTGGAATTTCCTTAATGGATAATAGCAGCATTCAGTAGGTAGAAACTGCCACACGTATATGCTCAGACTTGGAAAGAGTTCAGAAAGTGCAGACACTGATTGCAGTGAATTCCAATGTTATTTTTAAAGCGCTGGCTAAACACTATCAGCAGCAGGAAGGCACCCAATAACTGGATGCCCTCCCTTTTCACATTCTGTGTAGTAACGCAAGAGAGGCAGAGCAGTACGATGGACTAGTACTTATCTGCTGTTTCTCTCTCTCAAAAGTGGTAACTTGACTAGTCCCTCCATCAAAGCCTAAAAGCTTTGATTTGGGAGTCTCCTCAATACATTCAGAGTAGAAGGAATATCTATGGAAGAAATTCCAAACCAAAAGATGGGTCTTCTTCCATGGAGGACATACAGGATAGGGTTAGTTTTAGGAACTTGCCACCGTGTCATTCCTTGGATTCTTAGTATGCACTAGCCAGTCTGTTGCTGCCTCCTTACCTTTTAGAATCTTCTTACACAGATGGTTCTTGATATATAATTGTTCAACTTATAATTTTTTTGACTTTAGGATGAATTTATCCAGATGATATCCCATCATAAGTTGAGGAGCATCTGAACTTACAATGATTCAACTTAAAATTTTTAAACTTTATCATGGGTTTATCAGTTGTATTTAATTAACTTTTGACTTATATTTTCAACTTATGGTGAGTTTATTCAGATGTAACCCCATCATAAGTTGAGGAGTATCTGATTTTGTTGTATATGTAATGTTGGGAGTTTTTAGAATTGCTTAGGAGTAGGAATGAAAAAAAGGTATGTCTATTTATCTTCCCGGAAGCAGAAACACAGTTTTTTTTCTTTTAAATACATTTACATAATGAAAAAATTACGTATTTTTACCTACATAGTATTTGTGATGATCTTCAATATATTGTTTATGTATAGACATTGTCAATTTCACCCTTTTTGTGTTGGAATTTTCTGTTCTGAAAAGTATTCTTGAGCTTTGTTCTGGAACATAGTTGAGCTAATGGAACACTGTTTGATCCTTTTAGGTATTGCTTCTAAAATTGTTAGATGAAACCCAGAGCAGTGTTTATTCTATGGCTAATTTTCTTTTCTTTTCTTTTTTTTTTTTTGTTGGTTTGTTTTGCTACTGATGTAAGATCTTTCTGAATACTCTACCCAATGCCCTCTGAATTAAAGGTTTTTAATTCTGGCTGAGGGACAAGCACTATTCCTGTCTCCATGTGTGCTTTGAGAATGTTTTATCTAATCCTTCTGGGTAGTTCTTTCCTGAATTGGGGCTATTTCCTCACCCACGAGCTGCTCAGTACTCTGCTAAATATTGCAGGGGAGCTGCCACAGTTCTCTGAGGTTCTTATTCTGTATAACTCCTCACCGGTCCTCTCCCCTGTGAATTCTAGTCATTTTGGTCTCCTCGAATCTTAGCTCCATTTCCTCAGTTCAGGAAGATGGTTGGGCCTTGTAGGGGTTTTCCTTGTCTGTATCATTGCCTAAAATGTCTCCTAAGATGGTAAGAAGGTCCAGTCCTGGGGCTACCTCATTTGTTTCCTGTCTCTCAGAGATCACTGTCTTTGTTGCTTGATATCCAAAGTCTTTAAAAATCTGTTTCTTACATTTTAGTTGTTTTTTTCGTGTGATTTTAGGCAGGAAACCTCTGTAAATATTTAGAAAGATATTTCAGAATTTGGGTTTTGGGGAATTAGATATAGGTGTGAAAATGAGCACTGTCCTTCAGTGCATGATCTTGAACAGTGTACTCAATATTTTCAGCTGAGATTTCAATTGTTAAAGATTAGTATCTTTTATATAATGTGGTAGTGAATATTGAGATGCTTTAGCATAGTGCCTAGCATGTCATGAGTGCTAAATTAGTGATATCTATTATTAAGCATTGCTTTGTAGCTTCTTTCATACAGCATAGCACAAATAGACACACTGTCCACAGTACCTGGAACAGGTAGTGCCAGATAGGTTTGATAGTGTCCATTGGAAGCTGTAGTTAGGAGTAATTAGTACCCCATAGAACTTTGATGGTTGCTGGACTAGAGGGCATAGAGAAGAAATAGTGGTTTCCGGAAGAGGTAATATTGCCTAGGGGGAACAACTCTACTTGAAGGATTTGCAGTGTACAAAGAAATGCCAAGTAGAGACTTTTCTGGATTTGTATGCAAGATGGCCTCAGCCATCTCTTAGGGATTCACTACAGTTGGATGTGGAATAAACTAGAGAGGACTGAGAGCCCTGCTTTGGCGTATGGAGGGAACAAACAATGAACAGAGCTTATTACTCATAATCCTGATATTAAAGTTTGGGCTTGTGTGGCTAGGAATATCAGCTACTTAGGCAATTGGCACATAGTTGGTCATTATGCACTTACAAAAAAAGAAGAATAATCTTTCCAATTAAATTTTGGAAAAGAGTTATCCTAGAGATGAAAGTTAGGTGAATTGAAGAAATAGATTATAAAACCGAGAAAGTCTGAAAATATAGACCTAGGGTTGGTAAGTATTGAAACACAACACAACTTTATATTCATGTAATTGAGATGCACAGAAACATTCTTCTCAGTAATATTGAACGGTGGAAAATTTTGCTTGTTTCATTGATTTGAAGGCAAGGGTCCTTCACCTTCACTATACCAGCTAATATGGAAACACATAATATAGCCATAGAGTAATTATTTTAAGTACTGCCACTGCTTCTACATAACAGCCTCTGGAGAGAAACTATAAAAGTAGATTACTTCTAAAAGCACCCTTCTAAATGTAAACCTTGCTAAAAGAAATGTGTATCAGTAGTGAAAGATAACAATGGTTTTCTTATGGTTTAGCTTTCCTTTTACTGTTGAGCTATCCCTTTCGGTTACCTATACCACATATGTATTCATGTATGCAGTTGTGTGCTGATGCTTTACGGATACATACACCAATATGGTCCAGAATGCTAAAATAATTAGTGGCATTATTATTAACCAAATTAGCCCCCAAACATATTGTTTTGAAAATAATATTTGACCAGGCTATTTACCAGAATTCTTTCAAAGTGAATATTGATTGTGACCATTTACATTTTGCATAATAGCCACAAATTATGAGTGATGGTTATGATGTCCAGATAAACTCTTGCCACTTCAAAGATACTTTGTGTTTTTATCTCAGAACAATTTTTTTAGGGAAAAATTATAAATTCTACTTGAAGCCAAAAATAGAGACTCAGGAAAATTAAGTAACTTGTCTACACTCACATAGTGATGTAGCAAGCATTTATACCTATATTTAAATCTTGTATATAGGTGATTAGTTTTACATTTTTATTGCTAACCGTTAATGTAAATAAATCCAGATATGTCTTTTATAATTACATTACATTGTCCTGATTGCCAATATCTTCCCCTCTTTTGAGCAAAATAACTTCATCTTGACTTGTGGTCCAAATGACAACTGACAGATTTACTATGGAATTTGCTTTCCGGCCACAGCAATGGATTGAGGTGTCCACTAACCCAAGTGCAGCCAGTCATATTCCTTCCCTGAGAAAATTAGAACTACTGATAAAGGAAGAGCATCTTTAGCTCTGTCACTAATGTGTGCAAATTTAAGCTCAGTAGTTGGTTGTCATCCCCTCTGACTGGCAAGAGATATTTTTTTAGCAGCACGAGAAAATTAAGCCAACATGCAAAGAAATGCAAAGATGAGAATGAAACAGACATTCATTGGATGGTTCCAGAGCCTGAAGTCTGCAAAATTGCCCTGGGCCCTGCCTTTCCAAGAATCCAATTTTGCAGATACGATAACCAAATCATTACATACTAGATACAATTTTATTTTGATCTTTGATATTATGTAAAGGTTTTAATTATTTATTTGTTTCAATTTGTCTGTTTTTCTAGCTTGTTTGAAGAATTGGTCTTCTCTTTATGAATAATGATTTGTAATTTCCCTTTTTCATGTATGAAGTTCATGTATATACTCTATTCATATGCCAAAGTGGATAATTATTCTTAACTTTTAGTTTAAGTTCAGGGGTACAAGCACATGTTTGTTACATAGGTAAACTTGTGTCATGGGGGTTTCTAGTACAGATGATTTCATCATCCAGGTATGAAGTCTAGTTCCCATTAGTTGTTTTTCCTGATCATCTCCCTCCTCCCACCCTCCACCCTCTGAAAGGCCCATGAGTATGGTTCCCCTCTACGTGTTCATGTATTCTCATTTAGCTCCCACTTATAAGTAAGAACATGTGGCATTTGTTTTTCTGTTCCTGCATTATTTGGCTAAGGGCGATGACCTCCAGCTCCATCCATGTCCCTGCAATGGACATGATGTCATTCTTTTTTATGGCTGCATAGTATTCCATGGTGTATATGTACCATCTTTTCTTTATCCAGTGTATCACTGATGGACATTTAGGTTGATTCCATGCCTTTGCTATTACGAATAGTGCTGCAATGAACATACCTGTGCATGTGTCTTTATAATAGAATGATTCATATTCCTTTGGGTATATACCCAGAAAGGGATTGCTGAGTTGAATGGTATTTCTGTCTTTAGGTCTTTGAGGAATCACCACACTGTCATTCACAATGGCTGAACTAATTTACACTCCTAGTAATAGTATATAAGCATTCCTTTCTCTCCACAACCTCACCAGCATCTATTATTTTTTCTTTTGGTTTTTTAAATAGTAGCCATTCTGACTGGTGTGAGACGGTATCATTGTGGTTTTGATTTGCATTTTTGTAATCAGCGATGTTGAGCTTTTTTTCATATGCTTCTTGGCCACATATATGTCTTCTTTTGAAAAGTGACTGTTCATATTCTTTGCCCACAAAGTGGATAATTTTAAAACTACTTTATACCAAAAGGGAAGACAATGATGAAGGATCATCTCAAGGTACAGAATGAATCACATCATTGCCCTCCACTAGAGAATGATGATGGTGATGTTTACAAGGTTTATAAGGACACCGAGAGACTAATTTTGAAAGACAATATTAGAATTGGGTATTGGACAATTGAGCAGGTCAAGGAATGGAAATTAATAGAAGCTGAAATATTTTGTGTAGATCTCAGACTTTGAAATTTATAATGAAACTCATCTCATTTTCTGTTTTTAGGTCTTGGGTTTACTGTGTTTTTTAGAGACAGTCCATGGACATTTTATTTGTTTGATGGAAGAACGTCTGAATTGCTTAAGAATGATGGTTGATGTACTTGTCTCTCTCTTTAGGATTTTTCTGTACAGTTAAAATGTAATCTGTTATTTCATTCTAGAACTAGTGGTGATAAGAGATAACACTTGTGCAAAAAATTGCAGAGTATATTTATGACATGATTTCCTACTTCATTTAAACCTTTGTATGAATCATATAATTTCCTCATCTCCATTTTTCCTATTTTTAAATGTGATTATGGTGATTACCTAAGACCATTAGTGGGATGCAGAAAAACACATTTAAAAGAAATTGATAATTAAGACATATTCTTACATGCACTACAAACTAATGCTTTTAGTACTATGACTAGAGGTTGATAAATAGGAAAACACATTTAGAAATAACCAGTAATACAGTACAATCTTAAATTAAGAACTGACAGATAAATCATACATCACAAAAATTTACTAAATAACATGTTCTGTTATCTAATATCCTTAATATGTTTTTACCTATATATAAAGGGCATGAAGCTGCTATGTGTAGGTGCCTCTCCTTTTTCTCCTGATAAACTTTGTAGTTTCAGAGTTGTCAGAACTTATTCCTCTAAAAATCTGTTATTAGCAAATATATTCCTTCATTTATTCCTTAATACTTTCCTTTATTCCTTTATTCAAGACAATTAATTTTTTATGCATCAACTACTATTTTAAACTCTGAATCAAGGTGTGTTAGATTTTACATCTGAATAAAGGGTTTCAAAATACATTTACTCTGAAATGTAATTATCCTAAACTTTTTTGTATTTGAATAAAAAAGACTCCTCTAAAATTTATTTTCATTGTTCTTTAGGATAACAGGAAATATTTTTCTTTCCTTAAAAATATTAAAATTTCAGATTGCTAAAGCATGCTAACATTTTTGTGAAACATATAGTTGAGGTAAAAAAAATCCTGTAGGAAGATATAACTTTAGTCAATATAAAATTGAATCTATAACTTTCTTTGTCAATAAATGTTCTAAATGTCTTTAGCAAGATAATATTTTGTGGCTCATATCAGAATAGGTAGAAAAGTGCACTTAACAGTATTCCAATCCACAGGGTTACTTTTGTCAGCACAATACAAGTGGAAGTTGATCAGCAATTTTGAGGATTCATATAGAACTATGATCACATAGACTTGGTTGTTACCAGACGTCTAGGTACTCAAAGGCCTCTAATTTATAAAAAAGATATGATTTTTAGCACATGTACATCAGAGACCATTCTAAGTTAATGTTTATAAAGCTAACCGTGTTTAGGTGACCAAAAGCTGTAGGAAATCATGTTAGGAGAAAATGAGGCAATTTTATCTAGATGATGGTAAATCAACATTTTAACAATTGTTCTTGATTCTTATGGTAAACTATAATAATAGTTTCTAAATGGAGTCATTTACTTGTCTAAGTAGCAAAGTCCTTCAAACCAGCATAGAAAGATCATAGCTTCCTAAGTTATTTAGTTTTCAGAATTCAACTTTTATATCAATACAACAAATTCAACTGAATCTGTTGACAAGTTAAGGAGAATGACGGCTTTGGAGAATGTCAGATTTGTTTTGTAGCAGGAATACCACTGTAGATTTTCTCTGCCTTAGAGGGCTTTAGTGAAGCAGAGTAAAACCCATAAGACCTGAAATAGACAGTCAAATTCACTATAATAAAAACACAATAAATACTTTGATGTATGTTGAGATGCAAAAAGCTACTGATATGTTTTCATATTAAGATGATAATGAAAACTAACAACAATATGTTTTTGTTAAAAATACTTACAGGCAAAATGTGGATTTAGCTATGCATATCATTTATGATTCCTTTCATAAAAAACACCTTAGTGAACCTTTTGCCTTGCTGATATGGTTTGACTGTATCCCCACCCAAATCTCATCTTGAATTGTAACTCCCACAATTCCCATTAGTTGTGAGAGGAACCTGTGGGAGGTGATTGAATTATGGGGGCAGGTCTTTCCTGCAGTGTTCTCCTGATAGTGAATAAGTCTTATGGGATCTGATGGTTTTAAAACTGGAGTTTCCCTGCACAAACTCTTTGCCTGCCGTCATCCACGTAAGACATGACTTGCTCCTTGCCTTTCACCTTCTGCCATGATTGTGAGGCCTCCCCAGCCACATGGAAGTGTAAGTCTAATAAACCTCTTTCTTTTGTAAATTGCCCAGTCTAGGGTATGTCTTTATCAGCAGTGTGAAAATGGACTAATACACTTGCTTAAAATATAATTCAACAAAAAGTTTAAATGGTTAAAGAATTCTCTCAGTAATTATTCCCTGAAAGCTTATTATGTATGGGACACAGTGTTATATTCTGTGGAGTATATACAGTCTGTTGAGCCTGGACCTTGCCTTAAGGAGAGCTTTATTTCCTTAGTGAATTTACCAACCTCACCTCGGTTCTCTGAAAATATGCTGATTTATGTCTGGTAGGCACTAATTGCTCATGGTGACTCTTGAATATTCATGTACTTTGCTCTCAGTAATTGAGTTATATGCTTACTAAAAATCGGCTAAGAAAGTTCCAAAATCAGCTGTATTTTCTTTAGTAATAAGGTAATTTAATTACACTCTGTTTTGGGTCCCCAGGATTGCTTCCTAGTCCAATGATTTGCTAGAAGACTCAGTATAAATAGTTGTAATCACAACTAAGATTTATTATAGAGAAAGGATACAAAGCAAAGTCAGCAAGAGAAGAAGCTGCCAAGTGCAAAGTTAGGAGAAAATCAAGCACAAGCTTCCAAGAGTTCTCTCCCAGTGGTGTCACACAGGGAGGATGCACTTAACTTCTCTAGCAACTAGTTGTGACAATCGGCATAAAATGTTGTCTTCCAGGGAAGCTCATATGAGCCTAGGAATCCAAGGTTTTTATGGAGGGTCAGTCATATTGGTACTCTGTCTAGTTTGTACCAAAACTCCTGACTGCAAGAGGAGAGCAGGTATCCATCATAAATGGCATTGTTTGTACAATTTAGGCACAGCAAGCCACTTTTATCATTTAGGGACAACTTTATACCAGTTTAGAAACCTGTTTGGCAGTCAAGTTCCCTAATATCAACAAGGGCCAACTTTTCAAGCCAACCTTTCTCAGGCCTGCTATATCAAGTGTTTTCTGCACATACCTAAACCAGTAAAATACTAATGTGTAAGAGAGAGCAAGCAAGGAAGTTATTTTTATGAAAATCAACTTTAATATTTTGAAGAGACTTGGTTAAGGCAATTTGTTTTAAAAATTGTAATTGAATTAGACATGTGCTAGACAATTACTTATTCAACTTTCAGGTTTACAAGAACCACTTGGATGTTGTTAAAGTGTGGATTCACATTGAATTAATTCTGGTATAGGGCTTTAGACTGTATTTCTCTTCTGTAAATTAAAAAATATTTTAATTGATATATGTTTGTACATATTTATGAGGTACATGTGAGATTTTGATACAGGTATAGAATTTCTCAAAAGATGATATACAAATAGCCAACAAGTATATTAAAAAATGCTCAACATCACTAATTATCAGGGAAATGCAAATCAAAACCAGAATGAGATATCATCTTACCCTAATTAAAACAGCTATTATTAAAAAGATTTAAAAATAACAGATGCTAGTGAGAATGCAGAGAAAGGGAACTCTAATACATGCATAGAATGTATCAAAATATCACATGTACCTTATAAATATTATAATGGGTATGTAGGATATCCGTTACTAGAACATTTTTCTTTCTGTTGGTAACATTCCCAATGTTCTCTTGTAGCTATTTGAAAATATCCATTATATTGTTAATTAGACACATATTGTCACTCTACTGTGCTATTGAACACTAGAACTTACTCCTTCTATCTAAATGTATGTTTTTATCCACTAACCAACCTCTCTTCATCTCCCTAACCCCACAGACATCCTTTCCAGCCACTGAAAATTATTGTTCTACTCTCTGCCTTCATGAGATCAACTTTGTATAGCTCTCACATATGAGTGAGGACATGTGACATTTGTCTTTCTGCTCCTGGCTTATTTCACTTAACATGATGATCTCCAGTTCCATTCATGTTGCTGTGAAGGACCGGATATTCTTTTTCCTGACTAAATAGTATTCTATTCTATATACGTGCATATTTTCTTTATCCATTCACCCATTGATAGACACAGGTTGATTTCATATCTTAGCTGTTGTGAATAATGCTGCAATAAACATGGGGGTGCAGGTATCTTTTTAAAATAGTAATTTCCTGTCTTTTAAATAAATACTCAGTAGTGGGATTTCTGAATCCTATGGTAGTTCTACTTTTACTTTTTTTGAGAAACCTACATACTGTTTTCCGTAATGGCTGTACTAATTTACATTCCCACCAGCAGTGCATAAGAGTTCCCTTTCTCTGCATTCTCACTAGTATCTTCTATTTTTAAACATCTTTTAAAATAATAGCCATTTTAATCAGAGTAAGATGATATCTCATGTGGTTTTGATTTGCATTTCCCTGATAATTAGTGATGTTGAGCATATTTTTATAAACCTGTTGGCTATTTGTATGTCATCTTTTGAGAAATTCGGGGCATTCGCCCACTTTTTAATGGGATTATTTGCTTGTTTTGCTGTTGAATTGTTTGAGTTCCTTGTATATTCTGGATATTTATTAATCACTAGTTGGATGAATAGTTCGTAAATAATTTTTCCCATTGAACAGGTCGTCTCTTCACTCTGTTAATTGCTTCCTTTGTGGTGCAGAATATTTTTAGTTTAATATAGTCCCACTTTCCTATATATATTTTTATTGCCTGCACTTTTGAGGTCTTAGCTATAAATTTTTTGCCTAGACTGATGACCTGGAGCGTTTTCTATATGTTTTCTTTGTAGTATTTTTAGTCTTGGGTCTTATGTATAAATTTTTAGTCCATTTTGAGTTGATCTTTGTACACAGTGAGAGACATAGGTCTAGTTTCATTCTTCTGCATATAGACATCCAGTTGAGACTATTTCTGATAAGTTACAAGGTGTCATAATGAGGAAGCTGGTCCACAGATTATACTTTGAGTAGCAACGTTCTAGGGGAAGCTAGAAGGCAGAAAAATAAACACATTCAAGGATTTTACCCTCAGATTTATATAGAGATACCTTTAAATTGCTGTTCAATATTAAATAACTAAAATTGATATTAACGTGCCAAATGAGTGGTTGGGGGGACCATTTTACAGAACTCTAATCAATATATACTCAGAGAAAGGGTCTCAATCCTACATTAAAATATTCATGTACAAAAATACAATTACATATTTTAATTTAAATGTTTATTATGTAAAAATCTCTTTGTTAATGTTTCCCCATTTTATAGACCATTTTGCCTGTTTGATTACTGGACAATTGTGTTGAATAGCAGGACATCAAGAGAATGACATAGAAATGACTTCTCATGGAGAGAACAAAATGTTATAGAGATTTGATAGATGAATTATTTTAATCAGAAATGCCCCTTTTGTGAAAGAGGTGACATGAATCTTGGAGGCCTTGGAAGATCAGTAAATTTTGATATGCAGTGACAGATGTAATTGGAAATTATGATGGGATTTTTTCCCTAGAGAATTAGGATTTATGAAAGAATGTAGTTGTGGTAAGTCTGGGAAGGTAAGATTGATTGGTTGTGGATTGTAGAGCTTTGGCAAATATAGTAAAAGCATGCATTAATGACAAAAATAATGGATTCGCTATTCCTACACCTTCCTATTCAAAACCATCCAATGGCTTTTCATGACACTTAGAATACAGTCTCCAATCTTGACAAGGCCTCTCATAATTTCCCTATCTGATCTTGGTGCAGGTTACCTCATTGATAGCCACACCGATCTTTCTATTCCTGAATGTTTCAAACGTATTACCAATTCCAGGCTTTTGTATCTGCTGAAAACTCTGCCTGCTGGAGTCCTTTCTCTGATGTCTCTTGGCTTTGTCTCTCCTTGTTTAAACAATTTTGTTTTTGTTCAGATGCTGCCTGCCCATAGAAGTCTTCCAGAATAGCCTTATTTAAAATAGCAACTATCTATCACAATCTATCCTTTTATTCTGCTTTTATTTTCTTACATAACACCTATTATAGCCTGGCATTATTTTTTATATTTGTGTGCTTGTTTTTGCCTGTAAAAAACACTTGCATGTAAGTTGAGTTCACTCAGGTATCCCCAGAGTGTAGAATAGTGAATGAGACATAATAGGAATCCAATAAATATTAGATGAATAAACAAGTATCTCTATTATGCATTGAAACCTGTCCTATGTCAGAGCTGATTGAATATATTTAATATGATAAGATCTACAAAATAAGTAGTGTTCGTGATGTAAGGTTTCTTCCCAGAGTTAGAATGATTCTTGATGTACAATAGGGGTTCAATAAATATTAGATGAATGAAATGTCCTAATATTTTATGCATTGAATTTTTTATTTCTTTGTCATAGCTAATTGTAATAAAGTGAAAATACTATATTTATGAACTGGCTAGTATTGACAATATAGACTTGTATCTTATTAAATGGCATTTGGTTTAGGAAACAAGCTGTAAAGCCACCCCTCTTCCTTAAAGAATTACATGACACAGTAACATCTTAATTTGGGATGCTATAACAAAGTTTCATAGACTGGGTGGCTTATAAATAATAGAAACTTATTTCTCTTAGTTTTAGAGGCTGGACATCTGATATCAGGGTGCCAGCATAGTCAGGTTCTGGTGAGGGCCTTCTTTCTGATTGCAGATGACTGACTTTTCATTGTATCCTCACATGGAGGAAAGAATGGAGAGAGCTCTCTGAGGATCTCTTTTATAAGGGCACTAATCCCATTCATGAGGATTTCATTCTCATAACCTAATCACCTTTCAAAGGACCCACCCCCGAATACTGTCACTGGAAGGTTAGAATTTCAACGTAAGAATTTTGGAGAGATACAGACAGACATTCAGTTCACTGCAAACAGATTATATTTGACATAATGACAAATAAAACAGGTACAAAAAATGTGGGCTCAAGATGTAAATACAGCCTCTCATTTTCCCTATGCAAAAATAATATATGCAACCAGTCAGGGATGGCTTCATGGGTTTATGATCTGAGCAATCACACAGAGTCCCATGTTCAGAAGGGCCACAACTTGGTTTAATACTTGGTTGTTACCTTCTTAAATTCTTAATAATTTTTTCTTTGAACTTATCTTTTGCAAATGAAAATTGCTGGGATAATGCAGCAGGTAATGTGAACAGAAGTGTAATGCACAATATTGCCACTGTCTCACCACTGTTCCTTGTCACCCCATTAGCATATAGCATTTGCAATACTCCGTGAGCACAGAGTTTTGGTGAACTCACAATGTGTGGGAGTTCTGCAAGGCTCAGAGTGAATATAAGATAAATGTGTTATATCTGTGACCGAATAAGCAGGGCATGACAACCTTGAGAGGCCACACTTTGTAGAACCAGAACTTGCTTCAAATGCATACAGGAGGCAGTGGTATTATAAGATACATGAACTATCAAGAAATCCTACCACATCCTTTTATATTTGTGTTACTTCCCTGTATTAGCCAAGCACTTAATTGTATAACAAGTAGAAAACATTATGGCAAGTCAATAGATGGAGAAAGAATGGAAAAAAAAACTTTATATTTTAGTATTATTGATGCTTTTCCCACCTGCTTTTTAAATAACGGGCCCTACATTTTAAATTTGCAGTAGACCCTTGAAATTATGTAGTCAACCCTTGAACCAGTTTACAAACGGAGAAGGTTGAGCATGTCTAAGCCTATGTGAAAGATAAAAAATGATTAATAGTATGCCTAGGTAACCTTAGCCAGAGCATGGGTAAACCCTGTTTACTTACATATTTGGACGCAGGAAGGTAGGCTGCACAACATATGTTTATGTATTCATAACACTTTAAAATAAGTTCCCTAAATGTTTCTACTTGAGAGAAAGAGAATCTATGGGATAAAATATTAGTTTTATTCTGTTCTGTAATCAATTCTCCCTCTTCCCACTTTTGGGAGTGCTAAAGTGAGGGATTATTTGAGATTTTGTTGTAATCTGTAGAAATTTTATAACAAATAACTAACATTATTGAAAATCTAATCTTTTATAAAAAAAATAAGAGTGCTATTAATAGTAAAATCTAATATAGAGGAGAGAAACAATGATGTGAGTAGGTAGATTATTCAAAATAGCAGATGATCTTCTTTATTTCATTACTTTTCAGTGTGACTATTGTTTTCTTTCAGGGTTCCCAGGTAAGGATATTTATAAAAGATTGCAGTTCTATTCAAAGCCTTCCTATAACAACTAATCATACAAAAATTTCCCAGAGTTTATTCAATTATGTCCTCCTTCAGTCATCACATCTCCATTGTTCAGTATTTAAGGTAATCATGATTTATTTGTTTTGACACCTCTTTATTCAGTTAGATGAAAATAAATGCTTTAGAACCTGGGTCAACCTTTAAATCCTATCAATTAAGGAAAGAATAGACAGCATTGCCATTTCCAAAACATTTTGAAACAGGAATAAAATATGCATGTTTTTTTCTTTTCAGATTTAATGGTTCCTTGAGGCAATTATCTATTTTTTTCTATCAAAATAAGGTAATTATTAGTGGAGAGAATTATTTGCATGTAAGTTTCCCTTTCAAATTTGCCTTGCTTCATCTCACATCAGGTTGGCTCTCAGTACTTGTGCACCTATGAAATCTTCAAACACTCTATTATTTCAATGTACTACTTGTTCCTGGTGGTGACTACCCAAAAGCTTTGGCTTGTAGGTCCCCCCGATGGAAGAGTGCTTCTGTAGTTGTGGATTCCTTTTTATAATGATGTCAATGTATTTCTCTTTTCATTAAAACACACTTTTGTTTGTAGATACATGTAATATCAATACTTTGCTTTCTCTGAAGATCGTGAGTTTCACTATTTAGTTTTCTTACAGTTAATGAACTAGGTCTTAACTTTTGTAAGATGTGGAGTCTACAAAGTCTTTGAAAAGCAGGATGGCCAAATTTTCTTGCCATTTGTTTCCTAAAATATATAAGAAGTAAAGCCTCCATATTTTGTTTATAAAACACTGCTTGTAATTTACTTGTATTTATTATAAAGATCATTTACAAAAAATAATTTGTCCTCCATCAGATAAAATTGTGAGCTTTTGGCAGGGACAGGTAAAACAGTGTGAACAGAAATTATGTCTTGTTTATTTTGCATTCTCAGTACTCAGCATGTTATTTTATGTAATAGGCACTTAATGAATGTTTGTTGAATAAATGAAATGATAGAATTGTAACCTAGATTTCCCCCAAGGGGATCACATACACAGTCATAGCTCAAATGTCACTGGCTTGCTGTATTTACTTGCATACTGCAGGAATTCCAGCTTACTATTTTGGTTTGTGGATACATGCAGTGGTGATTTACATGGCCTTATAAACCGTGTTGCTGTTGCCCTGTCTATAAAACTATTTGAAATGAAAGCAATGCACTATTGGGATGCATGGATACCATTCACAATACAGTCTTCTTGCTTAGAGTATGGACTTCCCAAGGCTGAAAAACCTTGAGCTGTGAAAACAATATGAGGTTCTCTTAGTCATTATTGTTCATAGGCTAACGTTTTTCAGGTACAAATGGGGACCATGTTTTCTGTCCAAATCTATGATAGACATTGTCACAATTACTTCATTTATTCAGTTAATAAATAGATGTTAAATATGTTCTATATGCCAACTACTATTCAAGTTCCTGGAGATCAAACAACGAAGAAGATAGTAAAGGTAAAAAAAAAAAAAAAACAAAACAAGATAGCAAAATTCCCTACTAAAATGACATTTACATTTATGTGAGAGGTGAAGTAATAAATACTTGACATAATTTTTGATAGTAATATAACACAGCCTGGGTCCCATATCTCAAAGCCTTATTTTTTTTTTCAATCTGAGTCACAAGTTTCTTTCATATTTTATGATTTCTGAAAGGAGGATTTCTGAATCAATTGATACATAAATTTAATGTAGTACATCCTATCGTTTTGTGTTGTTTTCTGTGAAAACTTGTTAATGGCATATGTGATGAAGAATGGTTTCTTGGTTTGAAGAAAATAATACTACAGTACCTTGAGAAAATACCACTTTTAAGTTCTGTGTACAATTTCTTACGGAATATTGAAAACCAGTTCATTGGATTGAGCCAAGAATAGATAGTACACTATTCACCAACTGTCTTTCTACTAAAGTGCTATATTCAAACATTCTCTATATAGATCCTATCCCACCCCTTTTAATTAGCTCATGCTATATATGCATGGTAGGTCTGTATGATCGCTTTGCTAGTTATACTCAGATGTGCCTCAGACTTAACCACAGTCTCTGTCTAGGCTCAAATTGTACTATTTTATAGTTGGTAATTATCATATCCATTGTAACTATTTTATAGTTGGTAATTATCATATCCATTGTATCTTTTTTCAGTATGATAACTGAAAGCTCAGAGGTTAAGTGTAAGATGTTCAAAATCTGCTCCTGTTCAGAATTGTAGCATATGTATTCTCAATTTAGAATCCATTTATCTTTCCATAAGACTGTGCTACCGCTTACTTTAAATACTTTAAAAATTCTTTTACTCTGCCTCCAGATTCTTTTACTTTGCCTCCAGATTCTCCGTTATTCTTTTTAAATAACAAATGTGAAGTCCTCAAAATAAAATATCCGAGACCTTAAAAGAAGCTTTGAAAGATATTATTGAGTGCCTCCTCTGTGGTGGGTCTACTGGATATCGTAAGGTGTATAAGAAGCCATCTAAGACCTGATAATCAGTCTTGTGAACAATTGAGTACAAGGGCATTGTAAATTACAATCTCCTCTAAACACTGCTTGCTCAAGAATATATTAGGGTTATACAAATAATTTCTGTTGAATAATTGCTTAAAATGTTAGTCAATCATTTGTTATTCCTAGATTGGGTCTTGCTAAATACAATGGACAGTAAAAATTCTGAGTAATCTATCAGTGTAGGTTTCATGTTTGATTAAAAAAGTCATTAAAATGCATTTGAGAGGACGTTATCCCATTCTTTCTCTAGAGTTCAGCTTCAGCCAAGCAGTGGTAAAGCTAATAACATTCTCCCTTTATAGAAAAGCCCAGAATCATTTTATTTTCTGTCTCCTAATAAGCTCCTTACATTAAGGTATCAACGGGGAATGATGGTGAAAAATTTTGCTCAAGTAAAAGATAATTTCCTTTTCTTAGACTGCTATGAAAAAAATATGGGACTTTGGATTTTGTTTTATTTTAAAGTTAGTGAATATGAATAATACTATGTTGTTATAAAAGGTAGAAGGATGAATTATACAGGTTTACCTGGGAGATACTGCAGATATGGTTTTAGATTACTGCATAAAGCAAGTATCACAATAAAGCAAGTCACAAAATTTTACTTTCCTAGCGCATGTAAAAGTTATGTTTATACTATACTGTAGTCTATTAAGTGTGCAATAGCATTATGTTTAAAAAGTATATATCTTAATTTAAAAATAATTTATTGCTAAAAATGCTAACAATCATCTAAGCCTTCAGCAATTCATTATCTTTTTGCTCGTGCAGGGTTTTGCCACAATGTTGACGGCTGCTGACTGATCAGGATGGTGGTGGTTGAAGGTTGGGGTGGCTGTGGCAATTTCTTAAAATAAGACAACAGTGACGTTTGCCACATTAATTGACTCTTCCTTTGATGAAAGATTTCGCTATAGCATGTGATACTATTTGATATCATTTTATCCACAGTAAAACTTCTTTCAAAGTTAGAGTCAATTCTCTCAAACCCTGCCACTGCTTTATTGCCTAACTTTAATGTTCTAAATCTTTTGTTGTCATTTCAACAGTGTTTGCAAACATCTTCACTAGCAGTAGATTCCATCTCAAGAAACCACTTTCTTTGCTCCCCCATAAGTAACTCTTCAGACATTCAAGTTTTATCATGAATTTGTAGCAGCTCAGTCACATCTTTAGGCTCCACTTCTTATTCTAGTTATTTTGCTCTTTCCATCACTTCGTAATTATTTTTTCTACCGAAGTCTTTAACCCTTCCAAGCCATCCATAGAGGCTGAAATCAACCTCTTCCAAGCTCCTGTTAATGTTGATATTTTGACCTCATTTCATGAATCACAAATGGTTTTAGTGGCATCTACAATAATGAATCATTTTCAGATGTTTTTCAATTTACTTTGCTAAGGTTCATCACAAGAATCCCCATCTATGGTAGCAATAGCCTTATAAATGTCAGCCTGTCCTTTGAAGCTTTGAAGCCAGGCATTGACTTCTCTCTAGCTATGAAAGTCCTAGGTGGATTCATCTTCCATTAGAACATTGAAAATCTGTCGTTTAGTGTAGCCACCTTCACAATTGTCTCAGCTAGGCCTTCTGGATACCTTGCTGAGGCATCCACATTAGCAGTTGCTGCTTTACCTTATACTTTTATGTTATGGAGATGGCTTCATACCTTAAATCTCATGAACCAACCTCTGCCAGCTTCAAACTTTTCTTCAACAGCTTGCTCACCTCTCTTAGGCTTCAGAGAATTGGAGAGAATTTGGACTTTCCTCTGGATTAGGCTTTGGCTAAAAGGAATGTTGTGGCTGTTTTGATCTTCTCTCCAGGCCACTAAAACTCTCTCAGTATCAGCATTAAGGCTATTTTGCTTTCATATGATTTGTGTGTTCACTGGAGTAGCATTTTTAGTTTTCTTGAAGAACTTTTCCTTTGCATTTGCAAGTTGGCTAACTGGCACACAAGCGACCTAGCTTTCACCTATCTTAGCCATACCTTCTTCACTAAGCCTTACTTTTTTCTAGATTTTGATGTAAAGTGAGATGCATGTGACTTCCTTTCACTTGAACACTAGAGGCTATTGTAGGGCTATTAACTGGCCCAATTGTGATACTGTTTGTCCCAGGGAATAAGAAGGCCCAAGGAAAGAGAGATAGATTGGGAAATGGCTGGTTGGTGAAGAAGTCAGAATATACACATTTATTCATTAACTTCACTGTCCTATACAGTTGAGACTCATTGTACTCCAAAGCATTTACAGTAGTAACATCAAAGATCTTTGACCATAGATCACCATGATATAATAATAGTTTAAAAATCTGAAATATGAGAATAAAATATGACACAGTGACATGAAGTGAGAACATGCTGTTAGAGATATGGCACCAATAGACTTGCTCCAGGCAGGGTTGCCACAAACCTTCATTTTTTTTTTTTTTAAATAGCATCCCCATTACCACTTCAAACTGAAGGCCAAAGGAATTATATTAGCCTTGACCTACTACCCAAAGCTGCACCAACTGCAGGATTTTTACGTTTTGAATTTATATCCTCAACCTTCAGTTTGTCCTTCCAATAGCAATTATAGGCATTTGTGATGCTGTCTACAGGCTGCTCAAGGGAATCTCTAGTGCATTATATCATGTTTAGCAGTGATATAAAAAAAAGTGCATGTTGATGGGCATTGAGCTGCAGAAATTCTAGATGCATCTGTATATACACACACACCATACACACCCACAAAACACATAGACACTCTACACATTGGTAGACAAAAACTTTGACCCCTTCAATGTAACAGATTACCTACCCATCTATTCTCTGATTCTACTTTTTTTTTAAGTAAAAGTAGTAACTTTCACATCTCCTAGTTAAACATTTTCTATCTGTGAAACACTATACAGTGAAGTGCAATAAAACAAGATATGTTTGTACTGAGTATTGAAAGAGTTTTGGAGGAATGCTTCATTCTTACCCAACTCCTTAGTCTTGATTTTAAAATAATTGGTTTTGTCCATTAATATCACTCAAGAATTGTATCACAAGGAATTACAAACACCATCAAGTAAGCATTGATACAGATCTTGGAAAAGGAGATCTACATTTGTAGGCCATTTTTGCTTAACTTGGAATTCTGCTTAACATTTTTCTCAAAGATATTAATAAGAGAGCTTGTGTTAAGGAAAGAGTAGACCAAATAAGTTTGGGAAGTTCTATAATGTAATTTCCTGACAATTCATATACCCATTAGCATGTGTGTTAGAATTGCTATAAAAATATACCACAAGCTGGGTGGCTTAGAATAAAGAAATTTGTCTGACAGTTCTGGAGGTTGGAAGTCTCAAATGAAGATGTCAGCATAATCTTTCTGAAGTTACTAGGGAAGGATCTGTTCCAGGCCTCTTTTCTAGCTTCTGGTAATTCCTGGCTTAAGAGGAAATAACTCCAGTCTTCACATGGTGTTCTGTCTTTTTGTGTGTCTATGTCCATATGTCCCCTTCTTATAAGGACACTTGTCATATTGGACTGGGGCCCTTTGTACTCCACTGTGACCTTATCCTAACATCACTAATTATATCTGCAATGACCATATTTCCAAATAAGTTCATATTTTGAGGTCCTAGGGGTTATGACATAAATTTTGGACAGACACAAACTGATAGATAATTGCATATTAAAATCTTTTTCAATACCAGTAAAAATATTTAATTTTGGTTTTATCTAGAAATTTTTTTCTTTGAGAATAGAATATTTGTTATGGTCCGATGTTTGTGTTCCCTGAAATCCATATGTGAAATCTTAGCCTCCAAAGTGATGGTATTATGAGGTGGGGCCTTTGGGAGGTGACTGGGATTAGCTCCCTTATAAAAGACATCCCAAAGTTCCCTTCTGCCATGTGAGGACACAGTGGGAAGATACTATCTGTGAACAAGAAAGTTGGTGCTCACCAGACACTGAATCTGGTGGTTTCTTCATCTTAGACGTCCTAGCTTCTAGAATTGTAAGCAATACTTTTCTGTTTTTGTAACCAAATCCATCTTTGTTGTTTAATACCCAGTTTATGGTATTTTGTTTTAGCAACCTAAACAGACTAAGATGACACTTTATTACTACATTCCTGTTAATATAAATCAATATTTAAGAAGAGGCACAAGAGAAGGTATGAAAAAATGCTTAAATTTAAGGTGGTGGTGGTGGGACTTGGGAAGGAAGTTGTGTTATTAACGGATTTTTACTGCGTAACAGATCACCCCAGACCCCAATGCCTTAAAACAGTAAACATTTATTTCTCGTATCTGTGGCATTCAGCTAATCCATACTGAACTTCACTGCTTACTGTTTTCTCACTCATGTGACAATGGCTTGACTCTGCTCCATGTATCTCATTCTGCTCCTGAAACTGGCATGTACGTGCAGCATGTTCTTATAGCAATGTGAAAGGTGCAAGAGAGTGCAAGAAATGCACCTGAGGCCTCTTGAAGCTTGGAACTGCGCAGCTGTGCTTTTACCTGCCCTATTAATCCAAGTAAATCACATAACAGAAGCAAAATAAGAGTAGGAGGGCATTCATCTTCACAACTGAAGGCACTTATCCACTGGCCATCACCACCACAAACTGAAGGCCAAAGGAATTATCTTAGCCTTGACCTGCTACACACAGCTGCATCAACTGCAGGAGTTTTACATTTTTAATATATATCATCAACCTGCATTTTCTCCTTTCAATAGCAATTATGGGCTTTTGTGATTCTGTGTAAAGGCTGCCCAAGGGAATATCTAGTGCATTTGCTCATGTTTAGCAGTGATGTATGTTGATGGGCATTGAGCTACAGATATTCTAGATGCATCTCTATATACACACACACACCATACAAACCCACAAAATACACAGACACTCTACACATTGGTAGACTACAATTTGGTACACGTTGTGTAGACTACACTTTGACTCTACACATTGGTAGATTAAAACTTGGGCCTCTTCAATGTAACAGATTACCTACCTGTCTATTCTCTGATTGTCTTTTTTAAAGTACAAGTAGTGTCTTTTACATTGCCTTGCTAGATATTTTCTGGTACTCTTCTACTCCAAGAAACAGTTCACTGATCTGAAATATGAAAGCAGACAGTGTCACTGAAGAGAATTACAACTCTTGTAAACACCGTGAATGTCTCCAGTAACTTATTCAGTAATACATCAACATCAGAATAAAGGTCATGAGAGACCACACTCACCTGAGCAATGCAGCAGCATAGGCCAAAGCTTTCCAACAGGTAAAATCAAGAACATAGATAGATGCTCAATAGGTGATATGGTTTGGCTGTGTCCCCACCCAAATCTCAACTTGAATTATATCTCCCAGAAATCCCACCTGTTGTGGCAGGGACCCAGGGGGAGGTAATTGAATCATGGGGACTGGCCTCATGTGCTATTCTTGTGATAGTGAATAAGTTTTACGAGATCTGATGGGTTTATTAGGGGTTTCCATTTTTGCTTCCTCCTCATTTTTCTCTTGCTGACACCATGTAAGAAGTGATTTTCACCTCCTGACATGATTCTGAGGCCTCCTCAGCCATACGGAACTGTAAGTCCAATTAAACCTCTTTTTGTTCCCAGTTTCTGGTATGTGTTTATCAGCAGTGCGAAGACAAACTAATACAGTAAATTGGTAGCAGTAGAATGAGGCACTGCTGAAAAGATTCCTGAAAATGTGGAAGCGACTTTGGAACTGGGTATCAGGCAGAGGTTGGAACAGTTCGGAGGACTCAGAAGAAGATGGGAAAATGTGGGAAAGTTTGGAACGTCCTAGAGACTTGTTGAATGGCTTTGACAAAAATGCTGGTAGTGATATGAACAATAAAGTCCAGGCTGAGGTGTTCTCAGATGGAGTTGAGGAACTTGTTGGGAACTGAAGCAAAGGTGACTCTTATGTTTTAGCAAAGAAACTGGTGACATTTTGCCTCTGCCCTAGAGATTGTTGAAACTTTGAACTTGAGAGAGATGATTTAAGGTATCTGGTGGAAGTAATTTCTAACCAGCAAGGCACTCAAAAGGTGACTTGGATGCTATTAAAAGCATTCCATTTTTAAAAGGGAAACAGAGCATAAAACTTCAGAAAATTTACAGCCTGACAATACAGTAAAAAGAAAACCCTACTTTTTGAGGAGAAATTCAAGCTGGCTGTAGAAATTTGCATAAGTAGCAAAGAGCCTAATGTTAATCCCCATGACCATGGGGAAAATGTCTCCAGGCCCTGCCAGAGACCTTCATGGCAGCCCCTCCCATCACAGGCCTGGAGGTCCAGGAGGAAAAAGTGGTTTTGTGGGTCAGGCCCAGGGCCCCAGTGCTGTATGCAGCCTAGGGACTTGGTGCCTTGTGTCCCAGCTGCTCCAGCCATGGCTGAAAGGGGACAATGTGGAGCTTGGGCTGTGGGTTCAGAGGGTGGAAGCCCCAAGCCTTGGCAGCTTCCACATGGTGTTGAGCCTGCAGGTGTCCAGAAGTCAAGAATTGAGGTTTGGGAACCTCCGCCTAGATTTCAGATGTATGGAAGTGCCTGGATGCCCAGGCAAAAGTTTGCTACAGGGGCAGGGCGCTCATGGAGAAACTCTGCTAGGGCAGTGTGGAAGGGAAATATGGGGTGGGAACCCCACACAGAGTCCCTACTGGGGCACTGGCTAGTGGAGCTGTGAGAAAAGGGCCACAACCCTCCAGACCCCAGAATGGTAGATCCACTGGCAGCTTGCACCATGGTGCCTGGAAAAGCCACAGACACTCAATGCCAGCCATGAAAACAGCCAGGAGGGAGGCTGTACCCTGCAAAGCCACAGAGGAAGAGCTTCCCAAGAACATAGAAACCTATCTTTCTCAGCAGCATGACCTGTATGTGAGACCTGGAGTCAAAGAAGATCATTTTGGTGTTTTAAAATTTGATGTCCTGCTGCATTTTGGACTTGCATGGGCCCTGTAACCCCTTTGTTTTGGCCAATATCTCCCATTTGGAATGGCCATATTTACCCAATAACTGTATGCCCATTGTATCTAGGAAGTAACTAGCTTGCTTTTGATTTTACAGGTTCTTAGGTGGAAGGGACTTGCCTTGTCTCAGGTGAAACTTTGGACTGTGGACTTTTGGGTTAATGCTAAAATGAGTTAAGAATTTGGGGGACTGTTGAGAAGACATGATTGGTTTTGAAATATAAGGACATGAGATTTGGAGGGGCCAGGGGTGGAATGATATGGTTTGGCTGTGTCCCTACCCAAATCTCAACTTGAATTGTATCTCCTAGAATTCCCAAATGTTGTGGGAGGGACCCAGGGGGATAATTGAATCATGGGGGCTGGTCTTTCCCATGCTATTCTTGTGATAGTGAATAAATCTCATGAGATCTGATGGGTTTATCAGGTGTTTCCCCTTTTGCTTTCTCCTCATTTTTCTCTTGCCTCCACCATGTAAGAAGTGCCTTTTACTTCCCACCATGATTCTGAGGCCTCCCCAACCATGTGGAACTGTAAGCCCAATTAGACCTCCTTTTGTTCCCAGTTTCAGGTATGTCTTTATCAGCAGCATGAAAACAAACTAATACATTGGAGGGTAATTGGATCTGTTCAATCCTTGGCTACTGAAATGTAGCTACCTTTCCCACACTGGTCAAAGGGATCTTCCCAGATTTCCCTCCTAATGAAATTCTTTTAATGCTATTCATTGATTAAGTTGTCCTGTTTTGTTTTTTTGTTTTTTTTTTCTAACTTGCTATTATCTGTGTCAGTCTCTCCTTGTTTTATAATCATAAGTACTTTTGTTTTTGCCATCTTTGCCCTACCAATGAGGCTGTGTATGTTTCCTTTGTGTATGTTAGATATTTTCTTTAGATAATCCACAAGAGAAGTATGGCGAGAATTTGATTGAAGTATAGGTCCATGACAGAGGGGTTGGGGAAATAAGGAGTTGGATTAAATAGAGTTAAGGATAATAGAAATACAGAGAGGCATAGGAGATCAAAATGTGGATGAGGATGATCAGATTCTGTGATACTGAAGGACTAGTAAAGAGGAAAGACAGGAAGTTATATTCAGAAAGGGGAAAATCAGTTGGAGATTACAAAAACAAAATGAAGATGTGAGAATGTGGGTAGATTGACTGACCTGTGTTGAAGGGTTGAAGTTGAGTGGGCCAAAGACTTTTGTTTCATTTGATTATTAGAGAATAAAGAGTGCTTTTCAGAGGTTTTAATAATCACCGCAGGGTTCTTCAAATCTTTAAATGTTTTTCTTCAAGCATTCAAAAGGTAATTTCGTGCTTAAAAGCTGCCCCATTAAGGGAGCTGTTATCTTACATTTCTCAATGCCCTAATCACCCATAAATTGAATTAAAAGCACAGGTTTCCAGATTTTCTTTTGGATTAATCATAATTACCCAGCAAATAGTTTTCAAAAATCAGTAGGTTGCAAAAATAGTATTTGGTTGGTACAGTATGCTTTAATTCCATCAACATTTATCAGTCAGCTGTATTTCCTGCTGACCTCGTGTTGTACTTCAGAGAAACTTGTATAATTAGACTTACAGAGCAAGAATATTTTGAAGCATCCACTGTACCCACGTCTTTTTACATCATAATACTATGTGAAAAGTATAAAAAATTAATTCAACTATTTTTAAACTTTAAGATTTTAAACAATTTTCTTGATATTCTAATTAATCAAGTATTTTATGCTTTGCCCTAGAAGCAACTTTCAACATAGACTAACCAAAAAATAAATTTTATAATGTGAGTAGTTTTTCTCACTGAGTTGGTCTGATGGTATCTTATCAGATTTCTTTTCGGGAAACAACATTTTTTGTTTTTCTCCAAGGACCAATTCAGAAAAAAACAAAAATGTCTACCAGACATGTTTAAAAAGTTAACATAAAAATTTTCTTTTAGGGAGTGCCAAGGAAATGCATATTCTAATGAGATAGATTATTATAAAATAGTGCAATGTATTTTGAAAAGTAGCACTCTATTTGAGCCACAAGAAATTTAATATTTGGTATATTTTAGAAGTAACATTAAGGCTATTTTCTAATTTTTAATCCCTCATATTTTTAATACTTAAAAATATGTTCACTTAAGGAATTTAACTTTAAGACAACCCTAAATGTAGATATTATTTTCAATCTTAGGTGTAAAACTCCTTAGGGTAGTAAAATAACTTCCTTAAAGCTACATGGGAAATTATATACAGAAGGGGCTTAAAAGAATTTATTCCATTAAGTAAAAAGTAAGGAGAGACACAGGGCTGTAGACATAAATTAGGAGTTAGTAGAATATAGATGATATAACATGAGACAAGATGATGAATCCAAAAATGATACCCAAAGACTCTCTCAATTCTCAACTGTTAAAGTGAGGACATTTATTGGAAAAGAATGGGACCCTGCAACTTGGAATGGGGACGTGTGGGAGGACCCTGATGAGGCTGGGGGTACTGAACTCCTAAATTCTGATGAGCCTTTTTTGCCAGAAAAAATGGCCTCCCCCCACCACCCCAGTGCTGGCAACATCTCCTCCCCTACCCATGCTGCCATCAGCCTTTCCACCTTTGTCTGAGGATATTAACACTGCAAGCCTGAGGCAACAGTGATAGCCTCCTCTGAAGCAGTTGCCAGGTAAGACAATGCTGATTCTCCTCAGGACCCACCCCTAATATCTCTGTTTGTTTCTAGACCTATAACTAGACTAAAGTTGTGGCAAACCCCAAGAGGTGAGTTTATAGTGTGACCCACAAAGAGCTGTACTACACTCCAAAAGACATGCTAGAGTTTTCTAATTTACATTAGCAGAAATCTGGAGAACAGGCATGGGAATTAATATTAAGGGTGGGGGATAATGGCAGAAAGAACATAAAGTTGGATCAGGCTAAATTTATTGATATGGGCCCACTAAGCAGGGATTCTGCATATAATGTTGTACCTCAGGGAGTTAAAAAAGGTTCTGATAGTTTATTTGCTTGGTTAGCTGAAACATGGATCAAAAGATGACCCTTCTGAGTGAGCTGGAAATGCCTGATCTCCCTTGGTTTAATGTAGAGGAAGGGATCCAAAGGCTAATGGAGATTGGAATGCTAGAGCAGGTTCGTCACTTTAGACCAATTCATCCCACTGGGAGGGTGCAGAACACATACCCTTCACCGATGCCTTCTGAAACAGATTTGTGAGGGGAGCACCTGCATTCTTGAAGAGCTCTGTGATTGCTCTTCTCTGTATGCCAGATCTTACATTGGGAACCACAGTCACTCAATTGGAAAACTTAAATGCTATAGGAATAATTGTATCCCAAGGTGGCATGGGCCAAGTGGTGGCACTCAACTGTCAAGGGCAAAGTCAGTGTAGCTACTAGAGTGGACAGCACAGACAGCAGCAATCAGAATAGTCTGACTTGTGTAGAGTTCTGGCACTGGCTAGAGTGTTCCTAGAAGTGAAATTAATAGGAAGTGAATTCTTACTTAATTTATATAAGCAGAAAACTTCCAGGCTGAGTTGAATTATAAAAATACAAGGACTTCATGTCTAAAACACCAAAAGCAATGGCAACAAAAGCCAAAACTGACAAATGGGATCTAATTAAACTAAAGAGCTTCTGCACAGCAAAAGAAACTAACATCAGAGTGAACAGGCAACCTGCAGAATGGGAGAACATTTTTGCAATCTACTCATCTGACAAAGGGCTAATATCCAGAATCTACAATGAACTCAAACAAATTTACAAGAAAAAAAAAAACCCCATCAAAAAGTGGGCAAAGGACATGAACAGACACTTCTCAAAAGAAGACATTTATGCAGAAAACATACACATGAAAAAATGCTCATCATCACTTGCCATCAGAGAAATGCAAATCAAACCACAATGAGATACCATCTCACACCAGTTAGAATGATGATCATTAAATGTCAGGAAACAACAGGTGCTGGAAAGGATGTGGAGAAATAGGAACACTTTTACACTGTTGGTGGGACTGTAAACCAGTTCAACCATTGTGGAAGTCAGTGTGGCGATTCCTCAGGGATCTAGAACTAGAAATAGCATTTGACCCAGCCATCCCATTACTGGGTATATACCCAAAGGATTATAAATTATGCTGCTATAAAGACACATGCACATGTATGTTTATTGCGGCACTATTCACAATAGCAAAGACTTGGAACCAACCCAAATGTCCAACAATGATAGACTGGATTAAGGAAATGTGGCACATACACACCATGGAATACAATGCAGCCATAAAAAATGATGAGTTCATGTCCTTTTCAGGGACATGGATGAAGCTGGAAACCATCATTCTCAGCAAACTATCACAAGGACAAAAAACCAAACACCGCATGTTCTCACTCATAGGTGGGAATTGAACAATGAGAACACACGGACACAGGAAGGGGAACATCACACACTGGTGCCTGTTGTGGGGTGGGGGGAGGGGGGAGGGATAGCTTTAGGAGATATACCTAATGTTAAAGGACAAGCTAATGGGTGCAGCACACCAACATGGCACATGTATACATATGTAACTAACCTGCATGTTGTGCACATGTACCCTAAAACTTAAAGTATAAGGAAAAAAAAAAAAGAAAAAAAATAGAGAATAATGACCCCTCTATCAACTTCCAGACTTGAACCAGTTTACAGACAAAGAACGCTTTGAATGAAGGGGACATGGGGTCCCCTTGAGGAAGGCCCCAACTACACTACTGACAATTTATGCTGTTAATTTTTCTCCCATCTTTCCCCAGGGAGACCTCTGGCCTATTATCAGGGTAATGTGCACTGAGGAAAAGGGAATGATGAGAATTTTCGGGCAACACTGGACACTGGCTCTGAGCTGATGTTCATTCCAGGGTACCCAAAATGTCATTGTTGTCCTCCAGTTAAACTAGGGGCTTATGGAGATCAAGTAATTAATGGAGTTTTAGCTCAGGTCTGACTTACAGTGGGTCCAGTGGGTCCCCAGACTCATCTTGTGGTCATTTTCCCAGTGCCAGAATGCATAATTCGCATAGACATGCTTAGCAGCTGGCATAACCCCCCACATTGGCTCCTTGACTAGTAGGATGAGAGCTATTATGATGGGAAAGGCCAAATGGAAGCCATTAGAGGTGCCTCTACCTAGAGAAATAGTAAATAAAAAACAATATCTCATCCCTGGAGGGATTGCAGAGATTAGTGTCACCATCAAGGACTTGAAAGATGCAGGGGTGGTGATTCCCATCACCTCCCTCTTCAACTCTCCTATTTGGCTTGTGCAGAAGACAAATGGATCTTGGAGAATGATTGTGGATTATCGTAAGCTTAACCAAGTGGTGACTCCAATTGCAGCTGCTGTACCAGAAGTGGTTTTGGCAAATTCCTTTTTCTCCATTCTGTCCATAAGGCCCACAAGAAGCAATTTGTCTTCAGCTGGCAAGGCCAGCAGTATATCTTTATCATTCTACCTCAGGGGTATAACAACTCTCTGGCTTTGTGTCAGATTTTTTTTTTTTTTTTTTTTTGAGACAGAGTCTCACTCTGTCACCCAGGCTGGAGTACAGTGGCATGATCTCAGCTCACTGCAACCTCTGCCTCCCAGGTTTAAGAAATTTTCTGCCTCAGCCTCCCAAGTAGCTGGAATTACAGGCGTGTGCCACCACGCCCTGCTAATTTTTTGTATTTTTAGTAGAGATGGGGTTTCACCATCTTGGCCAGGCTTGTCTTGAACTCTTGACCTCGTGATCTACCCACCTCGGCCTCCCAAACTGCTGGGGTTACAGGTGTGAGCCACATAATCTTATTCAGAGAGATCTTGATCGCTTTTTGCTTCTGCAAGATATCATACTGGTCCATGACATTGATGACATTATGCTGATTAGATCCAGTGAGCAAGAAGTAGCAAACACACTGGACTTATTGGTGAGACATTTGCATGCCAGGGGATGGGAAATAAATCTAACTAAAATTCAGGGACACCTGTTACCTCGGTAAAATTTCTAGGGATCCAGTGATGTCAGGCCTGTTGAGATATTCCTTCTAAGGTGAAGGATAAGTTACTGCATTTGACCCCTCCTACAACCAAGAAAGAGGCACAATGCCTAGTGGGCCTATTTGGATTTTGGAAGCAACACATTCCTCATCTGGGTGTGTTACCCCGGCCTATTTATTGAGTGATCTGAAAGGCTGCCAGTTTTGTGTGGGGTCTAGAAGAGAAGAAGGCTCTTCAACAGGCCCAGTCTGCTGTGCAAGTTGCCCTGCCACCTGGTCCACATGACCTAGCAGATCCCATGGTGCTTGAAGTGTCAGTGGCAGATAGGGATGCTATTTGGAGCCTTTGGCAGGCCCCCGTAGGTGAACCACAGCGGAAGCCTCTTGGATTTTGGAGCAAGGTTCTGCTGTCTTCTGTAAAAAAAACTACTCTCCTTTTGAGAGACAGCTCTTGGCCTGCTACTGGGCTTCGGTAGAAACAGAACGTTTGACCATGGGGCATCAAGTCACCATGAGATGTAAACCACCTATCATGAACCAGCTGCTTTCTGACCCATCTAGCCATAAAGTTGGGCATGCACAGCAGCATTCCATCATCAAATGGAAGTGGCATATATGTGATCAGGCTTGGGCAGGTCCTGAAGGCATGAGTAAGTTACATGAGGAAGTGGCTCAAATGCCCATAGTCTCCATTCCTGCCACCCTGCCTTTTCTACCCCAGCCTGCACCAGTGGCCTCATGGGGAGTTCCCTATGACCAGTTGACAGAGGAACAGAAGACAAGGGTCTGGTTTACAGATGGCTCTGAATGATATTCAGGCACCACCCAAAAGTAGACAGCTGCAGCACTACAGCTTCTTTCTAGGACATCCCTGAAGGACAGCAGTGAAGGGAAATTTTCCCAATAGGCAGAACTTCAAGCAGTGCACCTGGTCGTGCACTTGGCATGGAGGGACAAATGGCCAGATGTGTGATTATATACTGATTCTTGGTCTGTAGCCAATGATTTGGCTGGATGGTCAGGGACTTGGAAGAAGCATGACTGGAAAATTGGTGACAAAGAAATCTGGGAAAGAGGTATGTGGAGGGACCTCTTTGGTGAAAAAGTGTGAAGATATTTGTATCCTATGTGAGTGCTCACCAATGGGTGACCTCAGCAGAGGGGGATTTTAATAATCAAGTAGATAGGATGACTCATTCTGTGAACACCACTCAGCCTCCTTCCCCAGCCACCCCTGTCATTGCCCAGGGGGCCTATGAACAAAGTGGCAATGTTGGCAGGGATGGAGGTTATGGATGGGCTCAGCAATGTGGACTTCCACTCACCAAGGCTGACCTGGCTACAGCCACTGCTGAGTGCCCAATTTGCCAGCAGTGGAGACCAACACTGAGCCCTCGATATGGCAACATTATTTGGGGTGATCAGCCAACTACTTTGTGGCAGGTTTATTATATTGGACTTTTTCATCATGGAAAGGGTAGCAGTTTGTCCTCACTGGAATAGACACTTATTCCAGATATGGGTTTGCCTATCCTGCACACAATGCTTCTGCCAAGACTACCATCCATGGACTCCCAGAATGCCGTATCCACCATTATGGTATTCCACACAGCATTGCCTCTGACAAAGGCACTCACTTTACAGCTAAAGAAGTGCAGCGGTGGGCTCATGCTCATGGAATTCACTTGTCTTACCATGTTCCCTATTATCCTGAAGCAGCTAGATCAATAGAATGTTGGAATGGCCTTTTGAAGTAATAATTACAATGCCAACTAGGTGACAATACTTTGCAGGTCTGGGGCAAAGTTTCCCAGAAGGCTGTGTGTGCTCTGAATCAGCATCCAATATATGGTACTGTTTCTTCCATAGCCAGGATTTGTGGGTCCAGGAATCAAGGGGTGAAAGTGGAAGTGGTACCACTCACCATCACCCCTAGTGACAAGGGAGAATTCTCTGGTCCCCTTTTTGGGGACTTGTGACAGGGGTGTGGCTCACTTACTTGGCTGTGGCATTCAAACCCCTGTGGGAGGGGTAGCACACAGATAAGCCTGTGCTGGGGCTGGGACAAGGGCTTTTGGGGTCTGGCCCCATGGATGTATCTATGGGTGTGTTACAATTAATGCTCTTTTAGCAGTTGCTGTCCACGGATGGCTAAGTGGAGAGTCAGAGTGACAGCTCACTGGAGAGTCAGGGTGATAGCCTTTTACACCCTGCCTTTACCCAGCTCAGTGGAGAGTCAGAATGATAGCCTTTTACACCCTGCCCTTTTGGTACCTGGGTCCTTGTCCAGCATCTGGGAAGAATCATGTCACACGGACTTGAAGGATGGTGAATGCAGAGGTTTTATTAAGCTGTGGAAGTGGCTCTCAAAGCAAGGAGAGCTGGAAAGGGGATAACGCAGGAAGAAGGTAATCTTTCCTTGAAGCCCAGACATCTCTGGCCAGGCTTCTCACCAAAGTCGTGCTGTCTGATGTTAAGCTGAGTCTATCTGCAGTCCCCAAAGCTCAGTTTCTGCTGCTTCTCTTGACATTCAGCTGCTTGTCCCTCTGCAAGCTGAGGTCTGGGGTTTATATGAGCACAGAATGTGGGGGTGGGGTGGGCCAAAAATCAACATTTGGGCACAAAAACTGGAATGCCTTTTCTAGTTTAGGGCCGGGGGTCCAGGCTTAAGGGTGAAGCCCTCCCTAGGGATGCCACCCTCCTGCCTCCTGTCCCTATCACTAGTGACTCACTAGCAACATTTTTGTTTTCTGTTACTGTGATATTACATTCTGCTGGCCCAGAGGTCTTAGTTCCAGAGTGGGGAATGCTGCCACCAGGAGACACAACAATAATTCCATTAAATTGGAAGTTAAGATTGCCCTGGACCACTTTGGGCTCCTCTTTTCCTCTAAGTCAACAGCTTACGAGGGGAGTTACAGTGTTGGCTGTGGTGATTGACCCAAACTATCAAGATGAAATCAGTCTATTACTCCACAATGCAGGTAAGGAATAGTATATGTGAAGTACAGGAGATCCAATAGGGCATTTCTTAGTATGACTATGCCCTGATTAAGGTCAAGGGGAAACTTACAATGACCCAATCCACGAAGGACTACAAATGGCACAGACCCTTCAGGAATGAAGGTTTGGATCCCTGCACCAGGTTAAAAAACATGACCCACTGAGATTTTTGCTTCTAGAAGGCAAAGGGAATACAGAATGGGTAGTAGAAGAAGTAGTCATCAATACCAACTACAACCCCATGACCAATTGCAGGAATGAGTACTGCAATTGTCATGAGTGTTTCTTCCTTCTTTTGTTAAGAACATATTTGTGCATGTATATTTTGTTAAGAACATATTTGTGCATGTATACACTTGTACTAAGAAAAAATCTTCATTTTACTTGCTTTATTTTTCTGTTATGTGACATAAGATTTATTGACTTCCTATCAGCATTTAAGTGCTGTTAACTTTATGTAATAGCATTTAGGTTAAGGATTAGTGTGCTTCCAGTAGCATGCAACCACTCTATTGACCAGTGGTTCTAGGTCAATAGAATGGTGGTGTAGGAGGCATTGGGAATCACAGAGTGATTGGTAAGGATTTTCTAGGATTTGCTCACAATCTGCCAAGCAAAGTACAGAAGGGGAGAATAAACAGAAGAACAAGTTGTTGAAATAATAGAAATCTGCATTAACTGATGAAGATCAGTGTTCCTTCTCCCACACTTTTCCTTGATGATGTATTTTGAGAGAAGTTGGTGATGGGGAAAATCAAAATAGATACACATGGAATGAATTATTGATACTACCCAGTATCAATAATACTAACATAACTCATTGATGAAATATTATTGGTGAATTATTAGAAAATGAGATTGCTGTATCTTGGGTCTTCTTCTTAAGAATTGGTCACCCTTTACTTAGCCTCAGATAGAAGTCTGCATGACCTCAAAGTCCTCAAACTTACATTTCACCCACATTGATTTGGAGGAAAAGCTGCAGCAAGCAGTCAAGGACTGCGAGGACAGTGGCTGTGAGAATGGCACATCTCAGATTTACGTTATTCCTGCACGAGTTTGTTTAACTTAGCTCTCTAGTTAAAGGTATGATAATTTCTCCCCAATATCTTCCTAATTGCCAGGGGCTGCTTTGGGGCTTATGGGAACTCTGAAGGCAACAAAGAAAGGCTTGCACAAGGAGTGAAATAAGATAGGGTCAAATTGATGTTTTATGATGTGGCTCAGCTTTCTCTGTTGGGCAGTCATGGGACGATCTGTGAGGAAGTGGTCGATTTTTTCCTTCATGAAGATCTAAGGATAGACCTGATGGCAGAGGCTCACTCAAGTAAAGCTAAATTTCAGCTGCTGAGGACTCTGATGCATTATTTCTAGTACCCAAACTGTGTTCCTCGTGACGGACATTCTCTCGCTTAACTATTTCACATTCAGCTCAAGTTCCCCTCCCCCATTACAAGCACAAGTGTGCATACACACACCCTCACTCACACACTTGCACCCTCCAAACTCTTCTTCTGAGATTCCTTCCCATTCTTTAACTATCTGGAATTCCATCTAGTAACCCTCCTACTAGGTCCTCCTACCTCTATTTCTCCAGATCCCTTTTATTCCTCTATGCAAGTCTTAGCCTCACATCCTTTCTTATTATAGTTCTTAATGAACTAGTAAGTCCAAAGCCTGGACTATTAGTAAACAAAAATAAGTTTTATTTTCCTTGAGGCCAAGGAGATACTTTCTTCAAATGTTCAATCTTATTCATCATAAGTGAGCTTGGAGTATTTTCATATTATTCTAAAAGTGATATGAGGACTGGCAATAATACCTTATACTTTATTCCTCTTAGAATGGGTTTAGTCACTCTAAGGCAAACAAAACAAAATAATTAAATTCCTTTTATCCAAACAGACTGAATATTTGTACCTTGCTCTATTTTTATGTCATTAATCTAGAATAGGATTTTTTAGATGCTGTGCTGGGTGACTGAAGATATTTCTGAAGCCAAACACACCTTGCTGTTCCAGAATAGAGTCAGGATCATTGGAAATAACATTGTCTTCTTCCAAAAATGTCTAATAAGAAGAGACAGGAAGAATAGGGCAAGGAAAAGGAGGAGAGAAAGTAGAGGAGGAGGAGGAAAAAGAAAAAAAAGAGAAGCATTTACAGTATACATACTGAGATGTACAGCAAAAGAGGAAATCTTTGTCTTTGCTCAGATTTTCTTCTTTAAAATAAGCACCAGGGCTTCTATGGGTGAAAGTCTGATGGAACCTCTGATGAAAGGTACTGACAGAAGTTAAATTCCTTAGGTTAGGGGGAGAGAGTCATCTTGTTCAGATTGAACAAGATGCTGCTTACCAGATAGGTTAGTAATTCCAGGCTTCCCCAGCTGAAAATATTTTGCACTGGATAGTCTATTTGCCTATGATTTCATGCAGCTGGGGTGTCACAGTAGGTGGGCTTGGCAGATGAGGGAAGGGATAGGTGTACTGACAGCAGAAATGAGGTGTACAAAAAGCGAACTTTTTTTTTTTTTATGAGGAGGGCAGAGTGTAGGTCTATGTGGTGCTTAATATTGAGTATCAACTTGATTGACTGAAGGATGCAAAGCATTGTTCCCGGGTGTATCTGTGAGGGTGTCGCCAAAGGAGATTAACATTTGAGTCAGTGGGCTGGGAGACGCATACCCACCCTCAATCTAGGTGGGCACAGTCTAATCAGCTGCCAGCAGGGCTATGATAAAAGCAGGCAGAGGAATGTGAAAACATTAGAGTGGCTTTGTCTTCTGGACTTCATCTTTCTCCTGTGCTGGATGCCTCCAACATCGGACTCCAAGTTCTTCAGCTTTGGGACTCTTAAACCTTCAACCACAGACTGAAGGCTGCACTGTCGGGTTTCCTACTTTTGAGATTTTGGGGCTTGGATGGCTTCCTTCCTCCTCAGCTTGCAGATGGCCTATCATGAGATCTCACCTTGTGATCGTGTGAGTCAATACTCCTTAATAAACTCCTCTTCATATATACATCTATCCCATTAGTTCTGTCCCTCTAGAGAACACCTGACAATACAGTCTGTGACCAGGAAAGGTAGAACACTAGGGAGTAGAAACAAAGGAATGGAGCTTAAGGTTATTGATCCTTACCTCCTAATGTCTCTGTGATAGAATGAAGAAAAAGAAGAAAGAGATAAGAATAAATAAGGACAAATAATGATTGCCTACTATAAAGTCAATGCTACTTGTATTACTGTGATTTAAAAAAAAATATGTGTGAAGCAGATATTACCCCTATGGTATAGAGAAGAGGATGGATGGTGAGGGAGGTTAAGTGGTTTGCTCAGATTAAACAGCTGGTGATAGTAGGCCCCAGGTACTTTTCTAATTTCAAATCTGTGATCTTAACACCTGTTTTCAACTTTGGAGGCTGGGAGAAGAGTGATACCATTAAGAGAAAGAAACAGAAAAGCTAGTGCTGACTGTGATGGGGGAGCGTGGTGGGAGGATGAGAAGAGTAGCCCTGGTTGATTGTTTTTGTTATTGCTATAGTAATGCATTCACCTTTTACAGATCATTTCTGCCTTCGTATTACAAATAAGATTACTTTGAGTATGTGTTTGGAAGTACTCTTCATGCGTACAAAACAATCGGGAATCTTTCCAAGAAAGCATAAACATCAAGCCTAGAAATTCTTCAAATAAATCCGTCTATTCTTATTTATTTCTCTGAATATAAATTAGTGGCCTGCCACAGCTGACATCTGCAGAAAATCACTATGAAGAAACGCTTCTTCTGTAGAATGATTCAGTAATATTTGTTACTTTTTGTAATAGATTGGGGAAATATGTTTTTCCACATGGCATATTTTTACTTTTCCCTTCATGCTTATTTTTCCTTTTCCCTTCATGCTTATTTTTCTTGTGGATTGTTTTGCTCTACGCCTAACCCATTGTTCTTTTCTTTCAATTTTTCTTCTAAATAAACACTGTTGCTTTTCTGAAGTAGTATTTTCAAATCCAAAATTAATCTCCTATATGCCTCAGGGTACCTTTTAAAAGTACACCTCCTGTGAGATATTTTCAGCCAATGCTTATTTGGTTGTCTAGTTCTTTATTTATCTTCTGACTCTGTAGCTGAAATGGATGGGGAGACTTGTGCAGATCACAGTCATATGCTTAGGAGATTTAAGAAAAAAACAAGACAAAACAAAAATAACACAGGAGCACTTGGAAAAGTTGGAATGAGGATGAGTATAATAGCCTGGGTGTACTCTAGTGAGATAAAGGCATACATTTCTCTTATTAAACTTTCTGTGACATTACATAGAATGAAAAACAAATTTTTTTAAACTTTAAAACAGAGAAGAACGTTTTAAAATAATGCCAAAATAGATTTGAAATCATTTAGTCATATAAACATTATATTTTTATCAGTACTACAATTATGTTTTATTATTTAAGAACATATTAAAACTGTTGCAGTGTGCGAATTTCTAATTGTTCACAAAAATAATGAGCAATCTTTTACCCTCCCTCATTCTCTTATGGGACTATATATTACTGCTTGAAGCACTTTCATGCTTTCTACCATTTTGTGACAGTGGTCATAGTTGTTATTAATTGTTCAGTGTTTCCTGAGAGCAGTGAACATTTGTGTCTAGTTGTTTGCCTGCCATTAGCAAGAAAAATGTCTGAAATGTATTTAGAGTATTTGTAGAATGAATTAATGAATGTGAAACATTATTTGAGCAGATCATATATACATAAGCACAGTGGTTTTGATTGCAGACAAATAGACAATAAAAATGCTCTGAGTCACTCAAGCTGTGGGCTTGAAATATGTGGTTATGCTTCTCACTGCAGTTTACAGGTGAACAGGAAATGAAGTTTCCATTCTGAATTACCTTGTGTTTATTTTATGATACAAAGCCTTACTAAATCTTTTGAAACACACTTATTTGATTTATGACCTATATTTTATAACTTCATATAAAAGATAAGCTATTGAATTGAGGTTGCGATTTCTAATTGTGAATATTTCTACCTCTAACAATCACAATTTTATTTTTTAAAATTTTAATGTAGCATTTCCGGTAGTGGCTCTTCTGTTTGTGGAAATTCTATTGTGTGTCCTTCCGGTTCTTTCTGCAAAGGAAATATTATGTAGGTAAATACAGCAAATGTTATCTACATATTCATGTGATTAGCCCATGAGAGGTACATTGTAATTTATTTTATTTCTTATTTAATATAAACCAGTATGCCTAATAAGCACAACTCATGATTTCATCAAGACACAATTGTTTCTAACTTCCATCATCCCTGTAAACCTTTGCTAGTGCCCTAATTTTCCTCTGTATGAAAATGCCATTAAACCTTTGTGTTTTCTGCTCAGACCAGTAGCCCCTCCAAATTGCATATAATCTCAACTCAGAAATTAGAATGTCTCCCATCTGTAATTAAACTTTGAATTTGCATCTCTTAAATCTTTTCTCCTTCTTCTATTACCTACCCCTAGGTGCAGGGATCTGTTTTAGAATGGAAATTACAGGAAAAGAGGGGAAAGGGGTGGAAAGAAATAATGACTTCTCCTTCTACATTCCCCTAATAACTGCTGTTTTGACCTCAACAAGGTGGAGGAAGGATTGATCAGGGGCTAGGACAAAATAAACCTTCATTTGGTGTGGTTTGGTAGTAAGCTGTTTCCTGCATTGTGGCCTGGATGACTCTGATTTCTGACTTAGAATTTGCATTTCCAAGAGAAATTTCAGTCATCTGGAGATATTTCTAGGAAATATGTGAATTGTAAATGGGAGAATATGCCGTATTCTGACCAAGGTGTCTTTATAACTCAACAATGTGATTACGTTATCATAAGACTTTCATCATAAATTCATTTTATTTCAGGTCAAGTATCACAAATTACCACTTTTTTCTGTTTACCAAATATTCTACTATTTCCTAAATACATTTTGACTCCCTTTTAACCTAGATAAATTTATATAAGTAAATTATAGTTAACACAAATGAATAATCAGTGTATTTTACCATAAATGGGAGGTGTCCCTAAAACACATGCACAGTACAAGACCAAAACTAAATCAATGTTATCAAATTTTAGCCTAAAGCTTGCCCTTTCTTTGTTAAAATGGGAGCTTAGCCAGCCATAGAAGGAGGTTGAAGACATACTGGCACCAAACTGTGAACTTTTCTTAATGTAATCAGAAGCTTTGGAAGAGGACAATTTTCTCACTGTGTAATTCGGTGTAATTTAAGGCCATGCCTGTATGCCATCTGAAATCAATTTATGTGCTACCAGTGGGTATTTGTCCCACATTGTGGAGAATACTGCTCAACATTTCACCCTGCATGATCACCTCTTAGGATTATAGTGAGTTTCAGAAAATATATGTTAAAGGACTTCAACAGCATTAGCAGTAATTGCTAACTGTGTCAGAACCTATGCTAAGCCATTTACATATATTATTTTGTTGCATAATATCTACAATCTTATCGTGTAGGTATTAGTATCTACATTTTAGTGATGAGGAGGTGAAAGTTTATAGAGATTAATTTACTAGAGGTTAAATGATTAGTAAATGGCAGTGCTGAGATTTGAACCTTGGTTGGCTAACTCCATAGAGCACTCATGCAAACACGATAACATGTATATGATTTACATTTAATATTACATTAAAGCTAATAAGAATATTGTGCTGTTTCTATTTTGTTTTTGGCTACTTCTGCATTCCAAGGGAGATACATATTCTTTTAATTCTTTTAGATTTTGTTTTATAATTTACGCCACCATGTTTCTTTTACATAATTTTGTATGTAGATACACGTACACACACACAAACATACAGAAAAATGCTCAGATCATAAGGGTACAGAGGTGGATAAATTTTTATTAACTGAACACAGCCATTTAGCAACACTCAGATCAATAAACAGGTCATCAGAAGCACCCAGAAATTTTCTCCTGTACCCCACTAGTTCCAACCTACCCAAGAGTCACTCTTACGTTGACTTCTAACATCATAGGTTAGTTTTGCCTATCTTACATTTGATAACAAAGTCATGCATTGGGTACTCTTCAGTACTTGGTTGCTGCTGCTTAACATTATATTTGTGAAATTCACCTATGTCACTGCATGAAATGCTTATCCATTCTGTTAACGGACATTGCCATAATTACCAGTTTTTATCTACCAAAAATATTTCCCCGAATGTTCTTGCAGATATATTTTGGGAACTTATGTATGCATTTCTTGTCTGGTGATCATCTAGGGGTGGTATTATTGGTTGTAGGAGATGCATATCTGTAGTTTAGGGGAAAAAAAATTAGTTTTCTTATCCTCTGTCAACAAACGTTCATTTGTCCTTTGGACCTGCATCCAAATTTCCTTTGAGGGAAAGACTGACCATGACATGCAATCTTCTTAATGCAATAAATCAAGTTTTCCTACTCCAGAAGCAAAAGGGGTCCTTGGAGACTTCTTTTACTAGAACTTAACTAGGATTCTTAGGAAAAATATAGAAGTCTATGATCAAAGCTTTTTCAAAAAGATTCTTTTTTGGGAGGAATGTGAATAGTGAATAAAATAATTCAAAACAGAACAAATGGTTGGCATTTGATTCTAGTAGCAGCAGTGGTAACTTAAAGTCTGGTAAGATTTGTTGTTGTCTGCTTCTTGTCAGTTTTAATCCTGGTGTTTTTTGTTTGTTTGTTTTTGCCTTCCCCTGACCCTGTGAACTCCTCTATATACTTCCAAACATATATTCCATTAAAAAAAAATCCATATTGGTTTTTGTTGACTGCAACCAAAGAAACTTATGTCATACATAACCTCATCCACTACATATCAATGACAACTTTTCTCTTGGTATGCTACAAATAATTGCCCATTTCACTATACTCTGAATGATATCGACAGGAGACAGGGAAATACAGGGTAGAAGAGGACGGTTCCCTGGCAAAGGCCCCACCCTCAAGCTTGGAAACCCGTGGCCGTAAGGAATTCCTGTTTTCATGCCCAACGTTGCCTTTTGGCTCAACACACCCCCCTATCCTGTACCTATATAAACCCCAAACCCCAGGCTCCAAGAGCAGAAGAGCAGCAGAGCGGTACAGCTGAGGAGAGAAGAGAAGGAGTGTCTGAATGTCAAGAGGAATTCAGCTGGGATGGTGGGAGAGGAGAGGTTGTGGGATGGCTGAACTCCAGGGGAAGATCATCTTCTTACTCCATCCCCTTTCCGATTTCCCATTCATCCCGCTGAGAGCCACCTCCATCACTCAATAAAATTCCCTCATTCACCATCCTTTAAGTCCATGTGACCTGGTTTCTCCTGAACACCGGACAAGGAGCCCAGGAACCAAGAGGGCATGGTATAAAGGCTGTCACCCTGATTCTCTACTGAGCTGGTTTAGCACTTATTTATCTGTGGATGGCAAGTGCTAAAGGAGCATTAATTGTAACATATCCCTACATGCTACCGTGGGGCTGGAACACTAAAGCGCTTGCCCAGGCTCTGTGTGCTTCCCCTCCCATAAGGGGTTTGAGCATGGCAGCCAAGCAAACGAGCCACACCCCTGTTGTAAGTCCCACAAGGGGGTCAGGGAACTCTCTCATCTCATGAAGAATGTGATGGATTCTGAAATAACCCTGGCAGCTACATATAGATGAGGACATCTATAAAAAGTATGTACTTATGATTTCTGGACAAAGTATAAATGCTTTCTATAAATAAGGCCTGGGGGGAAAAATGGCCAGGATTATGCCTCTCTTCCTTAGCCACACTAAGAGGTCAATATTAAAGGAGAGAGATTTTGGCAGTAAAGGAAATTTTGCCTTCTATAGTTGACATTTACTGACTATAAAAATCATACACTATTTATAAATGTTACTTTACATTTCAGATTAAGTACATTAAATGGTAGTGTTCATATCACTTTTTATCAGGAGTGATAAGGACAATAAATAAATGGTCATTTGCCATGAAATTAATAGCTTGGGGAGAATTTCTGTCAAGTATCCTGATGTGTGTTTCACCTGGTCAAATTACATTAGATCTGCTTAAAGATTTAACAAAGTGTGTTTTACTTAATTCTTAAATTTTAAACTTGTCTACTTATATTTGGAGTTGACTTTTTAACAATCAGTTTATCCACAAAGAGGAATCATGAGACTGTGATGCCCTTGTTTAATTGCTGTTTGTAAGCTTTAGCTCTTTGGAGCATGCATTTATGGTCTTGAGTAAAGATTGTTCTAATGAATAAGCATTGAATCTCAGATACCAGTTCTAAACTGAAAGGGAACTTCAAATGACATTTTGCAGGATAATGTGAGTGGATATGTTAACTACTTGAATCACATTAGCCTCAATTGTCCCTCAGATGATTGACTGTGCCATTAATTGTCAACATTCTTCTGTCCTGCTCTTCCCAATTTCATCTCTGCTTGCAATGAGAAATGCTTAGTTGAAAAATTCTGGGGATACTTTTTAGGAGAGTTATGCCCTAGAGTTAGGGATACTAGCCCTGGAGTTTTAGGTCTGGCAGATAGATTGGGGTTGAGCTATAGGAGGTGACATAAGCAAAAGCTAACGAGGTAGGTAACGTAGGGAGACTGCTGATTGAAATTCTGATACCACCACTTACTAGCTTTGTGTTCTTGAACAAATTACATAACCCACTAATATTCAGATCCTAATCAGTAAATGTAGATTTGGAATATTATCTGCTTTGATATAAGATTAGTAAAACACTTAGTCTAAGCTACACTGGATATTAACCATTATTATATACAGGTTCCTTCATTGCAGTCTTGGGAGGTGTCAAGAAGTCTGCACTCCAGCTTACAAAATGTGAAATCTCAGAAACTAGACAAGATCTTTCTGGTCATCTCTTCTAAAGCATCTTGCATTTATTCTTTAATGTACTTTTCATAATACATATACTTAAAATGTGTGAACTTTTTCTCTATGTCTCTTTTTCTGACTGAGGTTTAAGTTTCACTTGGGCAGGGATTATGTTATTTTGATAATGAATGCATTCTCAATACCTAGGCAAATACTTGGCATATATTAAGTGCCAAATCAGTATTTGTAGAATGAATGTATGGATGAACCAATGGATAGATGGATTGACGATAGTCATTCAGGGCAGTCATAGGGATACTGAACGGCTCCTCAAACTGCAAAGATTACTTTACTTACACATCAGACTTTAGTTGCACTAACATTATATCTTCATTGACTATAACTAATTCTTAAACACAGAAGTGATTTGATGAATATTAAGTTGAACAATATGAAATTGCCAATATTCAACTATTTCTAACCTATAAAAATGACAATTTCCCATAGTCTAATTTAATACTTGAACAGACTGGTAAATAGATATTTTAATCCTAAAGTAATTCCCTATTGTGATTTTGATTTTAAATATAAATATATATATTTATGTCTTCATTTTGTATCACAAAAAATGGGAACTATGCAATAGACATTTAAAGAACTCCATTTTGAGATATAATTATCTCGAAATTTCCAGGATTAAATACTGAAACTTGGTATTATAAATAAAGCTTTCCAGGATCTTTGACTATTTTCAAAACTTTACTACTAATCTTGCCATTTGTGGCTCGTTGAAACAAAATTAAACCTCCATCAGTTAGACTTCTTAAAGGGCATTGCTTACCTGTTTTTTCAATTCAGTCTGTAATATTTGGGAATGCACAATCTAGCTCATGGAGCTTTGGATAGCAACACCTGGAGAGTATGACTTTTTTCCTTTTTAAACTTAGGATTTATTGGAGATGACAAAAAGATTCGTTGGCAATAACTGAACGTATTAAGCAATGAGATATGTATGTTTTCTACTCAGGCATAATGATGAACAACTGTGCATCTATAGACTGGTTTCTGATATCAATTTCTACTTCCTCTGACATGGAAAGTACTTGTAATCGTTAACCTTGGAACTAAGGACTAGGATCTCTTCTGGTGATTGAGATTCTTTATCTAAATTCTGCTTTTCCTCTTCTGAGTCTTATGACAATGATTTTTCTGAGCTATCTGCTTTTGAACTTAGACCATTATCAATCATGCTAAATGCATTATTGTATGTATTTGTTGAAAACACATTTTTTAAAATTAGATTTTTTGTGATTTATATAGAAGAATTTGTGTCTCTTCAATATTATGTCACAAAGAGTGGAAGCTTGTTTTTTTTAGGAAAAAAAAAATAAATTTACATGTGCAGTCATCCCTCATTGTCCTCAGAAGTTGGTTCCAGAACCTCAGCTTTACCAAAATCCACTCATACTCAGTCCTGCAGTTGGCCTTGCAGAACCCTTGTGTTTGAAAAACTGGGCATATAGGTGGGTTTCACATACTGTGGATACTGGATTTTCCATCTGTGTTTAGTTAAAAAACAACCCCACATATAAGTGAACCCATGTAGTTCAAACCCGTGTTGTTCAAGAGACACCTATATTTATTTTTAATTAGTGGTCATGGCCGTGGCTTCTTGAATATATGTCTTTCTCCTTAACATGAGTGTGCATGTCTAGGTTCTTTCTTGCTAACAATTAACTTTATTTTTTTTTACACTACGGCCATGGTGAGTGCAAAGATTAGTTCAGCTGGAAATCAGAATCATGCCCTTTGATTCCAAAACATATTTTAAGCTCATTAAGAATAGTCAAGTATAGTTTGAAATAGATGGCAAGCCAAAGAGTTTTTATTAAATGCCAAGTGATTTGCCTGTTTTTTAATTAAATTTAATAATCATAGGCTTGGAAGATACCTACAACAGTCTGGTGAACATCTTAGTGTTTCTCAAACTGTATACCAGCTGTATCATCAAATAAAGCTGTGTTAAAGTATAACAGCTATGTTCAAATCTCTCTAGGTGATTGCACTGTACAACTAAAAGTCAGTCTGGTGTTTACTTATCCTTACTGTCAGAATATTTTGGTATATGATTAGGAATTTTTCATTGTTCATTAATCCTATATTTTGTTCAATTTTGAATATACTTTGGGAATAATTATTCATCATGCTCTGATATATATTAAGTCTTTCTAGTGCCTCAAACTTATTCTAGACCTTTGCTTTTAGTATTTCCTAACCCTTGAGTGTTTTTCTTCACTTTGGTAATTTAGAAAGCTTCATCTTCCATCTATGCTGCTATTCTATGTATAAAAACACCTTAGTAACTCATTAGCTTTAATAGGATCACACCACTGGTTTATATTTCTTTAGCATGTTAATCAGCACGACCTTCAGGACTTCAGTATCTTTGGGGAGACTTACAATAAAGCATTTACTTTAATTATTTGCTTGAATATTGCATTTGATACTCACTTTGATTTCTGCTATTTATTTCATATTTGTTAATCCAGTTAAATTACAAAAGATCTGCATTTTCACACTGTAATTTAGCATTATGAAGGTAATAAACTGTAGTATAAAATGTGTTGTTAATTTTAATCGGACTCTTCCATTCTTAGCACTTATGTTACCTTTTTTTGACCTTCAAATTTATATATATGAAACAAATTTAAAAATTGGAGATAGGCATCAGTGGGCAGTGTATACATTAATATGGACTATGTCAAGGGTTTTTTTATATATATATTATTTTCAAGCAATATAGTCAAACATGGAAATAATTGAGTATTTCCTCTTAGTACCTTGTTCTAACTGAATGTTTCAAATGAATTCACTAAGAATTCTTGAACTATAGCAATATAAATTTATACTGGAATATTGCATTTTTAATTTATTAAATAACATATAACTATTTTATTTGCTTTAATTCTAACTCAACTCAAATCAAGCAGTATGATACAACATAATAGTTCCTACTACATTTTGGGAGAAACTAGTTCGCTTCTGAGAATAACTGCCCTCTCAGAATATTTTTTTAAAAACCAAATGAAACTCATTTTAATAGAAAAATCCTCCTAATCATGTGAATTATCCAGTATGAGCTTTAGGAACATTAGTTTTAGTGATATATATGGGAATAAATGCACATAAAGAAGTAAAGGTCCTCTGAAAAATAAAAATAAATAATGTAAACTATAATAAATTTAGATGTTGACATGAGATAGAATTTACTGCTAAGTCCCCCAAACAGGAATTATTCTAAAAAGTGTGGTATATTAATCTATTAGAGTAAATATGCAAGCTTGTAATAGAATATAGTTTAAAATACATCAAGATCAGACAATAGCAACCCGCAATATGGTTTATAAAGCCTGAGTGTAACAGAGAGATAAAAGTACTAGATTTAATATATATAGAGATCTGGCAAGCGGCACAGGTGTTGTTATAACATCCGGTAAGCAGTTAGGGGATGAAAGAAGATAGGCAAGTCCTGGAAGGGTTCCTGAGTAGAAAGAGGTTGGCAGATCCCTGAATTCTAGGAAGGCTAACAGAATTCAGAATTTTAGGGGAGATATTCAAGAGTAATATCATAACCAAGTAGGGCTGGCAAGTTCTAATTCTAGTACTACTGATTTCTCATTTTTAAGCCTCACCTAGGTGTACCATGAAATAATTTATAGTGAGAAGGAAGTCAATTTCCCTAGATATATTTTACCTTTCGTTAAGTTAGGGACAAAGCGGAGAGACTTACTGAAATTTATGTGTAATAATAATAGGTAATAAATTGTGTGTGCAAGTTGGGGAAGGCATGTTCAAGAAAGGACTTCCTGGGTAGGTAAATTTGAAAAAAGACATAAATGAAGTGAATGAACAAGGCTTTCAAATATATGGAGGAAGAGAATTTAAGGAAGAGTACACAATAAATACAAATACATTGACTTCAGAAAACAAGGAGATGAGTTTTAGGAGGTATGGTTAAAGAGACAGAAAGGAGATAGATCATGGAGGACTTACTAGACCATAGTTTAAGGCTCTCATGGTTAACTAGATAGGTAGCCATTTGGGGAGGTTTTATGTGAGAAATGTCATAATTGGATTAAAAAAAAACTGCTCCAGCTACTATGGAGTTAATGTCTTAGACTAAAAGACTAGAAGTGGAGGTAAAGAGAAGTAGTCAGGTTCAGATACATTCCAAAGGCAGAGCACAATATAGTTACTCATAATGTAGGATTTCAATTTTGGATACAAGGGAAAGAAAATATGGCTCCAAATCTTTTGGCTTGAGCAATTGGAAGAGTGATAGCGCCAGGTTTGGAGAGGACAGAGAGAATTCAGTTTCTATTTTAGAAACTTTAAATGTGAGAGGTCTATTAAAGATTCAAGTCAGCATACTGAGATTTGGCAGTCAGATGTACAAGTTAAGAGAGAATGAGGAAGTTCTGAATGGAGATAGAAATTTAGGAGTTATCAAATTGTATAGATAGTTTCCAAAGCCCTAAGACTAAATAGCACCCCTAGGAAGTGAGGGTTGACAGAGAAAGCAGAGAGAAAAAGATTGAACTTTGGGTTATTCTAGCATTCAAGAGTCAGGAAAAGAAAGAAAATACAGAAAACGAGTCAGAAGAATAGGAAGATTAAAAACTGGGAGAGTGGCGATTCCTCAGGGATCTAGAACTAGACATAACATTTGACCCAGCCATCCCATTACTGGGTATATACCCAAATGACTATAAATCATGCTGCTATAAAGACACATGCACACGTATGTTTATTGCGGCATTATTCACAATAGCAAAGACTTGGAACCAACCCAAATGTCCAACAATGATAGACTGGATTAAGAAAATGTGGCACATATACACCATGGAATACTATGCAGCCATAAAAAATGATGAGTTCATGTCCTTTGTAGGGACATGGATGAAATTGGAAACCATCATTCTCAGTAAACTATTGCAAGAACAAAAAACCAAACACCGCATATTCTCACTCATAGGTGGGAATTGAACAATGAGATCACATGGACACAGGAAGGGGAATATCACACTCTGGGGACTGTGGTGGGGTGGGGGGAGGGGGGAGGGATAGCATTGGGAGATATACCTAATGCTAGATGACGAGTTAGTGGGTGCAGCGCACCAGCATGGCACATGTATACATATGTAACTAACCTGCACAATGTGCACATGTACCCTAAAACTTAAAGTATAATAAAAATAATAATAATAATAATAATAAAAAAACTGGGAGAGTGTAATATATTGGAATTCAAAAGAAAATATTCCAAGGAGAAAGAAATGTCTAAATTAAATGCTGCTGAGAAGTAAAGTTAGGACTAAATATAGACCATAAAGCCACAGAATTACCACATGAAGATTATCAATATCGTTGAATAAATCAATTTTAGTGAAATAGTTGTGATTAAAGCCCTAAGAGATGAAATGGAGACAGTAAACATAAACCTTTTGAGAAATTTTGCCAAAATGCAAATAGAGAAATTGGGCAATAACCAGATGATACACAGAATATTAAAGAGTTTTCTTTTTACTTTAGTGAGAGCTATTATACAATGTATGAAAATAGAAGTGATCCAGTAATGAGAGAAACAAATAAAATTATGCCTGAAAGTGAGGAGTTAACTGAAGGAACAAAATCCTTGAGCTAGAGAGGAAGATGAAATGCATGTAAGTGGATGGGTTGACCTTAGGTGAATGTAGCAACTTCTCAGCCCATTTTAACAGGATAGATATTTAGGACACATAGATATAGCTGCAAACATGATATCAGACATGAAGGATGAGAAGAAAATTCTATTTTGGCTGCTTCAAATTGCTCAGTGAATTAAGAATGAAGTTTTCACCCAAGGGTGAGGAGGAGAGGTGGGGGCTGGAAATTTGAGGAGTTTCCTCTTTGGGATTGAGTGAAGTTCCTGAGGATATATATTGGAATCATATCCAATATGATATGATAGGGAGGAGTACTGCTGAGGTCCCAGTGGAGATAAGTAGTCACAAATGAAAGGAAACTTAGCCAGAATGGTTGTATATGCTTTCTAGTGTCATTTTGAGCAGCATAGATGCAAGTATGATGTGGTAAGATAGGTTTAATCATTTTTTTTTTAAGTTGGTAAAGGACAAACTACAAGGGAGTTCAAATTTTATTCAAAGAATAGATGAGAGTTATGGGCCAGAAATCTGAACTGGATAAAAAGTAAATGAGAAAATGAAGGGGCTGATGGCCACCAAAAAATGGTAGTATCAATGAATTAGTGGTCTCAATGGGTTGAAGAGTTATTGGTGTGGGGCTAACGATTACAGTAAGTGAGCTGGAAAGTTAGGAATTGGTGTTCAGAAATCTGAACTTGTCTCGGATATTAGATCTTTCAAATAAAAGGAAAATATTATAAGTTAGCTATTACAGGCAGGCTACTGGAGTCATAAGCAGCTGGACCTGGTATTGTAGCTGCCTGCACTTAGGGGTAACATTCTTCCTTCCAATATTAGTAATTTAAACAGATGGATCTGTAATGTGACCTGATTGAGTGATGGAAAAATTGAACTTGGTTTTTGACATGGCATTTGTAAAATGCATACTCTTCTGTAAAGGCTCTTCATGGAGATATTCTGCAATTATTGTGACTTTAAAAATCTAATCCATTACTCAATTCTGAGTAATTTTTACTTAAGCCATAAAGGTTTAGATTATCATGCAATGTAACAAAGTTGTCTTTATATAAGGTCCTACAAAACCTTAACACACACCTGAAGTCAATCAGGAGATGATTTAACAAGTTTCTACAATTTTGAGACAATGGTTTAGTTAATATCTTACTAGCAAAAATTGATTCTTGGAATTGGTTTAATTTTATTTTAGTAATTTTTATAATTTAATTTACTCTGTGGCCTTGGATAAAGGCACATAGTTTTTACACATTTATAAGCTACAAAAGCAGTATATTTTAAGAAAATATTTGCTTCGACTTCTGAAATACTGGAGTTTGAAAATGTTATGGTGTTATCACTTATTTTACTTACGTATGTATATGTATGTAAGTATGTAAATTGTTCTTTTTACAGAAAATAAATGGTAAATTCATTGAGCTTATTTTGGAAAAAGATACTGTAGATGTTTTCTCTTGATGCTAGCAAAATTACTTAGTTTTGTTTCAGAGATTAAAAAAACCACTAAATGTAAATTCACATTTATTGTGATTTCCTAAAAGTCATGTGGTTTCATAAAAATAATTTTAAATATTTAGGAATCATAACAAGTTCTTGGCACTAGTTTTTTTCTCGTGATTTAAAGCATATTTTGAATACAGTATATCTAATGTTTTTAATATGATGATTGCTTTCCTAGCAATCACACAGTTGGATATTATGTATCTAGTAAGCAAACCTTAACATCACCGATAGGACCCTGTGAAAGTCTTTTGACTTGAATACATTGTAAGATAGTTTCTATAAAAGAATATAGTCTAGGAATCTATATGTGTATGTGTATACATTTATATATGTTGTCAATTTCTGCTGGTTCCATTTTCATTTTATTCTTTTTGATCACTTAAAGTAACAATCTAGTAAATCATCATATATAGGCAATGTTAGAAGTCAAGTATTTATACATACTAAAATTTTGTAAGCCTGAAATTTTTTGCATAACAGATGGGAGAAGAAGAGTAATTTCACTGGAATAATATACTTATATATGCATATACACAGTTTAAACCTTTTCTTTCTGACATCACTGATACAGGATATTCTCTCACTCACATGAAAACTCAAACCCAAATGACAAATCTGTGGAAATTTAGCAAAAAAAAATATTGAGGTAGTAGTCTGGGTTCTCATTCTATGAAGATTTTGCCATAATTTATTTTTATTTTAATTTTTTTTTGAGTATGTAGTAGACGTATATATTTATGAGGTACATGAGATCTTTTGATATAGAGTTGGCATCATTTTTTACCTAGTTTGATCATTTAGTCTACTATTGGTACTTGTGTGTGCTTCTTAGTATATGTTTGAATTATAGAGTCTTTTTCTTTAACCTTTAAAATTCTTAGAATCCTTCTGTTCTCCAGAGGTGAAAACTGTAGTCCAGATAGTTAAACTGAGACTTGCTCAAGGGCTACATATGTAGCCAAGATAAATCTCTGATCTAAAATTCTGCTTCAAATCATGTGTCTTGTCATGTTGAGTTGAAGCAGGCCCTGAAGTGTTGGAAGAGTGTAGTGAAGGCCTTGATCAAGAGGAAGTTTATCTGCGAGAAGAAAGCAGGAGTTTTATTGCATGCCACTAGGGAGAAAGCAAAATAAAATGCAGTGTGACTTGAAGTTTGGAGGAAAAAAAAGTGAATGAAATATGGATAACTTTAAAAGAACATCATATAAGGCTGCTAGCTACATCAATCCTTAGTGTTTACTTGAGCAAGCTGGTGACATTTAGAGAGAAGTGAAAGTTCCAGCCCTTTTCAGTAGGTGGTCAGTTTGACATTTCTGTATAATGTCTCTCTGGGCTAATAAAACTTGTCAGTTCCTGCTGGTTCCATTTTCATTTTATTCTTTCTTTTCATTTAAAGTAACAATCTAGTAAATCATGGTATATAGGCAAATGTTAGAAGTCAAGTATTTATATATACTAAAATTTTGTAAGCCTGAAATTTTTTGCATAACAGATGGGAGAAGTATGAGTAATTTCACTGGAATATTGTACCCTCATTAAAAAAATGTTCATTTAGCAACGTTTAAATATTCAGTTTATGTCCAATAAAACAAACCATATTTTAAAATAAGCCCCACAATTATTATCAAAACAGATTAATGTGACTTGGCAACCATCAAATTACATGGACATCTGTTACTGGGAAAATAAATTAAACCAAAATAAATGGAACCATAGTGAATGTTGCTATAATTTGGTAATTAATTGATATTTTAAACTGCAAATTTATACTACCTAACATCAGCTAGACCTTTTTAATGATGTCCTATTTACAGCATGTCATATCACATGCAGATCTGTTTTAAAGATTCTATGTATGTTTCAAATGCCAAAGAATAGAACCACTACTCTACCCAGCACTAGCTTTCTAGTCTCTTATATTTGAGTGAATGTTGTTACAATCCAGCTGGTTTCCTAATTTTTAGAATTTTCTCCTCTGAATTTCAATTCCCTTTGATTCCTTCTCGCCTTTGAGGAAGTATTTCTACTTTCTCATATATGATTCAGCATACATATCTTTGCTCTTAATTTCATTGGCCCTTTTAGGATATTTTTATAATAAGTGTCTTCTTTTTCAAAAGTCTAATTGGAATAGGCCTCAACACTGCCATGGTCCTGGGGCATGAGGACTCTGGAACTGGCTCTGTTTATTTCCATCCAAGTCCAGTGGCCTATGGTAAGAACTTTCCCCTTCCCTCCACTTTCAAATGTCCCCTCTGGTTATCCAGGACCTTATCCTATTTGGAGAGTATGTAAATATCATAGAGTACTAAGGAAGACATTATCCAGTTGGGGTTTATGAAGGGAATTTATCCTGCTGAAAATTGGCAAGCATTATGCAAGCATCTGCAGAGGTACCTTCACCTTCGCAGTGCGCAATACAGACTGCTTCAGTAGCTCCTCAGCACAGGCAGTGCCTCCCTCATCCTGCTACTAGTGTAGACAGTACTTGTTCTTGAAAGAAGTCACATGTTCTCACTCATAGGTGGGAATTGAACAATGAGAACACTTGGACACAGGAAGGGGGACATCACACACCGGGGCCTGTTGGGGGGTGGGGGGAGGGGGGAGGGATAGCATGAGGAGATATACCTAATGTAAATGATGAGTTAATGGGTGCAGCACACCAACATGGCACATGTGTACATATGTAACAAACCTGCACGTTGTGCACATGTACCCTAGAACTTAAAGTATATTAAAAAAAAAAATAATTATGGGAGTGGGAGGTGTCTACTTTGGCCAGATTATTGGGTAATGCCTCACTTCTCTCATTTGTTAAATACAAGCAATAAAAGTACCTTCTCATGGGGAAAAAGAAAAAAAAAAGAAAAAGAAAGAAATAAGTGGTGTATTCTTATTGATATTTCCTTTACTATCAAGAATGGTCCACTTAGGTTGGGGGGTCTCTTCTTTCTCTGATTTTAAATATTGTTCTTTGTCTATCTCATAAAACTAGGTTTATGAATAAATCCAATGTTTTCTTTCTTTAAGGTTTTGCTTGTTGATCCTTGATCTTCCTCCTGTTTTTTTCTTCTTGACTAGTTCTATCCATACAAATCAAAAGCTTTGGCTGGCTAGCAATGAAATTGGCTTAAGAAACCTATTTGGAAGGCAAAATTGTTTATTAAGTCTTTCCTTTGCTTTTCATTTCAGCTCTAGCAATCTTAACCCCCTCCAAGGTAATGGTACTTACAAGGGAATGGGGGGAAGTTTATGCCCATGTATTTGTGCACAAGAAAAGCATACTAATTTATTTAAAAATGTTATGTATCTAAAATTGCACTTCTGCTGCTCCTATTCATTGAATTCATCTTTTCATGCTCTAAGCATTCCTCTTAAATGCCCCAAAAATGACAATGACAACAACAAAGAGAAGTCTTTCAACTTTTTAACCAATAAAGACATTAACCTATTCATTTCCTTTCCTACATTCCAAACATTTGAAAATAGAAGTCTACTTATTGGCTACAGTCTTCAGTCCTCTTATGTTCTTCTGCATGGCACTAGAAGACTTTTTTTAATCTTGCCACAGATATTTTAAACCATCGCAGACATAATATGCATAACAATTCTCTGAAATTTTTAACCACCATTTTTGCTAAGAAACATCCACATTCAAATTCGTCCATACTGAAATGTTCCCTGCTATGCGAAGTGTTTCTCCTTCTAGTCAAGGTTAATTTTGACACTTATTCTAAGACTCCCATGACCAATATTCTCTCCTTTCCATCTCCTGGATATTCCGACATCAACTGATTTTTTTTTTCTTCTATGTTCAAACTCACTTGTCATTTCTATTGGCTCTTTGGCTTTTGCATAAAAACAGATTTTTTTTTTTTTTTTGAGACTGAGTCTCACTCCATCACCAGGCTGCAGCGCAGTGGTGGGATCTTGGTTCACTGCAACCTCTGCCTCCTGGGTTCAAGCAGTTCTCCTGGCTCAGGCTCCCAAGTAGCTGGGATTACAGGTGCCTGTGACTACGCTCAGCTAATTTTTTGTATTTTCAGTAGAGACAGTTTCACCATGCTGGCCAGGCTGGTCTTGAACTCCCAACCTCGTGATTTGCCAGCCTTGGCCTCTCAAAGTGCTGAGATTACAGGTGAGAGCCACTGCGCCAGGCTATGAAAGTCTTTATAAAAGAACGATTTCACTTACAGTGATTTTCTTTTTAAATTTCATTCATTCTTTCAGTAGATGTTTATTGTCTACTGTGTGCCAAACACTGTTTTAAACACTAGGGATAAATAGTGAACAGATTCACATCATCAAGGAGCTGTTATCCTTGTAAGAGCAGATGACAATAAACAAGTAAAACATAGTCTGTCAAATGCAGCATGGAGAAAAACGAAAGCAGGGAAAGGGCTTAAGTTCTGTTTAGGGGCCCTTTTAAATGGAAAAGTCAGAAGAGGCCTCCCTGAGAAGCCTCTTGTATGACATGATTGAGTCGATTCTATCATGAGTTCAAGTCAATGCAACCTATAGCTCTACAGAGAACACTTTTCACCCAAGACACTAACAACTCTTTCTACCTGATAATTTCTTTCTTATTTGATTGCTCTAAAACATTTGAGACTCTAACCACTCAGGCTGTCACACTCTAATTTCCCTTGGATTACATTACTTCTATCTTGTAACTTGGTCCTCCTTGATATTTGCCTCTCTGGTCACCATTTCTGTCTGTTGTTGTGTTTAACCTAATTAGTAGTGTTCCTTAAGTTTCTCCTTTCACGTCTTGTCTTGCTCTTTTCAATCTGTGTAAATAAGAATCTGCATTCACTTTTAATGAACATATCCTTAGTTGGTCACTCCCAAATATAAATAGAAAATAATACCTTATACTTAATAACTATATATTACTTTATCTTCCTTTAGTACCATTACAACAGTAGCCTTAGTAGTATCTAGTACTTTATACTTTAGTAGTACTCCTAAAGTAGCTAAAAATGTTGATTAAGAAGAAATTTTAAAGAAATCACACACAGAACACACACATTACCAATTTTTTTTTCTCCTTTGTTGGAGCCAATTTTCTAAATAAGGTACTCAGTGTTTGTACTTAGCAAAATAATTTGCTAATGAAGGTGCTCAGCAACACAATACTTTAATTTTGCATTTTTGTTCTTATATTTCTAGTTTGAAAGGTCACATGTTAACTCTGAATTTCAGTCCAATTTATCATAGTATGCTGTATAAAATGTTTTTTGAGCTGTTCTTGAGCACAGCATGAAAGTTTATTTTTACTTTTGCTTGCTATGAATGAGATAGACCTTTCTAAATTACTAAAGTACAAGTGATTTCTCCAAGGTACCATTTTACGATGTCACTTGAGTTTTGGCTTCTTTTTTTTTAACCTTCTTTTTTCACCTAATGTTAAATATCTTGTTAAATTCTAGGAATTTTCTTACATGTGGAATTGCCTTAAGGTATCTCATTAGCACCTTTGATTCAGGCAATGAAATATGAAAATAATGAACTTCTTGTCTTTACTCACGTAGGACAAATAAATTTTACCCTTGCTACTAATGGATAATTAAGTCCTTTTAAGGAATGAGTAAGGTTTCCATAATGTAATCCAGGGCCTAAATTATTTTAGCATTATCAAAATTGTTACAGTAATCCTTTCATTAGGTGAAAATACTAAAATTAATAAAGATAAACACCTATCAACAGATACACTTTAATCTTAATGAATATGCAGCCCTCAATATTTGGACATGTAAGAACATAGAAATGGAAGATGAGAAAATGTTTTAATGCTTGACTTTGAAAAGTCCACCAACTTGCCCAAAGTTACATATTCAAATTTCTTCATTTACTTCCCTCAAAATAATAATTTGGCAGCTACTTGGAGAAGAAATAAGCAATTTGAAGTAGATAAAGTATTGTAAAACACCTAATTTTTAGAATCAATTTGTCCAATTTCCTATAGGGTAAAGGAAAGTTACTCAAAGTTCTACCTATAGATGTGTAAGGGGTTTATTAATGTAAAGAGTTTTACACAAAAAGACAACACTTTTCTCAATAGAATTATATGTTGCAATATACGTTATATGTCCTTCAAAATAGGAGGGGTGGTAAGAATTAAAATGAATTTGTTTCTCAATATTCTAAATTGCTAGCAATAATAGTTTTAAAGACTATAGTTTTTCTTTTTAACTTGTTTTTTTTCATGTATTATTCCTAGAAGGAACGAACTAAACTGTAAATATCAATAAAATTATAAAACTATTTGATTTAGGGAAAAGTGGGGAGGTAAAGTCAAAACAAATAAACACAACCTCCACCCCCAAATTTTTTGGTACTATTAGAAAAGACAGCATCCATTTTAAAAATAACAAACACAAAGACATTTGGCAAGACTTGAATGGCAGGAACTTTAAGACAGAGCTAGTAAATTGAGAGTTTAAATGTTCAAAAGTGTATGTTTTAAATCACAGTAATTTTGAAATAAAAAAATGTAAAAACCTCTTTTGAAACAAACCAAAAAAGGATTTTAGAAGTAAAGTTAGGGTATTTTTTCATAGCCTAGAAATGAGCTACTTAAGCTGATGGAGAAATCAGAATTTCAAATCTCAGAAACAATAGGAGATAATGTATTGTGATTCCCAGAGACTTAAATGAGGAAGCTATTGATACCAGCAGATGCTCAAAAATTAAGTGACATTATTTGGTGCTTGGCTACCTCAGTATCTGCAGATCATAGATCCTTGCATATCTATGGTATGATATCCCAGGAGAAAGTTTCTACAAGATCACATCCTTTGTTAAAACACAGGCTCCTATTTCTGTAGCAGCAATGTACAAATAAAAATTTTTCAGGAAGGACTGTTCCTTGGGGGAGAAAATAGTCCTCATAGGGCCAATGTTGGCATAAATATATGCATTCTCAATGAATTTGAGTTAGAAGGTCTCAATATATAATCTACATTTTGTTCAATTAAAATTCATTTACCAATTGACAAGTGAACTTGTTATGTTTAAGATGAGTTAGTAGACCTTAAGTGATAGAGTGTTGAGTAGGCCATAAGAAGTTGTTAATATAAGAGATTAGACAGGAATAATATGTCTATAAATATAGCAAAAAATTACAGTGATTTTGTTCGACAATTTTTACTGTTGCCTGAAACAATGTCTATCACTTAGTAGGTACACAATATATATTTGTTGTATGAATGGGTATGATAAATATTATGAGTGTAAAAGTGTTCCAGATGTTCAAAAGGTAGGTAATAGCAGATGATATTTATAAGAATGATTTATGAGTCACATTGGTGGCTGTTGTTTAGTGCAGTGTTCAGTGATGCTAGCCTTAAAACTTGTAATTAATATGAAGTAGGATGTGAAGTTTTACATGTCTTCACTTTATTCATTTGTTCATTCATCATTTAGTATTTTACTGAACTTCTTCCACATGACAGGATCACAGCACCAAAAAAATAAGATCTGCCATTTACAAGGTCACCATGGATTGGGTGAGATAGAGAAATAAATAAGCAATTAAAATAGATAATAATAAATGCTACCATAGGTTGTATGAATGTTGTTTTTATGTGTATGCATGTGCACATCCAATGTATCAGGGTCTGATGCATCTGATTTTGTCTCCCAACTTCTGAGCTGAGTTAAGATAAATAGGAATTACTTTGCTAAATTTATCTCAGAGTAATATTCATACTAAATTCAATTCAAATTTTCCTCTTATCCTCTCAAACCACGTCCTCAGCATAACCATTATAAATCTTGTTTTGAATGTATACAACTGTCCACAACAATCATACTTCACATTTTAACTTCCAATTGGACATACCATAATTGATATTACATTTCATCATTTCTAACCTCTTTGATTGCATTTATAATTTTTTTACATTATTGTATGTTCATCCTAAACAAATAGAAATGGAATTTGCCTTGCTAATTGATCCTATATATTTTAGTAAGTCACATTAAAAATGCATTCCTGCTTTGACACATGGTAGAAAATTGACTCAGTTTTCATTTTGCTTGCCATTTCTTTTAGTTGTTTCCTTTTCACTTGTCAGGCTTACAACGTTATTTATTTGTTTGAGCTACCTGAATAGTATGTGGTAGACTCCCACACTGACCCTGTAGATTTACCTTGTCTTTCATTTCCATCAAGCGGATTTCTATAATATTCAACTCCCTGTTCAGATGTTTGAAATATTTGACAGTTCCTTAAAACTTAGGTAAAAGGGAATGCATTTTTAGTCTCAAGAATAATCTGAGAGGTTGGCTGCATAAACGTAACATGATAGAGAGTTTACGCCTCTGCCATTTACTCTCTGTGTGATTTAAGTCCATTGACCTCTGTGGGCCTCACTTTCCTCATTTGAGAGATGGGGATAATAAGAAAAATACATAATAAGGTTGCTGTAAAACAAATTTATTAATATGTGTAAAATGCTTAGAATGGCATTTACTAATATTGGTCACTTATCCACCTCTTCTGACAAAATTATCTACCCTTTATTGAAATTATAGAGCTGCTACTGAAAAAAATGGCTAATATTCAGAAATGGATTTGCCATGAATATAATAAAACTTAATCTTTAGGATCCCTTGCTTATATAGGTCTCTTACAAGTTATGCATTTTTGGTCACATTTTAAGAAGTAGTATAAGAACTGCAATCATTTGAGACTGTTGCTTCCCTGTATGACTTGCCTTTCCATCATACTTCTCCTAGTAAAATTCCTGTGGATTGGCCACAGGCATTATTCGGATCCAGTGAAGGTAAAGTTGAGTTTGAGAGATATGTATTTTGGGTTTAGAAGAATGTAGTTAAATGGTTCATGGAAACTTTGGTGTACAGCTAAAGAATTGTGAGCTGTCCCAGTTATTAATAGCTTTCAGGAATACTTCTGCTTACTGTGCAAATCTACCAAGGCATTATGACAGGGCTAGAAATTGTACTGAAATGTGCATTTGTCCTATGGCTCTCAGCGCCAAAATATGTGTGTAGTAAAGGAAATACAAGTTTGAAGTGTGTGAGGCCAGAAACTAGTTTGTGGGAAATTCTTCTAATCATAAAACCTATAGAATCATATGGGGAAATTTTGTATCTTATCAATACCTTGTTAAAACTATGGATATTAACAAAATAGTTTTCATGAATTATCTTATTATTCTTTATAGTAACTATTAAAAGTAATTTATGTGAAAGGACCATTAAAGTGTATGTAGCCAAACATGTAGAAACATGTTAGAGTATATCAGGCAATTAATCAACACACAATATATTTTCTAGATTTTGTTTGTGATATTTGTTGTTTGTGATTTTTCATGTTTAATACAAATAACAGAAATGTATATAATTCTGAATTTGTAATTTTTTATTCTTGTATTTTTCATCATACTCTCCCAAATTATATAAATGGCCCCACCAAAACCTGATCCACCCATACTAACATGTAACCAGTACTTTTACATGCTAGGTGTTTTTAAAGATCTTACAGGTAAATCTCACATTTTACAAATGTGAATAACAAGTTTTACAAATGAGGAAACTCCATTCTCAGTCCTTTGTCACAACAGGTCAACACTGAATTATAACCCCCTGAATCTCTTTCTTTCCTGCCACCCAGCCCTCAATGTAGCTTTTCTTCTCTTCTCTAGCATAACTGCAGATTTTAAAATCTCTATGATATTGTCTTTGTTTTCTCTTACATTTTTTTTCCAGCCACCTGCTACTTTGAGAGATTATTTATAACTTAATCCCTTTTATTTAAATCTCTGATTCCTGTTTTAAGCACCACCCAAGCAGTCATTTACATCTCAGTTCCTTGGTTTCCAACCACACAATATGTTAAAATCACCTGGAGAGGTGATTAAAATGTTTTAATACCCTGGTGACACCGCACAGTGACTAAGTAAGAATCTCTCACCAAAGCATTAGTAATTTGTAAGAGGGAAGCAAGTTTGAGAACCAATGGCTTAGTTGATGAATTCATGTTGTTGATTTAGGGTGAAAATAGAGAATGTTTCCCTGAGAGAGAAGAAAATGCCCAGAAAGAAAAATATGCTGGTACGGAAGCAAGGCACCTCAGCAAAAGTGCCCTTTGCTTTGTAACAGCTAGTAGAGAGAATAAAGAATGAAATGTGAATTTTTTCTCTTACTGTACCAGATATGTGAACTCAGAGAAGCCATTATATTTTGTGCAATCTCAAGGTCCTTACTTACAACATGGGTATTGTGTGTACCCTATGGATTGTTGTGAAGATTAGACATAACAAATGTAGGGCAACTGTTGATTAAAATAGACACATTACTATTGTTATTAGCTGTAAAGGTTTATAGCATCTAGGGGTTGCTTCAATGCAATTTTTACTTTTAATTGCATACAGTTGTATAACACTTTCTAATGGTGGTCATTTTTCTGACAGCTGGACCATTTCTGTCTTTTTCACTGCTAGGATCACAGTCCCCGGCAAACTGCTTGATACAGACTATGAGTTAAAATATTACTGAATGAAAAAGAAAATGAATGTGTAATATAGCTTATTTTCAATGGTCCAAAAAAATGGATGATGCTAGGTTTATTTCTTTTGTATTCTCCTGCAATCCTTTTTTCTCTTACCTGATACATAGTAAATTGATAACAAGAGTTTACTATGTATCTGGTACTGTTCTGAGACTGTTACAAAATCCTATTGTTGTGGCTTCTTGAGTGCCATAGCTCAGTGAGTGGGAGGGAATGTTACTGCTCTTTCACTCCCACAGTTTGCAAGTTTCAAGTTCTTGTCTCATAACCAAGAGGAGTGAGGTATGTGGACACCAGAGAGTAAGCAAGGCAGAGTATAATTTTATTTAGCAACAGAAAGAAAGCTCTCAGCAGCAAGTGGGTACCTGTAAGTGGATTGCCAGTTGTGAGGCTGAGTCGGGAAACGCATGCTGATTGGTTTATAGGTAGGCTTGGAAAAAGCACCATTCAGAAAGAGGTATGATAGTGTAAAGAGCCAATCGGGGGCTGAAGTGGGGGCTGAAGTGGAGGCTTGGCCCAGGACCAGTCATGGGCTGAGCACACTGAAGGGGAATGGAAGTTCTCACTCGGGTCAGTGGACTCTATCTGGAACTGGTAGTTTGGTGTTAAGGCTTCAGTCTGGCCTTGGCTTGAAGGTCAAGTTTCACCAGAGACCAATCCCTGTCTGCCAAGGAAAGTGTCTGCCTCCTATTGCTATCACTATGATTTAGGTATTATAGTTATTTACATTTTACAGATGAAGAATGTAGAGTTTAAATAACTTGTTCAAGTCACATAGCTGTTAAGTTATTGAGTGGGATTCGAATTTATGTAAACAGAATTGAGAGCCCTTTCAGTCGTTAACCTTCCTGCTGCAATAATCACTTCACCTGTGTAAAAGCAGCTGTTACTATGAAGTACTTAAAGTCCTTGAAGGAATCACTGTCTCTTAAAGTTCTAAACATGTTTTATCTTCTAGTCTTCTTGGGAACTACTCATAACTCACAGGGGAAACAATATATGGAGTAAAAAGATGTAATATTTACTTTGGGTGGAAAAATCATTTTTGCTTTGGAAAAACAATGCTACTAACTCTTATTTGGCATAGACAAAAGCACATGGACTCAATACAGTTTTATTTCTGCTATGTTTAGATATTCTGCTGCTGGAAGTAATGGTAATTTAGACTGTTTTCCTTTTTAGTTTTATGGCACAGTTTGTTAGAGAGTTAATCGTATTTCACTGTCTTTATATTGGAAGCATTAGATTTTAATTATTAGAAAATGTTCATTACTTCTAAGGTATTCACTACACGAGAGCTCATGTAGTGAGGTTTTCCTAATAAGTGATAGAAAAGTATAAATGCCGTGGATTATGCAATGTAATTTCCTTTAAAACTCTTTGGAAGATAAAAAGTAGGTCACAATAAAACTTCTCTGTGCAATCACAGAATTCAAGACAACAGCAGATGTATTGCTAACCTTTAATTCATAAGGAGAAAAGTCTCTTCCAAGTCTGAAGTTATTTTCAGATGGATAAGTAAAAAGGTTGATTGTATATTGAATTGTGGATGTTCTTTTTACATTTATAATCATTATAAAATGATTTATAAGTCTTCTGTCTCATCTATATTATTTCTGAATTGTATGGATACAGGACAAAGATTGTAGAATTGTAAAAAAAAATTTAAAGTTCATGTATTTGAATGAAACACAGTTGGAATTTCAGGGAACATTAAGAAAATGGTTGCCCATTCCTAATAATATAAAAATGTTTGTCTAAAATGGACGGTAGACAGTTTTGATGATGGACCACTGATCTATTTAAGAATTGGGGAAATAAAATGGCCCATCTCTTTCTCTCCAGCAGCAGATATTCCTCTGCTAATAGTGAAATAAACATTTCCCATGGAAACATCTGTCAGAGTAATGTGTCTATAATTGAAGTGAACATTGAGGATATTAAAATGTGCCAATTAAAAAATACACTCATTTACTGAAAAAAAATTTTGAAAAAGACTTTGAGGTACAATTTCAAGTATAAATCTCAGTTAACAATATTTACTGTGAAATGTTTTGTGTAGAGAATTGCCCCACATGTTTGTTATATGCAGTAGCTACGTTTTGTGATAGTTAATTTGAAATGCTGAATATATATTTTTATGAATTATGTTTGTGTGACTTGCCAAACAATATGGCTTGCTTCTCATTTTGCATAGTTTGATTTACTCTAACAAAGAATAATTTATGAATAAATTATAGCAGAAGTATTTATCATTGTGGAAAGTAAGATTTAAATTGAATAGCCCTTTCCTGAAAATATAATATGGAACTACATCTCCAGAGATGTCCAAACTAGAAGAAATAAACTTAATTTTTTTAAATGGTATGTTTTCTTTGAAGTAGGAGTAACTGATAGAATAAAATAAGAGAAAAGAACTTGAATCCCTTCAACCAGTTCAGTGTATTGATTTCATTTACTTAGCAAAAATACTTAATATGATTTATATATATATACACATATATATGCATATATGTGTGTATCTATATATACATATATGTGTGTATATATACATGTGTATATATACACATATGTGTGTGTGTGTGTGTGTGTGTGTGTATATATAGAGAGAGAGAGGTGGAGTACTGCTCTGTCACCCAGGCTGGAGTGCGATGGCATGATCTTGGCTCACTGCAACCTCTGCCTACTGGGTTCAAGCAATTCTCCTGCCTCAGCCTCCTGAGTAGCTAGGACTACAGGCGTGTGCCACCAAGCCTGATGAATTTTTGTATTTTTATTAGAGACAGGGTTTCACCATGTTGGTCAGGCTGGTCTCAAACCCCTGACCTCATGATCCGCCCGCCTTGGCCTCCCAAAGTGCTGGGATTACAGGCATAAGCCACTGTGCCCGGCCAATATGGTTAATATTTTAAATGATTAATACTAATATACTTAAAAATTACATCTGCTCTTGTCACATGAGTACCACAGCATCATAAGAAACAGTTTTAAACTCTGGCTTTTTCATGTACACCCATTTTTTCAAAATACCCATTATTATTTTGGTGGTCTTCTATGCCCAAGTTCACATTACAGTTCTTTACATCTCAACCAAACAAAATACAACACAGATAGCTATGTGTTCACCTTTTACTCATGGGCATAAATGTAGATGATATTTCCCAGCCTCCCTAGAGTTTTGCACAATAGAATGTAGGCAAGAGTGATTATATGTCATTTCAAAATCCAACTTCTTAAAGTCTTCTCTACCATATTTAAATATCCTAATCTTTATTCATCATCTGAATGGAAATACTGGACAAGGTCAGAGCCACAGATGTAAAGAGTATACCTCCTAAATTACATGAAGTACTTGCCAACAAGAATTACTGCATTTAAACAAAGAATACATTTTTTAAAAAAATATAAAGCTATAAAATTTTCAGATTTCTTATTATAGCAGCTTGCATTGTTTGTCCTATTTAGGAACACCAGTAAGATAATCACATTGTCATCTCAACCTTCACCTGTATAATGTAATGTCATTGGAAATTCTAAAATTTCCAAACAGAATTATAATATTCCTTTCCACTCAGTTTTCCTTTGCAACATTTCTGTTATTCCATTAGTGGCATCGCTATTCTAGAAGTTAGTTTTCAGAAAGAAAATATGATGCAACTTACCCAGTTTGGAATTTTGGTGAGGTTGAAAACAGGCATATCAACATCTTACCCTAGAAGAATTAATTCTTCTATAGACATTGGATGCATCCACTTGGTATATTTCAATGTATACTATTTGGCCACAAAATAAAATTTGTTATAATAAGCATATTTCTATAATTACACACACACACACACACACTTATAAAACTTGAGAACTTGGAAAGTTGAGTACATAATGAAATAGCAAGCTACTGTATACTGAAGTATAACACAATTTGAACTTTTTGAGTATTAGTGCATCCTCATCTGAATTTATTAGAATTAGTATGATCATAAAAACTTTATGGACACCCATTTCTTGGGTTCATGGTGCTTACTACTCAAATAGACACAATTGGGTAGTAAAGTATGTAAGAAAAGCTTCTAATTATGAGAGTCATGCCATCTCTGCAAATGCAGGTGATGTACATACTTGTTTCTCTCTCCCTACCTCTGTCTCTCTCCCTCTCTCTATCATAATAAAAGACATAGCTGCAGACATGCCTTATTACAAAAAAACTGGTAAGTTTCTATCACTGTGGCAGGACTGGCAGCTGGGCTACAATTGATAGAATGCCAAATCCCAGACATGGCATGATTAAATCCAGTGTCTAATCATTCTGTTATAGTAAATTCACAAAGCAGTCTGATTACAGATTACAGCATGCCTTGACTTCATGGTGGTACATGTGTTATACATTTGCTATGAAATTACTAGTGTGAATTTATAACCAAAATGTATTGTTTACAAAAGATTTTTTCCACTCCAAGTTTATTTAAACTGATTTATATATTTCACTAGTATTGTTGGTAAAATCCATGAAATTAATTGGACTACCCACTACTTTACTGTTAGTGTTTTGTTTTCTTATTTAACTATAATTTATTTTTTTCTGGGTTTTTCTTTGTTTACTATAAAATTTTTATATATAAGATGCAAAAGTCAGCTGTTTAAAGTTAGAATGTTAACATATAGAACTAATATTAATTTATTTCTTAAATATAAGTATTAGAATTGCTTAATATGCATATATTAACAAGTTTGCAAAAATAGATTCTGTGACTTTAGGCTGTAATAGAAGAAATATTTAGAGTTACAAGTTATTTTAACATTTTGGCCAAGAAGACATAGAAACATTTTAAGAAAATATATTAAATCGTTTTGTTTCTGCATAGTACATTAATGGGCAATAGAACACATTTATTAAAGTCTCTTGACAATATGTAATACATTAAATAAATCATTAAAGTTTCATTGTGGATCTACTGTTATTATAATGTGTTTTTTGTTATCAATAGATTTTCTATAAATATTCTAGCCTATTTTTACATAAGAAAAACTCATCTAAAATTCGAATTGTACTTTTTCCTTGAGGCAGTTTTCCTTCTGTATTTTGTCTTTGTATTAATACATCACTTTATATGTGAAATGTAAAATAGTCAAACTCATTGAAGCAGAGCATAGTGGGGTGGTTGCCAGGGGTGGGGGTGGGGCAGGGGGGGCAGAAAATAGAGAGATACTGGTAAAGAGGTAAAAAGTGTCAGTTATACAAGATGAATAAGTTCTGGAGACCTAATGTACAATAATGCAACTATAGTTAACAATGCTGTATTATTTAAGTGGAGAGACCTTTAGTATTCTCATCAAAAAATAATTATTTTGCTGTGTGTGTGTGTGTGTGTGTGTGTGTATAGAGTCATCAAGTTGTACACCTGAAATACATATAAATTTAAATTGTCAATTATACCTTATTAAAGCTGGGGAGGGGCAAGTCACCAACCCTGATTAATTGGTAGAAAATTGGTACAAATTTTTGTACTTTACTAAGAGTTGATCATGCTAAGAGAACTTGGGGTGCTGTTGATCTGGTAATCTGTCCAACTAGCCAGACACATTTGTGAATAGTTTTAAACTCAATAAATATTATGAAATATTTGTTGTGGATGCTTACCACAAATCTTGCCATTTAATTTCTTGGTGGACATTCCATTTCACACAAAGAAAGTAAAGTATCTCACACCTTACCTTCAAACACATTCTCTCCTCTTCCTACGAATGGTAGCATTTTTGTTTTTTAGAATATTCCACTTATTAAATCATGAGTTCCAATTTTTTTCCCACCAGTCTTGCCTTTCCTCTCAGTTCATGCATGATATAGCTAAACCTCTACTAAACATCTCCACCTGTATAGACAAATTTAACAAACCACAGTTGAGCTTGAAGGCCCCCTCCAAGCCTGCTGCTCCCACACTGATCCCCATCTCAGTAACAGCATCATCAGATACTGTTTTTCAGTCCTAGAAGTCATCTTTGTGTTCTTGTTCTTTCTTACTTTGCCCACATATTTTGTTAGTTGTCGCTTTAAAATGTATCCATAGTCTGATGACCCCTTTTGTTTCCTTTATTGTCACTTTTGCCCATATTACTATTTTCTATGATTTGGACCTCTCCACAGACTCCTAAATCATCTTACCTTTTTCTACTTTTGTCCCACGTACAGCCTTTTTATGCAGCAGCAGCAGCAGCAACAACAAATCATGTTATTTTTCCCCCAGTGAAAAAATTTTCAATGAGTTGACCTAAGTGTTTGGAAATACAGTGTAACATCCTGATATGTCCTCAAAAATGTACACAATTTGGCCCTTGCCTCTACTCCTACCTCCTACCCGACTCTCCTTTTGCTAACTCTTCTGCAGCCATGCCAGCCTTCTTGCTGTTTGTTTAAATGTTCAAGTTTAGTCCACCCCAAGGCTTTAACATCTGCATTTTTGTTTTGTCTGTCAGAATATATTGTCTCCAAATCTCCACATTGAAAGCTTCCTTGCAAAATTATTTTTTTGTTGAGATATTTCTACTTTATAATGGTCTTTTCTGCTCATCCTGTCAACCAGCACCAGTTGTTACCTCATCCCTTACAAGGCTTTTCTTAATAGCTATTACCACTACTTAAAGTTATATATTTACTTTGTATTCTGTCTTTTCTACCAGAATTTAACTCTATGAGATAGGGTCTCTGTCTTGTTAACTGCAGTATTCTCATTGTCTGGAAAAATTCCAAAACATATTTGCTGAATAAATGATTAAATCATATAAAATTTAACTTGGTAATGAGCATTTATATAATCTGATTAAAGTACAATTTCTTTTACTGCCTCATTAGCCTTTTGAATAAACATCAGCAAAACACTATGGTATACAGGACCAGCTTTTTCACTGTTTCTCTAATTAACCATGTTGACCTACTTCCAGCTCCCCCTCTGACTCGATTACTAACCAGCCTTCTTACACGGGAGAGTTACTTTGCAGAGCATCATTGATAGAAGTAATTTTTTTTAATTACACTTTAAATTCTAGGGTGCATGTGCACAACGTGTAGGTTTGTTACCTAGGTATACATGTGCCATGTTGGTTTGCTGCACCCATCAACTCATCATTTACATTAGGTATTTCTCCTAATGCTATCCCTCCCCCAATCCCCCAGCCCCTGACAGGCCCCGGTGTGTGATGTTCCCTGACCTGTGTCCAAGTGATCTCATTCTTCATTTCCCACCTATGAGTGAGAACATGCGGTGTTTGGTTCTCTGATCTTGTGAGAGTTTGCTGAGAATGATGGTTTCCAGCTTCATCTATGTCCCTACAAAGGACATGAACTTATCCTTTTTTATGGCTGCATAGTATTCCATGGTGTATATGGGCCACATGTCTTAATCCAGTCTATCATTGATGGACATTTGGTTCCAAGTCTTTGCTATTGTGAACAGTGCCATAATGAACATATGTGTGCATGTGCCTTTATAGTAGCATGATTTATAATCCTTAGGGTATATACCCAGTAATGGGATGGCTGGGTCAAATGGTAATTCTAGTTCTAGATCCTTGAGGAATCACCACAGTGTCTTCTACGATGGTTGAAATAATTTATACTCCCACCAACAGTGTAAAAGCATTCCTATTTCTCCACATCCTCTGCAGCATCTGTTGTTTCCTGACTTTTTAATGATTGCCATTCAAACTGGTGTGAGATGATATCTCATTGTGGTTTTGATTTGCATTTCTCTGATGATCAGTGATGATAAGCATTTTTTCATGTGTCTGTTGGCTGCATAGATGTCGTCTTTTGAGAAGTGTCTGTTCATATCCTTCACCCACTTTTTCATGGGGTTGTTTTTCTTGTAAATTTGTTTGAGTTCTTTGTAGATTCTGGATATTAGCCCTTTGTCAGATGGGTAGGTTGCAGAAATTTTCTCCCATTCTGTAGGTTGCCTGTTCACTCTGATGGTAGTTTCTTTTGCTGTGCAGAAGCTCTTTAGTTTAATTATTTCCCGTTTGTCTATTTTGGCTTTTGTTCCCTTTGCTTTTGGTGTTTTAGTCATGAAGTCTTTGCCCATGCCTATGTCCTGAATGGTATTGCCTAGGTTTTCTTCTATGGTTTTCATGGTTTTAGGTCTAACGTTTAAGTCTTTAATCCATCTTGAATTAATTTTTGTATAAGGTGTAAGAGAGGGATCCAGTTTCAGCTTTCTACATATGGCTAGCCAGTTTTCCCAAAACCATTTATTAAATAGGGAATCCTTTCCCCATTTCTTGTTTTTATCAGGTTCGTCAAAGATCAGATGGTTGTAGATGTGTGGTGTTACTTCTAAGGCCTCTGTTCTCTTCCACTGGTCTATATCTTTGTTTTGGTACCAGTACCATGCTGTTTTGGTCACTGTAGCCTTTTAGTATAGTTTGAAGTCAGGCAGTGTGATGCCTCCAGCTTTGTTCTTTTTGCTTAGGAATGTCTTGGCAATGCGGGCTCTTTTTGGGTTCCATATGAACTTTAAAGTAGTTTTTTCCTGTTCTGTGATGAAAGACATTGGTAGCTTGATGGAGAAGGCATTGAATCTATAAATTACTTTGGGCAGTATGGCCATTTTGACAATATCAATTCTTCCTATCCATGAGCATGGAATATTATTCCATTTGTTTGTGTCCTCTTTTATTTCATTGAGCAGTGGTTTGTAGTTCTCCTTGAAGAAGTCCTTCACATCCCTTGTAAGTTGGACTCCTAGGTATTTTATGCTCTTTGTAGCAATTGTGAATGGGAGTTCACTCATGATTTGGCCCTCTGTCTGTTGATGGTGTATAGGAATGCTTGTGATTTTTGCACATTGATTTTGTATCCTGAGAATTTACTGAAGTTACTTATCAGCATAAGGAGATTTTGGGCTGAGATGATGGGGTTTTCTAAATATACAATCATGTCATCTGCAAACAGGGACAATTTGACTTCCTCATTTCCTAATTGAATACCCTTTATTTCTTTCTCCTGCCTGATTGCCCTGGCCAGAACTTCCAACACTATGTTGAATAGCAGTGATGAGAGGGTGCATCCTTGTATTTTGCTGGTTTTCAAAGGGAATGTTTCCAGTTTTTGCCCATGCAGTATGATATTGGCTGTGGGTTTGTCATAAATAACTCTTATTATTTTGAGATACGTTCCATCAATACCTTGTTTATTGAGACTTTTTAGCATGAAGGGCTGTTGAATTTTGTCGAAGGCATTTTCTGCATCTATTGAGATAATCATGTGGTTTTTGTCATTGGTTCTGTTTATGTGATGGATTATGTTTCTTAATTTGCATATGTTGAACCAGTCTTGTATCCCAGCGATAAGCCAACTTGATCATGGTGGATAAACTTTTTAATGTGCTGCTGGATTCGGTTTGCCAGTATTTTATTGAGGATTTTTGCATCGATGTTCATCAGGGATATTGGTCTAAAATTCCTTTTTTTGGTTGTGTCTCTGCCAGGCTTTGGTAACAGGATGATGTTGGCCTCATAATATGAGTAGGGAGGAGTCCCTCTTTTTCTATTGATTGGAATAGTTTCAGAAGGAATGGTACCAGCTCCTCTTTGTACCTCTCGTAGAATTCGGCTGTGAATCCATCTGGTCCTGGACTTTTTTTGGTTGGTAGGCTATCAATTTCTGCCTCAATTTCAGAACTTGTTATTGGTCTATTCAGGGATCTGACTTCTTTCTAGTTTAGTCTTGGGAGGGTGTATGTATCCAGGAATTCATCCATTTCTTGTAGATTTTCTAGTTTATTTGCGTAGAGGTGTTTATGGTATTCTCTGATGGTAGTTTGCATTTCTTTGGGATCAGTGGTGATATCCCCTTTATCATTTTTTGTTGCATCTATTTGATTCTTCTGTCTTTTCTTCTTTATTAATCTTGCTAGCAGTCTATCAATTTTGTTGATCTTTTCAAAAAACCAGCTCCTGGATTCATTGACTTTTTTGAAGGGTTTTTTGTGTCTCTATCTTTTTCAGTTCTGCTCTGATCTTAGTTATTTCTTTCCTTCTGCTGGCTTTTGAATTTGCTTGCTCTTGTTTCTCTAGTTCTTTTAATTGTGATGTTAGGGTGTCGATTTTAGATCTTTCCTGATTTCTCCTGTGGGCATTTAGTGCTATAAATTTCCCTCTACACACTGCTTTAAATGTATCCCAGAGATTCTGATATGTTGTGTCTTTGTTCTCACTGATTTCAAAGAACATCTTTATTTCTGCCTTCATTTCATTAGTTACCCAGTAGTCATTCAGGAGCATGTTGTTCAGTTTCCATGTAGTTGTGTGGTTTTGAGTGAGTTTCTTAATCCTGAGTTCTAGTTTGATTGCACTGTGGTCTGAGAGACAGTTTGTTGTGATTGCTGTTATTTTACATTTGCTGAGGAGTGCTTTAGTTCCAATTATGTGGTCAATTTTAGGATAAATGCAATGTGGTGCTGAGAAGAATGTATATTCTGTTGATTTGGGGTAGAGAGTTCTGTAGATGTCTATTAGGTCTGCTTGTTGCAGAGCTGAGTTCAGGTCCTCGGTATCCTTGTTAATCTTCTGTCTCGTTGATCTGTCTAATATTGACAGTGGGGTGTAAAAGCCTCCCATTATTATTGTGTCAGAGTCTAAGTCTCCTTGTAGGTCTCTAAGGACTTGCCTTATTAATCTGGGTGCTCCCGTATGGGGTGCATATATATTTAGGATAGTTAGCTCTTCTTGTTGAATTGATCCCTTTACCATTATGTAATGGCTTTCTTTGTCTCTTTTGATCTTTGTTGGTTTAAAGTCTGTTTTATCAGAGACTAGGATTGCAATCCCTGCTTTTTTATTTTTTGCTCCGTTTGCTTGGTAGATCTTCCTCCATCCCTTTATTTTGAGCCTATGTGTGTCTTTGCATGTGAGATGGGTTTCCTGAATACAACACACTGATGGGTCTCAGCTCTTTATCCAATTTGCCAATCTGTGTCTTTTCATTAGGGCATTTAGCCCATTTACATTTAAGGTCAATATTGTTAACGTGTGAATTTGATCCTGTCATTATGATGTTTGCTGGTTATTTTGACTGTTAATTGATGCAGTTTCTTCATAGCATTGATGGTCTTTACAATTTGGCATGTTTTTGCAGTGGCTGGTACCACTTGTTCCTTTCCATGTTTGATGCTTCCTTCAGGAGCTCTTTTAAGGCAGGCTTGGTGGTGACAAAATCTCTCAGCATTAGCTTGTCTGTAAAGTATTTTATTTCTCCTTCACTTATGAAGCTTAGTTTGGCTGGATATGAAATTCTGGATTGAAAATTTTTTTCTTTAAGAAGGTTGAATACTGGCCCCCACTCTGTTTTGCCTTGTAGTGTTTCTGCTGAGAGATCAGCTGTTAGTCTGATGGGCAGCCCTTTGTGACTATCTCGCCCTTTCTCTCTGGCTGCCCTGAACACCTTTTCCTTCATTTTAACCTTGGTGTATCTGACAATTACAAGTCTTGTGTGCACTTCTTGAGGAGTATTTTTGTGGTGTTTTCTGTATTTCCTGAATTTGATTGTTGGCCTGCCTTGCTATGTTTGGAAAGTTCTCCTGGATAATATCCTGAAGAGTGTTTTCCAACATGGTTCCATTCTCCCCATCACTTTCAGTTACACCAATCAAATGTAGATTTGGTCTTTTCATATAGTCCCATATTTCTTGGAGGCTTTGTTTGTTTCTTTTTACTCTTTTTTCTCTAACCTTGTCTTCTTGCTTTATTTCTTTTTCTTATTATTATTATACTTTAAGTTTTAGGGTACATGTGCACAACGTGCAGGTTTGTTACATATGTATACATGTGCCATGTTGGTGTGCTGCACCCATTAACTCCTAATGCTAGGTATATCTCCTGATGCTATCCCTCCACCGTCCCCCCACCCCACAACAGTCCCCAGTGTGTGATGTTCCCCTTCCTGTGTCCATGTGTTCTCATTCTTCAATTCCCACCTATGAGTGAGAACATGTGGTGTGTGGTTTTTTGTCCTTGCCATAGTTTGCTGAGAATGATGGTTTCCAGCTTCATCCATGTCCCTACAAAGGACATGAACTCATCATTTTTTATGGCTGCATAGTATTCCATGGTGTATATGTGCCACATTTTCTTAATCCAGTCTATCATTGTTGGATATTTGGGTTGGTTTTAAGTCTTTGCTATTGTGAATAGTGCCACAATAAACATACATGTGCATGTGTCTTTATAGCAGCATGATTTATAATCCTTTGGGTATATACCCAGTAATGGGAAGGCTGGGTCAAATGGTATTTCTAGTTCTAGATCCCGGAGGAATCGCCACACTGACTTCCACAATGGTTGAACTAGTTTACAGTCCCACCAACAGTGTAAAAGTGTTCCTATTTCTCCACATCCTCTCCAGCACCTGTTGTTTCCTGACTTTTTAATGATTGCCATTCTAACTGGTGTGAGATGGTATCTCATTGTGGTTTTGATTTGCATTTCTCTGATTGCCAGTGATAATGAGTATTTCTTAATGTGTTTTTTGGCTGCATAAATGTCTTCTTTTGAGAAGTGTCTGTTCATATCCTTTGCCCACTTTTTGATGGGGTTGTTTGTTTTTTTCTTGTAAATTTGTTTGAGTTCATTGTAGATTCTGGATATTAGCCTTTTGTCAGATGAGTAGGTTGCAAAAATTTTCTCCCATTCTGTAGGTTGCCTGTTTACTCTGATGGTGGTTTCTTTTGCTGTGCAGAAGCTCTTTAGTTTAATTAGATCCCATTTGTCAATTTTGGCTTTGGTTGCCATTGCTTTTGGTGTTTTAGACATGAAGTCTTTGCCCATGCCTATGTCCTGAATGGTATTGCCTAGGTTTTCTTCTGTGGTTTTTATGGTTTTAGGTCTAACATTTAAGTCTTTAATCCATCTTGAATTAATTTTTGTATAAGGTGTAAGGAAGGGATCCAGTTTCAGCTTTCTACATATGGCTAGCCAGTTTTCCCAGCACCATTTATTAAATAGGGAATCCTTTCTGCATTGCTTGTTTTGGTCAGGTTTTGTCAAAGATCAGATAGTTGTAGATATGTGGCATTATTTCTGAGGGCTCTGCTCTGTTCCATTGGTCTATATCTCTGTTTTGTTAACAGTACCATGCTGTTTTGGTTACTGTAGCCTTGTAATATAGTTAGAAGTCAGGCAGTGTGATGCCTCCAGCTTTGTTCTTTTGGCTTAGGATTGACTTGACAATGCGGGCTCTTTTTTGGTTCCATATGAACTTTAAAGTAGTTTTTTCCAATTCTGTGAAGAAAGTCATTGGTAGCTTGATGAGGATGGCATTGAATCTATAAATTACCTTGGGCAGTATGGCCATTTTCATGATATTGATTCTTCCTATCCATGAGCATGGAATATTCTTCCATTTGTTTGTGTCCTCTTTTATTTCATTGAGCAGTGGTTTGTAGTTCTCCTTGAAATGGTCCTTCACATCCCTTGTAAGTTGGATTCCTAGGTATTTTATTGGCTTTGAAACACTTGTGAATGGGAGTTCACTCATGATTTGGCTCTCTGTTTGTCTGCTATTGGCGTATATGAATGCTTGTGATTTTTGCACATTGATTTTGTATCCTGAGATTTTGCTGAAGTGGCTTATCAGCTTAAGGAGATTTTGGGCTGAGACAATGGGGTTTTCTAAATATACAATCATGTCATCTGCAAACAGGCACAATTTTACTTCCTATTTGCCTAATTGAATGCCCTTTATTTCCTTCTCCTGCCTGATTGCCCTGGCCAGAACTTCCAACACTGTTAAATAGCAGTGGTAAGAGAGGACATCTCTGTCTTGTGCCAGTTTTCAAAGGGAATGCTTCCAGTTTTTGCCCATTCAGTATGATATTGGCTGTGGGTTTGTCATAGATAGCTCTTATTATTTTGAGATACGTCCCATTAATACCTAATTTATTGAGAGTTTTTAGCATGAAGGGTTGTTGAATTTTGTCAAAGGCCTTTTCTGCATCTATTGAGTTAGTCATGTTGTTTTTGTCTTTGGTTGTTTATATGCTGGATTATGTTTATTGATTTTCATCTGCTGAACCAGCCTTGCATCCCAGGGATGAAGCCCACTTGATCATGGTGGATAAGCTTTTTGATGTGCTGCTGGATTCGGTTTGCCAGTATTTTACTGAGGATTTTTGCATCGATGTTCACCAGGGATATTGGTCTAAAATTCTCCTTTTTTGTTGTGTCTTTGCCAGGCTTTGGTATCAGGATGATGCTGGCCTCATAAAATGAGTTAGGGAGGATTCCTTCTTTTTCTGTTGATTGGAATAGTTTCAGAAGGAATGGTAGCAGCTCCTCCTTGTACCTCTGGTAGAATTTGGCTGTGAATCCATCTGGTCCTGGACTTTTTTTGGTTGGTAAGCTATTAATTATTGCCTCAATTTCAGAGCCTGTTATTGGTCTATTCAGAGATTCAACTTCTTCTGGATTTGGTCTTTGGAGAGTGTGTGTGTCGAGGAATTTATCCATTTCTTTCAGATTTTCTAGTTTATTTGCATAGAAGCGTATATCGTATTCCCTTCTGGTAGTTCATATTTCTGTGGGATCGGTGGTGATATCCCCTTTGTCATTTTTTATTGCATCTATTTGATTCTTCTCTCTTTTCTTCTTTATTAGTCTTGCTAGTGGTCTATCAATTTTGTTGATCTTTTCAAAAAAACCAGCTCCTGGATTCATTGATTTTTTTGAAGGTTTTTTTGTGTCTCTATTTCCTTCAGTTCTGTTCTGATCTTAGTAATTTCTTGCGCTCTGCTAGCTTTTGAATGTGTTTGCTCTTGCTTCTCTAGTTCTTTTAATTGTGATGTTAAGGTGTCAATTTTAGATCTTTCCTGCTTTTCTCTTGTGGGCATTTAGTGCTATAAATTTCCCTCTACACACTGCTTTGAAAGTATCCCAGAGATTCTGGTATGTTGTGTCTTTGTTCTCATTGGCTTCAAAGAACGTCTTTATTTCTGCCTTCATTTCATTATGTACCCAGTAGTCATTTGGAGCAGCTTGTTCAGTTTCCATGTAGTTGAGCGGTTTTGAGTGAGTTTCTTAATCCAGAGTTCTAGTTTGATTGCACTGTGGTCTGAGAGACAGTTTGTTATAATTTCTGTTCTTTTACATTTGCTGAGGAGAGCTTTACTTCCAACTATGTGGTCAGTTTTGGAATAGGTGTGGTGTGATGCTGAAAAGAATGTATATGCTGTTGATTTGGTGTGGAGAGTTCTGTAGATGTCTATTAGGTCCGCTTGGTGGAGAGCTGAGTTCAATTCCTGGATATCCTTGTGAACTTTCTGTCTTGTTGATCTGTGTAATGCTGACAGTGGGGTGTTAAAGTCTCCCATTATTATTGTGTGGGAGTCTAGGTCTCTTTGTAAGTCACTAAGGACTTGCTTTATGAATCTGGGTGCTCCTGTATTGGGTGCACATATGTTTAGGATAGTTAGTTCTTCTTGTTGAATTGATCCCTTTACCATTATGTAATGGCCTTCTTTGTCTCTTTTGATCTTTGTTGGTTTAAAGTCTGTTTTATCAGAGACTAGGATTGCAACCGCTGCCTTTTTTTGGTTTTCATTTGCTTGGTAGATCTTCCTCCATCCCTTTATTTTGAGCCTATGTGTGTCTCTGCACGTGTAATGGGTTTCCTGAATACAGCACACTGATGGGTCTTGACTCTTTATCCAATTTGCCAGTCTGTGCCTTTTAATTGGAGCACTTAGCCCATTTACATTTAAAATTAGTATTGTTACGTGTAAATTTGATCCTGTCATTATGATGTTAGCTCATTATTTTGCTCGTTAGTTGATGCAGTTTCTTCCTAGCCTCGATGGTCTTTACAATTTGGTATGTTTTTGTAGTGCCTGGTACCAGTTGTTCCTTTCCATGTTTAGTGCTTCCTTCAGGAGCTCTTGTAGGGCCGGCCTGGGGGTGATAAAATCTCTCAGCATTTGCTTGTCTGTAAAGTATTTTATTTCTCCTTCACTTATGAAACTTAGTTTGGCTGGATATGAAATTCTTGATTGAAAATTCTTTTCTTTAAGAATGCTGAATATTGTCCCCCAGTCTCTTCTGGCTTGTAGAGTTTCTGCCGGGAGATCAGCTGTTAGTCTGATGGGCTTCCCTTTGTGGGTAACACGACCTTTCTTTCTGGCTGCACTTAACATTTTTTCCTTCATTTCAACTTTGGTGAATCTGACAATTATGTGTCTTGGAGTTGCTCTTCTCAAGGAGTATCTTTGTGGCGTTCTCTGTATTTCCTGAATTTGAATGTTGGCCTGCCTTGCTAGATTGGGGAAGTTCTCCTGGATAGTATCCTGCAGAGTGGTTTCCAACTTGGTTCCATTCTCCCCGTCACTTTCAGGTACACCAATTACACGTAGATTTGGTCTTTTCACATAGCCCTATATTTATTGGAGGCTTTGTTCATTTCTTTTTATTCTTTTTTCTCTAAACTTCTCTTCACACTTCATTTCATTCATTTCATCTTCCATCGCTGATACCCTTTCTTCCAGTTGATCGCATTGGTTACTAAGGCTTGTGCATTCGTCATGTAGTTCTCGTGCCTTGGTTTTCAGCTCCATCTGGTCCTTTAATGATTTCTCTGCATTGGTTATTCTAGTTATCCATTCGTCTAATTTTTTTTTTCAAAGTTTTTAACTTCTTTACCATTGGTTCAAACTTCCTTGTTTAGCTCAGAGTAGTTTGATCTTCTGAAGCCTTCCTCTCTCAACTCATCATCGTCATTCTCCATCCAGCTTTGTTCCATTGCTGGTGAGGAGCTGCATTCCTTTGAAGGAAGAGAGGCGCTCTGATTTTTAGAGTTTCAGTTTTTCTGCTGTGCTTTTTCCCCATCTTTGTGGTTTTATCTACCTTTGGTCTTTGATGATGGTGATGTACAGATGGGTTTTTGGTGTGGATGTCCTTTCTGTTTGTTAGTTTTCCTTCTAACAGTCAGGACCCTCAGCGGCAGGTCTGTTGGAGTTTACTGGAGGTCCACTCCAGATGCTGTTTGCCTGGGTATCAGCAGCGGTGGCTGCAGAACAGCGGATATTGGTGAACCGCAAATGCTGCCGCCTGATTGTTCCTCTGGAAGTTTTGTCTCAGAGGAGGACCTGGCTGTGTGAGGTGTCAGTCGGACCCTGCTGGATGGTTCCTCCCAGTTAGGCTACTTGGGAGTCAGGGACCCACTTGAGGAGGCAGTAGGCCCGTTCTCAGATCTCAAGCTGTGTGCTAGGAGAACCACTACTCTCTTCAAAGCTGTCAGACAGGGACATTTAAGTCTGCAGAGGTTATTGCTGTCTTTTGTCTGTGCCCACCCCCAGAGGTGGAGCCTACAGAGGCAGGCAGGCCTCCTTGAGCTGTGGTGGGCTCCACCCAGTTCGAGCTTCCTGGCTGCTTTGTTACCTACTCAAGCCTGAGCAATGGCAGGCACCCCTCCCCCAGCCTCAATGCCACCTTGCAGTTTGATCTCAGACTGCTGTGCTAGCAATGAGTGAGGCTCCGTGGGCGTAGGACCCTCCGAGCCATGTGCAGGATATAATCTCCTGGTGTGCCATTTGTTAAGCCTGTCGGAAGAGTGCAGTATTAGGGTGTAGTGTTAGTGACCCGATTTTCCAGGTGCCATCTGTCACCCCTTTCTTTGACTAGGAAAGGGAATTCCCTGACCCCTTGCACTTCCCAGGTGAGGCAATGCCTTGCCCTGCTTTGTCTCATGCACGGTGCGCTGCCCCCACTGTCCTGCACCCACTGTCTGGCACTACCCAGTGAGATGAACCTGGTACCTCAGTTGGAAATGCAGAAATCACCCATCTTCTGTGTTGCTCACGCTGGGAGCTGTAGACTGGAGCTGTTCCTATTAGGCCATCTTGGCTCCACCACCCACTTTATTTCATTAATTTGATTTTCAATCACGGATACCCTTTTTTCCACTTGATCGAATAGGCTGCGGAAGATTGTGCATGTGTCATGTAGTTCTCGTGCCATGGTTTTCAGCTTCATTGGGTCATTTAAGGTATTTTCTACACTGTTTATTCTAGTTAGCCATTAGTCTAATCTTTTTTCAAGGTTTTTAGCTTCCTTGCAATGGATTCAAACATCCTCCTTTAGCTCGGAGAAGTTTGTTATTACCGATCTTCTGAAGCCTACTTCTGTCAATTTGTCAAAATCATTCTCCATCCAGCTTTGTTCTGTTGCTGGCGAGGAGCTATGATCCTTTGGAGGAGAAGAGGTGCTCTGATTTTTAGAATTTTCAGGTTTTCTGCTCTGGTTTCTTCCCATCTTTCTGGTTTTATCTACCTTTGTTCTTTGATGTTGGTGACCTACAGATGGGGTTTTGGTGTGAATGTCCTTTTTGTTGATGTTGATGCTATTCCTTTCTGTTCATTAGTTTTCCTTCTAACAGTCAGGTCCGTCAACTGCAGGTCTGTTGGAGTTTGCTGGAGGTTCACATCAGACCCTGTTTGCCTGGGTATCACCAGCAGAAGCTGCAGAACAGCAAAAATTGCAGAACAGCAAATATTGCTGCCTGATCCTTCCTCCGGAAGCTTCGTCCCAGAGGGGCAGCTGCCTACATGAGTTGTCTGTCGGCCCCTACTGGGAGGTGTCTTCCAGTTAGGCTACACAGGGGTCAGGAACCCACTTGAAGGGGCAGTCTGTCTGTTCTCAGAGCTCAAACGCCATGCTGGGAGAACTACTGCTCTCTCCAGAGATGCCAGTCAGGGACGTTTAAGTCTGCAGAAGTTGTCTGCTGCCTTTTGTTCAGCTATGCCCTGCCCACAGAGGTGGAGTCTAGAGGCGGTAGGCCTTGTTGGGCTGCAGTGGGCTCCGCCCAGTTCAAGCTTCCAGGCCACTTTGTTTACCTGCTCGAGCCTCAGCAATGGTGGGTGCCTCTGCTCCAGCCAGGCTGCTGCCTCGCAGTTCGATCTCAGACTGCTGTGCTAGCAGTGAGCAAGGCTCCATGGGCATGGGACCTGCCAAGCCAGGCACAGGAGAGAATCACCTTGTCTGCCAGTTGCTAAGACCTTGGGAAAAGCACAGTATTTAGGCAAGAGTGTCCCGTTTTTCCAGGTAGTCTGTCATGGCTTCCCTTGGCTAAGAAAAAGATATCCCCCAACTTATTGTGCTTCCCAGGTGAGGTTATGCCCCACCCTCCTTCAGCTCACCCTCCGTGGACCCACTGTCCAATCAGTTCCAATGAGATGAACCAGGTTCCTCTGTTGGAAATGCAGAAATCACCCGTCTTCTACATCAATCGCGCTGGGAGCTGCAGACCAGAGCTGTTTCTATTTGGCCAACTTGGAACACCACCCCCCCAATTTTTAAATTTTAACATGCATCAGAATTGCCTGCAGTGCTTATCAAAACAAAAACGGCAGTTTCAGCCCAGAGTAGGTCTGCAGTAGAAGTAGAAAATTTGGCTTTCTAACTAGTCTTCATGTTTAGCTGATTCTGCAAATCCTGAAAGGAAAATTTGAGAACCACATATCTATAGATTGTCTGGATGATGACCATCTTCTGTTATGACTTCCTTCCAGAGTTACCTTGGGCAACTGGGATGGAAGCATTCTATAAAATAGGATGAGGAATAGGTTCTGAGGTCAGGCTTAGTTGTATATCCCAGCTGGAGAAGTAAGCTGAGCAATTCTTAGAGCAAATGTCCTGAAGAGTTTTCAGGACTGATATATAATTTCTAGCAGTATAGGAAATACCTGAAATGCCTGAAGGAACCAGCTGTAGCTGACTTGGTGAGGCTGGTGTTAGCAGCAAATTTTTTTCTATGGTACTTGTGGATGTATATTTAGAAAGGATTACTTGGGGGTATGAGACAGTCAAGAAACTAACACAGAGATCTTCCATCTCCATATTGTTTAGAGACTTTCATAAGATAGCAGACCTCTATAACAAAAAAAAATTGCATTAGTTTCTTAGGGTTGTTATAATAATATACTGTAAACTTAGTGGGTTAAACAAAAACAGAAATGTATTCTATCACAGATCTTCAGGCTAGAATTCCCAAATTAAGGTGTTGGCAAAGCCATGCTGTCTCTGAAGGCTCTAGGGGAGGACTCTTCCTTGTCTTTTCTGAGATTCTAATAATTGCCCATGGTGCTATGGCTTGCAATTGTTTCCCTCCAGTTTCATGATATTTCTGTGTCTTCTATTGCTGTTATTATGAAAGTTAAAAAGTGAAGCAATTTTGATAAGATATTTTATTTACAACTTATTTTAGCTTTGGGCATACATGTGAAGGTTTGTTACATAGGCAAACTCATGTCACAGGGGTTTGTTGTACAGATTATTTTATCACCCAGGTATTAAACCCAGTACCCAGTAGTTATCTTTTCTGCTCCTCTCTCTCCTCCCCGACTCCCCTCAAGTACACCCCAGTGTCTATTGTTTCCTTCGTTTTCATGAGTTCTCATCAATTAGCTCCCACTCATAGGTGAGAACATGCGGTGTTTAGTTTTCTGTTCCTGCATTAGTTTGCAAAGGATAATAGCCTCTAGCTCCATTCATATTCTCACAAAAGATGTGATCTTGTTCTTTTTTTATGGTTGCATAGCATTCCATGGAATAGGAACTAGATGGCTTTTTCCTGTTGGCCCAAAAGTCTTGCTCCTTGCAAATGATCAATTATGATATATTTGTTAACATCCTTTATTGTGTCATCATCCTTATATTGTCTCATCTGTCTTTTCTATGTTCTTTATCCCTTCAGTAATCTAAAATGAAGAGTTTGTAATTCTCAATCGCAAATATTTAGTCAGGCATAAAATCTCAATTATCAAATCTAATAAACTCATAGACTTTGATGGCAATGTAAAAGCTCCTTAGGGATTAAGAGTAAAAACTAAAAGCTTACACATATTTAATGCTTGCTAGTTGATTATATCAGTGCTGTGTTTTATATGTTAATCAACTGATTTAATTTATTTGTCTTTTTAAAATAAAGCCGTCTTATCCCAGATTTATTACTCTAACATACAGTAGCTTTAATAGCTAACTTTAAGGATAAGAGAATAAATTCATTAGTCAATAAATAGAACAGGAAAGACAGAATTCTCAATTTGATCAGTGTGTTGATATTATTTAAATAGCACCATGTACATGGTTATCTACTCTTGTCTGCCTTGTTTATACTTTTATTTGTATCCTTCTTATATAATACAAATTATATTGAATTAAGAAGGGAACAATTAAGAACATAATTTTTGTTTTGCTAAAATAAAACTAATTTTTATTTAGACCTAATTTTCCAAATTGGTATTTGTATGTGGGCTTCTGTGTGTGTATAAAGAAAAGCATATCTGCCTGTAGAAATTCCTGAGTTTAATGAAAATATTTATATCAAGCAAAAAAGAATCATTTTTAATATTAGACTTCTATCGTTATTGCAATAAAATCAGTTATAGTATAAGCTATTTTGAATGGCTGCTGGTTTTCATCAAATGTTATTAATTTTTTTGACTTGACAAAAATGTTTTAAATTTTGCAGGAAGTTTTTCCAACCAGAGCCCTTTATTTGAGTATCACAGCCTGCCTCTCATATGTCAGAGCCCTTTATAGCTATAAATACTATAACAGGGTTATTGGAGAGTCTGAACTTTGTGAAGTACAAACTTGAAAAAGATTTATTTTTTTTTCTAATCAATGTCCCCAACTGTGCAACGTCAAATTTTCCTTCCCTAGTGGGTAGCAGACCTTTTATTGATGTCTTGGCCGTATTTTATAACTTCTTTCTACTTAAACTTATTAAAAAGTCTTGTCTGGTTTACAATGTAATCTCCTCTCTGTCACAATACAGGGCTGGTTGTGGGGCCAAGAGACTTGGAGTGGGGAAATGCAGTCTACTCTTTATTTATTTACTATTGCTAGGAGTTGTATGGGAGGCTACATAGTATGCTTCTCCAGGACATCTTCCTACCTTCTATCTTAAGTCTTTGGTACCTCTAGCAGCTCTGAGAAGAAATACAGAGTAAAGGGACAAGAGTATCTTTATTAGGCTTGCAAGAGCCATACTCTTTTTCTCTTACTGTTAACTTCCATATTTTCCTGGATAAAGGCTGAGAGACCATCAAAATCCTAAGTGATTAGTCTGTTGGTTTATAATGAAGCACACGGGTAAGTTCTTTGGAGATCTTCTTGGGAAACTTTCCACTGCAAAGTTCCCTAATGTAAGAAACATTTAAGAAAGAGAAAAGAAGACTTTAAAAAGAATGAAGGACATTAGAAGATTTAATATCTATAACACAGAGAGACATGGGCATCCCTGGACAAGCCGATAGCTCATGCCCATTCAGATCTCACTGTCACAGTTGCTGTTGCCCACTCATTTAGAGAAGAGGCTAAAAACTTGCATGGGAAAATGCTGGCAGAAGACACTGCCTCAGCTTGAGCTTGCATAACCTTCAGCTAAACAAAAAGTCTTAGAGTTAATGAGCAACCTCTGTAAAAAGCTGTTTATCAGCATTGTTTTCATTGGAAGGTGAGTCCACAGGCTCAAGCAGCTTAATCAAGTATATTTTCATAACAATGTCCTCAGGAGAAGTCTTGGAAATTTGTTTTTCTCATTCTAATGCTCAGTGACATTTTAGTGTTCTTTATATATTGACATTCTGAACAAGTTAGCTAACTGCCTGGCCTGAGCCTCAGTTGAACCCTGAAGTCACTGGAGCCAAAGATGAGAGAGAGTTTCAAATGAAAATGAACAGCTGCAGAATGTTCAAATATGTCCAGCAGATTAAGAATTAGAAAATTAGATCCTATAATTACCAGGTCATTTTGGATTTGTAGGAGGAAATTAGGGTCATTCATTCTCCAGCTGTATGGCATGCTATTATAAAAATTTAACCCTTCAATATTTGATTCATTTTGCAATGTTTCTAGTGTATGATGTGAGGTATAGGTGCACCTTTATTGTTTAATAGATACCAAGTTTTTCCAAAATCTTTTATAGAATGAGGCATTTTTTCCCCTAGTAATTTGAGATCCAAACCTTATCATATAGTAAAGTATCATATGTATACACTAGATTATATTTCTAGATGTTTGCTTCTCCATTGTTCTATTAATACACTATATTATTATGAAAGTTTTATAGTATATTTTCAGATTAAGTGGCTGGTGCTCTTCATTGCCCTCCCATCTGAAAATTTTTTCTGATTATTCATGTTATTTTTCCTTATAATCTTTAGCTTGAATCTGTTTAGTTCAAAAACATTTTATTGAAATCACATACATTGTTTGAATCTTCAAACCTTCATTAGGGTTTTAAAGTTTCTAATCAAAGAATGTATCCATTTTTGGTTATATTCATTTATTGATACTGTATCTGTTTTTGTACTCCTGTAAATGGCATTTTGTTCTTCCACTATATCATCTGACGGTTGCCATTGGTGGTGGTGAACTCAGTTGTTCATGTATTTACTAATTTTGACCAACAACAAAAAACACTTCAGTATGGTTCAAACTGTTTTATTCAAAAGCTCTTTGTTTATGCATATTAATGTTTTACTCTGTATTATGAGTTATTTTTATATAATATTGTTCTATATCTCTTTTGTTTTTCATCTATTTAAACACCTCAACTGTAAATAGGCTACATTATTTCCAAATTTTATACATTGTTTCTTTTCTGTGTTAAATTATTTTGACCCATAATTCAAGTACAGTGTTAAGTGCAAAAGAGGTAGAGGTCACTCTAATTATGCCCCCGAATTTGCTAGAGATATTTTTTAAAATCAGTGACACAGTAAGGATGTCATCTACCTTATTACCCTTTTGAGCTGGAATGAACATACATTGTGGTGTTAAGAAAGTATCTATAAATTCTTACATTGAATATTTTTATATTTTATTAATATCTATGGATATTATCAGGACATTTATCCTTAGATCTATTAATATAAAATGATATTAATATCTGATTTAATTTTGAATACTTACATTTCTGAAACAAAATCCTCTTTAAATAATTTCCTTCTACAATCTGAGTTTTCTTTGCAGATATTTATGTTGGATTGTTTCATTGTGATTCATAAAGTTCATCTGTAGTATTTTTGCGTGGCACTTGAAAAGTTTGAATATCAGTGTTATGTTGGCTTGAAAAAAAATTAGTTCTTTTCTATCTTTGTTCTAGAAGAGTTTACATACCCTTGAAACACTCTCTTTGTTAAAGACATTACCAATTTCCTATGTAAAATCATCTAAGCGTAGCATTTTTGGGGTGGGAGTTTCATTTTACCATTATTTTTCCTGTGGAAATTGGCCTGTCTAGAATTTTATTTCAAAGTCAGTTTCCATTTTTCTCAAAAATTATTCATTTTATCCCAGTTTTCAAATCAAGTAGATTGCATGATTTTGAATTTCCTCACTTCTTTTTATTTCGTATGTTAAAATTTTGTGTATTTGCCCTTTTTCCTTTTTTCATGATAAGGTTGGCTAGTAGTTTGTTGACTGTATGGTTATTTTGAAAACTAAACTTTATTTGTTTGTTATGCTTTTTCAGACTTATATGTATTTTCTCCATTTATCATTAATAATTGCTCTCTATGTTACTCTGTGGCTTAATTTGTAACTTACTTTCTAATATGTTGAATGAGTTTAATTCCTTTTATTGACATATAATTTACAGATATGAATTATCTTCTCAGTACTTCCTTAGCTATATTCTGTCTTCCTTTAAATATTTTCTAGATCTTCCTACATTTTGGTTTGATTGTCCTTTTTAGTAGAAGATTGTTTAATAAAGGATTTACTTATATTTTTGGTAGGATATTTTGCCATTCTGATGATGTTTAAATGTTGTAGTTTTCTTTAATCAGATAATTGTATCTGTACAGTATTTATGTCTTGTGATTTTTAGAGCATTTTTTGGAATGGAGATTTTGATCATGTTTTATGAGCTCATGGGGAAAATGCTGTATTTTCTCTTTTCACATATAAGATTCAATATATTTCAATAAGATTAATATATTTGATCGATCTTCTATGTCTTTTCTATATTATTTCTATTATTTATTCACTCACCTGTCTGAGAAGATGCATTAAGTTTCCTTACAACAGGGGTTTTCTAATATTCCTTTACTTCCGTACTTTTGCCTTATAATATAGATTTTGTTATTCTTGGTACAAAAATATCCCAAACTGTTATAAGTTCTTTTTTTTCTTTCTTTCTTTTTTTTTTTTTTTTGAGACGAAGACTCGCTCTGTTGCCAGGCTGGAGTGCAGTGGTGTGATCTCCGTTCACTGCAACCTCTGCCTCCCAGGTTCAAGCAATTCTCCTGCCTCAGCCTCCTGAGTAGCTGGGACTACAGGGGCACACCACCACGACCAGCTAATTTTTGTATTTTTTTAGTAGAGACGGGGCTTCACCATGTTGGCCAGGATGGTCTTGATCACTTGACCTCTTGATCCCCCCACCTTGGCCTCCCAGAGTGCTGGGATTTACAGGCGTGAGCCACCACGACCGGCCTATAAGTTCATTTTTAACAGCACTCTTTTCCATCATAAAGTGCCCTTCTAGTCTCTTCTAATGCATTTTTTGACACAAATTTGACACTTTGTTTTATAATTTCCTGACTCCTTTTGTTAGTTGTTTCTAACAACCAGAAAAATTTTCCGTTTATTTTTTACAGTCTCTGAAACACTTCATTTTATCGGTTTTAAAAATATGTTTGGATTTTGCTTTTTAAAATTATTGTTTTTCTTTCTTCTTTTTATAAACAGAAATGAATATCATTCTTCCTGGTTAGATTATGTCAACCAAACAAGTGAATATTCTATGGCTCAGAAACAATATAAGTACTTTTTATTATTATATACTTTAAGTTATGGGATACATGTGCAGAATGTGCAGGTTTGTTACATAGGTATACACGTGCCATGGTGGTTTGTTGCACCCATTAACCCGTCATCTACATTAGGTATTTCTCCTAATGCTATCCCTCCCCTAGACCCCCACCCTCTGACAGTCCCCCGTGTGTGATGTTCTCCTCCCTGTATCCACGTGTTCTCATTGTTCAACTCCCACTTATGAGTGAGAACATGTGGTTTTTGGTTTTCTGTTCTTGTGTTAGTTTGCTGAGAATGATGGTTTCCCGTTTCATCCATGTCCCTGCAAAAGACATGAACTCATCGTTTTTAATGGCTGGGTAGTGTTGCATGGTGTATTTGTGCCACATTTTCTTTATCCAATCTATCATTGATGGGTATTTGGGTTGGTTCCAAGTCTTTGCTGTTGTGAATAGTGCCGCAGTAAACATGTGTGTGCATGTGTCTTTATAGTAGAATGATTTATAATCCTTTGGGTATACACCCAGTAATGGGATTGCTGGGTCAAATGGTATTTCTGAATCTAGTTCCTTGAGGAATCGACACACTGTCTTCCACAATGGTTGAACTAATTTACACTCCCACCAACAGTGTAAAAGCATTCCTATTTCTCCACATCCTCTCCAGCATCTGTTGTTTCCTGACTTTTAATGAATCCCATTCTAACTGGCATGAGATGGTATCTCATTGTGGTTTTGATTTGCATTTCTCTAATGACCAGTGACGATGAGCTTTTATTCATGTGTTTGTTGACTGCATAAATGTCTCCTTTTGAGAAGTGTCTGTTCATATCCTTCACCCACTTTTTGATTTTTTTTTTCCTGTAAATTTAAGTTCTTCTTAGATTCTAGATATTAGCCCTTTGTCAGATGGATAGATTGTAAAAGTTTTGTCCCATTCTGTAGTTTGCCTGTTCACTCTGAATGTAGTTTCCTTTGCTGTGCAGAAGCGCTTTAGTTTAATTAGATCCCATTTGTCTATTTTGACTTTTGTTGCCATTGCTTTTGGTGTTTTAGTCATGAAGCCTTTGTCCATGCCTGTGTACTGAATGGTATTGCCTACGTTTTCTTCTAGGGTTTTTAATGGTTTTAGGTCTTACATTTAAGTCTTTAATCCATCTTGAGTTAATTTTTGTTTAAGGTGTAAGGAAGTGGTCCAGTTTCTGCATTTGGCTAGCCAGTTTTCCCAAAACCATTTATTAAATAGGGAATCCTTTCCGCATTGTTTGTTTTTGTCATGTTTGTCAAAGATTAGATGGTTGCAGATGTGTGGTGTTATTTCTGAGGCCTCTGTTCTGTTCCATTGGTCTATATTTCTGTTTTGCTACCAGTATCATGCTGTTTTTTTCTTAAGGAGATGGGACTCATTATTTTTCTGTGGCTGGTCTGGAACTCCTTGCTTTAAGTGATCTGGCCTCCTGTGGGATTTTGCTTTTTGTTCATGCTGAAGTGTCTCTCTCATTTTAAAGAATTTATTTGAACTCATAAGTTTAGTAAGCCAAATATATTTTTGGTATGAGTTTTTTCATACTGTTTTTTAAAAATATATTTTCCCTATTTGAATGTTTTTATAAAATAAGATATTTAAGATATACTTTTCCTTGAGGCTTAGAAAGAAGAGTGACTGTTGGCTTAAGAAGAAGGCATTTATTTATTTTTCCAGTGAATATTTACAGAATATACACTACGTGTTAATTATCCTACACTGAACAAACATAGAAGAATCCCTGTTCTATGGTGGAGCTTCTTTTATCTCAGAAGGACTAAGGTTAGACAGTTGAATATGTAAACTACATAGTATCCTTGTGGATAAGATACGGTAAGGAGCAAAAATAGAGTACAATAGAAGAAAATCATGGACATCTTAAATGGGCTAAGGGTTTACATTTTAAATATGATGGCCATGGTAGACCACATTTAAAGGACATTTGAGAAAAGACTTGAATGAGGTAAGAGGATTAGCAATATGAAAATAAGGGGAAGGGTAGTCTAGGCAGAGGGAATCCAGTGAGCCAGTTACTCTTCTGATACCTGCAAAAAGAGGATGAAAATTGGTAATTGGTGAAAATACAGATGGGATTTGGGGTAGAATGTGTTCATGCCTAGTTTTATCACAGAATAGGAAACAAATTTATCATTTGAGGATGAGTTGAAGATATATGAAAATTGGTAAAACGTATGAGAGTCATTGTGGGAAAGAAAATGGGAGCCAACTAGGGATACATAAGACTTGTACTCGGCCGGGCGCGGTGGCTCACGCCTGTAATCCCAGCACTTTGGGAGGCCGAGGCGGGCGGATCACGAGGTCAGGAGATCGAGACCATCCTGGCTAACACGGTGAAACCCCGTCTCTACTAAAAATACAAAAAATTAGCCGGGCGTGGTAGCGGGCGCCTGTAGTCCCAGCTACTCGGGAGGCTGAGGCAGGAGAATGGCGTGAACCCGGGAGGCGGAGCTTGCAGTGAGCCGAGATCGCGCCACTGCACTCCAGCCTGGGCGACAGAGCGAGACTCCGTCTCAAAAAAAAAAAAAAGAAAAAAAAAGACTTGTACTCAGCAGGGATTTGGGCTGGGAAGAGAATAATTTTTCATTTTCCAAAGGATCATTCGTGCAGTTGAGCAATTTTCTACAAAATGCTTTTTGGAGTAGACGTGGCTGAGAAGGGGGTGACATTTGTTCATTACACACTACCTGTAGCATTTTGTGGGCTGTTCTATATTGCAAACACTAGTGTACAATTATTAGTTTTGCATATGAGGTAGCTTAGATTCAAACAGGGTAAGCTGGCTGATGTTAAACATATTTTCAGGTTGATTTTAGGTGATGTTATCATATAATAAGGTAAAAATGCTAGAGGACCATGCTGATGAAAGAACAGATGATAAAAGTGTTAATGTATACAGACAAGTGTGCCAACAGGTGGTGATCCAGGGGCAGTGAAAAGGCAAAAGGTTGAAGATGATGATGAAGAGTACAAGGAAAGTTGCTTCTTCATATGTAGATTTCAGTTGTTTTTATCACTAGGGTTTCAAGTTTTATAATGGTGAACAATAATGTATACTTTATACAGTAAAATATGTAGAAAGAGTTATTTTTTGTATCATAGTATTAAAAATCATAGTTGTTGTGAAGTGAATTTATGTGTAATTCTTCTTTTATACTCTATTTTTTTTAACTAAGGTACGGCATTAACATGAAAATCCAAGAATCTTATATTTGTGGATTTTTTAGACTCATGTTACATTTGCAGATGGAAATGCTTTCGAAAATATTTATATCAAATATTATGTCTGTGCTGCTTTCACATGCATTGCTTATGTTGTAATTGCCATTATGGATATCTTGCAGTGGCCATAAAGTATTTGGAATGGCATTTTTAAAGTAATGCTCAATATAAGTGATATGATTGGATAGAATTTAATATTGTGGGAGTTTAATATTTTCTAGCCAGAGTGTAATACTCTAATCATTCACTCTTCTGTTGAAAGCAATTTTGAATGAGATCACAAATCAGATGTCATTTGGTGCACAGTATTAATGACTTACCCTCAAATTTTATATCATTATCAATAAATACAGATACCATTTATGTGATACAATGCTACTTCAGTTTTCACAGCTACATTTTTAATATCTTTTTCAATACAGTGGCATATCTCATAAAGATGCTTCAGCAAGTAAGATATAATGTAAGACTGATAAATATGAATTATCTTAAATTTATTTGCAATGAAATTGAACAGCTGACCCAAGGTCTTAGGTTAAGAGAGGCAAGTAAATGTACTGTACAACACCATTTTTTGTTTCTTTTGGGTCTGATTTTTTCTCCATGATTTGTAATAAAATAGATTAATGGGCCAATTCTAATACTGATTAAATGAACTTGGCTCAGGCCTATAACAGCAAAGTCACAATAGCAGTCGGCTTCAGATCAAAAGCTTTAAAATACAAATGAAAGACTATTTAGGGAGAATGGGAACTAGGCAGTGATACAGCAGGAGACTTCTTTAAATTCAAATGATTAAATGCAGGGAACAACTTTAGGATGCCGCTATATGTTGACAAACATAAGCACAAAGTAGGTACTATTAAATTATGGAATACACATGTAGACTGTTTTTCCATTTATTCAAATATGTGAATACCTACTATGTGACATGCATTATTAGCCCTTATGGGTTGAATTGTGATCCGCCCCCCCAATCCCCAACCAAAAAAAGATAAGTTGAAGTCTCAACCCTGAATACCTATGAATGTGACTGTATTTGAAAATAGCATTTTTACAGTCCAATTAAGTTAAAGTGAGGTGATTTATGGATGAGCCCTAATCCAATATGGTTGATGTTCTTCTAATAGGAAAATTTGGACATAGATACACATAGTGAGGAGGACAGCCATGTGAAAACAGAAACAGACAAGGGAGAATGTCTCATGACAACAGAAGTGGAGCTTGCAGTGATGCAGCTGCAAGCCAACGAATGCCAAGGATTGACAGCTACCATTAGTAGCCAGCGAGAGGTAAAGAAGTCCTCCCATATGGGTTTCAGAAGAAGCATGGCCCTGCCATGTTTTTTTGACTTTTAACCTCCAGAATTGTGAGAATATAAATTTTTGTTGTTTTAAGCCACCAGTTTGTAGTACTGTGTTATGGCATCAGTATATTAAGAATCTAATATAGCTGTTGTGTATTCTGATAGGCTCTGGTAAAAAAGCTAAATTGTTTGATAAATTTAAAATTAGAATGATATAATATCTCATTGAGATACAATCATATGTTTCTGTAGTTCAGTCTTTAAAGCTAAGACACTTTGCTAACCACTAGTGAGAAACAAAGGACTCAGGCACAGTAAGTAGAATTAGGGAAATTAAAATATTACACAGGAAAATAAGACATACATAAAAATCCATTATGAATGAGACTTGTCCTAGATTATGACAGTGGTACAGATATGTTATATTAATTGCCAGAAAGGAAGAGACTGTCCGTGACTGGAAAGGATTCATGGAAGAGACAGCACTCGGGCTTAACCTAGAAGGATGGTTTGGGTTTGAACATACAAAGTTGGAGAGAACAGCGTGACAAGGCAACCATGTAGATATAACCACCGAGACAGAAAGCACATGTGAAGTGTTAGTCACCCAGGCTCTTGAGTCTATTCTATTAGGTTGGTGCAAAAGCCATTGCAGTCTTTGCCATTATATTTAATAGCAAAAAATGCAATTGCTTTTCCACCAACCTAATAATATTTATTTGGCAGTGGCAAGTGCACTGGGTTAGCTTTTGACATTGAAGCCATGTTTTCCATTCCTCACCAATGGGCTCAGCCTCTGAGGCAGTAGGTTTTTCTATAAGCCATGTATATCCTGAGGGCAGAGATGATAAGAGTAAAATAAAGAAAAAAACAAAAAGGAGTTGAAATATTTACTTCTGAAAGTCTGTAAACCTATGGTAGTGGCAATGTTTTGAAAAAACAGACTTTCAATTGTAAGAAACGTAGGCTTGAGACAAAAGTTGTACTGATTTTAATTGCCAGAAGTTTCCATTTAAATATCAAGAGCTGAACCTTGCTGAAATTTGAGCCAGTAATTAACACATAGAGTAGGAAAATGAGGCTTAGACTGATTTGTACATGGGAAGAGAAATCAGAAAGGAATGTGACTGGACTCTGGAAACAGTAGTCTCTGAGAAGTGCCCTGTCTCCTGTTTTTTGGATCAAACCTCAAAGAGTAGAGGAGATGATGTAAACTTTGTTCAAGAAAAAATTATCCAAATACTTGTTAAGGATAGTAAAGTAGACCTTATTCAAAGGGGGGCCATTACAAGAGGTGTAAAACCCATTGCAGCAGGGTCATGCAGCAGAGAGAGATTGGATTCAACTCTGACACTAACAAGGACAGATGAGGATTTATAACCAAGGAACAGGGTTTGGGGTTGGGGGGTGGTCAGTGGGTGGAAAATTACAAAGCGGAAACATCGAGGATAAGGAGGTTTCTGACTAAACAGACTTAGTAGGATTATTGCTGAAGGCAGGTCAGGGTGATAAGATTTTGAGGGTGGTTGGATACAAAGAGTGGGAGACTTTTCATAAACTAAATTGGCAAGATTCTCGCTCAGACTGCATTCTGTAAGGATAAGAAGGGAAACCTAAGATTAGGCCTAGTCAAGCAGAGGACTCAGAGGAGTGTAGCTAAACCTTTGGTTAAATGAGAAAAATTATGTCAACACCAAGGTTTGGCTTCCTACAGTGTAAATAGTGGCAAGTCTTACAGGAAAACCCACCGTCCAAAAGGGCACCTATGATTAGAGAATAGCAGTGGCTAAAGGAGATTCTTAGATCAACATTTGGACAGTTTCAAAAAGTCATGAGCTCCCAAAGCCATGAGGGAAAATAAACAACATTCCTGAGCACCCAATACCACCAAAGTTGTCAAGGGAACCAAGGTACTGAGAGAAGACTTCAGGTTGGGAAAAAGAGAATGCAGATTGTCTGGTTCTGACAATTAAAACCCATTGTGGGGCCATTAACTGGCTCAGTGAAGGCAATGAGAGCAATGTAGACCCGATAGAAATGAGCTTCATTTTGGTACAGACCAGAGAAGCCAGAAGATGGCATAAAGACTAAATGCCTTTCTTCTAATGCCAGGATGACATAAACCCTACTTTCCACTCCAGGTTTTAGATGAACTCAGAAGCTAAGAATCAAAACCACAATTATGTATACGTGTGTGTGTTAGGGAGGTGGAATTCTGAGAGATTCACTTTTAAAACAGAAGTAATTTAATTACTAGGAATTAGTACAATTAAACATTATTAAAATCCATGGAGTTGGGATCTCAAGAACAGTATTTCCAGTTGTAGATTATTTGTCATATTTTACATATCTGATATGTGAACTATTTTGACCACACAGCTGGTATTTCCTATGAAAGGGGTTGACATGGAGGTTACAATAAATGAGAATTTTTAATCCTATTTTTAATCCTATTTTTAATCCTACTGATAAGGGGTCACAGATAAGAAAAACCATCTTAGTCTGTTGTGTGTGTGTGTTTTCTGCTATAACACAGTATCTCAGACTGAGTAATTTATAACAAACAGAAACTTATTTTTCACAGTTCTGGAGGCAGGGATGTCTAAGATGGAAGGGCTGGCATTTGCAAAGGGCTTCTTGCTACATTTTTCCATGGCAGAAAGTGGAAGGGCAAAAAGAGGGCAAGAGAAAGCAAGAGGGTGAAGAACTCTTCCTTTTAGAAAGGCACCAATCCATATGGAACCAAAAAAGAGCTCGCATCGCCAAGTCAATCCTAAGCCAAAAGAACAAAGCTGGAGGTATCACACTACCTGACTTCAAACTATACTACAAGTCTACAGTAACTAAAACAGCATGGTACTGGTACAAAAACAGAGATATAGATCAATGGAACAGAACAGAGCCCTCAGAAATAATGCCACATATCTACAACTATCTGATCTTTGACAAACCTGAGAAAAACAAGCAATGGGGAAAGGATTCTCTATTTAACAAATGGTGCTGGGAAAACTGGTTAGCTATATGTAGAAAGCTGAAACTGGATCCCTTCCTTACACCTTATACAAAAATCAATTCAAGATGGATTAAAGACTTAAACGTTAGACCTAAAACCATAAAAACCCAAGAAGAAAACCTAGGCATTACCATTCAGGACATAGGCATGGGCAAGGACTTCATGTCTAAAACACCAAAAGCAATGGCAACCAAAGCCAAAATTGACAAATGGGATCTAATTAAACTAAAGAGCTTCTGCACAGCAAAAGAAACCACCATCAGAGTGAACAGGCAACCTACAGAATGGGAGAAAATTTTCGCAACCTACTCATCTGACAAAGGGCTAATATCCAGAATCTACAATGAACTCAAACAAATTTACAAGAAAAAAGCAAACAACCCCATCAAAAAGTGGGCAAAGGACATGAACAGACACTTCTCAAAAGAAGACATTTATGCAGCCAAAAAACACATGAAAAAATGCTCACCATCACTGGCCATCAGAGAAATGCAAATCAAAACCACAATGAGATACCATCTCACACCAGTTAGAATGGCAATCATTAAAAAGTCAGGAAACAACAGGTGCTGGAGAGGATGTGGTGACATAGGAACACTTTTGCACTGTTGGTGGGACTGTAAACTAGTTCAACCATTGTGGAAGTCAGTGTGGCGATTCCTCAGGGATCTAGAACTAGAAATACCATTTGACCCAGCCATCCCATTACTGGGTATATACCCAAAGGACTATAAATCATGCTGCTATAAAGACACATGCTCACATATGTTTATTGCGGCATTATTCACAATAGCAAAGACTTGGAACCAACCCAAATGTCCAACAATGATAGATTGGATTAAGAAAACGTGGCACATATACACCATGGAATACTATGCAGCCATAAAAAATGATGAGTTCACGTCCTTTGTAGGGACATGGATGAAATTGGAAATCATCATTCTCAGTAATCTATCGCAAGAACAAAAAACCAAACACCGCATATTCTCACTCATAGGTGGGAACTGAACAATGAGAACACATGGACACAGGAAGGGGAACATCACACTCTGGGGACTGCTGTGGGGTGGGGGGAGGGGGAAGGGATAGCATTGGGAGATATACCTAATGCTAGATGACGAGTTAGTGGGTGCAGCGCACCAGCGTGGCACATGTATACATATGTAACTAACCTGCACATTGTGCACATGCACCCTAAAACTTAAAGTATAATAATAATAAATTTTTAAAAAAAGGCACCAATCCCACCCATGAAGGTGGAGCCCTCGTGGTCTAATTACGTCTTAAAGTTTCCATGTCTTAATGCTGTTATAATGGCAATTAAATTTCAACATGAGTTTTGAAGGGGACAAATAATCTAACCCTGGCAAATACCATATTTATATCAGACATTATGCTGAATACTTTCACACTGATCTTCTATAATCTTCAGCCAATTTTTTGCTTATTGGTCAGATAAGAAAACTCACTGATGTTTAATTATTTGAGATAATATAGTCAAAATTGGTGTGAGAACCTGTATTGGTTTGAGACTTTAGTTCCCCATATCATAGTTCGTTCTCACTGGGACATGTTCCATATTGCACAAACTAAATTATTTACATCAAATGGCTACAGTGGGAGGTGAGTTCTTATTTCACTGAGTTTCCTTCTCTGTAGTATTCACGGTTTTTCAATTTTGGTCACTGTGATTATATATGTTTCCTCGTGCTTTTTTTGCTTGTTCTTAAACTTCTTCTCTTGCCTATAGTTTTCAAGAAAAATGATAAGTTGTGATAAATCTCTGCTTATGAAAATCCCACCATTATTATTATCCAAATGGGTTGAGAGTTTCTTCTTGACAGAAGTTAAAAATGTATGCTTGCCTATATCATTTTACAGAAGCAATCTGGTTCTTATGTGTATTCTAATACCCCAATTTAAAGAACACATTATTTGTCTGTGAAACAGCATATGGTTCTGTCAGTAAAAATTGAGCAGGTAAACCATGTTGGCTGCTGTGATCTTGCTTTCTACTGATGTCAGAATTTAGTTAATTCATGAAAATAACCAAACATTTGTAATGATTGTATCAAAATCACAGGTGATTTAGAGTTAGAAAACATGAGTGTACTCACTATGATAGTCATGTGATTTGCTCAAAATGCAACTTAGTATTAATGACAAAAATGGCTGAAATGTCACATTCCCTCAATCATGTTTCATGTCAGCTCTTATCTTTTGACTGTAGACACAATTATGTGTCGATAGCATATTTAGAGTGTTATATTAAAATTTTATCTGTGCTTGAGTAAAGTTCAAAATATTGTAAGATAGTATAGCTTATTATTGGGAGAAAAATACAAAGATATAAGTGAGTAGTTAATGTTTTTATTACTAGTAAAATAATTTTAGAGATTGATCTTTTGAAAACTAAAGCCAGGATAGATTTTATTATACTATACTTATTATTTTTGATAAGAGAAACATAATTTTATATTAAGGATAATTGTTTATATATTTTTGATATTCATGCTTTAATTTTGAACAGCTTCTGTTTGGTAAAGAACTCTTATTTTTATATAAAGAAAATTCCTAAATGGCTTATGTGATTATCTGTTTCTATGCAGAAATATTAAACATTTGGTTGTAATTATGCAAAATAACCTGAAAGTATTCAGAAAGGCTAAGTCTAGCTTGCTCTGTGCATCACAGAAGAAATATTGATTGAATGTTCTTTTTAGTACATAATCCTTCAGTCTTAATATTTCCTTTGTTGTAGTTCTGCCTTTAATGAATAAATATATAGAATATTCTTTTCACATTTATATAGTCTTAGAGCCTATCTATTAAGACAGTTCTCAAATTTTCAAACTGCTGCAAGGTTATTTTTTATAACTTACATTTTGCTACTTATGGTAAATATTAAAATCTGACATTGCCTTTCAGTATAATGCTTAAGTTAGTATGTTCTAAACTGGGAGAAAAATAATTCAGTGGACATATTATATTTCTAGAAATTGGGCAAGCTCAAAACTCTCTATTCCCTGACTTAAAAACATTGTCCAATCTTGATTCGTAGGGCTGGAGTTCTTCCATGACTCATTGCAGGGTGTGTCGCCACAGCACGTGTGGTTCAAGGGAGCAGAATGAGTCAGATGTGGGAAAACAAGATCAGTACAAGGGAGTAATGTCTAACACCAGTTGCAAAAGGTGAGTATAAGGCTATCAACAGTCCATTAAGTATGTGAGAAGGAATCAAGTTGATCATATTAGAGAGTATAAAAGAGTAAGGAAACACAAAGTCTTGGCCATGAACGTGGTAAGGAGGTCAAGATTATTTTCAATGGGTTCTAATTTTGAGGTCCATGTCGGTAAGATCATAGGCAGGTTTGGGATAGAGATCTTCAAAACGCTACATAAAGCCTTAAATTGTATATTGATAAGTGACTATTCTTTTAAAATGTTTATTTTGCTATTTTCACTTTGTGTATCATGCTAGTACATATTTTCACTAATTACTTAAGTTGTGGAATTGCATTTTTTTCCTTTGCAAAAAATCTCTGAATGACAGGAGTAGTATATACACCAGGAACTGAGATTAGCTACTATGCGTCACAGAGGTAAGCTACTGTCAGTGAGTCTTGTTACTTTGTGCCCAACTATTTGAAGCTATCTGAGTTAGAAAATTGGCTCATGGTCACTAATCAGTTTATTTTGTTTGCTAAGAAAACTTAAAATCTTCCAAGATCAACACAATGTAAATTATCTTGGTCATTTGTAAAGTGAATAAATCTGAGATTACCAAGAACTGACTCTAATGTGTGAAATGACAGGTTACTGGAGAAGTTGATTCAGTGGCAATTAGAGAGTATTCCTGAACTGCTGAGCCCAATTCAGATTATGTAAAATAAATAATCAAACCAAACTAATGTAGTTTTGACTCCATTTATTCTTTATTCAGTAAGCATGCTGCTATTTTTCATGACTGTGGTGTACATAGTATTTTGGGTTATTCATAGCATGCTTAATACCTGAATATTTCATGGGAACACAGCTAGAAAGTTTAATAGAAACTTAAGCTAGATTTTTTAATTGAAAATATATCTCCAATTTGTATGAGTAATGAATGCTTTAAAAATGATGTAGTACCCTCTTAATTTTTCAATTATTATATATTCAAATTCCCATAAGATATAATTTATGGTTCTTCATGGACTGTTCATTATTGAACTTGTAAATACAATTCATTTCTTCAGCTAATAGCAAACAATGGGATATAAATAATGGCACACAGCAATCCCTGAAAGATACTATTTCTTAACTTATTAATATATAGTGAGATTTTTCCCAGTATTCAAGCTACTACTTGTTTCATGTTGGTACTTTCAGAACTCAGATGCAATGTGGTGAAATTTATTCTTTAGTTCATCCATTTATTTCATTATGCAATATATAATGAGCAGTAATAGGCATTGGAGCAATTGTTAGATATAAGAACTGTAAAACAAATAGAAAGTTCCAAAGGGTATATAGCACAGTGAAGTATATAGCACAGTGAAGTGAGTTATCACTGTGTTACAAGCTAATAGGTATCACACTATATTAACAGCTAACATTTATTGAGCATTAAGCAGTTACGTGTATTAACTCATTTATTCCTTGTAACAACCCAAAAAGGTGGACCTTTTTATTATGATCCTTAGCATACAAATATCTGAGTCATAGAGACAACAATGAGCTTAAAGCCACACAACTAATAAATACCAGAGCCAGTATGTGAGCCCAGGAAGTCTAGCTCCAATGTCGGTGCTTTAATCCAATACATAAGGAATAAAATGCACAGGATGCAGTTAGAGCACAGAGAAAATCCATGTCAGATGGCTGTTTTGGTGAAGAGATAAGAAGAAAAACTCTGGGGCTGATGGAAACCGCCTGCATAATAGCATGAGGAATACAGTCTGTGTGTTTGAGGACAGTAAGAAGTTCTATGGGGTTGATTAGAAGTGTTCATGTGGGAAATAGAGCTGGGATTTTAGGGCAAGCATCAGAGCATGATGGACTTTAGGTGTTAATCTAAGAAATTTGAACTTTATTCTGGAAGCTGTGGGGAACTATTGGAACATTTTAAGGGCTTTAAGAAAGGCAGCAATATGATCATACTTGCCTTTTGGAAAAGTCATCCTGGCAGATGTATTGAAGTGCTGGTTAGGAGGCAATTGATGGAAACCAGGCAAGAGTTGATGAGAATGCAAACAAAAATACTGATATGGTAGAGAAAAGGAGACAAAGGCATAGGTTGAGTACTTTTCATATCTAAAATGGCTATCAGTTAATATGCACTTTCTATGTGCATTTTACTTGGCACGGTATATACGTACTCAGTTAATCCCAAGTACTTCTATGAGAGTTATTTCATTATTGATGTCTTGTAATGAGGTAAATAAAGGCTTAGAGTAGTTAAGTAGCCCACCGAAGGTTATAAGCTAGTCAGTGATGGATTCAGGAGTTCAGATCTACAAATTGCACCCTTTCTAGTCTGTGTGATGTTTCTAGCCATGAGATTCTTTAAGGACACCTGGTAGAAAAATGCTAAACTAGAAATATGAATCAGATTAGCATTGTTTCTCTTATCCATGTGAATTATGATGTCATTCACCAAAATATGGAAAAGCTAAATTCTTTATTTCTTGAAAAAATAAACGGGATATTCATGCAGAACATGCAGGCTTGTTACATGGGTATACCTGTGCCATGGTGATTTGCTGCCCCTATTGACCCATCCTCTAAGTTCCCTCCCCTCACCCCCAGTCAGGCCCTGGTGTGTGTTGTTCCCCTGTGTCCATGTGTTCTCATTGTTCAACTTCCACTTATGAGTGAAAACACGTAGTGTTTGGTTTTCTGTTCCTGTGTTAGTTTGCTGAGAATCATGGCTTCCAGCTTCATCCATGTCCTTGCACAGGACATGATCTCATTCCTTTTTATGGTTGCATAGTATTTCATGGGGTATATGTACCATATTTTCTTTGCCCAGTCTGTCATTGATGGGCATTTGGGTTGGTTCCATGTCTTTGCTATTGTAAATAGTGATGCAATAAACATGTGTGTGCATGTGTCTTTACAGTAGAATGATTTTATATTCCTTTGGGTATATACCCAGTAATGGGGTTGCTGGGTCAAATGGTATTTCTGGTTCTAGATCCGTGAAGAGTCACCACACTGTCTTCCACAATAGTTGAAATAATTTACATTCCCACCCACAGTGTAAAAGCGTTCCTATTTCTCCACAGCCTCGCCAGCATCTATTGTATTGTTTCCTGACTTTATAGTAATCGCCATTCTGACTGGCATGAGATGGTATCTCATTGTGGTTTTGATTTGCATTTCTCTAATGATCACTGATGTTCACCTTCTTTTTATATGTTTGTTAGCTGTGTAAATATCTTCTTTTGAGAAGTGTCTGTTCATATCCTTCACCCACTTTTTGATGGGGTTGTTTTTCTCTTGTAAATCTGTTTATTTTGTAGGTTGTCTGTTCACTCTGATGATAGTTTCTTTTGCTGTGCAGAAGCTCTTTAGTTAGTTTAATTAGATCCCATTTGTCAATTTTGGCTTTTGGTGTTTTTGTCATGAAGTTCTTGTCCATGCCTGTGTCCTGAATGGTATTGCCTGGGTTTTCTTATAGGGTTTTTAAGGTAAATTCTAATGAAATTTTCTCAAAAGAGATATTTCTAACTGCTGTATTCATTTATTATACCTCATTTTTCAAACTCTGATCTGGCATTGGGTTCCTCAACTCCATCATAAAAACTCTTCATGGGATCAGCAATTACCTTCTGTCTCTAAATTCAAAGAATACTTTTAATACTTTTCTTAGTCTGCTCCTCAGTAACACTGAGCACTATTTTCTACTTTCTTGCTTTAAAACGTTCTTATATTTGAATTTTTTGCAACAATACTATTTGATCTTCTCCCAACCTCTTTGTATCTTGTTCAGGTCTATCAGTCTGAAGCACTAAATAGTGAAGTTACTTAAACTTAGTTATAGAACCTCTCCTCTCCTAATCTGGTATTTTCTTTCACCTTCATGACTTCAATTATTACCTGTAGAGAGGTAACAGACACAATTAACCAGGCCTCTTCTGTGATATTTATTCTTGGCAACTCAATGGCATTCCAAATACAGGAGATCCAAAAAAAATAAACTTATGACATTCTCCCTCACTTCTAGTCCTTTTTCACTCTCTGTGAATGGCACTGCATTCTATTTATTTCTATAAGCAAGGAACTTAGCAGTCATCATGGATACAGTATTCTTCCCTACCTACTGAATCTAAACCACTACCAATTCTTGTCAATTGTATTTGCTAAGTATTTCTCAAGTCAGATTGTTTAAAGTCCATGGCCAACACAACATTCCCTGCTGTATTCATTGCTAGCATGGGATTCTCCATAGTCTATAAACAAGTTTTCCCAGTCTTCCCTAAACTTTCCTTTAACTCATTATCTATACTGTATTGGAGAGTGATTTGTCAAAAGTACATTTTGAATCATATTCTTCTACTTAATGCAAATTGCCGATAGGTTCCAGAATTCTTATCAGAGCCTTCAGCGGCCTGCATCATATAACCTCTACCTTCTGCTTGTACCATTCTTCTACTCTCTTATATAGTCCCAATGCCTTTCTTCCTATCTTTTGTACTCACTATTTATTTGTATATATTGCTCCTTTTTCTTGGAAGACTTTTCCCTTTATTAGATATTTTCTACTCATTGTACGGTTTGCAGTTTCCATATCACTTCCTCTAGTGATGTTTCTCTGACCTCCTTATACCAGATCACTCTATTCAAGATCCTTATAACACTTTCTCCATTAGCTTTCTACTTTTGTAATTTTATATTTTTGCAACCATCAATTGACCAATACCTGTACCTTTTCTTATGTGTCTCCCCATTCTTACCTATGATGGAAACTGGATCCTGGTCTGGTCACCATTGTTTCTTGAGAATCTTGTATTGCTTGGCACTTGGTAAATATTCAATTAACTTAATCTTTATGATAATCTGATATAATCCTTGTAAAAAGTGTTCATTGTACAAATGAAGACAATGTTGCTCTAGCACGTAAGTCATAACCTCTCTAAACTTCTCCTTCTATGAATACTCAATTTTAGTTTTACAGTGAAGCAAGTCCCTTTATGTTCAAACTCCCCAGTAATTTGCAGAAATTTCAATGACTAAGAGCTGGGCTGTTCAATATAGAAGTCTCTAATAACATGTGAGTGTTAAATATAAAATAATTAAAATAAGAATAAAAATGCAGGTCCTCAGTTGCACTAGCTACATTGTATGGGCTCAAAAGCTATATATGGCTAGTGGCTACCATATCAAACAGCATAGATATAGAATGTTATCCTCATAGGAAGCTGCATTGGATAGCACTGCTTTAAGGAAAGATCATTCTTTGTTGAAATTTTAGTTCTGTAATTGACATATCAACATAAAGTGTGAGTAGATTAGATTTGCAGATAAAAACTGGATTTACAGATTCAATTTTCTCGAATATTTTAAACCTAAAAAAATGCTTTTATACAAGGCCTGTTCTCTCTTTTTGAATAAAATTCTATACCAAATTTCACAACACAAAGATTTGTGTGAATATTTGGGAGAGGGACTTTGTCTGCATGTACAATTGTGTGTACATATTAATGCTTAAAGGTAACGTATTCAGATTTTTAAATATCATTTTACAGGTCAAGTCAGAAGTAGTAGTTATAAGAGGGAAGATATTTTGGGAAGGATATATTAATGTACAAAGGACTTGGAAAAGGCCAAGGATGGCAACTGGAAAGGAGAAAAAAAGGACAATAACTCCAACTCCAGCCAATCTGAAAAAAAATTAAGCACATTGGACTACATATATGAATTCTTCCAAACATATTTAGGTCTGATCTGGGGAAGGGAGGCCTTCCTAGACAATGGTTCTTTGATGCCCTTGACTTTGAATTGCCTAGCTAGCTTCAAAGAAATGGCCTAAAATTGTTCTCATTCTCTCTCTATTAATTTAAAGTTTCCCCTGTGGTTTTTATAATGAACAATGCTTTTCTTTGTCTTGCCAAAATCCTTAGAAACAATAAACACAACTAGACATCTCTCTCAAACTCGGACAGAAACAAAATAAACTCTTTTTAGCTGAATATTTATTTATTTTTTCCCATCCTGGATGAGGTTTTTTTTTATTTTTTAATGAGGCGTAAAAGGAGATACTTCTAGTCCCACACACAGTGAGACCAAAATCATAGATAAATTGTTTCATTCAAACTTCAATTCAGCTTTTAAAATATGTTATCTAAATGGCATGGATAATTTTCAGATTATTTATTTGATATCCTCTCTAATCAAATAATATAATTTGTAGTGTGATGACAACAGTTGACTTACAGTTCCTAACACCTTGAACTTCGCAAGTCATTCTGACCACTCCCCAATATGGAAAATTTATTTATTGATTAAGAGGAAGTATGCAGGGCACAAGATGCCAAAAGTGTCATACAACTTGCTGGAGTTATGTTTTATTATTAAGAATGAAATTCTATAGTTACAGAAATATTTTTAATAGACATACATTAATATTTTCATTAAAATATAAAGTATAAACATGGCTGTAGTAGTTCACAAACACTATTGACAAATCCTTCCTAAGTTAACCCAGCAGGATATCATGTCTTCCTCTGGAAAATGCACAGAATCACATTCTGAGTAAAGAGGGATGTAACACAGTGAAAGAATATGTGTTGAAGTCAGATAGGTCTAGGTTCAAATCTTCATACCATTATTTAACAGCTTGGATAGTTACTCAACTTCTAGTCCTATTTCTTTGTCCATAAATGGAGAGAGAAATACTATATTTCACGTTGTTGTGAGAACAGGGACACAGTGTACATTGTAAAGCCAGTGTTACATACAAGTTGGCCATCTTTATAATGTTATCATCATGATCATCATAAATATAGCCCCTCCCTTTTCCCCATGTAGGTAAGAATTCTATTGGTAATTGTTGACTTTGCCTTATTCATCTTGTTATTCTTAAAACATAGAATGATTTATATATTCTGTTCAACAGTCTTTGGGTTTAATTGTCACTGTTAAAAGCCATTTGTTTTATTCGTCTTTCCTCAGAGATTCTTCGTATAATTTGTTGATTAAAAAATCTCTGATGTAAGGATGAAAATATATTTAGAATATATATCCTCAACTTGATAGGCTCTTCATGAGAAGAGTGGTGCCTTAATTGTGTGCTTGTGCTTACCATAGTGTTCTGTACATCCTACTACTTCACGCATACTTGTTAAATTGCTTTCTTTAAACAGCTCCATCACTAACCTTCCTAGTTCAGTTAATAATTTGTCACAATCCACTCATGGCCATCCTTTTTCTCACTCTTGCTCTTACCCAAAATCTAATCAGAATTTAAGCTGCATCTATTTTCTTCTGACAAATGTTCTGTTTCCACTATTCTCTACTTTGTCTAACTGCCTAGTGCTTGAGAGTAAGGATTTGGTAATGTTTTAAAATCCATTTTACTTCTTCACTTCTTCCTTTACACTGTTTTGCATTCCACTCACGTGTCTGGATCAAGACTCACTCTTGCTTCTCTTTTATTATTTTACAAGTCACTACATTGGAGACTTTTTTGCTGGCTCTTCATTTCCTTAACCTCTGCATATAGTGGTGGCCCAAGACTCAATCTCCAGTCCTTTATTACTGTTTACTCTTTAGGTGACCTCAATTGATTTTGGGGGTTTAAATACCATCTATGTCCTGGTGACACTCACATATAGATCTCTGATCAAGATCTCACCCTGAACTCCAGGTTTGTTTATCCAACTGCCTAGGCAACTTTTATACTTAGATATCGAACAGGCATCTCAATACATTGCACTGACATCCGAAGTACTTTTCACTGACAATCTAGATATACAGTACGACTACATTTTATTTGCTTATTCTCTGTATTTTACTACTAAAATATAAGCATTGTGAGGTAGAGATGCTGTCTCTTTCATTTTCTTATTGCAGAAGAACAGTGCCTAGAAGATGGCAGTACTTCACACATATAACATATTGAATGAAGAAATGAATCAGTCAATACTATATACTCTTTATTTTAATTTTCAGTGTTCTTTCGGTATATATTCTTAAAATTGATTAAATGTCCACTTTTCAGATTGAGTTCCCAGGAAGCACAGTCTGAGCTAAAGATTAGTTGTAAAAAAATCTTATTGGGGCATACTCTGAGGACAAACTCCTGGGAGTTGAGTGAAAAAAGCAGAATTAGATGAAAAGACAAGTTAGTCTATGATCCCAAGAACATACGGCACTGTAGAATTGTCCAGAAATGGGGCCAGGATAAGGGGAATATTTATAACCTGCATCAAGAAGACATTCAACGCAAGTTGTTTTGGAGGAGGCAATGTTGGAATAAAGGTGATCTCTTCCTGGGTGTCAGCTATGTGCTATTAGCCTCCTACTTGCACAGTATCTGAAGGAACAAGTGTTTTAGTACCAAGAGGCTCCACAGTATCCAGTATTATTATTTTCAAGGTTAGATGATTCAAAGAAATGAACAGTTTCCAAACTGTATGAAGAGATTATAGTGACCCACATGATGAATAAAAATGCATCGTATTCACTGAGACATTAGAGAAGATCATCGAAGAAGGTAGAAAAGCAAGTAGAGCAGAACCTGAAAGAACATAGGATTTTTAAACAGCAGGTCTTCAAGTAGAGACAAGTTCATGTACAAATGAAATAGAGCAATTAGGAAGACAGCCATCTATTTTCAGGGCTTTTTCAATGTAAGTTTTGCTCACTTCTCTATGTGAATGTCGTGTATGTTTGCTGCTTCTGCTTACTTCCTAGTTGTTTGAAGTACATGACACTGTTCTCTTCAAATATCTATAGTCTCTTGGGTTGCTCCTTATCAAGATCCTTCAGAAGACCTGCTTCTTCTGATAACTTATGGAGCAAACTTCTAACATTTTTGGGGAGAGATTCTGTTAATTACTTACCATTAGCACTTTCAACACTTTTTCTTACTAACAGAAATAGGCTTGCTTGAGATTGCAATGAGCTGAAATAATACTTGCGTTACTCTTTCGGATAGTTATAGTCACATGACAATTTTTTGCCAATGAGAGATAATCAAGGGGAAAAAAGTTTTGGTTTTCTCATATTGAAATTGCTGCTTTCTACTTAGCTGTTTTCCTGTCTAGACTGTGGATATGAGGTAGAGATGCAGCATCTTCTTATTATCATGAAGTGGTAAATGTGAACATGAAAGCCAACACACCAGTAGATTCAGAGTGGAAATACAAAAATAACCTAGGACCCTGAAGCCAGTGTAAACAGTTGCAAAGCCCTGGAGTGATCCCCTCTGGATTTCTAGTTATGTGAGAAAACTGAGTCTTTTAAAAAAAATTACTACTAATTGGGTATTCTGGTACTTGTTGCTAACCACATTTTTAAATGTTAACCTTTTCTTGGTTCACTTCTCATTCTGTATTTTTCTCCAAATTAGCTATACATAAACCCCATGTACTGATAACTCATAAATCTATATTTCTATCATAAACCTATATTTCCATCTGGATCCCATTTCCTGAGATCCAAAATGATACTCAGACATACACTGACTGTCTCTCTTTTTGGTATTTATTAAGCATTCAAAATCAGTAACTTTATTCACAAACTCTTTGTTATGTTCCCCATATTTGGCCACTTCTCTTTATACTGTTGGGGTAGTAATGCCTATAAATTACTAAATAATGAAATCTAGAAGTTAGCGAAGACTTCTTCCTCTTACTTACCTCATTCAAATGATCATCAAATCTTCTGTCACCTCCCCAATTTAACTCCTTATTAACAGGCCCATTGACTTGGTGTAGTCTCTGATCATCTCTCATTTGAACAGTGGTAAGGTGGTTCTTTCATAATATGCCTTCGATGCCTCAAACCTTCCCTTGTTCATAATGGAACCAAATGACCTTTCTAATATTTATATATGATTTACTAAGTTAGCTTAAAAGCATCAGTTTTTTCCTGTAGACTTTGGAAAAATGCTCAGATTCTGTGTCTGTCAGTCATGTAAGATCTTAAATGTTCTGATCTCTTCCTGCATTAATGCATTCCTGCTAAATACTCCTTCTAACTCTGCATTTAATTCACGGTCATGCCATATTACTTACAGTACCCCACATGCATGTAACATGTCATTTTATGCTTATATATTTGCACATGTCAACTTCTCATGGAGGGCTCTTTGTACTCTTGGTCCATCTGATGCACTTATGGTTACCTTAAGATTTGAAAGCATGCATTTTTACAACCTCCTCTGACATGTTTTGTTTCAAGAAAAATTGATCATCTGCAACTTTGTCTTACAAATTTTCTATAAGTATTGTTTTTAACAGGTTTTAAGGCAGAAAGGCTTATCTGTTGATGTCATGCAAAGAACTTCAAATCAGTGGGAGGGAGGAGCCAAGATGGCCGAATAAGAACAGCTCTGGTCTACAGCTCCCAGCGTGAGCAACGCAGAAGATGGGTGATTTCTGCATTTCCATCTGAGGTACCAGGTTCATCTCACTAGGGAGTGCCAGACAGTGGGTGCAGGTCAGTGGGTGCATGCACCGTGCACGAGCCAAAGCAGGGCAAGGCATTGCCTCACTTGGGAAGCGCAAGGGGTCAGGGAGTTCCCTTTCTGAGTCAAAGAAAGGGGTGACAGATGGCACCTGGAAAATCGGGTCACTCCCACCCGAATACTGCACTTTTCCGACAGGCTTAAAAAACGGTGCACCATGAGATTATATCCTGCACCTGGCTCGGAGGGTCCTACGCCCACGGAGTCTCGCTGATTGCTAGCACAGCAGTCTGAGATCAAACTGCAAGGCGGAAGCCAGGCTGGGGGAGGGGCGCCCGCCATTGCCCAGGTTTGATTAGGTAAACAAAGCAGCCGGGAAGCTCGAACTGGGTGGAGCCCTCCACAGCTCAAGGAGGCCTGCCTGCCTCTGTAGGCTCCACCTCTGGGGGCAGGGCACAGACAAACAAAAAGACAGCAGTAACCTCTGCAGACTTAAATGTCCCTGTCTGACAGCTTTGAAGAGAGCAGTGGTTCTCCCAGCATGCAGCTGGAGATCTCAGAATGGGCAGACTGCCTTCTCAAGTGGGTCCCTGACCCCTGACCCCCGACAGCCTAACAGGGAGGCACCCCCCAGCAGAGGCACACTGACACCTCACACAGCAGGGTACTCCAACAGACCTGCAGCTGAGAACCCATCTGTACATCACCATCATCAAAGACCAAAACTAGATAAAACCACAAAGATGGGGATAAAACAGAACAGAAAAACTGGAAACTCTAAAAAGCAGAGCACCTCTCCTCCTCCAAAGGAACGCAGTTCCTCACCAGCAACAGAACAAAGCTGAATGGAGAATGACTTTGACGAGCTAAGAGAAGAAGGCTTCAGATGATCAAATTACTCTGAGCTATGGGAGGACATTCAAACCAAAGGCAAAGAAGTTGAAAACTTTGAAAAAAATTTAGACGAATGTATAACTAGAATAACCAATACAGAGAAGTGCTTAAAGGAACTGATGGAGCTGAAAACCAAGGCTCAAGAACTGCATGAAGAATGCAGAAGCCTCAGGAGCTGTTGCGATCAACTGGAAGAAAGGGTATCAGCAATGGAAGATGAAATGAATGAAATGAAGCGAGAAGGGAAGTCTAGAGAAAAAAGAATAAAAAGAAATGAGCAAAGCCTCCAAGAAATATGGGACTATGTGAAAAGACCAAATCTACGTGTAATTGGTGTACCTGAAAGTGACGGGGAGAATGGAACCAAGTTGGAAAACACTCTGCAGGGTATTATCCAGGAGAACTTCCCCAATCTAGCAAGGCAGGCCAACGTTCAGATTCAGGAAATACAGAGAACGCCACAAAGATACTCCTCGAGAAGAGCAACTCCAAGACACATAATTGTCAGATTCACCAAAGTTGAAATGAAGGAAAAAATGTTAAGTGCAGCCAGAGAGAAAGGTCGGGTTACCCTCAAAGGGAAGCCCATCAGACTAACAGCGGATCTCTTGGCAGAAACTCTACAAGCCAGAAGAGAGTGGGGGCCAATATTCAACATTCTTAAAGAAAAGAATTTTCAACCCAGAATTTCATATCCAGCCAAACTAAGCTTCATAAGTGAAGGAGAAATAAAATCCTTTACAGACAAGCAAATGCTGAGAGATTTTGTCACCACCAGGCCTGCCTTACAAGAGCTCCTGAAGGAAGCACTAAACATGGAAAGGAACAACTGGTACCAGCCACTGCAAAATCATGCCAAAATGTAAAGACCATCGAGACTAGGAAGAAACTGCATCAACTAACGAGCAAAATAATGAGCTAACATCATAATGACAGGATCAAATTCACACATAACAATATTAACTTTAAATGTAAATGGACTAAATGCTCCAATTAAAAGACACAGACTGGAAAATTGGATAAAGAGTCAAGACCCATCAGTGTGTTGTATTCAGGAAACCCAACTCACATGCAGAGACACACATAGGCTCAAAATAAAAGGATGGAGGAAGATCTACCAAGCCAATGGAAAACAAAAAAAGGCAGGGGTTGCAATCCTAGTCTCTGATAAAACAGACTTTAAACCAACAAAGATCAAAAGAGACAAAGAAGGCCATTACATAATGGTAAAGGGATCAATTCAACAAGAAGAGCTAACTATCCTAAATATATATGCACCCAGTACAGGAGCACCAAGATTCATAAAGCAAGTCCTGAGTGACCTATAAAGAGACTTAGACTCCCACACATTAATAATGGGAGACTTTAACACCCCACTATCAACATTAGACAGATCAACGAGACAGAAAGTCAACAAGGATAGCCAGAAATTGAACTCAGCTCTGCACCAAGCGGACCTAATAGACATCTACAGAACTCTCCACCCCAAATCAATAGAATATACATTTTTTTCAGCACCACACCACACCTATTCCAAAATTGACCACATACTTGGAAGTAAAGCTCTCCTCAGCAAATGTAAAAGAACAGAAATTATAACAAACTATCTCTCAGACCACAGTGCAAACAAACTAGAACTCAGGATTAAGAATCTCACTCAAAACTGCTCAACTACATGGAAACTGAACAACCTGCTCCTGAGTGACTACTGGGTACATAACGAAATGAAGGCAGAAATAAAGATGTTCTTTGAAACCAACCAGAACAAAGACATAACATACCAGAATCTCTGGGACACATTCAAAGCAGTGTGTAGAGGGAAATTTATAGCACTAAATGCCCACAAGAGAAAGCAGGAAAGATCCAAAATTGACACCCTAACATCACAATTAAAAGAACTAGAGAAACAAGAGCAAACACATTCAAAAGCTAGCAGAAGGCAAGAAATAACTAAAATCAGAGCAGAACTGAAGGAAATAGAGATACAAAAAACCCTTCAAAAAATTAATGAATCCAGGAGCTGGTTTTTTGAAAGGATCAACAAAATTGATAGACCACTAGCAAGACTAATAAAGAAAAAAAGAGAAGAATCAAATAGACGCAAAAAAAAATGATAAAGGGGATATCACCACCGATCCCACAGAAATACAAACTACCATCAGGGAATACTACAAACACCTCTATGCAAATAAACTAGAAAATGTAGAAGAAATGGATACATTCCTGGACACATACACTCTCCCAAGACTAAACCAGGAAGAAGTTGAATCTCTGAATAGACCAATAACAGGAGCTGAAATTGTGGCAATAATCAATAGCTTACCAACCAAAAAGAGTCCAGGACCAGATGGATTCACAGCCGAATTCTACCAGAGGTACAAGGAGGAACTGGTACCATTCCTTCTGAAACTATTCCAATCAATAGAAAAAGAGGGAATCCTCCCTAACTCATTTTATGAGGCCAGCATCATTCTGATACCAAAGCCAGGCAGAGACACAACCAAAAAAGAGAATTTTAGACCAATATCCTTGATGAACATTGATGCAAAAATCCTCGATAAAATACTGGCAAACTGAATCCAGCAGCACATCAAAAAGCTTATCCACCATGATCAAGTGGGCTTCATCCCTGGGATGCAAGGCTGGTTCAATATACACAAATCAATAAATGTAATCCAGCATATAAACAGAGCCAAAGAAAAAAACCACATGATTATCTCAAGAGATGCAGAAAAAGCCTTTGACAAAATTCAACAACCCTTCATGCTAAAAACTCTCAATAAATTAGGTATTGATGGGACGTATTTCAAAATAATAAGAGCTATCTATGACAAACCCACAGCCAATATCATACTGAATGGGCAAAAACTGGAAGCATTCCCTTTGACAACTGGCACAAGACAGGGATGACCTCTCTCACCACTCCTATTCAACATAGTGTTGGAAGTTCTGGCCAGGGCAATTAGGCAGGAGAAGGAAATAAAGGGTATTCAATTAGGAAAAGAGGAAGTCAAATTGTCCCTGTTTGCAGATGACATGATTGTATATCTAGAAAACCCCATTTTCTCAGCCCAAAATCTCCTTAAGCTGATAAGCAACTTCAGCAACGTCTCAGGATACAAAATCAATGTAGAAAAATCACAAGCATTCTTTCTTACATACCAATAACAGACAAACAGAGCCAAATCATGAGTGAACTCCCATTCACAATTGCTTCAAAGAGAATAAAATACCTAGGAATCCAACTTACAAGGGATGTGAAGGACCTCTTCAAGGAGAACTACAAACCACTGCTCAAGGAAATAAAAGAGGATACAAACAAATGGAAGAACATTCCATGCTCATGGGTAGGAAGAATCAATATCGTGAAAATGGCCATACTGCCCAAGGTAATTTATAGATTCAATGCCATCCCCATCAAGCTACCAATGACTTTCTTCACAGAATTGGAAAAAACTACTTTAAAGTTCATATGGAACCAAAAAAGAGACAGCATCACCCAGTCAATCATAAGCAAAAAGAACAAAGCTGGATGCATCACGCTACCTGACTTCAAACTATACTACAAGGCTACAGTAACCAAAACCGCATGGTACTGGTCCCAAAACAGAGATATACATCAATGGAACAGAACAGAGCCCTCAGAAAGAATGCCGCATAGCTACAACTATCTGATCTTTGACAAACCTGACAAAAGCAAGCAATGGGGAAAGGATTCTCTATTTAATAAATGGTGCTGGGAAAACTGGCTAGCCATATGTAGAAAGCTGAAATTGGATCCCTTCCTTACACCTTATATAAAAATCAATTCAAGATGGATTAAAGACTTAAATGTTAGACCTAAAACCATAAAAACCCTAGAAGAAAACCTAGGCATTACCATTCAGGACATATGCATGGGCAAGGACTTCATGTCTAAAACACCAAAAGCAATGGCAACAAAAGACAAAATTGACAAATGGGATCTCATTAAACTAAAGAGGTTCTGCACAGCAAAAGAAACTACCATCAGAGTGAACAGGCAACCCATAAAATGGGAGAAAATTTTCGCAACCTACTCATCTGACAAAGGGCTAATATCCAGAATCTACAATGAACTCAAACAAATTTACAAGAAAAAAACAAACAACCCCATCAAAAATTGGGTGAAGGACATGAACAGATAATTCTCAAAAGAAGACATTTATGCAGCCCAAAAACACATGAAAAAATGCTCATCATCACTGGCCATCAGAGAAATGCAAATCAAAACCACAATGAGATACCATCTCACACCAGTTAGAATGGCAATCATTAAAAAGTCAGGAAACAACAGGTGCTGGAGAGGATGTGGAGAAATAGGAACACTTTTACACTGTTGGTGGGACTGTAAACTAGTTCAACCATTGTGGAAGTCAGTGTGGCGATTCCTCAGGGATATAGAACTGGAAATACCATTTGACCCAGCCATCCCATTACTGGGTATATACCCAAAGGACTATAAATCATGCTGCTATAAAGACACATGCACACGTATGTTTATTGCGGCATTATTCACAATAGCAAAGACTTGGAACCAACCCAAATGTCCAACAATGATAGACTGGATTAAGAAAATGTGGCACATATACACCATGGAATACTATGCAGCCATAAAAAATGATGAGTTCATGTCCTTTGTAAGGACGTGGATGAAATTGGAAATCATCATTCTCAGTAAACTATTGCAAGAACAAAAAACCAAACACTGCATATTCTCACTCATAGGTGGGAATTGAACAATGAGATCACATGGACACAGGAAGGGGAATATCACACTCTGGGGACTGTTGTGGGGTTGGGGGAGGGGGGAGGGATAGCATGGGGAGATGTACCTAATGCTAGATGACGAGTTAGTGGGTGCAGTGCACCAGCATGGCACATGTATACATATGTAACTAACCTGCACAATGTGCACATGTACCCTAAAACTTAAAGTATAATAAAAAAAAAAAAAGAAAAACCCAACAGCACAAGATTCTAAACCAAAAGAAAAAAAAAAAGAACTTCAAATCAGTGTCAACAGTCACTCTGGGTAGGTATGTCTGCCTTGTAAAACCAAAATTTCCATGTGGTAAGCTGTTTTAAGATTGATAGGGGCTGCAAAAGAGCCAGCTAAACTATGAATCTCACACTATTAATGTTCTCAAACAACTTTATAATAAAAAAATGTTGATTTTCATATTTCTTTCAATTGGTTCTGAAAATGGATTTTGTTTTTTCCAACATTTGAGGCAATTACAGTATTTGAGAAACAGAATTTGGAAACCAACTAACACCTGGAGGTTGATGCTTTGTTTAGAACCATGGCAGGTAAATTTAGATGGATGGGCACAGTTGTATATATTTCTTTGGCAGTCCTTCTTAGTTGTTAAGAACCACTTAAAAATAGCTTCTGAGCCTAAGCTATCTAGGAATTTGTTGACAGAATCATTTTGTTTCTGTGGTTTTGTTTCTCAGCCATGTGTCAAGCACATTACAAAATATTTTTTTGGTTAAGTGATAATCTTCAAATGGACCAATGAACTAGCATGGAAATTATAGACTAGGCCATCTCTTCTCCTTGAGATTTTACTACTCACAGTTCACAAATTGTGGTTGTGAAACTTGGAGAACAGATACACTGCCCATCTAAATACAGGGGGTCTTTGTTAACCAAAAAATAAAACTGCATTGGGAATATTTTCTTATTAGAACAGTGGTAAGAAGAAAGTTAAATTATCACAAAAATAAAATGAAAAATAAATAACTAAAATGGGCCTGTATCTGAGATGTCTCAATCTGGGAATTTAGATTGTCATAGAAGCAAGGAAAATATTTAAATTAGAAGATAAAGAAACATGATTATTGTTTATATTAGTACTTTTTCTTGGATGTGCTATTGGTATTTTAAGGAGAACAATGTTGGAGATATGTCAAATATAATGTCATAAATAGGCTTATCAATCACTCACTCTTAACCTCACAAATGTGAAATATGTCCTCATTTATTGTGACAAGCCAAAGAGCCTCCTTTCCAATCAACCCTTTATGTTGAGGACCACTTCATTTAATGAAATAGGATGTTTTCTAGGATATGTTTTGAAAAAACTTTTGTTCTAGAAATAAGAATACATTTGGGAAGAATTGAGGAATGAAGAAAAAAATTTCAACCCAGAATTTCATATCCAGCCAAACTAAGCTTCATAATTGAAGGAGAAATAAAATCCTTTACAGACAAGCAAATGCTGAGAAATTTTGTCACCACCAGGCCTGCCCTAAAAGAGCTCCTGAAGGAAGCACTAAACATGGAAAGGAACAACTGGTACCAGCCACTGCAAAAACATGCCAAATTGTAAAGACCATCGAGGCTAGGAAGAAACTGCATCGACTAATGAGCAAAATAACCAGCTAACATCATGATGACAGGATCAAATTCACACATAACAATATTAACCTTAAATGTAAATGGGCTAAATGCTCCAATTAAAAGACACAGACTGGCCAATTGGATAAAGACTCAAGACCCATCAGTGTGCTATATTCAGGAAACCCATCTCACATGCAGAGACACACATAGGCTCAAAATAAAGGGATGGAGGAAGATTTACCAAGCAAATGGAAAACAAAAAAAGGCAGGGGTTGCAATCCTAGTCTGTGATAAAACAGACTTTAAACCAACAAAGATCAAAAGAGACAAAGAAGGCCATTACATAATGGTAAAGGGATCAATTCAACAAGAAGAGCTAACTATCCTAAATATATATGCACCCAGTACAGGAGCACCCAGATTCATAAAGCAAGTCCTGAGTGACCTACAAAGAGACTTAGACTCCCACACAATAATAATGGGAGACTTTAACACCCCACTGTCAACATTAGACAGATCAACGAGACAGAAAGTTAACAAGGATATCCAGGAATTGAACTCAGCTCTGCACCAAGCAGACCTAATAGACATCTACAGAAATCAAAAGCATATACATTCTTTTCAGCACCACACCACACCTATTCCAAAATTGACCACATAGTTGGAAGTAAAGCACTCCTCAGCAAATGTAAAAGAACAGAAATTATAACAAACTGTCTCTCAGACCACAGTGCAATCAAACTAGAACTCAGGATTAAGAAACTCACTCACTCAAAACAGCTCAACTACATGGAAGCTGAACAACCTGCTCCTGAATGACTACTGGGTACATACGAAATGAAGGCACAAATAAAGATGTTCTTTGAAACCAACGAGAACAAAGACACACCATACTAGAATCTCTGGGACGCATTTAAAGCAGGGTGAAGAGGGAAATTTATAGCACGAAATGCCCACAAGAGAAAGCAGGAAAGATCTAAAATTGACACCCTAACATCACAATTAAAAGAACTAGAGAAGCAAGAGCAAACACATTCAAAAGCTAGCAGAAGGCAAGAAATAACTAAGAACAGAGCAGACCTGAAGGAGATAGAGACACAAAAAACCCTTCAAAGAATCAATGAATCCAGGAGCTGGTCTTTTAAAAAGATCAACAAAATTGATAGACCACTAGCAAGATTAATAAAGAAGAAAAGAGAGAAGAATCAAATAGATGCAATAAAAAATGTTGAAGGGGATATCACCACCAATCCCACAGATATACAAACTACCATCAGAGAATGCTATAAACACCTGTATGCAAATAAACTAGAATATCTAGAAGAAATGGATAAATTCCTCAACACATACACCCTCCCAAGACTAAACCAGGAAGAAGCTGAATCTCTGAATAGACCAATAACAGGCTTTGAAATTGAAGCAATAATTAATAGCTTACCAACCAAAAACAGTCCAGGACCAGATGGACTCACAGCTGAATTCTACCAGATATACAAGGAGGAGCTGGTACCATTCCTTCTGAAACTATTCCAATCAATAGAAAAAGAGGGAATCCTCCCTAACTCATTTTATGAGGCCAGCATCATCCTGATACCAAAGCCTGGCAGAGACACAAAAGAAAAAGAGAATTTTAGACCAATAACCCTGATGAACATCGATGCAAAAATTCTCAATAAAATACTGGCAAACCGAATCCAGCAGCACATCAAAAAGCTTATCCACCATGATCAAGTGGGCTTCATCCCTGGGATGCAAGGCTGGTACAACATATGCAAATCAATAAATGTAATCCAGCATGTAAACTGCACCAAAGACAAAAACCACATGATTATTTCAATAGATGCAGAAAAGGCTTTTGACAAAATTCAACAGCCCTTCATGCTAAAAACCCTCAATAAATTAGGTATTGATGGGATGTATTGCAAAATAGATAGCTCTTATTATGACAAACTCACAGCCAATATCATACTGAATGGGCAAAACCTGGAAGCTTTCCCTTTGAAAACTGGCACAAGACAGGGATGCCCTCTCTCATCACTGCTGTTCAACATAGTGTTGGAAGTTCTAGCCAGGGCAATCAGGCAGGAGAAGGAAATAAAGGGTATTCAATTAGGAAAAGAGGAAGTCAAATTGTCCCTGTTTGCAGATGACATGATGTATATCTAGAAAACCCCATCATCTCAGCCCAAAATCTCCTTAAGCTGATAAGCAATTTCAGCAAAGTCTCAGGATACAAAATCAATGTGCAAAAATCACAAGCATTCTTATACACCAATAACAGACAAACAGAGAGCCAAATCATGAGTGAACTCCCATTCACAATTGCTTCAAAGAGAATAAAATACCTAGGAATCCAACTTACAAGGGATGTGAAGGACCTCTTCAAGGAGAACTACAAACCACTGCTCAACAAAATAAAAGAGGACACAAACATATGGAAGAATATTCCATGCTCATGGATAGGAAGAATCAATGTCGTGAAAATGGCCACACTGCCCAAGGTTATTTATAGATTTAATGCCATCTCCATCAAGCTACCAATGGCTTTCTTCACAGAATTGGAAAAAACTACTTTAAAGTTCATATGGTATCAAAAAAGAGCCTGCATTGCCAAGTCAATCCTAAGCCAAAAGAACAAAGCTGGAGGCATCACACTACCTGACTTCAAGGCTACAGTAACCAAAACAGCATGGCACTGGTGCCAAAACAGAGACATAGACCAATGGAATAGAACAGAGCCCTCAAAAATAATACCACATATCTACAACTATCTGATCTTTGAAAAACCTGACAAAAACAAGAAATGGGGAAAGGATTCCCTATTTAATAAATGGTGCTGGGAAAACTGGCTAGCCATATGTAGAAAGCTGAAACTGGATCCCTTCCTTACACCTTATACAAAAATTAATTCAAGATAGATTAAAGACTTAAATGTTAGACCTAAAACCATAAAAACCCTGGAAGAAACCCTAGGCTATACCATTCAGGACATAGGCATGGGCAAGGATTTCATGTCTAAAACACCAAAAGCAATGGCAACCAAAGCCAAAATTGACAAATGGGATCTAATTAAACTAAAGAGCTTCTGCAAAGCAAAAGAAAATACCATCAGAGTGAACAGGCAACCTACAGAATGGGAGAAAATTTTTGCAATCTACTCATCTGACAAAGGGCTAATATCCAGAATCTACAATGAACTCAAACAAATTTACAAGAAAATAACAACCCCATCAAAAAGTGGGCAAAGGATATGAACAGACACTTCTCAAAAGAAGACATTTATGCAGCCAAAAGACACATGAAAAAATGCTCATCATCACTGGCCATCAGAGAAATGCAAATCAAAACCACAATGAGATACCATCTCACACCAGTTAGAATGGTGAACATTAACAAGTCAGGAAACAACAGGTGCTGGAGAGGATGTGGAGATATAGGAACACTTTTATACTGTTGGTGGGACTGTAAACTAGTTCAACCACTGTAGAAGTCAGTGTGGCAATTCCTCAGGGATCTAGAACTAGAAATACCATTTGACCCAGCCATCCCATTACTGGGTATATACCCAAAGGATTATAAATCATGCTGCTATGAAGACACATGCACACGTATGTTTATTGTGGCACTATTCACAATAGCAAAGACTTGGAACCAACCCAAATGTCCAAAAATGATAGACTGGATTAAGAAAATGTGGCACATTTACACCATAGAATACTATGCAGTCATAAAAAATGATGAGTTCATGTCTTTTGCAGAGACATGGATGAAGCTGGAAACCATCATTCTCAGCAAACTATCACAAGGACAAAAAACCAAACACCTCATGTTCTTACTCATAGGTGGGATATGAACAATGAGAACACGTGGACACAGGAAGGGGAACATCACACACCGGGGCCTGTTGTGGGGTTGGGGGAGTGGGGAAGGATAGCATTAGGAGATATACCTAATGTTAAAGGACGAGTTAATGGGTACAGCATCCAACATGGCACATATATATATATGTAACAAACCTGCACGTTGTGCACATGTACCCTTAAACTTAAAAGCCAATTGGGGAGGCATTATTTGAAGATTGGGACAGCTCTCGAATATGATTACAGAAAATTTGGACAGCCTAAAATACTGAAAACATTGGGTGATTTCAAGGTGACTCAGTTACTGAGATGCAGATGTTTCTTGTGCCCTGGGGGAAAATTCTCAATAAATTTATGGAATTAGAAATCTAACAGACAGACAGTACAGGAACATGATGTAAAACTAAAAGGGAAACAGGCAAGACTACAGTTAGAAGAACCAAATCCTGGGCTAGATATTGGAATGAGGGAATTTCCTCTAGATGAAATAACTCTACCCAGGAGAGGTAAGATTTTTTGAATGAGTAGTATTTCATGGCCAGGCCAGCTGTAGGCCTGACAATGCACAAAAAATATAACAAACCCAGCAGCTATAACTGAGATTTAAAAATAACTCTTCAAGACTGAAACTTTTTATACCCAGTCTAATGGTGTAAATATTGTGGCCTATACTTTTCTGCATATTTCTGATCTGGCTATTTACTCACTTATAGCAGATTACATTTACCATAGAACTTTGAGCATATTTATATAAGAACCTGGAAAATATTAGGGGGCTGTGTTCACATTTTATATATATTGTGCATTGCTTGTTGGTGCTTCAGTAGTTAAACAAAGTGAACGTAACCTAAGCCAATTTCGAGTTGCCAGTATTTCTATTCTTGCTTAAAATGAATGCTCCCCGATAATGCAGTACTCATAAATTTAAAAACATTTACTTTAGCCAACTGTATATGGTTGTATTTGGAGACATACCTTTATGGGATGATACATAGAAAGAAGTTAAGAATACTAAGATGTCCAAGTTTCTAAATAGCAGAAATATAAATCAACAGGACCCCAAAGGTGATCACTCTTTCCAAAGGGGAGGCATAAATAGAATAAAACTGATGGAATTCGGGGACCATGCGAAACTGAAAACAGCCATAAATGACTGCATGAGGTCAGAGCATCATTTGAGCAAGTGACTGGAGTGATCCACATTACAAAGCTACAGATGTTGCCAACAGAATTATCTGCTATAAATATAAATTACCCCAGTCTATGGAGAAATCAGGGGTTTAGAACCAGTTAAAAGTCCAACTGGAATAACTGATAAGCATAATGAGAGGGAGAGCAAAACAGTTCCATGGTGCTGGCACTTTGCTAAGACTACAGTGTCTACTTTATACTCAGGGGATAGTGGACAAGTGCAGTCTATGGGACTTCATTATTGGTGCTGGGGCTTTACTATCCAAGACTGAAGATATCCTTCCTAAGACTGAAAGATTTGAAGATTATGAATTCTGAGGCTATTCAGTTTTTAAAGCCCAGTTTAAATCTGAATATAGAGGAAGTACATTTATAAAATGATCTTAGCCTAATAAGTGTTAGAAGTCTTCCTGGATTAAGAATCATCACAGATTTCAGCAACAAAAATTCATACGGGAGGAAGAATGTCATACTGATCTCTTAAACATCCACAATTGCTGAATCCCAGGGAAGTTATAGGAATGATTTCAAACGAATACAATGTAAAAAAAAAAAATGTTTGGGGCCAGGTGCGGTGGCTTTTGCCTGTAAACTTTGGGAGGCCAAGGCAGGTGGATCACTTGAGGTCAAGAGTTTAAGACCAGCCTGGCCAGCATGGTGAAAACCTTGTCTCTACTAAAAATATGAAAAATAATCAAGCATGGTGGCACACATCTGTAGTCCCAGCTACACGGGAGGCTGAGGTAGGAGTATCACTTGAACCGGGGAGGTGGAGGCTGCAGTGAGCCTAGATTGTGCCACTGCACTCCAGCCTGGGCAATAGAGGAAGCCTCCATCTGAAAAAAAAAAAAAGTTTGGGCCCATAATTAAGTAGTTGATCAGTCCCTATATAGGTGAAACTCCTAGGAGGCTCTTTCACAAAGTGTAAACAATATAATATACCCTAAGAAGCAGTAACTGAAGTGGATATACATAAAGAAGATGGACATGCCTTGCTTCTGCAACACATACGGACCCAAATGGACTTGAAAAATATATGGTCCACCCTCCCAAGACTAAACCAGGAAGAAGTCAAATCCCTGAATAGACCAGTAACAAGTTCTGAAATGGAGGCAGTAATTAATAACCTAACAAGCAAAAAAAGTCCAGGACCAGATGGATTAACAGCCGAATTCTACCAGAGGTACCAGTCCTTCTGAAAATATTCCAAACAATAGAAAAAGAGGGAATCCTCTTTAACTCATTTGATGAGGGCAGCATCACCTGGATACCAAAACCTGGCAGAGACACAGCAAAAAAAGAAAAGAAAAAAAAGAAAATTTCAGGCCAATATCCGTGATGAACATCAATGGGAATATCCTCAATAAAATACTGGCAAACTGAATCCAGCAGCACATCAAAAAGCTTATCCATCACAATCAAGTCGGCCTCATCCCTGGGATGCAAGGCTGGTTCAACATACACAAATCAATAAACATAATCTATAACATAAACAGAAACAATGACAAAAACCACACTATCTTAATAGATGCAGAAAAGGCCTTCAACAAAATTCAACACCCCTGCATGCTAAAAACTCTCAAACTAGGTATTGATGGAATGTATCTCAAAATAATAAGAGCTATCTATGATAAACCCACAGCCAATATCATACTGAATGGGCAAAGACTGAAAGCATTCCCTCTGAAAACTGGCACAAGACAGGGATGCCCTCTCTCACCACTCCTATTCGACATAGTATTGGAAGTTCTGGCCAAGGTAATCAGGCAAGAGAAATAAAGCAATTTATTAGGAAAAGAGGAAGTGAAGTTGTCTCTGTTTACAGATGACATGATTGTATATTTAGAAAACCCCATCTTCTCAGCCCAAAGTCTCCTCAAGCTGGTAAGCAACTTCAGTAAAGTCTCAGGATACAAAATCAATGTGCAAAAATCACAAGCATTCTTATACACCAAGAACAGACAAACAGAGCCAAATCATTAGGGAACTCCCATTCACAATTGCCACAAAGAGAATAAAATACCTAGGAATCCAATTTACAAGGGATGTGAAGGACCTCTTCAAGGAGGACTACAAACCACTACTCAAGGAAATGAGAGGACACAAATGGACACAAACAAATGGAAAAACATTCCATGCTCATGGACAGGAAGAATCAATATCATGAAAATGGCCGTAATGCCCAAGTAGTTTATAGATTCAGTGCTATCCCCATCAAGCTATCCCTGACTGACTTTCTTCACAGAATTGGAAAAAACTACTTTAAATTTCAATGGAACCAAAAAAGAGCCTGCAGAGCCAAGACAATCCTAAGCAAAAAGAACAAACCTGGAGGTATCACGCTACCTGACTTCAAACTATACTACAAGCCTACAGTAACCAAAACAACATGGTACTTGTACCAAAACAGGTATATAGACCAATGGAACACAACAGAGGCCTCAGAAATACCACACATCTACAACCATCTGATCTTTGACAAACATGACAAAAACAAGCAATGAGGAAAGGATTCCCTATTTAATATATGGTATTGGGAAAACTGGCTAGCCATATGTAGAAAGCTGAAACTGGATGCCTTCCTTACACCTTATACAGAAATTAACTCAAGATAGATTAAAGACTTAAAGGTAAGACCTAAAACCATAAAAACCCTGTAAGAAAACCTAGGCAATACCATTCAGGACATAGGCATGGGCAAATACTTCATGTCTAAAACACCACAAGCAATGGCAACAAAAGCCAAAGTAGACAAATGGAATCTAATTAAACTAAAGAGCTTCTGTACAGCAAAAGAAACTATCATCAGAGTGAACAGACAACCTACAGAATGGGAGAAAAGTTTTGCAGTCTGTCCATCTGACAAAGTTGTAATATCCAGAATCTACAAAGAACTTAAACAAATTTACAAGAAAAAAGCAACCCCGTCAAAAAGTGGGTGAAGGATATGAACAGACACTTCTCAAAAGAAGTATCTTTTATGTGGCCAACATATTAAAAAAAAAAGCTCATCAAACTGGTCATTAGAGACATGCAAAACAAAACCACAATGAGATACCATCTCATGTCAGTTAGAATAGTGATCATTAAAAGTCAGGAAACAATGGATGCTGGAGAAGATGTGGAGAAATAGGAATGCTTTTACACTGGTGGTGGGAGTGTAAATTAGTTCAACGCTGGAAGACAGTGTGGCAATTCCTCAAGGATCTAGAACCAGAAATACCATTTGACCCAGCCATCCCATTACTGGGTATATACCTAAAGGATTATAAATAATGCTGCTATAAAGACACATGCACACATACATTTACTGCAGCACTGTTCACAATAACAAAGACTTGGAACCAACCCAAATACCCATCAATGATAGACTGGATAAAGAATATGTGTCACATATACACCATTGAATACTATCTAGCCATAAAAAAGGTTGAGTTCATGTCCTTTGCAGGGACATGGATGAAGCTGGAAACCATCATTCTCAGCAAACTAACACAAGAACAGAAAACCAAACACTGCAGGTTCTTACTCATAAGTGGGAGTTGAACAATGAGAACACATGGACACAAGGAGGGGAACATCATGCACCACGGCCTGTCAGGGGGTTGTGGGGGTAGGGGAGGGATAGCATTAGGAGAAATACCTAATGTAGATGATGGGTTGATTGGTACAGCAAACCAACATGGCACATGCATACCTATGTAACAAACCTGCACGTTTTACACATGTACCCCAGAACTTAAAGTACAATAAAAAATAAAGTAATAATTGTTTACTAGAGAACCCTCAAAAAAAAAAAAAGAAAAGAAAAATGTATGGTCAAGATCAGGTAGGGTAATCTTATCTCCCAATTTGTTCAGATTAAATGTTACATTTTTTTTTTTTTTTTTGAGACAGAGTCTTGCTCTGTGGCCCAGGCTGGAGTGTGGTGGCACTATCTTGGCTCACTGCAAGCTCCACCTCCCGGATTCCCGCCATTCTCCTGCCTCAGTCTCTCAAGTAGCTGGGACTACAGGCGCGTGCCACCACGCCCGGCTAATTTTTTTGTATTTTTAGTAGAGACGGGGTTTCACCGTGTTAACTAGGATGGTCTTGATCTCCGGACCTTGTGATCCACCCGCCTCGGCCTCCCAAAGTGCTGGGATTACAGGCTTGAGCCAACGCGGCCAGCCAAAAGTTACCTTTTTAAAAGACAAATCATACAGTCATCACCTTAAGCAATTATCAAACTCAGTTGTTTCCATGGTAGCCACAGAGATTTCTATAAAAAGTGGGACCTTGAGAAAAGAACTTAGATTTATCAGAAAGATTTTGGTCTATAAGCCTGAGAAGAGATATAGCATTTTGTTGGAAGCTATACAGTGGATATAATTATTTTCCAAATTTTCTGGTACATATCAGGAAACTTCAATAGATAAACTAAATGATAGAATTATTTTAGGAATGGCCACAAGAAAGGATAAAGGTAAAGAAGGAAGACCGTCTTAATGATTTTGGAAATAAATAGGGAAGAAGCAAGCAATCCCTGGGAATGAACTGTCTCCTGGAGGGAAGAGATCAGGACAAGGCTAAGTTAATTAGGTCACTGCTTAGGCCGTCTGTGATATATCTACCACTGCTTCTGTTTTTGCTGCATTCTACCACGAATTTAAACACAATGTAATAAAATGGCCCTTCCTGAAGACCCAGATTGTGGATGATACCCACTAGAACTGGACCATTTATTGCAGAAGAATGGGAGGCTGCATTCTTAGGCAAGTGCTTTTGCTTTTTAGACCCCATTCTTCACCAGATATTGGTTTGCCAATGTTTATTCCTCCCTGATGGGTGGAGAGGAGGATAGAGTGCTGGCCTGTGGGACACACTGGACTTTAAAACCAAGCCACTTTTTCTTACAGTTTTATTTGTCTCTGTCTACCTCTCTGTGTGGTTTTTAGATTAGGAGGGGACAATGAGCACAATTTATCATACCCTCTGAAATTTTAAAATTAGTCCAAATGTGTTTATGTCCTGTTCTCAATAATATTTATGATTCCTAGTACAGGCCTTGGAACACAGAATATTTCTTTTGAATCTTTAGGATAGCTTTGTAAATTATAAAGAAATCCTGTTTTAACATAATAGTCAATTGTAGCTCAAGAAGTTAAACTCTAGTCTGTCCTCAAATTTTAGCCCTCCTCTGTTATGCCAGGCTTCCTCGCTGCAGAAACAAAGAATGAGATAATCGTCTTACTGAATAACCTCATAATGATATAGTAATGGGAGATAAACTGAACAGACATGTTGAGGGAAATTTTGGAATGTCTTAAATACCAGAATAAGAAGTCAGAAATTATTTTTGAAGGTTGAGAGTCACTGAAATAATATTGAGAAGAGTGACAAGCGATTAGAGTTGTAGAGACTGTAGATTAGATGGGATAGACCAACGTTTAAAGAGCATTTGGTAAGGTACTGCATTGTTCTCAGCATGAGATAATAGTGGCTTGAATTAGAAAATGATAGGAGTTTTAGCTTACTTAATTTTTGTAAAATAGAAAAATACTAAAAATATCAGTATATTGTTAATATTAGTTTAGACTTATATTTTTTGTATCCACAAATACTTGTATGGACAAATATTTACATAGTCCCAGACATTCATGAAATATCTAACAAATACCAGAAAGTGAGCTATTCATTATAAACTATGAACAGAGCCATGGACCAATGTTATTTTTTCAAAAGCAAACTCAATACTACTATTTCCAAAGTGGTAGCAAGGTTATAATTTTAAAGCAGTTTTAAAATGAACACTGACCATTAGTTATCTTTTCCTTCAGCCATCATGTTGATTTTGTAATTCTTCTGTTAGAAAGTCTTCCATGGTCCCATTGTTTTCAAGAAACCATAATTAGTTAATCACAATTTGGACTCAACTAATCAAACTTTTTATCCCTCTTTCTTCTATCCTCCTATAAAAAGTCCTTATAAATAAGAAAAAGCCAGAAAAAAATCACTACATCTTATTTCACATCCAACATTTACCATCTTATCTGTGTATGTTTGATTGCTTATAGGATTCCCAATTTTAGTCAGAGCTGTGATGTCAGTCTAGTCAAGTTTGAATCAGCCTAAGTCTCCACAAGTTCTATGAATTCCCTGTGCCTTGATCTCTTCATTATTTTTTGAAAAGATTAAATAGGTAATATATAGCTAGACTTATAATCATGTAGAAGAGATAATAGGCACTCAAATATGAGCTGTTATCAATATTGTTATTTTGGCAAGCAGGCCTGATCCATTCCAGAATAAGTAATATTGCTTGCTCTACAGAAATCATAGATTCTTTCCTTTGAAGTTTTTGCAGTTGATTTAATTAAATTATTATTGGTATCATATCCTTCAATGTGAGGTTTTGGAACAAGAGAAGAACATGGCTAATTCATTAGATTTTGAGCTACTAGAGATCAGATCTTTTTTCTCTAAGCAGCCACTCAGTTTATCAAAGGAAACTCCATTCTAATAGCTATTTAAGGCATCTGAAAAAGAAGGGAATAGTGGCTCTTGATATCTTTATTTCTAATCCCCACGGAAGCATAAAGGCACATCCTAGCTGAGGTAAATTTAATCCTGCTGACTTGACACTTTTACAACAGATGAAATTCAGCAGCACACCCTAATTTTCTGATTAATATTGTAAAGGTATTCTATGAGAAATTCCTCAGATAATATAGTAACTGTACAAATACACAATAAAGATTTTTATTTTTAGACTACCTTAAGAATCAATTGAAGATGCTAATATTTCTTGAGGAGGACAGATTATTAACTGGGCAAAAATGGTCTTTTATAAATTACCTACTGAAATGCAACCTCCTCTTTTCAATGCAAATAACAAGGCTTGCCATCTCATGATTTTTACTTTGAAATATTTGTGTTCCTATTATACAAGATCATATATTTTAAATGCCTAATTTGGACTTTTTGAACAATGTGTAGACTAAATTCTGTTAATTACAGAAGTTGGGTGGTATGCAGTCATTTATAATAGACTGTACTTGAGTCAATAAATTATCCCTACATAAACAGAGATAAATGTTAGTGTTCTGAGATTAACCTGGCAGAAAATGCATGTGAACATATTTTAAGGTGTACCTTTTATTTGGTGTATTGAAAGAATTATTTCCTAAAGGATGAATACTTCATTTAAATTAATATTTGCCATGTGAGAGATCAAAAGATAGATTGAAAGAAATATAGATCACCCCTTATCTCACCATATAAAATATCAGATATATTAGATTAAATCATATAAAATTGCTACTTTTATAGGTAAAAAAATGGTCACGTTGTTGCTCAACTTAACAATATACTTTTATATCCTTTTTTTCCTGTTACATTTTCATGATTTGAAATAGTTCAAAAATTGATAATTTAGCATTACGTCCACAGGTATATTTTGTTACTCTGTATTTGGACATGTGGATTACTTACAATTTTTTGCTACTACAGAAACCACTATGCTTATTATGATTATTTTGTATCTAGCAAAACTAAGTATCATATATGAAGGAAAGATACAGTTGTTTTCAGACAAATTCTGGAAACACATCAAAACAAAACCTCTTTAAAGCATAAATCACTCAGGACCTATAAAAACAAAAATACAGGTTAAAAAGCACAAACAAAAAGTACACAGGCAACAAAGAACATGATGAATGCAATGGTACCTCGCATTTAAATACTAACATTAAATGTAAATGGCCTAAAAGCTCCACTAAAAAGATACAGAACCACAGAATGGATAAGAACCCACCCACCAACTCTCTGCTGCCTTTAGCAGACTCACCTAACATATAAGGACTCAAACTTAAAGGGGGTGGAAAAAGACATTCCATGCAAATGGACACCAAAAGCGTGCAGGGTTAGGCATTCTTGTATCAGAAAAAAACAAACATTAAAGCCACATTGGTTAAAAGAGACAAAGAGGGACATTATATAATGGTAAAAGGTCTTGTCCAACAGGAAAATATCACAATCCTAAACACATATATGCCTAACATTGGAGCTCCCAAATGTAAAAAACAATTACTAAGAGACATAAGAAATGAGATAGACAGCAACACAGTAATCGTGGGGAACTTCAAGACTCCACTGACAGCACTAGACAGGTCATCAAGATGAAGTCAACAAAGGAACAATGGATTTAAACTATACCTTTGAACAAATGGACTTAACAGATATATACAGAACACTTCATCCAACAACCGCAGAATACACATTCTATTCAACAGCACATGGAACTATCTCCAAGACAGACCATATGATAGGCCATAAAACAAGCCTCAATAAATTTAAGAAAATTGAAATTGTATCATGCACTCTCTCAGACTACAGTGGAATAAAGGTAGAAATCAACTTCAAGAGGAAACTTCAAAACCTCACAAATACATGAAAATTAAGTAACCTGCTCCTGAATGAGCATTGGGCCAGAAACAAAATCAAGATTGAAATTAAAAATTCTTCAAACGGGGTGACAATAATGACACAACCTATCAAAACCTCTGGGATACAGCTAAGGCTGTGCTAAGAGGAAAATTCATAGCCCTAAATTCCTACATCAAAAAGTCTGAAAGAACACAAACAGACAATCAAAGGTCACACCTCAAGGAACTAGAGCAACAAGAACAAACCAAACCCAAACCCAGCAGAAGAAAGGAAATAACCAAGATCAGAGCAGAACTAAATGAAATTGAAAAAAAAAAAATTACAAAAGATAAATGAAATAAAAAGCTGGTTCTTTGAAAAGACAAATGACATCGATAGATCATTAGCAAGATTAACCAAGAAAAGGAGAGAAAATCCAACTAACCTCACTAAGAAACAAAACAGGAGATATTACAACTGACACCACTGAAATACCAAAGATCATTCAAGGCTACTAGGAACATCTTTATGCACTAAACTAGAAAACTTAGAAGAGATGGATAAATTCCTGGAAACATATAACCCACCTAGCTTAAATCAGGAAGAATAAGATACCTTGAACAGACCAATAACAAGCAGTGAGATTGAAACAGTAATTAAAAAATTATCAACAAGGCCAGGTGCAGTGGCTTATGCCTGTAATCCCAGCACTTTAGGAGGTCAAGGTGGGTGGAACACCTGAGGTCAGGAGTTCGAGACCAGCCTGGGAAACATGGTGAAACCCCGTCTCTACTGGAAATACAAAAAAAAGTTAGCTGGGTGAGCTGGGTGTGGTGGTGAACATGTATAATCCCAGCTACTTTAGAGGTTGAGGCAGTAGAATAACTGGAACCTGGTAGGTGGAGGTTGCAGTGAGCCAAGATCATGCCATTGCACTCCAGCCTGAACAACAAGATAGGGACTCCATCTCAAAAAGTAATTTTTTCAACAAAAAAAAGTCCAGGACCAGACAGATTCACAGCAGAATTTTACCAGACATTCAGAGAAGAATTGGTACCAATCCTTTTGACACTATTCCACAAGATAGAGAAAGAAGGAACCCTCCTTAAATCATTCTATGAAGCCAGTATCACCCTAATACCAAAACCAGGAAGGGACACAACCAAAAAAGAAAACTACAGATGGATATCACTGATGAACATAGATGCTAAAATCCTAAAGAAAATACTGGCTAACCGAATCCAAAAACACATCAAAAAGATAATCCACCATGATCAAGTGGGTTTCATACCAGGGCTTCAGGGATGGTTTAACATACACAAGTCAATAAATGTGATACACCACAGACAAAATTAAAAACAAAAGTCACATGCTCATCTCAATAGTTGCAGAAAAAGCATTCAACAAAATCCAGCACTGCTTTATGATCAAAACCCTCAGAAAAATCAGCATACAAGGGTCATACCTTAATGTAATAAAAGCCATCTATGTCAGACCCACAGCCAACAAAATACTGAATGGGGAAATGTGGAAAGCATTCCCTTCAAGAATGGGAACAAGACAAAGATGCCCACTCTCACCACTCCTCTTCTACATAGTACTGGAAGTCCTAGCCAGAGCAATCAGACAAGAGAAAGAAATGAAGGTCATCCAAATCTGTAAAGAGGAAATCAAACTGTCGCTGTTTGCTGCTGATATGATCATTTATCCTGAAAACCCTAAGGACTTCTCCAGAAAACTCATAGCACTGATGAAAGAATTCAGCAAAGTTTCCAGATACAAAATGAATGTACACAAATTGGTAGCTCTTCTATGCATGAACAGCAACCAAGCAGAGAATCAAATCAAGAACTCAACCCCTTTACAATAGCTGCAAAAATAAAATAAAATACTTAGGAATATACGTAACCAAGGAGTCCAAAGACCTCTACAAGGAAAACTATAAAATACTGCTGAAAGAAATCATAGACAAGACACAGAAATGGAAACACATCCCATGTTCATGGATGGGTAGAATCAATATTGTGAAAATGAACTTACTGCCAAAAGCAATCTACAGATTCAATGCAATTCCCTTAAAACGCCATCATCATTCTTCACAGAGTTAGAACAAAAAATTCTAAAATTCATATGGAACCAAAAAGGAGCCTGCATAGCCAAAGCAAGACTAAGCAAAAAGAACAAACAAATCTGGAGGCATCGCACTATCTCATTTCAAACTATACTATAAGGCCACAGTTATCAAAACAGCATGGTATTGGTATAAAATTAGGCAAATAAACCAATGGAACAGAATAGAGAACCCAGAAGTAAATTCAAATAGTTACTGCCAACTGATCTTCAACAAAGCAACCAAAAACATAAAGTTGGGGAAAGGACACGTTTTTCAACAAATAGTGCTGGGATAATTGGCTAGCCACATGAAGGAGAATTAAATGATCTTCATCCCTTACCTTATACAAAAATCAACTTAAGATAGATTAAGGACTTAAACCTAAGAGATGAAACTATAAAAAGTCTAGAAGATAACATTGGAAAACCCTTCTAGACATTGGCTTAGGCAAGGATTTCATGACCAAGAACCCAAAAGCAAATGCAATAAAAACAAAGATAAATAGCTGAAACCTAATTAAACTAAAGAGCTTTTGCACGGCAAAAGGAACAGTCAGCAGAGTTGACAACCCACCACACGGAATGGGACAAAAATCTGCACAATCTATACATCTGACAAAGGATTAATATCCAAAATCTACAACAAACTAAAATCGGTTAGAATAAAACAACAATCCCATCAAAAGTGGGCTAAGGACATGAATACACAATTCTCATGGAAGGTATACAAAGGGCCAACAAACATATGAAAAAAGTCTCAACATCACTAATGATCAGTGAACTGCAAATTGAAACGACAGTGCAATACCAGCTTACTCCTGCAAGAATGGCCATAATCAAAGAATCAAAAAACAGTAGATGTTGGCATGAATGTGGTAGACAGGGAGCACTTCTACACTGCTGGTGGGAATGTAAACTAGTACAGCCACTATGGAAAACAGTGTGGAGATTCTTTAAAGAATTAAAAGTAGAACTACCATTTGATCTAGCAATCTCACTACTGGGTGTATACCCAGAGGAAAAGAAGTCATTATTTGAAAAAGATACTTGGACATACATGTTTATCATGTTTATAGCAGTACAATTGCCAAATTGTGGAGCCAACCCAAATGCCCATCAATCAAGTGGATAGGGAAACTCTATGTATATGCCTACATATATATACATATATACATATATGTACATGCATGTGTGCATATGCATGTGTGTGCATACATGCACATGCACACACATATACGTACATGTGTATATACCTGTGCACATATATATACATGTGTACACATATGTATATGATGGAATACTATGCAGTCATAAAAAGGAATAAATTAATAGCATTTTCAGTGACCTGGATGAGATTGGAGACTATTATTCTGAGTGAAGTAACTCAGGAATGGAAAATGAAACATTATATGTTCTTACTGACATGTGGGAGCTAAGCTATGAGGAACACAGAGGCATAAGAATGATACAATGGACTTTTGGGACTTAGGGTGAAGACTGGGAGGGGGGTGAGGGATAAAAGACTACAAATAGGGTGCAGCATATACTGCTCGGGTGATGGGTGCACCAAATCTCACAAATCCCCACTAAAGAACTTATGTAACCAAATACCACTTGCATCCCATTAACTTATGGAAAAAAATCTCATGTTCAGTGAAAACTGTAAAATTATATATATTCTCTATTTATATAATATAAAGTTAATTATGTATCCCTAATTAGCTGGGGACTTTCAGGAGTGTTGGCAATGTTTTATTTTTTTTGACATAAAACCTTGTTTTATTATTATTATACTCTCTACATTATCCCCTTCTCTGTGTGTTTTGTTTAGCAATATGTAAAGGGCACTTGTGTCTTTTTTTCTACTTGTTAAAGCAAAAGTTTAAAAATTTTGTTAAAGTTTGTATAATTAGTAAATTTTAAATTTGTCCTTTTTGTGTATGAGTTGTTACATTTTGAAGCTGTTTGGTATCACACAAGACAAAAATTTATGGTAGTGTGTATTTTTAGCAATAAAAATAAACTACATATAATCTTTGTCTGGAATTCTGTGTTACACAAGGTCAGTATTTTTGTTCTCATTTCTGTTAAGCATATAAATATGTAACAATTTTAGATAGACTTCAAAACATTCCTAAAAAACCTAACATGTTGAACTTTGTTCATTCTCTTTGCACTGTAATATTTTATTGTGTGATTATATTGTAATTTATTTATCCATCCTATTTTTTCTTTTTTTGAGATGCAGTCTTGTTCTGTCTCCCAGGCTGGAGTTCAGTGGCACGATCTCAGCTCATTCCAACCTCTGCCTCCCAGGTTCAAGCGATGGGGTTTCACCATGTTAACCAGGATGGTCTTGATCTCCTGGCCATGTGATCCACCTGCCTTGGCCCTATCCTATTGTTTATAAGAATTTGGATAGTTTACAATTTGGAACTGTATTATCCTCCTAAGAGAAAACCCCTTTGTCACTATGAATTTTCTCTTTCTCTTTAGCTATGTACACAATGTCTAGTACAGCAGCAGCTGTGATTAGAAACGTTTACAGAAGTACACTTTAGTGACCAGGCACTGAGTTATCCTCCATTGATTTCCGTCTTCTGCTATCCATGCCCTTGTATAATCCCTTCCCTTGACTTCCTTCTAACTAATGGAATATAACAAAGATATTGAGATGTCATGATGGAATATAACAAAGGTATTGAGATGTCATGATGTAGTATACCACAAGAGACCAATCACAGCTATAAGATTAATAATAACCACAGGCTCACTCAAACATCTTGCAAAGCTGACACTACATATCTCTTCACAATATGATGTAACCTGGCCCAAGGCTTTCCAGGAGACAAGGCCACCTCAGCACAGATGCAATTTTTGGGAACATTAAAACAAAATGTATCCTCACAAGAATCACTTAAAAACTCCCTTATGAAAGACACCTGGTAACTGACCCAAACTGAATACAGTTACAAGAAAGGGGGAACAATCCCTCAAACTCTGAGAATGGTCTCTGGATGGAGATCCTCCTGGTAGTGATCATCTAACCCCTGACCCATGTTGCTGGCCTGCGCCAGCTCACTTGTAAGAGTGCTACCAAAATAAACTGCTTGAACATCAGACAGCATCTAGGACTCATTTTTGACACAAATCATACCAAAGGAAAAAAATAACCTCTGAGGAAGCTGATTTACCAGGACTATCTGAGAGCCCTGAACATGATGTATGATATATGTAAATTCCATCTTGCCAGCTGATATGCTAGAGTGATTTCCCTTCACTGGCTTTGATGAAGCAAACTGCCAGGAAGTAAAGGCCATGTTAGAGAATCCCACATGGTAAGGAAGGGCAGGCAGACTGTAAGAGCTTTCTTCAGCTAGAAATGGATATCTTAGTCATGCAGACATAAGGAAATGACTGTTGCCAGCAATCTAAAGGGGCTTGGAAGCAGAAGATTCTCTAATTGACCTTCTGATGAGACCTCAGCCCCAGTCTCAAGGTGGATTGCAGCCGCCTGAAATCCTGAAGCAGAAGACCCAGTTAAACTGTGCTCAGAGTTATGACTTACAGAAACTGAGTAATGAATGTGTTGTTTTCAGCCACTAAGTGTGTGCTGATTTGCTTTGCAGAAATAGATTGTGAACACATTCACAATTACCACCATTATCCTAGCTTTTACAGGGACATGAAAGATACAACCAGTGATGCATAATTAAATCTTATCAACCTGTAGCATGACAATAATCTCTGCCCTTCCATTTGAAATATGGTGGTACTTACCACTCACTTTTTGGCCAGGGGGATATATGCATTTAGGCTTTTCCACTCAGCCTTTGCTATCATGATAGCTCTTAATCCACAGTTCAGGCAATTAATGAGACAGCGCCAACAGCTGTTTAGTACATCTGTCTCAATTTAGCACTCAGAAATAGGAAAAAATCACAGGAAAGGTCTATAGATGAATTGAATCTAGAGAGAGAAAAAGACTTGGTCTTCATCCAGCTTAAATCTATTAGGGAGCCATGGTGGCATGTGAGTTCTCTAATATATCAATGTCAGTTTATACCCTATAGCAATAGCCCTTGAAAAATTGGTCAGTCTCTTTTCCACAGAGACAGTTACTCTGGTAAATTGCTATAGGTCTCTTTGGTGAAATGCTAGAGTAATTAGTACTATATATACTTATTAGATGTTGCAGGTTCCTTCATCAAGAGGACCCAGATACTCCTTTAAATGGCTGGCTCCAGCCAGGCTGGTGGCACACGTCTGTAATCCCAGCACTTTGGGAAGCCAAGGTGGGTGGATCACCTGAGGGCAGGAGTTTGTGACCAGCCTAACATGGTGAAACCCCATCACTACTAAATACAAAAAAATTAGTTGGTTGTGGTGGTGCATGCCTGTAATCCGAGCTACTTGGGAGGTTGAGACAGAATAGCTTGTACCTGAGAGGCAGAGGTTGCAGTGGGCTGAGATAACACTATTGAACTCCAGCTTGGGCAACAAGAGCAATAAAAAAAAGGCTGGCTCCTAGGTTGAGAACAAAGACAGCTGTAGCTATAGGAAGGGTTTCATAATTTTCTGTTGCAGCAGCTATCAGCTCCCCTAGTCTTTATTTGTATCTAGTATTTATTTTTTTAACTTCAAGGTATAATTGACAAATAGGAATTACATACATTTAAGGTATACAAGTTAATGTTATGATATGTGTACGCCATGAAATAATCATGAATAATTAGCTTCACAGTGAAGCTAATTAACATCAATCAAATCACATAGTTCTTTTTCTTTATGGTAAAAACACAAGATTTGGTCATAGAAAATTTCAAGTATACAATATGGCTGACTGTAGTCATCATGCTGTACATTAGATCTCAGGAATTCTTCACCTTACACAACTGAAATTTGGCAACATTTGTAGGGGAGCAAGGCAGAATTTTACATCTTTCCTTTTTGGCTTTCTTTTTAGCTTGGCTGAGAACTAAATTGACATGACAGATCAAAAGAAGAAAAGCATTCAAATGTATTTCAAGTTTCATGTGAGACAGGAGCCTTCATGAAAGAAATTAAGAAGTAGAGTCACTTATATATTAAATTGAGCAAACATTAGTAAGTTGTGAAAAAGCAACTAAATTATGGGGGGAGGCTTAAAAGATGAGTTATTTTAACAAGGTCTGTACAGAATTCTCCTGGTCTCAACTTCCTGTTCCTGATAAAAATGTTGCTTTACTTCTAGTATAGAGGGAATACCTTTCTTATCTGCTTTTAAGAAACAGAAGGAAGATCAGAATAAACTTTTTTCTGCTATTTTCCAAGAGCCTTTAATTCAAAATAGTCAATATGTCACAGTGGTATATTTTTAACTCCTTTACCTCGGACCAACATCTCCTCTTCCTCTGGCAACCACAATTCTATTATTTGCTTTTATAAGTTTAACTATTTTAAATTCCACAGATAAGTGAAATCATGCGGTAGTTTTTCTGTGGTTTATTTTACCTAGCATAATGTCCTCCAAGTTAATCTATGTGGTCACAAATTGCAGGATTTCCTTCTTGTTTAAGGGTGGATAATGATCCATTTTGTGTGTGTGAGTATGTGTGTAGACCAACTACATTTTATCTATTTGTGGATGGACATTTAGATTATTTCCATATCTTGGCTATTGTGAATAATGATACAATCAACCCCAACATGTAATTTTTAGTTCTGATATACTTTAAAGTTAGAAAAATAGCAGTACAAGGCACTGTGGTATACTCCTTACTCAGGTTCCCCAATTGCCTATGTTTTGCTCTAACTTCATCAACTTTCTCAATCAGTATGTGATTGTGTGTATATACATCTTTTTCTAAAGAACTTGAAACTTGGAGCTAACTTGTTTATTTAATTCTGAATATTTTATAATTCTTAACAAGGACATTCTCTTAATCATAGAAAAATTAGCAAAATAAGTATAACATTGATATAATCCTTTAAATTATAATTTCCTATATATATTTGGAATCCATAGTTTAGATATCAAATACATATATAAAATATCTTTTAAATGATTATAAATTTGGAATCAATCAGAAAGAGTTGTTGGAAATTATAGGAATAATCCTGAAAATGTTCTTATTTTACAAATAAGGATACCAAAACACAGAGCTGGGGTCTTGGAAATTATAAATGGCAGAGTTCAAAGCAGATGGTAGTTTGCTTGGCTAAATGGTTAATGTTTTTCTCTAGGATATTTTGTCTTAATAGTAGCCATTGTTTATTATATACTGGATGATTACATAAGTATTTCAGAGAACCATTAATTTGTATTCTTGGTACATAAGCCAAACAATGTTTTCTTCTACTTAAAGTCACATATTCTAATTCTATGTGTATATGACATATATTATCCAGTTACAAAAGGAAAATGAAGTTGGTAAGTGGGTGGCTGGTTCACAGCTATATAAACATTATGAATGAGATTAAGTTAAATTTGGGGGTCATTCTGGTCTCTTACACGTTCTCTGCTTTCAATCTGCACTCATTTTACTGTCATCAGGCAATTTTCTGCCTCCTCTCTAGAAAAACCAATGGCGATATATTTGTAGTAAAACCTCAGAAGCCAATTTTATTTTTCACACCCACATATTCTCTTTCTACAGTTACTCTATAAATCTTTGTTTTTCTTGTTTATCTAGAGTTCTCTGACACCACACTTCAGCAACTCCTTAAATTTTCTTCCTACTTGGCAATACTTTTTAGAGAATAGCTCTCCAAGGACCATAAGTGTATCTGGGAAATTTAACTGGTGTGTAGAGCAGCAGAAACTTGGACTCATACCCTTAAAGATTTCTAGCAACAAAGTTAATTGACTCAGAGATATCAGACCTAAGTACGTTTTTTTAAAATAAAGCTTAGATATTGATAGTTTAAAAAGATTTCAAGTGATTTAGTTGTTTTTAAGGTTATATAACTTAGATGTCATGTCATATTTCTAGTTCCAAGGATAACAATTTGATCATCCACATATAAGAGTGTGGAATGATGTTTACATTAGGGTCAGGGCATAGAGTGAGTTCAATTTTGTAAATATTCTGCATTTTACAAATCAGAATACAATTTCATGTTTGACTGTTAGAGATAAAAGCTAGTATCACAGAGTCCTAAATAGGATTTTTCATGAGTAAGTCTCCAGCTGAAAACAGAGGCATTCTAAAGATAGCAACAAATAATTGGAGACATTTTTTTCTTCAGGATTTATTAAGAGGCCGTACAGTGAGAGGTGCCACACTCAACCATCAACCACATCCTTCATTCTGACTATTCCTTGCCAGTTGCAGAGAAAAGAAGGAATAAAAGTATAGGTCATGCTTTTGTTCCTACTGCAAGTCCCTTAAGGCATAGATTTTGCCTAAGATGGAGAAGGGAATAAATGTGCATATGTGTATGTGTGTAAATTGGAGATTTGCTCTTTTGTTTATAAATCCTTCAGTTTGTATCTTTTTATGAAATGGGCCCAAAAGTCTCATAGACAGTTTTTGAATAAAGATAGAAATTGGCCCTTCTAGGACGGGTGTGGTGGCTCACGCCTGTAATCCTAGCACTTTGGGAGGCCGAGGCAGGCAGATCACAATATCAAGAGATCGAGACCATCCTGGCCAACATGGTGAAACCCTGACTCTACTAAAAATACAAAAATTAGCTGGGCATGGTGGCATGTGCCTGTAGTCCCAGCTACTTGGGAGGCTGAGGTAGGATAATCACTTGAACCTGGGAGGCAGAAGTTGCAGTAAGCCAAGATCACACCACTGCACTCCAGTCTGGGCAACAGAGCAAGACTCCATCTCAAAAAAAAAAAAAAAAAAGAAAATTGACCATTCTGTTAAAGCTTTAAAGTTGTATTTGTTTTCTCTAAGTTCCTAAGGAAAGGACCTTCAGAGGCCTCTCAAAAAAGTATCAAAGAAAGAATTGAAACTCACCAATTCACCACATCATGACAGTGAGATGCTGGACCCCTCATTTATCATAATTGCTTCCTTGCCCCTCCTAAGTTTCTGTTTTCTTACACATTGTTACATATCTTCCCTGCTATATAAAAACCTAGTTTTAGTCTGTCAGGGAGTTGGATTTAAGACTGAACTCCCATCTCCTTGGCTGAAGCACCCGATTAAAGCCTTTTTCCTTGACAATACTTGTCATCTCAGTGACTGGCTTTCTGTACAGAGAGCAGCAGGACCAAGGCCAAACCCCAGTGTTTCAATAACATTAAGGACAAAAATATTCTCTTACATAACTGTATAATTACCAAAATCAGCAATTTAACATTGCTACAATATTATTTTCTCCTTTACTGTCTGTATTAAAGTTTCATTAGTTGTCTTAATAATGCCCTTAATTTTATTTTCATTTTCTCAGTAGAGGATCTAATGCAGGATCACACAAGGCATTTATTTGTTATATGCCTTTAATCTGGTATAGTTTGTCAGAATTCTTAAAAAATATATATATATATATTTAAATTTCCATTAGTTATCTTGTAGAATACCTTTTAATATGGGTTTGATATTTACTCATGATTACATTTTTGGCAGGAATATCACAGAAGGGATATTGTGTCCTGTGGAAGGCCTCATAGAAGAAGCACATGATAATTTGTCAAATATTGGTGATATTAATTTGATCAGGTGGTTAAAAATGTTATCTGCAAAGGTTTTCTCCTGTGAAATTACTGAGTAATGCATGGAAAGATATTTTGAAACTCTGTAAATATTGTATTCCATGTCACATTTGTGCCTTCAGTCATTTTAACATTCATTGATAACGCCATTTCTTCTATGGTTATTGTTTGGCATTCTAATGCAAGGAACAACTCTTATTTATACCTGCATGGCTTCAGGGGTCCTTGTTTCATTCAATGAGTTTTAACTCTTTACTGGTACTATTTTGATATTCTAAAGATCTTTGGCCAATTTGAGTACCTTCAAGCTGACATCCATGTACTTTTTATTGCTCTCAACATTCTTTGGCCACTAATCAGTCTTTTTTCCAAGAGTCCTTTTTTCCCTTAGTCGGGAATGTCTTTTAGAGAGCCAAATTTGGATTCTGAATATGCTTATTGTTACTGATATGCCATTGTTATTAAGCCCCTTCAGTGGACAAAGCTAAGGAATATTCAAATATGTTCTCCCTCTCTCTCCTTATCTTTAGTATATTTATTTGGTAAATATAAAACAAATGTAGTTTGGAAATTGATAAATCATGCCATTTTGGCTCCCTCAAGTTTTCAAAATTACATTCACCCTCTTAGGGTCCTGACTGGCCTGGAAAAGTAAATTGACATTTGACTGATTAACAGGAGAAAATCATACAAATTTAATGTCTTATAGACAAAGGAGCATTCATAGGAAAATGAGGACCCAAAGAAGATGCTAAACCTATATGCTTTGTGTTAGGTTGTACAAAGAAAGACCATTATGGAAAAGTAACTCAATTACACTGGAGCCAAAGGAAGATAATTATTTCAACAAGGTCTGTCTGTACAGAATTTCCTCTGCTGTAATTTCTGATGGAAGAATGTTTCCTTTTTCCTGGAACAAGGAGGACATCTTTCACATAGGAATTTTTATCTTCTGTTTTGGGAAGAAAAGGGACAATTAGAATGCCCTCCTTGCATCTGCTGTTTTTCAAGTTGCCTTTACATGTAGTAATTATGTCAAAGTGACATATTTTGGAGTGGCATGTTCTGCCATCTTACAAAAGCAAATCTCCTAATCCAAAATTGTAGCCCTTTTAAGGTAAAATTTACATAACAAAAAATGCTGAAATTATAAATGTCCATTTGTTGATTTGACAAATGCAAACATCTATTTAACCCACACCTTTATCAAGACATACCTGAGAAAATTCTGTTCTGCCTCTTCCCAGTCAGAGAGGATGATTTTAAATCAGACTGGAGATTAGAATTTTAAAATGTACTGAACTAAATTTTAATAACTAAAGTGACTGATGAAATATGTTTTTCCCAAGCTATAGTCTGGAAAGAAGAAAATGTTTTTTGTTTGTGTGATTAAAATAATTGGAGAATATAAAAGTATTCTGTGAAGTACACTATTGAGGAATATGGAATTCTACAATGTTTGAATACAGTAACTCCAATTCTCTCTCTTTACAGATAAGACTACTGAAGCTGAGAGATGATTCAAGCTCATCTCACTTCCCACAACTTCTTTGTACCGTCAGTAGGGTTAGAAATTATGGATTTTAACACATAACTTGAAAATCATTTTTATCTTTAAACAGACGTCTACGTCAGTTCTAGTTTAAAAAACAAAGCAGTATACGGGTCATTGGTTCAAGCTGATGACTGTTTAACAAGCTCCAACACAGTCTCATTCAATTTTTCAGTAACATGTTATTGGAGACAGAAAGCAAATCAAAATTTACAGCACAAAAGCTCAGACTGACATAACAATGAGAGAGTGTAGAAAGAATTGACATGAATTATAAAGCACATTGAACTTGTTAATAAGACCTGCTTATATTTCAACACAAGATGAACCTAGAGTTTGCCTCATGAAAAGTGTAGAAGATGCTAACATTACACTTTTTAAACCAATTCTTTACTCCTTTTCTATAATAAAATTAAGTGAGGCACTCTCTCATTTGACTTTGCAGCAGGTAGTTCTTACTAGAGTGAGCAAAGTATGTTTTCGTGCCCAATTTATTTCGAACTTGGCAATATAACTTGCTTTGGCCAAAGGAATGTGTACAGATGGGACAGTATAGTACTTCCAAGCCAAGATTTTAAGAAGCACATTGTCTTCATCTATTTGTGTTGCTCTAAAGGAATTCCTAAAACTGAGTAATTGATAAAGAGTAAGAAGTTTATTTGGCTCATGGTTCTGCAGGCTGTACAAGAAGAATGGCACTAGTATCTGCTTTTGCTGAGGGCTTCAGGATGCTTCTACTCATGGTAAAAGATGAAGCAAAGCCCACATGGCAGAGATTACATGGCGAAAGAGGAAGCAAAATAGTGAGAGGGGAGATGCCCAGCTTTTTCTAAAAAACAGATCTCATGGAAACAACAGACTGAAAACACACTTATTACTGTGAGTACAGCACCAAGCCATTCATGAGGGATCTGCCTCCATGACTCAAACACCTCCCATTAAGCCTCACCTCCACCACTAGGAATCAAATTTCAACATAATGTTTGAGGGATGAACATTCTAACTACAGCACATACTGTATTTACAATTGCTCCATTTTTACTCATACCACTCTACACAAGGATGGCATGTCCAAGCAGGGGAGGAGACACATGGAGCATACCTGAAGCAAAGTCTCTCCAGTTGACCAACAGATCAAGGAGAAAGCAAAATGAATGATGTTGCTCTAAGTCACTGAAATATTGAGTAGCTTATTTAACAGTAAAAACAGACTAATGCACAGAGATTACCTAGAAATGTGCAAGGCTGGGAAACAAATTCTGATTTAGGGACACAAAGTATTTCTTCTTAGTTCTCAATAGTTATTTGGTGAAGAGGATGGTATATTCTTTACACTATATTTTTTTCAGCCATCCCTGCAAGGAATGCTGCAGGCAGAGACTTCAGATTAAAACAAAAACAGAATTAGCGGGAGGTTTGAATTGGTGAGAGGAACTGATGTGTAGTTCAGGAAAATCTAAGAAATGTAGGCACCAGGAACACAAGACTTTCTTTAGATAAGTGCGCCCCATGAATACTTTGATAGTAGAGTGTGCTAGGAATTGTATTTTGTCGTATACTATATCTGTCTATAACAGAAGAAAATCATAAGACAGAAGTAAAATACCACCTGAGTAGGGGCAAAGCTGATTAAATCTAGTTAAAGATGAAGATTTAGACTGGGGGAATTTAATTTGCATTTTATCTACAAAAAGACCACCATACAAATGAAGTGAGATTGAGATCAAGAAAAATTTATGGGCCCTTCTGCTGGTAAACACTACTTCTAGACAGTTGTTTTCTTAACTGATGATCAGTGAAGAGAAAAAGCAATACAAACATCATAGAACTCACCCGTGAAAAGTGCTCTGGGGCATGAGGAAAGATATTGGAAAAGCACTTCATACACTCAAAGGGAAAAGCATCTCTTAACGTATTCTACTATTAAATACAAAACCATCTCCAGAAAACCATTTGATAAACTCAATATAAAAAATTATAAGCAAGGAGGGGGATTAATGAAAGATATAACACCACAGAACTGGGTAAAAGGGTAATGATATGAGATGTGTGTGTGTCATAGTAAAATACAAATTTGGAAAATTAATGATATACTTTTTTCAAAGCATATACCACAACTTTAAGTGCTATTTATTGTTTAATGGAGGCAATGTCTCACTATGTTGCCCAGGCTGTCCTCAAAATCCTGGGCTCAAACAATCCTCCTGCCTCCGAGTAGCTGGGACTACAGACCCACACCAATGCACCCAGTTTTAAGTGTTAATATTGCTGAATATTTTAGTGGTTTCCATGTTTTGAAATTATAAGTAAGGTTTTAACTTCTTGATAAATAACATGTTCCTATTTTCATTATTTCCTTATGTTATGTTCCAGAAATTAGGTATTTTGGCCACAGATTCTTAAATTTAGAGATACTATTTGACTTCTAAATGTTTATTCATGTCTCTTATGGTATACTGCCTGCCTCTAAATATCAGCAAATTGCTCTCTTAAATAGTTTTATTATTTTATACTCTATTAACAATACAATTTATTGGGCTTTAACCATATTGAGTATTTTAATTGTTTTATTTAGGAATTGATAGAATTATAGTCTCTGGCAACCATTTCTAGAAGTACTGGGGAAGATATACTTTCTTATACTCTGAAGCTAGGAGGCCACAGTGACCAAGGACCCTAACTGGGGCATAATAAAACTAACACAGAGAAAAGAAGAGACAGGTTTGGAGAAAATCCAAATTCTGATGACCTCATCTAAATTCTAGCATTTTATATTACATGTCAGTAAATGCCTTTTTTTGTTGTTGTTAAAGCAGTTTGAGTTGGATTTTTGCAACTTACAAAAGAATGATGTATCTTTACTAACACATAGGTAAATGGTTCTTTTCATTTCTTTATCAGACATGAAGTATATTTTAAACATTTTTAATCCTACTTGCAATTTGTGATAACATTTTCAGCTGTGCTACATATACTCAAGTGTATATTAGCAATCTAAGCATTTCTGAGTTTTTGATATGAAATCGACATAGAAATCCTTGCAAGCAACCTGAAGGTGCCTTCTATTTTCAATGTTAGAAACACAAATCTGATACCCATGTTTTGGGATTGTTTTGGTGTTTTGTTGTTTTGCTCTTGTAAACTGTGCATGCAATGCCTGGCTCTCTAATAATGAAGAATATGTGGATTTTATTCTTATTTCTTTTTTTCACATGCAGAAAAATAAATTATAAATTTAACAGTAAAAAAATAAATGTTCTGCTTCCTAAAACAGCAAATTTATTTTGTCATTTCCATTGATATATTTGTAAACAATTCTATCATTTATTTTAAAAAAATAATGTATTCCACTTGAAATAGGATTTTTTTTGTTAAAAAGACCAAATAACTTTAAGAAAGTCTCAGATACATGCTTGTATTTGAGCTATTTATATTTTTTGTAGAGAGAAATATTTTGGGATTGGTGTTTCCAAATGTATTCATTCATTTAGATCCCAGATACATTTGCACATTTCAGCTATACTCATTTTTTCTCAAAATTTCATTCAAATGCAATACCAATATAAATGTGTTTCCATCCAAGATGTTTACAAACTATCTGTAATGATCTATTAAAAATAAATAATAAACTTCCTGCAAATCTGGACAGAAATTTTAGAGCTCGAAAGACCAAGAAAAGTATCTTTGTACAGTTTCTATCACATTTCTTTTTACCTTCTTTTTGTAGATCAGGGGTCAGCAAACTTTTTTTGTAAAGGATCAGATAACGAATACTATAGACTTTGTAGGGTAGAGGGTCTCTGTCACAGTTACTCATTTTTTCTGTTAAAAACAGCCATATAAAGTATGTAAGTAACTGTGTGTAGCTGTGTACCAATCAAACATTATTTACCAAAACAGGCAGTGGTCCAAATTTGGCCTACCAGCTGCAGTTTTCCAACCCATTTTGTAGATAGCTAGTTTTTTCAGTGGCAGTGTACGTAGGAGATATTAGGGAATGCTGCTGCTTTAATAATTGCAGTAGTTATAGATTTCAAGTATCTATATCCATAATTCTTCCCCTCAAGACAGAGTATTGTGATACCTTTTTTTTTGGTTAAAACAATATGCAGATAAGGTGCTCGATTTTATCAGTATAAAAATTTAGTTTACCTTGATCTCTAGTAAACCAGAAGTTTTCATAAAAGTAATTGAATTATGGACATTTTGAAGAAACTATTTTTTAAGAATTAGTCACATAGAAGGTTAGTTCCAGGTGAAGCAGCTAAAATCACTGTAGCTAAAGTCAAGAAATGGGACTTCTACACATACACTATCTAAGTGTTTTATGTGATTATTATCCATAAGAAGGAGGCTAAAGGTAAGAGGGGCAGAAGAGAAAGACACTTGCAATCAGCCTTGGAAGTCAGCTGATCAGAGAAACATGAGCATTAAATCACCAAAAGAAGTAATTTCTAGGTAGAGAACTGTATTAGTTTATTGTGGATGCGTAATAAGTTACCACAAAAAGTGTAACTTAAGACAACAAAAGTTTTCTCACAGCTCTGGAGTCCAGAACTCTGAAATTCAAGTGTTGACAGGATCATACTCTCTCTAGAGGTTTTAGGGGAAAATCTACCCCTTTCCTCTTTCAGCTTCTGGTGTTGCCAGTATTCCTTGGCATGTAGCTGCACAACCTGTCTCTGCTTTCACTTTCAAACAACCTTCATGTGTGTGTGTGTAAAATCTCCCTTTGTAGTCCCTTTATCAGGATGTATGAAGGCACTTAGTACCCACCTACTTAATCAAGGATAGTGTCCTAATCTCAAAATCCTTAATTTCATCTGCAATCTTTTTTCTCAAACATTCACTAGATTCAGGGATCAGGGGAGAGATATATTTTGGGAATTCCTTATAAGCCTGCCATAAGTATGATGACCTCTTACACAGAAAATGAATAATTAGAAAATGTGAACGTTAAAAACTGAGTAGTAAGTCCTCCCTAGGGTGGGTAAGATCAGAGGGAAATATTTTCTAAACTACATATTTAAATTGAAGATGACTCAGCTTGTCTTAAAAATCAGGATGAATAAAACTGCTCCCATTTGTATATGAGCAATAATCATAAGTAATTTAATATATCTATTCCCATGTATAACAAAAAAAAAGGGAATAAAAAATCAAAGGCCCCTGGGGAAAAATACAGGGAAATTGCCAACTTGGTGAAACCCTATCTCTACTAAAAATACAAAAGTTAGCTGGGCATGGTGGTGTGTGCCTGTAATCCCAGCTACTTGGGAAGCTGAGGCAGGAGAATTGCTTGTACCCAGGAGGTAGAAGTTGCAGTGAGCAAAGATTGTGCCACTGCACTCCAGCCTGGGACACAGCGAGACTCTATCTCAAAAACTAAAAAATAAAAAAAATTAAATATTAAAAGTAAAAGTGAAGAAAAACAGATAAGGGATTTATGGTAACCTTAACATACAAAATATAATGGTTATAACTTTCAGAAGATAGGAATTTTATTATAAGTACACAATGCTTCTGGCAAAAAACAAAAAAAGCAAAAAAACCTTAAGTGAAAAGACAGCTAGCAAAAAATATTTGTCCCATTTTGAACAAGGACAAGTTTTCTTAATATACAAAAGCTGTTAAAATAATTAAAAATGGCAAGGAGCCCAAGGATATTAAAGAAAAGAATATGAACAAGCAGCTTGAAGAAATAAAAATTACTGTCTCCTCCAGTAAAGAGCAAAAATATGCTTTTCTCTTCAATAATGAGGCAAATGCAAATAAAAAATTATTTAGACATCTCTTTTTTCATTATTCACATTGGCAAAAAACTAATATTAACAATATGATCCAACATTGCCGAGCATTAGCTTAGCCAATCAGCTATTCAACAAAATAGTACAAGAAATACAACTGTGAACAAAATATATGAGGGAACTTTAAGTCTAGAGTGGTGTTATAAACTAAATAATGGACCCCCAAAGATATCCATGCCCAAATCCCTGGAACCTGTGAATATTCTACTTTCCATGGTAAAAGAGAATTTGTAAATGTGAATAAGTTAAGTATCTAGAGATGGGGGTATTATGTTAGAATATCTGGGTGGACCCAATGTAATCATAAGTGTTCTTTATAAGAGGGAGTCAGAAGTTGGAGAGATGAGCTTTGAAGATGAAAGAAGCCACTAGCCAATGAATGTAGTAGCCTCTTGAAGCTGCAAAAGATGAAACATTCTCGCTTGAAGCCTTCACTGCAGGTGCCTTAAATTTAGTCCCATAAGACACATTTTGGACTCTCAGCCTTCAAAAGTGTAAAATAAATTCGTGTTTACCTGCAAGTTTGTAGAAATCTGTTATAGCACAAATAGAAAACTAGTACACATGGGATGTTGAAATATTAAATAGAATGATTATGCAATAAAAATATCTGAATTGGCTGGGCACATTGGCTCATGCCTGTAATCCCAGCACTTTGGGAGGCTGAGGCAGGCAGATCATGAGGTCAGGAGTTCGAGACCAGCCTGACCAACATGGTGAAACCCTGTCTCTAATAAAAATACAAAAATTAGCCAGGCATGGTGGCCTGTAATCCCAGCTACTCAGGAGGCTGAGGCAGGAGAGTCGCTTGAACCTGGGAGGCAGAGGTTGCAGTGAGCTGAGATCATACTATTGCACTCCAGCCTGGGTGAGAGAGTGAGACTCCGTGTCAAAAAACAAAAACAAACAAACAAACAAACAAAAAACATTGTGGATTATTTTAAAGCAAAGACAATGAAGTTAGAAGAGAAGACAAGAGAAGTACCTGCTTAGGATGGCTAGGCAAATTTACCCCGAGGAGCTGCTTTTAAAGTGAGGCTTGAAGCATGAACTCTAAGTAACCACAGAGAAAGTTGTGTTGCAGGTGGGGTTGGTCGAGTAGGTGGGTATTCCAGGTAATGGAACATTTGTAAAGGCCTAATTAAGTAAAAATCCTACCATGTAGAGAGTATAGAAGTTCTGCTAGCTTAAGTCCAATGTTCCTGAAGTGTGAGGAAGAATAGAAGGCATAAGTTAAGGGAGGTAATAAGGGCCAGTTCATTCAGTTGGAATCATACATGTCTGACATGGTAAGAAGTGTGCATCTTGCTTGAATGTCAGCAGTTGTTATGGACTGAATTTTGTCCCCCCAAAGTTGATCTGTTGAATTCCTAATTCCCAATGTGACCAATGTGATTTGGAGATGGGGCATTTAAGGAGGTAATTACGGTTAAAGGAGGTCATAAGAGTGGGGTCCTAAGTCTATAGAATTAGTCTCCCTGTAAGAACTATCCTTTTTCCCTCTCTGTGCCTCTCTCCCCTACTCCCTCACACCCTCTCACAGTCAGTGCACAGAGGAAAGGCCATGTGAGGACACAGTGAGAAAGCAGCCATCTACAAGGGGAGAGGCCTCACCAGAAACCATTCCTGCCGGCACCTTGTTCTTGGACTTTCAGCCCCAGAACTGTGAGAAAATAAATTTCTATTGTTTAACTCACCCAGTCTGTGGTGTTCTGTTATGGCACTCTAAGCAGGTTAATATAGCAAGAAAGATTTGATGATTTTATGCAGAGCAATAAGAGACTTATATTTTAAAGTGATCACTGTGTTCCGTGGAAAACTGATTGGAGAGTGGACGAGAGGGAACTGTAAGGATATGGGAAAATGATAGGAATGTAAATTGGTATAGTCATCTTAGAAGTCAGTTTAGCATTGTATATAAGTACATAATATTTGAAAAATTCCATCTAAAGTACTTGACCACAAAAGAATCCAAAGATACTAATACCAAGATGTTCATTACAGCATTCTTTATAACAGTGTAAAACTGGGCCAATCTATAAAAATGGTTATACAAAAAAATCCCTATTTATAAAAATAAACTAATTATGATATAACAGTAGTGTAAAATACAGCAATTGAAAATTTTTTATATTCAAAGTGTGTATATATGTATACACCCAAATACACGCATGCGCGTGCGCGCGCGCGCACACACACACACACACACACACACGCACAGTACTTTCCTGTGAATAAAAATATCTCTTAAAGTATACATAAGACAAAGTTAATAGTTGTTACCTATGGAAAATGGATTGTGAAATGGTTAGGTGGGTGAGTGAAGTGTATCAGGAAAGTGACTATTGCTTTTCTTTTAAAGAGTTACTTCTTAACTCTTTAATTTCTTATGAATATATTTGCATTAAATTTATCAATGTTAAACTAATAAAGTATTAACCTTATATATTGGCCTTTTCTACCAAGTTAAATTCTTTATATATCTGGCTTTATGTACATTAACTACAAAATAAGTTTGAAATAAATTTTGATTTGTGCACAGACAACAAAACGTATTTTAGAGGCATTTGTTAGCCATATAACTATTAAATACAAATGCCTGAATACATAATATGATTTGAAATTGATGACATAAATAATGAAGCAAATGCAATGTACTATATCATTTTTAATGAATTAAAAAAACTCTAAAGGTACTTTTTATAAGAGGACCTGAAATAGGATGCCTCAGTGTCCAACTGCCTCATTAATCACTAGGAAATTATCTATGATCTTCATTAGGGACTTTTTGTACTGCTTTATCATCTTAAATAGAACACATTTCTTCCTTTCTCAAGGCAGTTAATTAAAAGACAAATGTCTTTAAGACAATAAAACTTCTACCACATATTTGAAGCAATATAGCCAATGTTATTAAAATAAATCTGTGTCACCCTTAAGCGATTCAGAGTGATCATATCATGGGTAGTAATGTATTAATTTAATCTGAATTGATTACTCTTATTAATTTTTATTTGCTTTTATCCATTATAATATCCTCAGTATTCTCAACCTTAAGTCATAGTAATATGGGTTGTTATTATTTAAGAACAAAATGTTTTCAAATTATTGTAATAAAATATTTCAAATTATTATAATTCTTCTTTTCCTGACATCACCTCTCATTTCCTTTATCATAGCACATTTTTCTACACCTATTTTATTCATTTGACTGTTAAACTTCCTCCCTTGTATTGTCTAATTTTAAAGACCCTAGCTTATGTGTGTACAGTAAATCTCCAAACAATCTTCATTAAGTTTCTATGAGCCATCTGTGCAGTAAAGTACACTTGCCATATGGCATTATATTGTACTCATATTTTATCTGAAAATTTTTTCTCACCATTGTACATTTGTTAACATTTGACTGTAAATTATATAGGCCGGGCATTATTTCTTTGTTTTATATCTTTATCCTCCTAGTAGGAGGTAGTATAATTGGATGTTTGAGGACTCCTAAGGGATGGGAATATGTGCACCTTTATTCTTTCTTCCTGAAATGATTTATTCTTTCAAAATTATGGTATTTTTATAGTAATTTTAATGTATATAGGAAAGTTGTTAAACTGTCTTTCTGTTTTGGTTCTCATGCTTTAAATTATATAAGAATCATAAATGGGGCCTATACCTGTCCATACTTCATCTATATACACCTTGACAGTAGGTTTTAATATACTTAAAAATGCATTTAAATTCACTGAACCAATTTATCCTTTTTTCCACCAGTTGACTTTATGGCTAGCCATTTCATTTGCAGATGGGTTAAAGTTATGTTTTGTAAAGTCAAAGTTTTGAAAGGAGATATCTGTATTCTATTACACTGTCCCAAGCTGCCTTGGAAGAGTCCCTTAAAAAATGTAAAACTAGATGCTATCTTGCTATCTTGTGTCTGCTTAATTTAAATGATAGTAATTGGTTTTACTATACCACAGCTATATAGACAATCCCCGACTTATAATGGTTCAACTTACAGTTTTTCGGGAAAAAATTTAAGATATTTATTAAAAACCATATTTCAAATTTTGAGCCTTTCCTGAGCTAGCAGTAGGCTGAACAATAGTCTCAGGTTGCTGGACAGCAGCAGTGAGCCATAGCTCCCCGTCATGCAATTATGAGCAAGAACAGCCAATACCCAACAGTATACCATGTTGCCAGATGATTTTACTCAGTGGTAGACTAATGTAAGTGTACTTACATTAGTTTAAGGTAGAGTTTAAGTGTAAGTGTATTTACATTAGTTTAAGTTAAGCACGTTTACGGTAGAGTAGGCTAAGCTATGATATTTGTATGTTAGGTGTATTAAATATTAAACTAAATTTTATGATTGTTTAACGTATGACAGGTTTTTGGGATGTAACCCATTGTAGTCAAGGAGCATCTATACATAATTTTACTAATGGATAGTCTAAATATCTTAAGCTGTTACTCACTATAATAATTTCTCAGATACTATAACCACAAATCTTTGGTAACAACTCTGTATCAAGAGGATTATATCAGGACAAAATTGTAAACTAGATGAGGCCTGGCCAGGCGTGGTGTCTCAAGCCTGTAATCCCAGCACTTTGGGAGGCTGAGGTGGGCAGATCACGAGGTCAGGAGTTTGAGACCAGCCTGGCCAACATGGTGAAACCCTGTCTCTACTAAAAACACAAAAATTAGACAGATGTGGTGGTGTGCGCCTGTAATCCCAACTACTCAGGATTGCTTGAACCCAAGGGGCGCAGATTGCAGTGAGCTGAGATTATGCCACTACACTCCAGCCTGGGCAACAGAGCAAGACTCCATTTCAAAAAAAAAAAAAAAAAGGTAGATGAGGACTGTCTTGAGCACTCATATATGTCTCTGATTAACCATTTAAAAATCCTTCTTAACTACACTTGATTCTTACATTTTAAACTTGTATATCTTGGATGTTCCTGAAGCTTGTAAATTTATTTAAGGAAATTCTCAATAGTATATAATCATTAACTGATAAATTTAATTAAAACAATAAGTACGGAAAATGCAGCTGTATTTAAAGGTTTTAATTAAAGCATATATATCGGCATTGATTTGCCACTCCTTTGAGTCAAGGCAAAGACCATCTTCCTAAGCATGAGTCTGCCTATTTGAGTTTTGCATGGTCTTTATATCTAAATTGTAACCCATCACCTATTTTTTGAGTATGGCCATCTGTTGAACATTATCTAATCATTTGAAATTCAGGATCATTAACCTCGTGTCAGGCTTTAGGTGTTTTCCAAAAGTCCTATAACATTTCCATATCTGTTCATTCTACCATTCTCCCAAATAACTGCCTTTCTCTCTTCTAACGTCCAATATTTTCTTCCCCATCTATGTATCCAGATGGTGATTATAATTTTCTCTTTCAATAAAAAAAATCAGAAGAGAAATTCTCTGAATTTCCACCACCACATCCATAAATTTATTTCCATGGAGCTCATAACTTCATCTTCCCTCCTGTTCCTTCAGAATGATCTTTCCATTCCCCAGTCTAAGGCCATGCCCTTCACATATGCATCAGATCCCTCTTGCCTGTTTAAGAACATCCTTTTAGCTATTTTCCCTCTCTCATCCAAATGTTCCACGGTTTCCTTTCTATGCAGTAATTTACAGGAACATGTGAACCATTTATTTCATCTTACATGAACCATCTCTTGATTTCACATTCTTCTCTATCAGTATATTTTTTGTTATTTACATAAAATCCGCACCAAAAACACTTTGAATAAGTTGTATCAGACACATTCCAATTCAGGACCACCTGCTGCCCCTGTTCTTTATGTATGAGAAATTCCTTTTACTTACAACGGTCCACTTCCACTTTAAAGGAAAATGTAAATAATTATTGAAGAGACAAAGCCAATTTCCTGTAAAATATACATATTTTTGCCTTCTTAAAATGTAGTCATAAAACAACATGAGCATACAACTAAGTGATATCAAAACATAAGATGTATTCAATATTTTGTCCATATTTTGGAAATCAAACTTGAAAATTTTACATTTGGGGGTAAATGTTGTTTTTCTCTTTTCTTGTATTTTACAACTTTCCCTGGCAAAGGAGGACAAGGCTTTAAAATTTTGTTTTGGGTTGGTGTGCAACTTCCATGCTATTAGGGGAGATAATAAAATACTGAAGACTTATCTAGGCATATGTCAACAGATCAACAAAAATCAACTATCTGGATATTTACTCTATAAAGTTTGTTTTTCATTGAAGGTCTCTTCCCCCCCATAACAAAATAGGGACAACTCTCTTGCTAATTCTGTGGTTTTGACCTCTTAACCTAGTCAGTATACATGAAGAAAAGAATAACAACATGCAGACCTATGAGAACTGAAGCCTAAAAGATACATCTGGTCATCAGAAGGGAGTGTAGAATGTGCCAATGGCAAATAGTCACACTTACACTATACCATCTGGTACAGCAGAACTAATGGAGGAAAGAAGAGAGCTAATCTAAAGTAAATGACATATAAGCATGTTGCTGATCCAAATAGAATGAGGTGAAGGATGTCATTCTTCCACATTAGGTTCAGTTGAATACGGGGGCAGTAACATTGATGATCTGAGTGATGTGAATCACTTTTAAGTCAGAGAGCATTTCAAGTGATCAAAATTTCAGGAGAAATCAAACATTTGGAGGACATAACTATGCCAAATAATATGAGCCAAGAAACTTGGGGTTTTAGAACAATTTAGCTAGACTTTGAATGCACCGATCATCTGGTCAAGTAATGCTTAATAAATATGGAAAAAAAATCAGTAAATTTTTCCAAGGTGATGCTGCTCATCACTAGTGGAAAGGCACTCACATAAGAGCAGTCTTTTGATCTGTGCTGGGCCACATTCAAATGGGCTTTGGGCCCAAAATACTTAGTTGCCAAGAGATCAAGGGCCCATGCAGCCTGTGCTGGTTTACCACCTTGTGTGGGGTATCTTTTTCTATTTCTGGCTCGGTGAGTGTTTTTTTGGTTTGGCTTAAATGTGTATGGTAATATCCCTCAGGCATGCACACCCCCCAGCTTTTAGTATTTCAGAATCTGTGGGAGAGGGTCGGGATCCTTCTATTGTGGGGAGGAGAGGGGTACATATAAGCCAATTACCCTGCCTAACTGCAGGGGGTCAGAGGGGTGTGAGGGATGAGAGTGTGGAGTGCTAGCCACTAGGGACCATGACAAACTCTTGGAGCAGATGTTGCTCTGCCTTTTTTCTGTGAATAAAGTGTTTTCCTTGGCGACTCTGATACCAAGATGCAGTGGGCAGAAGTGTGTGAACTTCTACTTATGATGGTTGGCACAGTAATGATCTTTGCTACCCCGCATGTCATTGAAGCCATCCTCTGGCACTGATAACCAATACACAGTGTTCTGCTTGACAATAACCATAAAAAAAAAGGCTATCCTTTTTCTCTGGGAGGTACAGAAAGGGTTTGTGGAATCCTTGTGACATTTACAGAATTTCTGGCAGCAGGGATTTTTTTTCTTTCCTGGAAATTGTGAGTGTTGGTCCAGCCCCATTCTGACTCAATTGTAACCATTTTAATTTTCTAAAAAGTGAGATAAAACATGTGAATGTTAAAGTAGGTAATCAGAAACTCCTATGTGACTTAAAAGAGAAACATCAAGTAATTTGAAAGAAAGATAAAGTTTGAAGCATTGCCTTGTTAACATTCTATTGACAGTTCTTCCAGTGAACAATTTTATGTTAAGAAATGAAAGATCAGCTAAAATTATCTGATTCTGCAGTAATAACAGTTCAACCTCAATATTCTCAGAGCTGTATGAGTCAATAAAGGTGTCAAAGGATTGTACAGATTTTTGAGTCCAGCAAAAGAAATTGCAACAGAAACCCTCTAGCATTGTAACAGTAATGTTGACATTGATTTAGCATTGGCTTAAGCTTCTTACATGTATATAATTATGTATGTTAACATTTCACAAAACTTTACTACAGCCCTAGTATTAGGGCTTTGACAATAAGATTAAGATCATAATCATTATTTTTTCTCTCCTATTAGCAACTGACTATTCCTTCCTTGTCTCCTTGCTTTATATTATTAAATTGCCTCTGAACAGTAATCCATTAATCAATAGTAAAATATAATCCTTGCAATTACCTTTGCATAAAGCCATGCTAAGCACATTTTGTGCCATGATTTACACATGGCAACAAAAAGATAGCCCTTTAACCATTTCACACCAACCCATTTTAGCATCAACTTATTTCTATGGAAGATACTGATTTATGTAAGCAGCACTTGAACACTTTCTTAAATATGATTTTTTCTTACTTTTGCATTTCTCTGTAGAACCAGATACATTGCTTATCCAAAGTGGAAGCATTTTAAATATGTGTAGACTAGTCTTACTTTGCTTTTTATTTAATGTAAGTTCATTTAAAAAGTGTTGTACATTGGCCTTTTTTTTTTTTTTTTTTTTTTTTTGAGACGGAGTCTCGCTCTGTCACCCAGGCTGGAGTACAGTGGCGCAGTCTCGGCTCACTGCAAGCTCCGCCTCCCGGGTTCACGCCATTCTCCTGCCTCAGCCTCTCCGAGTAGCTGGGACTACAGGCGCCCGCCACCACGCCCGGCTAATTTTTTTTTTATTTTTAGTAGAGACGGGGTTTCACCGTGGTCTCGATCTCCTGACCTCATGATCCACCCGCCTCGGCCTCCCAAAGTGCTGGGATTACAAGCGTGAGCCACCGCGCCCGGCCGGCCTTTCTTATGGTAGTGTGTTGGAGTTTTTCTCCATTTCTATTTAAATTGGGTTTATATAACTCACATATGGGGGAATATCATGTTGTTCAGACAATGAATTGCTCAAAAGATTTAAAAGGTTATAAAGGCAAATATCTTTCTCTGTACATTAAGGGTTAGATTTGGTGACCATATATAAATGCACATGAAACCCCTGTAACAACACACAAGCAGATGCTAGAAAATGCTCACACTTATGTTAAAGAGCAGGAAGATTTGATTGTAATATTTTTGAACTTAGAATATATTTAGGTGTAGATCCCAGTTTTGAACTTGTAAATATGACAATCAATGGCATCTTTTCTAAGTAGTAATTTTGTCTTTCTCTATTTTTGTGTCTGGCAATAATTTTCCCCTTGCTTTTTATAGTTTCTAAAAATAAATCTTGAGATTTTCAAAATACATGAAAGCAAATTCCCAGCCAGTTTTTCACTTGAGCATATTTGCAATGGTGTTATAATTCTAAAAATAATATTTATGTTATGTTTAATGTATCCTGATTTGAAATTTGTACAAGAGGTTTTAAAACTTTGTGAGTTGTTAGCATATATGATTATATAAATTTTAAAAGCTGAAGCCAATGCTAAATAAATGTCAGTGTAGTCGTTAGGAAAAAATGTGATAATTTACATCAGCTAACAAGTCTAAACATTGTATTTATATGGTAAAACTTTTAAGCACTTCTCCTAAGAAGACTGGATTCTGTAGCTATATAGTCTGCAGAAGATGGGGCCAAACTAACCTCAAATTAGTGAAGCTTTGGCAATCTCAAGATCTCAACTTGTACGTGTATAGAAAATTGAACCCAACTAAACCCCAAAAACAACACTACAGTTTGATGCACTTTTCAAAGAAAAAAAGGTCATCACAAGTTTTTATGCCATATATTTCAATATTTAACACTATCCTCATAGCTATTTCTCAGTCTCGCATTTCTATTAATTCCTTTTGATGGTGAAGATTTCCTTCTTCAATCCCTAAATCTTGATTACAAGAAAGAGGACTCATTGTTATATCCAAAAAAAAAAAATAGGACAACATAATTATTTAGCTTAAAAAATAACCTGTACATTCTATTCTCCAAGGCAAAAAAAAAAAAAATCTGTAGTTACTGTTGCAGTCTTGTTTCATATTTACTTATTTATTCTATAGCAGAGTTTCTCCAGCTTGGTATTATTGATATTCAGAGCCAAATAATTGTTTTTTTGTGGGAGGTGATCCTATGTATTATGATGTTTGGCAGCATCTCTTCCCTGTTTATTCAAAGATGCCAATAGCACCCAGTTGTGACAATCAAAAATGTCTTCAGATATTGCCAAATGTCACTCAGTAGGCATTGTAAGCCAATGACCTACAGGATAGTTTGGGAATTTCAGGGCTTATGGTATTAGAAACATAAAGGGAATGAAAACATAATAAGTTATTTTACAGTGGAAGACATATCCTAAAAAAAACAGGAAAATCAGTATGGCAGTTGTCATATATATATATATATATATATATACGTTCATGTGTCCTAAGTAATTGGCATAGGTAATTTGTTACACAGAGCAGAACTTATGGGGACAAAGTTTGAAGTATCCAGAAATCTGGATATTCCTAGCATGTCACATAGGTTAGGCTTTCTATTTCAGGAAAAAGTGATGCGGTTTCTTAACCTTAAAAAATGGGACCTCACATTTTACAATTGTTTTGGGGGTTCATGTAAGGTTTGCTGCTGCCTTTAGCTAATTAATATTTTTATTTTCATAGTATATGTGCAGTATAGTATGGTATTTTAGTAAAGTATTGATATACTAACATCAGGAAATAAACTCACCTTTGTATCTCATACTCAATTATTAGCTTTGAGGTATTTTATTCCGTAAAAATTTTATACTGTATGTTAATATAATTAAAACCATTAAACAATGTAAATAACTACATTCTTATGTTGATGATTACAGAAAATTAGTTGATTTAATCTGTTGAAAGACATGAATAACACTATGCTTCCACAACACTGAGTTCCCTTTGCCCTTACAGCTGCAGTTTTAATTATAGCTTCTGCTCTTATAGTAATAACTATTCATTATTTTCTTCCTGTTTTCTACACTGAATGTCTTTTCTTTGTACCTGAGCCATAAAGGCTCCAGTCTCCAAAGGTTGACTGTCAATTTAATACATATTAAAGCTGAATTTCTGTCTTAAATTCCTCACCTTAACAGTTAACATTGGAAAAGGTGACATTAAATCAAAGCTCACAGATGGTTTCTAATGTGGAGCTCTGCATGTGTATTACATTGTTACTGAGACTTGTATATTTTTTCCTTCTTTCAGTGAGCAGTCATAAAAATTAAATGCATTTTAATATTATTTCAGACTATCAAGAAAAGCTTTAAAACACACTTTATAGAAAATTTGAAGTTAAAACCAAACTATACTTCATGAAAATATATCTTTTGGATGACTTCCTGGTCTGTGTCTCCATTATTTTGTTACTAGTCATCTTCTATTTTCCCATGGCATTCTGATATCCAGGACACGTCTTCTTTGCTCCAAGTATTATGTTGCTTTCCCAATGCCAAGAGTTGGTACTGGGAGCACTATTACGGTTTGCATTCATTTTTTTCTCCCTGCCATGGTTCATTATTGCTCTGCCTATTTTAGATTCAAGAGTCAACATTAATATGCCTCAAACACTGCTGGGTGCTTCCACAGATCACCTTGCCTCATCACATCAACCTGTGAGGTGTTTAGTGCCACTATCATTTTGAAGATGAGGAAACTGAGGCTTAGGATTTTTTTTGAGTCATATGATCATGGACACACAGACATTTCTTCTATGACTTTCAGTGTGACTCACCCATCTGATAAACTCATCTCTGCTAATGATGTGCACCAAAGAACCAGCATTCCCCTTTTGGTATGCACATTTTTAAGATAATCTTTCAAAATACGACGCCCGGATTTTTTTTTTTAACCAAAAGAGGAAAAAACGTGCTTAGATCAAGTGAGAAAAACTCTGTGGTTATGAGAGGTTATGAAGTTATGAGAGATTAAATCATAAATCTTCTCTGGGTTTTGATAAAAAGATATGTATAAATACACATATAATGGCATGATGTTAAAGGCAGTTTAAATCATAAAGATGGTTGTGATGTTTTAAAATAGTGTTTATGGAATTTTAGTTATAATTAATGGCATGTTCTTGGAAAAAAAAGTTGAATTCTCAATATGCCAAATCAGCAATGAACTCTGTATGAGGCCTAATTAATAAATAATAGTCTTTTTTGTCCTTGACAATTTTTTCCTGGAAAACTCAGCTCTTGGAGGTGCATTATGAAGTATGAATCAATATGAGAAATGCAATTTTAACTAGAAATGAAGTAAGGACTCTGCCTAGAGGGTAACTTGTCTAAGTTTATTATTCAGATGATAAAAAACCATTTTATTGAGAATACCAAAAAAAATAAAAACCTGGTAAGTCTTTCCCTTAGAATGAATAAAGTATTGATGTTTCTACAAAAGAAATGTAGTAGTAGAAATTTTCATCTTATATGTTGTTAATTTTATTAAATCAATAAAGTTACTTAGGGGATTTATAGGTTTTTAGGGTATATTCACTACTAGGGTTACAAAATGTCTGAAGTCACAAGTTATGGATTTAGGAATCTTGTTTAATAATAAATACTGTTCCTGTTGAGGCACTGTAAGCCCAATGCTTATGGATAAGAAGTAAAAAAAAAAACAAATTCTATTATTCAAGGGCATAATATGCATTATGTCAACTATATAAATATTTAGTGATAATGTTCTAAAAGACATCTGAATGGGCTTTTGAATCTTTCTTTGTGTACATGTATTAGTAACCTTAATCACAGACTACTGAAATGGAGACTGAAACATTCTTTATGAGTAGGACATAATATAAATGACTATAAGAAGAAAACAAAAAAAGTATGTCAGAAAGAATGCCAATTCTTTAATTCCTATACTATCCATGTAAACTACTACAAGTCAGAATCTGTCAGAATCCCTTACCGATGAGTATAAAATGAGAATAGTAAAATTCATTTTACAGAGTTAGAGTGTGGATAAAGGTTACAGTGGCAATAAAAGTGTAACCCATAGAAAATAGTGTAAAACAGTTAGGCACAAGTCCAGTGAATTCCATTCCTGTCAGGTGTTTGATCTTTAGGTTAAAAAGTCATCAAAAAATTCAAGGACTTTTGCACAATGGCACAATTTTCCAAGAACTAGCTGAAATATTGGCAGTTGTACTCAAGTTGCAAATTGGTCTAATCCTGTCAAAGTAAAATCAAGTTCTATGAGTTTGACTATTTTAGATACCTCATGCAAGTAAATTATGTGGTATTTATCCTGTGATTGGCTTATTTCACTTAGCAAAGTGTTCTTCATATTCATCTATGTTGTCACCAATGACAGAATTTCCTTTTACAATCTTTTTTCTTTTAATGATACATAATATTTTACATATTATGCGGTACACATATTTGTTACATGCATAGAATGTGTAATGATCAAGTTAGGGTATTTGGAGTATACATCATCTTGAGAATTTACCATTTTTGTATATTGGTAACATTTCAAGTCCTATCTATCTTTTAGCTACTTTGAAATATACGATATGTTGTTGCTAACTGTAGTCCTCCTAATCTGCTAATGAACATTATAACTTTTTTATAATCTAATTATATATTTGTACCCACTCTCCAACCTCTCAAAATTTCCCCCTCCCACCCTCATGTGCTTCCCAGCAGTTGGTATCTATCACTCTATCTCTATTAGGTCAAGCTTTTTAGTTCCCACATATGGCTGAGAACGTGCAGTATTAGTCTTTCTGTGCCTGGCTTAATTTACTTAACATAATGACCTCCAGTTTCATCCACACTGCTGCAAACAACATGATTTCATTCTTTTATTTGGCTAAATTGTATTTGTAGAAATATAGCCATCTTCTTTATCCACTCATTCATTGGTGGACACAGGTGATTTTATATATCTTTGCTATTGTGAATAGCGCTGCAACAAACATGTGAGTGCAGGTATTACTTTGATATACTGATTTCATTTCCTGTGGATAAATACCCAGCAGTGGGACAGCTGAATTGAATGGTAGTTCTATTTTTAGTTCTTTGAGAAATCTCCAGTTTTCCATAGTGGTTCTACTAATTCATGTCCCCACCAACAGTGCATAGGAGTACACTTTCTTTATGTCAATGCCAGTATCTGTCACCTTTTGCCTTTTTAACTATAGCCATTCTAACTAATGGAAGATGTATCTCATTGTCGTTTTGATTTGCATTTCCCTAATGATTACTGATGCTAAACATCTTTCACATGTCTGTTGGCCATTATTTTTTTATATCTTCTTTTGTGGAATGTCTGTTCAAATCCTTGGCCTACTTTTTAATAGGATTTTTTATTATTATTCAGTTTGTGTTCTTTGTCTATTCTGGATATTAGTCTTTGTCAGATGAAATATTTTTTTCCCTTTCAGCAGGTTGTGTCTTCACTCTGATTCTTTCCTTAGCTGTGAAGAAGCTTTTTAATTTAATGTAGTCCCATTTGTCTATTTTTGTTTTAGTTGCTTGTGCTTTGGAGGTCTTAGCCATAAAAATCTTTGCTTAGACCAATGTCATGAAGCGTATGTTTTCCTCTAGTAGTTTTACAGTTTTGAGTGTTCCATTTAAATCTTCAGGCCATCTTGTGTTGATTTTTGCATATAGTGAAAGTTAGGGGTCCAGTTTCATTCTTCTACATATGGATTCCCAATTATCCCAATACTATTCATTGAAGAGTATTTTCTTTCCCCACTGTACGTTCTTGGCACCTTTGTCAAAATTCAGTTGGCTGTAAATATGTGGATTTGTTTCTGTGTTCTCTATTCTGTTCCATTGTTCTATGTGTCTATTTTTCTACTAATATCATGCTGTTTTGGTTACTGTAGCCTTGAAATACATTTTAAAGTCAGGTAGTGTGATGCTCCCAGCTTTGTTATTTTTGCTCCAGATGGCTTTGGCTATTCTGGTTCATTTTTGGTTCCATAAAAATTTTTGAATTGTTTTTTCTATTTCTGTGAAAAATGTCTAATATTTTGAGAGAAATTGCAGTGCATCTGTATATTGCTTTGGGCAGTGTGATCATTTTAATATTACTTCTTCTGATCCATGAAGATGGGTTGTCTTTCCATTTGTTTGCATCATCTTCAATTTCTTTTATCACCGCCTTATAATTTTTCCTGTAGAGATCTTTTACTTCCTGTGTTAAATTAATGCCTAGGTATTTTTTAAGCTATTGTAAATGGTTTGCCTTCTTGATTTTTTGTCCGTTTCATTACTGGTGATTAGAAGTGCTACTAATTTTTGTATGTTGATTTTGTATTCAGGAACTTTACTGGAACAATAAGTTCTAGGTTTTTTGGTAGAACTTTTTGGTTTTTATAAATATAACTTCGTGTTATTTGTACAGAGACAATTTGACTTCCTCTTTTCCAATTTGGATGCTTTTTATTTCTTTGCTTTTGCCTGATTACTCTGGCTGGGACTTCCAGTACTATGCTGAATATCAGTAGTGAAAGTGGGCATCCTTGTGTTGTCCCAGTTCTTACAGAAAAGGATTTTAACTTTCCTTATTCTGAATGATGTTAGCTGTGCATTTGGCATATATGGCCTTTATTATTTTGAGTTATGTCTGTCTATGCCTAGTTTGGGAATTTTTAACATGAAGGGATGTCGAATTTTAGCAAATGATTTTTCTGCCTCTATTGAGATGATCCTATGGTTTTTGTCCCTCATGCTGTTGATGTGATGTATATTTATGGATTTGTATACATTAAGCCAACATTGAATCCCTGATATAAATTCCACTTGATCACAGTGTATTATCTTTTTGATGCGCTGTCAAATTTAGTTGTTAATATTTTGTTGAAGATTTTAGCATTTATGTTGATTAGGGATATTGGCCTGTAGTTTGTTGTTATTGTTGTTGTTGTTGTATTCTTGTCTTGTTTTGGTATCGATGCTGGTACCACAAAATGAGTTATGAAGAATCTCCACCTTGTCAATTTTTTGGAGTAGTTTCAGAAAAATTGGTATTGTTCTTTATATATTTAGTAGAATTTGGCAGTGAGTCCATCCAGTCCTCAGTTTTTCTTTATTGGGAGACATTTTATTATGGATTCACTATCACTACTCATTATTGGTCTGTTCAGGCTTTCTATTTCTTCCTGATTCAATCTTGGTAGGTTGCAGGTGTTTAGGAACTTATTCACTTCCTCTAGTTTTTCCACTTTGTTAGCGTATAGTTTTTTATAATGTTCTCTGATGATCTTTTATATTTCTGTGGTATTAGTTGTAACATCTTTCTTCATTTCTTAATTTTTTATATCTTTGTTAGTCTAGCTAGTGGTTTATTAATTTTATTTTTTAAAGAAGCAACTTTTCCTTTTATTAATACTTTATATTGATTTTTAGACTCAGTTTAATTTAGTTCTGCTCTGATCTTTATTATTTGTTTCCTTCTGCTAATTGTGGATTTGGTTTCTTCTTGCTCTTCTAGTATATTAAGGCACATCATTACATTGCTTTTTTGGAAATCTTTCTACTTTTTAAATGTAGATGTTTATTGGTATAAACTTTCCTCTTGGTATCTCTTTTACTATACCTCAGAGGTTTTGATATGTTGTTTTTTCATTTTAATTTCTTTCAAGAATTTTTTTTTCATTTCCATCTTTATTTTTCATTGACTCAATGGTCATTCAGGAGTATATTGTTTAAATTTCCATGTATTTGTATATTTTCCAAAGTTACTGTTGGTATTGATTTCTAGTTTTATTCCACTATAGTTTAGGAAGACACTTTATATAATTTCAATTAAAAAAAAACTTGTTGAGACTTGTGGCTTAACATATGGTCTATCCCAAGGAATATTTCATAAGAATGTGTATCTCATAAGAATATGTACCTACTGTGCTCATTAGATTGTATATCCACAGTTATTGAATAAAATATACTGTAAATGTTTGTTAAGTCCATTTGGTCTAAAGTACAGTTTAAATCCAATATTTCTTTATTTTGTCTAGATGATCTGCCTAATTCTGCAAGTGGGATGTTAAAATCCCCCACTATTATTTTATTGAACTCTAGTAATATTTGCTTTCTGAATAGGCATCTCCAGTGTTGGGTGCATACATATTTATAATTGTTATATCATCTGGCTGAAATTTTTCCTTTATCATCATGCCTTATTTGTCTCTTTTTACTGTTTTCAACTTAAAATCTGTTTAAGCTGACATAAGTGTAACTACTCCTGTTTTCTTTGGGTTTCCATTTGCATGAAATACCTTTCCCATCCCTTTATTTTCAGTCTATATGTGTCTTTAAAGGTAATTTAGATAGCATATGGTTGAATTATATGTTTATTTTTAAATTCCTTCAGCCAGTGTTCATCTTTTACATGAAGATTTTAACCCATTTTCATTCAAGGTTAACATTAATATGTGGAGTTTTTTCCCTGTCACATTGCTAATTGTTTTCTCATTGTTTTGTGTAGCCTTTGTTCTTTTCTGTCATTGTTTGACAATTTTCTGTAGTGGTGTCATTTGAGTCCATTTTCTTCCTCATTTATGTGTTTACCATTGAGCTTTATACTTTCATATGTTTTATGATTGTAAGTATCATTCTTTTGCTTCCAGGTTTAGCATTTGTTATAGAGCCATTCTAATGGCTATGAACTCTCTGTTTTCTCTTGTCATGAAAAGACTATTTCTTTTTCCTTTATGAAGGATAATTTTTGCTGGATACCGTATCCTTGGCAAACAGTGTCCTTTCTTTCAGCACATTGAACATATTATGCTGTTCTCTCCTGGTCTGAAAGAAGGTTTCTGCTGAGAAATCCATTGTTAATATGACAAGCATTTCTTTTTAGGTCACCAGAAACTTTTGCTGTTTTTAAAAGTCTCCCTTTGTCTTTGACTTTAGGCAGTTTGACTACAATGTGGTGTGGAGAAGAGATTTTTGCATTGTATCTGGGGGATCTTTTGTCACCCTAAATCTGAATGACTAAAACTTTTGCTAAACTTGGAAAATTTTCATCTATTAGTTTGTTAAATAGAATTTTTAACCCTTTAATTCTTTCTTTGCATACCATGACTCCAATTGAGTATTTCGTCACTATGATTTTCTATAGATCACTTTTTTCTTTATCTTGTTTGACTTATTTCAAAAGACCTGTCTGCAAATTCTAAGATTCTTTCTTCTACTTGATGTAGTCTATAATTGAAGTTTTTGGTTGTATTTTGTATTTCATTGAACTCTTCAGTTCTAACATTTCTTTTTTTTAATGATATTTATCTCTTTGGTAAACTTCTCATTCATATCCTGAATATTTTTTTCTAATTTCTTTGCATTTTCAGAATTTTATTGTGTCTCACTAAGCTTCCTTAGTATGAATATTTTGAATTCTTCTTCCAGAATTTTTTAATGTTATGATTGGGATCTGTTGCTATTGAATCATTGTGTTCCTTTGGAGGTGTCATATTTCCTTGTTTTTTAAAGATATTTCTTATATCCCTACATTGATATTTGTGCAATTTGTCTAACAGTCATTTCTTCCATTTTTTTGAATTGCTTTCATGGGGAAGAACTTTTTCCTGAAGACGTATTTATAGCATTGGTTGGATAGGGCAATTAGCTTTGATTACAGATGTGTACAGTAGTATAGTTTCTGTATGATTTCTTTGGCTATAAACGTGTGACTGGTTTCCGTGATTTCTTCTATGGTGTAGGATACAACTATTAGTGAATGCTATGCTGAAGTTTTGTTGGGGACTGGGATTCCAGGTAGGCCAGTCTTCAGTCCCCAGTGGTGGGCTAAGCATGGCTGACTTTGGGCCCCAGGGAGGTATATGCCAGCACTGGTGTTAGTGGGTCCAGGTAGGCTAACTCCTGGCCCTTCAAGTGGCTTACTCAGATGCTGGTGGTAGCAGCAGTAGACCTGGGCCCCTCAGCACCCAGCACAAGATAGGTGGTGGCAGTGGAAGGACAACCTTCTAGGTGCCAAGTAGTGCATGCTGGTATTGGTGGTGACTGTGACGGATGGGCCAGGTTATCGCCATGCTGGCAAGTGGAATGTGCAGGTAGATGATAGCTGTAGTAGTCACAACAGGGCGGGTAGCACAATTTCACATCTCCAGGAGTAATGTTCAGGTGCCAACACAGGTAGAAGGGCTGGGCCCTTGGACTCTGTGCTTGAGGGCAGGTGGGGATAATTAGGAGCAAAGCTAGGCTGGATGGGCTTGTCATTAGGCCCATAATGGTGTGTGCAGGCACCACCATGCTGCTTCCCTGCTGCTGGGTGGAGGTGAGCAGCACCTCCTTCCGTGGTGACAGCCTATGCCAGTGGGTGGGGAACAGGTACACTGCTCATGCCTCAGCCCTGGCCGTGGCAGGCCCTGCTTCTTTTGCATCTCAGCCCAGGACAGTGCACAATTTGTTGGGGGTGGGCTCTAAAATGGCACCTTTCTGTAGCTATTTAGCTCTCAGGACGTGTGTGGAACTTAGCCTATGCTACCTCTCTGAAATAGTGCCATCACAGAATCTCTTGGCAGCTCACTATGTTAATTTCAGGATCCATGAACATCCAGGGACTAACCAATGGCTAGGATTGTAGGAGTCCATGGTGGGAAATTAGGTTGCTAAGGGTCTCTCACTTACCCTTTTGCCACACTGGGGAGTCTGTCTCAGCTCAAAGCCTATCCCAGCCTAGCATGCTGCCTTGCTTCCCTTTCTTTCCTTGTGATAGGACTTTCCTGTCACTTTTCTGTTAAATTCCAGTGTTTTCTCTTGGATGATCTATTCAAAGTATGATTATCTACTCACTATTTTGTTTTTTTAATGGAAAGGTGAGTATGAAATGCCTTTAGTCATCTATTTTGAAGCCCCTCTCCTAGATTTTCCAGATTTCCTTTTTTAATGCTTAATACTTCATTGTATGAATATTCTCTTTAGTCATCTGTCAATGGACATTTGGGTTGTTTCCGTATCTTTGCTACTGGGAATAATGCTGCAGTGAACATGGAAGCACAGATATCTCTGAGATAATGATTTATATTATTTAAGATATTTCCCAAAAGTGGAATTGTTGGATCACATTGCAGTTCCATTTTTTATTTTTGAGAATCTTCCATATTGTGTTCCATAACAGTGGCACCATTTTACATTCCCAACAGTGTACAAATGTTCTAATTACTCCACTTTCTCATCAACACTTATCTTCTTTAAGTAGCTGTCTTGACAGGTGTGAGGTGGTATCTCGTGGTTTTAATTTACATTTCCCTGTGGATTAGTGATGTTTAGCAGCTTTTAATTTACCTATTTGCTATTTGTATGTCTCTTTTCAAGTCTGTTCAATTCCTTAGCCCGTTTTAAAATTGTTTTTCTTTCTTTTCTTTTACTATTGAGTTGCAAGGGTTTCTCATATATTTTGGATATTAGCCCCTTATCAGATATATGGTTTGAAAATATTTTTTCCCATTCTGTAGCCTGCCTTTTCACTCTGCTGGTTGTTTCTTTTGTTCTTTGCTGTGCAGAATGTTTTTAGACTCATGTAGTCCTACTTGTCCATTTTTGCGTTTTTTGCCTGTGCTTTTTGTGTTATAGCCAAGAAATCATTCCCAATACCAATATCAAGAAGGCTTTATCTTATGTTTCATTCCAGGAGTTTTTCAGTTTTAGGACTTATGTTTAAGTCTTTAATCTATTTTGCATGGATTTTTATGTATGGTATAGATAGGGGGCTGATCTCACTCTTTGGTATGTGAACAGTCACTCTTCAACCAATTGTTGAAAAGATTTTTTCCCTTTCTGTATTCTTGGCACACTATTGAAGATCCATTGAGTGTATACGCATGGGTTTATTTTTGGTCTCTTTACTCTGTTCCATTGGTCTATATGTCTGTCTTTATGCTTGTATCATACTGAAAGAGAGAATATAAAGGTGGTTGACAGGGGCTGGAATTAGAAAAAAAGAGTAGTCCCTCATGGCTATAAAGTTTCAGTTATATATTGTAAGTAACTTCTAGAGATCTGCTGTAGAATGTAGTGGCTATAGTTAACAATGCTATATTGTGGGCTTAGAAATGTGTCAGAAGTGTAGATCTCATGTTAAGTGTTCTTACAATAACAACAAGAAAACTAAAGAGGCACAAGGTAACTCTTAGAAGTAATAAATCTATTATCTTAATTGTTCTATTATCTTGTTATGATGGTTTCATGAGTATATACAAATGTCCAAAATCAAATTATATACAATAAATATGTGCAATAATTTTAATATTAGACCTAAAAGTTAAGTTATCTTTCATTATCTAAAAATAAACAAAAATACTGAAAAATAGGTACCAAAAAAAGAAAAACTCATGACAAAAATCTGATGTTATGAAACTGTATTTCCTCCAATGTACATTCAACAGAATGCATAACTGGGCATAGCAAAAAATAATCCTATGAAGTAGACAGCCATAGCCCAGAGTTAGAAAACCGTGTGTGTGTGTGTGTGTGTGTGTGTGTGTGTGTGTGTGTGTAAGAGAAAAAAGAGAGAGAGAGATTATAAGCAGATACAGCAGATATTAATAAATTACGTATTGATGGGACATATCTCAAAATAATAACAGCTATCTATGACAAACCCACAGCCAATATCATATTGAATGGGCAAAAACTGGCAGCATTCCCTTTAAAAATGGGCACAAGACAGAGATGCCCTCTCTCACCACTCCTATTCAACATAGTGTTGGAAGTTCTGGCCAGGGCAATCAGGCAGGAGAAGGAAATAAAGGGTATTCAATTAGGAAAAGGGGAAGTCAAATTGTCCCTGTTGGCAGATGACATGATTGTATATCTAGAAAACCCCATCATCTCAGCCCAAAATCTTAAGCTGATAAGCAACTTCAGCAAAGTCTCAGGATACAAAATCAATGTACAAAAATCACAAGCATTCCTATACACCAATAACAAACAGAGAGCCAAATCATGAGTGAACTCCCATTCACAATTGCTTCAAAGAGAATAAAATACCTAGGAATCCAACTTACAAGGGATGTGAAGGACCTCTTCAAGGAATACTACAAACCACTGCTCAATGAAATAAAAGAGGATACAAACAAATGGAAGAACATTCCGTGCTCATGGGTAGGAAGAATCAATATTGTGAAAATGGCCATACTGTCCAAGGTAATTTATAGATTCAATGCCATCCCCATCAAGCTACCAAAGACTTTCTTCACAGAATTGGAAAAAACTACTTAAAAGTTCATATGGAACCAAAAAAGAGCCCACATTGCCAAGTCAATCATAAGCCAAAAGAACAAAGCTGGAGGCATCATGCTACCTGACTTCAAACTATACTACAAGGCTACAGTAACCAAAACAGCATGGTACTGGTACCAAAACAGAGATATAGATCAATGGAACAGAACAGAGCCCTCAGAAATAATGCCACATATCTACAACCATCTGATATTTGACAAACCTGACAAAAACAAGAAATGGGGAAAGGATTCCCTATTTAATAAATGGTGCTGGGAAAACTGGCTAGCCATATGTAGAAAGCTGAAACTGGATCCCTTCCTTACACCTTATACAAAAATTAATTCAAGATGGATTAAAGACTTACATATTAGACCTGAAACCATAAAAACCCTAGAAGAAAACCTAGGCAATACCATTCAGGACATAGGCATGGGCAAGGACTTCATGTCTAAAACACCAAAAGCAATGGCAACAAAAGCCAAAATTGACAAATGGGATCTAATTAAACTACAGAGGTTCTGCACAGCAAAAGAAAATACCATCAGAGTGAACAGGCAACATAAAAAATGGGAGAAAATTTTCACAACCTACTCATCTGACAAAGGGCTAATATCCAGAATCTACAATGAACTCAAACAAATTTACAAGAAAAAAACAAACAACCCTATCAAAAAGTGGGCAAAGGATATGAACAGACACTTCTCAAAAGAAGACATTTATGCAGCCAAAAAACACATGAAAAAATGCTCATTGTCACTGGCCATCAGAGAAATGCAAATCAAAACCACAATGATTTACCATCTCACACGAGTTAGAATGGTGATCATTAGAAAGTCAGGAAACAACAGGTGCTGGAGAGGATGTGGAGAAATAGGAACACTTTTACACTGTTGGTGGGACTCTACACTAGTTCAACCATTGTGGAAGTCAGTGTGGCGATTCCTCCGGGATCTAGAACTAGAAATACCATTTGACCCAGCCATCCCATTACTGGGTATATATCCAAAGGATTATAAATCATGCTGCCATAAAGACACATGCACACGTATGTTTATTGTGGCACTCTTCATAATAGCAAAGACTTGGAACCAAGCCAAATGTCCAACAACGATAGACTGGATTAAGAAAATGTGGCACATATACACCATCGAATACTATGCAGCCATAAAAAATGAAGAGTTTATGTCCTTCGTAGGGACATGGATGAAACTGGAAACCATCATTCTCAGCAAACTATCGCAAGGACCAAAAAACCAAACACCGCATGTTCTCACTCATAGGTGGGAATTGAACAATGAGAACACATGGACACAGGAAGGGGAACATCACACTCTGGGGACTGTTGTGGGATGGGGGGAGGGGGAAGGGATAGCATTAGGAGATATATCTAATGCTAAATGACAAGTTAATGGGTGCAGCACACCAACATGGCACATGTATACATATGTAACAAACCTGCACATTGTGTACATGTACCCTAAAACTTAAAGTATAATAATGATAAAATAGAATAAAAATACTGTAAATTGGAAAACAAGGGCCATCTAGAATGTTATGACCCAGTGATTGTGCCTATTTCTATCTCACAAAAAAGTCTTTAATAATTTGATAGATGTCCATAAATATTAGGTTATACAAAGTGAGTTCTGAATCCCATTATCTTCCTTCTTTACCTTATCATTCTTCAGAAGACTCAAATTTTAATGTGTTCCATTTCCATTTTTTTCTTTTAGTTGGTCTTTTTCATGTATCTTATCATCTTATCTGTCTTAGGTTTCCCCACACCAACATCATAGCTATATTTTCATGTAAATTATAAAATTTTAAGTTTTCTTTTCACTTTTAGAAGTTGAATCTACTCGCAATTAATCTTCGTATATACTGTGAGATAGAAATCTAATTCTGTATGCAAATAATAAATATTTTCAACCTGTTAAAAAAAGATATTGAAGCAGAGCTTACATTTAAATATTATACGAACTTATGAATAACTTTAAAAACAGAAATTAAGACTCTATTTAAAAGCCCAAATAGGAGTGCAGTAATTCCACACTTATTTCATTGATAGGTTCTTGGAAACTCTGACTTTAAGCAAAACTATATATAACAAAATTAATGTTTTTTCTTATTAATGTTAAACAAAATGACATTGAACAAAATGATGTTATTCGAAGACCCACGTAAAGTATACGTGGTATACTTACCATGGTATACATAAAGTCACCATTTTGAAGAACCTATTGACAACATTGTGTACTTACTGTACTTACATAATAGTAAAACTACAAATAATTTTCAGTTGGAATAGAGATTGTGCCATAATTTCTTTCCTATCCCCAGGCAACCATTAGTCTGCTTTCTGTCAGTAATAGTTTGCATTTTCTAGAATTTGATATAAATGTAATCATACAGTGTATTTTTTAAGAAGTCACTTTGATGTAGAGTGGGATGTAAATAATACATAGGTCAGTGCATGATGTCAAAATAGACTATAACAAAGAAAATCCCATTGAGAACAAGACAAAGACATGGAGATGTTACCTAGCTAAAAATTTCCACAACTCTTTAGAAAGAAGCAATTAGAATTTAACATCGGAACAACATTGTATGTTATTTTTACCTTGTTTATAAATATTTATGAATCATTTATACAGTTGGCTCTTGAACAACACAGGTTATGTTCTCAAACACAAATTTTCCTAAGCCTCTGCCACCCATAAGGCAGTAAGACAAACCCTTTCCGTCAGCCTGTTCAACATGAAGATGATGAAGATGAAGGCCTTTATGATGCTCTACCTCCACTTAATAGTAAGTATATTTTCTCTTCCTTTTTTCTTAACATTTTCTTTTCTTCAGCTTACTTTATTGTAAACATACAGTATATAATACTTATATAAAATATGTGTTAATTCACTGTTTATGTCATCAGTGAGGCTGCTAGTCAATAGTAGGCCATTAGTTGTGATATTTTGGTGGAGGCAAAGTTATAAGGGGATATTCACCTGCATGGAGGGTTGGTCCACCTAACCCCTGTGTTGCCCAAGCATCAACTGTATGTTCAAATATATGTATTTTTATTTTTATAGTATGAGTTAATTGGTTTTGGTATTAGTTTTCAGAGCTGATATAACAAAATATCATCTGGGTGGCTTAAAAAAAACAAATTTGGCCGGGCGCGGTGGCTCACGCCTGTAATCCCAGCACTTTGGGAGGCCGAGGCGGGCGGATCACGAGGTCAGGAGATCGAGACCATCCCGGCTAAAACGGTGAAACCCCGTCTCTACTAAAAATACAAAAAAATTAGCCGGGCGTAGTGGCGGGCGCCTGTAGTCCCAGCTACTTGGGAGGCTGAGGCAGGAGAATGGCATGAACCCGGGAGGCGGAGCTTGCAGTGAGCCGAGATCCCGCCACTGCACTCCAGCCTGGGCGACAGAGCGAGACTCCGTCTCAAAAAAAAAAAAAAAAAAAAAAAACAAATTTATTTTCTCACAGTTCTAGAATCTGGAAGTCTAAGATCAAAGTGTGGGCAAAGTTGATTCTTTTTGAAGACTTTTTTTGGCTTGCAGGTGACCAGCCACCTTCTCCCTGTGTCTTTTATTGTCTTCCCTCTATGCATGTGTCTGTGTTCCAATCATCTCTTCTTATAAGGATATCAGTCATATTAGATTAGGTCTCACACTAATGACTGTATTTTAACTTAACTACTTATTTAAGGCCTATATCGCCAAATATAATCACATTCTGAGGTACTAGGGGTTAGGACTAAACATAAATTTTGTGGAGATGAAATTCAGCTCATCACAGTCCTCAATTAATCCTTATCTTTATAAAATCCTAAAGCAAAGGAACCTAAACCTAGACCACACTAACAAATTCACTTGAAAATATTTGGGACTTTAGAAGAATGTTCTTAACATTTAGATGAATGTTACATATTAAAATGAATATCTTTTAGTACAGAAAGTACTTGTAAACTGTAAAATGATACATGTATAATTTCTACTTAATACAGTAAAATTATTCTTTGACCTAGTGAATGAAATGTAAGCCACATTACTTTGTTTCATTTTTGTTTTTAGGGAAATCTATTTGCAAATGTTTTATAGAGAAAATAATGTTATCACCAATTCTGTGAATTATCACTATTTATTGCATTTCTAAGTAATTTCCCAATATGTTCATGTAAAGTCATTTTTCTAACTTTTTATTTTTGTTAGTGACCATAAATACTAACTCTGCTCTCATTCTTGGGGGTAGTTTTTTGTTCGTTTGTTTTTGAGACGGAGTCTAGCTCCGTCAGGCTGGAGTGCAGTGGTGCAATCTCGGCTCACAGCAACCTCTGCCTCCCAGGTTCAAGCGATTCTCCTGCCTCATCCTCCCGAGTAGCTGGGATTACAGGCATGCACCGCCAACCCCAGCTAATTTTTATGTTTTTAGTAGAGACGGCTTCACAATGTTGGCCAGGAGGTTCTCCATCTCCTGACCTCATGGCCTGCCCACCTCGGCCTCCCAAAGTACTGGGAGGCGTGAGCCACCACGCCCGGCCTCTTGGGGGTAGTTTTGTAAAACACTACCACCAACAAGAAGAATGAAACACCAGAAAATGAAAAAAAAAATTGTATCAATTTTTTAAACGTCAAATTTTTAAGACATTCACACATTAAAAAACGTGGTCTTTCTGCAAAATATATGGTTTTGTTGTTGAAATAGTGTAATTTGGGGAATGATGTCACCAACATGATGAAATCCAAGGTAACCTGGTCTAATCCTCCCACAGCAAGAATTCCACACACATCTAAAGTTCAAAGTTTCTCTGCAGGAGCCCTGGGGCTTAGGTAGGAGTTTGTAAAATGCTAGTGGGGCCCAAGACATTGTATAATTGCTTTGAGAATTCCAACCAACACCCAGGTGGCTGATCCATCCTATTTCCTCCTGAGTTTAAACTCAGAAATGGCCCAGTGTCCCAAGGGGTTTGGTTATAGCCCCTTTTGGCTTTTAACCTCCAACCAAAACCATCTGCCTAGAAGAAATTGCACAAACTAGTTCCTTAGTGGAAAGGCTCATCTCTATGCCAACATTGGTCTTTGCACTGAACCTGAGAGTTGCCATGATCTGGCTCCAGCCCACCTCAGTTGAGGTACAACTCAGAGCTGCTCATACAAGCTCATAGAGGGAGACTAACCATACCTCACAGCCCAGAAGTCTGAACCTGTATGACAGGCCATGCTGAGACATTCTGGGTGATGGATAGCTGTCTGGCCAATGAAATGATCTTTTCAACCTTAATTTCACAGGAGATCCTGAAGGTCCCCAGTCCCAGCTCCACCTCCTCCTGCTACAATCAGGGAACTATACTGTCTGTTCAGGGACTTGTTGGGAGGCATGCCTATCTGGCCCACTGTGACAGTCTTCTGGACTCAAGTCCCTGGCTAATATTCCCACTCAGCCCAAGTATTCTCCTTGGTTTTTCCACAGATTCATCTAGGTTGGAAAGCCACCTCAACCTTGGAGTCCTTGGGACATTCCCTGTATACCTGGGCTTAGAGAATCCTCTAGTGCTGAGATGATTGCAGTGGTCACAGATTCATGGAACTCAATAGTCTGCTTAGAAGGCACACTGAAGGCCCTCTGAAAAACAGACACAAAGTCAGACTGCAAAGAATATAATAAATACCAAATTCCTGTATTTTATTGCATGTCCACGAGCATCAAAAAACTTCAAGGAAATATGACCTCACAAAATGGACAAAATTATGTGCTCCAGACAGACCCTAAAGTAATGAAGATAATGTATTATCTATCAGATAAAGAATTCAAAATAGCTGTCTTAAGGAAACTCAGCCAACTTCAAGAAAACACAGAATCAGCTCAGAAATGTACCAGAAAATTTTAACAGAGATATTGGAAGAATAATCAGATATACTGGAGGTAAAAATACAGTGAATGAAATAAAAAATGCAATAGAGAAACATAAGATTTTTAAAGATAAGCAAAATTGACTAACCTTTAGCTAGACTAAGTGAAAGAGAAAACAAAACTAAAGCCTAAAAAGGAATTATTACAACTGATACCACAGAAATAAAAAGTGTCATTATGAACTATTATGAACAGCTATACACTAGCAAATTGAAGAACCTAGAAGAAATGGATAAGTTTCTAGATACATAAAACCCACCAAGAATTAACTATGAAGTAATAGAATATATGAATAGACCAATAAATGCAGTAATAAAAGGTGTCTCTCTCTCTCAAAAAAAAAAGCAAAGTTTTTCAAAAATTAAAGAGGGGGAGAGAATATTTCCAAACTGTTTTCACAAAGCCAGCATTACCCTGATACCAAAACCACACAAGGTCACACACAAAATAGAAAACTACAGATCAATTTGTTGAAGAACATAGGTGCAAAAATTCCCAATGAAATATTAGTAAACAAAATTTGACAACACATTAAAAAGATAGTTCATCATGATTAAGTAGGATTCATCCCAGGGATGCAAGGGTGGCTCAACATATGCAAAATCAATATGATACATCACATCAACAGAATCAAGAGTAAAAACTATGTGATCATTTCAATAGATGCTAAAATGGCACTTGATAAAATTGGACATATCTTTATAATAAAAACTCTCAACAAATTGAGTATAAAAGGAATATACCTCAACATAATAAAGGCCATATATGATAAACCCACAGCTAGTTTCATACCAAACTGGACAAAATTAAAAGCTTCCCCATAAGATCTGGAACAAGGCAAAGGTGCTTCCTTTCACCACATCTATTTAACATAGTAATAGAAGTTTCAGCCAGAGCAATTATGCAAGAGAAAGAAAAAAAAAGGCATCCAAATTAGAAAGGAAGAACTCAAATAATCATTGTTTGCAGATGACATGATCTTATTTTTAGAAAAATATGAAAACTCTACCAAATAATTCTTAGAACTGATAAATTCAGTAAAGTTGCTGGATACAAAATGAGTTTGTATAGTGTTTATATATGCTAACAGTGATCAATCTGAAAAAAAATCAAGAAAGTAACTCCATTTATTTTAGCTATGGTAAAATAAAATACCCATGAAAAGATGGAACCAAGGAAGTTACAGATCTATAGAGAAAAATTAAAAACACCAATAAAAGAAATTTAGGAGTATATGCACAAAAAATAGAAATATGTGCTTATGAATTGGAAGAATTAATGTTATTAAAAGGTTTATACTATCCAAAGCAATCTACAGATTCAATGCAATCCCTATCAAAATTCCAATGACATTCTTCACAGAAATAGAAATAATTCCCAAAATTCATGTAGAACAACAAAAGATCCAGAATAACCAAAAATATTCTGAACAAAAAGAAAATACCTGGAGGCATTGCACTACCTAATTTCAAATTATACTACAAAGCTGTACTAATCAAAACTGCATGGTACTGGAATAAAAACAGACACAAATACCCATGAACCAGATTAAACATTAGGACAAACATTAGAGAAAGGACAATATTTTTAATAAGTGGTTCTGTGAAGCTGGATATCCACAATATCCACATGAAGAAAGACACTACATCCCGATCCTTTACTATCTACAAACATCAACTCAAAATGAATTGAAGCCTGAAATGTAAGACCTGAAACTATGAAACTACTAAAAGAAGTTACTGGGAAAATGCTACAGGACATTGGTCTAGGCAAATTTTTTGGGGGGCAGGGGTAAGACTTCAAAAGCACAGGAAACAAAAGCAGAAATAGACAAACAGGATTATATCAAGCTAAAAAGCTTCTGTACAGCAAAGGAAACAGTCAACAGAGTGAAGAGAACCTACAGAATGGGAGAAAATATTTGCAAACTATCCATCTGACAATGGATTAATTTCCAGAACATAAGAAACTCAAACAACACATTAGCAACAAAACCACAAATAATCTTATTTAGTAATGGGCAGAAAATTTGAATAGACATTTCTCAAAGGAAAACATACAAATGGCCAAAAAGTACATTTAAAAATGGTATTACTAACCATCAGGGAAATGCAAATCATCTCACTCCAATCAAAAAGACAGAAAAACAAGAAATCTAGGCAAGGATGTGGAGAAGGGAGAACACTCATACACTGTATGTGGGATGCAAAGTAATATAGTAATTATGAAAAATTATGGCGGTTCCTCTAAAAACTAAAAAGGGAAGTGCCATATGATCCAGAAATCCCACAGCTAGGTATATATTCCAAAGAAAGGAAATCAGTGTATCAAAGAGTTATCTGCACTCTCATGTTTATTGCACCACTATTCACAATATCCAAGAAATAAAATCCACCTAAATGTCCATCAACAGATGAATGAATAAAGAAAATATGGTACATACACATAATGGAGAACTATTCAGCCATAAAAAGACTGAAATCCTGTCATGTGTAGCAACATGGATGGAATAGGGGTCATTACATTAAGTGGAATAAGCCAGGCACAGAAAGACACATTTTGCACATTTTCATCCAAATATGGGTGCTAAAATATGATTTCTTGGAGGCAGAGAAAAAAAATGGTGGTTTCCAGAGACTGGGAAGGTGGCAGGGGGTGGGGAGTTGTGAAAAAAAAGTTGCTTAAGGTGTAAAAAATACAGTTTGGCTGAGGGAATTTCTATTATTTGATAGTACAGTAGGGAAACTATAGTTAATGAGTTATATTTCAAAATAGCCAGAAGAGAATTGTAATATTCCCAACACAAAGAAAAGTATTTGAGGTGAGAGAGATCCCAACTACCCAAGATTTGATAATTACACATTGTATACAAATCAAAATATCACACACATCCCCAAAATATGTACAACTATTATATATCATTTTAAAAGCACAAAAACTAGTGTAACTTGTTTTTGTATAACATCAAACATTAACTAAAATTGGGGCTGTAAGTTTTTAATATAATGTATGCCAATTTAAATAAATTCTGTACAAAATATGATTCTGAGTAAAGAATTGCCTCAAATCTCTTACATATTGCCTCAGATATTTTGTTTTTACTTGATACACAAGTTTATTTGAAAATCATATATTTATTTATTCTAGGCATTGTGCCTCATAATTATTTGTGTATGATACATACATATGTATATGACTCACAAACTATTAAAAGTATTCAATAAACTTGAGCATACCTATAGTTTTAGAAGTTCAATTCTTAAACCTTCTCATGCTTACCGTATTAGTCTGTTCTCACGCTGCTAATAAAGACATACCCGAGACTGGGTGATTTATAAAGGAAAGAGGTTTGATTGACTCAGTTCCACAGGGCTGGGGAGGCCTCAGGGAACTTATAATCATGGCAGAAGAGGAAACAAACACATCCTTCTTCACATGGTTGCAGCAAGAAGTGCAAAGCAAAAGGGGGAAAAGCCCCTTATAAAGCCATTGGATCTTGCGAGAACTCACTATCATGAGAACAGCAGCATGGGGATAACTGCTCCCATGATTCAATTGTTTCCCATCAGGTCCCTCCCATGACATGTGGGGATTACGGGAACTACAACTCAAGATGAGATTTGGGTGGGGACACAGCCAAAATATATCACTTACTTTAAGCTTAATTGATGTTTGATTTTACTGCATACAACCTGTGAACAGGAATTTTTTTATTATGAAACTGATTAACAAAAGCAATCACCAATAAATTTAGTCTATAAAACTTCCTAGACCTGTATATAGTAGTGAAATGATACATATTCATCAACCACATGAAGAACAGCTAAATATTGCCAAAACAAAAGTAAAATCTACTTTGTGATACATTTTGTTTAGGGCCGAGTTGTATCCCCGCAAATTTCATTTAAAGTCCTAAGCCCTACTAACTCAGAATGTAACTGTACTTGGAGAAATGGTCTTTAAAGAGGTAATAAAGCTAAAATGAGGTCAGTAGAGTAGGACCTAATCTAACTGGTATCTTTATAAAAGGAGGACATTAGAATATTCGGACACAGACATACAGAAGGAAGATCATGTAAATACACAAACCCCCTGAAAATCAAAGAGGATTCAGGAAAAAACAATCCTGCCCACAACTTGATCTGAAATTTCTAGACTATGGGAACATGAGAAAATAAACTACATAAGTAGTTTAAGCTACTTAGTCTGTGGTACTTTGTTGTAGAAGCCTGAGCAGACTAATAGTTTGTAAAATCCTAATAAATGCACTTTGGTAGCAAAACTGCACATACTCCATCTTTTATTTTATCTATTTAACAAAGAGTTGTATGTGACAGGTTTTTGCATAGTCTTCCAGGTTAAAGGCATTTGAACAATACAAACAAATTACATGCTTTTACTTAATGTTTCATTAGAGCTAGAATCAAGACAGACAATCAATAGAGAAGCAAAAGAATATCATGAGGTTATTGCTATGGTAAAAAAAATAATAGATTGAAGTGTGAATAATAGCTTTCTAGAGCCACAGATCTATGTGCTAATTGATTTGGCTTAATTCAGTAAGACAATCACTTGTGTTCATTGAATATCCTTATTTTTTTAGGTTGCCATTATTTCAAATAACCATTTTAGCTGATTTTCTCCTCTCTCTGAAGGCTGACCTCGAGAGGTTGTAGAGGAAACCTATAATTAGTGAGAACACGTGAAGGCAAATATGTAAGTCAGTCTTTCCTTGCTGGGGATAGAAGGATTGTGCTCAGCTACTGAATAGTATAGGTGGAGGATCTGCTTGTGACAGCCCTTCTGCTCACTAACTCTGGCCAACTTTGAGCTTTTCTGCAAGGGTTGAGCACCTCTGCTCCCATAGCACATTCAGAGCTGCCTGTCTGCTCTTGCCATCTTCATGCTTTCTACATGAAAAACATCCTGTGCTTGCACGTGAGCCTCTGCACATTTCTGAAGTCAGCACAGACATCCTATGCTGACTAGTCTTCTGTTTGTTCCGAGAGAGACTTTTAATCCATTTTTTTATATGACTTGGTAACTTAGTCATGAACAATATAAAAAAGAGAAGTGTTTCTGGGCCACTTTATAAGCTTGAAATGTGTGTGATTTGTATAAAAGAGTTCATAATGAATGATTGCTTATAAAATACAGTCAAGATTTAGTATTACAGATAGAATCTGCAACCCCCCACCATTCCATGTAACTTCCAGCCACAATACATATTATATTTCATTCTTGGTCTCTAAATGAATAACTTATGATAGTTTATGCTTATGATGTGATTTCCATATTTTAGAATAGGCATGTAATATTTGTTTTAATTTTAAAAACTGTAAACACACCATAAGAAAGATAGACTGAGTCAGGACCTAATTTTGGTTCTTAAATAGCATGTTTTGTTAAAGAATTCCAGTTTACAAACATTACTTTTATTTTACATTTTTCTTATGGGCTATGTGGCACGTACCACCTCATTAATCCCACTTAACTACAATTGTAACTCTATGAAACTTTCGTCTTTCATGTGAATTTGGTTTTGGCCACCTCTTTTGATAATGCCTTATTGAAGTTTTGTTTTGGCTTTAAACTGCTTAATTTTGTGCACATTTTTTCTCCTTGAGTTCATGACATCTTGAGCCTTTACTCCTCTGACAATTTTATGCAAGCCTTCAAATTAAAGGATATATCAGCTTGTAAACTGTGATAACTAATTCACCTGAGGCTGTTTATACAGTGTGATACACCCACTATGCAAATATTTTCAAGCACAATCTTATGAAAGAAAAGATACATCTTGTCCAGCCCATTCAGTGACAAGAAAACGTGGTAATTTCAGTTGCAGTGGTTGTCTAACAGTTCTGCTGTATGGACATTGGCAAACTGAGGCTAATTTAATCCTAAATCTAAATACTGATATCTGGAGCCATAAGTAATTAAGAGAATGGATCTTAACGACTGCACTGAGACCCTGGAGAGAATTAAGGTAAATTACATGTCATGTTTCCCAAACAACTACATTTGCTGAATAACATACCGTTATATCCTGGGCCCCAGTGGAATTCTCGGAAAGAGGCATATATTGTTAGTCACAAATTTAATACAGTGAGAGGTTCAAAATTATTCATCTGTATGCCTCCCCTCCTAAAAACACTCAGAGGATAAGAGAATTTCTGATGCTTCATCTCCTTAAGCATATCATTGTTCAGCTAAGCTAAACACCTGATCTTCAGCAAGTAATAGGATTAAAATATTGAAAGAGGTCATTGGCCTCTGTAAAGAAAATGGCATTACTATGATAATATTAAGCTTATATAAACTACTTACATATGCCATTGGTTTTCCTATGACTTTTCACTCCATAAATATTGCTCAACGTGCATTACAGGAAGCAATGAAAATCTCTTTAACTTATAGAAAGTGACAAAAATGATTTTTTTTTTTTTAAAGTTTTGGAATCTGGGGCCTTTAATTTACCCCTCCCCCTACCTGGCATTCTTTCTTACTCTGTTTCTCTTCCAATGTAAACATAACCACATTATTTTCTCCAAAATGCATTTCTATGTGTAGGTTCATGAAAAGTATTTTCATAACATGTTGCTTTGTGTATCCACACTGAAACTTTGATATCGTTTCCTAAATAATTTAGTGAATTTTACTATATCTTGCTAAACTGTGTATTCACATCAGAAAAAAAAAATCATCTGACAACTAATTTGTTTTCACTGCTACAAAGACTTTTCTAATTTTTTGCCAACATTGTCTTCAATTCTCTTAACTTCTACATTGGCAAAGTTGTATCAAAATGATTCATCCTGCATCATTATACTCATTTTTTTGGCAACTGTGATAGGCAGAATTCTAAGAAGGTCCCAATATTCCTGCCTCATTGTGTAATCTCCTTCTCTTGAGAATATACAGGCCTTATCCATCTGGTGAGAAATCACTCTGGTGATTATATTAAGTTATACGGCAGAAGGGATTTTACAGATGTAATTAAGGTACTTAATCCATTGATTTTTAATTATTAAAAGGAGAGATAATCTTAGGTGGCTTGAAACAATCAGATGAGCCCTTAAAAGTGGCCAGAGAGGTTCAAAGTGAGATTCTCCTGTTGGCCTTAAAGGAGCAAGCTGCCATGTTTTGGAGAGGTTATGTGTTAAGAAATTCTAAGGCCTCAAAAGGGCCCCTAGTTAACATCCAGCAAGAAAGCTGAGAATGTAATCCTACAACCATGAAGAACTAAATTCTGCCAACAACAGATGAGGTTGGAAATGGATGCTGAGATCCAGATGAGAACACAGCTAGACTGACACTTTTGTTTCAGCCTTGTGAGACCCTAAAAAGAGAACCCAGTTACACCATTCCCAGGCTTCTGACCTATAGAAAATATGGGATAATGTGTCTTTTGAAGTCACTATGTTTGTGATAACTGGTGGTCAGGGAGCTCCCACTGTGTGGTACATAGAGACTTATGTCCACAAGCCACTAGGTTTACATTATCTTGCTACACAGCAATAGAAAACTAGTATAGTGTCTTCTCTGGTAATGTCAGTTTCTAAAGTAACAAACCTGATGCAGTTTGACTTTTCAGGCAGTCATTATCCCTGCTAAATACTAGTTTTATGTTTACTCAAACATGTATTTCTATGTAGTGAAGAAGAGAATACAAGTTCTGGGTCTATCCTGCTTAGAAGTATGTAACATGCTAGAAGTTTAAAAAAGGATCATAAATTAGATTGGGTGAAATACACACTTTACAAAGGAAAAATTGAAGGACTGCGTTTTCAATCAATACTTCAAAAGCTGGTTGCAATAATTTTGCAAACACATTTTAATTCTATTAGAGCTTACCTATAAGTAGATTATTCAGATTCATTTGCATTATAATCTTGCACTATTCCTTTCTCCTTTCCTCCAGAATTTTGATTATTTTATTGTTTTTGAGCAGAACGTGAACAATGCCAGGGAATATTCTCAAAAAAATCTTTTAAATTTTATTAACATATGTGATCAAGAATTTAGTGAGGACAAGGATGAAGTTAATGTTTGAAAATTGAGTTACAGTACTGTAGTACTTGTGGTAACATGGCAAGTTAAAACAAATTATAAAAACCTTAATTTTGAAATATGGTCCTGTTAAGCCAAAGTCCTTTTTATAAAAGCTGCAAAATGAGAATTTTTAGCTAATGAGTGAGACTTGGCAGGACATAAATGGAAATATGTTTTATTGGCCAACATGTTCTGGAGGCATATGAGTGTCTAAATAGATGATGCTCAAAAGAATATTTTTGTCATGAAAGTGCCTGAAAACATTTTGATCAGAAATTTGATTGCCATATGTCCATATCCTCCAACTTAAACGACGAGCATACTTCAGGTCTCTTGAGATTTCTCTCCCTTGCAATACTGACTCTTATCATTAAGCACCAGGGCTTGCAAAATGAGTTGTTTTCCTTACTTTCATAATTATCCTAGTATATTGACTATTTCAATATAAACTGTCTGGAATTTGAGCTCAAATAATGATTTACTGAATCTCTGTATTGAGAAAATCAGCCATGTTTAGTGCTTGGTCTTGAACAGTGCTTCTGAATACCACTGTCATGACACAGAATCATTACGCTTGCCATATGCAGATTCATTTTTAGTCATAGATGTTCATTTTTCATCTAAACTTTTAGTTTATAAACCTTTAAAGTCCATTATATGTCATTTTCATTTTTGTTTTTCTGAACCTTTAAAATGGAATGTAACAGAAAATATTTGTGAATACATTACTGAATAACAGGTTAGGTATTTTATTTAATACAAATCGATGTATTTTAATAAAATATGCAGATATCACCACAGGTAGAAATATTAATTTTGGGGGAAGATATTTGGGCCTGGGACTTTTCTAATGCATTAGAAACCCTCAAATCACTTAAAATATATGATGAGGTAGAGAACATTTTAGTATTTTTCCAGTTCATCTCCCCATATGCTTCAATCTTTTTTTTCAGATGTCATGAACACATTTAACATTTATAAGTGTGTGTGCACAAGTAATTTGTAATATGGAAGTTAAGAGCAGCAACTTTTTCATTTGCATTCACTTTATAGATATGACACTCTTAAATACTCATTATAGGCAATTGATGGTTGCATTTTTTCAAAAATAGGCTTTGTTTTTAGAGAAGTTTTAGGTTTACAGAAAAAGTAAGTGAAAAGTACAGAGACAAAGTTTGCATTTTTGTTATAAATTCTTTTATTTTTGTTTTCAGATCTTGTGGACCTCATTTTTGCAATTTTTATCCTCCATTTTATCTTTTAAATCAAAGTTTTCACTTTGCCTTATTTTTTTTTAATGTCCACTCTTTGAGTATCTGAGCTCCTAACATGGATGTCTTATTATGGAACCCTGAGAATCATGTAATAAAAGGCTTCATCAAAATGAAATATAATTGATTGATTTATACTACAAGCAAGGTTGGCATTTCTCCTAGGCAGCAGTAGAAAGGGTTCAGTCAGGAGCTCAAGTGCCATAATTGAAAATAGAAGGTTTTATATTTAATACTTTACCTACTGAAAAGAGGAAATTTCTCTTGCATTAGATAGCTTGAGGCCTCAATCTCCTATCTGATAGTGTCTGGGCCCATTTAAATTATATATCAAGTTAAATAGCTTCCTGGCTGGTAGACATTTATGAGTAGAATTTTGAATGATTTCAATCTTTCAGTCTAATAAAGGAGATAGTATATTTTAATGGTTTTTGTGTTTTCAAAGGACTTTATAGAGCTCAACAATGACTTAATACAAAGCATTTGGAAGACAAGAAGAATGGCTGGCTGAATCAGAGATGCATTAAGTAGTCTGCTCACAGTCTGTGCACCACAATCCTGATAATGGTGCATGGAATGACCTTGTGTCTCCCTGCAGCAAGTTGCCATTTCTGACATCTGTGGAAAGTATTGCATGCCTGAATACCTGAGACATTGTTCTGCAACGTTCATCTCTTCACGGTACTTCTGTCCCCAGCGCCAGGTGCTGTGGGTACAGTAAAAATGAACAGTACTTTGGGAACAAGGTCTGACTGCACAAAACACCACTTAACATGCAAATTGAATTTAGAGAACAGGTTTAGTTTCTTAAAGTGAACACAATATACTTGAAATAGCTATCTACTTACACTGAAGCAAAGATACATAAAGAAATATGTCTCTACTGCTTCTGTGAGTGAGTCTTGCCTCAGATTTGGACAAAGTTGTGAGTGTCATCTTTTCTTTGACATGCTGGTAATTAGGCTAAATAGTCTCTCAAATAACAGGTTCAGCAGGCTATACCCTTCATCTGTCTATTAATTGGTTGATTGATCTCTCTCCCTACCTCCTATAGTACCTACTGTAAAGCCTGTTGACTATTTTTCCACTTGTTTGTATTAGCAAAATATTTCTTTTAAAAGTATGTTTTTAACATTTTCTCATGCATAGCACTAAGTCAAATGCTAGCTTCTCTGCAAGAGTAAAAAAACCTTACAATTTCCTCAGGTCTGATTTTATCTCCTTCATAGCTCTCCATAGCTCCTCTATTATGTCATATACTAGACTATCTAGTGTTTATTGCCTAATTGCCTGATTCTCCAAATAGGTGGCAAGATTCTTCATAACAGTGACTATCTTTCATTCATTTCTGTGTCCTTCACTCTTTCTCACCTAGTTCATTGTAAATAGTCACAGCTAAATATATATTAAATTAGTGATAAAGACTATCCCTTATATTTTTACATTTACTTACTTGTTTTAGAATATGAATATTTTGGTGCATCAATTATAACTCAGTTATGAATAATACTAATAATCATGAGTTCATACTGTTATGTCAGACACTGTAACATACTTTATACATATTCTTCCATTGATTTCTGACAATAAACCTGGGAGTTACAATAGGATTAGGAAGCTGGGGGTTATTGAAGTTAAGAGGCGTGTTCAAATTCAGAGATCTAGTAAATGGTAAAATTAGAATTTAACTCCTGACCTTTCAGACTCATCTACACTATGTTGTAACTGCCTAAGTTTGGCATGTGACGTAGTCATTAAAGTGGTTAACATTCTGGGTATTTTATTTATGTACACATGGCCTAACTGAATTTTCCCACCCTATTTGATTTCAGCATGGCCATGTGACTTCTTCATATATGTAGAAGTGATGGTTTCTTCCCTAGCAGGAGCTTTGTCAATGTATAATCTCCCAAATTCTCTTCCCACTGCTGAGATGACTCTAGGCACTTCTGTCAGCCAGAGTCTGAGTGACTGCAACTAGCACAGCCCTAATGCTGGCCTATGTTGTGCCTATACAATCAATGAGAAGAACAATTATTGTGTTAAGCCATGACATACTGGGGTTATTACTAAAACTCAACTAAATCCATCCTAATTGAAATAGCAATATCTGCCCTATGTTTCAATGTCTTTTTCTTCAGTTACCTGTGTTTCTTATTGAATAGCAATCTCTTTATGCCCCTATAACATGATTTCAACATTATATTTATTCAGATGCTGTAATACTTGGAGGGTCAATTCTTACAGGACAAAGTTTCATTGAGAGACCTGAAGACCCTTTAACCAGAATCACCTGGGGAGCTTTTTAAAAATGCAGTCTGGAATCCACCCTAAATCTACCAGATTAAAACCTTAGAGTAGGTCAGGAAATCTAGATTTTTAACAAATAGCTTACAGGAGACTCATGGAAAGTTTGAGAATTAATGCCATGGGTATTAGAAGGCAATGGTTATTGTCATAACTAAGTTCTTGTCTTTTCCCCTTCTTGCAACATGGCAGGCTCTATCTCTAGGCATCAGTTTAATATCATTGTAGTAAGTGATGACCACAGAAGAAAAAAAATCAAATTCCAATACAAATTATTTAAGAACATTTCAGTTTTCAAAATTAAATGAAATTTTTAAAAAGCTTGTTTAGAAAAATAAAATTGAGACTCAGAATGTAGTTACTTCAGATCATATTCCTTGAGTAAAAATTCAAGTAATGTGTCTTCATTATGAAAAATAAATGGGTAAAAAATACAGCTAAAAAATAAAAAAAGAATAGGTCAACTAAAGTTTGGTATGTTTTTCCAAACTCCTTCTCTTTTCTTGCTATGATAGCACACGTGATATGATAGTATGAGTGATAACATGCATTAAATATGTTAGTTGAGTACTCTGGGGGATATTGCTTCCTTTTATTAGGAATATTACCATGCTATGGTAATGAATAATATCTAGCCTGTTTATAATGTATTCAAGTTTTATAATCTATGCTAAACATGCTAGATATTTCAGTAGGCTTGTGGTTTCTCAGTAAGAAGGCATCTAGAAGATATGGATTTGAAGGTGGCTCTTCTACTCCCTTATGTAACCCTGACTGAGTTCCTTAAATTCTTCAAACTTTATATTCCTGGTACCATGAAACTCTTGATCATCCTCTTAAGTCTTCGCCACACCCTAAGATAAGTGTCATCCTCCCTTCACAGCTCAGAAAGCAGCAGTCTAGCAATATCACATAACTAGTAATTAAAACCAGTGCTGGCTAGCCCTGAAGCCTTCAGACTTTCTCCCATATCTTCACCACGGGGCTTGTTGTCTTGATTGATTGTTCATTTAAAAAAAAGTACTCTCTGCCTTCAAATACAAAAAATTCGTCATTCCAAAACATAAAATATCTTGTATTTTCTCTTTGGATGATATAATTAAAACAAAACCCTGGCTTTGGAACAAAAACTTACAGGATTTAAATACCACCTCTAGTACCCATTAAACTCTGTGGCCATGGTCGAGTTTTTTCTGTACAAAGAAGATAATGAATCTAGGTGAATTTTTCTTTTGAAGTTTATAGGAAATGAATACAAAGTACCTAGAACTGTGCTTGATAGGTAATAAATGTGCAATGAATATTACGTTCTATTGAATTTTACCAGAAGCTATGAGACATTTGACTAACCTATAAATTTTAAAAGCATGTCCTTTAAGTAGAAGAGATATTTTTATAAGTAGGAATATTACTTTGCTTTTATTGGATGATATTATTTTCTACTCCTCTTATTTTTATGGAGTATTCCAATCATACTGAACAAGGGCCTAATGACTTTTCCCAGCAGTTATGAGCAGTTGTTTTTGTGTGTGTGTGTGTGTGTGCTTATTATAGTCATCACAGTTCAAATTACACCTAGAGACTCAAAAATAATCAGGTTTATTATAAGTCACTAAAAGTAATTGTGTATGTGCAAAAATTGCAGATAAGTGGTCCTTAAGTTGGATAGTTTGACAGAGGATACTGATATCTATAAAATAATGTACAATTTTCTTCTGTGAATGATAAAGACGATCCAGATTTCTTGTTACAATGCAGCTATGTTAAAATATGGGAGCTTAGCTTGATGATTAAAAAAAAAAAAGCATGCTCTTTGCATTAAATGGTATATGGCCAAGCAAACTCCATTCATTTGACTTCCCAGACAGCCAGAGCTGAATTCAGAAGCAACTAATTGAACTGGGGACCTTCCTTTGGCATCTTGCCCATTGGTACTCTTTGTGGGAGGAGCAGCTTCACACACAGAGCTTAAAAGCATCTGGGTTGCTGTTCTGCATGCTACTGCTGACAGATTTACCATCTGCCTTAAAGAAAGACAACAGTCTGGGGACCTTTGATACTAAGCATTCACATGATAGCCTTTGACAGTGAAAAATCCTTCATTAAACAAGAAAATAAATCCTATCTAACATAAACAAAAAAAAAGAACCAGTGTTGTTTTGATTTTAATTATCTACAAATATAACGTGGAAATTCATTGATGGTAGACCATTTGTTGAGCACTATGTGTCATCCCCGAGTACTTTATACTTACACGTTTATTCGGACCACCACTTGCTTAGGTAGGCACAATTTTAACTTCATTTAAAAATAATACAGTTTATACATAGAGAATAAAAAATTTGCTTAAGCTTACTTTAAGTTATAGTAAGTGTGAGAGCAGAAACTTGAATCAAGGTAGTCAATCAGTTTGTCACCTCTGTGTATACTGCATTTTTATCCATTTTCTCTAGGAATTTCATTTTCTAGAATGCCTTAGTATAGGTTATTTAGTAAATGATAGATTATTTTTCTATTACAATAGATTACATAGGTAAGATATATTATTCATAACATGGTTATATTGAGATCAAGGTTACAAGAATCCCTTTTTGCCTTCCAGAAGAAAATGTTATTCAAAGAGGATTATATCCTTAATTCTTACAATTGTGTGTCATAGGTAAGATCAGAAAATAATTATGGATGACAAAAATGCACTCTACCCATTAAATAACCAGAGTACTTTTCATAGTGATATGAATGTACTTAGAAAAATTAAAAGCTTTATGCAAATTTAAGGTATATCATAATAAAGGACAGTACATTTGTTTAAGCACATTGTTTAACACATAATTTATAGAGTATGTTTTTTCATCATGAGTATGTCTTGCTTTCATAAAGGATTGACAAAACACTCAGCAAGTGAGATGAGATAGACTTGCTTAATCATATTTGCACACACTTGCAATGACAGACACTGCTCCTTTGCTGTAACATTCTTGGCATGATCTTTAAACACTCAACTGCTGATGATCTCAATGCCATTAATAGGATATCTATGTGAACTTTAAATGATAATTTAATTTAAAGCCTCTAAACATAAATGCATGGCTACATTTAAAATTGAATTGCATCCTTTAAAAATCACTCCCTGTGGACATTTCCTTCTGTTCAGTAAAATGCAGGCACATTCTAGCTGTAAGCACTTGTAGTTGGAATGCATATTGTGCCCCTTAGTTGCCCTGCTTTCCTTTCCCTTGGGGAAAATCTACCAACCTGGTTGCAGACTGTCAGTAGGAAGATAGGTAGAATGATTTATAATCAGCTTTTGGCTGTTTACACTAAAGTACATGTAGCCAAATTACACTGGAAGGGAGAATGGAGTAGAAGATACTGACTCATTTTTTTAGGACTGGCTCTAAAGCCCACAAGCACAATCAATATTGAGAATATTCAGTCTATTAATCAAAATATTCAGTACACTAATGAGCATATTCTATACTAATTAATAGTAGAAACATTGAAAGCAACAAAATAACTTTAAAATACAGAAAATGCAACATGCAAAGGTGGGTTAAATTCATTATTTAAGATTACTTGGTATAAATGAAATACACTTCCTAGTTTTATTTGTAGACCTCAGATCCCTTACTGGTATCAGGCAAATAAACAAGTTAATTTATTGGGTGAATACAAAAGGTTATAATAATAAAAGGTTATAATAATAATAAACCAAGTCAAAGTTACAGAAGGAGGAAGAATATGGTTCAGTTAAATCTATGGTAATGCAGATGCATAAGCACTAATCCACAAGAGTATGGTTTAGTGCTAAGAATTGAGTCTAAGTGATTTTAAGACAAATACACTTGAGGAATAATCCTGATTCAACTAGCTACTTGCTAGTTGTGCATTTCTAGATAAGTAGTTAACTTTTCTTCTGATTTTTTAGTTGCAGAATGATAATGACATCAGTTTCATATGTTTCTTGTGAAGTTCAGATAAGTAGAAAGGAAGTGGTTGCCACATTGAAAGCATTGAATTGTGCTACTTTGACTTTCCTGTGTATTTCATTGCTTACTGAAAATGTCTCGGCCTGATGCTCCAGGCCTCCTCTAACTTGCTCCCACACCATTCTTTCAGCTTGATGCCCTACAATGCCCCATTCAAAAGTGGCACTTGAGCTAAATTTGTTGATACGCAGTCCTCAATTTTCATGTATTGATTTTTGCACAAAGTTTACTTTTTCACATTAAAAGTGAACCGTTTTTAGACCTTTAAGTCAAAACTAGTCTCATTGTAAATCAGTTGTCTGATAATGACTTTGAGTTTTTAAAAAGACACTGCTTATCTTTATTATTTGTTGGTCAGAAGCCCTATATTTCTCAGGAGTTTTTGATTATTCATTTATTTTTAATTCTAGAGAATCTTTTAAACAGCATCTCCAGCATATTTTCAAGAGCCCAATGGAGTGAAGATTTTCTTCCTGCCCACACCCTACTTCAAATGTCCTTACTAGACAAAAGCAGATTTATGTAGCATTCTGCAGCTTTCTGTGTGAGATATGTTTTAATAAAGGAAATGAAAACACAAAGTAAAACAAAAACAAACGAGAAAAATTGTTATTTGAAGGAGGTAATCCAGAAATTCAAAGAATCAAACTAGACAGGTTCAAAAATTCAAAATTTTGGACCTAATATTAAAGTGTTAGATATGTAGTCCCAAATACACATTTTCAAGGATTACAACAAATAATGAAGTACAGTAAACCAGTATGTTGCATAGAGAGTATTGGCAACAAATGCATATTGGAGAGTCCAGTCTTCATTTGAATTAATATGTGTGTCTAATCCATCTTCCTATCTAATCTGGCAAATCTATCTAATCTACTTAATCTATTTTATCTACCTAGGTATTTACCTAGCTACCTAATCTAGCAAATCTATCCATCTACATATATTTAATTGTTCATGCCAATCCAAACTTACTACAAGTCAGATTCTTCCAGAATCCAGCCAGATTGTGACCTCTGGGATAGTACAGATAAGAAACTATACTACCTCCCCCCCCTCAACACACCTGTAATTATTTAATATTGAAGGCAAGAGTATTTTGCTTTGAGAATGAGAAACGTTGAATCAGAATCTGGAGTGATTTCCTTCTCCATATTCTCTTCTTCCCTTCCTTCTCTTTTATAATTGTTTCATGATCTGATCTCCCATAATCTAGCAGTACCACAGCTAGACTCTGGGCTACACACAAAAAGGTATGTCCCATTTCTTGGGGCAGGGAGAAGAGAGAGTAGACACAGCCTCATTAAGAGAGAGGATGTCCATGCAATGTGGGCATCCTACCAGGGAGGTAGGGTGATTGTCCTTCTCCCAGGGTGCTTAATAAAGGCTTCCTCTGAGGCTGGTCAGTGGAGGTCTTTCAGATCAATGTGCTTGTTGCTTGTTTACCCAAGCCATTTAAACATCGCTGAGATAGAATTATTTTTGGTAAAATATAGTGGTAAATGCGGTGTGTGTGTCTTTATTTATATATACATGCATATATAAAGATTCTAGTAACAGTTCCTTTTTAAATATGTCTTATTTAACTTTCATACATTTGGATTTCAGGCAGATTTTCAGAAATAGGATGTGTATAAAGCAGATGATTTTCTAAACTTACTATTCTTAAGAAAAAATGCTTTATATTTCCCTCCTTCCCGCTCCTCTCTGTCTCTGCCAATCAAATTCCTGTGTGTCTCATTTGTCATTTGATTTCACACATTAATTCCAGCTTATCCCAGCACCTAATCACTGCTCTTCTAAACTTATAAAATGCTATTTTAATGTTTACCTTTTGTGGCACTTATGGTATATATTATAATTATTTGTGACTGTATCTCATATTCTCCACTCTAATGCTGCCTTTTAAAATATCTTTCTTCTCAATGCTCTGAGCTGAAGCAAATATGAAAAAGACTAATTGACTATTATAGTCTGTTTAGAAATTTGATTGATCATATGAGATTATCTATAGATTTTTTTATAATAATATAAAGGTTGAATAGCACCCATCAATGTCAAGATTCAATTAAGGTATGTGAGTCAAAAAAAGAAGTTAACACAATAAAGTCAACGAGTGCTTTGTGATTCCTTTAACTTTAGACACCAATGTACCATAGCACTGGATAAATTTCCTAATATGATTAATTTTTCTTCCATGTGCCTTAGCTGCCTTTTTCTGGGACTGTCAACACTCCACTCAAATTTTCAAGCATGCATTTTTTCTGATTTTCTCTCCTTTGCACACCGACACAGAAGCATCACAGGAAAATAGTTCCTTTATTGTCATCCCAATTCAAAAGATAATACACATACTACTTTCCCTTCTCTACCTCCTTTTGTATATGCACAAGTGGAACACATGTGAGCCTTGCTGTCGTCTTCATTGTCTTAAAATTTATTGTTATCTTTGGCTTAACTTCTGAAGCTATTAGGTGAGGTAGACATGCATTTGAGGAGAAAATGTTGCTAATCTCAGCAAGAGATATTTTTCAGACTCTATTTTAGAATTCAAAGTCTTGGCAAAGGTTAATGGTGTACCAGTTCCAGAGAAGTACTTAAAATCTTAAGGAAAGGACTATAATTATGATTTCTTAGGAAGACTTCAGTGTAAATTCAACCAAGTATTTTTCACATCTTGAGATTTGCATTAAAAATAATACTTCTATTTAACAAAAGGTGTCAATAATAAAATAAGAAGTAAAGTGAACCAATTTAATATGCCCCATAGGAAGCAAATTAAAGCCTTATCTTTTTCCTTCTTAGAAGGCTGTTAGACTTGAAAAGTAGGCTTTGTGAAGAGCTTCACTTGAATTATTAAAACAAGCAACTGAAATTGAAAATAAAAAGTAATTTTTTAGAATATTGAATCCTAATGACTTTGCAATTTGAAGCGCAACTGAGAATCCCTCATAGATACTATTCAATTTTGCATTTTTGCATCATTTAAAAAAAGTAAAAATACACAAAGCAAAATAATATTAAAAGGAAATAAGAGAAAATGAAAAGGAATATCTATGATTTGAATCTTTTATGACCATTGTTAATAATATGATGGAAAAAAGGAAAGGTTGCTTTTTATTGAGTATACATGGTGAATTGTACTTTTCCTGTATTTTATCCAATTCTCACAATTTGCCAAATGTAGTGCTGTCTAGTTTTACAGAAGAGAAAAAATAATGGTCAGGATATATTAGGTTAATCATTTGTACAACGTCACACAACTAAGTTGTAGAATGGCAATCAAAACCATAGATCTCCTTTTCTCATTTTTAGAATTTTTTTTCAAATACCCAAGCACAAAGATTTTCTCAAGATTGTTAGGAGACTATCAATATCAAAGGAACTATGCAGGTCAATAATGAGAAGTCAGAAGAATAATTTTGTCAAGATATTCAAGTGTATATTACAGTAAGGTAAAGAAGATGACAGATAGCTATTTTTCCAGGTATGTTTGCCTATTTTCTAGTATGATTTAAGAAATACAAAATGAAGGTTAATAAGAAAAGATTTTAAAAAATATATTTTGAAAAGTGGGGATCAACATGATGGTCAACTGTTTCCTAAAGTTACTTAAGATATGTTCTTACAATGATTATTTTTTCATTTCTACTTATCTGTAGTATTTTTATGTCTACTTGTCAATAGTATTCAAAATACGGCTGCACCTAAATTTAGAAGACTAGCGATACCAAGACTCTTTCAGCCTCATGATTCTATGGCATATCACTACATGTCAGAAAATCAGTAACCTTTTAAAAATAAAATACTCTCATAATCGTTGTATAAAAATATTTTGTCACTACTCTTGTTTTATGCCTTTACCTTATATTATCAAAATTTTAATTATATCTATAGATATGATTCCAAGCATACGTATGGATTTGTTTAATCATCTTATCAAGTTTTTTTATTTTTAATTTTTAAATTTATTTTATGGTTACTAGGCTTCCCCAGTAAGAAAAAGAATGCTTAATTGATGATTAACATATTTAATAAGAACCAGAAAATGCAGTATTTTAGTGCCTGAAGATATTTAAAAGTCCAAAGAACACCACTATATGGCCACAGTATGCACATTATAATGAGAGAGACAGGCAATAAAATAAAATAAAATACTATACAAATAAATAAATGGTACAATCCATTTAATGAAGAAATGTTATGAAAAATTAAATTGGGTAAAGGTATAGAGAATGATAGGAATCGGTGGTGATTACTATTCTAGTTTAGGCAATCTATAGAACTTCACTAAGGAGATACCAAGTTTTAGATGCCTGAAGGGTATGGATCAAGTCATACCTTTGGGAAAACACAGTCTAAAGGCAGGTTACACATAAGAGTGAGAAAAATAAATTATGAGAACTCAAAGTACACAGGTGAGAAAGAATCATCATCAAAACCTGCATAAGAAAAATAATACAACAGTGGCAGAAATGAAAATGGGATAAATTAATTGTATGTTTTGGAAGAATTGGCTGGATGCTCATCAGTGCACACAGAGTAAATTTGTCCAACTTCCCTTGCAACCAGGTGTCCCCATGTGACTGGATCATGGTTAATGAAAGAGAGAAGTGTCACTCCCAAAACCTATTCAATAAACTGTCATTTGAAGTTCTTACCACTTTTCCTTTTTGGCTCTGAAGGATGGCAGAATATGCCACCCCACAATATGCCACTTTCATATAATGATTATTTTGAGCTAAAGGTATATCAAAAACATCAGATGCAAGAAGGAGATCCTCAAATCACTACTTAGAGCTTACCTACAGGGATAACTGGCATTAGACTGTTACTTGTGATAAAGGATCTTTTATTTTGTTATGACACTGAGATTTGGAGGTTTATATGTTATTGTAGCTTCATTCTATTATTAGCCAATTTGCTGTCATTAATAAAGTTAAAGAGAGTCGAGGAATGTATCCATTTCTTCTAGATTTTCTAGTTTATTTGCGTAGAGGTGTTTGTAGTATTCTCTGATGGTAGTTTGTATTTCTGTGGGATCGGTGGTGATATCCCCTTTATCATTTTTTATTGTGTCTATTTGATTCTTCTCTCTTTTTTTCTTTATTAGTCTTGCTAGCGGTCTATCAATTTTGTTGATCCTTTCAAAAAACCAGCTCCTGGATTCATTGATTTTTTGAAGGGTTTTTTGTGTCTCTATTTCCTTCAGTTCTGCTCTGATTTTAGTTATTTCTTGCCTTCTGCTAGCTTTTGAATGTGTTTGCTCTTGCTTTTCTAGTTCTTTTAATTGTGATGTTAGGGTGTCAATTTTGGATCTTTCCTGCTTTCTCTTGTAGGCATTTAGTGCTATAAATTTCCCTCTACACACTGCTTTGAATGCGTCCCAGAGATTCTGGTATGTGGTGTCTTTGTTCTCATTGGTTTCAAAGAACATCTTTATTTCTGCCTTCATTTCGTTATGTACCCAGTAGTCATTCAGGAGCAGGTTGTTCAGTTTCCATGTAGTTGAGCGGCTTTGAGTGAGATTCTTAATCCTGAGTTCTAGTTTGATTGCACTGTGGTCTGAGAGATAGTTTGTTATAATTTCTGTTCTTTTACATTTGCTAAGGAGAGCTTTACTTCCAACTATGTGGTCAATTTTGGAATAGGTGTGGTGTGGTGCTGAAAAAAATGTATATTCTGTTGATTTGGGGTGGAGAGTTCTGTAGATGTCTATTAGGTCTGCTTGGTGCAGAGCTGAGTTCAATTCCTGGGTATCCTTGTTGACTTTCTGTCTCGTTGATCTGTCTAATGTTGACAGTGGGGTGTTAAAGTCTCCCATTATTAATGTGTGGGAGTCTAAGTCTCTTTGTAGGTCACTCAGGACTTGCTTTATGAATCTGGGTGCTCCTGTATTGGGTGCATAAATATTTAGGATAGTTAGCTCCTCTTGTTGAATTGATCCCTTTACCATTATGTAATGGCCTTCTTTATCTCTTTTGATCTTTGTTGATTTAAAGTCTGTTTTATCAGAGACTAGGATTGCAACCCCTGCCTTTTTTTGTTTTCCATTTGCTTGGTAGATCTTCCTCCATCCTTTTATTTTGAGCCTATGTGTGTCTCTGCACGTGAGATGGGTTTCCTGAATACAGCACACTGATGGGTCTTGACTCTTTATCCAACTTGCCAGTCTGTGTCTTTTAATTGCAGAATTTAGTCCATTTATATTTAAAGTTAATATTGTTATGTGTGAATTTGATCCTGTCATTATGATGTTAGCTGGTGATTTTGCTCATTAGTTGATGCAGTTTCTTCCTAGTCTCGATGGTCTTTACATTTTGGCATGATTTTGCAGCGGCTGGTACCAGTTGTTCCTTTCCATGTTTAGCGCTTCCTTCAGGAGCTCTTTTAGGGCAGGCCTGGTGGTGACAAAATCTCTCAGCATTTGCTTGTCTATAAAGTATTTTATTTCTCCTTCACTTATGAAGCTTAGTTTGGCTGGATATGAAATTCTGGGTTGAAAATTCTTTTCTTTAAGAATGTTGAATATTGGCCCCCACTCTCTTCTGGCTTGTAGGGTTTCTGCCGAGAGATCCGCTGTTAGTCTGATGGGCTTTCCTTTGAGGGTAACCCGACCTTTCTCTCTGGCTGCCCTTAACATTTTTTCCTTCATTTCAACTTTGGTGAATCTGACAATTATGTGTCTTGGAGTTGCTCTTCTCGAGGAGTATCTTTGTGGCGTTCTCTGTATTTCCTGAATCTGAATGTTGGCCTGCCTTGCTAGATTGGGGAAGTTCTCCTGGATAATATCCTGCAGAGTGTTTTCCAACTTGGTTCCATTCTCCACATCACTTTCAGGTACACCAATCAGACGTAGATTTGGTCTTTTCACATAGTCCCATATTTCTTGGAGGCTTTGCTCATTTCTTTTTATTCTTTTTTCTCTAAACTTCCCTTCTCGCTTCATTTCATTCATTTCATCTTCCATTGCTGATACCCTTTCTTCCAATTGATCGCATCGGCTCCTGAGGCTTCTGCATTCTTCACGTAGTTCTCGAGCCTTGGTTTTCAGCTCCATCAGCTCCTTTAAGCACTTCTCTGTATTGGTTATTCTAGTTATACATTCTTATAAATTTTTTTCAAAGTTTTCAACTTCTTTGCCTTTGGTTTGAATGTCCTCCCGTAGCTCAGAGTAATTTGATCGTCTGAAGCCTTCTTCTCTCAGCTCGTCAAAATCATTCTCCATCCAGCTTTGTTCTGTTGCTGGTGAGGAACTGCGTTCCTTTGGAGGAGGAGAGGCGCTCTGCGTTTTAGAGTTTCCAGTTTTTCTGTTCTGTTTTTTCCCCATCTTTGTGGTTTTATCTACTTTTGGTCTTTGATGATGGTGATGTACAGATGGGTTTTCGGTGTAGATGACCTTTCTGGTTGTTAGTTTTCCTTCTAACAGACAGGACCCTCAGCTGCAGGTCTGTTGGAATACCCTGCTGTGTGAGGTGTCAGTGTGCCCCTGCTGGGGGGTGCCTCCCAGTTAGGCTGCTCGGGGGTCAGGGGTCAGGGACCCACTTGAGGAGGCAGTCTGCCTGTTCTCAGATCTCCAGCTGCATGCTGGGAGAACCACTGCTCTCTTCAAAGCTGTCAGACAGGGACACTTAAGTCTGCAGAGGTTACTGCTGTCTTTTTGTTTGTCTGTGCCCTGCCCCCAGAGGTGGAGCCTACAGAGGCAGGCAGGCCTCCTTGAGCTGTGGTGGGCTCCACCCAGTTCGAGCTTCCCGGCTGCTTTGTTTACCTAAGCAAGCCTGGGCAATGGCGGGCGCCCCTCCCCCAGCCTCGTTGCCGCCTTGCAGTTTGATCTCAGACTGCTGTGCTAGCAATCAGCGCGACGCGATTCCGTGGGCGTAGGACCCTCTGAGCCAGGTGTGGGATATAGTCTCGTGGTGCGCCGTTTCTTAAGCCGGTCTGAAAAGCGCAATATTCGGGTGGGAGTGACCCGATTTTCCAGGTGCGTCCATCACCCCTTTCTTTGACTGATTGAAAATGGCCATACTGCCCAAGGTAATTTACAGATTCAATGCCATCCCCATCAAGCTACCAATGACTTTCTTCACAGAATTGGAAAAAACTACTTTAAAGTTCATATGGAACCAAAAAAGACCCTGCATCGCCAAGTCAATCCTAAGCCAAAAGAACAAAGCTGGAGGCATCACACTACCTGACTTCAAACTATACTACAAGGCTACAGTAACCAAAACAGCATGGTACTGGTACCAAAACAGAGATATAGATCAATGGAACAGAACAGAGCCCTCAGAAATAATGCCGCATATCTACAACTATCTGATCTTTGACAAACCTGAGAAAAACAAGCAATGGGGAAAGGATTCCCTATTTAATAAATGGTGCTGGGAAAACTGGCTAGCCATATGTAGAAAGCTGAAACTGGATCCCTTCCTTACACCTTATACAAAAATCAATTCAAGATGGATTAAAGATTTAAACGTTAGACCTAAAACCATAAAAACCCTAGAAGAAAACCTAGGCATTACCATTCAGGACATAGGCGTGGGCAAGGACTTCATGTCCAAAACACCAAAAGCAATGGCAACAAAAGCCAAAATTGACAAATGGGATCTAATTAAACTCAAGAGCTTCTGCACAGCAAAAGAAACTACCATCAGAGTGAACAGGCAACCTACAACATGGGAGAAAATTTTCGCAACCTACTCATCTGACAAAGGGTTAATATCCAGAATCTACAATGAACTCAAACAAATTTACAAGAAAAAAACAAACAACCCCATCAAAAAGTGGGCGAAGGACATGAACAGACACTTCTCAAAAGAAGACATTTATGCAGCCAAAAAACACATGAAGAAATGCTCATCATCACTGGCCATCAGAGAAATGCAAATCAAAACCACTATGAGATATCATCTCACACCAGTTAGAATGGCAATCATTAAAAAGTCAGGAAACAACAGGTGCTGGAGAGGATGTGGAGAAATAGGAACACTTTTACACTGTTGGTGGGACTGTAAACTAGTTCAACCATTGTGGAAGTCAGTGTGGCGATTCCTCAGGGATCCAGAACTAGAAATACCATTTGACCCAGCCATCCCATTACTGGGTATATACCCAAAGGACTATAAATCATGCTGCTATAAAGACACATGCACACGTATGTTTATTGCGGCACTATTCACAATAGCAAAGACTTGGAACCAACCCAAATGTCCAACAATGATAGACTGGATTAAGAAAATGTGGCACATATACACCATGGAAAACTATGCAGCCATAAAAAATGATGAGTTCATGTCCTTTGTAGGGACATGGATGAAATTGGAAACCATCATTCTCAGTAAACTATCGCAAGAACAAAAAACCAAACACCGCATATTCTCACTCATAGGTGGGAATTGAACAATGAGATCACATGGACACAGGAAGGGGAATATCACACTCTGGGGACTGTGGTGGGGTCGGGGGAGGGGGGAGGGATAGCATTGGGAGATATACCTAATGCTAGATGACACGTTAGTGGGTGCAGCGCACCAGCATGGCACATGTATACATATGTAACTAACCTGCACAATGTGCACATGTACCCTAAAACTTAGAGTATAATAAAAAAAAAAAAAATTAAAAAAAAAATTAAAAAAAAAAAAAAAAAAAAAAAAAGAGTCTTCCCCCAGGGGAATATGCCATTTTATAAACATAAAATAAAAGAAGAAAAAAAAAAAGGTTAAGTACTTTGTGTCAAGAGTAGGTTAAGTGCCAGGGACCAAAAGATGATTAAGACAGAGTACCTGCTCTAGTGATAATAGGTTAGAGATTATGCTTTTTAGTTTGTTTACTATTGTCCAGATGAACTTCTGTTTAATCTGACACAAGTATGTCTCAATATGGAGCTGAGAGCAGGGTATTTACACCTGTCCTTACTGTCTTTGATTTAAATATTTTAACTATGTCCTCTGATCTGATTGCAGCTATCAAGTACCTCTGCCATTACAAATTCCCACAGTGCATTATTGGGAAGCCAGTTGTAAATTACATGACCACTGGAGGAAATACTCTAAGTGTAAATGACCAGGATCAGATTTTATTTTGTGTTTGTTCACTTGTTTTGTTTCGGTTTGTGGCAGTTGTTCGCAGGTTTCGTTTGTATTAATCTATGTGTCTAGGCCTTGCTTGGCGAGAACAAGATTTAAATCTGATCGTTTCATTAAGTTAATGCCACCCTGTGAAAAACAACCTGACCAGATGGCAGGCCTTTCTTAATTACACTGCCTCCCCTCTATCATGGCCTTCAAACTGTAGCATTAATTATACTGCTTAACCTTTTACCACATGCTCTTGAATAATGCTATAAGTAGTTTATTAAATGTTTATCATGTTGGATACTTCTCTAAATACAAAAAAAGTATTGTATATGTAGCTATAATCATTAATTTTTGCAAATTATTATTTAGTAAAATTAAGTAACACCAATAAATAATGTTTTGTTCTAAAATCTTGATTTCTGCCTAATTATTCTGATTGTTCAGAAAATTTTAAATGGTAAGTTTAGGGCAGTATGAAAAACTAAGGTGTACAATAGCATATTTTAATAAATTCATCCATGTAAGTCTGAATATATCTCAGTATTGATGGTAAGTATTGTAGAATTGCTTCTTTTGGAAGATGTTTAAGGATAATCTAAATAATTCACTAATAATGCAATTAATTTATTCTCAAAAGCCACTAAATTGTGGGCTAAAGAACCCTCAATGATGGTCGTAATCTTTTACAATTCTAAGATCAGGTCAACGTCAGTATCTAAGTTCTTAGTTATTCACATCAACTGTAACACTATAAAATAATTTTTAAATTGCTTTTGGAACTTTGACATTGAATGTGAAGGAAGCAAAAATAAAAGTATTACCTTTTTGAGCTTTATGTTATTTTAATGTATTAGTTGCTAAAAGTGAGATACCTTACCTGTGCTAAATTATTTCATACTCTCATCTCCCTTGCAAAATATTATTAATTCCATTTTCCAGTTAGGATTCAGAGAGTAAAGTAGCTTGCTAGTTATCAGAGAGGTAAATTAACTTGCCCCAAATTATATAGCAAATGTTGACATTGCAATTCAAACTCATGTTTGTTAGACATACCCTCTTCTTCTGCATTTATTTCACTGTAGCGTGTTATCTTAGTTCTAATGGAAAAGGCTAGAGGTTAGACACTGAAGATCCTCTCATGCTGGTTTAAGAAATTTGACCTTTATCTGGAAGGCAATGGGAAAACCTGAAGCTGAATTCCTCCCTTATTCTGTAGCCTCATTGCCTATCACTCTTCCTTTTCGTGTCTGCACTTCGGCCATACTAACCTTTCAGTTACTCAAAGTTTCTAAGTCCGTTTCAGTCTCTGTGCCTTTGCTTAATCCATTCTTTGCTCATTCTGTACTTATTTCCAAATAATTCTTCAAATCTCAGCTCTCATGTTATTTTTTATTCAAAGTCTTAGCTGATCATCTACCCTCTTGTTAGCCATCAGGATTTATTTTTTTATAGTAATCAAATATATTTATTGAATGAACTATTTAATGCATAAGGTACAAAGTATAGGTACAGACTATTAGGAGAATGTGAGGATCGAACAATATATTGTAAACAGCTAAAAAGGAAAAAGAATAGTTTTCATCAAGAGAATGGTAAGCGTAGAAGAAATTGAAGGGACTGTCAACATACTCAAACATCAGGTGAAATCTATTTACATCTGATAAAAATATTGAAACTCCACTCCCTGTACCTAAAGTTTCAGAGTTTTAGGTTAATTGCTCTAAAGCTAAATATGTCAGAAAATTGATTTTGAAACTACTGATTGAAATGCCATCATGAACACACTCTTACCTTAGGTTGCATTGCAACAAGCAGCTATTTTTATCTATGAGACCAATATTTTCTATACATGTTTTAATTAACATTTCACTTTCACTTTCAATAATATACAGTGAAGATCCTACAAGATATTTTAATAGGAAAACCTTATAACTGCCTGAAAAAATTTCTGAAATTATATTCAATTGTGTAAAAAATTATAAATTTTCATATAGATTTTGTGTTAGTTTTTAAACATGCTGATGTGGAGAGTAAGGATATTATATCATATGCCCATGACATTTCCCAGAATTATCAGTCAATGGGAAAATTTTAAACCTCTACATATCTCAAACTGATCATCTGTAAAATGGATAAAATCATGCCTACCACAAATACTGAATTTCATGCAGGGTGACTAGAAGATAGAGGAACAGGAGAATTACTGTCACTATTCTATTACTTTTAAATTTGGTTTCTGCTTTAAACATGTGCTACCTATTAGAAGAAATTTTCTCCATTACTTTAGTTGTTTCTCTACTTTTTATTCTTTCTTCTCTACATGTTCCCTTTATACCTATTCTTCAAAGCCACTTTATAAGAAAGGTGAAATGGAAAACATCCAGTATTAGAGCTGGTCAAGGTTTGAAAGGGCCACAGCTTTCATTTTCTCGTAAGCCCCAAAACAATACGGAAAAATGAAATGTTATATTTTCCACTATTTAAAAATTTCTTGGCTGGGCATGGTGGCTAATGCCTGTAATCCCAGCACTTTGGAAGGCCAAGGCAAGTGAATCACTTGAGGTCAGGAGTTCAAGACCAGCCTGGCCAACATGGTGAAACCCCCTCTCTACTAAAAATACAAAAATTAGCCCAGCATGGTGGCTCATGCCTGTAATCCCAGCTACTTGGGAGGCTGAGGCAGGAGAATCACATGAACCAGGAGGTGGAGGTTGCAGCGAGCCGAGATCTCGCCACTATACTCCAGACTGGGTGACAGAGCGAGGTTCCATCTCAAAAAAGAAAATAGGTAAATAAATAAAAATTAAAAATTAACATTTCTTTAAAAAGAAAGTTACTCTTCAAAATATAAAGGTCAAATTCATAATGCTTCACACTATAGCCAACCACAGATATATTAAAGCTAAAACGAAGTGTTAATGATAGAAAACACATAGTGGGCATTCTAGGTCACCAACCAAGCTTCCATGAGCTTTTTTTTTGTTGTAACAGAAACTTGATTTTACCTGGATTTATATTTTTCTAGGACAGAACCCTTCTTGACACAAGAAAAGTCACCAACAGGGGTGGGCTCAAAATGTCCATAGCTATTTTCTCATTCTTGTGAAGATAAAGCCAATATATAGAAGAAAGCCGTTAATAGTGACATAGAAAGTAGTTTGAATATGAAATACTCTGTCCTTCTGGACTTCACATTATATGAGAAAAGAAAATTTCTCATCTTATGAAGTCAATATGAATTTTATCTTTAATTACTTCCACACAAAAACATCATCCATAGTAAAGGATAGGATTTGAAATTTTTAATGTAATGAGAAAACTTAGGCTGAAATTAGGCACTGTGACATGCCAAATCCCACAGACAGATTGTTGTAAAAATAGAACATATTCTCAAATCACCTCATTTCTATTATTAGCCCTTTTCTTCTGGTAAGTGCCTTGCAGTAAAACTCATAATAAAAAAGTACAAACAGAGTTCCATTGTCTCATGATATTCCACAACACAGGAAATATATGAAAATCTTCAGTCTGTCAAAGAAAGCAATGTCTTCAGTCCTTGTCCCCATGACTTTAATTATGTAAACTCTTCAGAAATTATATCTTAAGTCCAAATATTTCAACTGAACTCTATAGCATCATGCTCACTTATTTCATTTACTAGACTAGTAATATGAATTATGTACTACTGGGACTACTAAGACCAATTGAATTACCAATATAAAATGCAAGTAGGGATTCGTGTTATGAGAGATTATTTATACCATAGACTCCTTGGATAGCTATTCCTGGAATAACATTGATAATTGCTGTTTAATTCTTTTGGGACAGAGTTTCACTTTTGTTGCCCAGTCTGGAGTACAGTGGCATGATCTTGGCTCACTGCAAATTCTGCCTCCCTGAGCCAAGCAATTCTCCTGCCTCAGCCTTCCAAGTAGCTAGGACTACAGATGTGAACCACCACACCTGGCTAATTTTTGTATTTTTAGTAGCAACTGGGTTTCACCATGTTTGCCAGGCTGGTCTCAAACTCCTGACCTCAAGTGATCCACCTGCTTAAGCCTCCCAAAGTGCTGGGATTACAGGTGTGAGCCACCGCACCCAGCCAATTCTTTTAAAATATACTAAAGTTAAAAATGCCTTTAACTACTTTGATTTACAGTTTAAAAAATTATTAATCTACTGAACAAGGTGATGTTTTTGACAGTCTTCCTGAATATATCAGTTAGCTATTGCTGTTTAATATGCTACACAAAATTTAGTGTCTTGAAAAAGCAAATGATTGCTGGCAAGATGGCCAAATAGGAACAGCTCCGGTCTGCAGCTCCCAGCAAGATCGACACAGAAGTTGGGTAATTTCTGCATTTCCAACTGAGGTACCAGGTTCATCTCACTGGGACCAGTTAGATAGCGGGTGCAGCCCGTGGAGGGCAAGCTGAAGCAGGGTGGGGTATCACCTCACCTGGGAAGCACAAGGGGTTGGGGGATTTCCCTCCCCCAGACAAGGGAAGCTGTGAGAGACTGTACCAGGAGGAACGATGCACTCTGGTCCAGATACTGTACTTTTCCCATGGTCTTTGCAACTGGCAGACCAGGAGATTCTCTGTGGTGCCTAACCCACCACGGCCCTGAGTTTCAAGCAAAAAGCTGGTTGACCACTTGGACAGACATCATGCTAGCTGCAGGATTTTTTTTTTTAAACCCCAGTGGCACCTGGAATGCCAGTGAGACAGAACCTTTCACTCCCCTGGAAAGTGGGCTGAAGCCAGGGAGCCAAGTGGTCTGGCTTGGCGAATCCTACCACCATGGAGCCCAGCAAACTAAGATCCACTGGCTTAAATTCTTGCTGCCAGCACAGCAGTCTGAGGTTGACCTGGAAAGCTCGAGCTTGGTGGGGGGAAGGGCATCCACCATTGCTGAGGCTTGATTAGGCATTTTTACCCTCACAGGGTAAAAAAAAAGGCTCAGGGAAGGTCCAACTGGGTGAAGCCCACCACAGTTCAGCAAGGCCACTGCAGCCAGACTGCCTCTCTAGAGTCCCCGTCTTGGGGCAGGGCATCTCTGAAGAAAAGGCAGCAGCCCCAGTCAGAGACTTATAGATAAAACTCCCTTCTCCCTGGGACAGAGCATCTGGGGAAAGGGGCAGCTGTGGGCATAGCTTCAGCAGACTTAAACGTCCCTGTCTGACAGCTCTGAAGAGAACAGTGGATCTCCCAGCACAGTGTTCGAGCTCTGATAGGGGACAGAGTGCCTCCTCAAGTGGGTACCTGACACCTGTGTATCCTGACTGGAAGGCACCTCCAAGTATGGGCCAACAGACACCTCATACAGGAGAGCTCTGGCTGGCATCTGGTGGGTGCCCCTCTGGGACAAAGCTTCCAGAGGAAAAACAGGCAGCAATCATTGCTATTCTGCAGCCTCCTCTGGCAAAACCCAGACAAACAGGGTCTGGAGTGGACCTCAACCAAACTCCAGCAGACCTGCAGCAGAGGGCCCTGACTGTTAGAAGGAAAACAAACAAACAAACAGAAAGGAATAGTATCAACATCAACAAAAAGGATGTTCACTCAGAGACCCAATCTGAAGGTCACCAACATCAAAGACCAAAGTTAGATAAATCCACGAAGATGTGGAGAAACCAGTCCAAAAAGGCTGAAAATTCCAAAAACCAGAATACCTCTTCTCCTCCAAAGGATCACAACTCACCAGCAAGGAAACAAAACTTGATGGAGAATGAGTTTGATGATTTGATAGAAGTAGGCTTCAGAAGGTGGATAATAACAAACTCCTCTGAGCTAAAGGAGCATGTTCTAACCCAATGCAAGGAAGCTAAGAACCCTGAAAAAAGGTTAGACATATTGCTAACTAGAATAATCAGTGTAGAGAAGAACATAAATGACCTGATAGAGCTGAAAAACACAGCACAAGAACTTTGTGAAGCATAAACAAGTATCAATAGCCAAATAGAACAAGCAGAAGAAAGGATATCAGAGATTGAAGATCAACTCAATGAAAGGAAGTGAGAAGACAAGATTAGAGAAAAAAGAGTGAAAAGAAACGAACAAAGCCTCCAAGAAATATGGGACTATGTGAAAAGACCAAATCTACGTTTCATTGGTATACTTGAAAGTGACAGGGAGAAAGCAATCAAGTTGGAAACACTCTTCAGGATATTATCCAGGAGAATTTCCCCAACCTAGCAAGACAGGCCAACATTCAAATTCAGGAAATACAGAGAACACCACAAAAATACTCCTTGAGAAGTGCAACCCCAAGACACATAATCGTCAGATTCACCAAGTTTGAAATGAAGGAAAAAATGTTAAGGGCAATCAGAGAAAAGGTCGGGTTACCCATAATGGGAAGCCAATCAGACTAACAATGGATCTCTCAGAAGAAACCCTGCAAGCCAGAAGAGACCGGGGGCCAGTATTCAGCATTCTTAAGTAAAGAATTTTTAACCCAGAATTTCACATCCAGCCAAACTAAGCTTCATAAGTGAAGGAGAAATAAAATCCTTTACAGATAAGCAAATGCTGAGAGATTTTGTCACCACCAAGTGTGCCTTACAAGAGCTCCTGAAGGAAGCACTAAACATGGAAATGAAAAACCGGTACCAGATCCTGCAAAAATATACCAAATTATGAAGACCATCGATGCTATGAAGAAACGGCATCAACTAATGGGCAAAATGACCAGCTAGCATCACAATGACACAATCAAATGTACACATAACAATATTAACCTTAAACAAGCTAAATACCCCTATTAAAAGACATAGACTGGCAAATTGAATGAGGAGTCAAGACCTACCAGTGTGCTGTATTCAGGAGACCCAGCTCATGTGCAAAGACACACATACACTGAAAATAAAAGGATGGAGGAATATTTACCAAGCAAATAGAAGGCAATGAAAAAGCAGGGGTTGCAATCCTAGTCTCTGATAAAACAGACTTTAAACCAACAAAGATCAAAAGAGGCAAAGAAGGGCATTGCATAATGGTAAAGGGATCAATGCAACAAGAAGAGGTAACTATCCTAAATATTTGCACCCAATACAGGAGCACCCAGATTCATAAAGCAAGTTCTTAGATACCTACGAAGAGCTGTCGACTCCCAAACAATAATAGTGGGAGACTTTACACCCCACTGTCAATATTAGACAGACAAATGAGACAGAAAATTAACAAGGATATCCAAGATTTGAACTCAGCTCTGGACCAAGTGGACATAATAGACATCTACAGAACTCTCCACTCCAAATCAACAGAATATACATTCTTCTTAGCACTGCATCACACTTATTCTAAAATTAACCACATAATTGGAAGTAAAACACTCCTCAGCAAATGCAAAAGAACAGAAACCATAAGAAACTGTCTCTCAGACCACAGTGCAATCAAATTAGAACTCAGGATTAAGAAACTCACTCAAAACTGCACAGCTGCATGGAAACTGAACAACCTTCTCCTGAATGACTACTGGGTAAATAAAGAAATGAAGACAGAAATAAAGATGTTCTTTGAAACCAATGAGAACAAAGACACAACGTACCAGGATCTCTGGGACACATTTAAAGCAGTGCCTAGAGGAAAATTTATAGCACTAAATGCCCACAAAAGAAAGCAGGAAAGGTCTAAAATTGACACCCTAGCATCACAATTAAAAGAACTAGAGAAGCAAGAGCAAACAAATTCAAAAGCTAGCGGAAGACAAGAAATAATTATGATCAGAGCAGAACTGAAGGAGATAGAGACATGAAAAACCCTTCAAAAAAAAAAAAAATCAATGAATCCAGGAGCTGGTTTTTTGAAAAGATCAACAAAATAGACCACTAGCCAGACTAATAAAGAAGAAAAGAGAGAAGAATCAAATAGGCATAATAAAAAATGATGAAGTGGATATTACTACCGATCCCACAGAAATACAAACTACCATCAGAGAACACTATAAACACCTCTATGTAAATAAATGAGAAAATCTAGAAGAAATGGATAAATTCATGGACACATACACCCTCCTAAGACTAAACCAGAAAGAATTTGGAGCCCTGAATAGACCAGTAACAAGTTCTGAAATTGAGGCAGTAATTAATAGCCTACCAACCTAAAAAAGTCCAGGACCAGATGGATTCACAGCCGAATTCTACCAGAGGTACAAAGAGGAGCTGGTACCATGTCTTCTGAAACTATTCCAAACAATAGAAAAAGAGGGACTCCTCCCTAAATCATTTTATGAGGCCAGCATCATCCTGATACCAAACCCTGGCAGAGACACAGCAAAAAAAGAAAATTTCAGGCCAATATCCCTGATGAACTTCAATGCAAAAATCCTAAGTAAAATACTGGCAAACTGAATCCAGCAGCGCATCCGAAAGCTCATCCACCACGATCAAGTCGGCTTCATCCATGGGATTCAAGGCTGATTCAATATATGCAAATGAATAAACGTAATCCATCACATAAACAGAACCAATAAGAAAAACACAATGACTATCTCAACAGACGCAGAAAAGGCCTTTGGCAAAATTCAACAGCCCTTCATGCTAAAAAGTCTCAATAAACTAGGTATCAATGGAACATATCTCAAAATAATAAGAGCCATTTATGACAAACCCACAGCCAATATCATACTGAATATGCAAAAAGTGGAAGCATTCCCTTTGAAAACCAGCACAAGACAAAGATGCCCTCTCTCACCACTCCTATTCCACATAATATTGGAAGTTCTGACCAGCGCAATCAAGCAAGAGAAAGAAAGAAAGGGTATTCAATTAGGAAGAGAGGAAGTCAAATTGTCTCTGTTTGCAGATGACATGATTGTGTATTTAGAAAACCCCATTGTTTCAGCCCAAAATCTCCTTAAGCTGATAAGCAACTTTAGCAAAGTCGCAGGATACAAAATCAATGTGCAAAAATCACAAGCATTCCTATACACTAATAACAGACAGAGAGCCAAATAATGAGTGAACTCCATTAATAATTGCTACAAAGAGAATAAAATACCTAGGAATACAACTTACAAGGGATGTGAAGGACCTCTTCAAGGAGAACTAAAAACTACTGCTCAAGGAAATAAGAGAGGACACAAACAAATGGGAAAACATTCCAAGCTCATGGATAGGAAGAATCAATGTCATGAAAATGGCCATACTGCCTGAAGTAATTTATAGATTCAATGCTATTCCCATCAAGCTACCATTGACTTTCTTCAAAGAATTGGAAAAAACTACTTTAAATTTCATATGAAACCAAAAAACAGCCAGCATACCCAAGACAATCCTAAGCAAAAAGAACAAAGTTGGAAGAATCATGCTACCTGACTTCAAACTATACTACAAGTCTACAGTAACAAAAACAGCATGGTAGTGGTACCAAAACAAATATATAGACCCATGGAACTGAACAGAGGCCTCAGAAATAACAGCACACATCTACAACCATCTGATCTTTGACAAACCTGACAAGAACAAGAAATGAGGAAAGGATTCCCTATTTAATAAATGGTGTTGGGAAAAATGGCTAGCCATATGCAGAAAGCTGAAACTGGATCCCTTCTTTATACCTTACACAAAAATTAACTCATGATGGATTGAAGACTTAAACATAAGACCTAAAACCCTAAATACCCTAGAAGAAAACCTAGGCAATACCATACAGAACATAGGCATGGGCAAAGAACTCATGTCTAAAACACCAAAAGCAATGGCAACAAAAGCCAAAATTGACAAATGCGATCTAATTAAACTAAAGAGTTTCTGCACACACACACACAAAAACTATCATCAGAGTGAAGAAGCAACTTACAATTGAAAGAAAATTTTTGCAATCCATCCATCTGACAAAGGTTTAATATCCAGAATCTACAAAGAACTTAAATTTACAAGAAAAAAAACAACCCCATCAAAAAGTAGGTGAAGGATATGAACAGACACTTCTCAAAAGAAGACATTTATGCAGCCTACAAGCATATTAAAAAAAGCTCATCATCACTTTCATTAGAGAAATAAAAAACAAAACCACAATGAGATACCAACTCACTCCAGTTAGAACAGTGATCACTAAAAAGTCAGGAAACAGCAGATGCTGGAGAGCATGTGGAGAATTAGGAATGCTTTTACGCTGTTGGTGAGAGTGTAAAGTAGCTCAACTGTTGTGGAAGACAGTGTGGCAATTCCTCAAGGATCTAGAAATAGAAATACCATTTGACTCAGCAATCCCATTACTGGGTATATACCCAAAGGATTATAAATCATTCTATTATAAAGATACATGCACACGTATGTTTATTTCGGCACCATTCACAACAGCAAAGACTTGGAACCAACTCAAATGCCCATCAATGATAGACTGGATAAAGAAAAGTGGCACATACATGCCATGGAATTCTATGTAGGCATAAAAAGAATGAGTTCATGTCCTTTGCAGGGACATGGATGAAGATGGAAAACATCATTCTCAGCAAACTAACACAGGAACAGAAAACCAAACACCGCATGTTCTCACTCACAAGTGAGAGTGAGACAATGAGAACACAGGGACATGGGGCACGGGGGCATCACACACCAGGCCTGTCGGGGGGTGAGAGGCTGGGGGAAGGATAGCATTAGTTGAAATACCTAAAGTAGATGACAGATTGATGGGTGCAACAAACTACCATGGCATGTGTATACCTATGTAACAAACCTACACGTTCTGCGCATGTACCCCAGAACTTTAAGTATAATAAAAAAAGAAAAAGCAAAAACACAAAACAAAATATAAAAATTCAAATTAAACAAAGAAAAACGAAGAACAAAAACCAGAAACAAAAAAAAAGGATAGAAACAACAATAGAGAAAATAAATTAAAAAATAAAGAAAAACAATACTGGTTACTTCTCATGAGTCTACATTTTAGCTGTGTGGTTCTAACACCAACCATCTTCATACCTCTGTGGACAGTTAGAGCATCAGATGAGATTATTACCTTTGATTCATGTCATCATTTAGGAGAATAGTCTGGGTATGTTCTCAAGACAAGGGAAAGGTTCCAAGAAAGAGAAGAGAAAGCATTAGACCCCTTGAGGTCTAATATCAGAACTGGTATAGTGATTATTTTAACTTTCGTCAGTGTTATAGTATCTATTTTTTATTGACCAATCTTTACAGAGTTACAGATTTTAAGGTCATTAGATTTGCACTGATCTCCCTTTAAGATGAATAGGTAGAGTAGAATAGCATAATAATCTGTTCCCCCAAAACAATGGTAAACCATACTATGAAGAGGGCAACTGTATTTGAAGTTCTTACTATTTGAGCTTTCTTCTAAAATACATTAAGGATCAAACATTTTAGCAATTACCCATTTCTTGCCCTTGAAAAGATTCAATATGGTATTTTGAGGAAAGAACAGAATAATTAAATTTAAAAAATTGTTAGAAAGTGAGAGTTATAAGAGGCCCCATGACCAGACTCCTTCATGAAAGACTCACAGGATTTAGCATATAATAAACTTAATGACTAAGATTTAATACAGTGTCACATAAGAATATATAGCCAAGTCTGTAGGAGAAAAAGACACATCAGGCAAAGTCTGGACAAATCCCTATGCAGGCAAGTTAAGCTCTCCCTGAAGACTAACAGAACATGCTCTCTTATAGCCACGAAATGCAATAACATGTGCAAAATGGTTTTGCCCAAGGAAACCTGTTTGAGCCTATTTTCTGGGTAAGGGGTGCTGGTCACATAGGCACAAAAAATAACCATAAGTATTTAATTCTATTCTCCCAGAAAGGAAAGAAACTAATGCTCCTGATGATAAAAGTAAAAATCTGATAATGAAGAAACAGTTTAAAAGCCAATTTCCCAGAAATAGTCAGGACCAACTCTCTAAAAAGGCCCTTTTAAGAAAAACAGCTTCACATAGTATCTAAATTAAAAAGATAGTTGGGGAGTTGAGCAATGAGAACACATGGACACAGGGTGGGGAACATCACACAACGGGGCTGGTCGGGGGTGGGGGGCTGGGGGCAGATAGCATTAGGAGAAATACTAATACAAATGATGAGTTAATGGGTGCAGCAAACCAATATGGCACATGTATACCTATGTACCAAACCTGCACCTTGTGCACATGTACCCTAGAACTTAGAGTATAAAAATTAAAAAAAAATAGTTGGAAGCCAAATAAAAACAAAATTGGATCTGGAGGCAGAGCAAGACAGTTGAATAGAACCCTTCAGCAATTGTTCCCCACCCCCAGCAAAGTCACCAAATTGGACAACTATTCACACAATAAAGTACCTTTACAAAAACCAAAAATCAGCTAAGTGATCACAGTATCTAGTTTTAACATAGTATCAAGGAAAACAGTACCAAAGAGAGTAGGAAAGACAGTCTTGAATTGCTAACACCATCCCTCCCATATCCTCCACCCACCCTGGCAGCAGTGCCCATAGTGCGGAGAGAGAATCTTTGTGCTTGAGGGAAAGACAGTGCGGTGATTGTGGGACTTTGTATTGGAACTTAGTGTTGCACTGTCACAGCAGAAAGCAACATGAGACAGAATCCAGCTGACACCCATGGAGGAATTAATTGTGACCAGCCCTAGCCAGAGGGAAATCATTCATTGCAGTGGTGGTCAGAAGCTAAGTTCCAGTTAGCCCTCCCTCCACAGATAAAACACTCTGGGGTTCTAAATAAACTTGAAAGGCACTCTAGGCCACAAGGACTGCAGGTTCTGGGTAATTTCTGGTGTTGTGCTGGACTCAGCAACTGGACTTGGGGTACATGCTGCCTAAGGAGACCCTGAGCAGTGGTGACCAAGACTGTACTTGCATCACACCTCTCCCAACCCCTTAGCAGTACAGCTTGCAGCTCTGTGAGGCACTCCTATCCTCCCACTTGAGAAGTGAGTAAAGAGGAGTTTGTCTTGAAATTTGGACACCAACTCAGTCACAATAGAACAGAGCACCAGGCAGAGTGAGGTCCACCTTCAAGGCCCTAGCTCCCAAATGACATTTGTAGACACAACCTGGGCAAGAAAGGAATCCATTGCCTAGAAGGGAAGTGCCCAATTTTGGAAGGATTGATAACCTGCTGATTAAAGAGCCCTTGGGCCTTGAGTAAACATCAGCGGTGGAAAGGAAGTACTCACGGTAGGCCTTGGATGAAACCTAAGGCCATACTGACTTCAGGTGTGACCCAGTGCATTTGCAGGTGTAGTGGCCAGGAGGAGAGACCCCTTTGCTTAAGAAAAGAACAGGGAAGAGTAAAGGGGACTTTGTCTTGCAACTTGGGCACCAGCTCAGCTGCTGTGGGATAGAGCACCAAGGCTGGGGTTCCCGATTCTAGGCCTTGGATACTGGATGGCATTTCTGGAACTGCTCTGGGCCAGAGATGACTGTTCTGAAGAGAGAGACCCAATTACACAAAGTTCCACTTCCACAGTCACTGCACCATCTTTCCCTCAAGCACACAGATCACCACAGCTAACTGAAGAGCCTTGTGACATGAGTGAAATATCAGTGTTAGCCAGGCAGTACTTGCTGCAGACATGGGGGAAGTGGGGGTCATGGGTAAAACCCATTCTGTATGAAAAGGGAGACAGAAGTGTAGAATGGACTTTATCTTAGACCTTGGGAGACTGCTCAACCACAGTAAAATAGAGTACCAGGTAGATTCCTAAGATTCCTGACTATAGGCCTGAGCTTCTTGATAGCATGTTGGGACCTGTCCTGAGCCAGGGGTGAGCTCACTGTCATGAAGAAAGAACACAAGCATGGATGGATTCACTACCATCCATGTTCAGTGGTAGTGGACTGAAGAGCCCTCGGGAACTGAGTGAACATCAGTGGTATCCAGGCAGTGGTTGTTGTGGGCCTTGGGCAAGATCCAGGGCTGTGCTGGCTTTGGGTCTCACCCAGCACAATCCCAGTGGTGCTGGCCATGGGGGTGGCTTATATCAACCCTCCCCCCAGGCTCCAGGCAGTTCAGCAGAGAAAGACTCTATCTGTTTAGGAAAAAGTAAGAAAAGAGAATAAGTCTCTGCATGGTAGTCAAGGGAGTTTTCCTAGATCTTACCCAAGTCCACCAAGGTGGTATCTCTACAAGCCTGTAAGACTCACAGTGTTACGGGGCATGTGTTGCCCCATAATGCAGATACGGCTGCAGTGTCCAAAGAGTTAGAAGACAAAACTCAATTACTTAGAAGTACATTCTCAAGAAGAATGGGTACAAACAATTCCAGACTGCAAAGACTACAATACCTACCTATTCAATGTACAGACACTGGTGAACATCCACAAGCACCAAGACCATCCAGGAAAACATGACCTTACAACACAAACTATATAAGGGACCAGTGACAAATCTTGGAGTGAATGTTGAACAACATTCAACATAACACAAATAAGGAATTGAGAAAATTTTCAGATAAATTTAGCTAAGATTGAAATAATTTTAAAACATCAAGCAGAAATTCTGGAGATGAAAAACTCAGTTAACATACTGAAGAATCTGTCTCTCAAGAGCAGAACTGACCAAGTGGAAGAAAGAATGCATGAGCTTAAAGACAGGGTATTTCAGAATACACGGAGGAGACAAAAAAAAAAAAAAAAAAAAGCAATGAAGCATGCTGACAAGACCTAGAGAATAGTCTCAAAAGGGCAAATGTGAGATATTGGCCTGAAAGAGAAGGTAAAGAGAGATCAGAAAAGAAAATTTATTCAAAGGAATAATAACAGAGAACTTCCCAAACCTAGAGAATGATATCAATATTAAGTACAAGAAGGTTATAGAACATCAAGCAGGCTTAACCCAAATAAGACAACCTCAAGACATTTAATAAACTCCAAAAGGTCAAAAGTATTATGGAAACAACAAGATAAAAATAACAAACAACATATAAAGGAGCTTCAATATGTCTGACAGCAGACTTCTCAGTGGAAACTTTACAGACCAGGAGAGAGTGGTATGACATATTTAAAGTGCTGAATGAGCAGAATTTTCATCCTAGAATAGTACCTCCACTGAAAATATAATTCAAACATAATAAAGACTTCCCTAGACAAACAAAAGCCAAGGGATTTCATTAATACTAGATCTGTCCTATAAGAGATGCTAACAGGAATTCTTCAATTTGGGAAAAAAAAGGATACTAATCATCAATAAGAAATTATTTGAAAGTACAAAGCTCACTGACACTGATAAATACACTTAAAACTCAGATAACACTGTAATTGTGTGTAAACTACTAATTTTGTGTAGAAAAGCTAGACATAGACAGTATAAGATATAAATAGAAACAAAAAGTTTAAAGAGTGGAGGAATAAAGTTAAACTGTAAAGTTTTGTTGTTAGTTTTCTCTTTGCTTGTTTATGCAATCAGCAGTAAGCTGTCACCAGTTTTTTAAAAAAATAAGTTGAAAGATATTATTTGCAAGCCTCATGGTAAACTTAAATCAAAAACTTATAACAGATACACAATAAAACAAAAGCAAGAAATTAAAACATACCACCTGAAATAAATTACCTACACAAAAAGGAAGATAAAAAGGAGGAAGAGAAGACCACAAAACAACCTGAAAACAAATAAAAAAATGGCAGGAGTAAAAACTTGCTTACTTATTGGTTTTACTTATTGGTAATAACATTGAATGTAAATAGACTAAACTCTTCAAAAGACAAAGACTGGCTGAATGGATGAAAAAATAATGCCCATTGATGTGTTGCCTACAAGAAACACACTTCACCTGTAAAGACACCACAGACTGAAAATAAAGGAATGGAAAGAGGTATTTCATGCCTCTTTTTAGAAACAAAAAAAGAGCAGAAGTCTATACATGTATCAGACAAAATAGATTTCAATTTAAAAACTATAAAAGGAAACAAAGAAAGTCATGATACTATGATAAAAGGGTGAATTCAACAAAGCATACAACAACTGTAAATATATATGCACCCAACACTAGAGTACCCAGATTTATAAAGCAAATATTAGAGCAAAAGAGACAAAGACCCCAATACACTAATAGCTGCAGAATTCAACACCGCACTTTCAACATCGGGCAGATCATCCAGAAAGAAAATCAACAAAAAAGCATCACACATAATCTGCACCATAGGTCAAATGGACCTAATAGATATTCATAGAACATTTCATTCAATGACTACAGAATATACATTCTCAGCCACAAAGGCTCATTCTCAAGGGTAGACCATATATAGTTTGGATGACAAAACAAGTCTTAAAAAATTTTAAAAACCTGAATTATCAAGCGTCTTCTCTAACCACAATGGAATGAAACTAGAATTCAATACCAGAGGAATTTGGGACACTATACAAATTTATGGAAATTAAACAATATACTCCTATATGACAAGTGGGTCACTGAAGAAATTAAGGAAATTAAACAATTTCTTGAAACAAAAATTGAAGCACAATATAAAAACATATGGGATACAGGGAAAGCAGTACTAGGAGAGAAGTTTATAGCAATAGATGCCTACATCAAAAATGTAGGGAAACTTATAAACAACCTAGCAATGCAACGTAAAGAACTAGAAAAGTGAGCACAAACTAAATCCAAATTTAGTAGAGAAAAATAAATAAAGATCAAGCAGAAATAAATGAAATTAGAATTTTAAAAAAAGCAAAACGGGATTGCTGGCAAGATGGCCAAATAGGAACAGCTCCAGTCTGCAGCTCCCAGCGAGACTGATGCAGAAGGTGGGTGATTTCTGCATTTCCAACTGAGGTACCTGGTTCATCTCATTGGGACTGGTTGGACAATGGGTGCATGGTCTCTTCTCCTCCAAAGGATCACAGCTCCTCGCCAGCAATGGGACAAAACTGAATGGAGAATGAGTTTGATGAACTGACAGAAGTAGGCTTCAGGAGGTGGGTAATAACAAACCCCTCTGAGCTGAAGGAGCAGGATCTAACCCAATGCAAGGAAGCTAAGCAATTCATCTAACTTTTCTTCAAGGTTCTAACTAGAATAACCAGTTTAGAGAAGAACATAAATGGCCTGATAGAGCTGAAAAACACAGCACAAGAACTTCGTGAAGCATACACAAGTACCAATAGCCAAATTGATCAAGCAGAAGAAAGGATATCAGAGATTGAATATCAACTTACTGAAATAAATCCAGAGGACAAGATTAGAAAAAAAAAAAAAAAAGAATATAAAGGAACAAACAAAGTCTCCAAGAAATACAGGACTATGTGAAAAGACCAAATCTACATTTGATTGGAGTACCTGAAAGTGACGGGCAGAATGGAACCAAGTTGGAAAACAGTCTTCAGGATATCATCCAGGAGAAGTTCCCCAAAATAGCAAGACAAGCTGACATGCAAATTCAGGAAATACAGAGAACACCACAAAGATACTCCTCGAGAAGAACAACCCCAAGACACATAATTGTCATATTCACCAAGGTTGAAATGGAGGAAAAAACTTTAAGGGCAGCCAGTGAGAAAGGTTGGGTTGCCCACAAAGGGAAGCCTATCAGACTAATGACAGATTTCTCTGCAGAAACCCTACAGGCCACAAGAGAGTGGGGGCCAAATATTCAACATTCTTAAAGAAAAGAATTTTCAACCCAGAATTTCATATCCAGCCAAACTAAGCTTCATAAGCTAAGGAGAAATAAAATCCTTTACAAACAAGCAAATGTTGAGAGATTTTGTCACCACTAGGCCTGCCGTACAAGAGCTCCTGAAGGAAGCACTAAACATGGAAAGGAAAAACCGGTATTAGCCAGTGCAAAAACATATCAAATTGTAAACGCCATAGACACTATGAAGAAACTGCATCAATTCACAGGCAAAATAACCAGCTGGCATCATTATGACAGGATCAAATTCACATACAACAATATTAACTTTAGAAGTAAATGGGTTAAATGCCTCAATTAAAAGACACAGACTGGCAAATTGGATAAAGAGTCAAGGCTCATTGTTATGCTGTATTCACTCAGCTCTGGATCAAGCTGACTTAATAGACATCTACAGAACTCCACCCCAAATCAACAGAATATACATTGTTCTCAGTACCACATCGCACTTATTCTAAAATTGACCACATAATTGGAAGTAAAACACTCCCCAGCAAATGCAAAAGAATGGAAATCATAATGTGTCCAGAATTGGTGGGTTCTTGGTCTCACTGACTTCAAGAATGAAGCCGCAGACCCTCGCGGTGAGTGTTACAGCTCTTAAGGTGGCGCATCTGGAGTCTGTCCTTTCTGATGTTCAGATGTGTTCGGAGTTTCTTCCTTCTGGTGGGTTCGTGGTCTCGCTGGCTCAGGAGTGAAGCTGCAGACCTTCGCAGTGAGTGTTACAGCTCTTAAGGCAGCACGTCTTGAGTTGTTCGTTCCTCCCAGTGGGCTCCTGGTCTCGCTGGGCTCAGGAGTGAAGCTGCAGATCTTCGCAGTGAGTGTTACAGCTCATAAAATCAGCATGGACCCAAAGAGTGAGCAGTAGCAAGATTTATTGCAAAGAGCGTCAGAACAAAGCTTCCACAGTGTGGAAGAGGACCCAAGCAGGTTGCCAACGCTGGCTTGGGCAGCCTGCTTTTATTCTTTTATCTGGCCCTACCCACATCCTGCTGATTGGTAGAGCTGAGTGGCCTATTTTGACAGGGTGCTGATTGGTGCGTTTACAATCCCTGAGCTAGATATAAAGGTTTTCCATGTCCCCATTAGATTAGTTAGATACAGAGTATTGATACAAAGGTTCTCCAAGGCCCCACCAGAGCAGCTAGATACAGAGTGTCAATTGGTGTATTTACAAACCTTGAGCTAAACACAGGGTGCTGATTGGTGTGTTTACAAACCTTGAGCTAGATACAGAGTGCCGATTGGTGTGTTTACAATCCCTGAGCTAGACATAAAGGTTTTACAAGGCCCCACCAGAGTAGTTAGATACAGAGTGTCGATTGGTGTACTTACAAACCCTGAGTTAGACATAAATGTTCTCCCAGGCCCCACCAGAGTAGCTAGATACAGAGTGTCAATTGGTGCACTCACAAACCCTGAGCTAGACACAGGGTGTTGATTGGTGTGTTTACAAACCTTGAGCTAGATACGGAGTGCCGATTGGTGTATTTACAATCCCTGAGCTAGACATAAAGGTTTTCTAGGGCCCCACCAGAGCAGCTAGATACAGAGTATCAATTGGTGTACTCATAAACTTTGAACTAAACATAGGGTGCTGATTGGTGTATTTACAATCCCTGAGCTAGATATAAAGACTCTCTACGTCCCCACCAGACTCAGGAGCCCAGCTGGCTTCACCTGGTGGATCCCTCACTGGGGCTGCAGGTGGAGCTGCCTGCCAGTCCCGCGCTGTGCGCTCGCACTCCTCAGCCCTTGGGTGGTCGATGGGACTGGGCGCCATGGAGCAGGGGGTGGTGTTCGTCAGGGAGGCACAGGAGCCCATGGAGTGGGTGGGAGGCTCAGGCATGGCGGGCTGCAGGTCCCGAGCCCTGCCCCGCAGGAAGGCAGCTAAGGCTTGGGGAGAAATCGAGTGCAGCGCCGGTGGGCTGGCACTGCTGGGGGACCCAGTACACCCTCTGCAGCTGCTGGCCCAGGTGCTAAGTCCCTCATTGCCTGGGGCCAGCAGAGCTGGCTGACTGCTCCAAGTGTGGGGCCTGCCAAGCCCACGCCCATCTGGAACTCCAGCTGGCCCACAAGTGCTGCACGCAGCCCTGGTTCCCGCTCGCACCTCTCCCTCCACACCTCCCTGCAAGCTGAGGGAGTGGGCTCCAGCCTTGGCCAGCCCAGAAAGGGGCTCCCACAGTGCAGTGGTGGGCTGAAGGGCTCCTCAAGTGCCGCCAAAGTAGGAGCCCAGGCAGAGGAGGTGCCGAGACCAAGCAAGGGCTCTGAGGACTGCCAGCACGCTGTCACCTCTCAATAACAAACAGTCTCTAAGACCACAGTGCAATCCAATTAGAACTCAGGATTCAGAAACTCACTGAAGGCCAGGCGTGGTGGCTTATGCCTTTAATCCCAGCACTTTGGGAGACTGAGGCAGTCACATCATGAGGCCAGGAGATTGACACCATCCTGGATAACACGGTGAAATGCCATCTCTACTAAACAATACAAAAAAATAGCTGGGCGTGGTTGGGGGGGCCTGTAGTCCCAGCTACTCAGGAGGCTGAGGCAGGATAATGGTGTGAACCCAGGAGGCAGAGCTTGCAGAGAGCCAAGATTGTGCCACCACTCCAGCCTGGGAAACAGAGTGAGACTCCATCTCAAAAAAATAAAGAAACACTGAAAACCACAAAACTACATGGAAACTGAACAAACTGCTCCTGAATGACTACTGGGTAAATAACGAAATGAATCAGAAATAAAGATGTTATTTGAAACCAATAAGAACAAAGACACAACGTACCAGAATCTCTGGGACACATTTAAAGCAGTGCCTAGAGGAAAATTTATAGCACTAAATGCCCACAAAAGAAAGCAGGAAAGGTCTAAAATTGACACCCTAGCATCACAATTAAAAGAACTAGAGAAGCAAGAGCAAACAAATTCAAAAGCTAGCAGAAAACAAGAAATAATTATGATCAGAGCAGAACTGAAGGAGATAGAAACACGAAAATCCCTTCAAAAACAACAACAACAATGACAACAACAACAAATCAATGAATCCAGGAGCTGGTTTTTTGAAAAAAATCAACAAAGTAGACCGCTAGCCAGATTAATAAAGAAGAGAGAAGAATCAAATAGACACAATAAAAATGATAAAGTGGATATCACTACCAATCCCACAGAAATACAAACTACCGTCAGAGAGTACTATAAGCACCTCTACACAAATAACTAGAAAATCTAGAAGAAATGGATAAATTTGCAGAAACATACACCCTCCTAAGACTAAACCAGAAAGAAGTTGGATCCCTGAATAGACCAATAAGAAGTTCTGAAATTGAGGCAGTAATTAATAGCCTACCAACCAAAAAAAGCCCAGAAGCAGACGGATTCACAGCTGAATTCTACTGAGGTACAAAGAGGAGCTGGTACCATTTGAAACTATTCCAAACAATAGAAAAAAAGGGACTCCTCCCTAACTCATTTTATGAGGGCAGCATCATCCTGATACTAAACCCTGGCAGAGACACAACAAAAAAAGAAAATTTCAGGCCATATCCCTGAAGAACATCAGTGTGAAAGTCCTCAATAAAATGCTGGTATACAGAATCCAGCAGCACGTCAAAAAGCTTATCCAGCACGATCAAGTAGGCTTCATACCTGGGTTGCAAGTCTGGTTCAACATACGCAAATGAATAAATGTAATCCATCACATAAACAGAACCAATGATGAAATCCACATGATTATTTCAATAGATGCAGAAAAGGCCTTTGGCAAAATTCAACAGCCCTTCATGCTAAAAACTCTCAATAAACTAGGTATCAATGGAACATATCTCAAAATAATAAGAACCATTTATGACACACCCATAGCCAATATCATACTAAAAGGGCAAAGACTGGAAGCATTCCCCTTGAAAACCAGCACAATGCAAGGATGCCCTCTCTCACCACTCCTATTCAACATAGTATCAGAAGTTCTGGTCAGGGCAATGGGGCAAGATAAAGAAATAAAGGTGTTCAAATAGGAAGAGAGGAAGTCAAATTATCTCTGTTTGAAGATGATATGATTGTATATTTAGAAAACCCCATCGTCTCAGCCCAAAATTTCCTGAAGCTAATAAACAACTTCAGCAAAGTAGCAGGATAGAAAATCAATGTGCAAAAATCACAAGCATTGCTATACACCAATAACAGACAGCCAAATCATGAGTGAACTCCCATTCACAATGCTACAAAGAGAATAAAACACTTAGGAATACAACTTACAAGGGATGTGAAGGACCTCTTCAAGGATCTACAAACCACTGCTCAAGGAAATAAGAGAGGACACAAACAAATGGAAAAACATTCCATGCTCATGTATAGGAAGAATCAATATTGTGAAAATGACCACACTGCCCAAAGTAATTTATAGATTCAATGCTATTCCTATCAAGCTACCACTGACTTTCTTCACAGGATTGGAAAAAACTACTTTAAACTTCACATGGAACCAAAAAAGAACCCACATATCCAAGGCAATCCTAAGCAAAAAGAACAAAGCTGAAGGCATCACACTACCTGATTTCAAACTGTACTACAAGCCTACAGTAACAAAAACAGCAAGCTACTGATACCAAAACTGATATATAGACCAACGGAACAGAACAGAGGCCTCAGAAATAACACCACATATCTACAACCATCATCTGATCTTTGACAAACATAACACAAACAAGCAATGCGGAAAAGATTCCCTATTTAATAAATGGTGCTGGGAAAACGTAGCCATATGCAGAAAACTTAAACTGGATCCCTTCCTTACACCTTATACAAAAATCAACTCAAGGTAGATTAAAGACTTAAATGTAAGGCCTAAAGCCATAAAAATCCTAGAATTAAACCTAGGCAATACAATTCAGGACATAAGCATAGGCAAAGACTTCATGTCTAAAACACCAAAAGCAATGGCAACAAAAGCCAAAATTGACAAATGGGATCTAATTAAACTAAAGAGCTTCTGCACAGCAAAAGAAACTATCATCAGAGTGAACAGGCCACCTAGAGAATGGGAGAAATTTTGTGCAATATACCAATCTGACGAAGGTCTAATATCCAGAAACTACAAAGAACTTAAAAAATTTACAAGAAAAAAAACCCATCAAAAAGTGGGTGAAGGATATGAACAGACACTTCTCAAAAGAAGACTTTTATGCAGCCAACAACATGTGAAAAAATGCTCATCATCACTGGTCATTAGAGAAATGCAAATCAAAACCACAATGAGATACCATCTCATGCCAGTTAGGATGGTGATCATTAAAAAGTCAGGAAACAACAGACGCTGGAGAAGAAGTGGAGATAAAGGAATGCTTTTACACTGTTGGTAGGAGTGTAAATTAGTTCAACCATTGTGGAAGACAGTGTTGAGATTCGTCAAGGATCTGATACTAGAAATACCATTTGACCCAGCAATCCCATTACTAGGTATACACCCAAAGGATTACAAATCATTCTACTATAAAGACACATTCACACGTATGTTTATTGTGGCACTATTCACAATGGCAATGACTTGGAACCAACCCAAATGCCCATCTATGACAGACTGGATAGAGAAAGCGTGGCACATATACACCATGGAATACTATGGAGCCATAAAAAAGGATGAGTTCATGTCCTTTGCGGGGACATGGATGAAGCTGGAAACCATCATTCTCAGCAAACTATCACGAGAACTGGAAACCAAACACCATATGTTCTCATTCATAAGTCGGAGTTGAACAATGAGAACACATGGACACAGGGAGGGGAATATCACACACCAGGGCCTGTCAGGGGGTGTGGGTCTAGGGGAGGGATAGCATTATGTGAAATATCTAATGTAGGTGGCAGGTTGATGGGTGCAGCAAACCACCATGGCACGTGTATACTTATGTAACAAAACTGCACGTTCTACACATGTACCCCAGAACTTAAGTATAATTTTTTATAAAAGCAAAACAAAAGATCAGTGAAAAGAAGATGGTTTTCAAAAAGAGATAAAATTGATAAATCTTTAGTCAGACTAATTAAGAAAAAAGTATACCCAAATAAATAAAATTAGAGATGAAAAAGAAGATATTATAACACATACTGTAAAAATTTATAGAATCATTACAGGCTACTATTAGCAACTATATGTGAAAAACCTAAAACAAATGGATAAATTTCAAGACACACACAATGTACCAAGATTAAACCCTAAAGAAATATAAAACCTGAACAGTCCAACAGTAATGCCATTAAAGCTAAAATAAAACGTCTCCAAGCAAAGAAAAGCTGAAGACCAAATGGCTTCACTGCTGAATTTTACCAAACATTTATGCAAGAACTAGTCCCCACCCTACTCAAACTAACCTGCATAATAGAGGAGGAGGGAATACTTTCAGATTTATTCTCCAAGGCCTTATTACCGTGACACTAAAACAAAGGACATCTCTCTCTCTCACACACACACACACACACACACACTGACTCACTCACACACACACACTCACTCGCTGACTCACACTGACCCACAGCTAGAATCATAGTGAATATGGAATAACTGAAAGCCTTTCCTTTAAGATTTGGAACAAGACAAGGCCTCACTAGAGCAGTCAGACAAGAGAAAAATATAATGGGCACTCAAATTGGAAAGTAAGAAGTCAAATTATCCTTGTTTGCAGATGATATAATTTTATATTTGGAAAATCCTAAAGTCCTCACAAGAAAATTATTTGAAGTGATAAAACAAATTCAGTAAAGTTGTAGGATACAAAATCAGCATATAAAAATCAGTAGCATTTCTATATGCCAACAGCAAACACTGAAAAATCTAGAAAATAATCTCATTTGCAGTAGCTACAAATAAAAGAGAATACCTAGGACTAAACTAAACCAAAGATGTGAAATATCTCTACAATGAAAACTAGAAAACATTAATGCAATAAATTGAAGAGGACACAGAAAATGGAGAAATATTCCATGTTCATTAATTGGAAGAATCAATATTATTAAAATGTTCATACTACCCAAAGCAATACACAGATTCAATGCAATCTCAATGAAAATACCAATGACATTCTTCATAGAAATAGAAAAAAAATTTCTAAAATTTATATGGAACCACGAATGACCCAGAATAGCTAAAGTTATCCTGGGCAAAAAGAATAAAACTAGAGGAAACACACAAACTGATTTCAAATTACACTACTGAGCTATACTAACCAAAACAGCATATTGCTAACAATAACAACAACAACAAAAAACCATTTAGCCCACTGGAACAGAATAGAGAACAAAAAACAAATACATATACCTACAGTGAACTCCTTTTTGAAAGAGGTGCCAAGAACATACACTGGAGAAAAGACATTCTATTCAAAAAGTTGTGTTGAGAAAAATATATATATATGCAGAAGAATAAAACTATACTCCTATCTCTTGCCATATACAAAAATCAAATCAAAATAGATTAAAGACTTCAATCTGAGACCTTGAACTATGAAACTACTACAAGAAAACATTGGGGAAAATTTTCAGGACATTGAACTAGGCAAAAATTTATTGAGTCATACCCTATAAGCACAGGCAACCAAAGCAAATAAAGACAAATGGGATCACATCAAATTGCAAAGCTTCTGCATATCAAAGGAAATAATCAACAAAATAATGAGACAACCCAGTGATTGGGAAAAATATTTGCCTACTATCTATGTGACAAGGTATTAATAATGAGAATAAGAAGCTCAAACACCTCAAAAAGGAAAATATTTCAAAATGGGCCAAAGTTCTGAATAGGCATTTATCAAAAGAAGACATACAAATGGCAAACAGGCATATGAGAAGGTGCTCAACATGACTGATCATGAGAGAAATGCAAATCAAAACTACAATGAGATACATCATCTCACCCCAGTTAAACTGGCTTTTATCCAAAAGACAACTATAATGAATGCTGGTAGTATGTGGAGAAAAGGGGTCCCTTGTATCCTGCTGGTAGGAATGTAAAATAGTACAACACTATAAAGAAAAGTATGGAGGTTCCTTAAAATTTAAAAATATAACTACTATATGATCCAGCAATTCCACTACTGTGTGTATACCCAAAGGAAATAAAACCAGTATATTGAAGAAATATTTTCATTCTCATGTTTATTGCAGCATTATTCACAGTAGCCAAGATTGGGAAGCAACATGCATTCATCAGCAGATAAATGGGTAAGAAAAATGTGGCACATACACATAATAGAGTACTACTCAGCCATAAAAAAAGAAATCCTGTCATTTGCAACAGCATGAATGGAACTGGATGACATTATGTTAAGCTAGCACAGAAAGAAAAACTTCACCTGTTTTCCCTCATTTGGGGGAGCTAAAAATTAAAACAATTTAACCCATGGAGCTAGAGAATAGAATGATGGTTACCAGAGGTTGGGAGGGGTAGTTGGGTGTGGTGAAGTAAGGATGATTAATGGTCACAAAATTATAGATAGAATAAGATCTAGTATACGATAGCACAATAGGGTGACTACAGTCAATCACTTATTATACATTTAAAAGTAACTAAAAGAGTATAATTTGAATGTTTATAACACAAAGTAATGACACATGGAGGTGACTGAGTCCCCATTTACCCTGATGTGATTATTACACATTGTGTGCCTGCATCAAAATATCTCATGTACCCATAAATATATGCACCTAATCTGTACCCATCATAAATTTAAAAATAAGACAAAAAAAAACAAAACAAAATAGAATCAGCAATGCCCAGACGATTATCAACGGTTTAGGAAACCAACCTGAGAATACCTACAATTCTTAGTCAAAAGACAAAAAATATAAGAATATGAAATACATGCTTTTTTAAAAAAATAAGGCTAAAAAGCAACAGAAACAATGAATTTAATTAGAATCAGGGAATAGAAACTTTTCTAATGTAATAAGGGTTTTTTAAGGTCACCATGTTTAAGGCAACTTTAAAAGACAATTTTAAGAATGTATAATTGTAAACTTATTGAAATTTTGAATTCTAAGACAATATTTGGTTTCATTGTGTTTATGTTGCGTTCTTCCTGGAAATATATTAAATATATTTATCTTAATGCATGAGAATGTGGAAATGACAATGTTTGTGTGTGATAAGTACATAAATATATAAAATTTGTACCTAAAAATCACCTTCATCTTTTGAGCAGAGTGCACATTTGGAAATATAATCAAGGGGGTACATAAAGGTCCCATTAAGTTTTCTCTAAACTTAGTCAAATAAACTATTATTGATAGTCAATAGAGAAGCTAGAAGATCAAATCTAGGAAATCAGAGTGAAAAGTTGGCACAATATGCTGGAAGGAAGGAGGAAAACGTAACAATGCCTCCTTATTTTATTTGAATCAGCTTCTTTAGCAGGATAGCCTGCCAGTGATACTGCTCTGAAAATAGGGTCATAGTTGAAATCCAGAAGTATTTTTACATAGAACCAGGGGGTTAATGGCTAAGAACTTTAGATTTTGTGGGAATGTTCAGTTATTAAATACCACACCCCTTTCACCTTTGCTCTTGCTTCTCTTTAATCCTGCCCATTGTCTTCTCACCAACCTGAATGCTGAAGGTACAGATAGCTGTCCTCACCTTCCTAGCTCAAGTTCTAAGGGTAAAACTAAAAGATATGATCCTTATGGGAAACATATTCATATTGTTACAGAGATAATGGTATGCCTGGATATAAACATTCCCATGAAAACATACAGAACACTAAAAAATAAATCCCAAAATGGGCCCTATATATAAACAGTATTTTGAAACCACATACACACACACAGAGAGAGAGAGAGAGAGAGAGGGAGAGAGAGAGAGAGAGAAAAAGAAAGAAAGAAAGAAAGAAAGAAAGAAGGAAAGAGAGAAAGAAAAGAAAGAAAGAAAGAAAAGAAAGAAAGAAAGAGAGAGAGAAAGAAAGAGAAAATAGATGGAGGAGAAAGACATAAGAAACCAAAGGCCAATAAAAAATATGTATGCTTTCTGGCTGGGCATGATGGCGCACGCCTGTAATTCCAGTGCTTTGAGAGGCTGAGGTACAAGGATTGCTTGCAGCCAGGAGTTCAAGACCAGCCTGGGCAACAGAGGGATACTCTCAACTCAAAAAAAAAAAAAAAAAAAAGGAAAAGAAAAAAGAAAAAAGAAAAAAAAAAAAAACCTCCAAAATTTGTTAAATTAGCATTGGGGGCAGACAGTGGTGCAAGATGCTAGAATAGAGAACTCCAATCGTTCCCCCTTCAAGGACACCAAGTTAACTATCTACACAGAAGAAACGCCTTCAAAAGAACTGAAAAATCAGGTGAGTATTCATAGTAGCTGGTTTAAACTTTATATTGCTGAAAGAGGCACTGAAGAGATAGAAAAACAATACTGAATCTCTGGTTCCCCCCCTTCCCCACCTCTCCCCAACTCCAGGCAGTGGAGGCATCATGCAGAGAGCATCTCTGGTCACTGGGGGAGAGATAACACAAAAATTATAAGGCATTAAAATCATTGCTGTCCTGTTAGAGAAGAAAGGAAAATCAGACCAAATTCAGCTGATGCCTCCCATGTGGAGAAAGCATTTAAACCAGCCCTAGTCAGAGAGTAAATCACTGATTCCAGCAGTTGGAATTTGCGTGCCTGCAAACCTGGCCACAGAGGGCTACACTGCTGTATTCAAGTAAACTTGAAAGGTAGTCTAGACCATAAGGACTGCAAGTCATAGGTGAGTCCTAGTGCTGAATTAGGCCCAGAGACAATGGACTGGGCTGGGGGAATGGGTAAAAACATACTAAGACACCAGCTGGGGCAGCCAAGGCTCTGCTGGCATGACCCCTCCCCTAACCCCCCAGGCTGAACAGCTCCGAGCACCAAAAGAGACCCCTTCCTTCCACTTAAGGAGTGGACAGGGATAAGTTAGGAGGACTTTGTCTTACATCTAAGATACTAGCTCAGCCACAGGAGGATAAGGTATCAGTCACAGTCATGAGGTCTCTTTTCTGGCCCTAACCCCCAGAGAATATTTCAAGGCACACCCTGCGCCAGAAGAGAACCTACTGCCTTGAAGGAAAAGACCCAGTCCTGGCAGCATTCATCACCTACTAAATGAAGAGCGCTTGGACCTTGAATGACCAGCAGTGACACCCAGATACTACATCAAGGGCATTGTGTGAGTCTCTGAGACTTCATTACTTCAGTTGAGACTCAGCACATTCCTACCTGTGGTGGCTGTGGGACAAAACTTCTGCTTGAGAAAAGCAGAGGGAAAAGTAAAGGGGAATTTCTCTTACACCTTAGGTACTAGTGTGGCCACAGGGGAGTAAAGTACCAAGTGGCTCTCAGGGTCTGCGATTCCAGGACTTGACATTTGGACAGCATTTCTGGACCTGGCCTGGGTCATAGAGGAGCCCTTCACCCTGAAGGGTGAGTCCCAGTCCAGGTAACATTCAGAAAAAGCTAACTTAAGAGATATTGGGCCTTAAGGCAACATTGATAGTAATCTGGCAGTATTCCTCTCTTGTGCCTGGGGTGGGTGGCTATGGGTGAGGCACTTCTGACTTTGGAAGGGGCAGGAAGAGTGGGAAAGACTGTCTTGTGGTTTTAGTGCCAGATCAGCCACAGTACAACTCTGTGGGTGGTAGACTCTTAAGGTTTTTGACTCTAGTCCCTGACTCAATACTTCTGAACCCTCCCAGGGCTTGGGGTAACTTGTTGCCCTTAACAGAAGGGTACAAGCCTGGCTGGCTTTGTGACATGCTGATTATAGAGCCCCAGAGCCTTGAGCAAAGTGAGCCAAGGAGTGGTTACAGCAGGTCTTGGGTGAGACCCAGCACTGTGCTGGCTTCCAGTCTGATCCAGCACAGTTGAAGTGGTGGTGGTGACAGTGGTGCTTGTGTCACTACATTCCCAGGTTTAGGTGGCTTAGAACACAAACAGAGAAAGACTCTGTATGTTTGGGATAAAGGGAAGAAAACAAGATTCCCTGCCTAGTAATCCAGACAATTCCCCAGATCTTTCCCAAGACCATCAATGTACATGTATCCCAAGATACATCTACAAGTCTTCAAGAACTGCAGTGTTACTGGGTTTGGGGGTCCCCATAAAGCAGATACAGCTTTGATCACAATACCCAAGTTCTTTCAAATATCTGGAAAGTCTTCCCAAGAAGTATGGCTACAAATAAGCCCAGACAATGAAGACTAAAATTAATACTTAGCTCTTCAATGCCCAGTGAAGAATATCTACTAGCATCAACACCATCCAGGAAAACATGAGCTCACTAAATGAACTAAATAAGTCACGAGGGACTAATCTGGGAGAAACAGAGATACATGAGCTATCATACAGAGAATTCAAAATAACTGTATTGAAGAAACTTAAATTCAAGAGAATATAGAAAAGAAATTCAGAATTCTATCAGGTAAATTTAACAAAGAAATTAAAATAATTATAGATAATCAAAAATTATTGAGTTGAAAAATGCAATCCACATACTGAAGAATGCATCAGAGCAGAAATGATCAAGCAGAAGAAAAAATTATTGAGTTTGAAGACATGCTACTTGAAAATATACAGTCAGAGGAAAGAACAACAAAAAGAGTAAAAAACAACAAACCATGCCTACAGGATCGAGAACATAGCCTTAGAGGAGCAAATCTAAGAATTATTGACCTTAAAAAGAGGTAGAAAAAGGGATGGGGGTAGAAAGCTTATTCAAAAGGCTAATAACAGAGAACTTCCCAAACCTAGATAAAAATATCAGTGTCCAAATACAAAAAGATTACAGAACACCAAGAAGATTTTACCCAAAGATTACCTCAAGGCATTTAATAATAAAACTTCTAAAGGTCAAAAATAAAGGATCCTAACAGCAACATACAATGGAACTCCAATATACCTGCAGCAGACTTCTCAGTAGAAACTTCATAGGCCAGAAGAGACTGATGTAGCATAAAGTGCTGAAGGAAACAAAAACTTTTACTCCAGCATAGTATATCCAGTGAAAATATCCTTGAAATATCAAGGAGAAATAAAGTTTCCCAAACAAACAAAAGCTTAGAGATTTTATCAATACCAGATATCTCCTACAAGAAATGCTAAAGGGAATATTTCAATCAGAAAGAAGAGGACATTAATGAGCAATGGTATAAAACTCACTGGTAATAGTAAATACACAGAAAACACAGGTATTATAATACTGTAATTGTGGTGTGTAAACTACTCTTATCCTAAGTAGAAAGACTGAATGATAACTACAACAACTTTGCAAGACATAGTCAATCCAATAAGATATAAATAGATACAACAAAATGTTAAAAAGTAGGAGGATGAAGTTCAGGTATAATATTGTTATTGGTTTGTTTTTACAAATAGTGTTAAGTTGCTATCACATTAAAATAATGGGTTATAAGACAGTATTAGCAAGCCTCATGGTAACCTCAAACCAAATCTATACAATGGACACACAAAAAACTTTAAGAGCAAGAAAATAAATTATATCACCAGAGAAAAATTACCTTTACTAGAGGAAGGCAGGAAGAAAATAAAAAAGGAAAAGAAGACCACAAAACAGTCAGAAAACAAATAACAAAATGGCAGGAGTAAGTCCTTACTTATCAATAATATTAAATGTAAATGGATGAAACTCTCCAATCAAAAAACGCAAACTAGCTGAATGAATAATAAAAAAAACCATTGATCTGTTGCTTACAAGAAACACACTTCATTTATAAAGACACACAGAATGAAAATGAAGGAATGGAAAAAGATATTCCATGCTAATGGAAATCGAAAAATAACAGGAGTCACTATACTTAGGCAAATTATGTTTCAAAAAAAAAACTGTAAGAAGAGACAAAGAAGATCACTATATAATAAAGGGGTCAGTTCAGCAACAGGATAAAACAATTTTAAATATATATGCACCAAACACTGGAGCACCCAGATACCTACAGAAAATATTATTAGAACTAAAGTGAGAGATAGGACCTAGTACAATAATTGATGGAGACTTGAACACCCCACTTTCAGCATTGGGAAGATCTTTCAGACAGAAAAAATCAACAAAAAATCATATTTAATATGTACTATAGACAAAATTGATCTAATAGATATTACAGAACATTTAATCCAAGATTTGCGGAATATATTTTTTTCAGCATATGGCCCATTCTCAAGGATAGACCATTTATTAGTCATAAAACAAGTCTTAAAAGATTTTTAAAAGTTGAAATAATATCAAGCATCTTTTCTGACCACAATGAAGTAAAACTAGAAATAACACGAGGAACTCTGGAAACTAAACAAATACATGGAAATTAAACAATATGCTCCTGAATGACCAGTGGGTCAATAAAGAAATTGAAAAGAAAGGCCGGGTGTGGTGGCTCACGCCTGTAATCCCAGCACTTTGGGAGGCTGAGGTGGGTGGATCACGAGGTCAGGAGATCAAGATCATCCTGGCTAACACGGTGAAAACCCATCTGTACTAAAAATACAAAAAAAGTTAGCCGGGCATGGGGGTGGGCACCTGTGGTCCCAGGTACTTGGGAGGCTGAGGCAGGAGAATGGTGTGAACCTGGGAGGCGGAGCTTATGATGAGCTGAGATTGTGCCACTGCACTTCAGCCTGGGAGACAGAGTGAGACTCCATCTCAAAAAATAAATAAATAAATAAAAAGAAATTAAGAAGAAAATTGAAAAAATTGAAAAATGTCTTCAAACAAATAATGGAAATACAACATACCAAAATTTATGGGATATAGCAAAAGAAGTACTCAGAGTGAACATGATTGCTGTAAGTGCCTACATCATAAAAGAGGAAAAACGTCAAATGAGCAATCTAATGATTCATCTTAAAGAACTAGTAAAGCAAGAGCAAACCAAACTCAAAACAAGTAGAATAAAACCAATAATAAAGATCAGAGCAGAAATAAAATTGAAAAAATATATAAAAATAAATGTAATAATTTTTTTAAAGGTAAACAAAGTAGATAAACCTTTGGCCAGACTAACCAAGAAAAAGAGAGAAAATCCAAATAAATAAAATTAGAAATAAAAAAGGAGACATTACAACTAATACTGTAGAAATTCAAAGGAGGATCATTAGTGGCTACTATGAACAAATATATGCCAATAAATTTAAAAAATCCAGAAGGAATGAACAAATTTCTATACATACAACCTACTGGGATTGAATCAGGAAATTTGGAATGTGAGTAATGAGATTGAAGCTGTAATAAAAACTCTTCCTAAAGAAAACTCCAGGACCCAGTGGTTTCACAGATGGATTCTACCAAATATCTAAAGAACTGATAAAAATCCTACTCAAATTATTTCAAAATATAGTGTAGGAGGAAATACTTACATACTCATTCTGTGAGGCCATTATTACCCTGATATCAAAACCAGACAAATACACATCAAACAAACAAACAAAAATAGTTCAATGTATTACTCTATTCTCACACTGCTATGAAGACATACCTGAGACTGGGTAATTTATGAAAAAGTGAGGTTTAATTGACTCACAGTTCCCCAGGCTATACAGGAAGTATGACTGGAGAGGCCTTAGGAAACTTACAATCATGGCAGAAGGCAAAGGGGAATCAGACACATTACATGGTCAGCAAGAGACAGTGTAAAGGAGTAGGTGCTACACACTTTCAAACAACCAAGCCTCATCAGGACTCTATCATGAGAACAGATAGGGGGAAGTCTGCCCCAATGTCTCAATCCCTCCACCAGGCTTTTCCTGCAACACTGGGAATTACAATTTGACGTGAGATTTGGGTAGGGACATAGAACAAAACCAAATTATTCTGTCCCTGGCCCCTCCCACAGCTCATGTCCTTCTCATATTTCTTAATACAAGCATGCCTTCCCAACAGTCCCCCAAAGTCTTAACTCATTTTAACATTAACTCAAAAGTCCAAGTCTAAAGTCACATCTGAGACAAGGCAAGTCATTTCAGCCCATGAGACTGTAAAATCAAAACAGTGAGTTACTTCCAAGACACAATAGAGTTACAGGCATGGGTAAATGCTCCTGTTTGAAAAAAGAAAAGAAAACAAAACAAAAGAATTGGCCCAAACAAAGGGGCTACAGGCCCCATGCAAGTTCAAAACCCAGCAGGGCAGTTATTAAATCTTAAAGATTGAAAATAATCTCCTTTGACTCCACATTTCACATCCATGTCATGCTGATGCAAGTGGTGGGCTCCCCAGGCCTTAGGGAGCTCTACCCCTGTGGCTCTACAGGGTACAGCCCCCATAGCTGCTTTCACCAGCTGGTATTGAGTGCCTATGTCTTTTCCAGGTGCACAGTGCAAGCTGTTTGTTGATCTACCATTTGGCGGTTTGGAGTTTGTTGGCCTGCTTCTCTCAGCTCCACTAGTGGGGCTCTGGGTGGGGGCTGCAACCCCACATTTCCCCTCTGCACTGCCTTCGTAGAGGTTCTCCATGAGGGCTCCACCCCTGCAGCAGACTTCTGCCTGGACATCCAGACATTTCCATACATCCCCCGAAAGTTAGGCAGAGGCTTCCAAACCTCAACTCTTGCCCTCTGTGCACCTGCAGGACCAACACCACATGGAATTCACCACCAGTGCTTGGGGCTTGCAACTTCTGAAGCAACAGCCAAGCTGTACCTTGACCCTTTTTAGCCATGGCTGAAGCTGGAGTGGCCACGACGCAGAGCACCATGTCCCAAGGCTGTACAGAGCAGTGGGGTCCTGGACCTGGCCTATGAAGCCATTCTTCCTTCCTAGGCCTGCAGGCCTGTGATGGTAGGGACTGGTGTGAAGGTATCTGAAATTTCCTTGAGGCATTTTCCCCATTGTCTTGCCTATTAACATCTGGCTCTTTACTTATGCAAATTTCTTCAGCAGGCTTGAATTTCTCTTTTGAAAATGGGTTTTTCTTTTCTACCACATGGCCAGGCTTCAAATTCTCCAAGCTTTTATGCTCTGCATCCTTTTAAATGTAAATTCCAGTTTCAGATAATCTTTGTTCATGCATATGAGCATACACAGTTAGAAGCAGTCAGGTGATGTCTTGAATGCTTTGATGCTTAGAAATTTATTCTATATCTCTATAAACACACATTTAAAAAAATTATAAAATAAAAATAAAATACATTAAAATTTTAAAAAATTAGCTGGGTGTGGTGGTGTGTGGCTGTCATTTCAGCTACTCAAGAGGCTGAGGTAGAAGGATCACTTAAGCCCAGGAGTTCAAGGCTGCAGTGAGCTATGATGGTGCCATTGCATTCCAGCCTAGGTGACAGAGCGAGTGTTTCTAAGAATTTTTTGAAAAATTATATGCTTTCCAAGAACAATTAGAAAATTTGAGATACTGTTAGACTAAAAACTTTCTAAAAGAAATTTAAAAATACGGATTTTATAAAACAAAGTAGAAGAAACTGTATAAAAAGTGCTATAAAGAACAGAAAATGAAATGATACCTCACAGTACAAATTGAAAATCTGAAAAATTAAAACTACTCAAGGAATTTGAAAAATATTATAAGTAGTGAATGTAGTCTCATAACAACTCATAATATAAAAACAAAGTGGGCCATGAAGACAGACTTGAGAAAAATGGAAAGGATTGTTAAATAAAATTTCCGGGATGCCACTGGTTTGGACAGAGCTCCTATACTTGGCCCCAAGAGATACCAAAAATAGGATCACTTACAATAATTTTCTATGTACCAAATCAATACCCAAGCTATTTATTGTATGATCTGAACTTCCAAAGAAAAATCAAGGGAAAAATGATAGCCTATAAAGTAACTTTGAAATAACTATTTCAATTTCTGTTCCTAGTTTCTTTAGGTTTTTCTGCCTATAGAGCCCACCCCTCTGCTCAGCTCAGAGTTCCTTTCTATTTTGTAAATTGGATGCTGCTCAGTTTATGAATTACAAATAAAATCAATTAGATCTTTAAAATTCAAGTTGTTGAAACTCTGTTTTGTAACATGGTTTTAAAAAACTGTCAGAATTCAGTGGTAAAGTACAAAAAACTCAGAGGAGAGAAAATGATAAAATATATATAAAAGGCAGGCAATGAAAATTTTAATGTAAAAAGTACAAATTTAAGAGTAAAAATGAAATATAACAAAGAAATAGATATAAAAATATATAAGGGAATTTTTGTTATTAAAGAGAGATTATATACCAGTAGATTGAAAGGTATCACAGTGTATCAAATAAAAAAATGAAAGGAACAGTCAACATCACAAGCACTTCAACAGATCCTGGTGACATTACTAAACATTAAAGCAAAAACAAATGAATACTATGAACATTCAGACAGAAAAAACAGGACTTACAAATGTGAAAATATTAAGAGGACATCTGGTCCCCAGTTCTGCAACTAAAGAGTTTAGAGGTTGCCACTTTATCCTAACAAGAAGAAAAAAAGCTGAACAGACTGAAAAATCAAAAACTATTATTGAATATGTAAAAGTGGGGAGAACACAGGGCAAAGCACTGCCCCCAAGATTGGAGAGACTGACAATTGAACACTAGGAGTCACTGCTTACTGACACAGAGTGACAGGGCTTGAGGGAACCAGTGAGGGGTAGGAAAACCTTAACTGTAATTGATGAATTGCTGGAGAATCAGTGCAGAGAAGTCTAAGAGCTACAAACTCCAGGGTGATCCAGTCATGGGCATACCCCGCAATATTATGAGATTTACAACTAGGAGTTCAACCAGGTTCCCACACTAAACATAAAAGAAAAATCCCCTCTTCCTTCTAGCATAGGAAGGAGAAAAAGTAACATTTTGATACATTCCAGAGCACTCTGCTCTTTTAAACAAGGCATGCCCTCAGGAGAAACTAGTTAACTAGAGCCTAACTGACCTGAAGGGAAGGAATATACCTAACTCCAGTCCACTCTAATTATACCACCCCGCCATCCCCGCACCTAATAAGTTGGGGGGAACCTAAACTAAACTAAACTTAAAGTTTACCGGAGCAGAGGCACAGACTCACTAAAAGACTGAGACCTAATCATAGGACTATGAAATGCTTCTCCTCTCCGAATACCTTACCACCATTTTACTATAGGCCCATTCATAGTAGTTTCTTTTACCTGGTCCATTACATATGGCTATGAAGAAAAAATTCAAGACATAATAAAAGGTAACAAGCACTTTGAAGAGACAGAACAAGCATGATAAATAGACATGGCAAGGATGTTGAAATTATCAGGCCAGGGAATTTAAAACAAGTATGATTAATATGCTAAGGGCTCTAACGGATAGACAGTATGCAAATGAGGAACTAAACAGAATTTGAATTTGAAATTCTAAAAAAGACCAAAAAGAAATGCTAGAAATTAAAAAAGAAAAACAAATGAAGAATGTCTTTGAGGGACTTATTAATGTACTGTACACAGTTGTAGAAACAATATCTGAGCTTGAGGATATATCAGTAGAAACTTTAAAAACTGTCAAAAAAAATTACACAAATTAAATTTAGCAGAAGTTAATTGAGCAAAGAACAATTAGGTCACCTTAGAATTAGAAGAGGTTCAAAGAGCTCAGCTTCCAAATGTGGGCAGGCAGCATTTATGGATGGCAACTGAGGTGAGATAGAGAAAGAGGTAGACTGGTTACAGCTTGGCATTTACCTTATTTAAACATGGTGTGATCACTTAGCCATCTGTGATTGACTAAAGCTCAATTCATGTGATGGGTGGGACTCGGCTATTTGCTACAAAAGTATACTCATAACTTAATATAAAAACTGATTAAAAACCTAAGTTAGGATGCAATTTCTTATATAAGAACTCAAAGCATGGATGCATCATCAGGCCAAATTTAATTTAACAAAGGAAAAAGCACAAAGACTGAAAGAAAAAAAGGAACAGAATATCCAAGGACTGAGGAACAGCTACAAGAAATATAACATACACACAATAGGGATACCAGAATGTAATTTAAAAAAAGTAACAGAAGAAATATTTGAAGCAATAATGACTGATAATCCCCTCAAATTAATGTCAGATATAAAACCACAGATTCAGGAATCTCAGAAAACACCTAACAAAATAGCCAAACAAAGGAACGAAAAGCTACTAAGCATATTGTCTTCATAGCATAGAAAATAAGATTTTAAAAAATTCTGAGAAAAGCCGGAGGACAACACACTATGGAGAAACAAAGATAAGAATTACATTCAACTTCTAACAAACCATGCAATCAAGAAGTGAAGTGAAATATGTAAAATATTGGAAGAAAAATAATGTTACCAATCTAGAATTCTGGATTCTATGTAATTTGTCTTCAAAAGCAAAGGAGAGAGATACTTTCTTAGACAAACAAAAATTTAGAAAATTAGTTGTAGGCTTGCCTTGTAGGAATACTAAAAGGAGTTACTTAGAAAGAAGGGAAATTATATGGGTCAGAAACTTGGATATATAAAAAGAAGAAAGGAGATAACAAAAATAAGTGAAAGTAATATAGAAACTTTTAATTTTCTTATTCTTAATTGATTTAACCATTTATTCAAAATAACAGAAACAAGGTTGATTATGTATGCTTATGTATATTTTATACACACAACGTTTACACATGCTTATCTATAAGTGAAATGAATAACAGCAATAATACAAAGGGTGGGAGGGAGGAACTAGGATTATTTTGTTATTAAAAGATATTCACACTACTTGTGAAGTGATATAGTGTTATTTGAAAGTAGACTTGGGCTGGTTGTAAATATGTATGGCATACTCCAGGGTAACCACTGAGAAAAGGTATAATAGAAGCATAACTATTATGGTAGAAAGTCAAGAAAATGGAATCATATAAAATGCACAATTAAAACCACAGAAGGCAGAAAAAGAGAGAAAGACAAAAACAAGACAAAGAACAAGGGCAACAAATACAAAACAGTAAAGAATTATGGCAGATATTAATTCAACTGTATCAATAATATACATCTGGGCGATAAAACACACACTAATAAATCTAAAAGAATAGATATCATACAGTGTCTGTTTGCAGACCACAATAGAATTAAACTAGAAATCAATAACAAGCATTACCAGAAGATTTCAAAATACATGGGAGATTAAACAACATATTTCTAGATAATACATAAGTTAAATAACATCAAGAGAAATTTTAAAGTATTTTAAATTTAATAAAAATGAAAACAAAACTTATCAAAATTTGTGGGATACAGCAAAAACTGTTTAGAGAAAAATTTTAAACATTGAATACATATATTGGAAAATAACAATCTAAAATCAATAAACTAAGTTGCCACCTTTGAAAAAAAAGAAAATTAAATTCAAAGAAAAATCATAAGAATTGAATAAACCAATGAAATTAAAATCAGGAAATCAATAGATCAACAAATCTAAAAGCTGGTTCTTCGAAAAGAAGTATCAGTAAATTTGATAAGCCTCAAACTCATCTAACTGAGAAAACAAGAAAGGATACAAATGACTAATATCAGAAATAAAGGAGGGAGCATTAATACAAATTCTAGGAATGTTAAAATGATAATCAATGAATACTATAATCAACCCTATGTCCACAATTTGATAACTGCAATGAACCAATCCTTTGAAAGACACAATTTGTCAAAACTCACATAAGAAATAGACCATCTGAGGGGGCCTACACCTTTTAAAGAATTGAATTAATAATGTTAACCTTCCAAAACAGAAAGCAGGGACCCAGATGGGTTCACTAGTGAATTCTACTAAACATTTAAAGGAAAAACTAATAAATGAGATATTCCATGTTTATGGATCAGAAGACAATATTGTCAAGGTGACAGTTCTTTCCAACTGGATATTTAGATTAAATACAACTCCAATCAAAATCCCAGCAAATTATTTCACAGAAATTGACAAAATTGATCCTAAAGTTTATATAGATGCAAAAGACTCAGAGCAATCAATACAATATTGAAATAGAACAAAGTTGAAAAACTGACACTACCTGACTTTCATACTTACTATGTACATATAGTAAGAGAATGTAGTATTACCAAAATGATAAACAAGTCAATAGAACAGAATATATAGTCCAGAAATAAATCCATATAAATACAGTCCACCGATCTTTGATAAAGGAGGGAAGACAACACATGCAGCAAAGACATTCTTTTTAACAAATGATACTCGAACAACTAGACATTCACATGCAAAGAAAACAGATCTAGACACAGACCTTACATTCATTACAAAAAATTAACTCAAAATGGACTGTAAACCAAAATGTAAAAGTCCTAGCGATAGCATAGGAAAAACATCTAGATAAACTTGGATATCAATATGACTTTTTTCAGATACAACACTAAGGGCAAGATACGTGAAATAAAGAATTGATAAAATTCATTAAATTTTAATTAAAATTTTAATTTTAATTCATTAAAATTAAGAAAAAAGTCTGCTCTGTAAAAGACAATGTCAGGAGAATGAAAAGAAAAGCTAAAGACTGGGAGAAAATATTTGCAAAAGACACATTTGATAATGAAGTTATCCAAAAAAATAAAAAAGAAAACTCTTGAAATATAATAAGAATACGAACCCAATTAAAAAGTGAGTACAGGACCTAAAGAGATGCCTTATTAGTGAAGACATATAGATGTAAAAGCACATAAGAAGATGCCCAACATCATGCCATTAGAGAATGGCAAATTATAACAGTTAGATGCCACTACACATCTATTAGAATGGCCACAATCCAGAACCTACCTTAAACAACAAATGCTTGTGAGGATGTGGAGCAACAGGAATTCTCATTCATTACTGATGGGAATGCAAATTGGTATAGTCACTTTGGAAGACAGTCCAGTGGCTTCTTACAAGACTAAACACACTTTTACCATAAAATACAGTAATCCCACTTCATGGCATTTATACAAAGGAGTTAAAAATTTATGTCCACAACAATACCTGCACATGAATATTTATGGAAGCTTTTTAAATAACTGCTAAAACTGGGAAATAACCAAGAGGTTCTTCAGTACGTGAACGGATAGTCTGTGGTACCATTCAGACAATGGATTATTATTTAGCATTAAAAATAAATGAGGTAATCAGGAAAATTGGTGGATATGAGAGAGGACTAACGTGCAGCTCCCACTTGCACAGACAGAACAGTGTGTAGAGACTCACACCATGAACATTTGCTCCAACAACCAACACAGGAACATACTGAATGTAAGATCTGTGTCTAGATCTGTTTTCTTTGCATATGAATGTCTAGTTGTTCCAGTACCATTTGTTAAAAAGATTGTCAGACCAAAATAGTTCAGAAACCCTGTGGAAGCAGCAGCTTGCTGCTGCAAACTCCATGAGACAGCCAAAAAAACCGAGTTCCCCAAGTGTGAGAGGGAAAACTCTGCCTCTGAACCCACATTCCCACTGGTGAACCTGAAAATCCAGATCATGGGAGAAGGATTTAATCTTAGAGTTGAAATAAATGTAGGAAGCCAAGCAGAATATTAAAGTAGAAGCATGATATTGTTTGTCCCCATTCAAATATCTTGAATTCCTGTGCATTGCAGGAAGGACCTGGTGGGAAATAATTGAATCACGGGGGCAGGCCTTTCCCATGCTGTTCTCATAATAGTGAATAAGTCTTATGAGGTCTGATAGTTTAAAAAATAGGAGTTTCCCAACACAAGCTCTCTTGTCTGCCACCATGTGAGATGTGCCTTTCACCTTCCACCATGATTGTGGGTCCTCCACAGCCATGTGGAACTGTGAGTCCAGTAAACCTCTTTTATTTGTAAACTGTGAGTCCAGTAAACCTCTTTTATTTGACATGCCCAGTATTGGGTATGTCTTTATCAGCAGCATGAAAATGGACTAATACAGTAAACTGGTACCAGTAGAGTGGGGTGCTGCTGAAAAGATACTGAAAAATGTGGAAGTGACTTTGGAACTGCATAACAGTTAGAGGTTGGAAGAGTTTGGAGGGCTCAGGAGAAGACAGGAAAATGTGGGACAGTTTAGAACTCCCTAGAGACTTGTTGAATGGCTTTGACCAAAGTGCTGATAATGATATGGACAATGAAATCCAGGCTGAGGTGGTCTCAGATGGAGATAAGAAACTCACTGGGAACTGGAGCAAATGTTGCTCCTGTTATGTTTTAGCAAAGAGACTGGTGGCATTTTGCCCCTGCCCTAGAGATTTGTGGAACTTTGAACTTGAGAAAGATGACTTAGAGTATCTGGCGGAATAAATTTCTAATCAGTAAAGTATTCAAAATGTGACATGGGTGCTGTTAAAGGCATTCAGTTTTATAAGGGAAGCAGAGCATAAAAGTTCTGAAAATTTGCAGCCTGACAATGTGATAGAAAATCTTGCATTTCTGCTCATGTACCCCCTGCATATTCTGCACATGTAACAAACCTGCATTATCTGCACATGTACCCCACAAGTTAACGTATAATTTAAAAAAATCCCATTTTCTAGAAAAATTTCAAGCTGACTGCAGAAATTTCAATAAGTAATGAGGAACCAAATATTAATCCCCAAGACAACAGGGAAAATGTTTCCAGGGCCTATCAGAGATTTCCCAGCAGCCTTTTCCATTGCAGGCCTGGAGGCCTAGGATGAAAAAGTGGTTTTATGGGCCAGGCTAGGGTCCCCACACTGTATACGGCCTAGGGACTTGGTGCTTTATGTCCTAGCTGCTCCAGAAATACCTGAAAGGTGCCAACACAGAGCTCAGGCCATGGTTTCGGAGGGTGCAAGCCTCAAGCCTTGGCAGCTTCCACGTGGCGTTGAACCTACCTGTGCACAGAAGTCAAGAATTTGGGTTTGGGAACTGTGATGGTTAATACTGGGTGTTAACTTGATTGGATTGAAACATGCAAAGTATTGATCCTGGGAGTGTTTCCAAAGGAGATTAACATTTCAGTCAGTGGGCTGGGAAAGGCAGACCCACCCTTAATCTGAGTGGGCACCACATGATTAGTTGCCAGTGTGGCCAAAATATAAAGCAGGCAGAAAAATGTGAAAAGACTAGAGTAGCACAACCTCCCAGCCTACATTTTCTCCCATGCTGGGTGCTTCCTGCCCTCAAACATCAGACTCCAAGTTCTTTAGCTTTAGGACTCAGACTGACTGTCCTTGCTTCTCAGTTTGCCAATGGCCTATTCTGAGGACTCCCTGTGATAGTGTGAGTTAATAAACTCCCATCTCTCTCTCTCTCTCTCTACACCTCTCTCTACCTCTCTTCTCTCTCTACACCTCTCTCTGTCTCTACCTCTATCTCTATCTACCTCTACCTGTATTTCTGTCTATCTCTATCTGTCTCTATCTATGTATCCTATTCATTCTGTTCCTTTAGAGAACCTCATACAGATTTTGGTTAACAGGAGTGGTTCTAGAGGAATAGAATATTAAGGATGGAGTTCTTGTGTTGGTTTTGGAGTTTCTGGGGTTGGCTGCTCAATATGATTAGACCCCAAAATGCTAAAGGACTCTATTTCTAATACTATGGAGAACACTGAGAATCCTTGGTGTGAACTGTTTAGAGAAATATGCGCAATAAATGTATTTGACACTTCTGATTCACTGCTCATGAGAGGCAAGGAATTTAGTGACTCTATAAATAATACCTTTGACCATATGTGAAGAACCAAGGAACATAATAAAGTTGTTTGGTTGCTCCTAAGTTCAGTAGACAAAGTAATGAAAGAAAGTGATGAACTCAAGGATTCTAATGCCCAGCTTCAGAAGCATATACTGACTCTCAAATCTACTAGGATTGCCCGAATGAGAGTCTTATCTCCTGTAGAGAAAGAGCAGAAATTGTGGGAAAACAGACACAAACTCTTATCATGCAAGTGGCTGACCTGCAATGGAAGGTGCATGCACAGCCTCTCCAGGTGTCTACTGTTAAAGTGAAGGCATCGATTGGAAAGGAATGAGACCCTTCAACTTGGAATGGGGATGTGTGGGAGGACCCTGATGAAGCTGGGTCACTGAGTTTGTAAACTCTGATGAATCTTTTTTAGCCAGAAGAAACAACTTCTCCATCCCCAGTAGTGGCAACATCCCCTCCCTGACCCATGCTGCCATCAGCCTTTCCACCTTCGTCTGAGGAGATAAACCCTGCACTTCCTGTGGCAAAAGTGATGGCCTTTCATTGATTCTCCCTAGGAGCCATGCCCAAAATCCCTGTTTGCTTCTAGACTTGCAAGTCCCAGTGGGCCCCTAGACCTGATGTTGAGAGTGTGAACCATGAGGTGGTATGCTACACTTGAAAAGAACTGCTTGTTTTTTCTACTTTATACAAACAAATCTGGACAACATGCATGTGAATGGATATTAAAAGTGTGGGATAATGGTGGAAGGAACGAGTGAATCAGGCTGAATCTATTAATTTGGGCCCACTAAGTAGGGTCTCTAGATTTAATGTTGCAGCTCAGGGAGTTAAAAAAAGGTTCTAATAGTTTATTTGCTTGGTTAGCTGAAATATGGATTAAAAGATGGCCCACTGTGAGTGAGCTGGAAATGCCTGATCTCCCTTGGCTTAATGTAGAGGAAGGGATCCAAAGGCTTAGGGGCTTAGGGAGATTGGGATGGTGGAGTGGATTAGTCACTTTAGACCTACTCTTACCAGCTGGGAGGGTACAGAAGATATACCCTTGACCAATGCCTTGGGAAATAGATTTGTGAGGGCAGCACCTACATCTTTGAAGAGCCCTGTAATTGCTCTTCCTTGTAGGTTAAATCTAACAATGGGAAATGCAGTCCTCAACTACAAAATTTAAATACAATGGGAATAATTGGATCCCAAGGTGGCATGGGATGAAAGGCAAGGGGGGCATAGCTACCTTAATGAACAGCAAAGGCAAACTGCAAACAGAATAGCCTGACTCGTGTAGAGCTCTAACATTGGCTAATTAATCACGGTGTTCCCAGAAGTGAAATTGATAGGAAGCCTACTGCATTCCTACTTAATTTATATAAGCAGAAAACTTCCAGGTCGAGTGGACAAAAAGACTAATTTGAGTTATAAAAACAGAATCACAGCCCCTCAATCAATTTCCAGACTTGAGCCAGTTTACAGACCCAGAACCTCTTGAATGAAGGGGAGGCCATGTCCCTTGAGGAAAGACTCCCTACACTGCTCACAATTTATGCTGTTAATCTTTCTCCCATCCTTCCCCAAGGAGACCTCTGGCCTTTTCCCAGGGTGACCTTGCATTGGAGAAAGGGAAATGATCAGGTATTTTGGTGACTACTGGATGCTGGCTCTAAGATGACGTTGATTTCAAGGGACCCAAAACGTCATTGTGGTCCTCCAGTTAAAGTAGCGGCTTCTGGAGGTCAGGTAATTAATAGAGTTTTAGCTCACGTCTGACTGACAGTGTGTCTAGTGGGTCCCCAGACTCATCCTGTGGTCATTTCTACAGTGTCAGAATACATAACTGGCAGACATACTTAGCAGCTGGCAGAACCCTCACATTGGCTCCCTGACTGGTAGGGTGAGGATTATTAAGTTGGGAAAGGGAAAATGCAAGCCATTAGAACTGCTTTTACCTAGAAAAATAGTAAATCAAAACCAATATTGCATCCCTGGAGGGATTGTGGAGATTAGTGCCACCATCAAGGACTTGAAAGACGCGGGGGTGGTGATTCCCACAACATCCCAGTTCAACTCTTTCATTTGGCCTGTGCAGAAGACAGATTGATTTTAGAGAATGACAGTGAATTATCATAAGCTTAACTAAGTGGTAACTCCAATTTCAGCTGCTGTACCAAAGGGGTTTTATTGCTTGAGCAAATTAACACATCTCCTGATATGTGGTATGCAGTCATTGATTTGGCAAATGCCTGTTTTCACCATTCCTGTCCGTAAGACCCACGAGAAGCAATGTGCCATCAGCTGGCAAGACCAGAAATATACCTTTACTGTCCTACATCAAGGGTATATCAACTCTCTGCCTTTGTGTGATAATCTTATTCAGAGAGATCTTGATCACTTTTTGCTTCCACAAGATATCACACTAGTCCATTACATTGATGACATTATGCTGATTGGATCCAGTGGGCAAGAACTAGCAAACACATTGGACTTATGGTTGGGCATTTGCATGGCAGAGCATGAGAAATAAATCCAACTAAAATTCAAGGATCTTCTACCTCAGTAAAATTTTTAGTGGTCAAGTGGTGTGGGGTCTGTAGAGATATTCCTTCTAAGATGAAGGATAAGTTGCTGCATTTGGCCTCTCCTACAACCAAGAAAGGGGCACAATGCCTAGTGGGCCTATTTGGATTTTGGAGGCAACATATCCATTTATTGAGTGACCATTTATTGAGTTACCTGAAAGGCTGCCAGTTTTGAGGAGGTCCAGAAGAGGAGAAGGCTCTGCAACAAGACAAGGCTGCTTTGCAAGCTGCCCTGCCACTTGGGCCATATGACCCAGCAGATACAATGGTGCTGGAGGTTTCAGTGGCAGATAGGGATGCTGTTTGGAAGACCCTCATAAGTGAATAACAGTGGAGGCCTCTAGGATTATGAAGCAAGGCCCTGCCATCTTCTGCAGATAACTACTCTCCTTTTGAGAGACGCATGCTGGCCTGTTACCAGACTTTGGTGGAAACTGAACATTTGACTATGGGTCATCAAGTCAACATGCAACCTGAATTGCCTATCAAAAACTGGGGGCTTTCTGACCCATCTAGCCATAAAAGGTGTCATGAACAGCATTCTATCATCAAATGGAAATTATATATACGTTTTTGGGCTCAAGCAGGTCCTAAAGGCACAAGTAAGTTACATGAGGCAGTGGCTCAAATGTCCATGGTCTCCACTCCTGCCACCCTGCCTTCTCTCCTCCAGCCTGCACCGATGTCCTCATGGGAAGCTCCTTATGTTCAGTTGACAGAGGAAGAGAAGACTAGGGCCTAGTTCACAGATGGTTCTGCATGATATGCAGGCACCACCCGAAAGTGGACAGCTGGAACACTATAGCCCCTTTCTAGGACCTTCCTGAAGGACAGCAGGGAAGGGGAATTTTCCCAGTGGGCAGAATTTTGAGCAGTGCACTTTGCATGGAAAGAGAAATGGCCAGATGTGCAATTATATGCCGATTCATGGGTTGTAGCTAATAGTTTGGCCGGATGGTCACACTTGAAAGAAGCATGATTGGAAAACTGGTAAGGAAGGAATTTGGGGAACAGGTGTGTGGACGTACCTCTCTGAGTGGTCAACAACTGAAGATATTTGTATCCCATGTGAGTGCTAACCAGTGGGTGACCTCAGCAGAGGAGAATTCTAATAAGCCAGTGCATAGGATGACCCTTTCTGTGGATACCACTCAACCTCTTTCCCCAGCCACCCCTGTCATCGCCCAATGGGCTCATGAACAAAGTGGCAATGATGGCAAGGATGGAGCTTATGCATGGGCTCAGCCACATGGACGTCCACTCACCAAGGCTGACCTGGCTATGGCCACTGCTGAGTGCCCAATTTGCCAGCAGCAGAGACAAACACTGAGCCCTTGATATGGAACCATTCCTTGGGATGATCAGTCAGCTATCTAGTGGCAGAGTTCTTCCATCATGAAAATGGAAGAGGTATGAGAGTTCTTCCATCATGAAAATAGCAGAGGTTTGTCCTCACTGGAATAGAAACTTACTCCCGATATGGGTTTCCCTATCCTGCACGCAATGCCTCTGCCAAGACTACCATCCGTGGACTCACAGAATGCCTTATCCACTGTCATTGTATTCCACACAGCATTGCCTCTGACCAAAGGACTCACTTTACGGCTAAAGATGTATGGCAATAGGCTCATGCTCATGGAATTTCACTGGTCTTTCCATGTTCTCCATCATCCTGAAGCAACTTGATAGTAGGATGGCCTTTTAAAGTCACAATTACATCACCAACTAAGTGACAATATTTGCAGGGCTGGGGTAAAGTTCTCCAGAAGGCCATGTATGCTCTGAATCAGCATCCAATATATGGTACTGTTTCTCCCATAGCCAGGATTCACAGGTCCAAGAATAAAGGGGTGGAAGTGGAAGTGACATTACTCACCATCACCCCTAGTGATCCACTAGCAAAATGTTTGTTTCCTGTTCCTGCAACATTACATTGTGCTGCCTAGAGGTCTTAGTTCTAAAGGGAGGAACACTGCCATGAGGAGACACAACAATGATTCCATTAAACTGGACACTTTGGGGTCCTCCTACCTTTAAGTCAACAGGCTAAGAAGGGATTTACAATTTTGGCTGGGGTGATTGTATCAGACTATTAAGATGAAATCAGTCTATTACTCCATAACGGAGTTAAGGCAGAATATTCATGGACTACAGGGGATCCATTAGGGCATCTCTTAGTATTACCAACCCTGTGATTAAGGTCAATGGGAAACTACAACAGCCCAATCCAGGCAGGACAACAAATGGCCCTGATACTTCAGGAATCAAGGTTTGGGTCACTCCACAAGGAAAACAAAACAAAATAAAATGCAACCTGTTGAGATGCTGGCTGAAGGCAAAGGGAATACAGAATGTGTTGCAGAAGAAGGTAGTCACCAATACCAGATATGGCCACATGACCAGCTACAGAAAGGAGGACTGTAATTGTCATGAATATTTCCTCCTTTTGTAAAAAACATGTTTGTGCATTATACACTTGTACTAAGAAAATATTTCCATTTTATTTTCTTTTTCCTTTATCATGTGACATAAAACTTACTGACTTTTGTAGAGACTTGATCAGGCTGGTGGGAAAAATATTAAAGACTGTTATAGAGATAGACACAATTCTTAGAAGGCCAAGAAGTTTGCATAACTTCGGTAACAGATCTGGCTGAAGGTGGCCTGGTCCCTTTACCTTTAGTTAAACAAATTAAAGTAGTAACAAAGGAACGTGGGGGTAGTTATCTAGCTAGCTTGTTTAATCTTGTGGTCTTAAGACTAACCTTTGGTGTACCATGGGTGCTTAATTGCTTTTTACTTGGAAAGCCCACAATGTCAATTATCTTGTAATGGTGTTGACTCAAGCCTTTGTTAATTAATCTTACTGAATAAATGTGATTCTCACTAGCTGATCAGGGCCACGGTGGCAATTGCTTATAGAACTCAGCAAGGAGTGTGTAAGCGGCCTGGACAGAGTCACCTGGACGGGCAAAGAAGAATATCTGTGTGTCAGTGTTCATTATTCATCCATCACTGGGTCAGGGGTTTGCAAGGGACAGACCCCCTGCAGCTGGTGCCCCTGTGTGAGGGGCACTACTGCAGACATTATATCAGCATTTAAGTATTATTAACTTTATGTTATAGTATTTGGGTTGGGGATTGGTACATTTCCAGTTGTATAAAAGATAGTTGTATTATGTTAGGTGTAATTATGACCTTACTCTCTTTATTTGAACATTATGTATGATCTCAGGAGATGTGCCTGGGTTCTTGTTGACAATGCATGAACTTGTGATGGTTAATACTGAGTGTCATCTTGACAGGATTGAAGGATGCAAAATATTGATCCTGGGTGTGTTTGTGAGGGTGTTTCAAAGGGAGATTAACATTTGAGTCAGTGGGCTGGGAAAGACAGACCACCCTTAATCTGGGTGGGCACCATCTAATCAGCTGCCAGTGCAGCCAGAATATAAAGCATGCAGAAAAATGTGAAAAGACTAGACTGGCCTAGCCTCCCAGCCTAAATCTTCCCCCATGCTGGATGCCTCCTGCCCTCAAACATCAGACTCCAAGTTCTTCAGTTTTAGGACTTGGACTGGCTATCCTTGCTCCTCAGCTTGCAAATGGCCTATTATGGGACCTTGTGATAGTATAAGTTAATACTTAATAAACTCCCCTTTACATATTTATATCTATCCTATTATTTCTGTCCCTCTAGAGTACCCTGACTGATATGAGAACCTCTGCCTAGATTTCAGAGGATTTATGGCAACACCTGGATGTCCAGGCAGAAGTTTGATGTGGGGGTGGGGGTCTCATGAAGAACCTCAGCTAGGGCAGTATGAAAAGGAAATGTGGGGTCAGAGCCCCTACACAGAGTCTCTACTGTGTTACCACCTGGTCGTGCTGTGAGAAGAGGGCCACCATCCTTCAGACCCCAGAATGGTAGATCTACCAACAGCTTGCACCATGCATCTGAAAAAGCCACAGACACACAATGGCAGCCCATGAAAGCAGCTGAGAGGGGTCCTGTGCCCTGCAAAGCCACAGGGGCAGAGCTGCCCAAGACAATGGGAACCCATCTCTTGTACCAACGTGACCTGGATGTGAGATATGGAGTCAAAGGAGATCAGTTTAGAACTTTAAGATTTGACTGCCTGATGGGTTTCAGACTTGCGTGGGGCATGTAGCCTGTTTGTTTGGATAATTTCTCCCATTTGGACCCAATGTCTGTACCCACTGTATCTAGGAAGTAACTAACTTGCTTTTGATTTTACAGGCTCATTGGTGGAAGGGAAGTGTCTTGTCTCAGAGAAGACTTTGGACTATGGACCTTTGGGTTAATCTTTAAATAAAGACTTTGAGGGATTGTTGAGAAGGCATATTGGTTTAGACATGTGAGGACATGAGATCTGGAAGGGGCTGGGGAAGAATGATATGGTTTGGCTGTGTCCCTACCTAAATTTCATCTGGAATTCCTGCTTGTTTTGGGAGGGACCTGATGGGTTCATGTCCTTTGCAAGAATATGGATGAAGCTGGGAACCATCATTCATAGTGGCAGGTCTTTCCCATGCTATTGTCATGATAGTAAGTCTCATGAGATCTGATGGCTTTAATAATGGGAGTTTCCCTCCCCAAGCTCTCTTCTTGTCTGCTGCTATGTGAGATGTGCCTTTCACCTTCTGCCATGACTGTAAGGCATCCCCAGCCACGTGGAACTGAGTCCAGTAAACCTCTTTGTTTTGTAACTTGCTCAGTCTCAGGTATGTCTTTATCAGCAGCATGAAAATGGACTAATACAAAATAGCAGCTGGAAGAACCCTGTACAGGCACTTTCAATTCCCAGCTTGAGCCCAGGGAAGACATCCCTGATGATATCTCACAGAGGTCCTTGGGGGAAGGCAGACAGGGGAACCAGAAAATAGTCACAGGGTGAAAGAAGCTTCCAGATGAACTTCATAATAATTTTAATCTAGCACAGTTTTTTTGAGCAGAATCCAGGGGAAAAAATGGGAATTGCTGCATGAGCTGCAGCTCATGGTGTGGGCAGGTGCAGAGATGTGAGGCCTGAAAACTGTGCTTGCTTTCTCAGCAGGGAGGCTTGTAGCCTGTGGCAGGGTCCCTCCCACAACATGTGGGAATTCTGAGAGATACAATTCAAGTTGAGATTTACATGGGGACACAGCAATACCATATCAGACTAATATCTAGAATGTACAAGGAACTCAAATCAGCAAGAAGAAAAATAATCCCATCAAAAAGTGGGCTAAGGATATAGACAGTTCTCAAGAGACATGCAAATGGCAAATAAACATGAGAAAAAATGCTCAACATGACTAATTTTGGGGGAAATGTAAGTCAAAACCACAATGCAATACCACTTTATTCCTGCAAGAATTGACATAAGTAAAAAAATTTAAAAATAACATGTTGGTGTGGATGTGGTAAAAAGGGAACACTTTTACACTGCTGGTGGGAATGTAAACTAGTAAAACCACTATAGAAAACAGAATCGGGATTCCTTAAAGTACTACAAATAGAACTACCATTTCATCCAGCAACCCCACTCCTGGGTATCTACCCACGAGAAATGTAGTCATTATATGAAAGACACTCACTTGCACACACATATTTATAGCAACCCAATTCACAATTGCAAAAACATGGAACCAGCCTAAATGCCCATCAATGAATGAGTGGATACAAAAAAATGTGGTATGCACATATATATACACACCACGGAATACCACTCAGCTATAAAAAGGAATAAAACAATGGCATTCACAGCAACCTGGATGCAGTCAGAGACCATTACTCTAAGTGAAGTAACTCAGGAATGGAAAAGCAAACTTTGTAGGTTCTCATTTATAAATGGGAGCTCAGCTATGAGGATGCAAATGCATAAAAATGATATGATGGATTTTGTATATTGGGGGGAACATTGGGAGGGAGTGAAGGATATAAGATTACAAACTGGGTACAGTGTATACTGCTCGGGTGATCAGTGCACCCAAATCTCAGAAATCACCACTAAAGAACTTATCCATGTAACCAAAAACCACTTGTTTTCCCCAAACTATTGAAATAATAAATATATAAATAAATAATAAGTAAGCTAGTGAGCCAGGCATGGTGCTGTAGTTCTAGCTACCCTGGAAGTTGATGAAGGATAGCTCAAGTTCACAGTTCAATGTTATAGTGAGCTACAAGGGCACCACTGTGCTCCAGGCTGGGTGACAGAGTGAGACCCTGTCTCAAAAGAAAATGAAAGAAAAGAAATGAGCTGTCAAGCTATGAAAAGGCATGGAGGAAACTTAAATGCATTTCACTAAGTGAATGATGCCAGTATGAAAAGCCTTTGTACATTTTTAAAAAAAATTTATTTCCATTTGGGGGAACAGTTGGTATTTGGTTACATGAGTAAGTTTGTTAGTGGTGATTTGTGGGATTTTGGTGCACCCATCACCTGAGCAGTATACACAGAACCCAATTAGTAGTATTTTATTCCTCACCCCTGTCCCATCCTTTCCCTGCCAAGTCCCCAAAGCCCATTGTGTCATTCTTATGTCTTTGCATCCTCATAGCTTAGCTCACACTCATGAGTGAGAACATACAATGTTTGGTTTTCCATTCCCGAATTACTTCACTTAGGATAATAGTCTCCAGTCCCATCCAGGTTGCTGTGAATGCCATTAATTCATTCCTTATTATAGCTGAGTAGAATTCCATCATATATGTATGTATATATATACACACACACACTCACACACACTCACGCACACACACATATACACACGTAGTTTATCTACTTGACAAACCTAAAATTCTGAGATCCAAAATGCTCCAATAAGCATTTCATTGAATATGATGTTGGCACTCAAAAAGTTTTGGATTGTGGCAGGGTGCGGTGGCTCATGCCTGGAATCCCAGCACTTGGGAAGCCAAGGCAGGTGAATCATGAGGTCAGGAGATCGAGACCATCCTGAATAACACGGTGAAACCCCATCTCTACTAAAAATACAAAAAGTTAGCAGGGCTTGGTGGTGGTTGCCTGTACTCCCAGCTACTCAGGAGGCTGAGGCAGGAGAATGGCATAACCCGGGAAGCAGAGCTTGCAGTGAGCCGAGATCATGCCACTGCACTTCAGCCTGGGCGACAGAGACTCCATCTCAAAAATTAAAATAAAAAAAATAAAGTTTTGGATTTTGGAGCATTTCAGATTTGGAATGCTTGGATTTTGAGATGCTCAACACGTATAGGCAGGCTATGTATAGTCAGCAAGAAGGGAGAGTAAAAGATACTTGGCAACTTGCTCCTGAAATATATGGCATAGACTTGGTCTGACCCAAGTTTAACTTTTTTATTATATTTTAAGTTCAGCAATATATGTACAGAACGTGCAGGTTTGTTACATAGGTATACATGTGCCATGGTGGTTTGCTGCACTCATCAACCCATCATCTACATTAGGTATTTATCCTAATGCTATCCCTCCTCTTGCTCCCCATGCCCCAACAGGTCCCAGTGTGTGATGTTCCCCTCCTTGTGTCCAAGTGTTCTCATTGTTAAACTCCCACTTATGAGTGAGAACATGTGGTGTTTGGTTTTCTGTTCCTGTGTAAGTTTGCTGAGAATGATGGTTTCCAGCTGCATCCATGTCCCTGCAAAGGACATGAACTCATCCTTTTTTATGGCTGCATGTGTTCCAAGGTGTATATGTGCCACATTTTCTTTATCCAGTCTATCATTGATGGGCATTTGGGTTGGTTCCAAGTCTTTGCTATTGTAAATAGTGCCACAAAAAAACATACATGTGCATGTGTCTTTATAGTAGAATGATTTATAATCCTTTGGGTATATACCCAGTAATGGGACTGCTGGGTCAAATGGTATTTCTGGTTCTAGATCCTTGAGGAATCACCACACTGTCTTCCACAATGGTTGAACTACTTTACACTCCCACCAACGTGTAAAAGTGTTCCTATTTCTCCACATTCTCTCCAGCATCTGTTTCCTGACTTTTTAATGATGGCCATTCTAAGTGGTGTGAGATGGTATCTCATTGTGGTTTTGATTTGCATTTCTCTAATGACCAGTGATGATGAGCTTTTTTTCATGTTTTTTGGCTACATAAATGTCTTCTTTTGACAAATGTCTGTTCATATCCTCCACCCACTTTTGATGAGGTTTTTTTTCTTGTAAATTTAAGTTCTTTGTAGATTCTCGATATTATCCCTTTGTCAGATAGATAGATTGCAAAAATCTTCTCCCAATCTCTAGGTTGCCTGTTCACTCTGATGACAGTTTCTTTTGCTGTGTTGGAACTCTTTAGTTTAATTAAATCCCATTTGTCAATTTTGGCTTTCGTTGCCATTACTTTTGGTGTTTTAGTCATGAAGCCTCTGCCCATGTCTATGTCCTGAATAGTATTGCCTAGCTTTTCTTCTACAGTTTTTATGGTTTTAAGGCTTACGTTTAAGTCTTTAATCCATCTTGAGTTAATTTTTGTATAAGGTGTAAGGAAGGGGTCCAGTTTCAGTTTTCTGCACATAACTAGCCAGGTTTTCCAACACCATTTATTAAATAGGGAATCCTTTCCCCATTGTTTGTGTCAGGTTTGTCAAAGATCAGATGGTTACAGATGTGTGGTGTTTTTTCTGAGGGCTCTGTTCTGTTCCATTGTTCTACATATCTGTCTTGGTACCAGTACCATGCTGTTTTGATTACCATAGCCTTGTAGTATAGTTTGAAGTCACATGGCGTGATGCCTCCAGCTTTGTTGTTTTTGATTAGGATTGTCTTGGCTATACAGGCTTTTTGGTTCCATATGAAATTTAAAGTAGTTTTTCTAATTCTGTGAAGAAAATCAATGGTAGCTTGATGGGAATAGCATTGAATATATAAATTACTTTGGATAGTATGGCCATTTTCAAGACATTGATTCTTCCTATCCGTGAGCATAGAATGTCTTCCCATTTGTTTGTATCCTCTCTTATTTCCTTGGGCAGTTGGGTTTGTAGTTCTCTTGAGGAGGTCCTTGACCTCCTTTGTAGTTGTATTCCTAGGTGTTTTACTCTTTGTAGAAATTGTGAATGAAAATTCACTCATGATTTGGCTCTCTCATCTATTATTGGTGTATCAGAATGCTTGTGACTTTTACACATTGATTTTGTATCCTGGGACTTTGTTGAAGTTGCTTATCAGCTTAAGGAGTTTTTGTTCTGAGATGATGGGGTTTTCTAAGTATATAATCATGTCATCTGCAAACAGAAAATTCAACTTCTACTCTTCTTCTTGAATACACTTATTTCTTTCTCTTGCCTGATTGCCCTGGCAAGAACTTCCAATACTATGTTGATTAGCAGGGGTAAGAGAGACAGCATCTTTCTCTTGTGCCAGTTTTCAAAGGGAATGCTTCCAACTTTTGCCCATTTAGTAGATATTGGCTATGCGTTTGTCTTAAATAGCTCTTATTTTGAGATATGTTCCATCAATACCCAGTTGATTGTGTTTTTAGCATGAAGTGTTGTTAAATTTTATCGCAGGCCTTTTCTGCACCTATTGATAAAATTATGTGGTTTTTGTCATTGGTTCTGTTTATGTGATGGAGTATGTTTATTGATTTACATATGTTGAACCAGTCTGGCATCCAAGGGATGAAGCCGAGAATTGACAGTGGTGGATAAGGTTTTTGACGTGCCGCTGATTTGGCTTGCCAGTACTTTATTGAGGATTTTTGCATCAATATTCATCAGGGATACTGGCCTGTAGTTTTCTTTTTTGTTGTATCTCTGCCAGGTTTTGGTATCAGGATGATGCTGGCCTCATAAAATGAGTTAGGAAAGTGTCCCTCTTTTTTCTATTGTTTGGAATAGTTCAGAAGGAATGGTACCAGGAATGTCTAGCAGAATTCAGCTGTGAATCCATCTGGTCCTGGGCTTTTTTTGGTTGGTAGGATATTAATTACTGTCTCAATTTCAGAACTTGTTATTGATCTATTCAGGGATTTGACTTCTTGCTGGCTTAGTCTTGGCAAGGTGTATGTGTCTAGGAACTTATCCATTTCTTCTAGGTTTTCTAGTTAATTTGCAGAGAGGTGTTCATAGGATTCTCTAATGATAGTTTGTATTTCTGTGGGATCAGTGGTGATATCTTCTTTATCATTTTTTATTGTGTCTATTTGATTCTTCTCTCTTTTCTTCTTTATTAGTTTGTCTAGTAGTCTATTTTTGTAAATCTTTTCAAAAAAAAAAAAAAACCAGCTCCTGGATTCATTGATTTTTTGAAGGGTTTTTTGTGTCTCTATCTACCTCATTTCTGCTCTGATCTTAATTATTTCTTGTCTTCTGCTAGCTTTTGAATTTGTTTTCTCTTGCTTCTCTAGTTCTTTTAAGTGTGATGTTAGGGTGTCGAATTTAGCTTTTTCCCCACCTTCTCATGTGGGCATTTAGTGCTATGAATTTCCATTAGATGGAATAGACATAGACACTGCTTTATGTCTCTCCCAGAGATTCTTGTACGTTGTGTCTTTGTTCTTATTGGTTTGAAATAACTTCTTCATTTCTGCCTTCATGTCATTATTTACCCAGTAATCATACAGGAGTAGGTTGTTCAGTTTCCATGTAGTTGTGTGGTTTTAAGTACTTAATCCTGAGTTTTAATGTGATTGCCCTGTGGTCTGAGAGACTGTTTATGATTTCTGTTCTTTTGTATTTGTTGTATGTTTTACTTCCAACTATGTGGATGATTTTAGAATAAGTACTATGTGATGCTGAGAAGAATGTATATTCTGTTGATTTGGGGTGGAGAGTTCTGTAGATGTCTATTAGGTCCACTTGGTCCAGAGCTGAGTTCAAGTCCTGCATATCCTTGTTAATTTTCCGTCTCGTTGATCTGTCTAATATTGACAGCGGGGTATTAAAGCTTCTCACTATTATTGTGTGGGAGTCTAAGTCTCTTTGTAGGTCTCTAAGAACGTGCTTTATGAATCTGTGTGCTCCTGTATTTAGTGCATATATATTTAAAATAGTTCTTCTTGTTGCATTGATCCTTTTACCATTATGTAATGACCTTTTTTTTTATATATTTGTTGGTTTAAAGTGTGTTTTATCGGAGACTAGAATTGCAACCCATTTTAGTTGGCTTTCATTTGCTTGGTAAATATTCTTCCATTTATTCTGAGCCTATGTGTGTCTTTGCACATGAGATGGGTCTCCTGAATACAGCACAGTGATACGTCTTGAGTCTATTCAATTTGTCAGTCTGTGTCTTTTAATTGGGTGATTTAACCCATTTATATTTAAGGTTAATATTTTTATATGTGAATTTGATCCTGTCATGATGCTAGCTGTTATTTTGCATATTAGTTGATGCAGTTTCTTCATAGTGTCAATGGTCTTCACATTTTGGTATTTTTTTTTTTGAAGTTGCTGGTACCAGTTTTTCCCTTCCATATTTAGTACTTCCTTCAGGAGCTCTTGTTTTTTTTTATTATTATTATACTTTAAGTTTTAGGGTACATGTGCACAATGTGCAGGTTAGTTACATATGTATACATGTGCCATGCTGGTGTGCTGCACCCATTAACTCGTCATTTAGCATTAGGTATATCTCCTAATGCTATCCCTCCCCCCTCCCCTCACCCCACAACAGTCCCCAGAGTGTGATGTTCCCCTTCCTGTGTCCATGTGTTCTCATTGTTCAATTCCCATCTATGAGTAAGAACATGCGGTGTTTGGTTTTTTGTCCTTGCGATAGTTTACTGAAAATGCTGATTTCCAATTTCATCCATGTCCCTACAAAGGACAGGAACTCATCATTTTTTATGGCTGCATAGTATTCCATGGTGTATATATGCCACATTTTCTTAATCCAGTCTATCATTGTTGGACATTTGGGTTGGTTCCAAGTCTTTGCTATTGTGAATAGTGCCACAATAAACATACGTGTGCATGTGTCTTTATAGCAGCATGATTTATAATCCTTTGGGTATATACCCAGTAATGGGATGGCTGGGTCAAATGGTATTTCTAGTTCTAGATCCCTGAGGAATCGCCACACTGACTTCCACAATGGTTGAACTAGTTTACAGTCCCACCAACAGTGTAAAAGTGTTCCTATTTCTCCACATGCGCTCCAGCACCTGTTGTTTCCTGACTTTTTAATGATGGCCATTCTAACTGGTGTGAGATGGTATCTCATTGTGGTTGTAAGGCAGGCCTGGTGGTTACAAATTCCCTCAGAATGTGTTTGTCTGTCAAGAATTTTATTTATCCTTCATTATGAAGCTTAGTTTTGCTGTATATGAAATTCTGGGTTGAAAATTCTTTTAAGAATGTTGTATATTGGCCTCCACTCTCTTCTGGCTTGTAGGGTTTTCTGCAGAGAAATATGCTGTTAGTCTGATGAGCTTCCCTTTGTGGGTAACCTGATCTTTCTCTCTGGCTGCCCTTAACATTTTTTCCTTCATTTCAACCTTGGTGAATCTGACAATTATGTGTCTTGGGGTTGCTCATCTTGAGGAGTATCTTTATGGTGTTCTCTGTATTTCCTGAATTTGAATGTTGGCCAGTCTTGCTAGATTGGGGAAGTTCTCCTGGATAATATACTAAATTGTGTTTTTCAACTTAATTCTATTCTCCCCATCACTGTCAGATACACCAATCAAATGTAGGTTTGTCATTCCACATAGTCCCGTATTTCTTGGAGGTTTTGTTTGTTTCTTTTCGTTCTTTTTTCTCTCACCTTCACAATTTCATTAAGTTCATCTTCAATCTCTAATATCCTTTCTTCCACTTCATCGATTTGTCTATTGATACTTATATATGCATCACGAAGTTCTTGTGTTGTGTTTTACGGCTCCATCTGGTCATTTATGTTCTTTTCTAAACTGGTTATTCTAGTTATAAGTTCCTGTAACATTTTATTAAGGTTCTTGGCTTCCTCGCATTGGGTTAGAACATGCTCCTTTAGCTCAGAGGAGTTTTTATTACCCGCCTTCTGAAGCCTACTTCTGTCAATTTGTCAAACTCATTCTCCATCCAGTTTTGTTCCCTTGCTGGTGAGGAGTTGTGATCCTTTGGTGGAGAAGAGGTATTCTGGTTTTTGGAATTCTCAGCATTTTTGTGCTGGTTTTTCTTCATCTTCATTGATTTATCTACCTTTGATCTTTGATGCCAATGATCTTTGTATGGGTTTTTTTCATGGTCATCCTTTTTGTTGATGTTGATGTTATTGTTTTCTGTTTGCTGGTTTTCCTTCTAACAGTCAGGCCCCTCTTCTTCAGGTCTGCTGGAGTTAGCTGGAGGTCCACTCCAGACTCTGTTTGCCTGGGTATCACCAGTGGAGGCTGAAGAATAGCAAAGATTGCTGCCTGCTCCTTCCTCTGGAGGCTTCATCCCATAGGGGCACTTGCCAGATGCCAGATGGTGCTCTGTCATATGAGGTGTCTGTCAACCCCTGCTGGGACGTATCTCCCAGTTAGGAGGCACCGGGGTCAGGGACCCACTTGAGGAGGCAGTCTGTCCATTAGCAGAGCTCGAGCACTGTACTGAAAGATCTGCTGCTCTCTTCAGAGCTGGTAGGCAGGAACTTGTTTAAGTCTGCTGAAGCTGTACCCACAGCCACCCCTTCCCCCCAGGTGTTCTGTCCTAGGGAGATGGGAGTTTTATCTATAAGCCCCTGACTGGGGCTGCTGCATTTCTTTCAGAGATGCCCTGCCCAGAGAAGTGGAAGCTAGAAAGGCAGTCTAGCTACAGCAGCTTCGCCACACTGTGGTGGTTTCCACCAAGCCTATCTACTTATGATTCCAACTGTATGAAAAATGGGAAACAAGAGAGACAGTAAAAAGAGGCAATGAAAAGATTTTCTTAGAGGTTGGGGGGGTGGTGTGTTATGACAAATAGGTGGAGTACGGAGGATTTTTAAGGCAGTAAAAATATCCTGTATGATACTATAGTATTAGATATGTGTCATTATATACTTTTCCAAACCCAGTGAATGTGCAAAACCAAAAGTGAATCCTAATGTAAACTATAGACTTTGGCAGATTATGATTTGTCAATGTAGGTTTATCTGTTATAACAAATGTACCACTCTGGTAAGGGATGTTGATAATAGGGAATATTATAGTTGTGTAGGGGGAGAGTGTATATAGAAAATCTCTATCTTTCCCTTACTTTTTGTGAACTTAAAACTAACTTTTTAAAAATTACATTTAACAAAAAATTGTCAGGGAATCTCACATTTATATATATCCTCAGAGAAAGCACAAAATAATGTAAATTCTATGCAAATAAAATTAATAATAAACATGTGGTAAGTTTTAATTCTTTGATTTTTAATTAGCTGTGTTATACAAATTAAATTTATAGGCAAACTAAAATCTTATTTTTTCTCTACCCTACTTGCCAAGTGTCTCCCTCTTCCTGGAGGAAGTAATTATTATCAGTATGATGTATTTCCTTCCTGTTCTTGTTTGCAGTTATGAAGCATTGTTACTTAACATTTATTCTTCTTCAGAAATTATTCTAGGAACTGAAAATACAATTTCGAATTATCTCTGTTCTTAAGGCACTTTTGTTTTAATGGAACACAAAAATCAATTGAAAAATAAATGTGGGGATGAAAGAGAAGGTAGGATGAGCTTGATAATTTGTCTTTTATAGGAGGCAGCAAAAAAGACTTGTTTCTGAAATTGATGAACTGAGAAATATAGACTCAAGCATATTAAAGATAGAAATTTATTCACTATAAGAGCTAAATAGGAGCCTATACTATTTACTTTTCCATGGCAAGAATAAGAGGGAGAACAAAAAGTAGAAAATGAAAAATATGGAAAAGATAAAGGAAAAACAGCAAAAAAAGCTCAAAAGTATTATACATGCAATTTTACAAAATCACAAGACAGAATAAAGGTAAACACGCCTTCTTAAAGTGAAAATGTGAATGAGATACAGTTACCTCCTAGAAGAGAAAAAACAGACTTTTCAATTGGATTACATAAACAAAACTATGTATATGCTATCTTTAAGAGACATACCTTAAACCAAAGGAATCAAAGAGTTTGAGAAAAATATAATGGCATATCAGTTAGTTTGGTGTCTGTCCAAACAGCCACCCAGTTTTGTGCTTGAAACCCAGGGCCCTGGTGGTGTAGGCAAATGAGGGAATTTCCTGGTCTGGAAATTAGGCATATGGACTGTTGTATTTATTATCTTTAACTTCTAAGCAAACTTTCATATATCCTTCTCTCCATCAGCAATCCTAAATGCTCAGACCTGAGGGGTTGGTTTATTTGATATAAGGCAGCCCAGGAGAGCTCTTCCCTTTCAATATCAGTCTAGATTTTGAGAGTTTGCCTCTGCACTCCATGCTGAAAAGATATGATTGTGGGTCTGCTATATTACTTGTCACATAGGAAGAACTGCTGAAATTCAAAGAAAATAAGTCCAAGTAGGGCTAAGGAATAACTGAAGTTGGATATAAAGAAATACTGGCTAAATTGAATCTTAATTTGGTCACCAAGGCAACATTTTTATAGCTGCTTCTTCGATCCTGTGTTAACACCAGTTCTTTGAGACAATGAATTTCCTTTTATTCTTATACCAGTTAAACTTATTGGGGACTTGTAAAATGCAGGAGCCTTGACCAATATACCAAGCAAACGCTTTAATACTAGAAAGTAGCAGTTGTGATATATTAAAATAGTTGAAGACACAAACCTTCATTGAAACAAAAAGGGTCATTTTATCATGAGTATAAAGAAAGTGTACAATGACAATATAGCTGTTAAGTTTTGACAACAGTAATTCCACAGCAAAACATGTAAAACAAAAACTATATGACATACAAAAGAAACAGGTATAGAGAAATTTTGGAGGAATTTTTTTCTCCACACTTGGCCAGATCAAGTATCAAATAAGAAAAAATCATAAAGACTTAGGCTTATATAATTAGTAAAGATGATTTGATAGACATATACAAAAATAGTGAACTCAAATTTTCACTCAGAAAATGTAAACTTAAACTATACTTCAAGGAAAATTTTTAGCATTATATGAGAAAAGAAAGACTAAGAATCAGTGATCTAAACATTCATCCCAAGAAGTCAAGAAAAGAAATCTTAGCAAATTAAACAAAGAAAACAAAGTGAAAGAAACAAAATAAAACTAAAGGCAGCAATCTGTGAAAAAGAACCAAACTCTCAAAAGAAAGAATAGACTAATAAGATGTATAACTTGCTGGGAAGACTGATCAATTATATTGTTTTCTTAGAGAAGATTGACTTTTGCTTGTGGCCTGAAACTTTTCTGGGGCTAAATTATCCTCAGTCCAATTACGGACTGAGATGGTTAAAATACTGACTCTATTCCTTGTAACTACTAGCTTATTTCTGCTTCACTCTCATTCCTGGATTGGAGTGCTTTGGGGCTCCCATCAGAAGCCTACAGTTTTTTATTTTTTTATTTTTTTAAACCAGAGGCCCATGCTTCTCAGACCCCTAACTTTTCTGCCCAGTCCTATGAGATCATTAAAACTCTACTTAGATTATATTTTCTGCCACTAGTTGTACTTTTAGAATCAACACTTGCTGTAGAGCAAAAAGTAGGCAAAAATTTTGAGTTGACCTCTCCCAGCTTCTCTTCTCAGCCCAATGTATTCTCACCGTGTTGGTACTTTCCTGAGACTTACAAAGATTTTTAAAAATTAATCAGTTTATTGAATTCTGAGTTTTGGTTGCAAAAAATCTAGCCTGCTACTGCTGGATATGGGATTCTTCCTGAGTAAATTTTGGGACAGATTAAATAAAAAATAAAGCTGTAATCTATGGTACTGGGAGGGAAATTAAGAAGCCACTTAAGGACTTTCTCTATTGGAAGAACTATATTTCCCTATTTTTCCTTTCACAGCTGCTCTTGATGGAAACCCAGATGGTATGGACATTGCTATCTGCTAATTCTGAACCTGCCTCCATCTCTAGAGTTAATTATTTCAACGTCTTTCCTCATTTGTCTAAAATTATCCCTACGCCTGTCCTTATTCCACCGTGGCCTGCCTCCAGTCTATCAGTCCACATGCTTCTGAAACTGACAAGTTTCCTGGAGTTCTGACAATGTATGCTATAAGCCCTTGGCTGTAGGTGAACTGTGACTTTAGAGTCTTGTTGCTGCCAGTGTCTATAAACACATGATTAACACAACACTCTTTGGCTGTTTTTATTTGGAAGCTCTCTTGCTTAGTCTCTTCTTTATACAGGCTGAAAGTAGGCAATTGATAGGGTGATGTGTGAGGGCCTAGATTGGCCACTTTTTAGTAATCCTACATGAGAGATTCCGACAGTTTCTTGCCACTGTATGCATTCATTTCATAACTATTGATTTTAGTTTTGGAGTACAACTGAAATTTCCAAATACAAAAATTTTCCTGCATTTGCTTATATTAAATTTAGTTCATCTTGGTTTAAAATAATATATTAATCTAAGACTTCAGAAAGAAACAAACCCACAAATAATACTATTAAAAATCCCATCTAGATATGCTTTTTAGTAAAATCAGTCAGATAAATTAACTAAATATTTATTACACAGATTTGATCTTATTTGACTGCCAGTTCCTTTGTACTGAGAATTGGTGTCTCGCCAGAATGTGGCCAATGTTGCAAGTTTTTATCTTTTCCAAAAAATAAATACTTAAAGCTATGAAGAACGGGCAACTATCCTGAAAACCTTGTATTATATTTAAATCAAATGTGGTTTATTTTTAATAAAAAGAAAAATAAGCACTCTATACAACTCAATATACAAATAAAATTGCCTCACTAAAAGATTGAATTGTTTTTCTGGTGCCTTAGTATATCTTTCTCTTCTGTGTCCCAAAGGTGGCAGTTCTTTCCAATAACAGCCTGTGATTAACCAATTACTCATGTGTAATTACATATAAGACTATTTAACTTTTTAAAAAAATATTTTATGGGATCTGGCAAGATGGCTGAGTGGGAATAGCTCTGGTCTGCAGCTCCCAGTGAGACCAAAGCAGAAGGCACGTGGTTTCTGCATTTCCAATTGAGGTACCTGGTTTATCTCACTGAGACTGGTTAGACAGTGGTGCTGCTGCCCATGGAGGGCAAACAGAAGAGGGTGGGGCATCGCCTCACCTGGGAATTGGAAAGGGCTGGGGACCTCCCTCTGCTAGCCAAGGGAAGCCATGAGGGACTGTGCTATCCAGCCCAGATAGTATGATAGTATGCTTTTCCCAACGTTTTTGCAACCTGCAGACCAGGAAATTCCCTCATGTGCCTACACCACCAGGGCCCTGGGTTTCAACCACAAAACTGGACGGCTGTTTGGACAGACACCAAACTAAGTGTAGTTTGTTGTTGTTGTTGTTTTTTCCTCCCCCCCCACCCCCCGCCCATACTCCAGTGGCACCTGGAACCCCAGAAAGACAGAACCATTTACTCCCTTGGAAAAAGGGCTGAAGCCAGGGAGACAAGTGGTCTGGGCCAGCAGATCCCACTCCCATGGAGCCCAGCAAGCTAAGAGCCACTGGCTTGAAATTCTCAATCCTAGCACAGCAGTCTGAAATTGACCTGGGAAGATCCAGCTTGGTGCGGGGAGGGGCATCCACCATTACTCAGGCTTGAGTAGGCAGTTTTCCCCTCACAGTATTAAAGAAGCCAACCCAAAGTTCTGACTGGGTGGAACTCACCTCAGTGTGGCAATGTGGCTGTGGTCAGACTGCCTCTCTGGAATAACCAGCTAGCATCATGATAACAGGATAAAATTCACACTTAACAATATTAACCTTACGTGTAAATGGTTTGGATGGCCCAATTAAAAGACACAGACTGGCACATTGGATAAAGAGTCAAGACACATTGGTGTGCTGTATTCAGGAGACCCGTCTCACGTGCAAAGACACAAAGGCTCAAAATAAAGAGATGTAGGAATATTTACCAAGCAGAGGGAAAGCAAAAAAAAAAAAACACGGGTTGCACTTGTAGTCTCTGATAAAACAGACTTTAAGCCAACAAATATCAAAGACAAAGAAGGGCATTACATAATGGTAAAGGGATCAATGCAACAAGAAGAGCTAACTATCCTAAATATATATGCATCTAGTACAGGAGCACCCAGATTCATAAAAAAAGTTCTTAGAGACCTACAAGAAGATGTTGACTCCCACACAATAATAGTGGGAGACTTTAACACCCCACTGTCAATATTAGATCAATGAGACAGAAACTTAACAAGGATATGCAGGACTTAACTCGGTTCTGGACCAAGTGTAACTAATAGACATCTACAGAACTCTCCACCCCAAATCATCAGAATATACATTCTTCTCTGCGTCACATAGCATTTATTCTAAAGCAATTGGAAAAGGATTCCATATTTAATAGTGCTGGGATAAGTGGATAGCCATATTTAGAAAACTGAAACTCGATCCCTTCCTTACACCTTATACAAAAATTAACTCAAGATGGATTGAAGACGTAAATGTAAAACCTAAGATGATAAAAACCATAGAAGAAAACCTAGGCAATACTATTCAGGACACAGGCATGGGCAAAGACTTCATGACTAAAACACCAAAAGCAATGGGAACAAAAGCCAAAATTGACAAATGAGATCTAATTAAACTAAAGAGCTTCTGCACAGCAAAAGAAACTACCATCAGAGTGAACAGGCAACCTACAGAATGGGAGAAAAGTTTTGCAATCCATCCATCTGACAAAGGTCTAACATCCAGAATCTACAAGGAATTTAAACAAGTTTAGAAGAAAAAAAAAAAACCCTATCAAACAGTGGGCGAAGTATATGAACAGACACTTCTCAAATGGCATTCATGTGGCCAATAAACATATGTAAAAAAGCTCACTGGTCATTAGGGAAATGCAAATCAAAACCACAAGAAACCATCTCACACCAGTTAGAATGGCGATTATTAAAAAGTCAGGAAACAACAGATGCTGGAGAGGATGAAGAGAAATAGAAACACCTTTACACTGTTGGTGGGAGTGTAAATTAGTTCAACCATTGTGGAGACAGTGTGGCAATTCCTCAAAGATCTAGAACCAGAAATACCATTTAACCCAGCAATCCCATTACTGGGTATATACCCAAAGGATTATAAATCATTCTACTATAAAGACACATGCACATGTATGTTTATTGCAATACTATTCACAATAGCAAAGACTTGGAACCAACCCAAATGCCCATCAATGACAGACTGGACAGAGAAAATGTGACACAAATACACCATGGAATACTATGTAGTCATAAAAAAGAATGAGTTCATGTCCTTTGCAGGGACATGGATGAAGCTGGAAACCATCATTCTCAGCAAACTAACACAGGAACAGAAAACCAAACACTGCATGTTCTTACTCACAAGTGAGAGTTGAACAATGAGAATACATGGACACAGGGAGGGGAACATCACACACCGGGGCCTGTCGGGTGTGGGGGACAAGGGGAGGGAGAGCATTAGGACAAATACCTAATACATGCGGGGCTTAAAACCTGGATGACAGGTTGCTAGGTGCAGCAAACCACCATGCCATATGTATACCCATGTAACAAACCTGCATGTTCTGCCCATGTATCCCAGAACTTAAATTTTTAAAAAAGCATTTTACATATGGGAAACTGAAGCACAAGGATGTTGAATAAATTTGCCATCAGGGTAAATGGCAAACCCAGGGCTCTAAGAGACATTTTGTCTCTTAACTTCTGCTCTAAGCTCCTATGTCATATTGCCATAGGTCTGACACTGGTCTTTAATTCTTTGGTGTTTATATGCTGCCCTTCTTGGTGCCAAAGTATTTTGATTGATATATTGGACTCTCAGCCATTTGTCTATTTGACCATCTTTTAATTTCTAACAGCATAGGTTTTCATTTTATAAGTCACAAAATAAACACATTGAGGGAGTCTTTGTTGATGCCTAAATTTGACCACTCTTTTGTACTCTCTATATACTTTTATAGCGTTTATATATTTATAATCAATTACCCCCATATTCCCAAGCAAAAGATAGTATTTTTTTTAATCTTTTCTCCATTTCCCCCTATTTTTCACTTCCTATTTAGCCATTTAGAAAGGCAATTATTGCCTTTTATCTCCCCCTCTCCAGGTGCTCCCTACAGGACAAGTTCATCTAACTATGTGCTTAAAAGCTTCAGAGTGGAACTCTCCAACCAGGAGACTACCTTAAGGGCCAACAGTCCATTTACAAACCAACATGTGCTCTTTGCTAAACTCTTTCCCCCTGGAGAGTTATGGGCACCTTTACAACCTAGCTCTGCCCATGAAGATGCCAACTCAACTGCTCGGTAGGTAAGGTACAGAAGCCAGTATGCAGACCCCTACACCTGCTTTCTTCCTCTTCTGCATGCCATTCATGCTAGTTCCCCCCTTTTAAAGCCACCTGTTTTCTGCTTCAAAAGCAAAGAGGTATCCTTAAGTAAACAGGCCTGTACTTCAGCTAGCTTTGGAATAAACTCATTGTGTTCATACCACACCCCACTCTTGTTAATTGTCCTCTGCAAGCTGTGTGTGGCTAAACCTACATTTTGGTTACATATACATACATTTTACTGAGTGCCTCCACTGTGACAAGCATTGTTCAACACTTCACATAGATAATTAATGAATTGAAAATGGATTATTAAATATTGGAATAAAAATGTCTTTGAATGTTAAAGTTTAAAAACAGAAGATTAAGTTATTCACATATTGTAATGTCTTAGGGTGGTTCTTAACTAAATTACAGAAAATAAATTTGGTAAATCTTACATATATTTGTATATATCTATATATACAAATACACATACATATATGTGGCATTTTTAGCTTACCATAATTGTGTAACTTAAGCTCAGACTTAAATCAGTAGGACCATTACTGATAGCTCATTTAATATTTGCTCACCAAATAAAGTCAATTCCAATCATTAATAAATATCATTACTGGGATGAAAATGAACAACTTAAAGTGTTTTAGATAGCCAATATCAGTTAACATTATTTTGTCTTTAAGTTCCCAAATTATTCAACATTTTTAAAAGTACTGATTTTTTAACTTAGTCTTGAGGAGCTCAAATAATGTGCCTTCCATTTTCTTAGTGATAGTGCAAAACTTACTTCTCTTTAGTAACATGTTATTATGAGACTGGTATACTGTTTTCTTAGGGCTTTCTTGAAAATTACGCTTTCTCTGAATTACGTAATACTCCAGTGGTTTAAAAAGCTAATATTCTGTTTCTCTTCAGACTCTAACATACTCTGAAGTCACGCTGGAACTAAGGAGTAAAACCAATGAAAATTAAAGCTGTTTTCTAAAATGAGGTGTTTTTTTTTTGTTACTTTTTCCTTATCCTAAGGTAATGGGTATAGATGAATGTCTTTGCCACATGAATATGAAAGTATGAAAGCCTGATAAGATATTTTTCTTGTTTTCTCATCCCAAGAAAAAGAATATCAATAGAGAATATAGGTATGTCTATATTTTCAATAGAAAACATGTAAAATATTTGACTTTTTTCTTCTGTGAATTAGTCAAACTTAACTTGTAGGATAAATATTACTCTAATTGATTTAATAAATGTTCATTAAACTTTGGCTATGTACATTGTACTGCTGCACATTGTTAACGATGTCACAAAGCTCGGGGTGAGTTTCTGCCTTTGACAAAATATAAATTCCTATGTCTGGGCACTCATTTGTAGAGGTTTTGTCTCAAAATGTACTAGCCTACCAAGAGAAGGTATGAGGCACAGTTTAAGTACCATCAATAAAAGTTCGAAGTTTTGACAATGGCACAATGAGATCTTTCATGTGGCTTTTAAGACTTAATGGGTGTCTTAGCGGGGAGGGAGGGATGAAATAATACAAATATATTATCTCTGAACTGTATACGTAAAAATGGCAAAGATAGAAATTTTGTGTTATCTCAATTAAGAAAGTATAAAAGAAAAAAATTTAGAAAATAATTTAAAAGTGCCATTAAGAGCCAAAGAAGAGCCAAGGTGATAATTAGATAATATAACATGGATTGAAGAGTCAAAGAACCATAGTCTTATATTAGATGTCAAGGAGCATACAGAATTTTGTGAGAAAGCAGAGAAATGAGTCTAATGACCCACAATGAGTCAGGGTTGGGCAGAGAATAGTAGAAATACGACATATGAAATAAAGTGCTGCAACTTAGCTTTCCTTCCCAACATGAGAATGGTACATTAAGAGTAAATGCTTGGGCCGGGCACAGTGGCTCACACCTGTAATCCCAACACTTCGGGAGGCCGAGGTGGGTGGATCACGAGGTCAGGAGATCAAGACTGTCCTGGCTAACACGGTGAAACCCCATCTCTGCTAAAAATACAAAAAAATTAGCCAGGCGTGGTGGCGGGTGCCTGTAGTCCCAGCTACTTGGGAGGCTGAGGCAGGAGGATGGCGTGAACCAGGGAGGCGGAGCTTGCAGTGAGCTGAGATCAGGCCACTGCACTCCAGCCTGGGCGACAGAGTGAGACTCCATCTCAAAAAAAAAAAAAAAAAAAAAAAAAAAAAAAAGAGTAAATACTTGAAGGCCTCCTGGTTTAGCTAACTCAGGTTTTAGTGGTAAATAATTCAACTAACTTTTAAAATATATACATGTGGCTAAGGTAAAATGTGTTGTCACAAATCAAGGCAGATTTTTTTTTAAGTTTATTTAGAAATTCTGGCCTAATAGGGGTGTGGGATGCTCTTGTCAAACCCTGTTTTAAAAGCAGTAAGATAAATACTTCTTTTGAGCTTGAATCAGATGCACTAGAAAAGCCAGTACATTCCACTTACATTGATAGCCAAACTGGGGTGGCTTTGATCAGGCATTTTGTGGCGTTTGAAAATATAGTCATATAAGTGTGCATTTACAAATGTTATATAAATAGCTCAATCTATTACAGTTGAAAAATCTATTTAAAGAAAAAAAATCTGCTATTGAACAACCCACACCTGATTTAATGCTCATGACAGCTCTCAGAACCTGTTAACACTGCCATTTTATCTCAGCTTCCTTCGGAGTGGGCATAATATATTAGCTATGTGTTGTGGCCTGATGATGAAAGCTGAGATAAATTTTGGGGTCTCTTAAACCTTAAAGGATAAGTCTAATCTTTATTGTCCTTTTTAAAAAAAGTCTAAAGCCAGTGGGAAAAAGCCATATGGTACTCCAAACCACAAGGGAAATTACACTTCTTTTTATAAAGCATTCCCACTAGAAAAAAAGAGTAACCTTCTGTTTATCATTATATTTTATGAGGTAACTTCAATGAAATCATGGAAGTATTATCACATGAATAGCAAATGATAAAATCTATTTTGCCAGGGCCCTCAAAGGATAGGAAATTTGGAGTATGGCACAATTGGAACTTATTTTCCACACTGCAAATGAGGTTTGAGACGTGGTATGGGTGACTGACAGAGGGTTTCTTGCCATCAAAGAAGATGGTCAACATCTTCAAAACTTTTATGTGGGATATGAGGGTATATTTTACATGCCCAATTCAGCAACTAAATTGCACTTTAATACAGTTTACATTGATATTTTATGTGGGCAGAGTTTTTCTGAGTTGATTCAAATGTTGGCTCAAATGTTCCAATGTGTGAAGGAAGTACCAGCAAATATGCACAAGGGAGTTCACTTTAAAAAGAGTACATAGTGAAAAATTTGAGTAAAATTGATGAAGTCATAGCAAGGGTATTTTCCATAAGATGAAAACTACCAGCTCTGTTGATTCATTTCCTTTGGAAAATGGAAGATCAAAGAAAATCTTTTAGTAGAGTGTTTTTGTTTAAATATAAAGATATCATTGCAATAATATCTGTTTCTGCTTCTTTCCATATGTTCCTTTATTCATTCATTCAACTATGTGCTATGTGTCACTTCCATAATTATAGTAAGAGCAGTCAGCATTTATATATCCCTATTGTGCCACTGAGCAAGATAGGTGCTCCAAGCCAATCTTCAGCCATGAGAAAACTACAAGCTAAGTGTTCACATTTTACAGCTGAGGGGCATGAAGCTTAGTAAAGTTTTGGTAGTAATTTTCTTAACGTGTGTTATTAAACCAATATTTGAATCTAAGGTATCTGATTCTATAGAACAAATCTTAATGGCTTCTGTATGTGCAAAAACCTTGTGTCTCAAGAGAGATGCAGACAATTGTTTGGTTCAGTCAACAAAAACAGAACATTCACAAGGAATGGATAATTTACTAGAAAAAAGGAGGAAACTTGTGGATTCTCTAAAAAAGGGACATAAATTCAGTAGTCAAGGGTCACTTTTTAAATAATCATTATTTAAAAAATAGTATTAGTTCACTACACCAATATAGTACACTTCACAGATGATTTCCTACTTCTAAAACTGTTGAAATGCACAATGTATTATGGCTAACTCTTCTTTTTGACTTAAGCTAGAGAGCAAGAATATTTTAATTTTCTCACTGTGAAGCAAATAAACCCATGTATAATTTACCTATCATCAAAGGCAGTCAGTTTTAAATAAGAATTAAAAATAATTTTTTCATTTGAAATAGTTACGAGCTAAACAAAAAGCTATCTAATTATAACCATAAAAATGTTTTATATGTAAAGTAATGACTTCATCTGAGAACAAAGTATTTATGATCAAATTTACATTAGTTATCACTCATGAGCAGTTTAAAAAGTTTATATATTTCTGTCTAGACGATTTTGTCTTTCTAAATTACTCCATACCCAGCCACCAATAATAGTATTTTCTCATTTTTAAGTGACCAGTATCTATAGAAAACAATGCCTTGGATAAACAAGTTATAACCTTATAAAAATGGTATCATTTAGGATTTGTTACCCACATGAATTTATTGAAAATTAAAATAAATAACCCTTTCCTCCCTCCCTCCAAATTTGTGAGATGTCTCCTCATTGCTGGAAGGAATGCAAAATGATACATTCACTTTGGAAGACAAGTTGGCAATTTCTTACAAAACCATTCTTTTAACACAGAATCCAGCTGTCACACTCCTTAGTATGTACCCAAATTACAGGTACATTAATGTTTATAGCAGCTTTATTCATAATTGCTAAAACTTGGAAGCAGCAAAGTAGAAGACTGAATATGACTTGACTGACATTTTCTGACTTTTAAAATTCAAAAGCCAAGGAATGTGGACAGCAAATGTGAGCAGCACCTGGAAGGTAGGGATGTCTCTGTGGCTACAGCCAGCAAGCAAATAAGGACCTCTATCCCACAACCGTAAAAAAACAATGCTGCCAACAAACTGGATTAGCAAGGATTGGATCTTCTCCTAGAGCCTCCAGAAACACACACACACACACACACACACACACACACACACACACACAGACTTGCTGACATCTTGATTTAGCCCCATGAGACCTATTCTCATCTGACCTACAGAAGTGTCCAATAATAAATTTGTGTTGTTAAGTTGCTAAGTTCGTGTTTTTTTAAGGCAGCAACATAAAAATAATTTAGTTTGGTACTTAAGAAACTGTAGATTTTTAGTTAGTTTCAATTATGTTAAGGTTATTGGTCTATTTAAGTTTTCTTTTTCTTTTTAGGATCAATTTTGAGAAATTTGTTCTTTTCACATGGTTTTCACATTTATTGGAACGATATTATACACAGTAGTCTCTTGTTATTTTTGTAACTGTGAGGTGTAATTGGCTAAATTAAACTGCATGTATTTTATAACTTGTTGAATTTTGACCTACACATATGCCCATGAAGTCACCACAATTAGAATAGTGGAAATTCTACCATCCCAAAAAGTGTCTTCATGTTAATAAGTTCTCTCTCTCCTCCACCTCATTACCTGGCAATGACTGATCTGCTTCTACCAGTATAAGTTAATTTGTGTTTGAATTTTATAAAAATGTAATAAATAGCATGCAGTTTGTCTGGCTTCTTACAACATAATTTTAGGATTCATCTATGTTTTAACATCTTATAAATTAGTCCTTTGTATTGCTAAGTTATTCCATTGTTTGGATATAGCATTTGGTTTATTCACTCACCTAATAATTAATGGGTTCTTTACAGTATTGGTTATTAAGTATAAAACTGCTATGAAGTTTTATGTACAAGTCTTTGAGTAAACAGGTTTTCATTTACCTTGAGTAAATTCTTAGAAGTGAAAGGAATGATATGATGTATATTTAACTTTGAGAAATTAACAAACTTTTTCAAACAGGTTATGACTTTGCATTCCTATCAGGCAGTATATTGCGTGTCCGTTACTCCATTTCTTATTATTTTAAGTTTGTTTGGTAAGTACTCAAAAGAAACATTAATACATATGCACAAATAATATTTAATAGTATAGTTGTTACAACTTTAAATATATACCAGACTTTAAGTGTTATCCTTATATTAACTAAGAAAAAGTTTAACAAGTTGACTACCAATAAAAGAAATTCTTCCTTCAACATTCAGACAAATCCCTGGATATTTAAATAACAAGCACTCCAAAATACATTGAGTAAAAGTAAAAATCAAATTTTAATAGGAATATATTAATATAAAAACCTTATATAAGTTCTTTATATTTTTGTGTATGCATGAATGCATATAAATGTACAGATAAATCTTAGAAGTACACTGAAGTGTAACTAGTTATTGTAAGGAGGCAGCAGAGGTAGGATGTGATAGGGAATGATTATCGAAAGGTTTAGCTTTATTTGTAATGTTTTTAAAAATTTTAGGAAGACTGTTTTGCTAAACTGCTTATGTATTAAAAAAGTAATTTGAAAAAGTGGATGAAAAGGGAGAAATTCAGAGAAACACTGGTTCTAACACTATATTAAAGATTTCATGGTGCCATCTATGCTTTTTATTCTAATTTTCATAAAAAATCTGAGACAATCACTAAGTTAGATGGTCACAAAAGAGTTAAATTTGAAAACTTGTGAATTGCTGATTCCACTAAATTGCACTAATTTTACCTTCGAAAATGTACTTCTAAAGGTTTTTTTTTTTTTTTCTTAGGGCTAATGAATATATATTTAGGGGCTTTGAATTAGACTAAATTCTTTGATATAATTTTCAACCAGGTCTAAACACCATTGAAATCTTTAGGAGAAAATTCTTGTTTAATGTTAAACAGGTACATGATAAATAAGAAAATAGAAGGCTCAAATTAGTGGCCAAATATATAAATAGATTTAGATTAAAGAAGAGTGAAAATGTAAAAAACAACAACAAAAAACAAAGATAAAAGGAAATAATAACCTCAAATAAATTTGGAAGTGTATCCCAAAGAAATCATTATATCTTTCAAAAAGACTATTTCTCTGCTTTACATTTAAAAATCAGTTTGTATCAAATGTCATTATATTGTACCTACAATTTTTCCTAAGAGAAATAAATAAAGTCATTATCATGAAAAATTTCCCTTTATCAGAAACACTTAAAGGAAAATAGATGTTGCTTCTGTACTAACATTTACTGGATTTGAGAGAATATAATCCATTTCTTCAGTGTTCCTGATTTCTGGTTCTATTTTCCAGAAACCATAGTCAAATTATTAAATGGCCTTTAGCAGAAAATAATCCATATCGTTTGTCTACCTGGAAACTGATAGGATATTTTGTTTTGATCCTAAAAAACAAAACAAAGCAAAACCCATGAAATCTCAGAAGAAATAGCACCAGTTTATCGAGGTAGAGATAGAGAAACAGTGTGAGAGAAAGAGAATGAACTCTTCCAACATAATAAGCAAGGCATATTTTTAAATAATTTTCCATTCCCTAAACTCTCCCCACTTCTGCCCTTCATTTCTCTGGTCTAATATCTTGCATTAAGTCATCATAAGCAAAAGTTTTCCTTTCCCTGCTAAAAGATTTATAATAATGTACTTAAAGTTTACTGGATATTAGAAGCTAAAGATAAAGCCTGTGTTCTCCATCCTCTATCCTATTCATCATTAAAAGAACAAAAAGTTTTGATTTTGATCATGAAGAGGATAAACTGAAAAGGGTACACACGCACACACTAACTAAACCTAGAAGTTTTAGTTAATACACTTGATTTACTTGAGAAAATTGATAATTATAATTAATCTTTATTTTAAAAATCTATATTTTTTTTCCTGAAGAAATAGGAGCAAATGTTGAGAATAAAACAAAGGTGATTTTTGAGTAAAAAAGAAAAAAATAATCTTCTTTGGGGGAAAAAAATAGATGTATCCCAAATGTAGAGTTAGGACAAACTATTAAGTTATAAAAAGGAAATTTGGAAATCAGAATAAATTGAGGAATAAGCATTTTAAGCTTTTTTTAATCCAAAGTTTTCACATCAATTTAGAATAAAAATGTTTCATGTTATATAGATCAGAGAAGATTGTGATAATTTCAGCTTTCAAACAGTTGCTTTCCTACTGGAAAAACATGCCTACACATTGGGCATGGGTTTGATGGATTTACTGAATTAATTCAATATAACAATCTGTCAGTTTATTATTTTTTAATAATTTACTTCAGAGTACTGTCCACACTTAACTATGTTTATATAATAATAATCATGCATTAAAACAAAGCTGTAATCAGATAAACTAAGGTGTTAGAAAGGACATAAGCCTTCATATCAGATAGACCCAGATTCAACTTTATTCTCTGTAACTTACTGGTTATTTGATTCTAGACAATTCAGTCTTTCCCAGTGTCTTGCTTTCTGTGAAAAGGGCAACTGGAATGTATCTTGTAGTTGAATATGACAACATTTGGATGAAGTGATCAATATATGACTGGCCCATAGGGAAATTTCCACTAATGATGCTTCCTGTATTCTATTCCTTCTTTTCCTTAGAAAATTAATAATTAATAAATAAATAATTTTATAAATACATCCATTTGCATGGCTTAAAATTCAAAAGGACAAAAGGAAAAGCGAGGCATCTCTCCTTTTTCCCCTTCTTAGTGATCATCATGAGACAACCAACCATAAAGGGATCCTCAGCTACAACCAGGCTGCACACTGGGGGAATACGGTGGACGCACCCAAGTTGGCGTCATTTGTAGAGGGGAGGAGCCTGGCCCCTGCTGTTCCTGTGTGGAACCTGGGATTCAAACTGAGATGGGGGCCTGTTAATGGGATCCCTTCTTGATTTGCTGTATTGTTTTTCCTCTTTTCGTTTTCACCCAATAAATTCTGTAACCCCTCATTCTTCAAAGCCTCTGTGTACCTAATCTTTCCTGGTCGTGTGACAAGAACCTGTATTTTCCCACAACAATAATGTAACTCGTTTCTCATGTAGCTTCTGGAGACTTTTTATGCATGTACAAAATCAAACACACGTTTTCTGTCTTGTACACTAATAGTAGTAAACCAGACACACAGTGATGTGCTTTATTTTTACCTGTCTGGAGACCTTGGAGACAATTTCTTGGTTAATAACTTGTGTATACACATTCTTGCTTACAGGAGCAGAGAAAGGAATAATGTTTTATATCTTATAATTTATAATATTTTATGTTATACCAGCATCTGCGTTGTGAGTTGTCCCCAGGATTAAATGAGGTAACACGTGTCCAGGCCTTAGTTCTGTTCCTGGTACACAGTAAGTGTTTAACAAATGGTACAAGCTATAACAAGTACTATTCATTATAGAAATAATTGTTATTGCTTAGTTCTGTGCCAAATGATGAGGATTGTTAGAGGTTGTGACACATATATCCTGTTGAAACTGGAGTTATCTATTTAGAAATAGTTATACCATCTACTCTTCTCTTAAAGCTTGGTAAGCAGTGACCAGTCTGCCGGATCCTGAGGCATATTTTAATCAGTACTTTGGCAGATTTCCTGAAAACTCTAAAATTTTTCCTTTTAAGCATGGTAAAGTGTTACTTGAAGTCATAAAAGCAACAAAGAAGCCTGTTCCTACCCCCTCATCTTCATTAAGACAATTTAAATTATAATACTACAGTGTTCAAAAAAAGTAACTGAGCTTCTGAAAGGTATTTTCTAGTAGGAAAGTCTCTAATTCAAGATGTGTCAGCATTTGATCACCTAGAACTTGTCCTTTAATGGAATCTTAAACTTCCTTTTCTTTTTCCTGGGGACTGATTCTGTGTAGACTGAAATAAGCTTAGTACACAGAAAGAGGATGATTTCATTTAGGTAGAATTTATTTGATAGAATATGAAGGAACACATATTTGGTTTTAAACTCCAAAAGAACCTTGCAATTAATATTCAGAAGAAAAAAATAATGATGCATAATAATCTTTATAAAATTTATCAAATGTTTTCTTGTAGGTTATTCTAAGCTATTGTCAAGTTTAATTAAAGTAGATTTCCTTTTGGAAATGATATTTTCTGATGACACAGCAGTAAAACAAATCACTACATGGAATTTAGGTTTCAGTGATTTTTTTTGTTTCAGGTTAGGACTTTTTGGTGAAAGGAAAATCATTTAGAAATACTTATGCATTTTATTTTCACATTCTGACCTTACTGAGATATTAAACAAGGCCAAAGAGAGGTCATGTTAATACTACTTTATAGACAAAAATTAACTTTATAGCGGTTTGGGTCTTAGGGCCCTGTAACAGACACTGAAAACACACACTGGAATACCATTTAAAGGGTGAATAATATATTCATTTCCTGGAGAATGTGGATATCCCTAAGAACATAACGTATAGAAGTAGTGTTAACTATATCTTTATCCAAACCAGAGAATCTCTTTAGAGAATTGATTATTGTGTCTCAAATATTTCACCTTAAAATTTACTTGTTACTAGAGGAATTACCTGCTTTCAAAGGAAAAATAGACATGAGAGTTAAAAGCATATAGAAAAAGAACACTAAACATATTTCTTTGGCGCTTAAGCATAGAGAAGCAGACCCAAAGATAATTTCTTCAAATGTTAAGTTAGATTAGATTGTTTTGCCAGTTGATTAAAAAGTTTTATGGAATGTTTCTGCTTACTTCACCTCAAAATTCTCGGTCTTGGCAATATAACTGAATACTTATTGCACAGGTTCTGGACCTAGGCTTCCTGGATTCAAAATCATGTTCTACAACTTACTGTGAATTTTGAGAGTTACTTAAAATTTTTGTCTCTATTTCCTGTTATGTAAAATAGGGATTGTGATAATAAAAGTACCTACCCCATTGAATCATGGTGACAAATGAATCAAATGCATAAAAAACTTGTAACAGCAGCTAGGCCATGGTTATATGCTCTGTGAGTTATTTACTTGGAATATGTAAAGAAAATCTTTGTTTTCATTGTTTATTCCTGTTATAAAATTATAAGATTCCATATTGGAAAAGCTCTTATAAGGAAGTCCCTAAATCACAATTTGAGAGACCTCAATATTAGTAACAATAATAAGAAGCAGAATAAAAGTAAAGATTGCATAGTTCTTAACTGCTAATGACTGTGCAAGATGCTATACACACACTTTATTCTTTAAACTTTGCATATACTATGAGAAATAGTTATTTCTATTTTACAGAGGAAGAAAACTTAATTATGTTTAATAATGTCCCAGTGGTCACACAGGTAAGAAAAACAGTCAAAATTGGATTCCAAGATTATTCTTTTCAAAGTTTATGCTTAACAACTAAGATAGAGTTTGCCAGATAGCAACCACCATCACACTTCTTGCCATTTTGTTGTATGGGAAATAAGGGGAATTATTATTTCTAGGGAATTAAGATGGCACCAAGTCTTTAAAATAGAGGAAATATAAACTCAGGATTGGTTACTTACATGACAGAAGAGCTGAGAAGGTAAAAAGGAGACCAAAGAGTCTATCCAGAGATTAGCAGCAGCATAAAGCCAAGGTGGAAGGACAAAAGGAGAGGCCCCGGTACCAGAACCAAGGGACAGTGATAATATGACTTAATGTAACCTATAATCAAGGTGGGCCTGATCTGTGAGAAAGAAACACAGTCAATGTCAGGGATAGATACCACCTGAGAAAAATAAAATGGGAAGAAATTCCCTGTTGTACTCCTACATCTCCCCCTCTAATCTTCCACCAATAACTCTCATTGGCCAAAGCTAGCAAGAAACCCACTAACATGGAAACCTGGGAGCCAGTGGTATAGAGGGTCATTCTATCTTAACACAAAGAAATGCATGGGAGGATAAACAAATAAATGTAATGGCAATTAGGCCTAGATCAACTGATTCTATTCTCTTAATCTTTTCTTCCAAAGACTAATAATTTCATTTAAATAAAGATCTCTCATACAGAAACTTAACATTATCTGAATAGAACTTAGAATAGTCATAAATAGAAAGTAGTCATAAACTTAAACACAATGAAAAAATACAGTAACTATCTTTGAAGTCAGACAGACGAAGACTCAAATATATTTTCTATCACCTATACTGGTGGTTTTACCCTGGAAAATTAATTCAGTCGCTTTCACTTTTCTGTTATTACCTATAAAAAGAGAAACTGAAATCTACCTGGGGCCTACAAGAAGAACATTAATAATTATTAAGTACAAAAGTGAAATATGTTCCCTGAAATAACAAAAAAAATTGGTAGAAAATTTAAAAGGGATTAACTTTCCCAATTTGTGCATCAATATTATTCAGTGATGCATATACATAGTCCCAAATCATCTTGTGAAACACTGCTCAGAAATGCCAGGCAATATTGTCTCTCTCAATACATAAATGTTATCACTTTTGTATTAATTCTGGATATACTGATGCTTCAAAGCAATACAGATTTAGTTCTTCCATATATTTGTCAAATATATGCAGTGTGTAACATATTTATCTATATGATGTATTGTCCTGCGTTTTAAGATTCTATAAATAACATCTATGTTTACAGGCAAAATGTCATTAGCGCATACTTAATTTTAGTGGGCTTTTGAGAATCATAAAATTTTAAGAAAACAAGTTGTAATCAGGAGTTTAAGCAGAAAAAAAAATTTTAAAGAGAAAGCCAATTGCATAGGAGAGTGGAAATTAAAATCTTAACATAAAACCTTAATCATGACATTTTATCTAGCTTTTAAACCCTTAGTTTATTAACATTTCTAAATTGCAGAACACAGGGCCTTCCTTTTAATCAACAGAGAGGCTGATAGCTCTAGGGAACATAGTCACTTTACCATACAATTTTGTGTAGATGACTGGAGTTGAGGGCCTCAGCTCCCTTCTAGTCATTTAGATGAAACAATAGAACATCAGTGAAAATAGACCCCTCTGGTTTTCAACAAGGGCAGCGATAACCTGGCACACTATCGCATGAGATGGAGAAGACTACAGTAGAAATGCAGAGTAGGGTTGCTACCCAAAAATAAAAATAGAAATTGGGAATTCAAATTTCAACTACTTCAAAAAATTAATCTAAAACGTTTAATGTCCTTTTCTGAAACCTTCGAGCAAAATAACTTTAACTTCTATATTATGATATTCCAAGAGGCTATTTTTCCAATGATTTTGAGTAATTTGTACAAACAAACCCACAAAACTTCTGTAGCCTCAGTTTGTAATTTTATTATATTCCATACCATTATAAATACCATTCTTGTTTGTCTGTGCCTCTTTTTACTACTTTAAACAGAACAGTACATGAAGGTTGCTTCTATGATATGAAATGTGAGAATTTTATACCATTCTTTATGACTTTTATGCAAGTGATTAAGAATTTACATCTTAACATGGATAACCACAAAACAATTTTTGAAAACATTTGTGATATCTGGATGAAAAGGTATAAGACCATCATTGAACACATATCTACTGATGATTGGACAAATCATTCTGATGATTAAATCAATTTTCTGTATTGCCATGGAATGTACATAAACACACGTATAACATTGTTTAAAAAAACAAAAACAAACAAACACCATTGAATGCCCATTATTTGGCTCTAAACCTTACCATCAGACTTAGTTCTTGATTTCATGCCTCTCCACCATGGACCTTAGGGAACTGATAGACTGATCCCTGTGATATTTTACCCATTCACATCTATCTTCCCTTGTCTGGAATAAAATAGCTCTTTTTTAGTCTAACACAAATATCATCTATTCGTGCCACCTTCTCTGATTTCCCTTAGAAGAATGGATTGTATGCCACTACATGTCTATTCATGGCATAATACCACTGTAACACGTATCAGAATCTGACATCCATTAGAGTTGATAGTGATCTGCTGGAGAGGAGGGGTGCATTTTCAGGTACTTTATTCACCAGTAAGACTCAAAGTATGGGATGTAATTGTTTAGTAATATAGCTGGAATGGGTATGTTAAAGGATATGTCAGAAAAACGAATATTATAATGGATAGAGAGGAACATTATGTTATGATAACAGGTCAATTCATCAAGATACATAATGATCTTAAACGTGTATGTCCTTAACAAGCCTTCAAAGTTTATTAGGTGAAAACTGATAGAATGAAAGGAGAAATAGTCAAATCTACAGTTACAGATGGTGACTTCAACATGCCTTTGAGAAATCACAAATAGAAAATAAAAATATGTATGACTGAAGCATTATCAATTTGACTTTGATATTTATAGAATATCCTACCTAAGATAGCAGAATACACATTCAATTCAAGTATACATGGACTATTTACCAGCTAGGTCATACTTTGTGTCATCAAAATAATCCTGAAAAATTTAAAATAATTTAAGCCATAGAAATCATTTTCTGATGACCACTGAATTAAATTGTAAATCCGTAACAGAAAGATACCTAGAAAATGCCCAAATATTTGGACTAAACAACATTGTTTAAATAACTGATAAGTCGATAAGGAAGTCTATGTAAATATTTTGAAATATTTTGAATTAAGTAAAAATAAAAAGAGAACATATAAAAATATCCAGGGCACAGATAAGGCAACACTTAGAAGGAAAAAAAGAAAATCAATGAAACTGAGAATGGAATGGCAATAGTGAGAAAAAAATAAACAATGAAATAAGAAGTTTCTTCATTAAAAAAATAAAATCAACTTTAACTGGATTATAAACCCACATGTAAAACCTAAGAGTTCTGGAAGAAACACAGAACATTTTTGTGACTTTGGATTAGGCAAGTATTTCTTAGGACATGGCCATTAAAATGAAAACCTTCTGTTTTTTGAAAGGCATTACCAGAAAATATATATACAAGCCATAGACAGAAAATTTACAAAATATATCTATGATAACGGTCTTACTTTACAAAAGTAAGTTATTTATAATATAAAGAACTCTCAAAACTCAATAAAAAATCATTTTTTAAAAGCAAAAGCTTTGAACAGATGCTTCCCCAGAGAAAATAAAAGGATTGCAAATAAGCACATGGGAGGAAATACGCTCAATATTGTTAATCAGATAAATGCAAATTAAAACCACAGCGTAATACCACTACATGCCTACTAGAATGACTAAAACTAAGACAAACTGAAATAAAACAAAAAGATAAAATTGAAAATGCCAAATGCTGACAAATATATGAAGCAAATGAAGTGATTTTCATACACTGCTTTTGTGAATGCACATTTGTACAGTCACTTTGAAAAATGATTTGGCAGTTTCTAATAAAGTTTAATATCTACTTACCATATGACCTGCAACTTCACTTTTAGGTATTTACCCCAGAGAAATGAAAACATAAGTTCCCACGAAGCCTGTGTCAGATTGTTTATTTCAGCTTTGTTTATAATTGCCCCAAACTGGAAACAATAAAAATGCCCATCAACTGGCAAATGAATGAAACATTGCGGTATATCCATGTAAGGAAATCCTACTCAGCAAAAGTGGGTATCAACTACTGAAAAGTGCAACTAAATTGATGATTTGAAAAGGAATTATTTTAAGTGAAAGAAGCTGGACTTAAAGGCCATATACTATACTATTCTACTTGTAGAAAGTGTCCAGAATAGGCATATCTATAGAGACAGTAAAAAATTTGTGGTTGCCAGGACCTTGAGTGAGAAAAGGCAACTGACTATAAAACACAAGGAAACTTTCAAGAATAATGGAATCATTTTTTAATGCGTTTGTAGTGAGAGTTTCACAGCTTTATACATTTGTCAAAAATTCATAGACCTGTGTACTTAAAGAGTGAGTTTTACCCAAGTACATATCCTTTACTGTATATGGTATATGCTCATTTTCAGTTATTAGTGTTTAAATTGTAAAATAACTAATTTCATGCCTATTTAGAAGTCCATAAGTTTATCTACATATTTTCTTTAAAATGATTTTAAAGTCAAGAAATGGGATGCTTAACTGATGGCAATGTTCTCTTTGCTTTTTTGAACTTTGTTTTTAATATTGTCCGAAGCAGCCAATCTAATTCATCAATGTCTTGTCAGTTTTTAAAATGTGATGACAGCCTGTCAGTTGACAAGACTGTAGGAAAGCATTTTTACTACCAAATTGACATTATAACTTGATGAATCCTATGTTTCAATGACAGTTATTCCTTGTCTTTCAACCAGCATGCTCTGTTTGGAATTCAGTACAAGACATACTATGAGAAAGGTCATTGTTTTTAAAAGTCTCTGCCCTTTTTAAAGCCTTTCCACTTTGAAACGGAAAATACAAAACAACTTTTCACATTTAGAATCTTGTATTTTTAGAATATTAGTTGCCATACATAGTTATAAATATTTTAAAGCTGCACGAATCGATAACCTATCACCTAGAACAAATACTTACATAAATATTTACTTTGATAACACAAAGTGATTATCAATTAAAGTGAAAAATAAGTGAAAGTAATTTTCTGTACTGAGAGATAGCTTAACTTTTTCAAACCTCTAGATCATTTTAACCAATTAAAATTATTGACTCCAAACATATGTAAAATTATAAACATATGTAAAATTAAGTAATTTTACAGAAAAGTAACCAATTATATTACATATATAATTAACATAATTATTATTATTTTTACATATAATGTAATGAACATTATATATAAAATTAATGTTATTCAGAATAGGAAATAAAACCTCCATAACTGGTTTTACATTAGGTTATATTTCTTTGAGCTCCCAAATTTCATGGAATTCCATTTCTATTACCAATATCCATTGCCCCCATATAGAATTTGATTGACTAATTTGTGCCTGAAGTCACCTTGATGGAAGCTCCCAATAATCCCATTTTCATTAATGTTAATTAAGGTTGTTCTTGTTTCTTTGTTAGAAAATGGAGGACAAATACAATAAGTCTAAGGAGATAGTCTTTAATGTGAACCCAAAGCTTTGAGATGAAAATTTTGAGTCTTTAAAAGCTGTGGTGAGGAGAGCAATTATATGCAGAAGAGAATTACATGCTGAAATAATCCCTGAGAACATTTCTTGGGAAGGAGATTTATTGTTTTCATATTTTGTTTAAATATCATCTTAAAGCATAATCAGACTGGCCAGTATTCAATTGTAAAATATGTTATAGAACGATGCTCACACATGTCTTTGACATAGGATGTATCAGTCATGGTGTTCTGTGACTAACTTCATGTTTAAGAACATAGGCTTTGTACACAAAGACCAGAGATTGAAAGTTTGCCACTTACTAGCTGTACAAACTTGAACAAGTCACTTTGCTACTCTGAGCTGCTGCTTCTTAATTTGTATGCTACTGTATGTCCCTAGCAAATATTCTCTAGATAATGGCCTGTGCCCAGAACTGCAGAATTGTCTACTTCATTTTCAAAATCATCCCCAGTTATTTTCTGGAGCCCACAGAAATATTTTAAATACGCTTAGGAATAGAATTCTTGTATTCCTTGGTCTTCAGTCTTCTCAAGAATTCATATCATTGGAAACAATATGACTTAATTGGGGCTCCTGCTGGTGCCCTCTGTAGGACTATGTGCTTGTCCCTGTTCTCTCCCATTACTCATTTTAGCCTCCTCCCCATTACAGGCCTCCATCCCTGTGGAAAAAAATCAGATCAAGTGAATTGATATCTGGAGACTCCACTGCACTAGATCAACAGCAAAATAAGACTGTCTCATTCGAGGCCCAGTCAGGATCCATACTAGGTATAAAACTGGAATAAGAATTCATATTGTACAGGTATGTGCGAAGATTAATGAGGTAATCTATACCTAGTTATTACCTCTGAGTTTCAGATGTTGTAACAGGTGCTAACTCATTAAAAACCTATGGCAGTGCAGGCTAGGCGGAATTACTATTTTACCCATTTCATAAATAGGGCAACTAAAATAAAGAAATTTTCCAAATGGAAACAACCACTAAATGAGCAGGATTTGAAAACTTCTCTGCTGTCGCCTATAGATGAATCAACATAGGACATTTCTTTCTCTTTCTGATTTAATATGGGTATAATGATAGGCAAATGATGGGCAAATTTATGATGGTAGTAGTTTTTAATATTATCAAGAAACTAAGAATCTAATTGGGAACCACAAAGTTATATCAATATTATTCAAAAATAAAGATAAGTATAGCACTGCTCTGGAAGACTATTTGAAATATGTCAAACAATGGGGAAATATTTGAATATGTTGTAGTAGATCCAAATAATAAAAATAATTGTAGTTAATATACCAAAAATACATTCTCAATACATGCTTTGTAGATCTTAAGGTCTTTGAGATCATTTCAGGAAGTTTTAGTGTTAAAATTATTTTTATAATAAGATGTTACTTGTAACTTTCATTGTGTTGACAATTGCACTGATAGGATCAAAGCGCTGGTGAATGTTAGACCATCCCAAAGCTTAGTAGCTTAAGACATTTTTTTTTACTTAAAATTAGGTGGATCAAGAATTTGGGAGTAGCATTGAGACTGGAGATGGGACTGGACTCCAGAGGCAGGGCTCGGACACCAAACCAGATTGAGGACTAGTTAAAACAGGGCTGAAGTGAAAGCAGCTTTCAATCAGACATGCCCACCAGTGTACCATGTCCATTTACCATTGCCATGGCAATACCTAGGAGTTACACCTCTTTCCATGGCAATGACCCAATGACCCAAAAGTTACTACCACTTCCCTAGATATTTCTGCATAAACTGCCCCTTAATCTGCATGCAATTAAAAGTGGGTATAAATATGTTTAGAAAACTGCCCTGAGCTACTACTCTCTGCCTACAGAGTAGCCCCACTCTGCAGGAATGGTCACAGAGCTGTAACACTGCCTTTTCAATAAAGTTGTTTTCTTCTACCTCTGGCTTGCGCTTGAGTTCTTTCCTGGGCAAAGCCAAGACCTCTTGTGGGCTAAGCTCTACTTTGGGGCTCGCCTGCCCTGCATTAGCATGGCTAGGTGGTTCCTCCTATTAAGAGAAGTACAAGTCCTCAGTTCTTAGTCCTACTTGTGAGAGAATTCAACCAAGAGACCAACAATTCATAATGTAAGCAAACGTGCACTGAAGGAAAGTTAAGAGCAGGGGTTTATTGAAGGAAATAAAAAGCAGGGAGTTTATTAAAGTACATTCCAAGAGAGAAGCAGACTGGTCCAGTTGGAAAACAGCTCTGGGTTGGTCTGGCTGACAGCGGGGGAAAAGCAGCAGCGGCTGCAGGGATTAAGTAATAGCAGAGACACTACACTCTGAAAGAGGAGGCAGAGGTAGAGTGGGCTGTTAAGAGAATGAGCCAGCAGCAGCCTCGAGAATTCTGCCTTGCAGTTATTTTGTTAGATTGTTTCTTTAAATTCTCACCTCTGCCTGAAGTCTCTGCCTTGTCTAGCTGCTGTTTCTGCCTTAAGTCTGCACATTGTCCCTGCCTAGTTCTGGCCCCAGGTTTGTGGGATTCATCCTGTCAGTTGATGGGCATGTGCGGGCTTGGTGTTAGATATAAATTCTACCTCATGGCTGTGTTACTCATTACCACCACCCGAGGAAGGTTGTAGAGCAGTTAAATCTGTACTTACTGCAACTGCATATCTCTTAGGAATTTCTCCTTTGCCCTTGTTCCTTTCTAATCATCATGTAGCTAACTCCATTCTGACAGGCTAACTGCAGAGTGAGTAATTACTGGGCGTCTAAAGGGGGTGTTTCTTTCTACGAAGGTATTTCCTCTCCTCTCTGCTCATATCTAGCACACGTTTTGAGTGGTCTCTGGGATGTGAGATTTTCCAGACCTCCTTTTTTCAGGGGCTCGCCCTCCTGCTGCTTTCTAGATATCTGCCTACTCTAATACTTCTGTGGTTTCTCATAATACTCAGATGTTGGGCAAGGCAAAGTAGTAGGAAGACTTGACTAAGACTGGAGGATTCTCTTACAAAAATGCCTGTTTACATGACTAGCGAGATGGTGTTAGGTATTGGTAAGAGATCTTAGTTCCTTTTCAGTTGGGTTCTCCAGTGGGCTATTTGTTCTCACAGCATAGCAGCTAGCTTCCTGCCAAATCCTTTTATGACCTAGCCTCTAAACATGCACACCATGACTTTCACACCATTTTATTCATTTTACAGTTCACGCCCATTCAGTTTTGAAGGTGAGTATTCAGGGCATAGGTAGCAGAAGATGAGAAGCACTGAGTGTAATTTTGGAGGCAGTGAGCTGATCTGCAGGCACCATAGCGTGAATGGGATCAGTCCCATCAGACAGTACTAATAGTCATTGTATTCTACACTACTCATGTATATATTCTTATATAGTTTAGATTTGGCTGTTTGGAACATTAAGTGAATAAAGCATTATATGTATCCTTTTGTATCTTGTTTCTGTCATTTAAAAGGGCATACCTTCTGGCGTGTACTTGCACGTATTTCTCTCAATGACACGTCTAAGATGAAAATAACTGGTCATAGGCACGTGAACTTGCAACTTTAATTAAAAAGGTTAAACTGTTTAAGAAAGTGAATGTCTGCATTTATATTCATGAGAAATTATGTTGTTCCGCATCCTTGTCAATATTTGATATCAAACTCTAGTTTTTCCCCAATCTGTTGTAACTGTTCCATGTCATGTTCATGAAATTTGATGGAACTTATATTTGAGGTTGAAAACATTCACGTTTGCCATATTCTTTTGTAAAGTGCCTTGGTACATATTATCCCAATTTTTATTTAACTGTTTAAAATTACAAAATAATAGGATTTTTCTATTTTGGATACTAATTTTTTGCTCATATTATAAAATACAGTTGTTGCTTGTGATATAGATTTTTACTCTTTAATATGGTATTGTTGAATAAATAATATTAATTTCAGTGTTGTCCAGTTTATCAACATTTTCTTTTATGGCCAATATTTTATTTTTATTTAAAAATTTATTCCTAAATTAAGATGATTAAAATGTCCTCCTGGCATTTTCTAAAGGTTTTATTGCTTTGCCTTTCACAATGAGGCCTCTAATCTTTTTGGAATTGAGTTTGGCCAGTTATTTAAGAATCCAGTTTGATTTTTTTCCCCCATGTGGATATCCTCTTACACTAGTGCCAATTTTCCAGTTTTTAACGTATTTAGTTTTTGATCTACCCATTTCCTCCTGCCCCAATAAGTAATAACAGGTGTTAGTTTCTTGTAGATTATTTTATATAACTTTAAAGCACACAGAAGCAAATAAAGATACAGTTTTCTCCAGCTACTTTTACCTAAAATATACCTTGCTCTACCTAACATTGTTTTGTACCTTCCTTTTCTTACCTAAGATATTGTAGGTCTTCTATAATAGAAAAAACGATTGTTTTCATTATTTTTAATAACTACATATAATTCATAATGAACTGTTCTGTGTTTTCTGCACTATTTTGCAGTCTGTCAAATGTCAGACATTGACAGATGTGGACTATTTTTTCTTCTATATGTTAGTTTATTTGTAATTCCTGTGCCAATACTACATTCTCTTAATTTTAAAATACATCTTGGTTTATGAAAGAACAAAGACTTTTTAGCTGCTTATTGCTTGCACCATCTATAATTATGGTGATTTGTTTCTTGTTTTCACTCCTAATATTTGTTAATTTTACTAAGTTTTCCAGAACTATGGAAAATTGTTAGTTTTCAGAGAATCAACTTTTGCTTTTTATTCACTCCATTTTATTTTCTATTTTATTAATTTCTATAGTTAGGTTTTTACTTCCTATGTGTTTATTTTACTGCCTGCTTTCTAACATTTTAAGGTAGCTAACTTGTTTAATTTTCAGCTTCATTCTCTTCCAATCTTAATTTTAAAACTATAACTTTCCTTGTGCAACCCAAAAGATATATGTAGCATTTTCATTATAATTTCATTCAAAGTATTTTCTTTTTCTTATTATGCTTATTTGATCTACAAGTTACTTAGATGTGTAAATTTTCAAACACATCATGATTTTCATAGTTACATTTTACTATATATAATTTAATCACATGAGTTTATAAACGTATATTATTTCATAATCCTTTGATATTTGTTGAAACTTATTTCATGGTGTTAGAAACTTTAAACAAAATATATTTAAATTTAACAGTAGTTTGAATAGTGCATGATTCATGAATCAGGCAGCATTCAGAACCAGAAGAAATTCAGATAGCTCTCAGATAGCTCTGCTCTGTAACATGGGGAGTATTTAAAGGCAGACACAAAAGTATATAAATAGCCTGATTGATTATAGCAAGGCCTTTGCCTTATTTGGGCATAGTCTGATCAGTTGGCTGCCTTTTTTGTTTTGTTTTGTTTTTTGAGACGGCGTCTCTCTCTGTCACCCAGGCTGGAGTGCAATAGTGCAATCTCAGCGCACTGCAAGTTCCGCCTCCTGGCTTCACGCCATTCTCCTGCCTCAGCCTCCCGAGTAGCTGGGACTACAGGCGCCCGCCACTATGCCCGGAATTTTTTTTTTTTAATATATTTTTAGTAGAGACGGGGGCTTCACCATGTTAGCCAGGATGGTCTCGATCTCCTGACCTTATGATCTGCCCGCATCGGCCTCCCAAAGTGCTGGGATTACAGGCGTGAGCCACTGTGCCGGGCCAGTTGGCTGCCTTTTGACTGAAGCTTGGCTGTTTGTGACTTGCTGAGATAGGGCTGCAAATAAATGAATACTCCTAAATTGGTATGTGTTAAAAAAAACCAAAACCTCAGTTAGGTACAGTTAATCATATAGAAACTCAAAGTAGAGACCTGAATACAAACTTAACAATTTCTTAGTATATTTGGTTTTTGCATGTGTGTTTTGTGTATGCTTGGGGAAAAAAAATACTATTCTGCAGTTATTGAGGGCAGAATTCTATATATGCTCCTTGTGTCCTGTTTTAATCATGTTAACTAAACCTTTTATATTTTTCCTGAAGTTCTCCCCACCTGTCATCTATTGCAGAATGTGAGATTTCTTCTTGACTGGGTATTTGTCAATATATTTTTATATTCCTCTGAGGTTTTAATTTAAAAAAAATTAAAGAGGCTATGTTGTTCCATGCATAGAAATTTGAACATAGTATATCTTTCTTGAGAATTGGACATTTTATAACATCTGCCTTCCATCTCTAGTAATTTCCTTCCTTAAAATTTAAATTGTCTTTAAAATATCTACTAAGTGATATGTACTCTATCCATTTCGACTTTATGTATGTTATCCATATTTAGTGCCAAGCTTTCTGTGCCATCTTGTTTCAGATATGACTCCTTTAAACTGCACATATTTGGGTTTAGTTTTTAACAGAGGTTGACAACCTTTGTCTTTAACAACAAAGTATTTAGACTGTTCACATTTAATCCAGTTACTGCTATATTTTAATTTAAATCCACCATTTCATTTTGTGTTTCTATTGGTCCCTCTATGACACTTTTTTTGACTTTTTTAAACCTTTAATTGAATTTGTGTACCAGTTTTTAATCAATATAATTTTATCTGTTCACCTACATGTATTAAACATTCTGTAAGGATATAAAACTGTAAACAGTAGTTAACTAGGGGAATGTAATAGAGTTGAAAGGTAATGAGGTATCTCAAAACAGTCTATTTCTGCTTTTATTTTTTTAACTACAATAAGTGCACATTTTTATTTGACCTTTTGAAACCAGAACTGCAATAATTCTGCTAGAAAAATAATTATAAAATGTATACAAAAACAAATACAAGTTGTGAGGCTTTTTTGCTTTTCTTCATTTTCCATTTACTCACAGCCTTAATAGCATCAATGTAAATTTCCATAGCAACATAATTCAGAAAAAGTCAATTTTACAATATGCTTCTCAGCATAGTATCAAGTGTTTTCTATGCAACTTGGTTGGGTGTACAGTCTCCAGAACTGACCTGCCCTTTGGATGACCCCTTGTTTTCATTAGGTAAATGAATAGCTCATAGTAAAGGTGATATGGGATGAAATGAAGAGATAGGGCAACGAAATGATTCTTTTTGACCTTTGTCAAGCCTTGTTACATCTGTGTGCCTCATTTTCCTCATCTGCAAATGAAAGCAGTAGACTAGAGTTAGATTATTTTAGGCCCCCTACCATCCATAAATACCTCACAGTGGAAATGTTTTGAAAGCAGACAACCCAGTCCTGCTTTCAGTTTCTGTCCTTTCCTAGCTATGTGATTTTCAAAGTTACCTGATTTTTTCTGGAATATAATTCTCTTTAATAAAACTTTGAGAAGTTAACAGTAAAGCACTTGGGAAGGGCTTAGTGTTGTTCATATTTCTAGCAGATAGTATATTACTGGTAATTATTAGTTTTTACTTCTTATTGACATCTTGGAATGGTATTAAGGGAGTTCCAAATTAGCATTATAGAGCACTGATATTTCATTGTCTAAACAGGAGTTTACAAGTGATCCCCTCACCCTATGTTAGTATCATGTGGGATATTAATGTGTCTTAGAATGTTTTTCTACAAAAGTTGAGTCCTTGCACATCCATGAATCTATATTAAGAAATTTTTTAAGTTTACACATTTAAAGGATGGTAGAATCCTATAAACAGTATATTAACAATATATTGGCAAATGTAATATAAAGAATCAGGAAAAAGTCAACCAAGCAAAAAATTGAATATAAAATTGAGTCTAAAAATGTTATTACTGTATTTTCAGCTATCTTACCCATGTTATTTTTTAAAATTTTATATTGTTGTGTCAGTTGTAATAAATTTTACTATAAAGTGGTCAATTCAGATTTGAAGGTCACTTTGGTAATTGGAGGTGAGAGTCTCCAATAGTGATGGCAGTTGGAAAGCACAACATTTTACTTTCATGAATGCAATGATTTAGTTCTTTGACCTCTAGGTGGTTAACATGATGTATAGAACATTTCACTTCTGATATATGCATGTGAAACCCTGACAAGAATTAAAGGCAGAGTGCAGATTTAAATTTCTGGCATTCCCCACTCTGCTTGAGTAATTGCTAAAGTTATTTTGAAGTAGTTTAGAAAGAATGAAAAGAGAAGAAAGGAAAAAGAAAAGGAAAGAAAAAAATCAGAAAGAGGAGAATGGGAGGAAAAGGAAGGAAGGAAGGAAAAAAGCAATTGATTTGCTTATTTTCCTTTCTGCACAAATGGCATCCTAAAGAAAAAAAATGTTTTGAAAGGTCTTTAATGTAAACATGGACAGCTGTTTTAGAAATTGTAGTATGTGCAAGTTTGAAAGATACATCATGAAAAATATCCATGCTGAAATGTCAATTTTATAGCTCTAAGTGAGAGGTCCTAAGGTTTAGAAGTTAAAAGTAAGTTAACTCCTTGCTTATTTGAACATTAAGCTGTCAGCATGGAAGTAAGTTTAAAACTTACGATGGTCTGAAAATGTGGTGCTAAATGAAGTCTGAAGACCTATTAACCTGCTTAAGATGTAAACCAGGAACTATTATACTCCGCTGTTCAGCCTGTATCAAAGTACTTTAGAGTAGCGTACAAACTACTAGGAGTTGGACAATGAAGCTGACTAGCATCTTTTTTTTTTCTTAAACAAAATGATAATGTTAGCTGTTTGCAGTACTCATTTAGTAACCGCATGCATAAAGGAAATTGAATACTTGCTTGAAAATGAGCCAATATCCCTTCAAAACTTTTCAGAGTAATACAGAACTGAGTTCTTTAACAAATTGACCAATATTCAGTCTTTCCCTTGTTTTAGGGTTTTGAGGACTTAAAGGAGAAACATAACATTTGTAAACATAGCTGCCTTTAGGTGCTAAGTATTTTAGAAAATGATTTTTGTTTTTACAATTAATTTTGTTAACGGAATAATTTTAGAATGAATAAAGAAATTTAAATTTAATAAATTAAATATAAAATTACATAAGTGTGATCAGATTTTCTTTTGCAGTAAAAATATAAATTTCTACTTATTCAATATTATGTCAAGCAAGTATACTTTTTAAAAGCTTCACTAAGACATTTATTATTTGCTAAAAAGCAATGAGATCAATTTTGGTTCACATTTGAAAAGAATAATTTTAGAATGAATAAAGAAATTTAAATTTAATAAATTAAATATAAAATTACATAAGTGTGATCAGATTTTCTTTTGCAGTAAAAATATAAATTTCTACTTATTCAATATTATGTCAAGCAAGTATACTTTTTAAAAGCTTCACTAAGACATTTATTATTTGCTAAAAAGCAATGAGATCAATTTTGGTTCACATTTGAAAAGACTGAAATGAACTAAATCCAAATTACATAAATCACAATAAACAATCAAATAAGCCTATCCCATTATCACTGGAAAAAAACAAACTTTGGTATGAAATCATTTTCCCTAGACCCACTGCTTGAGTTTTAAAATTTAAGTGGGAAAGACAGTCATCAAGTGTGTTCCACAAAACACTCCTGAAAGTGTTTTTGAAGGGTTATTCTAAAACATTCGAGCAAGAAACCAGAGAATATTGATTCATATTGTAATCTAGATAGAGGTCTTACCAACAGTAATAAGGAGTAAAGCAAGAGGTGGCTATGACACATTTGTTTCTCACTGAGTTTATAATCATCCTGTGGAGAAGAGATGAGGAAGCCAAGGGAAAAGTAATACAAGCTATTACATTATAGCATTAGGTGCCTACATATGTGATACATTCACTACGTTCCAGGAAACATAAAAAGGGGAAAATATCTGATTCAGGCCAGTGATGGTACCTAGATTGGATTTGGAAGAATAAATAAAATTGGATGGTTTGTTTTCTCCTCTATCACTAACAGGATGGGCAAGAAATAGATGTGTAATTTAATCTGGTTCTACAGGATGAGATATTTCCAACTACTGAAAATGAGAAGAACCTCAGTGACACTGGAGCTTTCATTTTACATCAGCCCCTTTGTGATATGGTAAATGTCTCGATTCATACCAGCAGGACTAGAATATGGACAAGAGACACTGTCAATGTTTTTAATTCAGTGAGTGACTTGTCATCCTCCACTTTCCAAATAAATTGCTCATTTTGTACAGGAAAAAATGTGCATTTAATTAATCGCTTTTGTCTTTTTGTACATCTTGTCTTTTGCAAGAGGGATAAAAATATGCATATAATAAAACTAGAGAGAACATATAAACTGGTAAGGAAAGTAAAAGTTAGGAAAAAAGAAAACAAATTTGTATATTCAAATACACAAAATAACTTCTATAAGCTTCAATACACATTTTTAGCCTCTCTGCCCTGGCTCCTGTTCCTTTAAGGTTTTCTTCTTTTCTAGGGAATATTATCTTAAGAATTAATTTGACATGGAATTTTGAGAACAGTGCCTTAACTCCCCAAAGTGACATGAATTCACATACAATGGGCACAAGGGTTTCAGTTTTACTTATTACAAGCACATCATAGAAGGAAATTGTTGTATTTATGTGTTATCAGGCTAGTTTCAGATATCCTACATGCCACTCCTGGTGTGGCATTAAACAAGTGACCTAACCTCTCCCTCTGCCTCAGTAGAATTTGCATTACAGTGAGGCATAATTGGTTACCCCATGGAGATGTCAGGGTTAAATGATATAACCCATATGGCACATACTAAACTTAATATCTGGCACGTATTAAGCAATCAATAAATAACTCTAAGTTGTTACACCATAATAAGATGAATTCCTAATTTGGTTTCTAGGTTTGACACAAATGTAACTCTAAATGGAGTATAGAAAAAGGTCACATCTTGTTGACTTCAAAATGTCTCTACCCACTTTTTTGCTATGAAGCAAGCAGAATAATTGGCAGCGATACTAGCCTTCTTGTTCCCCTTGTCCCTGAATACTCTTTGCTACACTCTGACCCTAAAGACAGGGTGATACTTTTCAAAATTCTATTCATGTCTACCTCATTTCATTCAGAATTTACAATATAACCATGGATGCCACTATGCTATTTTGGGGCCATAATAGAAACTGGACTTTGCGTTATTGGTTCTATACTCAAAATGTGGTCCATTGACATGCAGCATTAACATCACTCTGGAGATCAGAGATACATAGCTCTAACACTCACTGAATCAGAATAGCAGATCTCACTGAATCAGATGCAGATCCCCGCATCTCTACCCCACAAAAATATAATTAGAAACTATTCAAAGATTAAAAATACTCTTAAGTCTGCCAGTACTTGGGGGAGAAGTGGATAAACCTGAGCCCACAGAATTAAGAGAAGCTGTGATCAATAAAAGAAACAGTCATTTTAGACTGCACTGCCCCTTCCCGGAGCTGGCGTGCCACAACTAACAGCTTCCCTAGACCTGTGGTTTCCAAGGTGAGAGAAGGAAATTGGAATCAACATTTAGTCCCCCTGCTGGTTTGGAAATCTTTGCAGGAAGCCCACTCTAGTTCCACCCTACTGGTATCATAGGGAGTGCCAGGAGGAATAAACCAGCTGAGGTGAATTGAGAACAAACAGCAGTGACTAGAACATGGATATTGGTGGCTACTCTGTACTTTGATCAGGACGGACACCATTTTGACAAGATTAGCTGGTACCATGGTGCTGTTTGGGGCAAATCTGTGGGACGGCCCAAATCCCTGGCCGGATTTTCCACCCAAGTGCTCCTGTGGAGGCTTTTCCTGGCCCAGAAACAAGTCAAAGTTTGAAATTAAGTTTTGGTGTCTCCTTAAGTCTTCCCCAGACTGGGAAACAATGGCAGGCAGCAATATAGTTTTGGAGCAGTGTTTACATTTTGATATTCACTGTAAGTCTTTCCTAAATAATGGCAAGGCAACAAATTAGTTTCAGTGTAATGTTTTAGTTTCAATGCTCACTGTAAGTTTTCCCCAGAATGGGAAGAAACAACTGGCCAGTGTTTAAGTTCTGATACTAAGAATTAAAGGTATAACACCAAAAAGCACTTGCAAAAACTGGAAGAAAGGGATGTTTCCTCAGATGAGCAGGTGGAAAAGTAAAGTTTCAAGGACTGAAAACTCAGAAATAGGACACCACCAAAATAAACTAACAAAGCTCTAGCAATGGGCCCAGACTAACTGAAGATCTATGAAAAGTTGGAAAGAGAATTCAGAAGAATCTTTTAAAGACATTTAGGAAATCACAAGAAAATATTAATAGAAAACTAAATGAAAATTGGAAAACAATTTGTAAATAACATGGAAACTTAAAAAACAATTAAAATTCTAAAAATCCTAGAAGTATACAGTCATATAACTGAAAAATTCATTAAAAACCTTCTACAGCAAACTTGATCAAACAGAGGAAAGAATGAGCAAACTTGAGGACAGAACATATAAAGTTATCCAATAGAAGAGCAAAAGGAATAAAATAATAAAAGAGTAAAGACAACATTTATGGGATACCATCAAGCAAACTAAGCTCATAACAGGAATTCCTGAAGCAAATGAGAGAAAAGGTCTAGAAAGCAGGTAGAAGAAAATAATGCCTGAAAATTTCCCAAATCAGGAGACAGATGGCACCACCTAGGTACAAGAAACTCCAAGATTACTAACCAAACTCAACCCAAAGAGGAAATCCGCAATGCATATCAAAATCAAATCGGTGAAAATAAAAGATGAAGAAAGAATAATCAAAGCAGCAAAAAGAAAAGAGACACATTAGATTAAATAAAGTCCCAATTCCACTTTCAGAGGATTTTCAGCAGAAACCTTGCAGGCCAGGAGAGAGTGGTGCTATATTTGAAGCACTGAAGAAAACAACTGACAACCAAGAATACTATGCCCAGCATAGTATAATAATAATAAAATAAAAATAAAAAAAACACTTAGTAGACAGATTTTCTCAGACAAATAAAAGGTGAGGAAATTCATCAACACTAGATCTGTCATATAAGAAATGCTAAAGGAAGGTCTTTAGTCAGAAATAGACATTGACTTCTATCTAAAAATGTCTAATGGTATGAAACTCACTGGTGTAAAAAAAAAAGAATAAAGGACAAATTCAGAATACTCTAATAGTGTAATTGGACTAAATAAATGACTTACGTATGAAGACTAAAAGACAAAACTATTATAATCAACAACAATTAAGAGAAGCAATATAAGTAATAAAATTAAAACATTAATATATCATAATGTTGAGCATGGTGTTAAATCATAAGTTTGTTTTTGTTACATTTTGGGGCATCAAAGTTAAATTGCCAACAATTTAAAATAACCTGTTATAACTATAAGACATTTTTGTAAGCTTCATGGTAACCACAAAAGAGAAAGCTATATAGATACACTAAACAAATAGCACAAATCAAAATGTACTACTAGTGAAACTGCTTAACCCCAAAGGAAGAAAATGAGAGAAGAAAAAAAACTATAAACCCATATGAAATAAGTAACAAAATGGCAGCAGTATACCCTTACCTGTCAATAAGCCTGAATGTAAATGGATTAAATTATCTAATACATAGTGTAACTGAATGAATAAAAACAAAACAAGACCGAACTATTTGTTGTTTCCAAGAAACTCACTTCACCTATAAAGACACACACAGATTGAAAGTGAAGGGATAGAAAAATATTTCCATGCCAATGAAAACCAAAGAGCAGAATATCCACATGCAAAAGAATAAAACTAGACCCCTATCTCTCACCATATACAAAAGTCAACTCAAAATGGATTAAAGACTTAAATGTAAGTCCTTTTAAAATGCTGGAATAATACTTCAGAATACTGGTCTGGGCAAATATATATTTTTTTTTAGGTAGGACTTCAGAAGCATGGTAAACAAGAGCAAAAATAGACAAATGGAAATACAACAAGCTTAAAAGCTCCTGGAAAACAAACGAAAGAACCAGCAAAGTGAAAAGACAACCTACAGAATGGGAGAAAATATTTATAAACAATATGACAAGGGATTAATATCCAGAATATGTAAGGAAATCAACTTAAGGGTCCAAAATATAAAAGTAATAATCTAATTAAAAAGGGACAAATGATCTGAATAGACATTCAGAAAAGACATACAAAAGGTCAACAGGTATATGAAAAAATACTCAACATTACTAATCATCAGGGAAGTGTGAATCAAAACCATAGTGAGATGTCATTTTAACCTGGTTAAAATGGTTATTATCAAAAAGAAAAAATAAACGTGAGAATGAAGAGAATGTGGAGACAAGGGAATGCAAGAACACTGTTGGTAGGAATTTAAATTAGTATATCAAATAGATATCTGCACTCCTATATTTATTGAAACACTATTCACAGTTGCCAAGAGATGGAAGCAACCTGAGGGCTCACAAAAGGATGAATGAATAAAGAAATTGTGGCATATCTACACAATGGAGAATTATTAAGCCATAAAAAATAATGAAATCCTGTCATTTGCAGCAACATGGGTGGAACTGAAGGACATCATGTTCAGTGAAATAAACCAGGTACAGAAAGACGAATATCACATTCTCACTCTTTTGTGGGAACTACAAAAGCTGATCTCATAAAGTTAGTACAATGATAGCTATCAGAGGCTAGAAAGGGTAGGCAGATGGTAAGATAGAGGTTGGTTAATGGATACAAAAATACATTAGATAGAAAAAGTTGTAGTGTTCAATAGCATAGTAAGGTGACAATAGTTAAGAATAATTTATCATATATTCAAAATAGCTAGAAGATTTGGAATATTCCCAAACACAAATGATAAATGTATGAGGTGATGAATATTCTAAATATGCTGATTTGATCATTATATGTTGTATGCATCAAAATATCACATATGCCCTATAATACACATGTGCAATTATTATGCATGTATCAGTAAATTAGTTTTAAAAGAACTTAATGCCAGATTATATCTCTTTACATACAGCTTTTGCTCCAACATCTGTCCAATTTGTAGCTGTTATCCCTATTCCTAAATACCACCAATTATAGTCATTTCTATAATTTCCTCTGTATTATTCACTCTTTAATATTCTCCATATATCATTTTGTAACTCACTTTGAGTTCATATTAGATATTATTGAGGGCCTGAAAAATTGAATGAACTAGTTGAATTAAGATATACCTGTAGATTACATTGATAGTGTACAGAGTTGCTAAACTGACTTTATCCAGTTCTTTGACACTAATTTCAATCTTTGCTGTACCACAGATTGAGGTTCCCATTTGCTCTGAGGCTATTTCCCTCATTCTTCTACAGTTTTGCTGCAGCTATTCTTCTCTTCCCTTATTCCCATTTGAAATTAGTATTCTCTAATGTGTTACTTCAAAGTTCACCCTAGATGAATAATTAATTCTTCCCAAGTGTATTTTTACTTGGAATACCCTTGTTGTCTAGATAAGTGCTATTTCATGGGTATTAAGTGTAAATGCCGGATATATTAATGTTAATGATTTCATGGGCCAGAGGGTTTATTAAAAAAACATAAAGAGTATAGATCAATTTTGCAATGTGGATAAGTAAAAAACACAGTCAAATGTTAGAGGACAAAGATCCAAATATACGAGAAAATCCTCACATAAGTCAGCCAAAAGATAAATGACTATGTTTTAATAAGGTAGAAGTTGAAAAATAGCTATTGGGATATTAAGCAAGTCTATATACTTATGTAAGAGTCTCCTTAAAAATAATTTATTTTAGTAAAGTTTATTGTTCTAATGGCATGTAAAAAGGCACAGTGAACTAGAAGAAAACCCAATGTTTCTTATGTTGTGCTACTATAACATGACAAAGCTTTTTTAGAACAGAGGCTTTGGGACTTCTTTTTATTATACTTTAAGTTTTAGGGTACATGTGCACAACATGAAGGTTTGTTACACATGTATACATGTGCCATGTTGGTGTGCTGCACCCATTAACTCATCATTAACATTAGGTATACCTCCTAATGCTATCCCTCCCCTCTCCCCCTACCCCACAACAGGCCCCAGAGTGTGATGTTCCCCTTCCTGTGTCCATGTGTTCTCATTGTTCAATTCCCGCCTATGAGCGAGAACATGCAGTGTTTGGTTTTTTGTCCTTGCAATAGTTTGCTGAAAATGATGGTTTCCAGCTTCATCCATGTCCCTACAAAGGACATGAACTCATCATTTTTTATGGCTGCATAGTATTCCATGGTGTATATGTGCCACATTTTCTTAATCCAGTCTATCATTGTTGGACATTTGGGTTGGTTCCAAGTCTTTGCCATTGTGAATAGTGCTGCAATAAACATACGTGTGCATGTGTCTTTATAGCAGCATGATTTATAGTCCTTTGGGTATATACCCAGTAATGGGATGGCTGGGTCAAATGGTATTTCTAGTTCTAGATCCCTGAGGAATCACCACACTGACTTCCACAATGGTTGACTAGTTTACAGTCCCACCAACAGTGTAAAAGTGTTCCTATTTCTTCACATCCTCTCCAGCACCTGTTGTCTCCTGACTTTTTAATGATCACCATTCTAACTGGTGTGAGATGGTATCTCATTGTGGTTTTGATTTGCATTTCTCTGACGGCCAGTGATGATGAGCATTTTTTCATGTGTTTGTTGGCTGCATAAATGTCTTTTGAAAAGTGTCTGTTCATATCCTTTGCCTACTTGTTGATGTGGTTGTTTTTTTCTTGTAAATTTGTTTGAGTTCTTTGTAGATTCTGGATATTCAGATGAGTAGATTGCAAAAATTTTCTCTCATTCTGTAGGTTGCCTGTTCACTCTGATGGTAGTTTCTTTTGGGATTTCTATAGCTTCTATTCTTTTCCTAGGTAATATTGATTCCCTAAGAAATCAATTACCACTTTTATGCAAATGAAGCACAATTTATCTCTAGTCCAGATGTTTCCTTTGCTCTCTAGACTGAATGATACACTGCCTCCCTGATAACTCTTAGATGTTTAGGAAATTCATTAAAATCAGCCTACCTAAAATTGAATTTATGATCTTTTTAAATGGTATCCAATTTGTGTTCTCTTGATCAATATAAATCATCATCGTAAAACCAGATGCACAAGCTAGAAACCTAGGACTTAAGTCTTGAAACCATCTGTTTCCTCATTTTCTATATCTAATACATTACCAAATGCTTTTAATTTCACCTCTAAGCTAGTTCACCAATTTTTCCGTATTTATTCCTCTCTACCCCCACCACCACTTGTTCTACCACTCTCCTTCAACTATACTACCAGACTAACCTCCTGAATAGTCTCTTTTATATACTTGCCTGTCTCCAGCTTCTCTATAATCTATAACCAAAATAATTTTTACTAAAATGCAGATCTGATTTGGCCACACTCTTACGTTGAATATTTCTGCAACTTCCAAGTATAATGATTTGATAAAGACCAAAACCTTAATAAGGTTTACAAGATCTCTCTCTCTGACCTCATCTCCTATGGGGACTCAGATTTTGTGTCCACTCCTTGTGCTTCATTGCTTTTAGATCCTTGAAGCAGCCCATGAGCACAGGACCTTTGTATGCACTGTATTAATTCTCTCTCAATCATTTTTATCTCATAACTTCTTCCCAGCTTTCAATTCAATCATCACTTGGGGAAGTCTAGTCAGGCTTTGCTTTTACTGAAACTTCATTCACTGTGCATTATTTGTACTCAATCCCCTACTTCTTATGGTTTGATGAGAATTAAAAGAGATAATATTCTTAAAGTACTTTATCACAGAGACTGAAATACAGTAAATGCTTACTAAATGTTAATTTTTAACATTGTATTTATTGCGTCAAGCAGCAAATTACTCTATACTAATAGATGCCTAGATTTGATACCATAGCTCTTCCTATATGAAGACTGGCATTTCCCAAGGTAATAATTCAAATTCATTCTAAAGGTCCTGACACATGTAGTTACATAGGTGTCACTTCCTGGATCAGACAGGTCTAGGTCTTTATTGGCTTCTTGCTTCTCCATGCCTTTTATTTCTTCCTATTTCTGTGACTTCTAGAGCTTCTAATGTGTCTCTAATCTGTATCTTCTTTCTCTTTAGTTTGATGTTTTCTTCTCCTTTCCTTTTATTCTTCTCCTTCATATGTTACAACAGCAATAGAGAATATTTCCCTGTGTCTTCCAGTTTAGGAATAAATTAGGATCTATGTATCACACATTACACAGACATATTGATACTGTGACTTTGTAATACAAATATCATTCAATAATTCCCTTGGTTGTCTCAGTATTGCTTTTTTTCTGTTTTTCCTGTTTAGAACTTTATAATGTAGACAATAGTTACTTAGAATAATTTATATTAAAAATAACAGTTGTTTAAATGCTCAAAATCATATACTATTTATAGGTGGAACAATGACCTTAACTTTGTAAAGTACCTTTTTAATAGTTAAACTAACTTTTTGCAGATTATAAAACTTGATAATTTAAAACTAAAATTTTGGTTTGGGAAGAGTTGGTTTATATTTAGGATCAGACATATGATTATACAGTCACAATAATTAATGATAGTTCACTTATTTTAAGAACTTGGCTTTACTTTTTGTCTACCATACACCTGAGGTTAATTAGATAAATGTAGTCTTTCATGGCTTGCTACTTAATTAGAAGTGATCATTGTTACAAAAATGTTGGTTATGAGCTATAATGAATACTATACAACTCATGATATTTTATCATATCACCAGAAACAATTTATACATCACAAAAAAAAAAAAGTATTTTCCCCCTTGCTCTGGTGGCCGCTGGCTGTTCCATTCTCCACCCTACTTCTGTAACTACATTTTAAAAATATATTGGCAGCCTAAGTTTTCCAGTGATGACACATTTGTGCTGGCCATTTGTTTTGAGTTTGTTCCCTAAGTGAATGCAGAATCTATTTGCAAAGATAATGTGTGCTGTGCTGCAATGAAATTAAACTTTTACCATGGTTTAAAAGGGAATGGTTGATGATGCTTTTTGTAGTTTGTACAGAAAGACCTCGGCCAGAATTTTTCTAGTAAAAAAATGCAGGGCAATGCTGTTGTAGTTGTTGTAGTCAACTTTCCAGCTTTTTATGTGATAAAATATATATCACAATACCGCTCTCAATATGTCATACAGCTCAGAGTAGTATGTGAATCTACTTGCCTTGGTGCTCCAACTTTCATCTCAGCTTTTCACATGTATGGAACAAGATCTTGCCAACAGAATATTGTACATATACACAGAAAACTACCACCACCTTTGGAGTTTAGAGGTGTTTTAAAGTACTATATAGAGTGTCAGATTTCACAGTAGGAAGTTTATACACCTGAAAGGAGCTGACCTATGAGTTGCACAAAGGTCATACAAGTTGAATTGAAACCAGTGTTATTATTTTGGTATATAGATGTCCCATGACTTCCTCAAAAGAAGTCACACATTCAAATATCCATGACCCACCTTTATAACTAAACACCTTTTAGAACAGGCTCTATGTATTTCAGGTAATAATTCTAGTAACATAATTTTTTGTTGTTGTTTTCTCAATGAAAAAAAGTTTTCAGTGTGTCTGTAATTACCATCTTGCCTTGGTTTAGTAAAACACACTGGAAATAGTTTATTGTACTTTAAAAATTTCAATCTTTTCAGAGGAACAAGATGGTAAACTAAGAGTAAGAATACTGAAGAAATAAATAGACGTAGAGAGAACAGATAAAAATGACTTTTGGGTAGGAGATTCATTTAAGCAAAAATAAGGTGATTAGATGTTTTACATGAAGGACCTAGACCTGCAACAATGCTGGCTTTTACCTAAATCTCCCAGCACATATTTAAGGACATAGTAAATGGGAAAAAAGAGGGTCTTTAAAATTCTGCTGCAAAGACAACTTTCAATTATCAATGATAAAATGCAATAAAAATAAAAGCTTCTCATTATTAGACATATAAATGAAAGATATTACACAGTGGTATCATTGCTTCCTTCTTTTGCTTCCTAAACATATGTACACACAGATGTACAACCTTTCCACCCAGGAAAATAAAGAAAGTTTATTCTGTCTTTTCTTAAACTTTTCTTTAAAAATAAGTTGAACCATTAACTTATTTCTGGAATGTTAAATTTAAAATATTGCAGTCCTCTTTAGGTGAGTAGCCTCCCTCAGAAGTGCTTTAAAGGATCCATTAAGTCTACTCAGGCTTGTTATTTTCACTAACATTGGAACTGCTTTAGTTCACCTGGTATACTCCCACCTGTAGGAGATACAGTTAAACTGTCCCCCAGGATTCATTCTCACCATTTTCCTTTTAGTAGTAAGCACTATGCTCCCTGTCCATGTTCACACTCACCCCATCCTCTCTGGGTTTTAGCTGGATGTATCTTAGCCTCCCTTCTATTCAGGTGTGTCTATGCAACTAAGCTCCTGCCAATGGGACACAACAAAAGTGATTATACAATTACTTGGTCATTTTCAACTTAAAGACAAATGGGTGTGTTGTAACTTTCCACTGTATCCTCTTCTTCTGGCATGAAAATCACAACTACAAAAGAAAGCTTAGGTACAGAGATGAAAGTCACTTTTTGTGCAGAGATGGCTGGCCTAGAAGCAGAGTCTACCAGTCAGAGCCTGCCTGTATGCCTGCCTACATTTAGAATGCTAAATTAAGAAAGGGTTAAAAAACCAAACACCGCATGTTCTCACTCATAGATGGGAATTAAACAATGAGAACACATGGACACAGGAAGGGGAACATCTCCAGGGCCTGTTGTGGGGTAGGGGGAGGGGGGAGGGGGGAGGGATAGCATTAGGGGATATACCCAGTGTTAAATGACGAGTTAATGGGTGCAGCACACCAACATGGCACATGTATACATATGTAAGTAAACTGTGCGTTGTGCACATGTACCCTAAAACTTAAAGTATAATAAAAAAAAAAAAAAAAGAAAAAGACCAACCAAAAAACAAAAAAAGAAAGAAAGGGTCAAACTTCTAGTTTATTTATACCGCTGTATTTTTAGGCAACTTTTTAATAGTAGTTGATTCTATATCCCAATTTATAACAAATCAAAGTATAAGATTAGAATAATAATGTTTTGAGTCCTAAATGTATAAAACTGTCAACACAAAGAAAACAAGGTATTTTAAGAAGAGGAGTGCAAAGAAAAGACAGCATTAAAAAATTTCTTTGAAGAAATCTTCTCAGCAGTTTGTACTCTTGGTTTCCATTTTATAAGAAATAAAATCACAGAAAAATGTAATTCTTGAGAATACAGGTTGAGCATTCCTTATCCAAAGTGCTTGGGAAAACAAGTGCTTTGGGTTTTTTTATTTTTTTTGGATTTTGGAGTATTTGTATGTACATAATGAAATATCTAGGAATGGGACCCAAGCCTAAACATGACATGCATTTGTGGTTTCATATGCACGTTGTACACATAGCCTGAAGGTAACTTTATATAATATTTTTAATAATCTTGTGCATTTAACAAAATGTTGACAGTGACTTGTTACATAAGGTTAGGTGTGGAATTTTCCACTTGTGGCATCTTGTGGGCATTCAAAAAGTTTTGGATTTTAGAGCATTTCAGATTTTGGATTTTCTGATTACACATGCTCAACCTGTTCAGATTAGGGATGCTCAAATATAACATATCTGTTATACCATTGAAAGTACTTTTGGATTTGTTGTGCTTTTGGTGTTTTTGTCGTGAAATCCTTGCCCATTTCTTTGTCTAGGGTGGTATTGCCTAGGTTGACTTCTAGGGTTTTTATAGTTTTGGGTTTTACATTTAAGTATTTAATCCATCTTGAGTTGATTTTTGTGTATGGTGTAAGAAAGGGGTCCAACTTCAATGTCCTGCATATGGCTAACCAGTTATCCCAATCGCAACAAAAGCAAAAATTGACAAATAGGATTTAATTAAACTTCAGAGCTTCTGCAGAGCCAAAGAAACTATCAACAGAGTAAACAACCTACAGAATGGGAAAAAGTATTTGCAAACTATGAATCTGACAAAGGTCTAATAAAGCAGCATCTATAAGGAACTTAAACATATTTACAAGAGAAGAGCAAACATCCCCATTAAAAAGTAGGCAGAGGACATGAACAGACACTTTTCAAAAGAAGACATACATGTGGCCAACAAGCATATGAAGAAAGCTCAATATCCTTGATCATTGGAGAAGTGCAAATCAAAGCCACAATGAAATACCATCTCGCATTGGTCAGAATGGCTATTTTTAAAAAGTCAAAAAAGAACAGATGCTGGCAAAGTTGAGGGGAAAGGAAACACTTATACACTGTCGGTAGGAGTGTAAATTAGTTCAACCATTGTGGAAAGCAGTATGGCAATTCCTCAAAGAGCTAAAAACAGAACTACCATTCGATTCAGTAATCTTATTACTGGGTATAAACTCAGAGGAATAGAAATCATTCTGCAATAAAGGCACACACATGTATATTCATTGCAGCCCTATTCACAATAGCAAAGATCATGAAGTCAACCTAAATGCCCATCAATGATAGACTGGATAAGAAAATGTGATACATATACACCGTGGAATACGATGTAGCCATAAAAGAGACAGATTATGTCTTTCACGGGAACATGGATGCAGCTGGAAGCCACTGTACTTAGCAAACTAACACAGGTGCAGAAAACCAAATACCGCATCTTTTCACTTATAAGTGTGAGCTAAAAGATGAGAACTGATGAACAGAAGGAAACAATAGACACTGGGGTCTACTTGAGGGTTTGGGGAGAGGGAGAGGTGCAGAAAAGGTAACTATTGGGTACTGGGCTTAATATGTGGGTAATGAAATAATCTGTACAACAACTCCCTCGACCCAAATTTACCATATAGGTAAACCTTCACATGTACCTCAGAACCTAAAAGTTAAAAAGTTAGCAATATACCCTATACACTTCTAAGAGCACAGTGCATGTAAGCTGAGCACTAGCATGTGATATTTTACAGCATTAAAGAGACATTCCTTTGTGTTTCATGCCATCATTGTAAGTGCGTTAAAGTTTATATCAGTGGTTTTCAAAATGAATTTCCCTAAGTAGCAGCAGCATCGCCTGGAAACTTGTTAAAAGTTTAGCACAGGTGTACTTAATCAGAAATGCTGGGTATAGAGTCCAGATATCTGCAGTTCAACTGTCCCTCCAAGTACCTCTGTTCCATGAATGTTTGGGAACAATGGCTCTACGTAAAAAAGCTGACAGATAAAGTAAAATCAGCAGAGTTGTTAATACAAGAAATTTGGGGGAATTATATTGATTTAAAAACAGTGCTCTCAGAGTGTTCTTTAAAAATATAATCCTAATCTATTTTCACTTTTGACAGTCCATTTATCTTATTTGATTATGTAAGCATTGTTGTCGTTATTTCTATTGTTATTGTTTCTTTCTTATTTGATCTTAAGGTCTCTCTCTTGAGAGTGGCTGTAGACCAAGGGAGTCATTTTCTAGGAGAGCTGTGATGGCGCAAAGCAAGATTCAGTTGTGTTGGTCAGTGGAGAAACAATGAGAAAGTGTAACTAAAATGCATGATACAAAATAAACGTACTACTTACAGACCCAGAGAGGTTAGTGGCGCCCAGTGGAGGTGGATAGGAAGTCTGGAGGCGGTAGAGAGCCAGCAAGAGAGGGCGGGGCTGTGGGACTCTGCCTTTAAGTAGGGTCCATGGGCCTTATTCTGTAGGTTCTCCTGTGGGGGTTGTGGCTTGGCCAGTTTAAAGAAAACACCTGTGAAGGAGGAACTTATTTACTTGACTCTGATGCTGATGTTTTATTGTGGTCAGCTGTTGTAGAGCGTGCTGGGATTTGGTTCAATGGGGTGAGTAACAAACAGGCTATTTCACAGTCACAGGAGGAGAGGAAGCTTTTAAGTAGGCCAAAAGTGACAGGGTACTGCTGGATTTTGAACAACTTTGTTCAGGCTTAAAAATGTATGTCCATGCAGTGACTATTTTAAACAAGTTCAGGATAATTCAGATTTTTAAAATTATGACACTAAAGATTGCGAGATGCTTTATTATTTTAGATTGGAATAGGCAACATCATTTAAATATCATTATTTTTCTTATTTATGTATTTTGTCAAAATATCCTCTTTTGTTTTTTACCTAAGCAGTGTTCTTAAAATGCCATTAAGCTCCACTATACTTTACAAAATACATTAATAACTCACATCGATACTCTCATATTTATGTGGTTGCCCTTGCATCACTATATAATTTTCAGAAATTACTAACCTGAATTTGCTTATTTTACCTTACATACATTTTCAGATTTATTAAGTCATTCAAGAGTCCTATTTCATTAGCTTTGTCTTCATATGAGAGCAAATAAAAGGGATTTACCCAAAATTACATGAGGGATTTACCCAAAATTACACACCCAGGAAGAGGAACAGCCTGGATTAATGTTAAGGAATTTTGAATTCAAATTTAAAGCATTGCACTCACACAGAAATAAACAACAATAAATAAAATACAAGTCCAATCCAGAAAAATATTTTCCCTGTAATTAGTCTTGCAAAGAAGCAGTTTCTTAGAATAGAACAGTGTGGACATCCTTCACAGACAAGCTGCAAACTAGCTGAATGGTCTTGGGCAGTTAATTAACTTTTAAAAATTTCTACATGGGGTGAAAGAAGAGGATTCTGGGGACAGCTACAGAGGGCTGAGAGAGAAAGAACTCCATTCAGAAAGCTAATTTATGTAACATGGCTAGGATACACATTAGTCATTCTTTAAGAGAAGCCAGTAAATTTTAAGTTGTTTCTGTTCCCCCTCTCAACTTGATTGAGGTATACTGGAAAAAAAATGTATATATTTAAGGTGTACAACTTGATGTTTATATATATATATATATACTATCTATAAACTATATATATACACTATCTATATACTATATATAGTATATATAAACTATATACTATATGTAGTATATATAAACTATATACTATATGTAGTATATATAAACTATATTTATAAACTATATATACAAACTATATATACTATATATAGTATATATAAACTATACATATGCTGTATATATACTATATAGTATATATAAACTATATATACTATATAGTATGTATAAACTATATATAATACATATAGTTTATATAAACTATATGTAAACTATATATACTATATATAAACTATATATACTATATAAACTATATATAGTATATATAAACTATATATAGTGTATATATAAACTATATATAGTATATATAAAAACTATATATAGTATATATAAACTATACATAGTATATATAGTATATATAAACTATACATAGTATATATAGTATATATACTATATATAAACTATATATACATTATATATAGTTTATATATAGTATATATACTATATATAGTATATATAAACTATAGCATATATAAACTATATATAGTATATATATAAACTATATATAGTGAAATGATTACCTCAATCTAGCTACTTTATACATTCATCACTTCACATACTTAACATTTTTGTGTGAGAGATGAGAACCCTTAAGATCTCTCCTAGGAAATTTCAAGTATATGATACATTAACTATATTCACCATGCTGTGCATTAGATCGCCAGCACTTATTCATCTTATAACTAAAAGTTTATAAACTTTGACCAAAATTCTCCCATTGCCCCATCCCATAAATCCTGGCAACCACTTCATTTATTCTTCTTTATTTATTTTGAGACGGAGTCTTGCTTTGTGGCCTAGGCTGGAGTGCAGTGGTGCGATATCAGCTCACTGCAATCTCCGCCTCCTGAGTTCAAGTGATTCTCCTGCCTCAGCCTCCCAAGTAGCTGGGATTACAGGTATTTAGTAGAGATGGGGTTTCACCATGTTGTTTCACCATGTTGGCCAGGCTGGCTGGCAACCACTTCACTCACTTTCTATGAGTTATCTTCTTTAGAGTCCACATACATGTGAGATTATTTAGTATTTTTTTTGTGCCTAGCTTATTTCACTTTACATAATGTTCTCCAGATTCATCCATGTTTTTGCAAATGGCAAGATTTCCTTATTTCATAAGGCTGAATAGTGTTCCATCGTGTGTATATACCACATTTTCTTTATCAGTTCGACCTTCGATGCGTACTTAGGTCACTTTAATATCTTGGCTATTGTGAACAATTCTGCAATGATGTAAGAGTACAAATATTTTTTATGATATGGATTTCATTTTTTTGGATATACATGTATATGTGTGTGTGTATATATACACACTATATATATGTATATGTATAGTATGTGTATGTCTATATATATACACACAGACTATATATATGTATATCAAAAAATATAGCTATATGTATATCTAGATGTGGGATTGCTGGATCATATGATAGCCTTTTGAGGAACCTCCACAAAATTTTCCATAATGGCTGTGCCAATTTATAATCTTACCAACAGTGTACAAAGGTTCTTTTTTTTTCTGAAATTTTCTTTTTTTCTTTTTTTAAGTTTATTTTATTATTATTATACTTTAAGTTTTAGGGTACATGTGCACAATGTGCCGGTTAGTTACATATGTATACATGTGCCATGCTGGTGTGCTGCACCCATTAACTCATCATTTAGCATTAGATATATCTCCTAATGCTATCCCTCCCCCCTCCCCCCACCCCACAACAGTCCCCAAAGTGTGATGTTCCCCTTCTTGTGTCCATGTGTTCTCATTCTTCAATTCCCACCTATGAGTGAGAATATGTGGTGTTTGGTTTTTTGTCCTTGTGATAGTTTACTGAGAATAATGATTTCCAATTTCATCCACATCCCCACAAAGAACATGAACTCATCATTTTTTATGGCTGCATAGTATTCCATGGTGTATATATGCCACATTTTCTTAATCCAGTCTATCATTGTTGGACATTTGGGTTGGTTCCAAGTCTTTGCCATTGTGAATAGTGCCGCAATAAACATACGTGTGCATGTGTCTTTATAGCAGCATGATTTATAGTCCTTTGGGTATATACCCAGTAATGGGATGGCTGGGTCAAATGGTATTTCTAGTTCTAGATCCCTGAGGAACCACCACACTGACTTCCACAATGGTTGAACTAGTTTACAGTCCCACCAACAGTGTAAAAGTGTTCCTATTTCTCCACATCCTCTCCAGCACCTGTTGTTTCCTGACTTTTTAATGATTGCCATTCTAACTGGTGTGAGATGGTATCTCATTGTGGTTTTGATTTGCATTTCTCTGATGGCCAGTGATGGTGAGCATTTTTTCATGTGTTTTTTGGCTGCATAAAAGTCTTCTTTTGAGAAGTGTCTGTTCATATCCTTTGACCACTTTTTGATGGGGTTGTTTGTTTTTTTCTTGTAAATTTGTTTGAGTTCATTGTAGATTCTGGATATTAGCCCTTTGTCAGATGAGTAGGTTACGAAAATTTTCTCCCATTTTGTAGGTTGCCTGTTCACTCTGATAGTAGTTTCTTTTGCTGTGCAGAAGCTCTTTAGATTAATGAGATCCCATTTGTCAATTTTGGCTTTTGTTGCCATTGCTTTTGGTGTTTTAGACATGAAGTACTTGCCCATGCCTATGTCCTGAATGGTAATGCCTAGGTTTTCTTCTAGAGTTTTTACGGTTTTAGGTCTAACATTTAAGTCTTTAATCCATCCTGAATTAATTTTTGTATAAGGTGTAAGGAAGGGATCCAGTTTCAGATTTCTACATATGACTAGCCAGTTTTCCCAACACCATTTATTAAATAGGGAATCCTTTCCCCATTGCTTGTTTTTCTCAGGTTTGTCAAAGATCAGATAGTTGTAGATATGCGGCGTTATTTCTGAGGGCTCTGTTCTGTTCCATTGGTCTATATCTCTGTTTTGGTACCAGTACCATGCTGTTTTGGTTACTGTAGCCTTGTAGTATAGTTTGAAGTCAGGTAGCATGATGCCTCCAGCTTTGTTCTTTTGGCTTAGGATTGACTTGGCGATGCGGGCTCTTTTTTTGGTTCCATATGATTAAAGTAGTTTTTTCCAATTCTGTGAAGAAAGTTATTGGTAGTTTGATGGGGATGGCATTGAATCTATAAATTACCTTGGGCAGTATGGCCATTTTCACAATATTGATTTTTCCTACCCATGAGCATGGAATGTTCTTCCATTTGTTTGTTTCCTCTTTTATTTCATTGAGCAGTGGTTTGTAGTTCTCCTTGAAGAGGTCCTTCACTTCCTTTGTAAGTTGGATTCCTAGGTATTTTATTCTCTTTGAAGCAATTGTGAATGGGAGTTCACTCATGATTTGGCTCTCTGTTTGTTATTGGTATATAAGAATGCTTGTGATTTTTGTACATTGATTTTGTATCCAGAGACTTTGCTGAAGTTGCTTATCAGCTTAAGGAGATTTTGGGCTGAGACAATGGGGTTTTCTGGATATACAATCATGTCATCTGCAAACAGGGACAATTTGATTTCCTCTTTTCGTAATTGAGTACCCTTTATTTCCTTCTCCTGCCTAATTGCCCTGGCCAGAACTTCCAACACTATGTTGAATAGGAGTGGTGAGAGTGGGCATCCCTGTCTTGTGCCAGTTTTCAAAGGGAATGCTTCCAGTTTTTGCCATTCAGTATGATATTGGCTGTGGGTTTGTCATAGATAGCTCTTATTATTTTGAGATACGTCCCATCAATACCTAATTTATTGAGAGTTTTTAGCAGGAAGGGTTGTTGAATTTTGTCAAAGGACTTTTCTGCATTTATTGAGATAATCATGTGGTTTTTGTCTTTGGTTCTGTTTATATGCTGGATTACATTTATTGATTTGTGTATATTGAACCAGCCTTGCATCCCAGGGATGAAGCCCACTTGATCATGGTGGATAAGCTTTTTGATGTGCTGCTGGATTCAGTTTGCCAGTATTTTATCGAGGATTTTTGCATCAATGTTCATCAAGGATATTGGTCTAAAATTCTCTTTTTTGGTTGTGTCTCTGCCTGGCTTTGGTATCAGGATGATGCTGGCCTCATAAAATGAGTTAGGGAGGATTCCCTCTTTTTCTACTGATTGGAATAGTTTCAGAAGGAATGATACCAGTTCCTCCTTGTACCTCTGATAGAATTTGGCTGTGAATCCATCTGGTCCTGGACTCTTTTTGGTTGGTAAGCTATTGATTATTGCCACAATTTCTGAGCCTGTTATTGGTCTATTCAGAGATTCAACTGCTAGTATTAAAAAAAACAACAAAAGAGTATTCATTTGCAAAGAAGTGGGGAAAAAAGAACCTTTGTCTATTCGGGGTTCTTTTTTCCCCACTTCTTTGCAAATGAATACTCTTTTGTTGTTTTTATTTTTTTAATACTAGCCATGCTGACAGGTGTGAGATGATAAGTCATTGTGGTTTTGATTTGCATTTTTCTGATGATTAGTGATATTGAACACCATTTCATGTACCTGTGGTCCATTTGCCTATCTTCTTTGAAAGAATGTCTATTTCCCCCCACCTTTTTTTTCGCCATTGAGTTGTCTGTGACAGTGGCTGGTAGAAAAGTACTTTGTTGAATGCAACTAAGTTTTGAGATTGATATCAAAGTGAAAGCAAACCAGTCTATTATTTTTCTAGTTGAATTCAAATTAAATCAAAGACAAATATATTGGGCAGCAGAATACCATATTATCATGAAAATGTAGGATATGATATGCTATTTCAAGTGAATATTATGCTTCCTGCTGTGTTTGATATTGCCCTCAGATTCTTCTACTACAATAGTCCACCCTCTTTTGCCCCTAAGGAACCTTGGTCAAAACAGAGACACTGGGCTACAGATTTATAATATAATTTAAACTATTTTAAAATTCTCTATAATATTATTTTAAATATTTTTTAGTAGACAGGTAAAATTATGGCTATAAACCTAAATGGAGTCAACACCAAAATACACTTACTCATTCATAAATTAAATCAGAATAAAAATGCTATTTTTTGTTTGGTAAACAGGATTATGACTTATTTCCATCAAATTTCCAAGTGTGATCTTTTCTTATTTCCTCTAAGTGTGGGGTAGATAATCTTAAGGAGCCTGTCTCCTCCAATGTCCTGGTTTATTGGTACAGGTAATGTACGAGTGCTCAAGTTGTTCATCTTATTCTGTAGGTTTCTCTTTCCTTGGCTTATTGATATGCAGAACTGACTTGGTACTTTTTCATTTCTGTCACTTTTTGTGGTTATGTTAATCATTAATAAACCCTATAGAGACCCATCTGATTGGAGTCAGCTACCTGCTTGTGCCGCCACTTTAATAACTGACCAAAAACATGCATTTCTCCCTTTCATTCACCTGGAAGTTGATTACTCCCTGTTATTGCTAAATTTGTAAGGAGAGAAGAAGCAGGTATGTGTTTTCTACCGTCAGGTTTTAATTACAGGTGGTATTCTAACTAAAGATGAACAAATCTGTTTTCATCATCTATTTATAGAAAGTAAAAGAGGTTATTAAAAGAGCTTGTTCTAACATTTTTATGAGGTTCTCTCCCTTACGAATGTCTTGAAAGTCAAATTTTTGATGCGAGTTTAAATCCCCGCAATGACTGTTTGTAAAGAGATTGCTAAGCAATGTTAAAGTGCTCTTTATAAAGAGTTAATAAGAATTTTGGTGCAGGGTCAATCAGTGAGAAGGAGAAGAGGAGAAGGTCAAAGAAAAGGAGGCCACCAAGCTACGGAAGCTGGAGATCATGAAGAATTGGCTGAAAAGATCATTATAACATGGCCAAAGGATCTGTTAGAATCAATAAATTTAATTTTCAGTATTTATTTCTTCATGCTAATGCAATGTCAACTCTTTTTGTCCCAATTTTAATAGAGTATACTCCCAAAATGACGATTTTGGATAAACCAAGGAAAAGGGGTTGTAGTTCAGTGATCCTTAACATATGCACCTGGAACAGCAATATCAGCACCATCTGGGAACTTGTTAGTAATGCAAATTATCAGGACTTAACCCAGACCTGCTGAATTAGAAACTCAAGTAGTAGAATTTAGCAATATGTGTTTTATGGAGCCCTCCAGGTAATTCTGATGCAAACTAAAATGTGAGAATTGCTGTTATATTCCATATTTACGTTTAACTGGAGCTGAGAGAAAAGACCAGTTGGAGGAGATTAAATGTTACAGACATTAAGAAATTTTCAGAGTAGGAATTTAGTATTAAACTGATTAGGATACACCCAAGCGAAGTCAGCATTTTCTGGTTCTTGGGAAAGACACAGCATATCCTATTAGGTGGTAGGTAGTTTAAAATCCTTATAAACAACTGTTATATACATTTTTAAAAAGAGGGTGACCCTAGCTTATACTTGGGTTACACTTTTTTATATACAAGTATGAATTTTGATGCTAATAATCTCTTTTTTTTGTATCTACTACATTACCTCTAATGGTGCAAAAATTTCCAATAGCACTAGATGGTTTTATCATTAAGAGGTATTGGACAGGTGAGTCAGTTCTTATATTGCCTTGAATAAGTTTCCTTCCATATTTTAAGTTCCACATCTTCAATGTATGCAAACAAAAACAGGCATTTGATTTTAAGCCACAATTAAAGCTGCCTTAGAGATATTGAAGAAATATCTGTTTTAGACAAAAAACAAAAACTCTTAAAAGTTAGTATTTTCCCTTCAATATTTTATTTATCTGTGTATAAGTCTATAACTAAATTATTATTTCTCATAAAATATTCTGATTCTATTAAAATGAGTGAATCATCTATTATAAAAAGGAGATTTAAATGGGGCATGACAAAGATTCATGATTGTTAAAATATTTTATTTTAACTTAAAATATAAAAATGTACATTTATCAATTATTTCATTAGGAGTCAAGACAATTTTTCAAAAAAACCTTTGGGTCTATTGATGAGAAATTCTGTCATCTTTGGGATGTAATTTAAGACTGTGAAACAACTTGCATGCAAAAGTATTTCAATGTTTTGTTTTTCCCCATATTTATACTGTTATCTTACCTACACCTAATTAGATAGTGATTTTTAAAACTAGCCCATCTTTTTAAGCCTTTCCAAAACATTAAATTTAGTTACCATGGAAATAACACACTTTTTTTTTTTGCAGCTTAAATACTATTAAATACGTTATGGCCTGGCCTGGTGCCTTGGCTCACTCCTGTAATCCCAGCACTTTGGGAGGGTGAGGCAGAAGGATTGCTTGATTCCAGGAGTTCAAGATCCACCTGGGAAACATGGCAAGACCTCTGTCTCTACAACTTTTTTTTTTTTTTTTTTTTTTTTTTTTTACATTTAGCTTAGTGTGGTGCTGCATGCCTATAATCCCAGCTACTTGGGAGGCTGAGGTGGGAGGATGGCTGGAGTTCAGGTGTCCAAAGCTACAGTGAGCCATGATCCTGCCCTTGCACTCCAGCCTGGGTGACAGAGCATGACCCCATCTCGAAAAAAAACAAAAAAACAAATAAAACACATCATGTCATTAAAACAACAAGTTTGAAGAGCACGGTTTGGGCATCACACACAACAGTCTACTGATAAAATTCAACTCAACTGCAGTCAGCAGAACTGCATGGTCACACTGGGTAGCAGCCTCTACCAGTCTGTTCAAGGCATGAAGGCACACTTAGTATGTCTTACAGAGGAATTGAGGGTATTAGTTATTCTAGTGAGTCAGGAAAGTGGAATAAAAGTCCATCTCTATTGATATTTCCATGATTTAAAATTCTGGTGTTTATATTATTAAAAGCCTCTTCATTAAAGGTCATGACTTTAATTATTACATTAGATTTTAAGTAAATGCATTTTATTTTATTATTTTTACCTCTAAATTGTAATTTTCTTCAAAATAATCCTGAGCTTTTGCCTCTTATATGGAAACATCTTTGTGGGATGGATTTGCAGCCTTCTGAGAGATCTGCTCTGCTGCTCAAAATATGCTGCAAGACCTCTTCTTGCCCAATCTTCTGACTGGACAGGCAGCCTGGAGGGCAGGATCAATATGTTATTTGTGTTTGTTTCATAAGTGCCTGACACAAAGTGTAGCAATGTAGGCACTGAGTATTTGTTGAGTAACAGAAAAAGAAATATAGAAATGGTGTGATATTATCTTTTTTCTTATTTTATTACCATTTCTCCTAGTATATATTTTTTATTCCTGATTTCTTCTCTTGTTTCAACAAACTATTTTATTTGTAATGTAATCTTTCTTTCCTTGAATCTCAATTACAAGATTATCATGACACATTATTCCATTATTCTTAAAAGAATAAAAGTAGGAGACCATACACTGGCTTTCGGAATTGGAATAGAAAATTGACACTTCCCATGAACATCAGTTTCTAACACATTTTACATATGCTGTGCTTTGCTTCATGGTCCATAATCTAGAAAACAGTTTTCTTTTTTTTTTGTTTGTTTTCAACTTTCTTTTTTTTATTTTTATTATACTTTAAGTTTTAGGGTACATGTGCACAACATGCAGGTTTGTTACATATGTATACATGTGCCATGTTGGTACTGGTACCAAAACAGAGCTATAGACCAATGGAAACAGTTTTCTTTAGAAAAAGATTGTTGAAACAGTAATGAATTCTATTATATAGTGCCCAATATTTATGGACTTAGGGAAGATTTGAAGTAAAGCAAATGCATGTTTAATTAAATCTGTTTGTTTAATTTTAGACTATAGATTCTCAGACAATTTAAAAAATATGCCAAATATCAATTTATAAGAGATGCCAAAATATCAGTCTCCTGGAAGCTAGAAACTTACTTTTCTTTGCTCATCTCATGAAGAGATGTGATCTACAGAAATACATTTTTCAAATAGATCTGATTTTTAAAATGTTCTTCTTGAAACATTACATTTCTAAAAATATAAATTCATCATTCTAAGCAATATCAGCTTCTAGTTTTCAAATTTACCTCTCTGGCCTCTTAACATGTAAATAAAATTCACAAGTGGAGTCAACATGTAGCATCTATTTCCAGATCATAAACTCCTTTCCTAATCTCTTAAAATATGCTTTATCTTCTTAATTTTAAAATATAATTCAGTTATATTCACTTTGAGTAATCTACAACTTATTTTATAAAATACATTTTAAGAATTATTATATTAATTTTTTGAGAACTATTGTGAAATATAACTTTTGAGAATTATTATGTACATAAATGACCACGCCAACTGGAAAATTTTGTGCATAGTTAATCTAGTGAACTAGAACTTGAAATGCCCTAACCAGTTCCTAAAAGGTGTTGTTAATATGCATAAGCTCTGGGAAGTAGGATCCAAGGGCAGGGGAAATTGAAGGTTCTGACCTTCTTCTGGAAAGATGAAGGGTTCCTTTGGATATTCTTGAGGTATTTTTTTTTTTTGGATATTCTTCCTGTCTCTAGACTTAGAATTGGCCCATTTCTTTTTCTGTATAATTTTGGGAGTTAGCAAAGGCTACATAATTTACAAAGTACAGTGCAAAATATGTGGCACACTTGTTCAAAAAGCAAAAACAAAATGTGCAGTTAATGTATTAAAACATAAAAATTTTTCTTTAAATATATATATCAGCATTTGTAAAATGTAATGAGATAGTAATGGTATATGAATAACCATAAACGTACAAATTGCCACCTTGAACTTTGGTATATTTATTGAACTCACTGTCTACCTCCTCCTAACCGGGAAACTTTGCTCAACTTCTCTGTATTTTTCTCTTCTTTTGGCTAGTATATACTTATCTTCTAATTTGCTGTTAAAATATCACTTCCTCAGGAAACTCATATTTTGCTTTATACAATAATTGTTTACTTTTTATTCAGTCACATATTATATATTTATGTAATTCTTTATGTAATTATTTAATGTCTTTTACCCTACTGGATTATAATCTTCAGGAGGACACTGAACACATTACTTTGTTGAAGATAATTGAGATATGCATCTGACAATGACATTTATTTAATTTTACTCTCAGCCCAGACAAAAATGTTGAATGGTAAGTAGCCTCACCTTCTCCAAGAGAGAAAGACCAAATTATTGGCATTAGATTAGTGAAACCACTGAAATATGAGTAATGTCATGGCAGAAGTGTTGATTACTCTGGAGGTAAAGGAGTATCATTAGTGAATTCTGTAACCATTGCTCTGGAAAAGACACTGTGGACGTTCGCAGTTGGCTTTGTGAGCAAAAGTATAATGTCCTCAGCTACAGGTAAAGATTCCAGGAAATCAAGTGGCCAGGAGAAACGTCCAAGTTGTAAAATTAAAATTGAGAGTTTATGAAAAACTAGAATTTATTGAACAGGAAATTTGGGATATATACTTCTTCTCTGCTCATTAAAAATACATAGGAGTAAAACAACTGGGTCGGTTGGTTTATACAAGCCTTTTAAAAGTAATTAATCCATTGAAGTTGAGTCTATTACAATGATTATGACTATGGAACTTACATAGAAAGATTCCCAGTAATTTCTATAGCCACTATAAGTTGCTGCAAATGCATGTGATAATTTTTAAGTATTGGAGATTCAATGATTATTTGAAAAGAAATTATTGTTTGACTGTTTTTTTTTCTTTTTGGTACTATTATCACATTTATTGCTACATTATTTTACAGAAACAAAACAAACAAGTCTCAAAGCAGCGGAAGATCTTGAAATGGTTTAAATTTAGAGCATCTAAGAATAAAAAGGTTAAGCCTTTCTCTTGCCGACTACTCAGATCTAAAAAACTACAAAACAAAGGCCTTGATTTCTGATCCTGTCCTTTTATAATTAAAATAAAAGAGAGAGAGCTGTATAAAAGAAATTCCTTTTTTCCCAAGTCACTTTTTGATCTCCTTTCATCTTTGCCTCTGCTCTGCCCTCAGGTATTTTAGAGACGCTTCAATAAAAGTGTGCATTCCTGTTGAGTGTTTCCTTAAATGCCACGCAGCTCTGGGACTGACTAAGGGAATCTCTGCTTCACAAGTTTACCCCTTACCAAGTGATGAAAACAATTGCAGAATTAATTCCTGAGGCCAATGAATCAAGAAATTGGACAGCCTGCAGCTCTCTTTCTAGCTTACAAAACAAAACAGTAATTTATCTTGAGTAATTAGGACCTTCTGATTTTTAGCATTTTTTTCCTATTTCCTTAGCTGCTCTATTGTTTACCACATTGAAATTATATTTGTTTCCTAGTTACACGGATTTGATTTTTCCTACAACTTTAGGAGGGTCATCTACAGCTATGCTAATTTGATAATGTAATTATTGATATGCTTTGAAATTTTGTGATATGGCATTTGCAGTTAGGTTCATTTTAATTTTATCAACTCTGTTATGTTTATAATTTAATTATTTTATTTTCCAGTGTCAGCTTTTCAGTCTCATGTAATACTATCAAAGACAGAGGTGCAGAGTTGGTCTTTGGATGTAAGGGATGTAAGTGTTTGCTGCCAGAGTCATGACTTATCTTTTTATTAGAGAAAGGACTCACGCTAGTCTCCATAAAAGTGATTTAGGATATTCTGAAAATAATATTGCTATGTATCAGCATATCTTGATCTCTAAATCATAGGATTGAAAGAAATTTCAGAGTTTGGGTGACCATATTTTTTTCCCTGAAATTGTCCAGGTTTACAATCATTGCGCATGATAATCATTAATTTTGTTCCTGTTCACTCTCTTTCGCTTTTCTCAGTCAAAATGAGAAATTGTCACTCTATCCCTATGTCATTTCTTCCCTTCTCCCACTTTTCAGGGATCTCTTCTGTGGCATAATTGACAGATAAACTTTTGCTTGAAAACTTGTAGAGATATATATCCCTACTTGCATAGAGTAGCCTGTCTTCCTATATAGTTCCATTTGCACTTATTTCTTCTATTGAGATTGTGTTAAACTAACATTTGTTAGGTTTGGTTTTAGAAGAAAGCAAGTACTTGAAAGAGTGAATAAAGCCACAGAAAGAAAATTGTGGTATCTCTTTGACACTTTAAAATTCATTTTCCTATATGATCCTAAAAAATTGGGCATATTGCAATAAGCAATTTTCATATAGATAGAAGGCATCTGCTTCTCAAAATTGTTACATGTATTCACTGCATTATTAAAATACAGTGGCTGCTTAGCATGGCTTGCTTTAACCTAACAAGAATTTCTTCATTGGTCATAAATATTTATAGACTGTGGAATTCTTCTGAAACTATATTTTTAGTAATACATCAAAAACAATAATAAATAGATGTTACATATAATGTGATATTTGATTGCCAAAACATTATCTATAACAAGAACAAAGAACTAAATCGCCATTGGTGTTTTCAAATGTTTTAAAGATTTGTAAATATTCTTTGATGAACATAATGCCAGAGATCCATGTTCACTTAAAAAGAAAATCAGAAAAACAACATATGCAAGCATTATTTAATAAGGTTTTTGTTCTAAGTTCATACTTTTCACAATATTAAAAAACTTTAGAAAAATAATTTATGATTATATTTCCAGTGAATTACATGGAGTATTTTAGAATTCTAAATTTAGATGCCACTGTGTCCATTGAATAACCTTTTTTTTTGTATAGTGGTAAAATTATAATATATAGTGTGGCTCATAAGGACAACTTCCGAAAGGGTGACCACCCTTTAGACTTTAACCTTGACCACAGTAAATTCTTTCTACTATTATCACTGGCTGTTTTCACAGATTTGCAGTTTTAATAATCTAGTTGTCCTCAACTCTTTCAACAATGATGGGATCACTAATTCATCCTTCCATGTTTTCATAAATTTTACCAACTACAAGGAAAGACTGCATAATGATTTTAAATAATTGTTTGTCATAAAAAATACAGTCATCACTCTGAGGAACATATTTGACATTATGTTTTATTTTTGTTTTTGCACATGGTCAAACATTGAGAATTCAACATAATTTTAAAAAGGGGGCTTTCACAATATAGGCTTCTAGTGGACTTTTTATGACAAATAAATTGTTCAAAACTAAAAATATCAAAATTGAATGTCTAGGAGATTTAAACGTTGTAAAGATAAATCTAGGATTTAAAAAAATCTCGTTTATCCACATTATTTGTGGATTTCTTTAAGCATTCTCCTTTCTCTTCCATCTTTACCACTTTCACTCATTTTTGTGCCTACCATAGTCACAGGACAGAGGAGGTAAAATTTAAACACTGTGTGTATAATTTAGCTACATCATATGTTAGTTAAAATATAAATGTATATGAAGGAAGATATTTTTGTTTTTTTGTTTATTCCTGTATTCCTACCACCCAAATCTATTCCTAGCATGTGAAAAATGCTCAGTGACTTCTATTTAAGTGAATAAATAAATGTATAATTTTCTAAATCAAAATTTGCATTTGGGTAAAAAATTATACTACTTTCTTTGGCATTTCTCCAGAGAAAAGTTATATAAACTGCTTATATATATATAACATGTACATATATTTATTTATATGTATGTACTACTTGTATATAAAAATATTTCTTATAAATTAAAAAAACCCTGTCTGATTAAATTTACATTCCTGCTTATTCTGCTTTCACTCCCATGCTGCTGTAAACGGTTAGAATAAAAGCCCTTCAAAGTATGCTGTTTTAGTGGATTTCTCCCAAAGCAGAACCTGAGACATTTCATGTCACTCCTGTCTTTATTGTAGCCCTTCTATTACCATATTTTCTACATCTCTTGGCCTTCTTTCACTCCTCCCCAGCCATACTAACCAACTTGATGTTCTTCAGGAACAGTAAGCTCTTTTCTGTGATGGTGCCTTCCACTTGCATCTTTAGGTCCAGAATGCTTTCTCTCCAGATATTTTCATGGCTTCCTCTTTCACTGCACTGAGGCCCTGCTCAATGCCCCTTTTCAGAAGAGCCTTCCCTGACCACTCCGTTTAAAATGGTATCCTCTCCCTTACTATTTATTAGCCTTTTAGCTTTATTTAATTTTTCTTCCTAGCATGCATTACCTGACTTCTTTTTATACTTGCTAGTTGTTTGTTCTCTTACTATAACGTAGGCACCACTAGACAACGGTCTTTGTTTTTTCTTTCACCACTGTGTACCTAGCAGCATATAGTTATAATAGTACGTGGAACATAGTAAGCACTCAGTGATTGTTGAATACATGAAAATTTTAATTCTAGTAACTCTATATTACTACAATCTTTTGTTTCACCTTTCACAGACATTTAATGTCTAGATATAATATCAACTTTAAAAAGCAAATTGGGTATGTGACATGAGTGATTATAGTACAAAACAGTAAGAAGACAAGTGTTATGTCCAAAATAATTTAACAAAGAAGGTGGGGAGCCAACTTTACCATAGACTTTGAACTTTCTCCTCAATGTGATGTTTGTATTCCAGGTGTTTCATGAGCTCCAGTAAAACCAAAACTGTCCACGACTGATAGTCAAATAATCTCTTTCGGAGAACAGAAGGACAGGCCTAATTCAGAGTGACAAATTCAGTTTGCTAATCACTGTCTTTGAGATATTATCAAACAAATATCTCTGCATGTAGTATCAGGTGATTGTTCTATAGACTTTGGCTTTATAAAGTGGAATGGAAATAATTAACACATGTTTTTTCAGGAACTTGGTTCTTTGCTTTGCCTTCCCTGTTCCCCTAATTTCCTCCTCCTCCCTATTTCCCCATTCCCTTCTCCCACCTTGTTCCTCTATTCCAGGCTCCCCGTCTCTTTTTTGCCTTACCCATGCGTGGAAATATTCCAGTACTTAGCCTTAATTAACCGACAGACAATATAGGGTTGGAATGAATTATGTGGAGCCTGGAGATCAACTCTGTGAATGTACATATGCATTACATGGCTTGCTATTTTTTTTTTTTTTTTTTTTTTTTGAGACGGAGTCTTGCTCTGTCGCCCAGGCTGTGGAGTGCAGTGGCGCAATCTCGGCTCACAGCCAGCTCCGCCTCCCAGTTTCACGCCATTCTCCTGCCTCAGCCTCTCGAGTAGCTGGGACTACAGGCACCCGCCACCACGCCCGGCTAATTTTTTTTGTATTTTTAGTAGATACGGGGTTTCACTGTGTTAGCCAGGATGGTCTCGATCTCATGACCTCGTGATCCACCCCCCTCGGCCTCCCAAAGTCCCGAGATTACAGGTGTGAGCCACCGCGCCCAGCCGGCTTGCTATTTTTATATATTTTTTTTTCCCTAAGAAATTGCTTAACTTATCTGTACTTGAAATTAGTCAATACTCAGCATGGAGTCCTTCCATCACAGCATCTGAAACACTGGAAGCTTGTTAGCAAGGAGCTCCCTTGAGGTCTACTGAATCAGAATCTGCATTTTTGCAAGATCCCCTGGTGGTTTGTGTGTATATTAAAATGTGAGACGTACTGGTAGTATATGTAAAACACAACAGTATTTATGTAAAACACGCCCTCCCTAAAGGCTATTCCTTCTAATTTTCCTAACAAAAATATGGATAGGGAAAAATATGTAGTATTTTATAGAAATCAATTCGATCAAAGCTATCGTGTATATATTTTTTCTTAAACTCAGTGATAAGAATATTCAAAATTGTTTCCTTATTTATATATCATTATTTACACTAAAGTTATGCAACTTGAGGTTTTATTTGTGGATGTGTCTAGTTAGAGGGAAGAAGGGAGAGAAGGAGAGGAAAAGGAAAAATATATTTTTGAGACCTCACAGTTGGTAAGGGAAAAAAAAATAGTTGTTTGGATTTTAATTGTTCTCTTTAGAAAAAAAGTTGGTGAATAAGAATGTTTTAAATCGCCCTTTAAAATGCTACCTGTAGTACTTTAAAAAGAATCATCTTATTATTTCTCTACTTTGTTGAATGTGTGGAATCAAGTTTTCTTCCGAACACACTGGTGTGAATGAATGATGTAAAGCAGAGAATCCACACTTTGCTTAGGCTTACATAGAATTACACAAAACAATATACAATTTTATTTGTAAAAGCCTACTTGAGATTGAATGTAGTCTCAAGGCTGTATAGATCTTAATGGGAACATGCGGCTTCCTTTCACCACAAAAAAGTATTTTTTAATAAAAAATATATACATTAAACTGGATTCAAAGCAGTTATTTTTATTAATCACCTAGTGTGGTTATGTACCCTCTACCACAGAGAATGAAAGACAGAAAGCATCCATTTTCTGCATTAAACTTTTCAGAAATACAGCTCACACAGGTTACAACATTGCTTAACAGCCTTTTCAAATTAAGGCAAGATAGGAATCATATTCATTTTCTCCTTTCCCATTGGCACCAAGATGTAAATATAGCTAATGGTAGCCTGTTCAACACTATTATTAATCATTTTTGTAGCAACATGTTATTTGTGCCCAGATGTATGCAAATGCTCAGGTTCCTACTGCTCCAGATGGTGTTTATTAAGTTAAAGTAGTCATATAAGCAGAAGCAAGTGCTCTGCTATGTTCACACAAAAGCAAAAGCAAAACAAAACCAGCACCCAACAGCCTTGAATTGATTAATGTTTTTGATGCACTATAAATTTTAAGAATATTCCAGAATCCACAGGAGATATCTGAAATTTCAAAAAATAGGTTGTAAAGTGAAATAATCATACTGCAATAATATTTGTGCAATAAAATTTTATTCTTTCTAAATTATCTGATAAAAAGTCCTTGCAGTTGTGATAAATAGTCGAACTTGTGTATCTTAGATATAAAATTACATGCATTTTTATCTTTTAGTTGACATTTTATTTGAACTCAGAGTATTATAAAAATAATTTTATTACCATTTGTATCTGGGAAAAGAAGAAATTAATCCTGTCATGTGTCTTTAAGAAGAAATGTAAGACAAAGATCCTGAAGACTTGCAGTAATATAATAACTCAGTTTTCATAATAAAAGGACATTAACTTTAGTGTACAGGGAACTTCTCATGGAGGCAACTATATTTTGTTTTTCTTTTTTCCTGCCTTTCAAATTTAGGAGGCAAAAATATTTGCAAATTTTGTATTTAAAGGAGAAACAGAAAAATAGCACATTCTAAAATGTGTATGTACATGTACGATTTTATTGTACATTTCATAACTCTAATGCTTACAATTTCAGATCTCTGAAGCCTGTTAAAGTGTTTATGTACTTTGCCTAAATTATGTAGGCTTACTTACTGCATTCATGAGGGAAAAAAGTCACTGTTTATTATAATGCTTTTATAAGTTCCATGAGGAAAGTGATTATTGCTACACAAAACTTGATTTCAGAGAAGTAACGTGCCAATATTAAAAGACTAACAAAGGCAGAGACATTTTAAATTAAACCTCTTTGACAATAGAACCCACACTCTTAATGATGTGCTAGATCAACTCACCTCTTTGGTTCTAAATGCATATTTGATATATAAGTCAATTTGTATTCACTTTAAGCATGCGGTGCTCCTGTAGAGCAAATAGTATTTCTGCTTGACAGGTGAGGAAACTGATGTACTGATGGCTCAAAGAAATAGGTGCCTTAAGGAAGTCGACAGTCTATTATTAGATTAAGATTTATGGGCCGGGCGCGGTGGCTCACGCCTGTAATCCCAGCACTTTGGGAGGCCAAGGAGGGCGGATCACGAGGTCAGGAGATCAAGACCATCCTGGCTAACATAGTGAAACCCCGTCTCTACAAAAACACACAAAAAATTAGCCGGGCCGTGGTGGCGGGCGCCTGTAGTCCCAGCTACTCCTCAGGCTGAGGCAGGAGAATGGCGTGAACCCGGGAGGTGGAGCTTTTTTGCAGCGAGCCGAGATCGCGCCACTGCACTCTGGCCTGGGCGACAGAGTGAAACTCCGTCTCAAAAAAAAAAAGATTTATGGCCATGTATTTTCTTTTTAACTGAATCTACAATATTGGTTTACTATATGTACAAAAAAAGATTTTAATTCTTTTAGTTTGGAAAATGGATCTCTCTCTGATATTGTAATATACTTGCTATTGATATTTAATCAACATTTAAATATCTATTTTTATATACCCAGACTGCTATAAGGTGACCAAAATAAAACTTATTTGGAAGCATAAATTAGTTAGCTGAATCAAAAGTAGAATTTCAATGTCTATGTACTGGTTATCACTTTTAGTATGATTTTTTAAAGTTAATAATCATGAGAAATTAGGCTTAAATTTTTGTCCTTTATTATGGCGTGTCATTTATTTAATTAATTTAAAGAATAATAATAATACTATTCTAAGAACTTTATGTGTTATTTCATTTAATTTTCATAACACTTCCTATTGCATTATTATTATTATTATTCTCATTTTATAGATAAATATAGAAATAATAATTTTTTGGCCAAAACATTAGTCTTATAAACTATCTGAATATTTAGGCTCTAGAAGTTCTCACAACTGCCTTTTCTTAGTGGCCTTCCCAGACACTTTCAACTACTAATAACGGGAAGGACAAAGCTACTGAAAATTTTATTATAAAAGAAAGCATAGAATTGTAAGGAAATTGTTATAGCATATTTAGTTTATCTAAGAGTGTTACATGTTCTCCTTTAGTCAGCAGGAGTACAGCTTTTTGCCTATCTAAAGGATTCCTAGATTAATACAAATATTTGGTCTATGGTTTTGCCCAAAGAAATTGCTGTTTGCTAAGTGACGAAAATGAAATTGGTCGCACATCATCTAGAAAAGATGCAACCCATGTACTTTTTAAATGCTTTGTAAATTGCTATTGCTAATTGAGGACAGATGCTTCTATGGACATTGGTTAGGTTAAATTATTTAAGCAATCCAGAAATTGTAGATTTAGCAACAGGATGTACCTGCCCAGGTATCTTAGCTTGCTATTGATCTCATCGAAAGGCACTGGCAGATTAAACCATTTTTGATTTTTAGCAACCGAAAAAGTCTCTTCTACTTTCTTTGGCTTGAAAACTTTACACATTCCTTGGGTGGTAAACTAAATGATAGCTATTCTTTAAGCTACTATTTCATTGGTTTTCTGAAATCTTTTGTTTTTTACTCAGTCTTATCATTTAGCCCCTCATTTTTCAATCTCTCTCTCTACTACTGGACTGTTACATTTTGAGGACAAGAACTATGTCTTACTCATCTTTGTATTTCAGCACTTATTATAACTGACATATAATCCACTCAGTACTGAAAAACTGTATATTAATGAATAGTAAATGACTCATATATAAAATATATGTGAATATAACTAAGTTATATATAAATAATGCAAGCTGAATTAAACATGCAATTTTCAGCTATTAAATTTATTATGCATCTCTCTGTGGTCTCATAATAAATGACACAGTTCAGTTCATAATTTTTTCTAGCTATTAGGTCTTGGTTCTGATTACAAATCATTTGTCCTCTCACTTTTTGAGGTTACTATGGTACACTAACATTTTATTTAGATTTGGTCACAGTCCAGATATTAAACAATGTTTTTCTACCCTTGTCACGAAAGATTCTCCATTTTATTTGAATTGCCTTATCTTAGTCATTGTAAATCTTTGTTTGTTGAATACCCCATCATGTGTTAAGTTCCTTATAGTTCCACTTTATGGGTTGATTAGAAATCTGTGCTGACATTTAAACTTATCCTAGACAATTTGCTTTAATAATGGTAAGTCTCAGATTACTGCTGCATTTTCTGTATAGTTCCACTGTGGTCCCATGCCAAGATGTAGTGACTTCACTGCTCAAATTCTTCTGATGTGGGTTTATTAAATGATATGATTGCAATGAAGTATTGTCCAGCTCACTTTCTCTGGCCGTGATAGATGATGGTAATACTTGCCCTCTCGTTAAGTTGAACATTTTTCTAGTATGGACTAGACACTCCTGTCCGAGTCTTGCTTTTAATCTTTTCTTTTCTGATCACTAGCTTACTGCACTATACTTTCTCCAAATATGTTATCTTGTGATTTGCAATTGCAAGCAGGAAGACTAATACTAGAAGATAAATGCCTTAGAAAACAGTGTTTTGTTTTCTTCTAATATTCATTAATATCTTCTGCTTCGTTCTCTCATAATTTTATTATTGCTGTATCTGGCTGAAATTCTGCCTGTGTGATGGGTTGATGAGTCCCTCCAAAATTTGTATGTTAAATCCTAACTGTGAGGACCTCAGAATATGACCTTTTTTGGAAAAGGAGTCTTTGCAGATCTAATTGTTTAAGACGAGGTCATACTGAAGAAGGGTGAGTCCCTAATCCAATATGATTGGTATCGTTTTAACAAGCGGAAATGTGGACACAGACACACACACAGGGAGAACACTGTGTAAACATGAAGTTAAAGATTAAGGTGATGTAGCAGAGGTCAAGGAACACCAAATATTGAGAGCAAATCACCAGAAACTCTAAGAGAGGCATGGAACATATTTTCTTCACAGCCCTCAGAAGGAACCAACTTTGTCGATATCTCCATGTTGAACCTGTAACCTTCAGAGCTGTGAGACAATAAATTCCTGTTCTGTAAGCCAACTAGTTGTGGTACTGTATTATGGCAACCTACCAAATATATTGACTATAGCTTAATTGTGTTTTTAAAATTTTTACTTGAAATATTAAGGAAGGACTAATTTATTGGACTTAAGTCTAATTTATTGGACTTAATGCATGCAATTTTAAATTTCCTACCACATTTCTTTAGAATTTTTGTTTAGTCTATTTTATTCAACCTTTTCCTATTTCTGTCTCTTTATATAGCTGATTTTTACCTTCAGAATTAAACGTGGTTCATATAGGACAGCAAGGTCATATATTCTAAAACCTGTTGTCTTCCTTTTGCCTGTTTTTACCACATTATCATTTTTCCATATGTAGCACATTATCAAGGTGTTACTCAGTGATGGTTGATCAGGGAAGTTCGGTGTAAAAGATCACCTTATGAAAGCAGAAATAGTGCTGTGAATGTCAAATTACTATCAAAATATTTGTTTCTTCATATGTATTTGTATTAATAATTATAAGTTGAATTTTATTGTATCTACACTGATAATATATACATCATAGTTCTAGTAGTTTGTGATATTTCATGGTTGAATGAGTGAAAATAATGTCATATTTGAAAATAAGATTTGTTATAGTTAATTAAACTGAGTTCTAATTTAGGCATCTCATTAGTGACGTTATTTGAGAGGCTTACTTTACTTGATATGTGAGGGCTAATTATTATGGTTGGTGTTAAGTAAAAGATAAGAAAGATATATATTATCATTCTTTAAAAATTTTAGAATGTAAAATGGGTAATACCAGAATCCTGAGTCCGAGACACTTATTGTTAGAAGCTGTGTAGGGCTTTCTAGGGTAGCAATTTTTAAACTGTATTCCAAGGAGCCTTAAAGATTCTGGAAAGTCTGATTCAGGAGGCAAAACAGAAAGGTCAACATTGTAATGAATGTGCAACTCCCCAATCCTTTTAATGTGAGCAACACATCTTTTATCTATTTTTTACTTGTTTTTTGCTCTTTCATAAGATTCATTTGAAAGATGGTATTTGCTGCTAAGACACGTGTAAACCAATGATCTGGTTACTTGCAATGTATAAATAACACAAGGGTTAATTTAAAAAATAATACATGAAAGCACACTTTTCTAGAATTTTCATATTAATCTGTTGACTTTCAGAGATAAACAAGATTATGGGGATTATTTACCTTAAATGCAGATGCCTATCAGAGGAGGAAATAGAAGACCAAAAATTTTCGTTGTCTTGTTCAAGATCATACAGTTAATTAATAATGAGCTAAGGATCCAGACCAAAATTTTCTATTTTTTTTTTCTAAAGTACAACAATGCTTCCTTCTATAGAAATCACAGTTTTCTAAATATTGAACTGGTCTTTGATCAGTGCCAGTTTTATTACTTTCACGTTTACTTTTACAAAAGAAGTTATTTTAGAAGCAAAATATTTGTGATTGATTTTCTTTATTTTGACTTCTGAGGGGAAAATGTTGTTTGGAATAGTTTCCTGAGATACACCTTCAATAAAAATAAGCATTCCAGTCCTGTATGGAACATATTCCATTTGGATAGTTTCTCAGTTATCAAGAGTCTTTATAAATGGTCAGTTCCCTCCTGCTAGGAAGTAGAAGGGATTTATTATTTTAAATTGGAGACATTTAAATTTTTAAATTAATTCATCATTTTTTATTTGGCAGAGCTAAAAACTGGCTGTACATAGAGATTCCAGTAAAATTTCAATATTCTTCAGCTGCCAAATTCCTTAAGAAAATATACTTAAAACCAAATACTTGCTAGAGCTAGTTGAAGTCAAAAGGCAGACCCTGTGGAATGATCCAGTGCGTTACTCAATGAGTATTTCGGCATTTAAGTCTGGGGAAAGAGACGAAATGAGTGGTTATGTAGCAATCACAGTAAATTAAAAGGAAAACAACCTGGGGAATTAGACAAATTGCTGTACATTTAGAAATTACATATACAATAAGATTATTTTTTAAATAATTATTGTCTGGGCTTTACATCCTGCTTAATATTTAAATAATCTGAGCCAAATGTAACAGTGGCCCATTGAACAAAACCCTCAACGTTTTTGGATTTGGTTTCCAGGGTATACAATACAACCTTTTTGCCATCTGGCATTTCATTCGGGAATATAGCCTTTGCTTGAAAAGGAGAAATATCACAAGCTAAAATTATAGTTAATATAGGGTAAACTGCAGTAACATCTGTGCATATGACAACTTATATTTAGTTGCACCAAAACTTCTTTGGAATTCTAAAGACGGTTTTGAAATTTTGTGAGTTTGTAGACTAAAATAACCCTTATTTTACAAGCACATTTGTTTTCTCATTTGTATTCTCCCATTTCAATAAAGTATATATAGGCAATCAGCTACAGATTTATTTTGAAACCTTTTTTGGAATATTGTTCTTTCTAGTCTTGAGGTTGGCACTTAGTTTTTTTGTGGGTTTGCCGTTGCCTTTTTGAAATGGCTATCTGCACTCATCCCCATTGCCAAATACCCTGTGAGTTTTCATAGTAACGAGACACAGCTGTCCTTTATTTCCTCCCTCGTTAGTCTGAGATTACTTATTACACTATTTCATGTCACTTTTCTGTTTTATTCATGTACTTAATATTTGTTCATATTGGCATATAGTTAATATTTATGCAAAGAAAATAGTGCACAAATATCAAGTATATGCCTTGACAATTTTTGAGAAAGTGAAAACACTAGCGTAATTAACATGCATATTAAAAAAATAAAACTTGAGCCCCTACATGTGCTTCTTTCTAGTCACTATTACTCCCCTTCCCAAAGTTTACCACTATTTGGACTTTGAAAATCATTGTTTCTTTGATTTAGAGCTCTATGTAAATACAATGATAGAATCTAGATACTTTTACTCAATATTATATATGTAGTATTCCTTCATGTTGTATATAACAGTAATTAATTCTGTATGGCATTTCATTAAATGAAGTAAAAAATTTTATCTTATTTTGATGTACAATTTGATTACTTCCAGACTGGGAAATTACAAAAAAGACTGATAAAATTATCATTTATGTTTTGTGTTGACATTATATATACATGATATTATATGTGACATTATATATCACAGATTATATATATATATATATAAAATTAGGAATGTGTCTAGGGGTGGAGGTTTCCATAAGTTCTAAATTTGTTCCGCAAATCAGTTTTCCAAATTGTTTGAAAGAGTTCTGACTTCTTTCAAATATGGTTTTATCAATTTACTTTCACATCAGGAGTATATGAGAGTTCCAGTGGCTGGCTCTACATATATATCAATGTTTGATCATAACAGTATTTTTAATATCATATTCTTTCTGTTGAATGTATTATAATATCATTTGGAAAATATCTTACTATAGAGCCCTTTTTCTTAATTGTGAGTTATGATCTTTTTTCTCATTTTCAATACATACCATGGTCTGATATCTTTACCACTGTCACTTCTAATCCATAAGAAGTGAAGAAACCTGATTAAGATAATGGCAAGAAAGCTGGCTGATATACTGTATGATACATACATTGATACCTGTTATGATTTAAAAAATTAATCCAGCTCTTAGTTAAAATTTTGGATGCCATTTGTATTTATCAGACTTCCATAAACCACTACCTACCATTCTATGGTCATGTTATCTTATTAACAATGAAAAAAAGGAAGTTACTGTTTCACCAGTTTCCTATTTTTATATATTGATTTCCTATTCACCATATTAATTGCTAGCCAGGCTGTCTTCCCTTCCAAATCATCTATGCCTTTCTAAACACAATATAATCTGTTTTATGTCAATATCACATTCTTAGACATGCATTCAATTATGCCATGAATGATGTTGTGTTAGGTAGAATAACAGCTCCTATAAAGTGTTCACTTTGTAATTCCCCGAGTGTGTGAAAACATTATGTTACATGGCAAGGATGAATTAAGGTCGCTAAAAGCTGACCTAAAAATAAGGAGATTAACCTGGATTATCTGGGTGAGCTCAATGTAATAAGAAGGGTCTTAAAAGGGGAAGAGAGGAGCAGAAACACTAGAACCAGAGAAATGGCATCATGAGAAAGCTTGACTGGCCATTGCTGGCTTTAAAGATGGAAGGGGAGGCAAAGCCAAGGGATGCAGGCAGTCTCTAGAATCTAGGAAAAAGCTAGAATAGGAAATCTCCTCTAGAACCTTCAGAAAGAAAAGCAGTCCTACCAATACTTTGATTTTAGTCCAGTGAAACTCATTTCAGACTTCTGATCCCCAGAACTGTTAGAAAATAAATCTGAATTGTTTTAAGCCACTATGTTTGTGAAGAATTGTTACTGCAGTAAAAACAACAACAACACTAATACAAAACTGCATTTCTGGAAGTGGGTACAGCTGTAACAAATAACCTAAGAATATGGACTACTTTGAGATTTGGCAATGGGCAGAGGCGGAAGAATTTTGAGAGCAAAGATAACCAAAGTATAGATTCCCTTGAAGGAACTTTTCAAAGGAATATAGATGTTAGCTAGTTTGTTAGTAAGGACTCAGAAAGAAGTGAGAAGATTTTATATTCTTGTCCTGTTTACTATGTTAGAATGTGATAATATTGAATACTATTCGTTTTGAAAATCTTTATTCCCTCAGTATCTTTAAATTTTTCTTCCATATTTGTTCTTCAAATCTGACTGTGCCATTTGCTTTCTCTTTTTTGCTTGATTCTGTATACATATATTATATGACCTTTTATCTTTTATAAATCTACATGGTTTCTCTAGATAATACATGTGCAATAAATGACTTTACCTACTTCTACACAGATACAAATCACAAATATTTATCTTCAATATAGACCTCCTCATTGAACTACTGACTTAAAAAATCCAACTGCCTAATAAGCATGCTTAATAAGATATTTTTCAGATAATTGAAAATCAACATGTTAAACATTAAACTTCTTCTATATCTCTCACATCTGCCTCTCCTTTTGTTCCCTCTCTAAAGTGTTATTACTACCATCGGTCCAATTAACCTGATAAGAAACTTGAGGTCATCCTCAACTCATTCCTTTTTTGTATCCCCCAAATTGACATGTCCTGCTTTTTAATTTTCTTTTCTAATATGTATTGATCATTTACTATGTGTCAGGTACATTCAAAGTAAAGCACATATATTAATTAGCTTAATAACAAACATAGGACATATTTCATTATCACCCTCGATTACAAAAATATTGAGATAAAAAAAGCACTACCCAAGGTCAAACAGAAGTGAGTAGACAAGAGAGGACTGGGAGTCAAGGAGCCTGGCTATAGAGCTTATGATTATATAAGTATGCTGCACTGTTTTCTCTTGGATTCACCCTCTCTATTTCATTCACAAAACATTCCCTTGCCTTTCTCACTGAATTTTTTCTTTTCTTTTTTTTCTGGATTTCTGTTTTGTTTTGTTTTACTGCCTAAAAGGCTATCTTTTAATTTTAGTCTTTCTCTACTCTGATTCAAACACTATACCACTGTTCAAGCAGTCTTTTAAAAACATAAATCTAAATAACTCATTCCCTTGATTGATACTCTTTAGCACTTTAACAATACATTCAGAACAAAATCCACTTTTACACAGCATTCAAAAGATTTATCAGGAATCACATTACTTATTATAATCTTTTCTCATTTTTCTTTCCTTTCCTTGTACCTTGCTGTTTATTTTCTCCCTAATAAATGCAACACTGGTTCCTTTGCCTTTCCAACCTTTCATGTCAATTAATAACTGCTTTATAATACTTATCACCAGACCATGTATGTGTGTTTGTTCATTGTTTCTCTCCACTACTTGAATTTAAGCTACCTAATGACAAGGACAACATTTTTGTTCACTGCTTTATTCCTAGTGTGTAAAACAGATCCTGGTGTGAAGTTGGTACTCAATAAATATTTTTTGAATTAATCAGAAATCAACTGAAGAAAGCATGACTCTTGACTTCTTTGTATTAAGATCCTGAAATACAAAGCTACTTCAAATAAGAATTAACCACTTTGTTATAACTGCTATCACTAAGCACTGTACATCAGGCCTACCTATTTTACTATATCCTTTCCACTGATTACTATACTTTCTTTTCAAGTAAATCTCCACCAATTGATTGAAATCTTCTTAAAGATATGATTTCCTTCTTTCCTTCTTCCCTCCCTTCCTTCCTTCCTTCTGCTTTTGCTCCTTTCTTAATCATAACTTTAAAATCTCTAATTCTAGCCTAATATTTGACCTTAGATAATCAATAAATGCTCTTTATATGTTATTGAAGCGACACCAATTCCATTTAACTTTAGCAACCGATGTCTTTTTTTAACTCATTAAAAGGGTTTTACAGTTATCTCTTTAGATGACAATACAATCTGATTGCTGTTTCATGTATTTATTTAGGTCTAATTAAACAGTAGCTTGAAGGGTCTTTCTAGCTTCCTTTCCTAACCAGAGTCTAATTTTAGGAATTAAATACTTCTACATAAATTGATAATTCATTATAAACCAGCAGAATGTCTTTTATTCCTCTAAAGTCCGTATTACTTACCATTGTTTTAATTTACAGAGCAATGGTAAAGAAACAAATCATGTTACTGGCCTTTACTGCTACACTCCCCTTTTCTCTTTCCAAAATGGTCATTTCAGCCTCTCTTGTCTTATCATACTTCTTTTATCCTCACTTCTCTTAACTCACAGGTGATAAAGCAATCACACATAAACTCCGTGTTCTGCATTGTACCACATCTACTAGTATACCAGCATCTGTACTCACACTCCTTTCCTACTCTCCTGTTACTATGGGTGGAATTAACATCCACCTGGGCTCCGGTTCCCCTCTTTTCTAACAGTCTCTTATTCCTACAACTGGGATTTCTCTCCTTACTCTACGGATTTCTCTTTCTCTGGTGTGTATTCCCATCAGCTTATGAACATGTTCTAGAAATTCTTACATTTTAACTCTCCCTTGACCTCTAACTATTCTTCAAATCATGACCTTCACAGTAAAACTTCTTGAAAGAACTGACTGTAATTAATATTTTCACTTTCTAGTTTTATACTCTGTCTTTATTCCAGCTCTGTAGAGTTTTGACTTTACCATATTCTGGAACTTTTCTATAGCAAGAACAGTTAGTATTCTTATTGCCTTATTTCTAAATCTGTTGAATATCTTGATTTATCTTAATTAGCTTAATTCATAGTATTTGACATGGTTGACCAAAACCACTTAAAAAAAAACCACGTACATTTCTATTTAATCATGTCCTTCAATAAGAAAAATATTTGTAATTTTTCAGCAATATTCTCAGAGAACTGCTGCAAAACTTATAATTGTCCCACTTAATACATTATCACAAAGTTAATGCACCCTTGTCTTCACCCAAGTGAAGAAATAGAATATAACCAGCAACTCAGAATTTCTCTCATTCCCTAGTTCATTGTGCCCTACCTTGTTCTTCCTTAAAAGTCATCACTAGTCCAGCTTGTAAAATCATAGATTCATTTTGCCTGTTTTTGAATTTTATATAAATGTTATTAGACAAGTTTTTGAATGACTCTTCCCAATATTGTATTTGAGATTATTTTATAGCTTGTTTGTTCATTTTTATTATGTGTAATATTCCATTATATACAATATACTGCAATTCATGTATCTGTTTTACTATAGATTGAAAGTTTGGTTGTTTCAAGTTGAAAGTAATGTTATAAGCATTCTGTACATATCTTATGTCACATATGTGCTCATTTGTGTTGAGTAAAAAAGTAGGAGTAAAATTCCAGGGTCATAGAATATGCACGAGTTCGGAGTTAGTGGAGGTGTCAAACAGATTACCAAAGTGCTTGTCTAAATATACATTTTCAGCAGCAGTATATAAATTCTAGTTTCTCCACATCCTGGTCAAAACTTGGTATTGTTAAGTTTTTTTTTTTAATTTTTGTCAATTTAGTGTGTGTTTTTTGCAGTATAATTGAACTTTTTCTGGGTTTTCCTTACCCTGTTGATCCAGTTTCTTGCCTTTTGTTCTGTCATTTCATTATATCTTATATTCCATTACTCCTCATGAGTAAAGTTTTAAAAATTATCTATTTTTATTTATTAGGGTTTTGGAAAGGGATTAAGTTAAATGTATGTTTACCATCCACTATATTTAGCAAAATCTATAGAAATAATTTTAATTGAAAAGAAAAGATGCAATAAACATGAACATATGTAAAAAATTCAAGTGTCAGTCTCAAATGGGATACATTTCTATAAATCGTGATTAAATTTAATTCATTTTTATTGTTATTCTGGTAAAGTCTAATATATTAAGTAGAAGTAGTTTAACTCAGTATATTTTAGGTACTCTATATTATTTTAAACTTATTTGAGTCTATGTGGGGTGTTCCCCATAGGTTCATTAAAATTGTAGCTATACATTTTAAACCTAATAACTATAGAATTTGATCATGTCATTTGATAATGTTATGTTTCTTGTTGCTCATTTTAACATTCTTAGTTTTTATTCTTAAATAAAAGGAATTCCTTCAGGTCTACTTTTCTTATTATACAAATACAGTACATTGAGTAAATAAACTAACACACATAAATTGAAAATAACAATTTCTTGATCTATGGAATCCCAATTTAATTATTTCTCTATAGAGCCTACTTTGGAGACCATATTATATAACAATTTACAACCCTTTTAGTTTTAAAAACTCTGGTCTTTAATATACAATAACTTTTTCTGCGGAGTAGAAAAAGCAATCAGGTAAGTGGCACATTAAAGAAAAATATTTTGACATTTTAAAAAAGCTTAATTTTAAGCAATTTCAGGTTATTTGTTCTACAGATACCCCAGATTCCATCCAGCTATGTAGTTTTCTTTACTTGCGAGCACATGGAAAATAGATGCTGAGTTGTTAGAGTAAGATATATTTAACAGGTAGTTTTAAAAGGAAATATAATATTTATTTTTAGAGGGTCGAGTTTAGGTATTGAAATTGAGGTCCTACTACTTCTTCTTTTTCCAAATTTCTTTGAGTTGATAATCAATAATAAAGCAAATAAGATAATACTTTTATAAATCACCAAGCAAGTTTCCAGCACCCTATATTGTAAGTATAGTTTCTCTGATACTTGCTGAGTGGAGAAATACAGTTCACACAAAAGACCTAAACAGGTTTCCTAATTCTAGGTCTTTTAAAAGGAAATGAATGCATCTGAGAGATGGAGTCGAGTTCATTTTTCTGGGCAGCAGCATGAACATGTGTGATCAGACCTTCATTAGGGATCTCACAGGTGTGCTTGTTATAGGAAGTCAATAAATAGAGAACCCACAGAGAGAGTGCTGGCTTTCACTAGAGTGATGTGGCCTGCTAGTAAAACATGAAATGATGAATGTACTGAAATTCAGGACAAATTCATTATTTTATTGTCTGGGGATAGAGATGATGTGAGACAGTAAATAAAAGAATATATTGGCTGGGACGGAGGCTCATGCCTGTAATCCCAGCTCTTTGGGAGGCCAAGGCAGGCAGATCATTTGAGATCAGGAGTTTGAGACCAGCTTGACCAGCATGGTAAAACGCTGTCTCTCCTAAAAATACAAAAAAAATAGCCAGGCGTGGTGGTGCATGCCTGTAGTCCTAGCTATTAGGGAGGCTGAGGCAGGAGAATCTCTTGAACCCAGGAGGTGGAGGTTGCAGTGAGTGGTACCACTGCACTCCAGCCTGGGTGACAGAGCAAGATTCTGTCTAAAAAAAAAAAAAAAAAAGAATATATGGAAAAAAAAAATCAAAAGTTCTTTCCATTGGTTTCTCCTGAGGCCTCTCTCCTTAGCTTGCAGAAAGCAGCCTTCTCACTGTGTCCTCACATGGCCTTTTCTCTGTGCCTGTGCATCCACACATCCTCTCTTCCTTTTCTTATAAGGACATCAGTCAGATTGGATTAGAGCCCACCAGAATAACCTCAATTAACTTTAGTTACTTCTTTAAAGGTCCTATCTCCAAATACAGTCATATTCTAAGGTAATTTGTATAGAACTATATTGGAAATGGGGACACAATTCAATCTGTAACAAAGGGGCAGAATTTTGAATAATTTTATTTGAGGAACAGAAATGCCCCTTTTCCTTTCCAGCTAAGATGGAGAATACTAACCTGAATACATGCTTCAAATAGCATTCATTCAAGGAAGGCATGCAAGCCCCCACGTGTTTGGTTATCCACAAGCTCATCCAAACTCTATCATTTTGGGCTACTATGAAGGCTTCATTAAGTAGGCATGATTGATTAAATCACTGGCCATTGGTGATCAACTCACCCTTGTTTCCCCTAACAAGACAAATCCTAGTTCTATTGCATGATAAAAATTGCATGATGCAATTTTGAAATAATTGTTTTTATTAGTAAAGCACTCTGAAAAACAAATCAATGTAAAATCTATCTATGCCTAATGAATTTTTTTCCAAAAACCTTAAATGGTTAAGGTGAACAAGAGGTTAGGAACATGATTCCTATATGGCGGAAGTAAATGTATAACTAATGTTTTAACCTAAACAGAACGAAAACTTCATCTAGCACATAGTAAATAGTAATTTTTTTGGTTGATGATAATGAAATGGAGAAAAGATAGAAAAATCAAGTTGACATAGTAGAAATATTATTAATTCATTTAGTTTATTTATTTATTTTTTCTAGAGACAAGGCTTTACTCTGTTGCCCAGGCTGGAGTGCAGTGGTGAAATTATACCTCACTGCAGCCTTGAACTCCTGGGCTCAAGTGATCCTCATTCTATAGCCTCCTGAATAGTTTCCATTCTATTTAAAATATATAACTAGATATCTCACAAATGCTTCAAACTCATCAGTTTTCACCTATACCATATTTACTCCTTCTTTGAAATTCAGTTTCTTGCAAAATGTCATCCCCATTCTCTCTATCATACCTGACAGGAACTTAGGAGTCATTATTAACTTCTCAAATTCACACTTCCAGTCACCAAATCCTTTAATTTCTACCTTCAGAAAACTGACTTACTTATGTTTCTTTATCTCCATGCCCAATGATACTGTTTTTTGTAGACATACATATATAAATATGTATAGATATATAGATATTTAGCTTGTTTTACTCTATTTTACCAAGCTGTTTTACCAGCCCCATCTCTACCACTCTCCTACCAATTTCCCAGTTTGTTTCCAGAAAGATCTTTGTAAAATACAAATCTGATAATACCAATAATTAACAAATGTTTTGTCTTTCATCATCTGCAGGATGCAACTGAAACCTCTTGAGAGGACATACACATCTTTTGACCCTGCTGCTGTCTACATTTCTGACCCCTGTAATTGCCAAATATGCATATATTCAAGTTATACTAAAATATTTTATAGGTTGAAACCTTATGTTTTATATGTTAATCAGTCTGCCAAGAGACATACCTGTTCTCTTTTTCACTCCTGGCTACCTCTTCCCTGTCCTTCAGAATGAAAGTTTCTCCCCCATAGGAAACTCTTCTCATTACTACCCCTCTCTTTCGGACTTAAGTACTTGCCTACTTTATTCCTCTAGCAACCCATATATAGCTCTACCACAGGATAAACACTGTGCCATCATTGTTTGCTCACTAATTCTAATGCCTATCTAGAATGTGGATTCCTTGGACTCATGATGAATGTCTGTTCTTATTTGTTTGCTTATACTGCTTTGAGTAGAAAATAAGTTTTTCCCACTCTCTTACAACATGTTTCTAACACCCAATGTGTAGAGATTTCCCCCAGCAGCAAGCAAACAATCAATTCTGCAGTAGATACCAACTGGGTGTCCTCTAAGTCAATTTAATTTCTGACACCATCTACCTACCTACGTGGGATAGTGACAGATCACACAGATTGAGGACTCAGCCCTACAGGACTGGCCCCATTTCTGATGCCAGTCACAAGCCCCAGGTTATTTTGCCTGTGCTTCTGAACAAATGGCTATAATTTGGGGCTCCCACAGCTCCCTCCCTGGGTTTGATTAACTTGCTAGAGTGGTTCAGAGAACTCAGGAAAACACATTTACTGGTTTCTTACAAAATATATTTTAAATAATACCATTAAACAGCCATATAAAAAGATACATACGATGAGGTCTGGTACAATCCTTAGCACAGAAGCTTCTGTCCCATGAAGTTGAAGTGCACCACTCTTCCTGCACATGAATATGTTTTTCACCTTCCTGGAAGCCCCCACGTGTTTGGCCATCTGAAGCCTCATCCAAACTCTATCATTTTGGGCTACTATGAAGGCTTCATTATATAGGCATGATTGATTAAATCATTGGCCATTAGTGATCGACATACCCTTGTTTCCCCTAACAAAACAAATCCTAGTTCTATTGAATGATAAAAAATTTAAATTCTAGGTTTCAAAGCTCCTAGGCAAAGAGTGTAGAAAATAATCCCTTCATTATAATGAACAAGTAAAATAAGCAGGTCTTCAGTGGTGGAATTTTGGGGTTATTTAAGAGATGCTCATAAATTAGAGGCCTGCTTGGATTTGACAAATATTATACATAAATGCATAGTTAATGCATTCTTTTTGGATACTTAACTCTTTTAGTTACTTATTGGTATGTACAAATCACCAAAATCTCAGTCACTTACAGTAACAATTTCCATTGATTATCTGTCAGAATTCTCTGGGTTGGCTGGGCTTAGTAGGAGTAGTTTTGTCTGATCTACATAGCACTGGCTGGACTACTTTGATTTAGAGGCTTGGCTGGGGCTGGGCCAGTCAAGATGACTCATTTATGTATCTTGCTGCTGGTGCTGGCTTTTGTCTGGGGGTTTAGGTAGGGTTGTTGAGAGAGCTTCGGCTTGCATAATAAGAGTAAGATAAAAAGATGAGAAATATGTTTTTAAGCATTAGATTGTGGAGAGCTTGAATGTCATATTGAAGAATTTGACTTTTAATTATTGAAGGATGATAAAATACATTAAGTAAGAGATTGATTTTTAAATTTGTTTCCTTGCTATTTTTTACTGAATGGAATTTTAGTGACTGGATAAAAGTTGCATGAGAGTTAAAGGAAACACTTAGGATGCTATTCATGTGCCAGTTGAGAGTTTATAAAAGATGGAATAAAACAGTAACATTGGTTAGAGACAAAAAGCAAATTTGAAAGACGTTGATGATATAAAATTAATAGAACTTGATTAATTGCCTTGGGGAGAAAAGAGAGAGATCACATTTGAGGATGACTTTGAAGCTTCGAATTTGGGGATTTAGATGATTCTGACATTATTCATGGAGTTAGGAAACAGGAAAAGTAATAAACTTTCTAGGGAAGGTAAAGAGTTCAGTTTAGTTTATATTAAGTCTGAGGTGGCTTTAGGGCATCCAGATACTTTGAAATATGGCTTTCAGCATGAAAGAGAATGAGGGAATAGAAATACAGATTTTACAGTCATCAAAAATGGACTTTGGAAAATAGCATTACTCAAAATGAGACTGGCACGGTTCTATATTATTGTAGGATTATAAATAGGCTCAATGATATTGTCAAAGAAATTAAATAGCATGAGAAATGCTCCTATTAGAATAAGTAGGGGAATGTATCCTAAGCCGGATATGTAATATGTATTTAACAATTGTCTTTCAGTTCACTGGAATACTTTGAAATGGAAATTTTGTTTCCCCTGACAAAACAAATCCTAGTTCTAGTGCATGATACAAGTTTGAATTCTAGGTTCAAAGTTCCTAAGCAAAGAGTATTAGAAAACTATCTTCATTATAATTAACAAGTAAAATAAGCAGGTGTTGAAATTACAGTTTCTCAAGCTTAAGAAATAAATCAGGATGGGGCCATTAAATTGTCTTTTATGGAGATAAATGCATTATTTAGTAACACAGGAAAATGGCTACATAATGTCTGCCTCCTTTTGATCTAAATCACATACAGTCAGTGTGGATAATAAAAATTTATTTGTATAAGTAAATTGTACAGTACTCCAGGCCTACTTCGTTTCTAGTTGGTCTTCGTATTAAACAGAATGTAGATATTTAAAGATCCAATGAAAATATAACAACAGGATTTTCTATTCTAAGTATCAAAGTAACCACTGAAGGAAGAAATCAGATTTTGATTTATTCTTTTTGTAAGTAGACATTTAATGATCAATTCAAAGGTTAGTAATAAGAGACCCAGAAACCATTTTTTCTTTTTTTTTTGGATATGGATGCTCGCCTGTTGCCCAGGCTGGAGTGTAACGGCACGATCTCGGCTCACTGTAACCTCAGCCTCCCAGGTTCAAACAATTCTCCTGCCTCAGCCTCCCAAGGAGCTGGGATTACACGCTCCCACCACCATGCCCAGCTAATTTTTGTATTTTTAGTAGAGACAGGGTTTCACCATGTTGGCCAGGCTGGTCTTGAACTCCTGACCTCATGATCAGCCTGCCTCGGCCTCCCAAAGTGCTGAGATCACAGGCATGAGCCACCGTGCCCAGCCTTGCAGAGAAATTTTAAGCAGTGCTTCCTCAAGAATGTTGATACAATAGCCTGGAGTGTTTATAGCAAAGGTCAGAAAAAACTTTTGTAATATTCCACATAATACCTGCCTAGAAGCCAGGGATTGATTGTAACACCAGCACCAACCCTCTAGATGGAAACCAAAGTTTTTACCTGTTATAATAATAGCACTTGTGGAGAGATAACATAAAATAAATGCAACAAACGACAAAAATGAAATTGTAAAAAGATTAAAAAATTTTTACATGACAAAAGCATGTAAATATATCTAAAAAGTACATGTCTAATGTTTTTCTATTCCTAATCTATTTGTTATCATTATATAACAAACTAGTATGTTTTACAGAATATTATGAAATTACAGAAAAGCATAAAGAATAAAAGTAGTCACTCATAACCCAATATTAAAAGGAAAGCTCTATAAATATTTAGGTATATAAATATGTATCACATACTAAACATATGTATCTATGAATGTATACAATTTATATTTTATAATTTAAAGAATCACCAATGTTATGAGCATTTTTCTGTGTAACTAGAGAATGCATTTATCTGCAGAGAGGTCAGTTTTATGGCTCCTTCATAATTTATTTCTTAATCATGAGAAATTATAATATAAAATTATTGGATGTCAGGCAGTGATATAGTAGTATACGGAAGTTATCAAATAAACAGTCCCTAGAACTGAACAAATATATTAAAACCAAAATGAAGATAAAATGATTATAGGATGTTTTTATGCAACAGTAATTAGATAAAGTTGGTGGGAGGAGGGAGGATAGGTGCAGAGAGCTTAGGTAAGGAAGGACTTTCAAAGTCACACTTACTGAATACAGATTTTATCCTGAGGGCATGCTTATATACAGAAGCATACTTTAATAAAATCAATGCTTGTAAAAGATTGATCAAGTAGTCTTTTGTTGTGGGAATAGAGTGAGGAAATAGTGAAAACAAGACTAGTAAAGAGGTTATTGTAGGAACCCCTGCAAAAGATGAAAGGAATAGTGATGTAGAGAATGGAAAGAAAGGACAAGATTTGCTTCAGTAGCACATATACTAAAATTGGAACAATATAGAAAAGATTAGCATGAACCTTTAAAAATAAAAAAAAAAACAGTACTAGGAGAATTGTTTCAAATAGCAGTTACATACCTGAGTCATTCTGATCAGAGAAAACAAAACAAAACAAACAACAAACATTACCTAGATTAGGAACAGAAAATTTGAAGCTATGGTAACACTCTCAACTCAAAACTGTGGTGGCTACTTGGAGTATAAGAAATGATTCTGTGTTGCAATTCTGAATAGATAATAGTGCATTTAACTTTGCAAGAGTCATCTGTAACATCAGAGCCTTGAGCAAGAATAAGCTTTCTTACAAATAAAAGGAGTAAATAGCAAAATTTTTGGACCACATCCGAGGGAATGTCCACAGATAGGAGGGCAAGAGGATGAAATATAACCAAGGAGAGAAGAGAGAAAAGCAATAGCAGCTGGATTTGGGCAACAGTATCAAATTATGGATAGGAATAAAATAATGAGAACTGGAAAACCTGTTGCACATGAAAAAAACTTCTTGGAGGATTTTCAAGAAGGCAGTTTCCTGTAATATGGAAGACTAGAGTTGGTCCACAGATTAAGGAGAATAATGAATTTCCTTATATGTCGTCACTCAGACTAAAATAATGACTAAAGGATGGAAAGTGGAGAGTAGCTATATAAGTCAGTAGGTGGGAGTTGTTTTTAAAAAGGAGTTAATGAATACATTTGAAAAGAAAGATATTAGCCAGGAGAAACCCTTCCTTCTCCATTCACTTTTTTTTTTATTGAAATTTACCTTGAGAATCTGGAACCCATATTTCACTTAACTTTTGACCCTATAGCCATCTCTAGGATATATGGAAGACAGAATACAGAGTGAGTGAGGTTAGCAGAGGAAAAAGCAGGCACATTCATACTATCTGCAAGGAGCTACACATTTATATATCACACCATTCTGGAAATTTCCTGGACATTTTTTTGGTCTCCTATGACCACTCCAATTTATTTTAAAATGTTTTTGAAATTTTAATAGCTTTAAGGGTATATAAGTGGTCTTTTTGGTTACATGGATGAATTGTATAGTGTGAAATCTTGGATTTTAGTGCAACCATCACTTGAGTAGTGTACATTGTACCCAACAGGTAGTTTTTCATCCCTCATCTCTCTCCCACTCTCCCCTCTTCTGAGTCTCCAATGTCTATTACACCACTCTGTATGCTTTTGAATATGCATAGCTTAGGTCCCACTTACATGTGAGAATATGCAGTATTTAGTTTTCAATTTGTGAGTTACTTCACTTAAAATAACAGCCTCCAGCTCCATCCTAGTTGCTGCAAAAGACATTATTTTATTGTTTCTTAGGGCTCAGTAGTATTCTATGTTGTGTGTGTGTGTGTGTGTGTGTGTGTCTACACACTACAGTTTTTTATCCACTCATCTTTTGATAGGCGCTTAGGTTGATTTCATATATTTGCAGTTGTGAATTGTGCTGAGATGCACATGCAGATGTCTTTTTGATAAGTGGTTTCTTTTCCTTTTGACAGAGGATTTTTCTTGACCACTTTGCCAGCCTTGCTTGGGCCCAGGCTCATGGCAGGAGATGCCCTGTCTACTTGGCCCACTGGGCCGCACCTGGCTTACACTCCAGCACAGATCCAGTGACCACCACAACTTCATACTCAGCCTCTGGCAGGAGTGGGTGTGTGAGCAAGTGAGTGCAGGGTCCAGCCGGCTGTTCTAAGTGCCAGCACAAGAACAGGCTCTGTGTGGGGCTTGTGGTTGGACCAGATGTGTCACAAGTGTCTTCCATGGTGGACTCTGACATCCATATGAGGGTTGCCTGTGACCTTGATGCCCTAGATAGGGTGTTACGGCATGCTAATTAGCTCTTTTAGTCCACACGTCTACAGCCCGATAGGCGGCAGTGTGTGAACAACTCAGTTCTGTGATTCTGCTCTGGCCTGCAGCTCCATGGCTGGCTTGGCCCTGCCTCTGCTTGCCATTATTGTTTCCCATCGTGTGGGGTGGCTGCCCTCTGCTGGAAAGGGCCACAGTGTTACAACCTTCTTTGTACCTGAGTTTGGTGGGTCAAAAGTTCTTGTCCTACATCCAAGAAGAATGAATTTATGTTGAATTGAAGGATGAGGAGAGCGGAGAATAATTTTATTGAGCAACAAAATTGCTCTCAGCAGAGAGGGATGTGAGGGTGGTCAGCCACCTGAAGTCAGGTGGTCTGTCTTTCTGTGTGGCAGGGTCTGGAGGTTTTATGGGCTCAGAATTGGAAGTGTGTGCTGATTGGCTTCTGAGTACGCAGAAAAGGCTAAAACAAAGGCATTATTCAAAGGTGGGTAAGACAGTGCAAAAAAACAATTAGGGAAGGGTAGGTGTATGTAAACCAGGTGAAAGGTGAGGATCAATCAGAGGAAAGCACACAAATCAGGAACAGAAGTTCTCAGTCAGGTCTGTGGATTTGACTTGTAGCTTGACTTTCAGACTTTAAACGTATCTTTGGCTTGAAAGGGGGTTTCACCAGGGACCAAGCCCTATCTGTCTATGGATTTCTCTGCCTCCTGCAGCTATCACTTTGGGTAGATATTCAGTAGTGGGATTGCTGGAGTGAATGGTAGGTATATTTTTAGTTCTTTGAGAAATTTCCGTAGTGTTTTCAATAGAGGTTGTGCTAATTTATATTCCCACCAGCAGTGTATAAGTGTTTCTTTTCACCTTGTCTACACCAAGATCTATTGGGTTTTTTTTTTTTTGACTTACTAGTAATGGTTATTCTGGTGGGAGTAAGGTGGTATCTCATTGTGGTTTTAATTTGCATTTCCCTGATCATTAGTGATGTTGAACATTTTTTCATGTTTCTTGGCCATTTGTATAGCCCCTTTTGAGAAATGTCTATTCATTTCCTTTGCCTGCTATTTAATGGGATTTTTTTCCCCCTGTTGATTAATTTGGGCTCATTGCAGATTCTGGATATTAGTCTACTGTCAGAAGCATAACTTGTAAATATTTTCTCCAATTATGTAGGTTGTCTGTATACTCTGATGATTATTTATTTTGCTGTGATGAAGCTTTTTAGTTTAGGTCTCATTTATTTATTTTTGTTTTCATTGCATTTGATTTTGGGGTCTTAGTCATAAATTCTTTGTGTAGGCCAATGTCCAGAAGAGTTTCTCATAGGTTTTCTTCTAGAATTTTTATGGGTTCAGGTCTTAGATTTAGAACTTTAATCCATCTTGAGTTAATTTTTGTACATGGTGAGAGATATGGATTGAGTTTCATTCTTCTACCTGTGGCTGTCCAATTTTTCCAACATGATTTATTGAATAGGGTATCCTTTTTCTAATGTATGATTTTGTATGCATTGTCAAAGATCAGTTGGTTGTGTTTGGCTTTATATCTGCATTCTCCATTGTGTTCCATTGATACATATATATCAACATTTATAACAGGTACCATGCTGTTTCGGTTACTATAGCCTTGTAGTATAATTTGAAGTTGGGTAATGTGATACCTCCAGATTTGTTCTTTTTGCTTAGAATTGCTTTGGGTATTGGAGCTCCTTTTTGGTTCTGTATGAATATTAGGATTGTCTTTTCTATTTCTTTGAAGAATAATGCTGGTATTTTGATAGGAATTGCATTGAATCTATAGATTGCTTTGGGCAATATGGTCATTTTCATGATATTAATTCTCCCAATCTATGAGCATGGGATAAATTTCCATTTGTTTGTGTCATCTATGGCTTCTTTTAGCAGTGTTTTATAGTTCTTCTTGTAGAGATTGTCCACCTCCTTAGTTAATTATGTTTCTAGGTACTTTATTTTTTGTAGCTATTATAAAAGGAATTAAATTCTTGATTTAATTCTCAGCCTGATCATTGTTGGTGCTACTGATTTGTGTACATTGATTTGGTAACCTGAGGGCTTGGAATGGCAGAGGTCTCAGTGTTGATCACTTTTTTTGACATTAATTTTCCTCAATATTTTATTCACTGGGTTGAATATTTCAGGTTTCAGGCCAGTAGGAGGTGCCTATAGGTAAAAACCAGCTCTGTCTAAAGCAGGTGGGTAAATGCAATACTCCAATGGTGAGCAGAGGTCCTAGCCTTGACAGAGGCAGCTGGGGAAGCTCTCAGTGAAATGCACTGAGGTCTTTTTAGGGGAAAGGGAGGGAGTCCCCACAGCTCTCCTTCCAGGCCAGCAGGAAAGGAATCTGCCTCCTGGTCACACTCCTGACCTGGTGTTCTGGCTATTTAGATCAGAAAAGCACCTCTTTTCATCTGCAGGAATACTGATGTTCCTGTAGAGAGTGATTGTGATTTTTACCCCTCATGCAAATCCTAACCTGGAGAGCACTCCTCCTGTGGGAATGCAGTTACCCTGAAGTGTTGCATAGACTGCAGGTTGCATGGCTACAGGTGCAGTCATGATGAGCTCCTGTAGGGGGAGCCCCAATTGTGTTTGCAGTAGTGAGAGATGGGGAGAAATAGTCACTCTCCATTACTTTTCATGTGTACCAGGACTGCCTGACTGTTGGGATAGAGACTCCCCCCACTGAGCCCAGTGTACCTGTGCCTCTGCTGAAATAAACTTCCCACAAATGGAAAGATCTAGGACTCAAGGCCTGCAGTCTGGTTTCTTTTGTCCCATGGGTTTCTTCCCTAATGTGGTGCACTTTCCCTTCCCCTAGGAGTAGAAGTTGCTGAAGACCAGACTACTGTGAATCCTGCTGCTCCTCTGAGTCTAGCCACCCAGTGGAGCTGCCACACTTGGGCTGGTCCTGGGGCATGTCTGCAAGGTATTCAGTGATGTGACCTGCCCTCTAGTTTCCCAGCAGTGGGAACCAGCACCAGCTGTCATGGAGGTGTGAGAGGAGTGGCATAGATGCTGAGGCTTCCTTTGTTGTGTATAGCCTTAGTATGTTGGCCTTCTCAGATGCCAGCTGTAATAGTAACATACTGGGTGTGTGGACAGACTGAAGACTTTCTAGTTATTAGCCAGGATGATGCAGGCAATGGCGATAGCTGAGATCATGCAAAAGTTTTCTACTTCCTGAGTGCTGTGTTATTTTATCTACAGATGCTGTAATGGGCTATGCAGGTTGGCCTCTAGCTAAGAGGTGGCATTTGCAGAGAAGCATCACCAGTAGTGGTAGTGGTGGAATTTATGCTTACCTTATGTAACCAGGGGAGTACTCTGATGTTTCAGGAAATGGCTGGGCCGTGGAGCTCCCAAACGTCCCTGTCTTTTGTGTTATGCTACCAGGGCAGGTACAGGGGCTAATCTGGGTGGGGGCTGGGTCAGGTAAGTCTGTACTCTGGTTCTCCACACGTGGACACTAGCAGTGGCCCCATTGGGTATTAGAGGGCAGTTGCTGGCTGTGGCATAATATTCCAGGGAGGAGTGCAGCTGCCTCTGTTACACAAAAGAATCTGCATGGAGTGGGAGTTGGGGTAGCAGGCAGCAGTAAGCCCACTCAGATTCCTTGGCAAGGCAGGTCTCACACAGAACACACAGTGTTCTGTTAGCAGCAGCTGGCTGTGTTCCGGCAGCCTCTGCTCAGAACTCAAAACTGCCCTAGGCCATAAGCCTTCTCAACGGAGACAGAAACCACAGCTTCCAGGCCATTCCTAGTCTGCCTATGGAGCAGGGATGTCTAGCTCCTGTACCCATAGCCATAGTGTGCTTCCTGCTCACCCCTCAATTTTGGCCAGTGGGGTTCATCCCCACTCAAGATTAGGTCTCATATCTCCGTTGGGAGCTTCTGTCAACCTGTGATCACTGGCTGTGTTAACTGGCAGATTTCTGCAAGGTCCCCTGTGAGGTAGAGTTGCAGGACTTTTCCTTAGTTCAGCTAAAGATGGGGTCTTCGTCCCATGACCACAAAAATTCAGGCTCTCAGACAATTCATGGTGAGTAAAACAGGGTTTTATTGGGTGAAAAGGGGAAAACAGGGATTCTAGGCCAGAATCCCTGCTAGAGCGCTTCCAGCCTGCAGCTTGAATCCCAGGTTCCACACAGGAAGAGGAGGGGCCAGGCTCCTCCCTGCTGCAAATGGCACAAACTTCCTAAGGCTCCACCCCAGTGCTCAAGCTGGTTGGAGTTTTTCCAGGAATTCCCTCCTACCTGGTTGTCTCATTCCCCTCTCTAAGGAAGTACATCTGACTTAGATTAAGGATAAGGACGAAGACCCATTTTAACTGCTTCCTGCTGACAGGGGGCACTGTTTTTGAGGAAATGGCAGTCAGAGCTCCCTCAGAGGCCTAATTAAGGGCTTCCAGCCAAAGGGGCCAGGGTCAGAGGCTCCAGCTGCATGAACGTTTTGAGTTTGATGGCCTGAAGTCAAGAACAGACAAACTGGGTTATTTGAAAACATGTATCAAAATGAAACAAAAGGAGGGGTAAGGACAGCTCAAAAATGCCAAGGCCTTTTACCAGTTTGCACAAGGAGAGGGATGCCAAAAGCCCAACTTGTAAAAAAACAAAAAAACCAGAAAAACAAAAAACTTCACCCTTTTGCTGGCATGTTGGCATTCTGAGTTTTCTTCCCCTGAGCTCAGTCCTAAGCCTTGGAAAAATTAACCCTTTCCAGTTTGGAGGATGCATCTGAGGGGAGTGTCCAGTAGTTCGGAGACAAAATTACCTGACTGTGAAGAGAGGAGCAGGGAGGAGAGAAGAAAAAAGAGGCATTTTTTTTCAAAGGAGTCCCAGGGGTTCAGGATGCATTTGAAAGGGGAACAGCCTGAAGATGAATGGCTATCCATCTATAAAGAGGGGAGCAGGTATCCCTGGTTCCCTTCTCTTCCTAGCAGATACTTGGGCATGTGAGGGGGAGACAAAAGAGTGTTCCTTTTCCCTCTTCCATCCTTGCATACCCGAGTCCTGGAAACCTTGGCAGGCATGACCATGAGTGTCAAAGCGACTTGCACCCGTGAAGCAGGGAGGACCTAGAAAATAGGAATTATCTGCTCTGACCTATTCCTCTATCCCCTCAACTGTCAGTAGCCTTAGAGTTCCCTTGACCTCATTTATGCCATGGATATTAATGTGGCTTTTATCTGTGAAACGGGAAGCTTGGGTTGGCGTAATTGGCAGAAATCAGCCAGGCTCACCTGCATTGTGCCTTTTATTATATTCTATTTTTGTTTAAATAATATTTTATTTTATTTTTTTTATTCTTTGATTCCTTTTTTTAATTATATTTTAAGTTCTAGGTTACATTTGCACAATGTGCAGGTTTGTTACATATGTATACATGTGCCATGTTGGTGTGCTGCACCCATTAACTCGTCATTTACATTAGGTTTATCTCCTAACGCTATCCCTCCCCACTCCCCCCACCCCACGACAGGCCCCAGTGTGTGATGTTCCCCTTCCTGTATCCAAGTGTTCTCATTGTTCAATTCCCACCTATGAGTGAGAACATGCGATGTTTTGTTTTCTGTCCTTGTGATAGTTTGCTGAGAATGACGGTTTCCAGCTTCATCCATGTCCCTTCAAAGGACATGAACTCATCCTTTTTAATGGCTTCATAGTATTCCATGGTGTATATGTGTCACATTTTCTTAATCCAGTCTATCATTGTTGGACATTTGGGTTGGTTCCAAGTCTTTGCTATTGTGAATAGTGCTGCAGTAAACATACGTGTGCATGTGTCTTTATAGCAGCATGATTTATAATCCTTTGGGTATACACCCAGTAATGGGATGGCTGGGTCAAATGGTATTTCTAGTTCTAGATCCCTGAGGAATCACAACACTGACTTCCACAATGGTTGAACTAGTTTACAGTCCACCAACAGTATAAAAGTGTTCCTATTTCTCCACATCCTCTCCAGTACCTGTTGTTTCCTGACTTTTTAATGATTGCCATTCTAACTGGTGTGAGATGGTATCTCATTGTGGTTTTGATTTGCATTTTTCTGATGGCCAGTGATGATGAGCATTTTTTCATGTGTCTTTTGGCTGCATAAATGTCTTCTTTTCAAAAGTGTCTGTTCATATCCTTCACCCACTTTTTGATGGGGTTGTTTGTTTTTTTCTTGTAAGTTTGTTTGAGTTCATTGTAGATTCTGGATATTAGCCCTTTGTCAGATGAGTAGATTGCAAAACTTTTCTTCCATTCTGTAGGTTGCCTGTTCACTCTGATGGTAGTTTCTTTTGCTGTGCAGAAGCTCTTTAGTTTAATTAGATCCCATTTGTCAATTTTGGCTTTTGTTGTCTTTGCTTTTGGTGTTTTAGACATGAAGTCCTTGCCCATGCCTATGTCCTGAATGGTATTGCCTAGGTTTTCTTCTAGGGTTTTTATGGTTTTAGGTCTAACATTTAAGTCTTTAATCCATCTTGAATTAATTGTAGTGTAAGGTATAAGGAAGGGATGCAGTTTCAGCTTTCTACATATGGCTAGCTAGTTTTCCTAGCACCATTTATTAAATAGGGAATCCTTTCCCCATTTCTTGTTTTTGTCAGGTTTGTCAAAGATCAGATGGTTGAAGATGTGTGGTATTATTTCTGAGGGCTCTGTTCTGTTCCATTGGTCTATATCTCTGTTTTGGTACCAGTACTATGCTCTTTTGGTTACTGTAGCCTTGTAGTATAGTTTGAAGTCAGGTAACGTGATGCCTCCAGCTTTGTTCTTTTGGCTTAGGATTGACTTGGCAATGGGGGCTCTTTTTTGGTTCCAGATAAATTTTAAAGTAGTTTTTTCCAATTCTGTGAAGAAAGTCATTGGTAGCTTGATGGGGATGGCATTGAATCTATAAATTACTTTGGGCAGTATGGTTATTTTCATGATATTGATTCTTCTTATCCATGAGCATGGAATGTTCTTCCATTTGTTTGTGTCCTCTTTTATTTCCTTGAGTAGTGGTTTGTAGTTCTCCTTGAAGAGGTCCTTCACATCCCTTGTAAGTTGGATTCCTAGGTTTTTATTCTCTTTTAAGCAATTGTGAATGGGAGTTCACTCATGATTTGGCTCTCTGTTTGTCTGTTATTGGTGTATAAGAATGTTTGTGATTTTTGCACGTTGATTTTGTATCCTGAGATTTTGCTGAAGTTGCTTATCAGCTTAAGGAGATTTTGGGCTGAGACAATGGGGTTTTCTAGATATACAATCATGTCATCTGCCAACAGGGACAATTTGACTTCCCCTTTTCCTAATTGAATACCCTTTATTTCTTTCTCCTGCCTGATTGCCCTGGCCAGAACTTCCAACACTATGTTGAATAGGAGTGGTGAGAGAGGGCATCCCTGTCTTGTGCCAGTTTTCAAAGGGAATGCTTCCATTTTTTGCCCATTCAGTATGATATTGACTGTGGATTTGTCATAAATAACTCTTATTATTTTGAGATACGTCCCATCAATTCCTAATTTATTGAGAGTTTTAGCATGAAGGGTTGTTGAATTTTGTCAAAGGTCTTTTCTGCATCTATTGAGATAATCCTGTGTTTTTTGTCATTGGTTCTGTTTATATGCTTGATTACGTTTATTGATTTGCATATGTTGAACCAGCCTTGCATCCCAGGGATGAAGCCCACTTGATCATGGTGTATAAGTGCTGCTGGATTTGGTTTGCCAGTATTTTATTGAGGATTTTTGCACCGATGTTCATCAGGGATATTAGTCTAAAATTATCTTTTTTGGTTGTGTCTCTGCCAGGCTTTGGTATCAGGATGATGCTGGCCTCATAAAATGAGTTAGGGAGGATTCCCTCTTTTTCTATTGATTGGAATAGTTTCAGAAGGAATAGTACCAGCTCCTTCTTGTACCTCTGATAGAATTTGGCTGTGAATCCATCTGGTCCTGGACTTTTTTTGGATTGGTAGGCTATTAATTTTTGCCTCAATTTCAGAGCCTGTTATTGGTCTATTCAGGGATTCAGCTTCGTCCTGGTTTAGTCTTGGGAGGGTGTATGTGTCCAGGAATTTATCCATTTCTTCTAGATGTTCTAGTTTATTTGCGTAGAGGTGTTTATAGTATTCTCTGATGGTAGTTTGTATTTCTGTGGGATCGGTGGTGATATCCCCTTTGTCATTTTTTATTGCGTCTATTTGATTCTTCTCTCTTTTCTTCTTTATTAGTCTTGCTAGTGGTCTATCAATTTTGTTGATCTTTTTAGAAAAAAACACCTCCTTTTTATATATTGGGTTAAATGAAATTTGTTATTAAAATTAAGTTCACCTTTTTCTTTTCACTTTTTCAATGTGGCTACTAGAGCATTTAAAATTGCATATATAAAACATGTTAGTATTTTTATTAGATAGCACTGCTCTGTAGAATATCTTTACATTTAATACAATATAATTAATAACTATTACCTGCATGATGAAATACAGGCTTTAGGAAGAAATCAGATTAAAGACCATTTAGTAATCTATACTTAGCGTAAAACATTCATCTAATCTCAGTGCTACTGAAAATGGGTGTATGTTTTAATATTAAATCACCTTTTACCAACCATACTAAGAAAAGATAAATATTATTTTGTTGTAGAAGAACAGACCAACACAGTAAGAGATCATATTATTAAAGGCTTGGGAGTATGATCCATTTACATTATGATTTCTGATTAAATCATAACTAAATCCACTTATATGTAATGCTGAGTAGAATACTGATAATCAATAATTATAATTACTGTGTTTCCAAAAACCAAAATATTTGTTTTTTTAAAAAACATTATTTTCTGTCATCCAATGAGCAAGTCTGACCAGGCTATAAAAAACAAACAAACAAAAACAAAAAACAACAAAACAAATTAACTTCTGGGAACAGTTTAAATAATAGCATTGTGACTTTTAACTTCTGTTGCCATTTGCCTCTGAATCCCTCGGTTCCAGTTGTCCTTCCTAGGGCTTTGACCTGAAGCTTGGAATTGAGTTTGGGACAAAAATTTGTCTCAGGGTGGGTTGCATGGACTCCTTATCATAAGCCAAATATTAAGGTGAAACTGTGGAATTGAGTCCTCTTTCAACAAGGGAGAAAAACGTTGTCTTATGACACACCCAGATAACTGGTGGCTATAGTTATGCTTGCAGGATTTGAGTGTATGGTGCTTGGCTTTAGTTAGCTCCCTTGGTCTTACTTTAAAGGAAATCTCCAAGTGATGGGCATCCTATTTATTCCATTATCTGGCAGGATTTGCAGGATAATTGCTCAGAACTAGAATATTGATTCAGATTTTTACGTTATCCATCCGTCTTGTTCTTTCTGAGCTGCAGCCAGAGATTGCTGGTTGGTTCACAGGAACAAGCTGGATTAGTCTAAAAATGTAGGGGCAAACTTAAAAAAACAACTAATGGGCTTAGAATTTAATGACATGTGTAAATTTTGAAACATAATTTCTCCCTCTCCAATTCTCATTTTTGTTAAGAAACAAATCATCATAGGATTGAGTGGTGTGTAAAGAAGACTTTAGTACTATACTTGGTGTGATTATTTGCATAAAGTACAGCAAGAAAAATTATTTCTACATTGGTCTTTTGGATTGGTTTTGATGGAACTCTATTCCACAAGGTGTCTCAGATAAGATCTTTTAAAGCTGAGCCAAGCCATAGATTTTTATGGTCAAACACCTGTAAGTTGGGTGATCCTTTTCTCTTAAGGTCCCAAGATAAACTTGGAGCTCCTGGACTTGTTAGAAAGTGACATTCTTGGCCAGGCGTGGTGGCTCAAGCCTGTAATCCCAGCACTTTGGGAGGCCAAGGCAGGCAGATCACGAGGTCAGGAGATGGAGACCATCCTGGCTAACATGGTGAAACCCTGTTTCTATTAAAAATACCAAAAAAATTAGCGGGGCATGGTAGTGGGTGCCTGTAGTCCCAGCTACTCAGGAGGCTGAGGCAGGAGAATGGTGTGAACCCGGGAGGTGGAGTTTGCAGTGAGCCGAGATCACGCCACTGCACTCCAGCCTGGGTGACAAAGCAAGACTCTGTCTAAAAAAGAAAAAAAAAAAAAGTGACATTCTTTACTGAACATACATCAGGAACCCTGTACAGAGACTACATAGACGAGGGTATGAGACCAGTTTCTCCATGGGGCTTTTATTGGCTCTGCAAGTTGAGATTGACTCCTTAAAGGGAAGCATACCCTTCCAGTCAAAGCCATGATAAAATAACCACTTTCTCCAATTGTGTCCTGTTGCAAAATAAAAATGAATTCTTATTTGATTTGTGCAAACAAATATCTTGCCATAAGTTAAGAATACTTAGTTTCCAAATTCTAGAGGAACCAGACAGAGAGAAACATGCTCCAAATTGTGTTCATAGGAGTATAACTTACTCAATTATTAAAGGCCATAAATGGTTTAAAATAAGTTTCTTTGACTCTGAAAAACAAAACAAGGATCAGTAATATTCCAAGCAAAAGTCAAAATGATTTGCTTCTGCTTTCTGAGTTCAATCTATTTAGTTAATTCTTGCTTTGCTTGATATTAATGAGCATTTCAGCTCTTCATGGGTCCTGTACATTTTCCTTTATTCCAATATTACAATCCCAAAAGTTATCAGAAGCCCATATTTGAGAGCACCTGTCAAGAGTCTGATAGCTTACCATAAACCATCTTTGAAAAGGATAAAAAAAAAATGATTGTCTGTGAACAGCAAGATGACCAGGGTAGTTACAGTTATAAACATGATTGACAAAGAAGTTTGGTTATCTCTGTGGTTTACAATAACTTAACATAAAAACCTTAATTATGATTGATAGCATATACTCAGACCATAGAATGTTAGAACTCTCATACAATTTTGGAACATATATTAGCATTATTTACCAAGATATAACCTGAAGAAGATTGAGGATCATTTTGGCAATTCCATGTACCCAAACATGTCAAATAATCCTGTTTACCTTTCTTTTCTGGACACTTCAGGGGCCCTGTGAAGTATTTGAAAAGCCAAGTGTCAGGAAAGACAATTTTGAAACTGAAGTTTGATTTTGGGAAGGCTGTTAAATGTTCAAGGTTTAAAACACTTGATATTATGAAAGAGAATTCCACATTACCATTATTATTATTATATTATTATTATTGCCAAAATGATGACTCAGAAATTTTAAAGAAAAAAAACCTCCTCTCCCAGGGCATTTCTTAATGCTTTGAGGAAAGAAGTATTTTATGGACTCTCAGGGTTGGGAGAGTAGGTTGCTTCTAATAGATACATTCCAACATAACCACTTTGGTAGTCTATTAACTCATTTCTTAATCCCATGCTTTTGAAGTTGCTGCATTTCAATTTCATTGATTATAAGCAATTTTTGTTTCCAGGCTTTAATTAATCATCTGACTGACAATTCATAAATAGTAATGCCATTCACAGGTGCTGAAGCCAAGACATTAAAACCTAGATCCTTAGTGGGTACAACACTGTTCATGAATTCAGCCTCATCAAGTCATGTATCTCTTTTCCATATAGACCTACATCTTTAGAATGCACTCCACAAATACTCCTCAAGATTTTCCTGACATAAAAGCTTCAGTCTTGGAACATTTTTGGCGTAACTGTATCTCTTGCCAAACAGCTCAATATCTGTTTGAGTTAAGCAGAATTCTAAGTCTTTATAGAGACCTAGAGTCAATACTTGATGTAGAGACATTGTCCTAAGGATAATTTGCATCAGTTTATGATGTAACCTTCTTAGAGTTATCTATGAAAAGTTTGTTGTTGTTGTTGTTGTTGTTGTTGCAAAGATCTGGTTCCCTAGGGAAGGGGAAGTGCTGCCTTGTCCAGTAAGAAAATGTGGAAGTTCAAAGTTCTCAAGCTCTTCCATGAGTATCCAAACATCCTATCTCATATCTCAGGGTCTCCCACTAGTGCTCCTACCTGGCATGGTCACACACATAGTTGGTCCTATAAATCTGTCACTTCTGCAATCCGACCTAACCTTCATCTTCAGTCATATTTGCCTGCTGTTTTTGTCAAGTACGTTTCTGCTTTCATTACTGTAGATTTTGCTTCTCATATTTCCTATGTAAACTCTCTAGAGATATAAGAAGCAGCCAGCAGACTCCACATCTTTATAATCAATACCATTGGTATCATTAGGAAGTTGATCTTTCAACTCCCTTTCTCTTACCTACACTTCAACCCATGCCACAACAGATGATAATTTGAGTGAATCTTATGTCATTCTTTGACATGTATTTCCCATGGTTCTTTCCTCTATCCAATCCTCTATAAGTAAGGAATTTATTCATACTTATTTACTCTTCAACGAACCCAATCTTAAAATACTATTTCAAGTGTTTGTTAATGAGAACCACCATAGGAGAAAGTTCACACACCCAAAATAGATACTTAAAGAAGATCAATTTCCAAAGGACTATTTACAAAAATTTTCATGTAATGGAATCATGAGAGATGTACTGGGCTTTGTAAAAATGACCCTCTTACTATTCCTAATCCCAGTGGAAAAAGGGGTGGTAGCGGTGGTTACAGAAGACCAGAAGGAAATATTTTTATAGAATTAGCATGGACTTTCAGTCAAAAATAGCCAGCTCAAAGTTCCTTGCTGGGAAAGGCCCAGGAGAAAAAAACCTGTCCACGTTCTTCTATCTTCCTTTGTTTCCTTGCTGGGGTTTCCTATTAGCCAAATCAAACCTGAAGCCCAAAGACATTGCAAACTGCTAATATGATTTCTATAAATCTGCTTCCTAGAACAGAGAGAGCAGTATTTAGAAGAATGGTGAACAGAATACCTCATATATCATCAATTATGATGACTGCTTGAAATGTTTACAATTTTATGGCTAAAAACACAGTTTCTTTTTAAAAGAGGAAAGAATTAATCATATTTTAATAGTTGAGCTGTTTTCAAAAACAGCTTAATCAAACATTTACTACCTAGAATATACATAATAATGTGAGCTATGTCATATTGAATGTGTCTTATATGTCAAGCACACTCAAATTTATTTTGTTAACTAATTTGATCTTCAGAAAATTGTATTGTGTACCCATTGTTAGGCAATTTCGTAGATCTGAAACAGGTGTTTGAAGAGGTGAGAAAATTGTTTTCAGTCACATAGATCACAAGTGAGAATTTAATACATGATTCCTGCTTTGTTTGACTCCAAAGTCAGGTTATTACACTAATAGGTATAATATTGGGAAATGTTTTATAGCAATTATCTCTTCCCATATATATTTTATAGTTATTTATTGAGCATCTTTTATGAGATGGGGAATTTAATAAGAATGATGATAAATATGAAGGAGGCTATAACTCAGATCTTGTTCATGAGATGTTACAGAGTCAGTCTGCTGGAAGCACTGAGTATATATGCAGAACAGGCATGGAAGGCCATGAGGTGGTTGTGTTGTAACCTGCCAGCATTGTATCATAAAAGCTTTCAGTGACCAAAAATAATTCTAGTTTCCAGGATGCAGGAAATTAGACAGTTTATAGGGCAGCAAGTCTCAGAAAACTAGACAGTGTGTTTATTGATGGGCACAACTACTCACAGAACAAGTGGAATAAAATCAAGAGCCTAGTATGTACTTGAAGGTGTGAATAAAGTTTGAGCTTCCCAAAAGACACTGGTAATTTAAAAAAGGAGACAACCCAAAATTGACTGGCATTTGAAGAAATTTTGGACAGTGTACTAACATCACTAGAGAGTCTAGCCTACCTTTGTTCATCTTGTTATCCCCTCTGTCACTTTCATGACTTTGAGGTTACCCCTAATTAACAAAATTAACCAGAATGTAAAATGAATATGCCCATAATTTTACATGCACTCCTTCCTCATTTCCTTACCCCAGATCTTTACAAAGGATGCTGTGTATTCGCCCTAAACTATCATTGATTCTGGAAAATACTTAAAAGCATAAATAAAAAATACTGAATGTGAAAGCTATGTGTGTTTTATTTTCCACCATGTGGTATTAGGTTGGGTGCTTGCAGATGAAGAAAAATGAAATTCTTTTGCAATATCTATCCTCTCATTGATTTAGTAAAAATAGAAAAAGGCATAGGTCTCCATGATATAAATTTGATGATAAACAATAAGAGCAGACTCCTTTCCTTTTAAAATTTATTTTTCACAATTGGCTCCCAGATTTACTAAATGTACACTATTGTTGTGTGTTCTGTGCTTAATTTTCTAATATCCATTTCACCTCCAGTGATTATTACAGGCCTATCCTCACATGACTATTTCATTGCCAGTGATTGGCACATGACCCAGCCAGGTTGGGCACATGATATAATTGTTATCAATGAGAACTAAAGAGAAATCTGTATGGGATTCTGAGAAAGTTTTACGTGTTTCTGTAAAAGGGAGTTGAAATATGTTTATACATCTTTCTCATATGGTCATTGATAAAAACATATGGTAAGCTGGGAAGTTCCATGACCATCTGACTACAAACCTGGTAAAATGACAACATAAAGAGAAGCACAGAACCAAAAGGAACATAGAGAAGTGGGAACAACATACCAGAAAACAGATCCTGCTTAGATCTCCATCACCTGTAATGTCTTTTATATTTGTGTTTATATATTTTTCATTATTTAACCTTATTTTAGTCAGAATTTTCTGCTACCAGCAAATTTACCCACCCAAAACTGTAGCCAAAAGCCAAGGTTTGTGTTGAGGTTGAGTGCGATTGTTTTCACAGATGCACACTACAGAAAATAATTCCAACACTTACTAACTGTGCTCAGAAATCATATAGAGGTGTGTGTATTTTACCTTTGCAACCCCTTTGTCCACACATCTACATTTAACCCCTTTTATTACTGATGAACATTATATTGCTTTTCACACCTTGTATCTATTACACAGTCTCTTCTGCAAAATCTCTGAGAAAAACATTCCCTTACTGCATGCAGTAATTTGGTGAACGTTGATCCTTCTGTCATTTGACAATGACTTTTATTTGGACAATGTACCAATTCTCCCATGTGGCATTTGTTCATCATCTTTTAAGAAAATTGAGTGAAACAGGGAAAATTAGAAGTCAAATACAAAATATTATATGGGGTGGGGGTAGAGATATTGGAAAGAGATGGTAGGAAGGATAAGCAATACATATTTGTTTATATATGTGCCTAGATAGGTAAATAGCATTTTCCAAAAATAAATTGCCAAGTATCATTAACTGAATGTTTGTGTTCCCCTAAATTTTACATGTTGAAATATTCACCCCCAAGATGATGGTATTAAAAGGTGAGACCTTTTGGAGGTAATTAGTTCATGATAGTAGAGCTTTTAAGTATGGGATTAGTGTCCTTATAAAAAGGCCCCATAGAGTTATCTTGCCTTTTTTCCACTGTGTGGAAAGTCTGCAGTCTGCAACCTGGAAATAGGCTGTCACCAAAACCTTACCATACTGGCACCCTGATCTTGGATTTCCAGTTTAGAGAAATGCAAGAAATGGATTTATGTTGTTTATAAGTCATTCAAATGTATGATACTCTATTGTGGCAGTTCCAACTAAAACACCAGGAATTCCTAAATATGCACTGGGAAACAATAAAGAAATTTCAAGGTCGGCGTTATTGCTTACTGTTTAAAATTGCAATAGATGAATTTCTGTTGAAATATCTCCTAAGACTGAGTTGTGGTTACTTTAATTATAGAAAGAACTATTATTATTTTATAGGCACTAGTATTTTATATTTCAATACCACCTGTGTTTATAACTTTATAAAGTGATTAAAAATTGAGTGGCTATCATTTGCCTTTAGTCTATGATAGAATCATTCTGTAAATCATTGTAATGTTATATGGAGTAAGGCTGTGATTCAATTAATAACATTCTTACTAACTTAAGTAGTAAACAGGGATGAGTTTTTAAACGTTGAATGTATAATAAAAAAGGCTATTTGACTTCTTTCATGGCTTCATTTTATTTTCATTGCTTCCAAGTGGCTAATCATCTCTTTTCTATTAATAAAGTCCATTTTAAGGACATTTTGCAACCTGTTCAATAGCATAAGCTTAGTTTTAGTTTTGTTTATAGTGAAGTTAATAAAGAAATATCAACTTCAATGGAGACTCTAAAATAATAGTCATTTATTTAAACATTATAAAGATAACATTCTGGTAAAGACAGACATATTGAGCAACTGTCCAAATGGTTCTTCATAGAAAAAAACAAGAATATTCAGAATAGACATGGAGACATTATTAATGACATTGAGTGTATAGGATTATACTGGATGATTTGACTTTCCTATAACTCTTTCTCTATTACTTTTTTAAACTCAGAATTATGTTGTCTTGCTTAGAATCATCCAATTCTTAGTTTCTATATTTTTGAAATGAGGTAATTTTAAAATAAATTTAGTTGAGATATTATGTATATTTATTTGAGATATTTTGTTGATTTATTTTCAGTGTTAAAATGTGAGATAGGGAAAGTCTTGGGTTATGTCTCTGGCTTGTGTTGGTAAAATGACAAATATACAAATATTTGTTAAAGACACATACACACGCACACACAAACACTTTAAACACAAAAAGAAACCTTTCCTCAAACACTGTATAGTCGATTGCTGAGTGGGACAGTCATATGGGGTAGTAAGTGCTGTAGGAGACATAAAGCAGAAGAATCCTAATGTAGAGTGAGTCAGAAAAGATTCTTTGAAGAGGTGGCTCTAAAGGTTAAATGGAGAGAATAAATTAGAGTTAATCAGAAAAAGCACAGTCTATTTGCTGCCTAGGGAACGTTGGATACAATTTTATAGATCTCCAAGAATTTGGGTATATAAAACAGGTAGGCTAGGAATACCTCGTGGAAGCCTTTGATATCCTGATAATTTGTTGTTACTTTCCCCAATGCTTTCACAAAATATTGTAAGGATTCAAAATAGTGAAATGACTTGTTCATTTGTGTTATTTGTGATCAAGGAAATTCATGTTCTGACACAGAAGGATAGTAAAAAAGAAAATAAAAGAAAATTCATGTGGATACAATAATGCAGCTTAATTAGAAGAGATTAACTATAAATCAAATTTTAGGCTCTTTGGGGAAAGAAAGCATGCAGATCTTCTTGAGGTTTTGATATTGGAAATGAAGTAAAGATGATGAATTAGAGGAAAACAAAAGAAGGCCAGGCACGGTGGCTCACACCTGTAATCCCAGCACATTGGGAGGCTGAGGTGGGCGGATCATGAGGTCAGGAGTTCGAGACTAGCTTGACCAACATGGTGAAACCCCGTCTCTACTAAAAATACAAAAATTAGCTGGACGTGGTGGTGTGTGCCTGTAATCCCAGCTACTCAGGAGGCTGAGGCAGGAGAATCGCTTAAACCCAGGAGGCAGAGGTTGCAGTGAGCCAAGATTGCACCACTACACTCTAGCCTAGGTGACAGAGTAAGACTCCGTCTCAAAAAAAAAAAAAAAAAAAAAAAAGAAAGAAAATAAAAGAAATGTTCAATTCCTTAATTAACACTAAAGGACATAGGACATAGTGTTTGATTTTAGGAGAGACATGGGTAGAAATCAAGATGGTAGATTGGGGTAAATAAAAGTGGTGCCTAGGTCTGAGAGTATGAATAATGCATACATGATGGCAACATTCTCTTAGATATGTATTAAGAAAATTTCAGGACACTTCAAAAACCAACATAAAAATTCCAGTAACTTTTGCAAAAATTTTTAACAAATAAAATATATGCCAAAATTTTAGAAAGATACCTCAATTATTTACGGAGAATATCATCAATGAAATACAAACTAATTATTTAAAAGTCTCTCAAGATTTAATGAACTTGCTGAATCGAGCAAAACTTGATGTGGAATCTGCATTTCTGAAATTTAGTATTTCCCTATATATCCCACAGGCTCTACTGTCTGATTTAAAAACAAATGAAAAATCCCAGCACCGCCACCACCACCACCACAATAAAAAAAATTCTATAAGACAAACCCTAAAAATGACACATCACTTCCTTTTGTTTGAAGCCAGTCTGGTTATGATTAAGATCTGTATTTGAAGAGGTATGAGATTTCTGAATAGGCATTCAGTTTCTCCCCAAGGACATCTCATGACACTTTCTTTGCTATGAGATGCTGGCTGTCACAGAAAATGTTCTATCTTTGTAGCCTCAGCACATAGGAATCACTTATTCATAACTGATCCACCACTGCTCTTTATTTCTCTTTGATGATGCATTAAAAATGGCTTTTAGCTAAAGCTTTTTCGTTTGATTTTTGGAGCTGTAGTAAATGCCACCAATTTTAGGAGGAGTAAGTGTGCATGTATGTGTGTGTGATGGACTGTGTAAGTTCCTATAAATTATATTTCCTCTTTTAAAGAAAATTCAAAGAACTTTCATGTCCATTATCACAGCTGGATGTCATTTGGCATAATGATTACAACAATGGTAAAATTTTCCAGCCCTACCTGTTTTCACACATTTTACAGTGTGACTTTGCAGTTCTTTCTATTATAAGCTGGAGTTTTTTTCCCCACTCCTTGAATCTGGGATATGAGTGTTTTGGGCAGTAGAACATGGCAGAACTGACAACTTGCAAGTTCAAAGCTTAAAGCTCAAGTGTCCTTGCACACTTTTGTTCTCCCTCTTGTTCCTCTGCCTTTGTTATGAGATCAAGCCTGGGCTAGCCTATTGGAGGATGAACAAGCACATGGAGGGGAGTTGATTTTTCATAATTGATGGCAGACTGACCACAAATATGGGAATGTACCAGACAAAATTAACACAATTGTTTACCTGTCCCACAGATGGCTGCAGATGCATGAGGAAGCCAAGACAAAACCAGAACTTCAAGCCATGCTATAAACTTATTAGCATTAAGACACAGATATTATTTGAAGCCACCAAGTTTTGGGGGTGGTTTTTAACGCAGCAATAGGTAACTATTGAAGTTCCTTATGTACCATGATTATGGAGGCACCGTCTTAGTGCCATCACTAAGGTGGATAAGAAGCTTTTTGGTTTATTTTGTCAGTCCTCATCATAGCCCTCATAATGGACTCAGATTTTTTCTGCTGACATCGTGGCTAGAACCCAAGCCATTATATAAATGAAATCATGATACTGTTATTTGCCTTCACCCTAAATGGGACCATATTAAATGTATTTACATATATTTATTTTAATGACAGTCTTTACATCTATGCCATTGAGTAAAAAAGAGGTATGTGCTGTGGCCAAAATATACTTTGCATAACAGGCTTATGCTGCCTCTTTTATCCACCACCAATTTTCTTCAACCTAGTGGGCTCAGGCATTCTTCTCTGAGCAAATTATTTCCAAAGTCTACCCAAGTCTCTCTCTTTTTGTTTTGTGTCAGTAAGAAAGCAAAGTACCTTATAAAATATAAAAATATCCATACCTTGTTGGAACCTTCATCTGTCTTCCTCAAAAAAGTCATGGATTTTGTGGACTATATCAAGCTTGATTAATTATAATTCAAGATTTTTAACTCCTAAAGTATGATGTGTGTGTGTGTCTGTCTGTGTGTCTATTTCAAAATATGCCTGAGCACATAACTTTTTACCTAGATTATGTCTAATAAGGTATTTTCTCTATATTTAACAATGTATCTTTAGTGTTTAAATAAATGTCATGAGTAGTAGTGTTCATTTACTTCTTGTTTTTTCTTTTTCTTAACAATTTACAGTCATTAACTAATACACATCATGAAAGTCTCTTTACCTTACAGCCTGAAAAAACTTACAATTTTTCCTACTTAACCTTACCAACTGAGTATTTCTACTTACAAATAGACACAATCAACTGAATACAAGAAGGTCAGAAGCAATGTTTTGATGTAAATGAGTGTGTACGTGTGAAAGTGTATGTGTGTGTGTGAGTGTGTGTGTGTGTGTGTGTGTGTGTGAGAGAGAGAGATCGCCCTGTGGAGAACTGTTTAAAAGGTCATACTGAGTGAGGCAATCACTATTAGGGAAATGTTCCAAACTGCTGACCCCCAAGAAGAATTTTGTCTGCAGATCTACAGATGTGTTTTATTTGGCACACACAGTGTTTAAAACAAACTTGAATTAATCACCACATTTAAAAAATGGGAAATTTCTCTCAAAAAAATTCCATCTTCTCTGAAAAAATCAGGAAATATATCCACACTGGGCCCACATGCTTGAGTGACAGAAGTCTGCTGTAGCCTAATAGCAGCTGCTCCTTCTGATGGGGGATGAACCCTCCAGATCTGTCAATCCAAATGTTCTATTGCTAGTTGCATTTGTCTAAGACAAGAAAAAACATAGACATGCTTCTTTAAAAACAATTACGTTTTGAAATTCTTTTGCATGGAACAAAGTAGGACTTTTGAGGGCTGTGCGAAGTAAGGGAGTAAGGGTTTGGCCAGCATTTACCTGGCTTTCTTAACCTATTTGCCAGCTTGGCCCCTATAGGCCTCTCAGTTTCAAGCCCTGATTTAAGATTTTAGAACATGTGAGATAGCTAATACTTTTGGGTTACAAGTGGTAAAACCAACTTAGATTTCCTTAAAAATAAAAGTGGTAAGTGATTGGCTCAAATTATTTGAATGTAGGGATATAAATTAATGCCATCAGAAATCTACAATTTTTGTTCTCTGTTTCTTAACTCTGTTGTCCTCTGTGTTGGTAACATTCTAAGGCTGGCTATAGCCATGAGATGTTAGAGACCACTGGGTATCCCCAGGCTTACATAATCTTTAATACCAATGATTCTAGAAAAAGGGAAAATATATTTCCCAACTAATCCAACATAACACTTTTGAGACAGCTTTTATTAACCTATCTCAGGCCGCATGAACAACCCAACCCATTACGCCTGAACAGGGGCTTTGTATTCTTATTAGCCAGGCCTATGTCTCAGGTTATCTAACTATCTCTGTGGCAGGAGCCAAAAGAGTGAATTTAACTGGACACTGATAAAGTAATATGCCCATAGTAAAGGAGAATTCTGTTAATGGAAGAAGAAAGATTTCATCTGGACAAAATGACAGTTGTCATAGACAATTACAAATTGGGATATTACACTAGGGATCTCTGTGGTTATTCAGAAATGCATGCTTGAGTTACTAAATGAGTTTCTAGAACAAAGTAAAAATGTGACTTATATATATTTCCCATGAAATCTATGAGGTAGTATAAACATATCATATATTTTTATACAACTGGACCACTGAGGAATAAAAAGAATGAGATGTTATCAAGGAAGTTAAAGAAGTCACATTGTAATGGAAAGAATAACATACTGGGAGCCAGAGATTTTAGTGTTATTACTAGCTGTGTTACCTTAAGTATGTCATTTATATATTTTGGATCTTGGTTTTACATTTTTTAAATTGTGAAATATATAATATATAAATACAAATATACAAATATATGCACACGTTTTAAGGAATAATATTAAAGCAAGCATCCTTGTTACCACCACTCAGCCTAACAGTGAAAATATTGCCATCTACTTAGAATTCCCTGAGGTGCCCCTCTAGTGTTTCTTCTTCCCTTCTCTCCCAACAATCCGAATAATCACCAATCTGAATTTTGTGTTACTCATTCTCTTATTTTCTTTTTATTTTTATCAGACACATATATTTATGCCTAAAATATAGGCATAAATGTCTATTTAGTTTGGCCTGTTTTGGAAATTTATAAAAATGGAATAATACTTTAGGTTTATTTCTGTCACTTATTTTGTTCAAAATTATATAATATATGTAAGATTCAGTAATGTTGTACACATACCTGCTATTAGGTTTCAAAGAAATTTCAAATTGCAATGTCTTCCTCACAAAATTAATGTTTACTTATTATAAAGTAAAAGTCTTTATCTTTGGTAATGCCTTTCATTATATAATACTTTCTCAGTAAATTATATAACAATCCCAATTTTATTGGTTCATCTCTTTCCATTCTTTTACTTTCTATATTTATTTTTAAATGCATAAAAAGCATATACATTGATGTTTAAGTTCAGTCTTAAAATCTGTTCTTTAGCTCGAGAATTTAGTTGGTTGTATTTAGACTGATTTGTAATATAATTGGATTCACTTTTATATGTTGTTTTCCTACCGATTCTAAGTATTCTTTTTCTTATTTCTTGCCTTCTTTGGAATTAATTTTGTCTCATGATACATTTTTCTTGCTACCCCAGTATTTGTAAGGTATACACTTTTTTTTCAACTGTGGTAGGGATTACCATGGCAATTACAAAATACACATTTTCAACATTGAACTCTAATCAGTATCATTGCTTTCTTCCAAGATCATATAAAACCAACAGAATGATTTAATTTGCTCTACTCATAACAACTTACTTCTGTTCAATATTTTAATTCTACATATATAACTCTGTTAAACATTACATTATATGTTTTACTCAGTAACTAGTCATTTAGATATACTCATATATTTATCACTTTGTGTACTTTCTTTCTTCCATTAATTTTACCCCTTCATCGGGGTCCTCTTTCTTTTTGTCTAGAGTAGTGGTCCCCAACCTTTTGGCATCAGGGACTGGTTTCCTGGAAGCCAATTTTTCCACAAACTGGGGTTAGGGATATGGTTTTGGGATGATTCAAGTGCATTACATTTATTGTGCACTTTATTTCTATTATTATTACATTGTAATATATGATGAAATAATTATACAACTCACCATAATGTAGAACCAGCAGGAGCCCTAAGCGTGTTTTTCTGCAACCAGATGGTCCCATCTTGGGGTGGTGGGAGAGAGTGACAGATCATCAGCCATTAGATTCTCACAAGGGGCATGCAACTTATATCCCTTACATGTGCACTTTACAATAGGATTTGTGCCCCTGTGAGAATCTAATACCTCCTCTGATCTGACAGGAGGTGGAGCTCAGGTGGTAATGCAAGCAATGGGGAGTGGCTGTAAATACAGATGAAGCTTTGCTTGCTTGCCCACTGCTCACCTCCTCTATGCAGCCAGGTTCCTAACAGGCCATGGACCAGGGTACCAGGGACCTTGGCCTGGGGATCAAGGACCCCTGGCCCAGAGTACATCATTTAGACTTCAGCCCAGTTTCACCTGTGATAAATTCATTTTTTTCTGAAAATGTCTTTTGTTTTTTAACCTCCATTCTTGAGAAATTTTCTTTTCTTATATTTTTTGAGGTTGAAATTTATTTCTTTGGAGCCTGTTGAAGTTATCATCACTGAAGTCTGGCTTCTATTATTGTTATTGAGAAGTGAGTTCTCTGTCAAATTATTACTCCTTTAAGTAATGTGGTTTTTAGCTTTTTAATTTTCTTGGTGTGCCACTGGTTTTCCTCAATTTTACAATGATATGCCTAGGGGTGGAAGTCCTTTTATTTATCCTTTGTTGGACTATTTTGGCTTGATGTCTTTTATCAGTTTTCAAATGTTCTTAGACTCTGTATCTTCAGATATGCATCTATGCCATTCTCTTTCTCTCACCTTCTGGAGCTTTGAATAGAAATGTTATATTTGATTCTATTATTTTTTGCTCTCTCTATATTAATTAATCTTTTCTGACTTATTGTCTAATAGTTCACCACTTTTTTTCTTCACCTGGTCCTATCAAATTCACTGAGTTTTTAATTTATGTTGCTTTAATTTCTGAGCTTTTGATTCTCTTCATATTTGTACAATTATTTTTGTAGTTCATCATTCTCTGTGGATATTGCCAATCTTGTCTGTTCTTTAAACATTTTAACACTGTCATTAATTTATAATCTGGATTGGAAAGCTCCAACTCAACACATTGTGGTTTGGTTTCTGCATTCTGTTATGTAAGTTGGTTCTTGAGCACACTATACTGTTTCCTTTCATGCTTAGCTTATTTTGACTGGGATTTTTTTTCTCTGCTTGGAAAATTGTGGGAATTCTTTATGACTAAGTTGAAGTCAAACACTTTTAGAGATTTTTCTTTCCTTCTGTTAATAGGGGTAAATGAAATTTCAATTTGTTTGGCTTTATTTTTTAAACTATAATACTTAGGTGATGTGGGTTTAGGCTGAGAGGGGTTGAATGTGGTTTCCACTTCTAAGGAATGGTTTTTGCCACATCTTGTTAATGCTATAATATGAGTGAAAAGAGGAGGGTTCAAGATCTACAAGAAACTGAACTATATTTCATCCACTACCTTTAACAAAATAATGTTGACTAGAGACTGACTAGAAAGAGCTTTTTCAAATTACTTGTATTCATTATGGAATTATTCAATGTACCATAAGATTATCTAATATGAAATATCTAATTTATTTAAATTAAGCCTTCCTATTAATACACATCTCATAGACATATTTCACGGGGTTGGAGGCAAAATGCCTTATCTAGGTGGATATTTATGGTGGTCCATTGGTCACCCTCGAGATACGGATTCAGATTCTCTCTCTCTCTCTCTTCCTCCCTACTTCTGTCTTCTCCTCCTCCTCCTTCTTCTCTCTGTGTTTCCTTCTCTCTCCCTCCCACTTAATTATTACAGTGATGTGGGCCTCTTACAAGGTCTTTGATCAGAGTGAGGTGTGGGCGCTGATTAAAGATTTTACCATCTACTGTTAGAAAACTGGAGAAATCTTTCCAGTGGAAACAAATGTCATTGAGGTATGAAGGTTTGGGGTTTATATATTAGTAATTTGTAAACCATAATAAAATGGTTCTCCATATGATAAGTGCACATACTTGTTGTTAATACCACCCAACTGATTGTGAGATTTACCTGTATGTAAATCAGAGAACTCTAAAATATTAAACCTTGATGTGATTTCCAAATATCTGGTTGTGGTACTGCAGCCGTCTTTCTTGAGTTTTATATATATGCAAATCAAACAACCATCATGTGGTGATACTGATTAGATGTGAGGTCTTTTTCTGACTGTAGGCAGCACTTTTGTGTTTGAACTGATAAAGTGTTGTGGCCACAACTGAGACTTAGATTTATTACACACCCACACACACTGTACACACTACCAACTCTGCTTATTGTCAAATTGCTTTCGTTGAAATCCCTTGGGAATGGAGAAGTGTAGATGGGTTTACTCCAGATTCACTTTTACATTGAGGATGTAGCCTTTAGAGTCCTAGCTTTCCTGGTAGAAGGGTATGAGTGGTTTTCTATCTATACTCTGCACCATGGACAGCTCTAGGTCTTTGGGTTCTGTCCTTATGCCTTACAAGGCCAATAAGCATCAGTACAATATCACCATGATTGGCAAATGTCTTCAGGGAAAACATGGCTGCTGTGCTCTGTTTGCTTTTCTGGAGAATTTCATACTTATATTTTGGCTTATTGATTCATTTTATCTTATCAGTTCTTTGAAGCTTTTAAAACAATTTCTTTAAGTATTTTAATTAGTATCTTAATTGTTTTCAGAGGGACTGTGGGATTATACTGAATAGGAAGCCTGATGGTTACCAAAGACTTGTTGACAATTTTTCCCATTGTCAATACCTGGGAGTAGAGTGGGGATTGGTAGGGCTTCAACTCTAATTTTGTGAATCAGTGAATGGATAGGATCCAAACTCTTACTCCTTCTTCATCACTGCCCTTAGCTTCACTACAAAGAACACAGGAATTTTGAGGCAGTCTCTTCTCTTGTTCGAGACCAGCCTGACCAACATGGTGAAACCACGTTTCTACTAAAAATACAAAAGTAAGCCAGGCATGGTGGCACATGCCTGTAATCCCAGCTACTCAGGAGGCTGAGGCAGGAGAATCGCTTGAACCCAGGAGGTGGAGGTTGCAGTGAGCCAAGATCGCGCCACTGCACTCCAGTCTGGGTGACAGAGCGAGACTCTGTGTCAAAAAAATAATAATCATCATCATCTATTATAAGAAGTTCTATGCTTCGGAGGCTATTTTCTCTACACATAATTATGTGAAAGATTATAGGTGGTATTTGGCTGATGAAAATTAACCCCAAAAGTCTATTACCCAAATGACAAAGATCTTATAGTACTAAGTAAATTCAAAATCACATTCTTCTTATTTTTTGCTAGTGTTATATTTAGCAATATTTAAACCTCATTCCTTCTTTCTTAAAAGGAATTATACTTATTAGATAGACCATTTATTTTTGCTTATCATTAATGGTAGACATTTGCAAGGTGCATGTCTTCATACTGTGTATTGAGTTTGGAGTAGTGAACATGAACCAACTTCAAATTAAGGACATTTGGTATATTTTATGGATATGGTTCTGGCTTTGAATATTTGAGGCAGTTTCATATACTAATATAAAGTTTTATGATATTTTGCATTAATATTCTCTAATATAATAATTTTGGACTCTATTTGACAGCTTCTGCTGCAAAAGGTTCTGTAACAAATAACCTTTGACTTTCAGTACCTTACATAACTATAGATTTACTTCTCAGTTATATTTCATGTCAGTGTCTGTGGGTTAGATACTGACTCTGCTCCAAGTTCAATGGCAAATTTAGAGTAACTTCAATGTCTTCTCTCATTCTATGACTGGTGTGGTGAGGCACACATCTCGGATGTGATGTTTTTGTGGTAGTGTACAGAAACAAATGGGAATCAGAAACTTGCCATGCCTTTTACAGCCATTACTCAAAACTGGCAACATGTCACATATGCCCATATTCTGTTAGCCAAAGAAAACCTTATGGCTGAGCCGCCTATCATTGGGTAGGTAAAAATATGCTTCCTAATGAGGTGGAGCAAAGGGAGAGTGAAAGTTAGCAGAAAAAGGAAATCTACCTCAATGACACTTTGGTTATTATTTTATTTTTCTAAAATTATGGAACATTTAAAACAGAAATAAAATTGTATAATATAACATAAAAAACAATGTACCAGCCAACTAGTTTTAGGAAAACTGGTTTTTTTTTAGTATCTGCAACAGATATTTTTTAAAATGTATCAATTCCAGAGATAGTTGAAGCCTTATGTTCAAGACATTAGTCATTTCTTTGTCATCTCTTCCTTCCCAGTGTTAATCACCATCTTGAAATTAATGTTTCTGTTGTTCGTGCATGTGTACACATTTACTACGTATGAGCATATACAAAAATAAGAATGTGTAGATGTGAAAGTTTTCATTGTTATAAAAATATATTCTTATATTCATTGCATTCTACAAATTGATTTTATATCCTAATTATTTTTATATTTTTCTATATTAACACATAATCCTAGTTTTGTTTATTTTTATACAAGTATTTGTAGATATTTATGAGGTAAATTTAATCTCTTGTCAGATGAATAGTTTGCAAATGTGCTCACCAGTTTAACAGGTTGCTTCTTTACTCTATTGATTTTTTCCTTTGCTGAGCAGAAGCTCTTTGGTTTAATTTAATATAGTCCCATTGACTATTTTTGTTTATGTTGCATGTGCTTTTGAGGTTTTAGCCATAAAATCTTTGCCTAGATCAATGAACTAGTGTTTCCCCTGCATTTTCTTTTAATAGTTTCATATTTTTTTGTCTTACATTTAAGTCTTTAATCCATCTTGAGTAAATTTTTATATATGGTAAGAAATAAGGGTTCCATTTCATTTTTCTGTATACGGATATCCAATTTTTCCAGCACCATTTATTGAAGAGGGTGTCATTTCTCCAAAGTATATTATTGTTGGCTTTGTCTAAAATAAGTTGGTTGTTAGCACATTTATTTCTGGGTTCTATATTCTGCTACATTTGTCTATGTGTCTGTTTTGATACTAAGGCCATACTGTTTGGTGTATTCTGTGGAGGTTTTTGGATCCACCATCATCAGAGATATTGGCCTACTGTTTTGTTGTTGTTGTTGTTGTTATTGTTCTGTCCTTTTCTGGTTTCAGTTTCAGGGTAATGCTGACCTTACAGAATAAGTTAGGGAGAATTCTCTCCTCTTTAATTTTTTGAAATTGTTTGAGAAGAATCGGTGTTAGTTTCTACATGAAACATTGGTAGAATTTGGTAGTAAAGCCATCAGTCCTATAGTTGTCTTTGTTTGGAGACTTTTTATTACCAATTCAATTTCATTAATCATTGTTCATTTGTTCAGGTTTTCTATTTCTTCCTGATACACTCTTGGTAGGTTGTATGTGTTCAGACATTTATTCATTTCCTCTAGGTTTTCCAGTTTGTGAGTACATAGTTGCTTATACTCGACTCTGATGATCTTTTGTGTATCTGTGATGTCAGTTGTAATATTTCCTTTTTCTTCTCTAAATTGTTTATTTTGGTCTTTTTTTCCTTGGTTAGTCTTATTAGTGGCTTATTGATTTTGTTCATCTTCTGAGAAAGCCAACTTTTCATTTTGTCAATGGTTTGTCTTGTTTTTCTTCAGTCTCTATGTTGTTTAGTTCTGCTCTAATCTTTATTATTCTTTTCTCTTCCATGAACTTTGTGTTTGGTTTTGTTCTGCTTTTCTAGTTATTTGACATGTATTGTTACATTGTTTATATGGAATCTTTCTGATTTTTAAATGTACGTGTTTATTGCTATGCACTTTCCTCTAGCGCTGCTTTTGCTGTTATCTCATCAGTTTTGCAATGTTATGTTTTGACACTTATTTATTTCAAGGATTCTTTTGTATTTCTTAATTTCTTCTTTGATCCAGTGGACTTTCAGGAGCATGTTGTTTAATTTCCGTGTAGTTGCACAGTTTCCCAAGTTCCTCTTGTTACCGATATCTATTTTTATTCCCTTGTGGCCTGAGATTATAATTGATATAATTTTCTTTTTAAAAAATGTATTGACACTTGTTTTGTGCCCTAACATATGATCTATCCTGGAGAGTGTTCTGTGTGCTGATGAAAAGAATGTGTATTCTGTGGCTATTGGGTGAAATGTCCTGTAAATGTCTGTTAGGTACAGTTGGTCTAATGTGCAGTTTAAATCTAATGTTTCTTTGTTAATTTTCTCTCTACCTAATCTGTCTAATGCTGAGAGCAGAGTGTTGAAGTTCCCAACTATTGTTGTACTTGAGTCTAGCTATCCCTTATATGTGATAATGATTGCTTTATATATCTGAGTGCTCCACTATTGGGTGCACATATGTCTAGAATTCTTATATCATCTCACTGAATTGATACATTTGTCATTATATAATGACCTTTTTGTCTTCTTTTACTTTTTTGACTTAAAAACTGTTTTATCTAATGTAGGTATAGCCATTCCTACTGGATTTTGGTTTCTGTTTACATGAAATATCTTTCCCATCCCAACATTTTCAGTCTGTATATTTCTTTACAAGTAAGATAATTTTCTTGTAGGCAGCATCTAGTTAGGTTTTTTTTGTTTTGTTTTGTTTTGTTTTGTTTTTTAATGGAGTCTCCCTCTGTCACCCAGGCTGGAGTTCAGTGGCACCATCTTGGCTCACTGCAACCTCTGCCTCCCGGGTTCAAGCGATTATTCTGCCTCAGCCTCCCAAGTAGCTGGTACTACAGGCACACACCACCACGTCCGGCTAATTTTTGTGTTTTTAGTAGAGACAGAGTTTCACCATATTGGCCAGAATGGTCTCGAACTCCTGACCTTGTGATCCACCCACCTTGGCCTCCCAAAGTGCTGGGATTACAGGTGTGAGCCACCGCGCCTGGCCAGGGTATTTTGTTTTTAATCCATTCAGCCAGGCTGTATGTTTTAAGTGGAAAGTTTAACTCATTGACATTAACAGTAATTATTGACATGTGAGGGCTTATTCCTGTCATTTTATTAATTGATTTCTGGTGTTTTATACATCCTTTATTTCTTTTTTTCTTACTGTTCCTCATTATAGTTTGATGGTTTTCTGTATTTGTATCATTTGAGTCATTTTTCTCATTTGTGTGTTCTTTGTACCAGTGGGTTTTATAGTTTTGTGTGTTTTCATGATGGTAAGTATCATTCTTCACTTATTTTGTGTAGGACTCCCTTAAGCATTTCCTCTAGGCCTATCTTAGTGATGATGAATTCCTTTAACTTTTGTTTTTCTAGGAAATACTTTATTTCTTCTTCATTTATTAAGGATAGCTTTTCTGGCTGTAGTATCTTGGCTAGCAGGTGTCTTTTTGTTTGTTCATTTTTGTTTTTGTTTTTTTTTTCCAGCACATTAAATATATCATCTTATTATCCGTTGACCTGTAAAGTGTCTGCTGAAGAATTCATTGTTCATTTTATGGCAGTTCTGCTACAAGTAACTACAAGGCTTTCTCTTGCTGTTTTTAGAATTCTTTATTTGTCTTTGACCTTTCACAGTTTGACCATACTGTGCTATGGAGAAGACCTTAAATTGTATCTATCTGGAGATCTTTGAGCTTTCTTATCTGTATGTCTAAATCTCTTGCTAGAATTTTTTTCTAGTGATTATTTTGTTAAATTGCTTTCTATTACTTTGATATTTCTCTTCACTTTCTGGGACACCACAAATGCAAATATTTGTTTGCTTTATGGTGACCCAAATGTCAAATAGGCTTTTCTCATTATTTTTGATTCATTTTTCTATATTTTTGTCTGACTGGTTTTTTAGACCTTTCTTTCTTTGCTATAAAAACTACCCAAGACAAGGTAATTTATAACAAAAAGAGGTTTAATGGGCTTACGATTCTGCAGGCTGTACAGAAACCATGGCACTGGGCATCTGTTTGGCTTCTTATAAGGCTTCAGGAAAGCTCCAATCATGGCAGAAGACAAAGGGGGAGTAAGCACATCACATGGAGAAAGCAGGAGTAAATAGGAGAGAAAGATAGTGGGGGCTCCAGGGGGAGTCACACAATTTTAAATAGCCAGATATCATTTGCTGTGGTTTAGCTGTGTCCCTGCCCAATCTCATTTTGAGTTGTAGCTCCCATAATCCCATGTTGTGGGAGGGACCTGGTGGGAGGTAATTGAATCATGAGGGTGAGCCTTTCCCATGCTGTTCTCATAAATAGTGAATAAGTCTCATGAGATCTGATGGTTTTATAAAGGGGAGTTCCCCTGAACATGCTCTCTTGCCTGATGCCATGTAAGATGTGACTTTGCTCCTCATTTGCCTTCCACCATGATTGTCAGGCCTCCGAGCCATGTGGAATTGTGAGTCAGTTAAACCTCTTTCCTTTATAAATTACCCAGTCTTGGGTATGTCTTTATTAACAGCCTGAGAAAGGACTAATACAGCAAACTGGTACCAGGTAGTGGGGCACTGTGTAAAGATACCCAAAAATGTGGAAGCAACTTTGGAACTGGATAATAGATAGAGGTTGGAACAGGTTGGAGGGCTCAGAAGAAGACAGGAAAATGTGGGAAAGTTTGGAACTTCCTAGAGACGTGGAGGAGTCACAAGATAGGCAGATGTAGGAAGGTTTGGAACTTCCTAGAGACTTGTTGAATGGCTTTGACCAAAATGTTAATAGTGATATAGACAATAAGGTCCAGGCTGAGGTGGTCTCAGATAGAGATGAGGAACTTGCTGGGAACTGGAGTAAAGGTCACTCTTGTTATGCAAAGACACTGATGGCATTTTGCCCCTGCCCTAGAGAACTGTGGAACATTGAACTTGAGAGACATGATTTAGGGTATCTGATGGAAGAAATTTCTAAGTGGCAAAGCATTCAAGAGGAAGCAGAGCATAAAATTTTGAAAAATTTGCAGGCTGACTATGCAATAGAAAAGAAAACACTATTTTCTGGGGAGAAATTCAAGCTGGCTGCAGAAATTTGCATAAGTAATGAGAAACCAAGTGTTAATCAACAAGACAATGGGGAAATATCTCCAGGCCATGTCAGAGACCTTCATAGCAGCCACACCTATCACAGTCCTGGAGACCTAAGAGGGAAAAATGGTTTCCTGGCTGGGCCCAGGGTCCCCCTGTTCTATGAAGCCCTGGGTCAGCGTACCCTGCATCCCAGCTGCTCCAGCTCCAGCCATGGCTAAAAGAGGCCAATATACGGCTCAGGCCATTGCTTCAGAGGGAGGAAGTTCCAAGCCTTGGTGGCTTACACATGATATTGAGACTGTGGGTACACAGAAGTCAAGAATTGAGGTTTGGAAACGTCCATCTAGATTTCACAGGATGTATGGAAACACCTGGATATCCAGGCAGAAGTTTGCTACAGGGGTGGTTCTCTCATGGAGAACCTCAGCTAAAGCAACATGGAAGGGAAATGTGGGGTTGTAACCACCACACAGAGTTCCCACTGGGGCACTGCCTGGTGGATCTGTGAGAAGAGGGCCGCCATCATCCAGATTCCAGAATGATAGATTCATGGGCTGCTTGCACTTTGCATGTGGAAAAGCCACAGCCCCTTAATGCCATCCCATGAAAGCAGCTAGGAAGGGGGCTGTACCCTATAAAGCCACAGGGGCAGAGTTGCTTAAGTCTCTGGGAACCCACATCTTTCATCAGCATGACCTAGATGTGAGACACAGAGTCAAAGGAGACCATTTTGGAAATCTAAGGTTTAATCACTGGCCTACTGAATTTTGGACTTCCATAGGGCCTGTAGTCCCTTTATTTTGGCCACTTTCTCCCATTTGGAACAGGTATATTTACCGAATCCCTGTATCACCATTGTATCTGGGAAGTAACTAACTTGCTTTTGATTTTACAGGCTCATAGGTGAAAGGGACTTGCCCTGTCTCTGATGAAACTTTGAACTGTGGACTTTCAAGTTAATGCTGAAATGAGTTAAGACTTTGGGGAACTGTTGGGAAGGCATGATTGGTTTTGAAATATGAGGACATAGGATTTGGTAGGGGCTGGGTGTGGAATGATATAGTTTGGCTGTGTCCCCATCCAAATCTCTTCTTGAATTCTAGCTCCCATAATTCCCATGTGTCCTGGGAGTAACTGGTGGGAAGTAATTGAATCATGGAAGCAGGTCTTTTCTGTGCTGTTGTTGTGATAGCGAGTAAGTCTCATGAGATCACATGGTTTTTATAACGGGGAGTTGTCCTGCACATGCTCTCTTGCCAGGACCACATAAGACGTGACTTTGCTCCTTCTGTGTCCACTGCCATGATTATGAGGCCTCCCTATCCATGTGGATCTCTGAGTCAATTAAACATCTTTCTTTTATAAATTATCCAGTCTCGGGTATGACTTTACTAGCAGCATGAGAACAGACTAATACATTATGTGAACTCAGAGTGAGAGCTCACTTATCACCAAAGAAGATAGCCTAAGCCATTCATGAAAGATTCATCTCCATGATCCAAACATCTCCCACCAGGCCCTGCTTTCAACACTGAGGATTACAATTCAACATGACATTTGGACAAGGACAAATATCCAAACCATATCAATCAGTTCTTTCAAAAGACCTTCAAGTCCAGAAATTCTTTCCTCTGATTGATCTAGCATATTGTTAAAGATTTCAAATGTATTTTGTGTATCCTTCAATAAATTTTTCAGTTCCAGAATTTGTTTTGTTATATTAAAAGGTATTTTTGGTAAATTTATCATTCATATACTGAATTTTTTTCTCATTTCTTTGTGTTGAATATCTGAGAACTGTTATATCTCACTTTCTTTAATATTAGTTTAATTTTTTCTCCAGAATTGTATGCATTTATTTTTTATTGGAAGTTATTGCTGTAGAATTATCATGTTCCTTTGGAGATGGCATGTTTCTTTGCTTTTTTATGTTTCTTTTGTCCTTACATTGATATCTGCTGTAACAGTCACTTCTTCCAGTTTTTAAATTTGCTTTTATAGTGGAGAACTTTTTCCTGAATATATATATATATATATATATATATTATATATGTATGTGTGTGTATATATATATGGTGTTGGTTGGGTAGGACACTTTGCTTCTGGGTACATGCAGTAGTGTAGTCCCCATATGATTTCTTCAGCTTCAAACAATATCAGAAATTTCTGTGATTTCCTTAGTGGCTTACACCATGGTTGTTAGTGGAAGTTGTGGCAAAATTTTTCTGGGAACAGGGAAGTTGGGTGGGCCAATCCTCATGCCCCATTGTTGGCAGTGGTGGGGCAAGCATGCTTGTCTTTGGCCCCAGAGCAGCATACATTGGCACTGGTGTTAATGGCTTCAGGCAGACTGATTATTTGGCTTCCAAGGAGCTTGCAGGGGCAGCGGTTTGCCAGGTGTGTGGGTGGGACATCCGGCTCCCAAGCATGAGAATGGTATGATTAATGGTGGTAGCAGTGGTGGGACAATCCTTTGGCTCTCAAGTGGTCTGCACTGTTGTTGGTGGTGGCTGTGATGACTGGGTGGGCCAATGTCCAAGCCTACAGGTGGTCTATATGGATGGGTACAGGTGTGGTGGTAGAAGCAGGTTTGGTGGACCTGTTCTCATGCCCCTAGGAGGAGTGTTCAGGTACCACCTGAACACTGGTAGTGGATAGGGCAGAGAGAGTCTCAGTCTTCCAGACCATGTGCTCAGGCTCTGAGGAGGGTAAAACTGGGCTGGGTGGGGTTGTTGTCAGTGACAAAAGTCATAAACAGGCTGGGGAGCATGAGCTTTGGCCCCATGTGGTAGCTGCAACAGGACAGCCTATCCTCAGGGCACTTATGCATGTGGTACAATCCTGCTACTGGGAGTGGTGGGATCGCTGCCAATGCCTTGCACTTTGGATCTGGCAGCAGCACCCAGCAGTGGTGCCCAACAGAGGTCAAGGATGTCAATGGGGCTCCAGGGATGTGGAGATGCAGGAGGTTTTGGGTACCAAGGCAGGATGCAGTCTGGTAAGGGCTCAGCTCTCCAAATGACACTGTACAGCAGCTGCTTAGAACGTGGAGGATGTGTGGGACCCAGTGTGAGCTTATTTGGAATACTGTCATTGCATGGTCTCTAGGCAGCTTCCTATGTTAGTCTCAGGGCCCACTTGAATTGAGAGGCTCTTTCATGGCTAGGATTGCCAAAGTCTGTTGTGGGAATGTGAACTGCTAGGGGTCACTCACCCTCCCTGACACTGGGGTGCCTCTCTGGGCTCCCAGCCAATCCCAGCAGAGCAGGCTTCCTCACTTCCCTCTCCTTCCTTGCCTTGGATGTTTCCTGTCATTTCTCTGTTGAATTCCAGAATTCTCTCATAGGTAATATATTCAAAGCTTATTTATCTACTCATTATTTTGGTTCTTTGTTGGGGAGGCAAGTCCCAGATGCCTTTAGTCAGCCATCTTGAAGCCCATTCCTCTAATACAGAGTTTTGACATACGCATACATTGTGAAATTGCTAAATCAAGCAAATTAACATAAGAATTACCTTCTATACCTATTTTTTTGTGTGTGGTGAAAACATTTACAATCTACTCTCAGCAATTTTTGAGTATACAACATGTTGTTATTAACTATATTCTTAACAATGTACAGTAGATCTCATAAAATTATTCCTCTTATCTGACATTTTGTACCCTTTGGCCAAAATCTATTCAATCTCCCCTTTCTAGTAACCATAACCTTAAAAAAGAAGGAAAGAAAATCCTGTCATTTATGACAACATAGATGAACCTGTAAGACATTATGGTAAGTGAAATAAGCCAGCCACAGAAAGATAAATGCCACATGATCTCATGTGTATGTGCATTCTAGAAAGATGAACTCATAGAAGCAGAAACCAGAATGTAGGTTGAATACTTATTTTTGAACATTTATCATGGCCCAAATGTTGTTTTGAATTGAGAAAGCATGTCACAGAAAGTAGAGTTGGAAATATCATCCTTAAAGGGCAGAAAATATGCCTAGTTTTCCTAGGTTGGAGCAAATACAGTGAAGGCAGGTATAATTGTAAATACAATCATAGAGGACAGCAATTTAAATAAGTTCAATTTTGGCACCCATGATCATTTCAGTGATGCCACACATAATCAATTTTGAGATAGAAAACTTTTGTAGATTAGAAAAGTTTTATCTAGAGAAGTAAAATGTACATTTTGTTTTAAAAATAATTTTTATAAAAATGTGTGCCAACTGGTTAATGGTACCTGAAAGCATCATTAACCTGAAAGTGCTTGAGAGGTCCCTGGGTTTAGCGGATATCAGAGAATTAGGGAGTGGGGTGCCACCGTCCTCCAGGATTGTATGCCTTTCTGTAACACCATTCAGAAACCAAATTTAGGAGCAAATGAGATAGAATCATCTAAGTTAAAAAGTACAGGGTCCTGTGGGATTCAAAGGCATGAAGATCAGGATATAGAATGTTAGCAAAAGAGTGGATATAGTATTGCATTTTATTGTGGAGGCAAGGAAATGATGTCATTGAAAGAGTGAGAAAGAAGAAATTGCTACTTCCATTTCTGTTTCCCATGATTAATTGTGAGTGCTTTGAGATCAAAGTATATATTTCTTTTTGCTATGTATGCATAGTACCTTCTCTGGCATATAGTAGTACTCAATTGAATTGAATTGAATTTGTAAAAGAAACTTTGATTTAAAAATTGACAAAACTTCCACAGTTTATAAAAGTATATTTTTGAACACTGAAAATGGGTTAAAGCCACAGTATCCACATTTTCTTTCATAACCAGATACTAGTGAGGCAATGGAAATTGCTTTCTGTAATGAGTTACAGTGATTTCTATTTAGGGGCAGAAGTTGTCCACTGACAGGCTAGACTTTCTCACAGAAATCTCTCCAAAACCATGCATTTTAAGCTTTTTTGGATAGTATTGAATAAAGGAATCAAAAGTAGAAAGGCTAACACTGAAAAGAATGGCATGATGCTCTGTGTTATTCTTTTTCATGTGTGAGATGTAATATAGGTAGAAAGACAAATAGCCACTGATAACATTTAAAGAAAACCAAGTGAGAACTGTAGTGTGGGTATATTTAAAATTCCTAAGTATGAAAGGAAAGGAATAACCTATCATGAGGTTAAACTCTCTTTTGTTCTGCTTCTGCTTTTAAATACAGCATGTGACAGGTTCTGCAATAACATGAGACTTAAAAGTAACACAGTGCTTGAAGTAGCACTTTACACTTTGACTGCCCAGTGAAGAAATGTATGTGTTACCGTGAGGTTTTTTTCTTAGTATATATTAGCAACATTTTTACAATGCTGGCTAAGCTAATGTTTCACTAATGCACAAAAAATAAATGTTTATCAAAGGCAACTATTTTATAGCATGAATAGAGAATTTTGCAATAAAAAATTGCTGCACTTCATTGCATTCTAGTAATTATTGGTTTAATGGAACTAAGACAAGTTTCTTGAAAAACCTTATTAACTTTAATTAATTAATTTATTTATTTATTTTTGAGATGGAGTCCCGCTCTGTCACCCAGGCTGGAGTGTAGTGGTACGATCTCAGCTCACGGCAACCTCCACCTCCTGGGCTTTTAAGTGATTCTCCTGCCTCAGCCTTCTGAGTAGCTGGGATTATGCACGCCTGCCACCATGCCCGGCTAATTTTCATATTTTTAGTAGAGATGGGGTTTCACTTTGTTGGCCAGGCTGGTCTTGAACTCCTGACTTCAAGTGATCCACCCCCCCTCAGCCTCCCAAAATGCTGGGATTACAGGTGTGAGTCATCGTGCCTGGCCCTGATTAACTTGAAAAGCTTAGCTTTATTGTCAGAATTCTAAAACTGAATACTTGTAAAGACAAGGTTAAAATGTCCTGTAAAACTTAAACTATGTTTTTTTCTTTCTAAAATATTATTTGTATTTTTCTAGCAGCAAGTTTTGTTTTTGTTTCAAAATGTGCTATGTAAAAAAAAAATAAGAAATAAATAACAATCATTTCTCAGCCTTTTTGCTAAGATCAAATATAGGAATCAACATATTCAAACAACTCCATTATGTATGTTTGTTTATATATATGCATATATATGTACATTTCATTTAAATAACAGAAAGATAAATTCTATAGACTCATAGGGTATAAAAAGAATTTTTAGAAATCTTCTAAAATAATCCCTTTATTTTATAGAAAATCAAGTGAGGATCAGAGAGATAAAATATCCAAATAAATGGATTTAGTTAAAAAATATTTTCACTTTCAGCATATACATTTGTATTAGTCTGTTTTCATGCTGCTGATAAAGACATACGTGAGACTGGGAAGAAAAGGAGGTTTAATTGGACTTGAAAGCAGTTCCACATGACTGGGGAGGCCTCAGAATCATGGCGGGAGGTGAAAGGTACCTCTTACATGGCAGCAGCAAGAGAAAATGTGGAAGATGCGAAAGTGGAAACCCCTGATAAATCCATCAGATCTCATGAGAGACTTATTCACTACCATGAAAACAGTATGGGAGAAACCACCCCCATGATTCAAATCATCTCCCACTGGGTCCCTCCCACAACATAACATATGGGAATTATAAGAGTACAATTCAAAATGAGATTTGGGTGGGGACACAGAGCCAAACCATATCAACATTCATATACTGGCTGATATTTTTTGAAGAAAAAATGATTCTAAATGAAAATGCATACATAAATTGAAAAATTAATACAAAATAATGGACTGCCAATAGAACAGAGGAAGTATTATTGCATTGATTCTGTCCAACTCATGCTCTGTGGGTAACAAAAATATACTGACTCCTTATTTTTGAAGATTTTATGAATTAAAAGTCAGAAAAAGCAAAAGCAAAATGAGTTAATGTGACACAAATTATTCCAACCTATACCTTGTAAGAAACTTAGAAGTACAATTGTATGCTTATGTTTCTGTATTTCTAATTTTTGGAAACATGAACATAAATAATATTATGTATATGGATTAGTTAAGTCACTTATTTTTGACTTATTATCCCAGTATATTCTAGAAAATGAAAAGGAGAAATTTTAGACAAGCTCACAGCTGCCCCTTCAGTACCTAGCATTGTACTTGATGTTGAAAAATGATTTTGAATTAGTAAGTGAATGAGTAGATGCTTGATGGAAGAAAGATGTGTTAGGCTCATATGTGGTGTATGTTCATTGTACCTTCTAACAGCAGGCATCTTGCTAAAGCTTAAGCAATTTCTGGTGTCCCTGCCTAAATATATTTAGGAAACAATTATAGCCATTAGTTAATTTTCATAACAGATTTTGAGCCTATTTCAATGCTGAGGCAAACAGTAGAACCACTATATTCAAATGCTGGGAGAAACCTGAGGTCACTTATTCTAGACACATCATTTTGCTGTTGAAGCTGGAGCCCAGCAAAGTTAAATAACTTCCCTACAATCATACAGCTAATAGTGCAGAGAATGGGAGTGCTTGCCTTTTCCTACTTCAGTGTTCTTGTCACTATCCAACACTATAAATAAAAACTGGAAGGCTCTAATTTTTTTCCCTAACTTTATCTTAGTTTTTTTCTCTGTTTGTTTTTCCATGTAAGTCAGAATCACTTTAAAAAATTAAATGTCCATCAATGATAGACTGGATTAAGAAAATGTGGCACATATACACCATGGAATACTATGCAGCCATAAAAAAGGATGAGTTCATGTCCTTTGTAGGGACATGCATGAAGCTGGAAACCATCATTCTGAGCAAACTATCTCAAGGACAGAAAACCAAACACCACATGTTCTCACTCATAGGTGGGAATTGAACAATGAGAACACTTGGACACAGGATGGGGAACATCACACACCTGGGCCTGTTGTGGGGTGGGGGGAGGGGGGGAGGGATAGCACTAGGAGATTTACCAATGTAAATGACGAGTTAACGGGTGCAGCACACCAACATGGCACAATTATACATATGTAACAAACCTGCACGTTGTGCACATGTATCCTAGAACTTAAAGTATAATTAAAACAAAAAGAAAAAGAAAAAAATGGTCTTTAAGTAATGGGCATCTACCTAAAGGCAGTTTAGCTGAAGCTGTTATTGGAGGTAAACTTAACTCAAATGTATGTAACTATCATTTTTATCATTGAGCGTTTGCTGTAGGTAGACCCACTTCTGAGTGCCTTATAACATTACCATTATTATTTTATTTAGTCCCCACTCTAACCCTATAAAATTAGTTCTATATTACTGCCATTTGTTTGGGTAAAAGGAAATTATAGTGGTGGGAAGTTCAGTGGTTCATCTAAAGTCACAATAAACAGGAAGGCTAACATACGGTTAGTAGTGCCAACTACTTCCAGAAGAGTTTAAGAAGTTTCCTTTCTGAAGCTAGCTTGGTCATCATGCCTCAGATTGCATGTTTCTCAGCCTGGATTGATCTTGTTGGGGTCCTTTGGGTTACAGCACAGCTCTAAAAAGGAATGCTTGGGTGGCAGCTAATGCCAGATTATTACACCTATTTGGCAATCATATGTATCTTTTACATAGTTCAAATATAATGAGTGTTATAGAATATCACATTTTAAAGTAAATTCATAAATTTTTATTTAATTTTATTATTTTGAACAAAATGTGCTCACTTAGTTCAATGTAAAGGAAACTTAAATGTTTTATAAGCTGGTTATTGACTTACTGGACCTCACAGAGCTCTTACAAAACATTATTTAAAGAAGCTAAGTGTAAATATACTGGAAACATATGAATTAAATTTCCCTTGAAATGTAGTGGGTTTAAAAATTGGGAGGAAAGTGTTTGGCCAAAGCATTTTATGTTTTGCCAAACCCCGGGTGTTTGAACAAATAGTTTTAAACATTTTATTGAAGCAAAATGCTACTGAGTATACACATTCCTTAAAAACTTGTATTTATTTTTTGACTCATAACCCATATTATGTTGGTGAAAATGAAAGGGTTCTGGGACAATGCATCAAACTATCTAGAGTATTATTGTAAATTGATAATTTAGCAGTGGTCAAGGATTGACAGAGCGAAGCAAAGTGTCCTCTACTCAAGCTAATAGCCATAGAACAGCACACTCATAAGGTTTGTTTTTCCATGAGAGAAAAACCATATACAATGATTTTAGAAAACAAAAACCTGGTTCTCAAATGTAATGACTCTAATCATTGTAAATGTGGCTCAAATTGACTAAATGGGTAATGAAACAATTTTAAGAATGTTACCTGGCCACAATAGAATAATGAAAAATGTGTGTGTGTGTGTTCATGTGTGTGTGTAGTTATTTAGTCAAATTAGAACCAAAACACATAAAACAGAATCAGCAATACCCTACTTCCTTCACAATGAATAAGCCCCAATTTATAAGTACTCTGGTGGGAAAATATTTATAAAACCATATTCTGCGATTGCAGGTGGGTATGACCTACCAAATCCATGCTTCTGCTGGGTGATCCACTATGGCTTCACTTCTCTGCAGTTTAATGAACTTATGTTTGCTTTGTGTCTACTTTTAAAAATTAAATATCTCAGAGTGTTAGGTCATTGTTACCTAATTCCTTAGTAAGAATTGTTTGAAAATTATTTGTGGCTGGATTGACAGCTGACTGGAAACAAGGCTTTGTGGGACTAGATTCTGGTCTAACAATCAGATGGAAAATGTCTGGGACATGTAAAAACTCTCACTGTAAATGTTCTGCAGCATGAAAAGGCTTGCCTGGCACTTTTAGTCAGAAATTCACCAAAATTTCTTCATGGTTGGGTCTTGCACTCTTTATGGGGCATAGTACTTCCCATGACCACATCAGGGTACATGCTAGAATATTCTTCCCTAACTCTGCTGTTAGGCAGTAAATTCATTCTTCTTTCATTTCTCAGATTAAACATTACTTACAAGGAAATAATTGGGACCACTCTAGCTAAAGGGGGTTCCCAGTGGTTTCAGTTAGCTTCTATCTTATCTTCTTTTTTCTTTCTTTTATAGCACTTACTAGAATTTTGAATTATTATGTTTATTATTTAAAAGTTTAAAATTTATGTCATCCACCAGAGGAGTTCTGTGGAGAAGGGTAATGGAGTTCTGTGGAGAAGGGTAATGCCAGTCAAGCTCAGCACTGCCTCCCTAGTGCCTAGAGTTACTTGTGCTTGGGATTGAACAAATACTTTTGAATGAATGAGTAATTGCCTGATGGAAGAAAGGTGAACAGGCTCCTATGTGGTATAAATTCATTGTACTTAGCAACCTCAGGCATCTTGCTGAAGCATAAGCAAATTATGAGGTTCCTGCCAAGCAGGAAATTAGCAAATGAACTTTACATGAACTGAGCCAATGGCCACTGTTATAGCACCATATTCTATTTCTTTACTCAGGGTATGAGCTTGAATAAATATATCTCCTGGACGGCACTTCCAGAAGGTTTGGAAATTTCCCAATAAACTGTTGATCAGATTTATAGATATGATCAGCCAATGCCTGGAGAGAAGCAGATTGAGGGAGAGGCTCAATCTAAAGGACTGAGATTCTGTACTTCAGTAAAGTACCTTTAGCCTTCCATGTGTTCAAGCAGCTGAATGGAAAGGAAGGGATGGAGCAGGGTGTAATGCTTCCTGTAAAACTGACTGCAGATTCGATCACTTTGGAAAAGACTAACGAACATCTCTACTGACCTGTAATCAGTTCGTTTTCCAGGCAAGGACTTCACGAAAACAGTGGCCCAAAATACTGAGCTTCAATGGAGTCCTCTTGCCATGAGAAAAATCTCTGACTATCCTCTAGGCAGACACATAAGGTTTATTTGAACATTCAAGCAACTGAAAAAGAAATTCTCAGGATCTTTCTCTCTATTTACCATCATCAAGCTCTGTCTTCTAACTCTAACATCTTTTATTTTCCACCCCAGTTTTAAATCAGTCTCTTGTGTCCTCCTGTCTTGCTGCACATATTATTTTGGCTCTACCATGTGCCCAGACATAGGAAATATAGAAGTAAACTAGAAAGTTTCCTTTTCTCATGGAATGTATACCCTTTTCTGTGAACCTCAACAACCTAGGACCACATTCATGAGTGGAAAAACTCAAGGCAGGCAGGCTGTTTTATGATTTTCCTAGCTTTCAGGTCCATCCTCCTATTTCTTATGTTGAGAGGAATACATGCAAAGGAGGGATCTGGGAGGTTGAATTCCTGCACAGAGCTCGGTGTCATTTTCCCATTGCCATAAAAGAAAAAACCCCGATGGGTAATGAGTGGGAATGCGGCAGGCATAGTGACTGTGTGGGGTGTTAGGAGGGAAGTGCAAGTTGGCAAAGAAGCCAGCATCCTCTCCAGACTTGGCTGGTTGCTTGCTGAAACTGCCTTCGGTTTTCTACCAGCATATCTGTCTCTCACTTCCTTCTAGCCTCATTTTTAACTCCCACAGTTCCCCATATTTGGTGTCCATTCATAATAAAGAGTTAGAAATCCAAATGTTGATCATTTTCCAGACAATAAATTTATAATTTCAAATTGGACTGAAACTGGCTCATAGATTCTCTATTTTCCCCTGATTTTTGTTTTGAGATGCCTGAAATCACATTGGCAAGTAAAAGGAGAGGCCAAAGGTTTAGAGGGACAATGTTTTCTCAATTAATGGAAGTTGTAGTGAACGCTTAATAACAGTAAAGATAAAAAATACTGGTTCAGCCAATAAAAATCCCTTTATATTAGAGGTATTTACCAAATATTTGATACTTTTGATGGGCATTCAATTTATAGGCCATATTAGTTTAACATTAAGATTGAAGTTAAGCAAATATCATCAAATTGACTGGGGTTGCACACACATACTTTTTTTCTTTTTGGTAAAGTGAGACTGGTGTATTAAAAAGGTAAAATATTTACAAATAAGTTATCTTTATAGTCTTATATACTCATTCTACATTTGGCAAAATTCTTTACTTATTATTCTTTGTAACTAGTCTAAATTATTTTTTTCCTGGAGAGAAATAATTTTGCCACGTTAAAAATATAACATAAGAGAATTATGAAATGGAAATTTGGCATACCTGACAGGTCTACACACATTTATTGAGTATTTATTCAAATTAATTTAAATGTATTTTATTAATGGCATAGTCCTGTGTGGGGAAACTACCTTTTTTCACTTTCATTTTAGGTTCAAGGGTGTATGTGCAGGGAAACATGTTTATCATCTGCTCAGATTTCCAAGTGAAAAAACTCTCTGGCTTAAAGCAATACTTGGTCCCTTTCTCACTACTCACTTACACACACATCTCCATAGGCAGAGGATTAAATTACTTGCAAAATTTGATAGAAGGAATTATGTACATTAATCTCCATTTTCCTCTTTATTTTGATGGCTGCCTCAAAAATCACATATTTGTGCTGTCAGTATGAAGCTTGTTGGGGAGAAGTCTTGACTTTTTTACATCTGTGCAAGTATGTTTAATTCTAGTTTGAAGTGTTTGCAAGCCCTTTATGCTGTAAATTTAAAGCAAGTTCTCTAAATAGCCTTTCAATAATAAACCTGATATTTTCATTTCAGTGTCTCTGAGTTTTGTGCTTTCTATTTCAATTAATTCCTAACTCAAGAGGGGAAGGAAGATGTTATTCAAATTCAAAATCCCAATACACCCAAAAAATTGTTTTAATTTTCTTTTACAATAGTATGATATATATTTCATATATTAACCTAATCCAAACGTGTAAACACTAAAATGTATATGTGTATGTGCGTTCATGCACATGTATCCACACATTTAAGAATCCTCATAAAAGCTTTCTGTAAATAATTTTTTCCCACATCGAATCAGCTCTCAGTTGGACGATAAAGTATGTTTTTATTCTGATTAAAACCTGGTTTTCATAGATTTAGGTTATGTATAACTTAAAAGTAACTTTCTCATGATGTGTGCAATATTTTTATAGTAATGAGTCTATGTAAACTATACTTAGGTGAAAAGATGAATGTAACTTAAATAAAAATATGTTTAAAAACTTCAAAGATATATAATGTTCATCCTTTGTAAATTATTTTAATTAATTGAAGCTACTTAAATTATTTTACTTATCTAATTAATTTATAAGTATTCTTAATTTTCAAAAGTTAACATTATTTTGAAGTAGTTTAAAGTAATTTGAAAATATTTTCAAAGATGAATCTGGGTCTACATTAAACAATTGTTTTGAGATTATTAGGCCTTAAAGACCTGTATTCTTAATTTCTCCATTATAATTTTTCTCATGGAAGTCAATTTACTAATGTGTAGAAGCTATAGGGTTGATGGAATTCATGAACTTATTGCCTGTCCAACAGAATACTTTTGAGTAGAAATGATGACAAGGACATACAGTTAATAAGTTAATTTGGAAATATAAGTATTATTCCTTCTATATAATAAATAAAAAGAATATTTTGGGGCTTCAGTCTTTCACTTTTAGCAGTATTTGTCTCATTGGTTGTTCTCATTTTGTATTCTTTTTCACCTATATCAATGAAATTGTGTCACTTTTTCTTCTACATCTCTGATGTCTCCTAGGTCATATACTTTATAGGTGTATCTTCTGTTCTCTAGTTATTAAATGTTTATGTTTCTCAAGGAATAGCCCTAAGTCTTCTTTCTACTTAATTTGCATTATCTCCCTAGCTGTATGCATGCATTACACATGAACTTCTCTAGCTTAGACAGTTTGCATTTATATTGCTAGTCTTAATCTTTCCTCTCAGCGCAGATGGATATAATATATTTAGCATTATCACCCATTTATGTAAAGGCTCCTCACATCTTGTCCCAATATCTCCACTATTCCTTCACTTTCTCAAGTTAGAAATCGAAGAGTCAGCATCTACAACTTCCTTTCCCTTAGTCTCTATATCCAATCCTTTCTCATGTCTCATTAAATATGTCTTCCATATCACAATAATCCATGTTCTTTTCCATTGTGATCATATTAGTCCAAGTCGCATAATTTCAGCCATTATCAATGGTGATTTAACATGGCTATTATTATAAACATCTGACTATTTAAAACATGTATGTTAATTTCAGCAAAATGTGAAGAGAAAAGTGCCTAGGATACAATTTTGGTTATGTAATGTTATATCATTAATATGATTTTAGTCAGAAAAATGGGGAGTACTAATTGATTCATTCCTTTGGAGATAGTATCCAATCAGAAGTACTTTGCAACCATAAGTAACATTTAAATCATTTATCCTTCTGCCTACTTGGTAAATTGCAGTAAGTTTACCAAGACGAAGATCTTTTGGTTATACTGAAAACAAAATAGATATTCTAATAAGACTCGAATTATTTTTAAGTGTGTGTATGGCATTTCTTGTAGGACTTGGTGATGTGTGAACATCATTAAATAGTGGGAGAGAGCTTTGTATCTGAGTTAGATCTGAATTTAAACTCTAACTTTGGTTGATTACTTTTGTATAACCTTGCATAGTTTCTTTAATTGCTTTCTACTTTGGTGTCCTCATCTGTAAAAGGGTAATAATAATATCTTCTCTTGGGTTGTTAGAAGTATCAACTAAAATACAATTAATGAAGCACTTATTATGAGGTCTAGCTCCCACAGCATGGTGAGCAATGCTAAAATTACATGTTATGGAAAATATTATTTTAAGTTTTTATTTTGTTTAAATTACACTGTGCAGACAGATTAGAACCTAAATTTAATCCTAAATTACCTTAATTCCATTAAGAAAATAATTTGATATATGGTTTGCTTTTTAATATATGCTTTTTAAAACTTGCTGAGTATGTTCCGTTTATTTTAAGGTGACTGAAATACTAGAAAGGAAGTGATTAGGCATACATTATAAATAAATTAATTAAAAATATCTGGTACCTGTCTTTTGCATACTTCTTAACAACCTGTCATAGCTCTGTTATAAGTTACTTTAGAAAGTAAACCTCTAGTAATGCATGCTTATCTTTATAAACCAATAGTAAAACACCAATTGTGCCAATGTGCAATTGTTTACTAAATTTTAAATCATCTGAATTTTGAATTTGGAAATTTCAAGCCAAAAGAACTGACTAAATATAATTTGCCTTTTTTGGATATTTTTGTTTTGCTCATATTTTTTTTTCTAAGTAGACTGTTTCATGCCCAATTTTCTTCATTCAACATATTTTACAAAAAGCATATGGAAAAGCTGTTTTATATCTCCCATCAGGCATGTGGAGGTTGGTGAAAAAACAGATCATAAGAAAACATTTAAAAATTACATGAAATACATTCAAGATGTGAAAGAGAAACCAACGGCAGATTTTGCATGGCCTGGCATTTAGGAGTGACAAAAACATTGGCTCCAAAGTTATAATTACACTTTTGCTGAAATTACTAAAAATAAATTAAATTGTATAGCAATATTTATTTTCTGCTTTCTATAATTTTCATGGTCCAAAAAAAATATTCAATTACCTTTTGAGATAGGTTACTGATTTTTAATATATTTTAGGTGTCTGCTAATATTTAAATGAAACAGAAAAAGCAAATACAGTTCTTCTGGACCAACAGCTATATAACAATCATATCATTTGGATTAGAAACTGAAAACCGGTGGGAGCCAAGATGGCCAAATAGGAACAGCTCCGGTCTACAGCTCCCAGCGTGAGCGACGCAGAAGACGGGTGATTTCTGCATTTCCATCTGAGGTACCGGGTTCATCTCACTAGGGAGTGCCAGACAGTGCGCGCAGGACAGTGGGTGCAGGGCACCGTGCGCGAGCCAAAGCACAGCGAGGCATTGCCTCACTCGGGAAGTGCAAGGGGTCAGGGAGTTCCCTTTCCTAGTCAAAGAAAGGGGTGACAGATGGCACCTGGAAAATCGGGTCACTCCCACCCTAATACTGCGCTTTTCTGAAGGGCTTAAAAAATGGCACACCAGGAGATTATATCCTGCACCTGGCTCGGAGGGTCCTACACCCACGGAGTCTCGCTGATTGCTAGCACAGCAGTCCGAGATCAAACTGCAAGGTGGCAGCAAGGCTGGGGGAGGGGTGCCTGCCATTGCCCAGACTTGCTTAGGTAAACAAAGCAGCCTGGAAGCTTGAACTGGGTGGAGCCCACCACAGCTCAAGGAGGCCTGCCTGCCTCTGTAGGCTCCACCTCTGGGGGCAGGGCACAGACAAACAAAAAGACAGCAGTAACCTCTGCAGACTTAAATGTCCATGTCTGACAGCTTTGAAGAGAGCAGTGGTTCTCCCAGCATGCAGCTGGAGATCTGAGAATGGGCAGACTGCTTCCTCAAGTGGGTCCCTGACACTGAACCCCGAGCAGCCTAACTGGGAGGCACCCCCCAGTAGGGGCAGACTGACACCTCACACGGCCAGGTACTCCTCTGAGACAAAACATCCAGAGGAACGGTCAGACAGCAGCATTCGCAGTTCACAAAAATCCGCTGTTCTGTAGCCACAGCTGCTGATACCTAGGCAAACAGCATCTGGAGTGGACCTCTAGCAAACTCCAACAGACCTGCAGCTGAGGGTCCTCTCTGTTAGAAGGAAAACTAACAAACAGAAAGGACATCCACACCAAAAACCCATCTGTACATCACCATCATCAAAGACCAAAAGTAGGTAAAACCAGAAAGATGGGGAAAAAACAGAGCAGAAAAACTGGAAACTCTAAAAAGCACAGTGCCTCTACTCCTCCAAAGGAACGCTTTCCTCACCAGCAGTGGAACAAAGCTGGACCGAGAATTACTTCAACGAGTTGAGAGAAGAAGGCTTCAGACCATCAAACTACTCCAAGCTACAGGAGGAAATTCAAACCAAAGGCAAAGAAGTTAAAACTTTGAAAAAAATTCAGACGAATGTATAACTAGAATAACCCATACAGAGAAGTGCTTAAAGGAGCTGATGGAGCTGAAAGCCAAGGCTCGAGAACTACGTGAAGAATGCAGAAGCCTCAGGAGCTGTTGAGAACAACTGGAAGAAAGGGTATCACTGATGGAACATGAAATGAAGTGTGAAGGGAAGTTTAGAGAAAAAAGAATAAAAAGAAAATAACAAAGCCTCCAAGAAATATGGGACTATGTGAAAAGACCAAATCTACGTCTGATTGGTGTACCTGAAAGTGATGGGGAGAATGGAACCAAGTTAGAAAACACTCTGCAGGATATTATCCAGGAGAACTTCCCCAATCCAGCAAGGCAGGCCAACATCCAGATTCAGGAAATACAGAGAACACCACAAAGATACTCCTCAAGAAGAGCAACTCCAAGACACATAATTGTCAGATTCACCAAAGTTGAAATGAAGCAAAAAACATTAAGGGCAGCCAGAGAGAAAGGTCGGGTTACCCACAAAGGGAAGCCCATCAGACTAACAGTGGATCTCTCGGCAGAAACTCTACAAGCCAGAAGACAGTGAGGGACAATATTCAACATTCTTAGAGAACAGAATTTTCAACCCAGAATTTCATATCCAGCCAAACTAAGCTTCATAAGTGAAGGAGAAATAAAATACTTTACAGACAAGCAAATGCTGAGAGATTTTGCCACCACCAAGCCTGCCCTAAAAGAGCTTCTGAAGGAAGCACTAAACATGGAAAGGAACAACCGGTACCAGCCACTGCAAAATCATGCCAAAATGTAAAGACCATCGAGGCTAGGAAGAAACTTCATCAACTAACTAGCAAAATAACCAGCTAACATCATAATGACAGGATCAAATTCACACATAACAATATTAACTTTAAATGTAAATGGACTAAATGCTCCAATTAAAAGACACAGACTGGCAAATTGGATAAAGAGTTAAGACCTATCAGTGTGCTGTATTCAGGAAACCCATCTCACCTGCAGAGACACACATAGGCTCAAAATAAAAGGATGGAGGAAGATCTACCAAGGAAATGGAAAACAGAAAAAGGCAGGGGTTGCAATCCTAGTCTCTGATGAAACAGACTTTAAACCAATAAAGATCAAAAGAGACAAAGAAGGCCATTACATAATGGTAAAGGGATCAATTCAACAAGAAGAACTAACTATCCTAAATATATATGCACCCAATACAGGAGGACCCAGATTCATAAAGCAAGTCCTTAGTGACCTACAAAGAGACTTAGACTCCCACACAATAATAATGGGAGACTTTAACACCCCACTGTCAATATTAGACAGATCAACGAGACAGAAAGTTAACAAGGATACCCAGGAATTGAACTCAGCTCTGCACCAAGCAGACCTAATAGACATCTACAGAACTCTCCACCCCAAATCAACAGAATATACATTTTTTTCAGCACCACACCACACCTATTCCAAAATTGACCACATACTTGGAAGTAAAGCACTCCTCAGCAAAAGTAAAAGAACAGAAATTATAACAAACTGTCTCTCAGACCACAGTGCAATCAAACTAGAACTCAGGATTAAGAAACTCACTCAAAACTGCTCAACTACATGGAAACTGAACAACCTGCTCCTGAATGACTACTGGGTACATAACGAAATGAAGGCAGAAATAAAGATGTTCTTTGAAACCAACCAGAACAAAGACACAACATACCAGAATCTCTGGGACACATTCAAAGCAGTGTGTAGAGGAAATTTATAGCACTAAATGCCCACAAGAGAAAGCAGGAAAGATCCAAAATTGACACCCTAATATCACAATTAAAAGAACTAGAAAAGCAAGAGCAAACACATTCAAAAGCTAGCAGAAAGCAAGAAATAACTAAAATCAGAGCAGAACTGAAGGAAATAGAGACACAAAAAACCCTTCAAAAAATTAATGAATCCAGGAGCTTGTTTTTTGAAAGGATTAACAAAATTGATAGACCGCTAGCAAGACCAATAAAGAAGAAAAGAGAGAAGAATCAAATAGACGCAATAAAAAATGAGAAAGGGGATATCACCACCGATCCCACAGAAATACAAACTGCCATCAGAGAATACTACAAACACCTCTATGCAAATAAACTAGAAAATCTAGAAGAAATGGATAAATTCCTCGACACATACACCCTCCCAAGACTAAACCAGGAAGAAGTTGAATCTCTGAATAGACCAATAACAGGTTCTGAAATTGTGGCAATAATCAATAGCTTACCAACCAAAAAGAGTCCAGGACCAGATGGATTCACAGCCGAATTCTACCAGAGGTACAAGGAGGAACTGGTACCATTCCTTCTGAAACTATTCCAATCAATAGAAAAAGAGGGAATCCTCCCCAACTCATTTTATGAGGCCAGCATCATCCTGATACCAAAGCCGGGCAGAGACACAACCAAAAAGAGAATTTCCCTGATATAAATTATAATTAAATTTAATATGACAAATGTGGTTATGTCATAACAATGATTTCAACTTTCAATAAGAAAAATACCACTTCTAAAAATATGTGGTCCAGTTTTTATAAAATATCCAGTAAAATGTGATTAAAAAAAAAAGCTTAACTTAAAAAGCCACATTTTTAGACTAATAGCTTTTTGTATTGAACAGGAAAATTATAACTGGTACTTTTCATTTCTTTGCATATACCCCCTACAAACATGTGATAAATGCATCATTATGACTTGCTTTTATTTATGCCACAGATCTGAAGCAAAAAATACATTTTCGTATCTAATCCAAGAAGTTATAAAAGTCATTCATTCGTCAATTCAACATGTACTCATTGGATAACTGGTATGTGTTGAGCACTGTGCTGGGAATAAGAACAATGGTGAATAGATCCAAGCTTCTAAGGTACTCCCAAGTTTCTTACAGAAATCAGACATGAAAATATTTTCTTAAAATGTACAACATGTAGCTATAAAATATCCAAAACACATTCACATACACCTAAATGAATGAACAAGTTCACATTTCTATTTAATGTATAGTGTGGTGGTGTGAGTGGGAGAAACAAAGGATTGAACTGTTAGATAAAAAATAATTTTATGAGAGACTATATTCGGTCTTAAGGAGAATGAAGATGAGAATAGTGTGATTCAGGGTAACTCATTTAAGATACTGAGTGTCATGCAGTGTTAGGGGTAGAATTGAAAGACATTTATGCAGAGATTTAAAATTGATATTTTTTCCAAGAAGTAGGAATATAATCCAATGAAATCATTTTGTCTCTTTACCCAATGAGCACTGAAGAAATAACTTATTTCTTAATGTGGAAAACATTTACTCTATAGCTGCTTTTTGGCCAAACATGGTTATAAATGGACACAGGTAAAGAATTAGTCTGAAGTACTGGAAAATATTTGTGATGATACGGAAAAAATTGGAGATAACCCTGCATTAATAATTTTGAAAACCATAGCAATGTATTAGTGAATGCATGCATCAGCAAATTTGTTTTACTATGTTTTTTAGTCACAGTATGTTGTTTTCACATATTACATTAGTCAGATCGAGGCAGAAAAACATCGTCCACACAAAGCGTTAAACAGAGGAAACTTATATATGTATGTATGCATGTATATATTTATTTATTTTGAGATGGAGTTTGGTTCTTGTTGCCCAGGCTGGAGTGCCATGGCGCCATCTCAGCTCGCTGCAACCTCCACCTCCCAGATTCAAGCGATTCTCCTGCCTCAGCCTCCCAAGTAGCTGGGATTACAGGCATGAGCCACCATGCCCAGCTAAGTTTTTTGTATTTTTAGTAGAGACAGGGTTTCACCATGTTGGCCAGGCTGATGAACTCCTGACCTCAGGTGATCCACCTGCCTCAGCCTCCCAAAGTGCTGGGATTACAGGCGTGAGCAACCACCCCTGGACAACAGGGGAATTTATAATGAAGAATTAGTTGCAACTAATATTGGAAGAATTTGATGGTGAGACAAAGTAGACTTTTATGAAAGAACAAAAGCTTTAGTGGGCTATAGCCCACTCAAAAAAGAGAAAAAAAAATGAACAAAGCAATACAAGAAACTTCTGACAGATCAATAGATGCATACCAGATGCCTAGTGTCTAATTTCATTTCCTTAGGAAAGAGATCATATCTGGAAGAGCAGCTACAGATAAAGTCACCTCCTAATTAAGCTTAAAAAATGCAATCTGTTCAATATTTATTTGGCTTTTTCTAAAGCCAACTTTTTTAACACTTTAATGATGACACTAATCTTGTCAGTTCCCTGAGAGATACAATATTGCTTTTGCTATATGATATTGGAGGAATAGTCTTTGAGGAACTACCTTTTTGCTCCTTCTTGTCAAAATAACATGCAGTTCATAGGTCAGGGAGTCAATATGGGAATATTTTTCAGTTGCTGAACATGTCTATTAAACTACACATTCAGGAATGAAGAGCGTAACTATAAGAAGAATCTGAAGATTCATTCACCCATTATGATATGGAGTTGGGTCAAAATTACACTTAATAATTTTGCAATTAATAAGCATCTACTCTGAATTTCATAACAGTGAAATTTTGTCTTTACATTGATTAGTGCTAATTCAGAGCAAGTGACTAATAATTTTCTAAAACTCTGCATATGTTCCTTATGTAGTACTCTAGAAAATATTGCAGGTCCCTTTGGGGAAGGTTTGTGGGAAATTTTAGTATAAATTGTGACAGTGGATATTTTTCTGAAAATAAGCTGGCCTCCCATTCATTTAAAGGTCTCTAAATAGGCCTAAGTATGTGAATGGGGAAAGAGGCTATGACTGACTCTGTCATGATGAGGAAAGGAAGGTCATGCTCGGTGAACCTAGTATTTAATTAATATGTCAGCAGGTAGCTTTTTAAAACTTTTATTTTAAGTTCAGAGGTACATGTGCAGATTTGTTACTTAGGAAAATTTATGTCACTGCGGTTTGTTGTACAGATTATTTCATCACCCAAGTATTAAACCTTTTGATTTTTTAGGACAACATGATAATTTTGTCACTGCCACAGATCTTTAAGGGTCAATTCACTGATTTCCACTTCACTGCTTATACACATTATTACAATTGCACCTGCTGACTAAATGCTACTATTCAAACTTTGCTACTCTGGGATATCAATTCCCATTGAAATCAGAACACGATTCCAACTTTGGCATCATGAGCCATCACTTCAGTTCACTACAATCAGCTAATACAAGGATTCCAAGAATTCTGTTGTTATCTTCTCTAATAAATTTTTCATTGATTAGTGAAAAGGTGTGCTTGGAGCCTTCCCAAGGACGTAATTTTGGGGTGGTTAGTGGGCTTTCCATTTCAACATTCCTCTAATTACCAATTCTGAGGCAAGAAATAGTGGTAAAGTTGAGTATGATCAATATTTCCCTCCAAACAAATATCTCAGGTAAACCTATTACAGCATCTTTAGAAAGGGACGCTTGTCTCCTCAGATGGTGAAGGAAAGGTGTATCTGCTGGCAGACAGTTTTCAGTAGAATTTGCTCAAGTTTTTTTAGATTAATCTGTCTTCTCAATTTTTCTCATTTCAATAATCAGGTTTTAATTTTCCCAAGGCAATGCCGCAATAATAACATAAAAACATTTAAGTGCTATACATTTGAGTTGCATTTTAATTCTATAATCGGTCTAATTGGATTTTGGGTCAAACTTTTAGACATGTCTGCCTTATAGCTACCGAAAAGTAAGAAACTTATTTAAGGACATGATAAGAAATCATTTATTCTCTAATTTCTTGAGATGGAAATTTAAAAGTCTGGGACTGTCATTATGATTTTTTAAGTTCTTTACATGTGTGAGAAGCAGCCAGCAAATACTTAACATCTCAAAGCTCACCCCTGAATTGACCTTTCATCCCAAACAAGAAAAGATGACCACTATAGGCAATCCTGCTGCATCGGCATGCCACATGTTACTGGCATCACATTTTCCTTTAGCAAAAAAGCTGTGATGTGATCAAGCTCCATAAGGAGAAATACAATCCTCTAGAATCCTCTGCTGAAAGTCTCTTTTGTGGAATCACTCCTGTTATTAAGACTGTATTAATAAAGATCTAATTAGAAAGCAGACCCCATTTTAGATAATTTAATAGACTGGTGTAGTTACAAAAAAGATGGAAGACCTGGAAAGCCAAAGAAGAAATGAGGAGCCAACCAAAGATTAGTAACATCAGGAGACCATGGTCACTTTGGAGGAACTAAAGAGGGAAATGATCTGATCAGAATGAGCACCAGCCAGTGGTAATTGGAAATATTGTGGACTGCCTAATGAGAATTGAAACATTTGGAGGAGAAACAGAGTGAGTCCTGGTTATTTCCCTGCTTCATACCCTCCAGACAGTTGATTGTGTTTTTGTTGGCTGAAGTCAATTAGAATAATTTTCAAGGAATCCTTTGAAGAGTAATTTGAAGGATTCAGTGCATTGCCCATCAATGCAGATTAGATTGGGTGAAGTTCAGGGAATGTATTGAGACCAAATGGAGGAGGGCAAGATACCCAATTTTGCAACCACTCTTCAAAGGTTATAGAGTATTTGAGTTCTTCAGAGGTCATCACAGCCTTTTTAAAAACCAAACAAACAAAAACATTATTGTTCCTGGAAGACAGATTACCTTGACTCAATGATTTCCTTGGTATTCAGTTACACGATCTAATTATGTCTACTTGAATCCTGAAGTTCTTGTTTCTATTTTTAATCTGGTGATTTGAAAACAATTTCCACTGGGTTTGTTAGCTGACAAAGTGGGCATAAAACATAGTCATGCCCATTTTTAACCTTGACTTCTCAGAGTTAGTACAGTGGTACTTTGCATTCTTACTTGATGTATGTGTCACATCTTAAAATCATTGATACATAACCTGGAGGCTTCTGTTTCCTCTCTAATACCTTCCCTATACCAGCTTTGATCTCCTATATTATTCTAAATCATCAGAGTATCTTTCTTTATGAAATAGACATCCTGTTCATGAAGAAACGAACTCATCCTGGATAAAGTTAACAACTTTATAATAGTGAATTTAATTCATAGTGAATATTTCAAGAACTTATTTCATATTTGAGAAAGAGACACCGGTTAGAAACCAAAAAGCATTTGATTCTTCCCATTTGCTTATCTCAGTCACTCCATCAAGGAACTGCATGGAGTAGATGTATATATTTTGGAAGCTTCTTATTACCATATTGTGAAATAAAATTATGAGTATATCAAGGACATATATTAGTACAGTACCAGAACTAAAGGCAGGAGGCAATGTAGCAAGTGGAAATGTAATAGACTTTGCAGCCAGGTGACTCTAGGTTTGGAAATTGGCTCTATGACCCACTTAATATGCAATCTTGGGAAGGTAATTTTACATATTTCATATAACTGTGTTTCTTCAGACAGAGGAAAATTAGTGTCAATAATAGCTAAATTTTAATTATTATAAAAATTAACTTATATGTATATAATTATATATTATAGCAACTTACATATGTTATAAGGGTTAATTTATTATACACACATACACACACATATATATGTATACACATGCATATTGTTGTAGTGCATAATATTTTATGTTTGATTAATAACTTGTCCAAATCATTATAATTAGTGGTATACTGATAATGTGAATTACTTCAGACTGTGATCCTCAACCTCTTCATTGTGATAACAGTGAGATTGGGGATGAACTAATTCAGCCTTCTTCTTAAGATGGTAAAGGGACTTCCAATCCATTATTGAGTTCCTACTATGTGATATATTAATTATGGCATTTTAGGGAAACAATTTATGTAATTAGGAGCAAGAAAAGTTATTACTGGATAAAAAGCTTATGATCAGGTAATCTAAAGTATAGTTAGGGTTAAGAAGAATTAAGATAAGCCATATTTATAAGATCATAAAATATCAGAAGAGATATAATCTAGTTTTTCTTTGCTGATTTTTATTACAGTTACCTCATTATGTTACCCCAGAAATCAATATTATAGATATAACATGTTTCCATTATCTTAAGTATGGGTCCACAATTTCTTCTTTAAAATGTTTGGAACCATATATGTGCTTTAGGACTCAGAAAATTTTTAATAAAACAAACCATAATATTAGACAGCAATTTTAACAAGTTTCTTGATACCTAATTTATGTGTCATAAAGTTCAACCACTTAAAATGTATGATTCACGCTTGAACCCGGGAGGAGGAAGTTGCAGTGAGTGAAGATCATGCCACTGCACTCCAGCCTGGGCGACAGAGTTAAAAAAAAAAAAGTATGATTCAGTGGTTTTTAGTGTATTTACAGAGTTGTGGACACTGTATTCTAATTTTAGAACATTTCAATCATCCCAAAGAGAAAACTTGTATTCATTAGCAGTCATTTCCCTTCCCATCCCGGATACCTCACCCCTACTTTAACTCTAGGTAGCAGTAATTTCCTACTGTCTGTCTACTAAGGATTTGCTATATCTACCTTATGTCTACTGTATCTAATTTTTATCTCAATAGATTAGCTTAAATGAGATCATACAATATGTGGTCTTTTTTGACTTGCTTTTTTACCTAGCACTTTTTTTTAGATTAGTCATTGTGGTAGCATATCTCAGTACTTTATTCATTACTTCATCAGCAGTGTTGAATAACTGTCAAACTATTTTTACAAAGTAGCTGCACCATTTTATGTTCCCATAAAAAATGTATGTATGTTCAATTATTCCACATTCTTGTGAATACTTGTTATTGTCTACTTCTGTGAGTATGGCCATCCAAGTGAGTGTGATATCACATGTGGTTTTGATTTGCATTTTCCTAATGACATAATTTTGCATACATTCATGTGATTATTAGTCATTCGTGTCTCTTCTTTGTAGAAATATCTATGAAAATCCTTTAATTTTGTTACGGATTATTTTTCTTTTATTATTGAGTTATATGAGTTATTTATATTTTCTGGATATTATTTCATTTATAGATATATACTTTGCAAGTATTTTCTCCCTTTTCATGGGTATTATTTCACTTTCTTTATGGTCTTCTTTGAGGCAAAAAACATTTATTTTTGATAAGCCATCTTACCACCTTCTTTGTATTGCTTATGCTTTTGGTGTCATACCTAAGAAATAATTTCCTAACTCTAGGTTAAAAATATCTACTCTTATGTTTTCAATAAGTATCTTATTGCTTTGGCTCTTAGTTTTAGGCTCATGACTTACTTTTAGTTATTGTTTTGTGTATGGTATTAGGTATGGGACCCAACTTATTCTTTTGCATGTGAATATCCAATTGTCTCAGCACCATTTATTTAAAATATTACTCTTCTCCCATTACCTCAGATACTTTGTCAAAAATCACTTGACCTGAAGAGTTAGGGTTTTCTCTTTACTCTCAATTCTATTTCACAGATCTAAATGTCTATCTTCTTTTTTTTTTTGGTGGGGGAGGGTAGGTGCAGGGGATGGAGTCTTGCCCTGTCACCCAGGCTGGAGTGCAGTGTGTGATCTCAGTTCACTGCAACCTCCGCCTCCCAGATTCAACAATTATCCTGCCTCAGCCTTCCGAGTAGCTGGGATTACAGGTTTGAGCCACCACGCCTGGCTAATTTTTTAATGTTTTTAGTAGAGACGGGGTTTCACCATGTTATCCAGGCTGGTCTTGAACTACTGACCTCAAGTGATCTGCCCATCTCGGCCTCCCAAAGTGCTGGGATTACAGTGGTGAGCTACTGCGCCAGGCCCTAAATGTCTGTCTTTATGCTAGTATCACACTTTCTTGATATGGCAACCTCTAGCTATATTCTTTCTCTAAATTGTTTGGGCATCTGCTCTCCTTGCATTTGCAAATGAATTTTAGAATCAGTTTGTCAATTTATTTTAAAAATCTGAGATTTCTATGGGAATTGTAATGAATCTTTAGATCAATTTGAGAAATATTTTCATCTTAACAACATTGAGTCATCTGATCTGTGAACATGAGATATCTTTCAGTGGTATATTTTAAGATGTGATGCAAATTGCAGCAAACATTTAAAATAGACATTAAAAATAAGGAATTCTTCATAAAACAAAAGCTAACAGGGTGCAAGGGGACTCCACAGAATGATAAAACATATTTGTAACATATCTGACAACAAACTTCACGTATCTAGAATGTATAAATATATGAAGAACCAGCAATCAAGAAGACAGATAATCCAATAGATAAATGAACAAATATTGAATAAATACTTCAAAAACATGATATCTGAATTGCCAATAAATATATAAAAAGTGTTTAATTGTAGCCATTGGGGAGAAACAAATTAAAACCACTATGTGATACTACTTATAGGAATGACTAAAATGAAAAAGATGAAAATACCGCCTTTTAGTGAAATTAAGAACAATCAAAACTCTGATCCTTTCCAAAGGAGAACAATCAGAACTCTAATATTGTTCAGATTCTAGTTTCAAATGGTCTAGCTACTTTGAAACACAGTACAGCAGATCAACTAAAGCTGAACATATGCACATCTTATGACCAACAGTCCCATTTCTTGCCAATGCCCATTAACAGACATGTAAAAGAAAGTTAACAGCACAGTTGTAATAGCTTAAAACTGGAAACTACCTAAATTACAATTAGTAGTGAAATAGATAAAAAAAAATCAACTTACAGACACAATGGATATTATACAACAATTTGAATGAATTACCTACAACTATACAAGTCATTATGAGTGAACCTTGCTGAGAGAAATCCAACACAAAGAGCATGCAATATATTATTCCGGTAGTATAAAATGGAATCAGAAAAATATCCAACCTATGCTAATGGAAATCAGCATAGATTACCCTTAGTAATGCAATGATTCAATGGCAGTGCCTGAAGGGGAACATGAGGGACTTCTGAAGTGCTGGTAATTGTGTATGTGTAAATTTAATCAAATTACGCATGTTAGGGGCCTAATTTGTTTCCCCAATATTTATATGTTGAAATTTAAAACATGTATTATATATCTATATAAAACATGTATTATATATATAATATATTTTATATATATATATATATTATATGTATATATGTATCTGACACAGAGAGAGAGAGACAGAGTCTGCTATTGCCCAGGCTGGAGGGCAGTGGTGGGAACATGGCACACTGCAGCCTTGACCTCCTGGGCTCAAGGGATCCTCCCACCTCAGCCTCTCAAATAGCTGGGACCACAGGTGTGTGCCACCATGTCCAGCTAATTTTATTTTTAAATTTTTTGTAGAGACAGTGTCTCACTGTTGCTTAGGCTGGTCTCAAGCTGCTGGACTCATACAATCCTCTCATCTTGGTCTCCCTAAGTGTGGGGATTGCAGACAGAAGCCACTGCATCCAGCCTTAAAATTATAAGCTGAATTACCTCAGTATGTGTACCCATACTTATATTTAGTATGGGTATCCCAGTACCCCCAATTGTGACTGTGTTTGTAAATAAAAGCTTTAAAGAGGTAGTTGAGTTCAAATGAAGCCATTAAGGTAGGCCTTAATCCAATATGACTATTATCTTTACCCAAAAAAAAAAGGATATTAGATTAGGCAGGCACCACAGACACCAGGAACCAACATGAGCAGAGGAAAAACCATGTTAGGAAACAGGGAGAAAACGACCATTGACAAGCCAAGGAGAGAGTCTTCAGAAGGAACCAATCCTGCCAACGTCTTGATCTTGGACTTCTACTCTGCAGAACTATGAGTAAATAAATTACTATTGTTTAATATACTCAATCTGCGGTATTTTTTATGGCAGTCCTAGCAATATACATAGTTTTATGTATATTAAACTGCATTTTACATAATAAGTTTAAATTTCTTTTTACTTATTATGACACATATACCATTTACTATGTAATTCTTAGAAAAGTCTAGGACAACATTCCCTAACCCCATTAATAAACAGCAAAACCTATGAATATTCACATGAAGTGGGATAAATAAAGACTGTAAATAGCCTAAATTCCATTTTTTCTCAGATTTAACTGCTAAATGAGTTTTGGCATCAAACTTAAAAATTTTAAAAGAAAATAAAATAATTTCTTCCATTTTTAGAGCTTTGTAGATTTGGAAATGTGGAGGACGCATTGTGGGGCTGGTCAAAAGTCATTTTAAAATAAATGTACAATGTCTATTTCCAAATGCTGTTCGTCAGTATAATAACATCAATTGCCTTCTCAAATAACTTTGGAATTTTCACAGTGTTGTTTGAACTACCAGGATCCTTAAAATGTTTTAGGCGCCTTGAGTTACAGCATAGTAAATATAAACACAAGGTCTTTGTGAGAAGACTTAGGGTCTACTGTGAGCCTTGTAGTATAATACAGTGAATATATTAAAAAGCCCCATAAAGTGAGGCTAAAAGAATAAAATAACTTATGAAATATCATGAAATATGCCCCTAGAAATTATACTCCTCTGAGCCCAACTTCAATTTCTAGTAAAACTATAGCTTTACCATAGAAGAGTATTGGGAATATTAAATAGGTTTAAATATATCATGAGTAAAACTTGATAGTCTTTTACTAGAATTATAAAATGGGACTGATTGAAAAATAAGACTTTTATCCTTATTCAAAATGTTACTTGATCATGCCTCAGAGAAAAATGTTCTGATCTCACTTCAGGCTAAGGGAGACATGTTTCATCCTAAGCACCACTAATTAATAAACCCTCTGCTGGTTTCATTTTTATCTTATGTGGTCAAATTCATTTGATACTGAAAATAATTTTTTAACTTTTATTTGCTGAACCATATGGTTTCTTATATAAATGAACAATTTCACACATAAAATTGTTACTTCAATAAATTACCAAATGCTAGTATATGTCTCTCACAAACTGTGTAATTTGCTTTTCTTTAGGGAGGGTAAGAAGGTGCTGAACATATCTATGTAAAGACTACTCAAAAATAGGACTTACGTTAATGTGGGAGGAGACTGGTAGAAGTCTGGGTTAAAGGACGGTTCAACAAGAGAGCAATGACCTTTTGGAGAAGGAAGATGGTATTGTTAAGCTATCTTTGATATCATTCTAGCCTTCGAAACTTCCTTTTAAAACTCTGTCCTTCTTCAAACATGTATTCCTAATAGGAATTTCTTAAGTGGCAAAACTGGTGAGTATATTCATGGCAATTTGTGAATTTTAGTTTTAAAAGTTGAGATCAAGATTTAATATAGAAAATGTTAGAAGAACACATGATTAGACAAAATCAGACTGCATATTCTTCTCATATCTTTTAGTTTGGAACAATGATAACCTGGCAGGGATTTCCCTCAGCACCTGGTGAGAGTAGATTACAAATAACTGAGTCAGTTGTGAAGTCAAAGAGTTCATCTTACAATGTGTGGAAGACCAGGCAAATTTCTTATGCCATATCTATAACTGATGGAGTAACCATTATGTCTACCATGTACCACACACTGTGCTGAATCTTACATACAGCACCTCCAATTTATGAAGCAATGGATGTTCAGAATAATTAAGCATCTTGCCTACGTTTCCTAGCATGCAACTGGCAAACCTGGAATCCGAACCTAGATATTTCTGGTTTCAAAACTCACAGTGAGAAAATAAATTAGGGGAATGGTGTTATTTGAAAATGAACAGCAGTGTATGGGAGTTTTGAAATTATTAGTTTGGAGTAAGTTCTAATAAAGTGGGCAAGAGTGAAAGTTCAGGTTGAGGAAGCTGATTCTGAGGGATATTTGCTCACTAAAAGAAATATTAGATCTGCAAGTAAGTTGACTTTGAGAAATAAGCTGATAACTGACATCTTGTTGAAGGCAAGGATCATATTTTATTCTACTTTTTGTGATAACCTTTGGTTATTTAATGTGCCTGTGTAATAAAATGCCAGGCTATGAATAAAATCATCCCTCAGTATCCACAAGGAATTGGTTCCAGGACCCCTTCCTAAATACCAAAATCCATTCTCAAGTCTCTTATATGAAATGGCAAGTATTTGTATTTAACATATTAATCTCCTCCCATATGCTTTAAATAATCGCTACTTACCTACAATACCTAATACGGTGTAAATAGTATGTAAATAATATTATACTATATCTATTTGTATTATTATTTATTTATTGAATATTTTCAGTTTGTGATTTGTTGAATCCGTAGATGAGGAACCTGAGAATATGGACCACCAATTCTATTTTGAAGCACCTAGGCATGAGAATATATATCTATATGTATACATGGGAAAGTATATGCATGTGTGTAAATATATTTATGGACTATAAAATTAAAATCCATATATAAAATATATGTGGGTTATAAAAATAAGAGCATATCTCTTATTTTACATATGAAGAAACCAGAGTTCAGAGAGTTGACACGTCTACCTCAGGATTATTAAGTTAATGAGAGAAAAGGCCCAGTTGAAAAAATGTCTCATCTAACTTTAGGCCAGTATTACGTCACCACTTTTTGGGCATTTGGCTTTGCATATTAAACATCAGAACTGTAGCTTCATGACCCGAGTGTCTCTTGTCCTGTTTTGATGACTGGGTTTCCAAAATATAACTCCAAGTTTTAATTCCACTTTTGGATTATGATTTTTCCAACTTCCCATTCTAGTTTGATGTTTTATCAAAGTGTTGGTTCTTTAAAGTTCACAATGGTAGAGGAATACTCTTAATTAAAATACATTGAGCAGGAAACGTGCCAAAAGTGATAAAGGGGAAAGAAATTAAAAGTCAACAGAATAAAACTAAGTAGGGTTTCAGTGTTAATTTTCTCATATATTTGAGAGGTGATGATAAACCTCCCTTTCCCCTTTCTTCCTTTCCTTTTTGCTCCCCTTCTTCTTTTCCATCTCTTTCTTTATTTTTCTTCCTTCTTTTCCTGTCTTCTTCCTCATTCTTGTTTTATATATTATTTAAATTGAATTATTTCTCAGGGATATCATATTACCAAGTGCTGCATCCTTCCTCTCTGCTTGAGATTGGCATAGATTAGTTTATTTAATTTAATCTTTACAACTCTCTGAATTTGTAACTTAAAAAAAATCTAAAGTGTGGTGTGTGTGTGTGTGTGTGTGTGTGTGTGTGTGTATGCACATTACGACCTTGACATTGTGCCAGATGCTTTAGAACCATTATTTCATTTAGTTCTCAAAATAATCGCATGACCTGGGTATTCTCAATATCATCAGTTCCTCAGGAAACTGAGCCCAAGAGTGGGTGAACTAAACTGTTTAACTCTTTGTAGCAAATTCTTTACTTGGATGCAAACTCAATTCTGTTTGAGTTCTCCTTCCTAACTACTACAATTCTTGCTTGCATCACACTAAAGGCAGGATCAACATTTGTATTATCCTAATTTGAAAGAAGTCACATAGTAAGTAACTGATTCATGTAGCTAAAATTTCTAATTGATAAGGCAAATTATTTATTCATAACCAGCTATATTAATTTGATTACATAGTCAAAGGATTACTACAAGTAAGTAAATTGACATACTCATCACCTTCCATTGTTAACCACTTTTGTGTGTATGTGTGGTAAGAGCACCTAAAATATTTGTTAGCAAAATTCAATGTATACAATATTGTTAACTGTCATCCTCCTGTGGTACACTAAAGCTTTATGTTTATTCATCCCATATAACTGCAAGTTTGTACTCTTTGACTTATTATCTCCCCATTTCCTTCCCCTCTCTTTGCCTAGTACTGACCATTCTGCTTTCTATTTCTATGTATTGGACTTTTTTTTAAGATTTCACATATAAGTGATAGTACGCAATACTTTTTTTTTTCGGTATCTGGCTTATTTCTCTTAGCATAATGTTCTCCAGGTTTACCCATGTTCTTGCAAATACCAGTACCTCCTTCTTCTAACACCGAATAGTACTCTACTCTCCACTGTATGTACAGTCTCTCCTCAGTATGCATAGATGGTGTTTCCAGGAACCCCTACAGGCTGGAGAGATAAGCTTATTTTTAATTGCTATCTCTTCTACTATATTTTTCCTCTATGTTTTTAGATCGCTTCTCTAAAATTGGCCAACAACCCACAGTCCAGAAGGCTCTAAAACACTGTGAAAACAAGAAAGGTCTTTACCAATCAATAATATTCTTATTTTTCTTTCTAGTTTTCTTTAAGACAAAACAATACTATCTTAGTATGAATTACAAAGTAGGATTCGGTAAAAGACTATGTAATATTCAGATGTAAAGAAAATATTCTTTTATATTTGTGCTTAATATACATAATGTGCTACAATGTTTGAGACTGGCTCTATGATCTCTCATTTATAGATGCACTTTGATTTGGAAAAATTGCTATATTTCATATCTTATGTTCTATTTGCATTTTATGTTTTTCCAAAATGCAAATTGATAACAGCAATGCTTTTACATTATATTATTTCATTTGTTGCAAGTCTTATTTATCAGGCATTGGCAATTTGTTCCTCAATTCAAGAGACCAGTATAATAAAAAGAAGTAAGTTACATAATAAAATATTTATTTGGGCACAACACAAATATATTTTTTATAATATAACTTTTAAAACTAATAATGTATTTTAAAGTAAATGTAACAATTTAAAAACACTGAATCAAACACAATATATAAAAATGAAAAAGTAACAGTAAAATTAAATAATTATTCATGTCAATTTTACTTAGAACTGAGACATATAGGTTGTAGCTATAGTTGCCCTAAAGAGGCAATAAGTAAATCTTAGGGTTGAAAAGATCTCAGAGTCATTTAATGCTGTAATTTTTAAACTTTGAAAGCAATTTTGATAGAATGTTATATCAAATGTGAACAAACAGATGAAAGTACAGCTGCTATTGTTAAAGCTATTCAGCTCATCTGTGAGTTTGGCAAATATTTATTTAGCAGTGCTAAAAGGGTAAATGGCTATTGTTTTGGCATCCCTCATGGGAAACTCATTTTCCCATCATGATTTCTCTTCACCTTGCTGATATTTGTTTGATAGATTTTCCAGAGTTTGACTATACTAACTTAAAGTGACACATTTCAAATGTGACCTAATCGTATTAAAATAAATTTTCTCCCATTATGTTGCAGAATTTATGTCACTTAATGCAACATAAAAAGTTTAAGTATGTATTAACTTTTATTCAGCCAAAAATAATTTTATCAGTAGCTATGTGGCCACTTCAAACAATATCCTCAATATCCTAAAGTTAAGAATATTAAGTTAAAGTAAATGTCCCCATCTTTGTTACCTATCATCCCTTCATTGATTTTAGTTTGCATACATATGCATATTTATAATGTATGTGTAAATACTTTTTGTATTTTAGCCATAGTTGCCCTAAGGAGGCAATAAGTAGTTGTCAAAGTCATGATCCATGCTTTTGTGAAATCATCCTGAAACTAAAGAATGGGGTCTCCAAACCTGCACATTGTGCACATGTACCCTAGAACTTAAAGTATAAATAAATAAATAAATAAATAAATAAACAAACAAACAAACAAACGAATGGAGTCTCAGTGATCATATCTATATTGGCCAACTGCATCTTCATATACAGAACTAATAATCTGTGGGTAAACATCTAATTGTGACTATCAGGATTCTTTACCAGTGCTTTTTAGAAAGGATGTAGAAAAATAGGAATGTCTCCTCTGTGTTGCATATGGCATGTAAGAGTTGATGGTGGTCCTGATATGAACTATGAATTGACAGATGATCTGCAGTAAGAAAGAATGAAGTTGACATGGAGATGGAAGCAGCTGCCTGAGAAGAAAGAGAAAAAGAGAGTGAGAGAGATAATACTTATTATCTGGTTCCACATATCCATAATCCCTAAATGCATTTACTTATTCACATCTTGCCACAGGTTGGGTCCACATGAGAAAACTAAATATTTTCAGCCAATTCCCTTCTCTCTCTCTCTCTTTTTTTTTTTTTTTTTTTTTTTTTTTTTTTTTTGAGACGGAGTCTCGCTCTGTCACCCAGGCTGGAGTGCAGTGCCGCGATCTCGGCTCACTGCAAGCTCCGCCTCCCGGGTTCACGCCATTTTCCTGCCTCAGCCTCCCGAGTGGCTGGGACTACGGGGGCCACCACGCCCAGCTAACATTTTGTATTTTTATTAGAGACAGGGTTTCACCGTGTTAGCCAGAATTGTCTACATCTCCTGACCTCGTGATCCGCGCATCTTGGCCTCCCAAAGTGCTGGGATTACAGGTGTGAGACACCGTGCCCGGCCCAATTCCCTTCTCTTAATTAAGGAAGCTCAATCCAGCCTTTTGACCTCTAGAATCAAATGAAAAAATGACTAATATTATGTATATAATTTTTCTTTTCATACAAAATTTTTATACTGTATGTATTGTTCTACTTTTTAAATCTTATTTGACAATGTAATATGAACATTATTTTATGTAGTTTAATTATTTTTGGCATTCATTTTCAGCAGCCTTTTTATCTTGTTAGGTGTTCTGACACTTTGAGCCTGTCCCTCTTGTTCTGTCATGTTCACCTTTCCATAATTCTACCACTTGAATTTGGTTGTTGTAATGTTATTCCTGGAAAGTAAAAAAAGTAATATATTCTGAGGTTTACTATTATTTTGATTTTCTATTATTAAAGGTGGGCCCTTTTATATCACTGAAACTGCAATCTTTAGACAGCTCTCTCTATGTCATTTATATAGCTAATAACTCAAGCACAATATAAGGTATAAAATAATGAATCAAAAGTAAAATAAATATAAATAGTCACAACAATAATGGCAGTTACCACTTGTTGAATGTTTACTCTATGCCAAAAGTGTATGTTTTTATAACATGCGTTAGCTTGTTTTAATATTCATAAAAATGTCTATTAGAAATTATCTTTTTATTTTATAGTCAGGAAACTACTCCTAAATATGTTGTATTCTTAGTCCGGAGTCTGAGAGATTATGACAGAAATGGTGTTCAGTCCAATGTCTGACTACACATGTTTATTGAAAGAATGTACAATGAATTAAGATAGGAGGCATCAGACATCTCTGAAATAAGTTCTAGATGATAGATTATTTAAAATAAATTAGAAATTTTAGAATAAATCCAATTTAGGGTGACAAAGGGAAATTCAATTTTTAATATAGTAAAAATCAGACACTATTTGCCACTAAGTTTGGAATCAAGACTAGTTCCTAAACAAACTTAACTGGCATCATTGCCATTTGCTGGAAGCTCGATGAAGCTGTTGTTAATTTAGTCAATACTTTGAAAGCAATATTTTAAATATAGTATAATGGATTAATTTTGAACACTATCTTTATTTTGTCAAAGACGGAGCAGTTTTGCCTTCAACATTATATTTGTGTCTACTATATTACATTATTATTGTATATTATATGCCTATTTTGGCCCTGATGAGACAAACTATATTCCACTTTTATAGTGACATTGAGGAATTTTTGAGGTGATCAAGAAAAGAGACATCATCATAAGGTGGCAGAAGCCTGCAACAAGTTTTCTTTAAACTACACTTTGACGGGTTTGCATGGGAGAAAGGGAGGTTTCTTACAGTGTGAGACCTTTAGAGGCTATGGGATGGGGGCCACTACTCAAAAGGGGAGGAGGGCATGTGAACTCCAGGAGGTAGAGGAATCAGAGATGGATATTATGTATCTAGGTGATGTCACTCAGCAGCATGGCAAGGAGTCTCTGGGTCAGAGTGCTCCAAAGAGCAGCAGCAGTTTTGGGATTTTATAAGCCTGAGGTTTATTTCATCTGTGGCTAGCAGATGTTGGGTTCAGTTTTACGGTATATTCAAAGCAGACAGGCTCTACATGGCTAAAAATCTGCTTATTGGGGCTATTTTTAAAACATTAGATTGATTTTAAAATTTCAGCTTTGTGCTGGCAGGATTATGAGTTAATGGATCCTGCCTGCTGTGAAGAAGAAAAAAATATTGGGCCACTATAGAAGGTCATCTTTGGCTCATGTCTATAACACCTTGTGTTCTCAGTCTTTCATGCATCTTAATTTTACAAAGAGTTTATAGAAAATGCCTTATTCAAAGAGAGTAGATATATACCTATATATAATCCATAAATTAGAATTAGTGTTCTGTTTCTCTCTCTCTCTCTCTCTAACACACACACATGTGCACGTGTGCACACACACACAAGGAGATGACAATAGCGTGAACTGTTTTATGGGTACACTGTGAAATTAATTACTAGTTCAGAAAGTCTAAGGAAAAAATAAGGCAGTTCTTTATAATTGTTGCAGTATATGAAGTGGACATATATTCAACATGAGAGCTTGAGATTTTGAACCAAAATTTATAGCATCACTTTGAGAGACTTAAAATGAACACATTTGTGGTTTTGTAGGGCTACTAGAATATTTGTGCCTGTTTTTTCATACCCAACTTTCTATGTGCATGAGATATGTCATTGGGGCAAAATTTTAAATAACGTAATAAATACAGCAAGTAATATTCAGCAATACATTTGGAAATTACAAAAGCCAATGCAGTGTAATAAAAGCATAGTTTTGGACTTTGAGAAAATGGCTTTAAGTCTTCGTTTGGCCACTTTCTCTCTGTAGGATTTGGATAAATATGTTACATTCTATGAGCATTGGTTTTCTCATGTGTAAAATGTAGCTTATAATCAAGTATAGCATTGTTAAGAGGTATAGATGTAATAAGGTACAGTAAGAACATGACTAGATAATTCCAGAAGAGATGGTAGCTAACAAAAGCCAATAACTGTCAAGTATTTATCATGTACCAGTTATAAACTCAGTATATTAATGAGCATACTTAATTCTCAAAACTATGTCACGAATTGATGAGCCAGGGTTTGAACTCAAGATAGTTTTGCTGTAGAGTGTGAATCTTCACCAAAATGTCATTTTTTTCTTGAGTGGAAAAATTAACATTTATTTTACAATAAAGAAAATAAAGAGCAAAAATAAAAAAAAAACTAAAAGTATCAAACAAGTGAAATAGAATTAAAAGTGAAAATAAAATGTCACATGTGCTCATGGTTTCCACCCACATCAAAGAATAACTGCCAGATATTAAATGTGGAAAAATCCAAAAGAGGAATTTCATATTGAGCCACACTTCCCAGTTTGGAAGAAGTACAGTGAGTCCTGGCAGATTGGAAAACAAAATAAATTCTTAAGATTCCTCCAATGATAGCAAGATTGTCTGGAAAAAAGCAGAAGATGTATGTAGGCTCTATGAAGGTATCAAAACATGTCTTAGAGCTAATTATTCTAGGAAGCCGCATTGGAAAAGAAGTTACTCTGCTTGTACTTTTTTCTGTTATTCTCCGGAATCAGTTTTCTGACTGGAAGGGGTGAGGTGTGCAGATAATTTTACTTTTCAACTACAGAAAAGATGTATCTGGGTAAAGAAAATCATGCATTTAACTACATCAATGCAGCCTATGAACAATAGCCTGTGACCATAACTAGATATCTCACCAACGTGGCAGCTCTTCCTAACCAAAAGATCAAATCAAAACTCTAGTGGCATTTTCCTATCACTCACAGAACAGGCTAAGCTTCCCACCTGGAGTAGACCCGGAGCCTAGAACTCATAAAAATTTTTAAAAATCAAACAAAACATGAAAGTACAAAGTTTCTACAAAACTCTTATCCCTCTCCTGACAATATTTATGATGGTGGCATTAGTGAATTTTACTGGAAAAAAAAATTCCCAAAACTATCCAGCTGGAAATATAAGCTCACTTCCAAAGGATAAAACAGTTAAGACGAGATTAGGATAAATTTACTGACAAAAAAAAAAAAAAAACAATATTTTTACTGTTTGCAGTGCAAAAGGCAATGTGCCAGGAATTAAAAATCTAACCAAATTGCCACTGCATGTCAAGGCATATCAGGAGACGCTAAGAAGTGATGCATGCCATTTTAATTTATATTCTGCTAGCCAAAGTAGGTCATATAGCCACAACCAACTTCCAAATGGAAAGCAAGAACAATCCTCCCATGTTTCTGGAAAAAGAGGGGAATTATATGGCTCTCCCTCTTCTCTCTCTTTCTCTATATCTTTTATTCTTCCTCTTTTTCTCCTTCCTTTCCCCTCTCCCTCCCTTCTCTTGCTGTCTCTTTTTATTTCTTAAAAAAAAGTTTATTTATAGTCCTTTGGGTATATACCCAGTAATGGGATGGCTGGGTCAAATGGTATTTCTAGTTCTAGATCCCTGAGGAATCGCCACATAAATCATGCTGCTATAAAGACACATGCACACGTATGTTTATTGAGGCACTATTCACAATAGCAAAGACTTGGAACCAACCCAAATGTCCAACAATGATAGACTGGATTAAGAAAATGTGGCACATATACACCATGGAATACTATGCAGCCATAAAAAATGATGAGTTCATGTCCTTTGTAGGGACATGGATGAAATTGGAAATCATCATTCTCAGTAAACTATCGCAAGAACAAAAAACCAAACACCGCATATTCTCACTCATAGGTGGGAATTGAACAATGAGATCACATGGACACAGGAAGGGGAACATCACACTCTGGGGACTGTTGTGGGGTGGGGGGTGGGGGGAGGGGGGAGGGATAGCATTGGGAGATATACCTAATGCTAGATGACGAGTTAGTGGGTGCAGCGCACCAGCGTGGCACATGTATACATATGTAACTAACCTGCACAATGTGCACATGTACCCTAAAACTTAAAGTATAATAATAAAAGAAAAAAAAGTTTATTGACTTTACAAATCAATATTTAGATATGTTCAGATATGCTATAAAAACATTTTTTCTTTTATTATAAAACAAAAAGAAAAAATCTATCTTTTATTTTTTATATTTATTTATTTATTTATTTATTTATTTATTTATTTATTTATTTTGAGATGGAGTTTTGCTTTTGTTGTCCAGGCTGGAGTGCAATAGTGCAATCTCGGCTCACTGCAACTTCTGCCTCCCGGGTTCAGGTGATTCTCCTGCCTCAGCCTCCCAAGTAGCTGGGACTACAGGCATGTGCCACCACACCCGGCTAATTTTGTATTTTTAGTAGAGACGGAGTTTCTCCATGTTGGTCAGTCTGGTCTTGAACTCCTGACCTCAGGTGATCTGCCTGCCTCAGCCTCCCAAAGTGCTGGGAACAAGCGTGAGCCAGCGCACCTGGCTGAAAAAAATCTATCTTATAGTTAGATTCTGAATCATGGTGGCTTGATAAGATGCTATCAGATATGGCACTGTTATGTTACATTCAAAAAGCATTTAGTATTGATTATGTGTACTGTAATATGTTAAGTGGTATTGTGAAAATAAAACATATGATGCTAAGCTTTCTTTTCTTTTTATATTTCCTTTTTGATGTGGTCCAAGGAAACTGTTCTGAAACACTGTTTCATGAGATGGTTTTAAAACAATTTTTAATTGGGGAAATGTTCCAGACCTCTCCTATAATTGATAATTTATTTGTAATATGGTATTCTTGTTTTTAGCAAACAGTAATCTGTGATCACAAATATGATATCTGACTTCTAACTCACAGAATTAACTGTAAAAATGAATGCACAGAGAAAAATCATTTACCTATATTCATATTTCATTATAAGTATATTTAATCTCATTAACATTTACTTTCCTCATTTATTCATTGGAAACAATAGACTTGCATATATTGTGAGAATTAAATGGGATACTACATATCAAGACTTACCATACTGCTACGTTGTGACGGTGCCTGCTTCCCCTTCACCTTCTGCTGTGATTGTAAGTTTCCTGAGACCTCCCCAGGCATGCAGAACTGTGAGTCCATTAAATCTATTTGGCTTATGAATTACCCAGTATCGAGTATTTTGTTATAGCAGAGTGAAAATGGACTAATACACTTTGTAATCAAACTAAGGATATTTCTCTCTTAAACCTGAAACCTTTTAGGTAAGTGAACACCTTTTAAAACTAATGTTTACAAAGGAGAAAATAACATATAAACCAAAAGCACATTAATAGTCTATAGAAGATGAATAATTATTTTAGAAAAGGGTGGACATTTCAAAAAGCATTTTCCCCACTTTGAAATAATTGAAGAGTATGTGGACTCAGAAAATTTGGTGGGAGTGGAGGGAGGGGGAGGGGGAAGATTGAGAAAGAGCAAAAGAGAATAAGCTAAAAAAAAGTAAAGAACACAAAGAAACTATGATAGATAAGAAAGAAAAAAAGGAAACCCATAAGCATAATTTTTATTTTTAAAACCACGAAATAACTAATGAACTAAAAAAAAAGCATTCTAATATAAAAGGATAAAACTTTCTTGAAATACAGGAATACACCAGAAGCATGTTTTGAGAAAAGGAATGTATGAAAAGGATTAGGAAATTTTCCGAGATAAAAACAGTAGGGGAGTGAAATGGGAACAGAAATGGAAGGAAGCCAAACAATAGTATGATACCTAGTAAAATACCAGAAGAGGAAAATATGGTCAAAATCCCATAAAACAGCTCTGGAGAGAATACAGCTCATGAGTGAGAGTTGTCCCAGTCAGAGGCAAGGGAACTATAATATTTATACTCTGCATGCATCAGTCTTTGTTTAACAGCTACTCCCAGGCAAGGTGGGGATATAAATTCTAAGAACTTCTAGTTTTCCAAAAGCAGGGAAAATGAATCTGGTGGCCTGTGGACAGCCCTCTAACAGAGAGACTCAAATGCTCATTGCTGTGTGTGATGCACACTAGGAGTCGATATGTATAAAAATGGTAAAGGTATTTGAGATGATATTGGTGTAACATAGCATTTTCCAATACAGGCATCTTTAGAATGAAAAGATAGGCCAAGCTCCAAGACACCTTGGTAGAAGATAATCAACAACATAACATAATCTGTTATTTTTTTATATTTAAAAAACAAAGAAAAACAGCATGGTCCCCAAGTACAAAAAGCCAATTACTTATTAGTAAAACAACAACAACAAATAAATTGGACTTCAAAGCTTTTTCCATATGATTCACTGATCAACAATAGAAAATACATTTTCCAGTTCTATGAAAGTTTTAGACAGAAGATATGACTGAATAATTTTATTCCCAGCCAATTTATTATCAATTTCATATTAAACTTAATAAAACATTGTGGCTGGAATACAGTCAACTAGAGATACATCAAAATAATGATGATAAAAATAATAATATTGTACTGCCATTTTGGAGAAACTGTTAAAATTTGACAATGCACAGGAAAAGTATTTTGATATAAAACTATACGTAAAAATATCTAAAAATTTTGTGCATAAATCAAAATGTAAGTGTCCTAAATACTGACAATGTAATAAAAATGAGTGAGATTATCTGAAAAAATGATGGAGGGGAAATGACAGAAATGTGTAAATGTGTTAATTTCCTTATATTTCATAGAAGAGTCAACAAGAACTGTCCAAAATACAAGTTATAAAAGAAAGATTTGTATCTGTAAGCTACATAATTAATATTAAGTGAAAAGTCCCAGGTATAGAATAATGTAAAAAGAAGACTAATATAATTTTATTGAAGAATCAAAGAATTTGTGAATAGTAGCTATTTTTTCAGCAATGGAGGGAGATGGGGTGGTGGAATGGAAGAGGAAGGAATTTAATTTTCATTTTTTCTCTTGTACTATGTAGATTTTTACACATTCATGCATTACTTTAAAAAGTAAAATCTGTAGATACATTTATTCTACATTGTTTTGTTATGACAGCATTACACATGAGAAAAAATACTGGAGGAGAATATTTTGGAGTATTCTTTCCAAACAGCTCAATGCTTGTAATGTTACTCTTTAAAGTTTTGGGAAGTCTTCTTTTCAAATGGTCGTTGTAGGAAATCTTATTTCTTCTCGAGATTATTAAAAGTTTCTGAAAGAAATTAACTTTGCATACTCAGAGAATTATATTTCAATAAAAGTTTTGTTACTCATTTCCTGAAATAGTTACTTCTGAATTTCCAAGTTGAAAAAAAATTATACATATCTCATGGGACTTTTTTAGCAACTCTTGACACTGATGAGGATCAGATCGAACTCTAGATTTAAAGAAGAATCACTCTACCAAGGTTTTACGTATCTTACAGCTTATACAAAAACTTTGTAGATGTTTCACATATCTTCATAGGTTTTAAGGAATTTCATCTTTGCACATAGAAATTATGATTCAGTAAAAATGTAGAATTTTCCATTTAATAATGGACTTCTTTATTATTATTATTTGAGTTCTGGGATACATGTGCAGAAACTGCAGTTTTGTTACATATGTATACACATGCCAAGGTGGTTTGCTGCACCCATCAACTCATCATCTACATTAGGGATTTCTCCTAATGCTATTCCTCCCTAGCACCCCACCCCCCAAGAGGCCTTGGTGTGTGATGTTCCCCCTCACTGTGTCCATGTGCTCTCCTTGTTCAACTCCCACTTATGAGTGAGAACATATGGTGTTTGGTTTTCTGTTCTTGTGATAGTATGCTGAGAATGATGGTTTCCAGCTTCATCCATGTTCCTGCAAAGGACATGAATTCATCCTTTTTTATGGCTGTGTAGTATTCCATGGTGTATGTGTGCCACATTTTCTTTATCCAGTCTATCATTGATGGGCATTTGGGTAGGTTCCAAGTCTTTGCTATTGTGAATAATACTGCAATAAACATATGTGTGTATGTGTCTTTATAGTAGAATGATTTATAATCCTTTGGGTATATACCCGGGAATGGGATTGCTGGGTCAAATGGTATTTCTAGCTGTAGATCCTTGAGGAATCGCCACACTGTCTTCCACAATGGTTGAACTAATTTTCACTCTCACCAACAGTGTAAAAGCCTTCCTATTTCTCCACATCCTCTCAAGCATCTATTGTTTCCTGACTTTTTAGTGATCGCCATTCTAACTGGCATGAGATAGTATCTCATTATGGTATTGATTTGCATTTCTCCAATGACCAGTGATGATGAGCATTTTTGCATATGTCTGTTGGCTGCATAAATGTCTTCTTTTCAGAAATGTCTGTTCATATCCTTTGTCCACTTTTTGATTTTTTTTTTCTTGTAAATATGTTTAAGTTCATTGTAGATTCTGGATATTAGACGTTTGTCAAATCGGTATATTGCAAAAATTTTCTCCCATTCTGTAGGTTGCCTGTTCACTTGGATGATAGTTTCTTTTACTGTGCAGGAGCTCTTTAGTTTAGTTATATCTCATTTGCCAATTTTGGCTTTTGTTGCCATTGCTTTGGTGTTCAAAGTCATACAGTCTTTGCCCATGCCTATATCCTGAATTGTATTGCCCAGGTTTTCTTCTAGGATTTTTATGGTTTTAGGTCTTACATTTGAGTCTTTAATCCACCTTGAGTTAATTTTTGTATAAGGTGTAGGGAAGGGATCCAGTCTCAGTTTTCTGCATATGGCTACCCAGTTTTCTCAACACCATTGATTAAATAGCGAATCTTTTCCCCATTGCTTATTTGTGTCAGGTTTGTCAAAGATCAGATGGTTGTAGATGTGTGGTGTTATTTCTGAGGCCACTGTTCTGTTCCATGGGTCTATATATCTGTTTTGTTACCAGTACCATGCTGTTTTGGTTACTGTAGGATAAATCCACAAAGATGGGTAGAAACCAGCACAAAAAGGCTGAAAATTCCAAAAAACAGAAAGCCTCTTCTCCTCTAAAGGATTACAACTCCTCACTAGCAAGGGAACAAAACTAGATGGAGAATGAGTTTGACAAATTGACAGAAGTAGGCTTCAGAAGGTGGGTAATAACAAAATCCTCCAAGCTAAAGGAGCATGTTCTAACCTAATGCAAGGATGCTAAGAACCTGGAAAAAAGGTTAGAGGAATTGCTAACTAGAATAACCAGTTTAGAGAAGAAAATAAATGATCTGATGGAGCCAAAAAACACAGCACAAGAACTTCATGACACATACACAAGTATCAATAGCTGAATTGATCAAGCAGAAGAAAGGATATCAGAGATTGAAGATCAACTTAATAAGCAAGAAGACAAGATTAGAGAAAAAAGAATAAAAAGGAATGAACAAAGCCTCCAAGAAATATGGGACTATGTGAAAAGACCAAACCTACGTCTTATTGGTGTATGTGAAAGTGATGAGGAGAATGGAACCAAGTTGGAAAACACTCTTCAGGATATTATCCAGAAGGACGTCCCCAACCTAGCAAGATAGGCCAACATTCAAATTCAGGAAATACAGACAACCTCACAAAGATACTCCTTGAGAAGAGCAAACCCAACACACATAATCGTCAGATTCATAAAGGTTGAAATGAAGGAAAAGATGTTAAGGGCAGCCAGTGAGAAATGCCAGGTTACCCACAAAGGGAAGCCCGTCAGACTAACAGTGGATCTCTCTGCAGAAATGCTACAAGCCAGAAGAGCGTGGGGGCCAATATTTAACATTCTTAAAGAAAAGAATTTTCAACCCAGAATTTAATATCCAGGCGAGCTAAGCTTCATAACCGAAGGAGAAATAAAATCTGTTACAGACAAGCAAATGCTGAGAGATTTTGTCACCACCAGACCTGCCTTACGAGAGCTCCTGAAGGAAGCACTGAACATGGAAAGGAATAACCTCCACCAGCCACTGCAACAACATATCAAATTGTAAAGAACATCGAAACTATGAAGAAACTGCATCGACTAACGGGCAAAACAACGGGCTAGCATCATAATGACAGGATCAAATTCACACATAACAATATTAACCTTAAACATACATGGGCTAAATGTCTCAATCAAAAGACATAGACTGGCAAATTTTATAAAGAGTCAAGACCCATCAGGGTGCTTCCTTCAGGAGACCCATCTCACATGCAGAGACACACATAGGCTCAAAATATAAAGATGGGGGAATATTTACTAAGCAAATGGAAAGCAAAAAAAAAAAAAAAAAAAAAAAAAAGCAGGAGTTGAAATCCTAATCTCTGATAAAACAGACTTTAAACCAACAAAGATCAAAGAGACAAGCCCATTATATAATGGTAAAGGGATCAATGCAGCAAGAAGAGCTAACAACCCTAAATGTATATGCACCCAATACAGGAGCACCCAGATTCATAAAGCAAGTTCTTGGAGACCTACAAAGAGACTTAGGCTCCCACGCAACAATAGTGGGAGATTTTAACACCCCACTGTCAATATTAGACAGATCAATGAGACAGAAAATTAACAAAAATATTCAGGAGTTGAACTCAGCTCTTGACCAAGGGGACCTAATAGGCATCCACAGAACTCTCCACCCCAAATCAACAGAATATACATTCGTCTCAGCACTATGTGGCACTTATTCCAAAACTGACCACATAATTGGGAGTAAAACTCCCATCAAGTGCAAAAGAACAGAAATCATAACAAACAGCCTCTCAGACAACAGTACAATCAAATTAGAACTCAGGATTAAGAAACTCACTCAAAACTGCACAACTACGTGGAAACTGAACAACCTGCTCGTGAATGACTACTGAGTAAATAACGAAATTAAGGCAGAAATAAATAAGTTCTTTAAAACCAATGAGAATGAAGTCACAACGTACCAGAATCTCTGGGACACATTTAAGCAGCATGTAGAGGGAAATTTATAGCACTAAATGTCCACAAGAGGAAGGAGGAAAGATCTAAAATTGACACCCTAACATCACAATTAAAAGAACTAGAGAAGCAAGAGCAAACACATTCAAAAGCTAGCAGAAGGCAAGAAATAACTAAGATCAGAGCAGAACTGAAGGAGATAGAGACACAAAAAAGCCTTCAAAAAATCGATGAATCCAGGAGCTTGTTCTTGGAAAAGTTCAACAAAATAGATAGACCATTAGCCAGACTAATAAAGAAGAGAAGAGAGAAGAATCAAATACATGCAATAAAAAATGATATAGGGTGAGCATTTTTTATGTGTTTTTTGGCTGCATAAATGTCTTCTTTTGAGAAGTGTCAGAGAAATGCAAATCAAAACCACAATGAGATACCATCTCACACCAGTTAGAATGGCAATCATTAAAAAGTCAGGAAACAACAGGTGCTGGAGAGCATGTGGAGAAATAGGGACACTTTTACACTGTTGGTGGGACTGTAAACTAGTTCAACCATTGTGGAAGTCAGTGTGGTGATTCCTCAGGGATCTAGAACTAGAAATACCATTTGACCCAGCCATCCCATTAACTGGGTATATACCCAAAGGACTATAAATCATGCTGCTATAAAGACACATGCACACGTATGTTTATTGCGGCATTATTCACAATAGCAAAGACTTGGAACCAACCCAAATGTCCAACAATGATAGACTGGATTAAGAAAATGTGGCACATATACACCATGGAATACTATGCAGCCATAAAAAATGATGAGTTCATGTCCTTTGTAGGGACATGGATGAAATTGGAAATCATCATTCTCAGTAAACTATCGCAAGAACAAAAAACCAAACACCACATATTCTCACTCATAGGTGGGAATTGAACAATGAGAACACATGGACACAGGAAGGGGAACATCACACTCTGGGGACTGTTGTGGGGTGGGGGGAGGGGGGAGGGATAGCATTAGGAGATATACCTGATGCTAAATGATGAGTTAATGGGTGCAGCACACCAGCATGGCACATGTATACATGTGTAACTAACCTGCACATTGTGCACATGTACCCTAAAACTTAAAGTATAATAATAATAAAATAAAATAAATGATACAGGGGATATCACTGCTGATCCCACAGAAATACAAATTACCATCAGAAAATACTATAAACACCTCTACGCAAATAAACTAGAAAACCTAGAAGAAATGGATAAATTCCTGGACACATACACCCTCCCAAGTCTAAACCAGGAAGAAGTGGAATCCTGAATAGACCAATAACAAGTTCTGATATTGAGGCAGTAATTAATAGCCTACCAACCAAAAAAAGTCCAGTACCAGATGATTCACAGCCGAATTCTACTAGAGGTACAAAGAGGAGCTGGTACCATTCCTTCTGAAACTATTCAAACAATAGAAAAAGATGTACTCCTCCCTAACTCATTTTATGAGGCCAGCATCATCCTGATACCAAAACCTGGCAGAGACAAAACAACAAGGGAAAATTTCAGGCCAATATCCCTGATGAACATCAATGTGAAAATCCTCAATAAAATACCGGCAAACCAAATCCAGCAGCACATTAATAATGGACTTTTAATCTCAAAATAAATATCTGTCAGGAAAAATCAATCAGTATTGAAATATTCACAATATAATGACAAGTGTGGAGAAAACAAGTAAACTATCCACTTTAATTCTAATAAATTAAGCTGTACTGGAGCAGTCGTCTCCAGTAGGTAATACCATAATATTAAGTAACCTTTTAATTTACTCGCATGCAGTTTAAGATTGTCTCAGGAAGGTGGGGTAAGCAGGGAGTAGATGGAGATGCTCTGTTCTACACGGCCATTCAGAGACTCAGGCTGAAAAAATGTGTTCTTCATTATTACCTGTTCTTCATGGCCTTAAAAATGCAATCCCAGTGAATTTGAAGGGCAAACAAACAAAAAAAAAAAACAAAAATCAATCAAACAAACAAAAAACATAGAAAAGCATCCATGGCAGTTTTTATTGGCTAAGTCTAAAGGTAGCAAACATCACTTTATCTAAGTATTTAGAACTCATTCAGATGGCTACACCCAATGTGATCAGAGGTTTAATTATGTATCTAGTTAAATTATGTATACGTGTCAGATCTAAAAACCTCCACACATTTCTACAGCCTCTCCCATCCAGTGGTGGAGTCTTTTCCTCCTACCCCTTGAATCTGATCTTGTGCAAATGACTTGATTTAATTAAAAGAAATATGAGACAAGTGACTTAGCAGATTCTGAGCTTTGGACTAAAAAAAACTTGCACCTTCTGCTCTCTCCCTCTTGGAATATTGCCAAGATTGGGAGTCAGTCTAAAGCTAACCAATAGCCTACCAAACACCAGATATGTGAATGAGGCCATCCTAGTGAAGTAGGATATTTCCCTGACACCCTTCACGGGATGCATGAATGGGGTGCCTGGTTTACTCAGCCCGCAGCTCACAACTGCTTCTGTGAGGGAAAGTGCAAGTGAAGGAGGTGAGAACTGGAGTGCTGGAACTAGCCGGCCATTTCAGCGCCAGCGGGGGCAAACTCCACTCACTCAGACCCACTGCACTCCACACCTCCATGGGAGGGAGCACACAGGTGAGTGGGTACAGGAGGCAGGGTGAGTGCTTTTGGGCATTGGCAGGAGAGAACTGTGTGCAGGCCCCGTGGCAGTGTCTTGGAGGGGGTACCCATAAGTCCTGAAGTCCTGAAGTCCCAGAGGGAGTGTTACACTGCTCTCACAGTTCTGCTGCCCATGGATGGCTTAAGTGTTAACAGCTCAGTGGACCCTCTACCTTTTCGCACAAGGCAGCTGCCTTCCATCAGTGAAAGCAAAGGGTCAGTGTGACATCCTTTTGCATCCACACTGTGGTTCCCGAGTTCTTGTCCGGTGTCCAGGAGAAATGAGATCACACAAATGAATTGAAGGATGGTAAATAAAGGGGATTTTCTTGGTGATGGAGGTGGCTCTCAGCAGAAGGGGGAGCTGGAAAGGGGACAGGGTAGGAAGATAATCTTCCCCTGAAGATTATTCCCCTGGCCTTCTCCAGCTAGATTTTTCTCTGAAGTTACACCATCAAGCTGTCCCTCTGAAGTCAAGCCACTTCTCTTTGACATCCAGCCTTAGTATCTGACATCCAGCCTTAGTATCTATCATCCAGCTGCTTCTCTCCCTCTCTGCTGCCTGAATCTGTAGTTTTCACAGGCACAGAATGTGGGGTGGGGCAGGCCATGGGTGGCTTTGGAAAAGGCAACATTCAAGCAGGAAAATAGGGATATAAGTTCTCACTTTGGGCCACAGTCTCAGGCTTGAGAGTAGGTTTTTGTTAAAGACCTGCCCTTTTCTGCCTACAATTTCTCTGCCTCCTGTCCCTATCCCTAGATCATCCACTTCCAGAAGGTCTATCAGGTGACTGCAGGTGCTGAAGTAAGTTCAGTGCAAGCCGATAAAATCTCAGCTAAACCCAGCCCACAGAATTGTGAACAAAACAATGAAAAATGTTTATCTGAACCACAGAATTGTGAACTCACAGAATTGTGAAGAAAACAACAAATGTTTATTTGAACCATTAAGTTGGGGTAGATTGTTAGATAGTCGGGTTAACACATTCAGTGCCCATGAAGAAAAGCATTTTGGCAAACAGCTAGTGCTTTTGTGGAACTCTCTTTGTGGTAAAGATCTACACTTTTATAGGTTTTCCTTATTTTCCAAGTTTTTTTTTTTTCTTTTTTAGACAGGGTCTCACTCTGTCACCCAGGCTGGAGTGCAGTCGCACAATCACAGCTCACGGCTGCCTTGACCTCCTGGGCTCAACTGATCCTCCCAAGTAGCTTCGACTACAGGCATGTGCCACCACGCCTGGCTAATCCAAGTTTCTTAATGGTAAAAATTAGCATGTCCTTATGATTTTCAGATTTATTAAATACCCTGGGCAAATAACTTTAAAGAAAGATTGGGTTGTTTCTTAGTTTAGAATATTTATAAATCTATACTCTGCCATGTAAAGAATGTTCAAAGCTGAGGCATATAGCACTTGCTCTTCACAAAATCTCTTTTTTCTGCCTTACATTTTTACACTTTAGTAAGAATCAGAGGCAATCTACTAAATGTTTTTAATTGAAGGTTACATATTCAGAATATGCACACTTGACAAAATATTTCCAATTTTAAATTCACAAAATGAGAATGTAACCAAGAATAAATAAGAAGAGATAATAAGATGTAAGGAAAAAGAAAGTCGTGATGCACTAATATCTCTACATCTTTATTAAACACCCTAGATATTTTACCACTATATAGTGAATACATTTTCCAAAACAATATCAGATATACACGTATATGTATAAGGACTACTTGCCAGAATATTTGAACTCAGAAAAATCTAACATGGTCATTCTTAGGTCTAAACATTTTGGATTGTTTCTTATGTAATGTATGATTCATTGTCATATCTTTGTTTTGAACTATGTAATACATAGAGTGTATACCTTGCAGCACAATTTCCAGCCCATCTGTGAAATAATCTCAATTTTTTGCAATAAGAAAAACAAGAATACGATTACTTTCTTACCTAATATAAGCTAACGTATAGTTTCTAGACTAAAATTCATATATATTTCTTCAGTTAATTTTTGTATGGTAGGAATACTTCTCAAGATAGCTATTTATAAGTTCAAATATGATAAAATTTCTTTTTCACTTTGTTCTAGTAAATGGTTAGGTTTTGCAAATGATTCATGTTGCAACAGAATAAAATCCATATCATTCTGTGAGCTACATTGCTTCATTTATATAATTGTCCATTTTCTTTTGACCCTTCCATTATGAAAATTGTTTCAACAAACACAAACATTGTGATTTTATAGATGAAAGTTTATTAATTAAATGTATACTGTCAGTTTATCTCAAAAAATTAATTGAATGGACAGTCAAAGTAAGCAGGGTTGTATTAATGTTGGCTTTATCAATACAGTTAGTACTTTAAAAATGGTCATTTAAGGGTCTGAAAATGGATTTGCTTAATGGAGCATTTTGAAGAGGGCAGATTTCATGACATATGAGAGACAATAAAGATGTTAGTTTCCTTTTTCAGTCTAAGTATATTTTGGAACTACAGAAGCAAAGGTAAATCAGTTTTTCTGCTACAGGGCTTCCTTCTCAAAGATTATAATATGTTAATATTTTGTGTGAATTTTCAAAGGTGTGTGGTGATATGCATTATTTCCAGATATGTATGACTATATAATCCATTCTCAAGAAAGATCTAACTGGATTAGTGTCCATCAGAAAATACTTTGGGAAGTGGTAGTTTAACAATTAAAAATGATTTGCAATGCAAATCTAGATAAATTATGTGTACACATGGAGATAGCGTATGGAATCCTAGGCATTGAAGGCTAAGAAGGGTGGGAAGTGGGAGGGGGATAAAGCATGAAAAATTACTTCATGGGTACAATGTACATTATATGGGTGATAGTGGCACTAAAAGCCCAAACTTCATCCCTATGCAATAGATCAATGTGAAATAGTTTGGATATTGTCCCCTCAAAATTTCATGTTGAAATGTGATGCCCAGTGTTTGAGGTGGGGATTGATGTGAGGTGTTTGTGTAAAGACGGCAGATCCCTCATGAGTGGCTTGGTGCTGTAATGAGTGAGTGCCCTAGCTCTGTTAGTTACTACAACATCCCATCAGTAAAAAGATACTGGCACCTCCTCCCCTCTCTCTTTCATTATGTGATGCACATGCTTCCCTCTTCGCCTTTCTTTATGATTGGAAGCTTCTTGAGGCTCTTGCTAGAAGCAAATGCTGGTTCCATGCTTCTTGTACAGTCTGCAGAACCATGAGCCAAATAAAACTTTCCTTATCAATTAAGTACCCAGATTCAGATATTCCTTTATAGCAAGGCAAACAGACTAACATACCATGTAACAAAACTATATTTGTACCCCTTAAGTTTATACACATAAAAATAAATACAATAAAATAAAATTGGAAAGTGTTACAGGCAGATGGCACATCCAGAGCCAATATCCTAAGACATAGCATGCTGGGCTTGTCAGAAGGACTTCGGGGAGGACAGAGTGGCTGGAGCAGAGTGAGGTGGGGATAAAGTCATGGCAGATGAGGACCAGGTCCTTTTAATTTTTCCTTTTGGCAACAGCTTTATTGAGACATAATTTACATATCACATAATTCACCCACTTAAAGCATACAATTCAATTGTTTCAGTATATTCAGAGTTATTCAACAGTCATCACAATCAATTTTAGAGCATTTTTATTACCCCCAAAATCAACCCCATACACTTCAGCTATCACCTGCTAGTCCTCCCAAGCCCTCAGTCCTAGGCACCCACTCATCTGTTTTCTGTCTCTACAGATTTGAGACCCGGGTCTCTTAGGACTGCTGTAAAGGCTCCATCTTTGAGTTTTCAGCAGGTAATTGATATAATTGACATACCAATTTAATAGAGTCCTTCTATAAGCCATGTTGTGAGTAAATTGATAGAGGTGGTTATGGAACTAATCCATCAAACAATGATCTTGCCTTGGAACAGAGTAATATTGGTGGAAGTGGGAATTGGAAATATATATATATATATTTCTATATAATAAAAAATTACTAGCTGATCTCAGAGATGGGGAGCTCTGTATTCTGACTGTATACTCAGTCTTTTTTTCCAGAATATGTTCTGAACATGTAATTATTTCTTAGCACTTTCCTTTGGCACCATATTTCAGACAAAAGACTTGGTGAGTATCTCAAATGGAGATTTTGGGAAGTTATTTTCCAAGCAGAAATTAGCTTAGATCTCCCTCTTAGGATATATAGATGTTTGAATCTGATATGTGTGTTGAGATTAGGGGTAAAAGAGTAATATCTACTAGTGAGACTTTAGTGTTATTTTACATTTTTGAAAACAATAAGGTAGGTAGATATTATAACTACAATTAATATCCTTATACCTCAATTTTAAAGATGAGAAAGCTGTAATGTAGGCTGGGCGCAGTGGCTTCCACCTGTAATCTCAGCACTTTGGGAGGCTGAGGCCAGCAGATCATGAGGTCAGGATCAGCCTGGCCAACATGGTGAAACCACATCTCTACTAAAAATACAAAAATTAGCCGGGCATGGTGGCAGGCACCTGTAATCCCAGCTACTCGGGAGGCTGAGGCAGGAGAATCACTGGAATCTGGGAGGTGGAGGTTGCAATGAGCCGAGATGTGTCACTGCAGTCCAGCCTGGGTGACAGAGCGAGACTCCATGTCCAAAAACAACAACAATAACAACAACAACAAAAGTTGAAATGTATAGAGATTAAGTACCCTACCTAATTATAAAAAAAAAAATCACAAGTCAGAATTTTGACCAATGTCTCTTTGGTTACAGACATTCTTTGCAGTCATGCCAAATTAATAAAAATGTAAAGAATGGTGCCACATAGCTATATGTCATCAAGAAACAAAATTCCTCTATTTTTATCATGCTTCTCATTTAATAAAAGAGTGGAATACTTTTCAAGTAAAATTACAAGAAAATAAAAATCATTTTAAAAGCTGTCTTGATTTGCTTTGTAAGGAGAGAAATGAAGTTTTATAATCTTATAAATGTCTTTGGAATCATGGACATAAAATGGTATAAAGCTTTAAAGCTTATATCATGGTTTTAATATTAACTGTTTATTATCTGAACTTTTTATGACTTAAAATATTAAGATAGTGCTGGAAAATATCTATGAGAACTGTTATGTGAATTTAGTTATTTAGGAAAAATGTTGTATTTCATTTTACTAGCTAAATATTCATTACAATGGAATTTTTATTAACAGAAGAATGTTTATAGTATTAAGGTCGTGACATGTGCATTTTTCATATGATATTAAATATTCAAAGACTTTACAAACATTATTTTATTAAATTTACTTCAAAAGAGAAATAGGCATGCACACACATGTACGTAGAAGGAAATGGTATAACCAGCTAATTTATTGTACTCTACTTTTTCACTGGCATTTGATACTGCCTTTTAAAAACTTGGGATATTTTGTTATTGTGATTTTTCATATCAGAGAACTTCCATAATATAATCCACACTTAATTGTTATTTAGGTGCCATAATGCATTTTCCTGAGCTCACAATATTAAAATGTGCAGAGTTTCTTCAATCTCCCCTTCAGAATTACCCTGTACCTTTCCCATTCTAATCTCTAATGAGGATGCTGATATTTATAAATTGAATAGTTGTAGTCTGGGCCCTCTTCCTTCCATTTAGGTTTTGTCATGGGGACAATGATAAGGACACCTGGGAAAAAGGTGAGAGAAGTTGCATACTTATTTCCTCCTGTGTCCCTTGAGGTCACCACTACTGACTTTCCTCGAAAGGAAGTTCATTGATCCTCTTTGTGAGGCCAGCTCTACATGAAGCTCCATCCTGCTGGTTTCTAATAACATCTCTCCCCTTATCCTAGGAGTGATTACAGACTGCTGATACTGGCTTCATATTTTGGTACACTTTTACTTCCTCTCTATTCTATTTATACCAGTGCAATTAATCATTTATATGTAAGCCCTCTTAAGACTATATTAAAAGTGAGAATGTCATCTGTTCTGTCGGTTTCCTGATTGATTTAGAAACAGCAAAGCAACTAAACCCAAGGAAGATGTCCTTTAGCATCTATCTGCTTTTCCTTAATATTTCGAATCCAGAATATATTACTGAGGTTGATATCTCAGAATATTGTAGAATTTAGGATATAAATTTTGGTTCTATGAAGCACCTCTTCCAAAATTTAAAAAGTAATTATTATGGAATAATTTATGTATAGCAAACATTGGTGTAATTGCAAAAGCAATATACTTTTGGTAAGAAAATGCCTATTATCCTCTCATATTTTGTAGACAGACAAGTATGAAGCAACAGACGTTGAAATTATTAAGAATAATCTAACAATGTCACGATTTTGGCATTTTATTTGGTTTGGCTAGAAACTATGAGCTCACATTTTATCTGAACCCTGTCTGAACTAACTTAAGCAAAACTTAGAGGCTTTGGTTCATAGAGGTTGTGCTGAATCTTTTTTTTTTTTTTGGATTCATTTTGCTATCCATGAGTTTTACTTAGAAGTTTGGATTTGCTCCCAAAATGATTTTCAGAAATTATTTCTAAAACCATAGAAACTTTAAGCATTTAGCAATAATGCAAGAATAACTGAACAATAAGGGAGAAAAGATTTGAATCATATGAAAAAGCATAATACGGATTCTATTTTACTATCGGTTTACGAAAATATTTCATATACCAGTATAAGTAGAAATGGCTGTTTTCAAAATAGATGTAAATTTCAGTGTTCCCAGGGGACCCAAGACAACAATTCACTTCGGTCATTTTATTTCAAAATCATATCTCTGATTAACTAAAATATTAGTCTTTAGGAAAGAATATAGAATTTTGTCTTTTAAAAAAGGTTTATAAATTGCATGATGTACTTTTCTATTTTAATTATTGATATGATTATCTATTTTACTTATGAATTATGTGGACATAGTATGATAATCCAGGATTATTTCAATTCTAACTTATTTTTTTAAATTGACTAGGTTAGATATTATTGTTATTGTTTTATATGGTCAGTGTTTATTTAGTTATCCACATGTCAAACATTTTATTTGAAAACCATCCCCTTCTGTATCTCAGTCCTTTTCTTGGGAATTTCCCAGAGCCAAGGCCTAGGTAGGTGTGCCCCATTCTCTTGGGTAGATTCCTTTCTGATGCACCCACAAAGGCTGTACCTCTTCCCAGATCCTGACATTTTGTGAATAGCTCTGTTCTGAACTTCCTGCCCTTGCCCTCTGCTTAAGTGTCAGGCTTTGGCTTCTGCACTAGGTTCATTTGATTAATCTAAAGGCACATTTTAGTACTCCAGAGATGAGCAGATACATCAGGCTGATCATTGGTTCCACAGTTTTTTCACTCCTACGGATTTGTGCCTCTTTAACCTCAGGAAAATATCTCCAGTTTGTCTGCATAAAACTGAAGATTAGAAAACTATATTTAAAACTCTATCTACTGTTTTCAGTTGTTTTAGGTGTTTTCTGATATCTGGTTCCCTATGTTGCTAGAAATACAAGCCTAAACATGTATGCTTCAAGAATATATTGAATAAATATTTTCTTAGGCCTGTATTCTTTGTACATATATTATTCTTATAAATAAATGTATGAACAATATATTGATACATTCTCAAAGTATATCATTTAATATAAAGAATTCACATTATAAATACAATATATGATATGAAGTATGTATTTTTATAAAATATTTAAAAATAAATAAGTTAATTTAGCCAATTAATCATTTCACAAAGGTTATTTAGCAAATTGACCATCTGGAGCAATTAGTTGTTTTTCCATGAATTCAGTGGAATTGGCAATGCAGTGAATTAGTTAGGTAAATTGGAATTCCAGTCATGTAGGATTTTTCATGTGTGGAAAGGGCCTATATCCATCTGATATCCCTATCCAGAAATAAATCTTTTCATCTGCAGAGTGCAGGTGGACAAGAAGGAGTTTACTTTGTTGTGAAGCTAATAAAGAGTCCTGAATTTCTTAACTACTTTTTAAAGAAACTTTTACTTAATCTTTTTGGTGCTAAATATAATATATTTTCTTTCCATCCTTCAAAGATACTTATTGCTATCAGTGAAACTGGAACTATCAGTTAAATGTTCCTGGGATTCTGGGTCATAAGTCAACTTGATTCTTGCTAACTTTGTCCTACTGTAGGCATTTGGTTTCATCTTACTGGCTAAATCAGCTATCACTGTTATTTCTCTATTTTATCTTTTGAAATTTGTTGACATACCTTCTCTGCTATTTCTCCAGCCAGTTATTGGCTAATGTAGGTTGTTCCTTTTAAAAATGTATTCCCTGCTGTTGTAATGAAGCTATGAGTGGGATTAGAAGTAAATACTTATTTAATTATTGGGGTTTAACTGAACATCTTACTCCATTAGATAACTAATTTTAGAACATATCATAATAAATAATGCAATGATTAACTTCCTTATTCTAACATTTTGTGTGCATAACTTTTAAAAGATGTTGACATTTTAAATACTAACTTGAGCCTTTTGATTAAATCTTTTTTAAAAATTTATTTAGACAATTACAATGTATATTTTATTTTTATATATAAAGTTAATTTTGTAACAATAAAAAGTAATCCCAAGTAAATTCAAGACCTCTTGAAAATTTGTTTAACATAGTGCATACCTTAATATTTTGAATGCTTGCTTGTTTTCTAGGAAAGAGGACTTTAATTCGATTCTTAAGGGTTGCCATTAACAGCAGCAAAAACAAAAGGTTTATACTTTGGATTGTAGAATTGAAGTTAAAATTGCCAAGTTTTTCCTCTTCAATCCACAATGACTGGGAAGTGTTTATAATTATCATGTGTAACAAAACTCCAATGTTTAATACAACCTGCATTATATGTATTCAAACTCTCTTAAGTTTTGCTGGAATAAATGACTATTAAGATGTTGTGTTTTCAACAGCTATCTACTACAATATGTTTTAAGATAAACATTGAATAAAATATGGATTTTTTTCAAATAAAATATCAGACTAATAAAATAATTACACATCGTAAAAACTTCCACTAGACTATCTGTATCAAGAACTTAATTTTTATAGCTTATCATCATAATACTTTTCCCATACTTATAGAAAATATTTTAAAATGTACCTTCACCCAAATTTGTTAATTATTAAAATAAACTAAGAAAAATATCGAGATTGGTATTTCCAAGACTTTCAGGTGATTTAGTAGTTACAAGTATTTATTTATCATTTTCATTTTTCTTCTTTAACTAGTTATACATGTGGTTAATTATTATTATCTATCTATTTTTTGTTTTGAGACAGAGTATCACTCTGTCACCCAGGCTGCGTGCATGGCTTGATCTTAGCTCACTGCACCCTCCGCCTCCTGGATTCAAGCGATTCTCCTGCCTCAGCCTCTCAAGTAGCTGGGACTACAGGCGTGAACCCCCATGCCTGGTCATTTTTTTTTTTTAATTATTTTTAGTAGAGACTGGCTTTCACTCTGTTGGCCAGGCTGGTCTTGAACTCCTGACCTCAAGTGATCCACCCGCCTTGGCCTCCCAAGGTGCTAGGATTACAGGAGAGAGCCACTGCGCCCAGCCCTGGTTAATTATTTTTTAAACTTCTCTTTATATATAGTACAAATAAAATCTTCTTAATTTATTCATATGATTTAAGATATGTGATTTTATTTTTACCAAAATGATAAAACTCCACCAACAGATTTAATAATGTATAAACAACATTCTGTCCAGAATTTAGAGTAAATATTGAGAGTGAAATTAGTGGTGGTATAAAGTGATATGTTTGAAAAGATTTGCCACAAAATAATATAATTTTAATTTTATTTTTTAAAAAGGTGGTTTTTGTTTTGTTTTGTTTTGTTTTGTTTTTGCCTCTGTTGCCCAGGTTGGGGTGTAGTGGCACCATCACAGCTCACTGCAGCCTGAACCACTGGGTCTCAAGGGATTTTCCTGACTCAGCCTCCTGAGTAACTGGGATCACAGGTGCATGCTACCATGCCTGGCTAAGTTTTTTATTATTTCTAGGGATGAGGTCTTGCTATGTTTCCCAGGAAGTTCTCAAACTCTTGGGCTCAACCCATCCTCCTGCCTCAGCTTCCCCAAGTGCTGGGATTACAGGTGTGAGCCACTATGATTGACCAATTTTTTAAAAGTTTTCTATAGCAATATATTAACTTATAGATAATACTGCATAATAATATCAGGCATTAATAATTTAGATATGAAATAGAGCAATACACTGAAGGTTGGTAAATTCAAATCTATGATATTAATAGCTTTTATTAATAAATGTAACATTTTAGGAGGTATATACAATTTTAACAAGGTCATTTTACTAGATTCATATTTAATAATATTGTCAGAAAGTTATGTTTTATATTTGTAATAAAAGCAAATTTTTATGCTCCTTTCAGTTGGTTGCCTATTCTGTTACTCGTTTCTAGTTGCATAATGATAATTTCTTTAAATCTACTATTTCTCTTTTTTTCTAACTACTTTTATCAAATGAGAGAAATCAATACATTTTTTCATTTGATAAAATGAAACGTATTATCTCAATTAAAATATCATAGAAAGTAAGGAGAAAGAAAATCCTCAAATCTTTATAACTGTAATTTCAGTGATAATTATGGTACATTTTAATCTATGTTTATTTGATTTATTTAACCTTTCTGCCACTATATGACAGAAAAATTAAATTTCCATCTAGTCTTATTTACATAATTGAGAATATACTACATATATAATTTTATGTTTTCTTTGTTATTTTTACTTAACAACATATATTCCATGTTTTCTCACAAAGTTACCATCTACTTAATTGTTTTTTAAATATGTAGGATTATGTCATATTCTATCTGATGCATGCATCATAATTTGTTTAATGAAATGATTTTTCACGTTTTCCACTAAGGTAAATATATAGAAATACTTTTAAATATATTTAATACTTAATAATACAATATTCCGGACAGTGCATTCTCCTCACAGTTACCCTGTGATATGAGTGCACTTATTACCATTGTTTAGAAGAAACTGAGGCTTGCCAAAGTCTTATAGTTTTATAAGTGATGGATCTGAGATCATTTTTTGTCAAAGTTTCAGATTAGTTTCTTATGACATATTCATAGTCGAGTTACTAGAGAGGATTACTTTTATGTCATTTGAAAATTGATAAAATACTTTCTCAGAATAGTTGTAGTAATTTACATTCCTATGACCTGTTCATAAGCATGGCTTGGTATTCTCACTGGTGGATAGATTAACAAGAAGAATATAAGGAAAATGTGAGGAATCAGATCTAAGAAAAAAGAAAAACTTAGGGAGGCTCTGCAATTGAAGTAGAGGGAAACAACACTTTCCATAAAAGCAGGGAACATCTATTACTTTGGCTAAGGATGCTTTTGTTTTCTTGTGGCAAAAGTGCTGTAGTTTTAGAGAACCTGATAATGTACAATTGCCTTCACTTATGATGTCACTAATAGGCAAGGTGCCTTGTTTTCTCCCGACCAAGACAAACGACCCAAGCAAGGGTAATTAGAGCCTTTTGCTCTGGAATTTGAATCTTGAACAGATAAACCAAACACTGAAAAACATACGAGCCATTCAGATTGACAGGGTTACTCTGAAGTGACAGTAATTGTTTCCCTCTACCTAAATTGCACAGCCTCCCTAAGTCTTTCTTTACTAAGACCTGATCCCTCACTTTTTCTTTGTATTATTCTTGTTGATCCCTGTTTGTTAAATAAATTTGTTTTTTGCTTAACATAATTGTAATGAGCTTTAATAATATGTTAAGTTGTAATTAACTTTTTCTAAATAAATCATTACATTTATTTAGATATTAAACAATTCTTTTTCCCCAAAATTGTTCTTTAGCAGTTATTTGTGCTGTCATTTTATATACATGAAATTCGTGTATTTAATATGATATGCTTTTTTATTGATTTCTTTGTATCCTCCTCTTCTAGTAGGACACTGATATGTTTAATGAGATTGTATAATCTATTTTAATGTATTATAGAACTTGTTTCCCCAGGTAATTCTTCATTAGATTAGCTTCTTAGCTTTTCCTTCAATGGTCTTTTTAACTATTTTATAATTTTACTGAGAATTACATTTATACAGGAACTTAGGATAAACTGGCATCTTTATACTATTTATTCCAATGTTGTTTTATTTGGAATGCTTGTTTAAATAGATCCATATGTATTATTTATAATCATATAAATTCTTACGGTTATTTCATTGGTATGTTGTAGCTACTTTAGTCAAGCACTGATTGTTTAAAAACTCGGATTATTTTATGATGTGAGAAAACACACACGAATCATCCAATGGGGAAAAATACATGTATTTATATGAGGGGACATTGAAAAGTTTCTGGAAAATGGAATTAGAAAGTAAAAATGAAAAAATACAAACATTTTTTCTTAACATAAACTCTATCAAAGTCAAGCACTTTTGTAAGTGATGATACCAGTCATTTAGTCTGTCCCTAAAGAACTGAGGGTCCTGGAAATTTAACCATGGTAATGTAGTCTTTTTTTACATTATCAACTGAAGAAAAATGGGTGATCTTTACTCATTTTTTTAAGATTAGAAAAAACAATCAGAATAAGCCATATCAGGATCATAAGGTGGATGCCTAGTGATTTTCCACTGAAACTCTCACAAAATTGCCCTTGTTTGATGAGACACATGAGTGGGAGCATTGCCATGGTGGATTAGGACTCTCTGGTGAAGCTTTCTCAGGCATTTTCTGCTAGACCTTTGGGAAACTTTGTTAAAACACTCTTATAATAAGCAGATGTTATCATTATTTGGCCCTCCATAAAGTCAATAAGCAAAATGCTTTTAATCGTTGGCCCTCTTCAATTAGGGCACAAACAAGATGAATTTTTTTCCTTATAGATTGATGTGGATGATCTGCTGCTATGGGCTTCATCTTTAACACCATCTCATCTCTTCTTAAAATGAGTTAATTGTTTGTAAGCTGTTGATTTCTTGGGGCATGTTTTCATAAAATTTATGCTTTTAATTGTTGGTCCTCTTCAATTAGGGCACAAACAAGATGAATTTTTTTCCTTACAGATTGATGTGGATGGTCTGCTGCTATGGGTTTCATCTTTAACATCATCTCATCTCTTCTTAAAATGAGTTATTTGTTTGTAAACTATTGATTTCTTAGGGCATGTTTTCATAAAATTTCATGAAGAACCAATTATTTCATCATTCTTCCACCCAAGCTTCACCATAAGTTTGATGTTTGTTCTTGCTTCAATTTTAGCAGAATTCATGTTGCTCTGATAGGTGTTCTTTTCAAAATGATGTGTTACCCTTTTTAGTGCTTTAGACTAAATCCTGTTTAGATATGTTATAATAAGTTAGTACAAGTGTATTTTGGTGCAAAAATTTGAAATCCATGAGTAATTTTTTTGATACTATGGATTTTCCATGAGCTTTTTGTAGTCATCTTATATTCCCCTTCTGGAAATACAGTAGCCTGAGTTACTTGGACCAATCACATTGATGAACACAATTTAGAAATGAAAAAGACACTAGTGGCTAGTTTACCTAGGTCACCCATTATGGATGAATGCATTCATTTTCCCAGTATTGGGAGAGCTGTCCTGCCCAAATTTATGCCTTCCTTGGATATATCTCTTAACCTAATTACTAATCAATGGGGTAGATCACAAGCCTTGTTGCTCTTCTCGACATTTCCTGATCCACCCTTCAGAGCTCCACAGGACATCAGGTAATGTTTCTCCCTCCTACCCAAATGCAAAATTTTAGTTTTGACAGTACAACAGGGAAAGGGAAATGAAGTAAAAAGCCAGAGTCTCTCCAAGGGAGGAAGACCAATAAGAATACTTCTTCACCTTAAGCTTGGATCCAAAGGGCTATATTCACAGAGCAAGCCTGAAAACAAAATAAAAATTCTCTTCCCAGCTCCTCAAGGAAACATACACACACACACACACACACACACACACACACACACACACACACACTCAAATTTTGCCTTGGTGCCAAGGAGAGACAAGGGGAAAACCATATCTATCTCTATAATATTGAATGCAAAGCGAATAAAGTGAGTTTCTCAGGGCAGGGTTCATGTTTCTGAAATGCTTATATTTCTAATACACTGTAGGATGTTATTAAGTATTTGTCAAATGAACACTTAGAAAACAAACATGTTATGTGCCAAAGCCAGAAATAAAACAAATGCTTTTAGAATAATAAAGGCAATTTCAGATTGCAACAAAGGAATATAATGGTTAAATTATGGTATGAGTTTTCTTGTTAGAATGGTAATAACAAATTAATTTTTTCAAGATATTATATTAACTTTCATGTTAAATAACTATAGTTAATGTGACAACATGAATGCTGTAAATTTTCTTGTTGTCTGAGAAATCGTTTGTACTAATTTGAGTGGGAGACTAAAGATGATCTGGTTAAATTAACATAACATCTCATCATTACACTAACTCCATGCTATACTTTAGATGAGCAGCAAAAGGTAAAATCCTTTGCAAAGGAAAACTAAAAGTAATAGCACTCCTTCCTTGAAGTTTTAAAACTTGTTGCCTTAAAACACATACTGAGAGCACGTCTCAATAAATCAAAACAAACATCTACAGAAGAAAAAGACATGTTAAGATAATTGAAAAGTATGAGTGTATACTGTGTTTGTGTGTTTGTGCATGCACGTATTTCAAAATTTTATTTTCTCATTCTGTGAATACTAACTAAATTCAGGTCTCTTGAGAGAAACTGCTGAAACTGTATCATTGTTCAGGAAGCAGGAACTGGCTTTTGATAAAAGCCTTCCCTTTCTCTTCCATAATGCATCTGGGACCTTCACAGTTGATTACTGTAATATTTATATAATATAGCTTTGACGTACAATTGAGAGCTATAATACATTTTATATGGAAAAAAATTGGCTAGCTTCAGGTAATTTTAATGAATTGGAAGAAAGCCTATTTTGTTTCATCTGAAATCAAGAAAGAGTGCGAGGCTAGTTACTAAATACTAGTCAGTTTCTTTTATAAAGAATGCTTAGAATTTTTTTTGGATGTGGGTCCAAAAATCCTTCATTACTGCATTATAAAACTCAAATAAAAATGGTGCCTTCTTACAGACCCCATTAACTGCAGTATCAGATTGATGATGGCCTTGCTCTTAGGAAAACCAAGATAATTGTACTATGTTTTTTTCACATCACTACTTTTCTTGATGGATATGGAAAGAAATCTTATTATACTGAATTGAGAGGCTCAAAAATGATGAAAATTATTTTCTTTTCGCCGTGCCTCAATTTATTTATAAGGAACACTATTCTATGAGATTTCAGATAGGTATTAAAATAAAAAATAAAAATAAAAAACTAGAGACCTCACTAGGTCAATATACTAGGTTAAAATAACTTAGTTACTACAGAATCTCCAAACTTTCATTTATGATCACTTGTTTTCATTGATTATATAACATAGGTGTTTAGTATAAAAATATATAGGAAGCATTTTAATAAAATAAAATATATGTGAAAATCTAATTTCTTATGTCATATTGAGAAGCCCTGGATATGTACTGAGAAGGGTATATCACTCTTGTGGTATTCTTGCCAAAAATGTTTACCTTCAAACCAGTCATGAGAAAATGTCAGACCATCCAAATTTAGTGATATTCTGCAAATTAACTGGCCACTACTCAATAAAAATGTGAAAGTTTTAAAAGATAAGGAAAGACTAAGGATCTGTCATAGATTATAGGCAACTTAGGAGGCATAATGATTAAATGCGCTGTGTGATTCTGATTTACTCCAGGAAAAGAGAAAGGACTTAATGGGAAAAAGCAAAAACAGAAAATGAAAAACCAAAAAACAAAAACCCTGGAATAGAATAATGTCTGTTGTTTAATTAATAGCCTTATAATGATTCTCTATGCCTACATTCACACACATCTTCGTAAGTGATTATTTGTGCTTTTTTTTTTTTTACAATAGACAACTTTTAAAAAGCCCTTTCTGTTTGCTTTCTCAGCTTAATCTATCTTCAACTAAAAGAAATTGAAATTAACAAAGTAGATTCCCTTCTACATATTTCTCCACAGAATCATACAAAACCAAAAACTGTCTTTTACAAACACACACATACATTTACAGACAATTTGATAGGATTGTTTCTTTATGAATAATATATATCATTTAGGAAACATTTTTATCTAATTTTTAAAAATACCTCATGGAAATCTTTTCAAGTCAATAGCATAGATATAATTAATTATTTTTATGGGAAAATGTTTCATGCCATTTAATAACATACCAGCATTTATTCAACCATTCCCTTAATGATGAGCATTCATTTTATTTCTAAGTTTGGTTTTCAGCCAGCAGATCCATAATAAATTACCCTTTGAATTTCTGGGCATATTCATACTTTCATTTCTATGAGAGAGATTCTCATGAATAGGAATGTTAGAATAAAATATACATATTTTAGCTATAATTGACTGTAATGTTTCCCTTGAGGTAATGATTCAAATTTCTACACTATACAGAAGTAGATCTTTCCACTTATTACTGACAGCCATAAATATTGCCATCTGTTAACATTTCTTTCATATAGATGATAAGTAACCTTTTATTGTTACTTCAATTTCTTTTGAGCTTAATTTTGTCTTCAACTCATAGTAAGATTGAGCATCATCAGTTATACTCATAGGTTATTGAAACTAACTCTTCTTTGAGTTGTTAATTTGTATATTTTTCTATGGGAATATTTGTCTTTTAGTTTTCAATGTGTAAATGACTTTTTTAATGACTTTTCTGTTGAGACTGGTTCTTTCTCTGTCAAACAGACTGGAGTGCAGTAACATGATCAGTTTTCTGAGTAGCTGGGAATACAGGCACACACCGCCATGTGCAGCTAATTTTTTTTTTTTATTTTTTTTGTAGAGACAGGAGTCTTACTATGTTTTCCAGTCTGGTTTCAAACTTCTGGGCTCAGTCTGGTTTCAAACTTCTGGGCTCAAGCGATCCTACTATTATTTTAGAATGTACTCCTCCTCCATTTTTTTTCTTTTTCTTTTTTTTTTTTTTTTTTTAGTTAACAGGAAAACAGCCTCAGGCAGGTCCTTCAGGAGGTATTCCAGAAGAAGGCATTCTTATCATAGGAGATGCCAGTTCCAGCAATAAAGTACTGTCAAATCTTTCTCTGAAATACTTTCACTGTACCTGAAGACATCTCAGTGAAAGAAGATATGGAGGTGGAAGACAGTAATACTGATGATCCTGACCCTGTGTAGACCTAGGCTAATGTGTGCGCATGTATCTTACTTTTTAATATAAATGTTTAAAAATAAAAAAATAAAATAAATATTTAAAGTTAGTAAAACACTTACACAATGAGGACATTAAAGAAAGAAATTTTTTTTCATACATCTGTGTAATGTGTTTGTGTCTGAAGCTGTTATTACCAAAGAATAAAAAATTATTTAAATAAGAAGTTTATAAAGTAAAAAAAGTTACAGTGAGCTAACATTAATTTATTATTGAAGAAATAATTTAAAATAAATTTAGTGTAGTTTAAGTATACAGTGCTTATAATATCTACAGTTCTGGAAAGTAATGTCTTAGGCCCTCCCATTCACTCACCACTCACTCAGTCACTCACCTAAAGAAACATCTGGTGCTGCAAACTTCATTTATGGTAAATGCCCTATTCAGGCATATCACTTTTTATCTTTTATATTGTATTTTCACTGTACTTTTTCTATGTTCGGATATGTTTTGTTATACAAATAGTTATCATTATGTTCCAGTTGCCTGCAGTATTCAGTACAGCAACATGCGGTACAGGTTTGTAGTCCAGGAGCAATGGGCTATACCATATAGTCTAGGTATGTGGTAGGCTATACCATCTAGGTTTGTGTTAAGTCTATACCATGATGTTCACACAATGATAAAATCACCTAATGATGCATTTCTCAGAACATATTCCTATCATTTACTGATGCATGAATGTATATTTATTATTACAGCTTTTATTTTTCTAGCCTAAAACCTTTGTGAAAAAAAAAAACAACTTTTGCCCATTTAGAAAATGAACTTTAGCTACCTAGTAAAAGTAGATTTTGGCACAGTTTATGAAATTATCTCTCTTAACTGCTGTATTTATGTTAACATTTGCATACATTTTTGTAAACCTCATCAAACACCTCATGAAATAAAGTATGACTGAAAGATAACTCTTATTTCTAAAATTGATTCATTTATTGAATCAAGCAATAAAATACTGTCAAATCGTCCATGGATATACTTTCCCCTTACTATTCCTGTTTCTCCCTTCCACACTGGTACCACTCTATTTCAGAAGGCCATTAATATCTGTTTGGATTAATACAATTATTTCCTGACCCTCTTAGCCTCTTATCTTACCTTTCTCAATTTTACTGATACTGATAAATCTTTAGGAAATATAAATATATTCATGTCATTGTCTGCTTTAAATAACTTTTAATGGTTTCCTATTGCTCTTCAGCTACGATGCAAAAGACTTAATACTTTTTAAAATGGTTGCTTCAATTTATTTCTCCTCATTCATCTCTTAGTACTCCTAACCTGTCTTCTGTATTCTGGCATCCATGAATGTCTTTCAGCTCTCAGAACATACCATTCACTAATTTTTCCTCACACTTTTATGTCTTCTATCCCCACCGTTTGAGCATCTTAATGCTACTCTCCTCATCCTATGTGATATATTAAAAACTTGTCATCCTTTATTTCTCATCATAGATGTCACTTTCTCAAGGTCACTGTCCTTCAAACCTTTCAAGGTGGGCTAGTGGCAATGTACTTCTTTACATCCTGTACTTCCTCATCATGTGAACTTTTACACACAACTCTAAATGCTATGAGGAAGATGAAACAAACAGGGTTACATGGGTCCTGGTTGAATATAAAGTCAAGGGGAGAGGTAAGTCTTTATATTTCTCCACATTTCTGAATTCATCCAAGATATTTCTCTTCATTATATAAATTCCCAGCACTGGTGCTTATGTGTATTTTGTGGTAGGTGCTCAAATAACTATCACAGTATGAGGAACAAGATGTTGACCTTGTATTCATAGTTCGTAAGTCATTAAGAATTTGTCAGAACTTAATATGAGTTGGCGCGCTGTGGTAAGTTTATCAGCAAATAAACTAAGCATAAGGCATACTCCTGGGCTCCCGAAAACCGCAATCAAGTGAGAATATGGCTGTTTTCTACTGTAGTATGATAATCTGTTTTTTATACTGAGAAGTTGGTAAGGTCTTGATTTAGTTATGTGTGATCCAGGTAACTACACAACTTTATTCAATTCTAAGTAACTTTCAGCTGAAAGAGAGAGAGTTAAATTTTTGAGGCAGTCACTATGGTGTATTTCCATTTTATCACCAAGACATTTACTTAAATAAATACAATAGAACTAATGAATCAAAGAACCATTGAATCAAAATGGAGAGTTGGCACTATTCATTTCTTAATTAAATTTTTCCAGATCATTGCATCTGGAGCAGCAAGTATAATTTATGATTAATTATGAAAACAGTTACCTCAGATCCATGTCTCTTTTGAGCAATATATTGGAAGATCATTGAATATGAAACCCCAGGAAGCAAGGTCCATGAATGTTAACAATTTAAAACTGAGAATTACTATTGTTTTACACTAAATTGATGTGCCTCACTTGTCTATATTATCAGTTACTGAATTATTTCTCTTGTGTTCTTCCGTAAGAGTCATAGTGGCACATGTTATTAGGGAATAGATTATTTTCTTTTAATTACACTAACTCTTGTGGAATTTGTAGTATATAATAGAATTAAAGCAAAATTAAATCAAAGTGATTTTGAGGTGATCAACTTTTCTGTAAACAAATTCATATTAACACAAAGTTTGCCCTAAATTTAATCGTAGTATTTATAATTTTAATAAACATATATGAAACAGAATCAATGTATATGAATAGATATATACAGAAAATAATATAGCTATCTATATTGATAAAATATACATACAGATAATATAGATATATCTATCATCTATCTATATGTAGACATGGATTAAATGTTTTTTGAAGTACTTGAAAGAAAGTTGGAACAATCATGCACCTTTACTCCTCAGTAATTCAGAATATATTTCCCAAGAACAAAGACCTTTTCTATAAGATGTTTTAAAACACCTTTAATCATGTCTTATCTGGAAGTGTAACATTGGTACAGTATTTATAATCTATAATACGTATTCAAACTTTGTCAAATGTTCCATTGACAATTTTTCACCATTCTCTAAATTAAATCCTAGATCATGCATTTTATTTGTTTTATTTCTCGTAAGTCTCCTTTCGTTTGGAAACTTTCAGCTTTCCTTTGTCCCTTTTTTTTGTTGACATTTGATATTTTCAGAGTACAGTCTGTTATTTTGTAAAATGTGTCTCAATTTTGGTCTCTGTCAGGAGTAGCATTGAAGTAACGTACCCTGCTCAGTGCATCTTATTAGGAGGCACATGCTGAATATGCCTTATGGTTGGTGGTTGGCTTAGATAATTTCTCTCTCTCTCTCTTTTTTTTGAGACAGAGTTTCGCTCTTGTGGCCCAGGCTGGAGTGCAATGGTGCAATCTCAGCTCACTGTAACCTCTGCCTCCCAGGTTCAAGCGATTCTCCTGCCTCAGCCTCCCAAGTAGCTGCAATTACAGGCATTCACCACCACTCCCAGCTGATTTTGTATTTTTAGTAGAGACAGGGTTTCACCGTGTTGGTCAGATGCTCACCAGGTTTCTCCGCTGTAAAAAAACTATTCATTCCTATGAAGGGAGATATTTTATGGCTGTGTAAATCTTCTGCTTCTCACTAAACTTTCACAAATATTTTTATGGACTTTTTCTAGGATCCAGCCTATACCCTCTATGTGAGTAAAATCTAACCCCTGAATATATTATCTGCCAAATTAATATAACATTAAATTGTCTTGCCCTGAGTTAAAAATGCAAATCAGTTGCTTACTTTTATATCTTTTATATACAACTATACATTTAAGCTAAACTTTTTTCTTCCATTTTATTTATCTAGTACCTATGTGTGCCTCAAAGTGACAATGAAATAGAGCATCAGAAATTTTAAACTAAAAATTCACTCATTTTTTTTCTCTATATAGTTTCTCTTTTCTCAGAGGTATTCTATAGTGAATATATATTTCTATATATGAACATTTTTCATCTAAAGTAATGCATTTAACAATATTTATGGAGTATAATTTAATTTTTAAATTGTAGAGCAGGAAAATGTCTATCAACAAAATTAATAAAATAATTTAAAACTATGGCATAGTCTAACATACAAATGTCAGTTTTAGTTTACAATAGCAACTCATTTTCTTTAGGTATGTATGAAGTAAACCAATTAAATTTACAGCTTTAAGTAATCTGTGCAAATTAAAGGGAAAGAAAATTAATTCTAAACAATACACAATGAAATGAATTACTTGCCTGGGCATTAAAAAATCACTTTATTTTTTTCTCTGTATAATTACCTTTCCCAGTTGATCATATGTGGGTTAACTTTAACACTGATTTTGTATACCTTAAGAACATATCTGCTAGGGAAACATCACAATGCATAAGTGAGCACTGAGTAAGAATTGTACTTTTGTATGTATATGCGTGGGGGAGGTTTGGAAGGTAGGACCTTCTTGATGAAAATAAGATAGCATGTTTTAAAAATTCAACATATATTTATGAGCATTCTTTGTACTCAATTGTAGTCTTTCATCTCACCTCTAAATTTTAAGAGTGAACAAAACAGGAAAAAAATCTCTCATGGAGTTTATATTCTAGCGAGAGGAAATAAACAAGAAATAAATAACATCTATTTGTTGCATTTACTAGACGTTTACTGCAATGTGTTCTGCCATTGCCAGTATCTCAAGAGGTGATACAGCCCAAGGGTGCTGCTGTCTCCCAAGGGGCTCAATGGGTTAGTTCTAGGAGTGCCACGAGGAGCTGGAAGTTGGAACCAACTGCCTATTTTACAGTAAACTGCCTTAGCTAGATTGATGCTGAAAGGATCAGCAAGGAGACCAGAAGATGCAAGTACTCTCTCCCTGCTGAATTTCAAACCTTCTTTTAGTGGTCCCTTTGGCAGAACATAGCAGGAAGCCAGTTGGCAAAGAAGAAATGTAGTTTTCTCAGCACCTGTATTACTGAGCAGATTATGGAAGGATGAAAATTCAATCAAAAAACAATAACTTCCTAACCTGCTCATGTAAGTTATAATAGCAAAATACAAAATATACTGATATAGCTAAATCCAGCAGGACATGGATGCTGAATAGCCCGTTCTTTTTCTTTTGGCTTACTTTGGACAGGTGCACTGTTTTTGAAGTGCTTATTGTACATTTCTGCAGAATCTTCATGCATGTTTTTCTTGTGTCCATAATTCAGAAGCTTGGAATCTTCTTCATATCCTCTGCCATTAAGCCACCTTCATTTTTTATGACAAAATCCCTTTTTAACTATAGTTTCATTAGAATGTTAAAAGTATTTTAAAACCGTTCTGTCATTTTTCTATTAGTAGTTTTAATATTTTGTTGATGCTTTAGTTAAAGAGTTGCATAAATTTTTAATATCTGCTCCTATAACACCATTTTACTTATAAGAATTATTTTAGGCAAAAATACCATTTTACTATTCAGGATTATTTGGGGTTATGATTTTGTAGAATTCCAGGGTTTTTTAGCATGAGTGTTAAATTTGTGTTAAAGCAGAAACATGTATTCATATGGCAATCAATATTATGGACTAAAATCAAGGCAGCTAGGGCGTACATGGAATACTGGTGAAAGGGATATTGCTTTATGTTTGATGGCCAGGAAAAACTTTAGATTATCATTTGAGAACAAGCTTAATGGAAGTGAGGATGTAAGTACGTGGATATATACGGCAAGCACTTTTCAGGTAGGGGGAAACTACAAAGCATCCAAGAAAAGAGAGTTATTTGTCCATGGACAAACAGCAAGGCTGCCTCAGAGGGAGAAAATTGGAGAGTAAGAGGTTATGAGGTCAGTGAGACTACAGGGGACCATATGATCAAGCAAATATTTTCAATTTTTTTTAAATTTTTATTTATTTATTTATTTTTGAGACAGTCTTGCTCTATCCCCCAGGCTGGAGTGCAGTGGATCTCAGCTCACTGCAACCTCCACCTCCTGGATTCAAGCAATTCTCCTGCCTCAGCCTCCCAAGTACCTGGGACTACAGGCATGCGCCACCACGCCCAGCTAATTTTTGTATTTTTAGCAGAGACAGGGTTTTGCCATGGTGGTCAGGCTGCTCTCGAACTACTGACCTCAGGTGATCCTCCTGCCTCAGCCTCCCAAAGTGCTGAGATTACAGGCAAGGTTTTGGATTTTACTTACAGTTTATGGGAAGTCAATTTGGAGTTTGAGCAGAGGAGTAAGTTAACATTGTTTATATTTATAAGAATCACTATGGCTGCTTCGATGAGAACAGGCTAAAGCAGCAAGGTTGGTGTGATGCTTAATGTTGAGTGTCAACTTGATTGGATTGAAGGATGCAAAGTATTGTTCCTGGGTGTGTCTGTGAGGGTGTTGGCAAAGGAGATTAACATTTGAGTCAGTGGAATGGGAAAGGCAGATCCACCCTCAATCTGGCTGGGCACAGCCTAATCAGCTGCCAGCACAGTCAGAATAAAAGCAGGCAGAAGAATGTGAAAAGACTACACTGGTTTAATGTTCTGGCCTACGTCTTTCTCTCATGTTGGATGTTTCCTGCCCTCGAACATCGGACTCCAAGTTCTTCAGCTTTGGGACTCTGACTGGCTTCCTTGCTCCTCAGTTTGCAGACAGCCTATTGTGGGACCTCATGGGGTGAGGTTTATTATTCCTTAATAAACTCATGTATATATATCTCCTATTAATTCTGTCCCTCTAGAGAGCCCTGACTAATACAGTTAGAAACAGGATGTTCTAGCACTATTTAGGACAGGAATGAGAGGGCCTTATATTAGGAAGAAGCAGAGGATTTGGTAAAATATGACCGGATGATATACGTAAAGTCATCTCCTGCTTAATGGCTGGAATCTATTCCTGAAAATCAATTACTTTGTAGAACATTGCTAAGTTCCTATATAATTTTAAAAATTATAATTGTCACACACCAAATCAAAAACATCAAGAAATTTGATAAACAAAACTCCAGTCTAGTAAAATGTCTATCATATCTAAATCATATCATCATGCCATACAATATCAAAATAACAAAAATATCATAGTAACCATTATAAGAAGCTTAGCATATTGTTCCACATCAATAATAAATATGTTTTTCAACAAATTGAGTCATAAAAATGAGAAAGAATGAAGTAAGAAAATATAATTAAAAGCAATTAGAAATCACAGTGATGTTATACAGAGAATATAAAATAAGAAGAAACTTGGAAAATCTCATGGGGCAATTATCAAGAAATACTTGAAAAATAAGCATAAGATAGAAAGGATGGAAATCTGATCTGATACACAAACACAGACAGACACATACACACAACATTTTAAAAGTTATAGTAATTAAAATAATGTAGCTTTGAAGCCTAAGTTGACCAATAAAAGAGTAGAATGGAATAATAACAATCATGGTAATTATAGATAAAAGCTCGCCTTTTACTGTCAAAATTATTAAAAATAGTAACAAATTAAACATAATTCAAGTGTTAAAATAAGGGAATGTTAGCGCTTAGCAAAGTATCTTCAGCCAATTGATAGACTATTCTACAGGTTTTATGAGGGCTTTGAAAGCATTTTTAATGACAAAGAAATATTAAGATATAAGAGAAAATAATAGTGTTAGCTATCACATTTCCATATTTATGATAATTATTGTGCTAATGATTTTATACACACACACACATAATATATTTTACTGTCACAATTTTACAAGCAAGAAATGGATAGTATAGTTAGTGACTTCAGGCTTCCCAACTCTTAAAATGCAACCATGTTTCAACCCCAGGCAGTGGGACCTCCTAAGCCCCATTTGTTCTACTCAACTTCTTTCCCTACCACTCCACTGCCAATAAAAGCAGACTACAAAGTTGTTTTTCTCCTCTGTCATCTTAATCCCATCACGTAATATTTCTACCAAAGAGACTACCTGGGAAAACACATTAAAATACCAATAATATAGGCTATGTGTGGTTATCACAAGTACTTATTTTATCTTGTGCTTAATTTTTCCTTTTCAATTCTCTAAAAAGAGGAAAATAATAAAGATGAAATTAAAAAATGCAAAAACTGTCCACCAGCAAAAGACTAATAGTTAAGAAAATATTTGCTATACGATAAGTTTTGAAGTACAGATGCATTAATTAATCTACAATGTAAATATTTACAGATGTACTTATGTTAACATTAAAAATATTTCCAGCCGGGCGCGGTGGCTCATGCCTGTAATACCAGCACTTTGGGAGGCCGAGGAGGGCGGATCACGAGATCAGGAGATCCAGACCATACTGGCTAACACGGTGAAACCCCCTCTCTACTAAAAAATACAAAAAATTAGCCACGCGTGGTGGCGGGCACCTGTAGTCCCAGCTAATTGGGAGGCTGAGGCAGGAGAATGGCTTCAACCCGGGAGGCGGAGTTTGCAGTGAGCTGAGATCATGCCACTGCACTCCAGCCTGGGCGACAGAGTGAGACTCTGTCTCAAAAAATAAAATAAAATAAAATAAAATTCCAAGCATCTGCTGAACTATCAAAGAAAAAAGGAAAAAGGATAGTCTAACAGGTGAATAGCAGGCAAACATGCATTCTGAAGTTAGCACACTTCCTAAGTAAAAATTTTTGTATAAGTTAAACCTCAGGGAAAACAAACTAGGGACACTGATATATAAACTGACCTTCTGATAGTGTAATGTAAACGTGTATGTGAGTGTTTTTCTTTTACATTTATTGTTTTGTTGTGATGTTTTTATTGTTTAAATGCAAAAGAAAATAAATGAATCAGAATGAAAACATTTCACATTTCCTAAAATTCTAGAGAATTGCAGCACATTTTAAATAACAGGAAGGTATAGAAATGAAAGCTCTATAAAAACAAATTACCAGTTATATAATTAATTTGAACATTTTTTATCACTGAAATATTTAAACTTTTTCTCAAATGTTTCATTCCAAGGAAGATTTTAACTTAAAATGTGCATATGATGTCCAGTAGAGAATAATAACTTTACAGATTGTTTTATCTGGATCAAAAATCCTAGGTTTTTTTCATGAGACATTTGCATCCCTGGAGCCATTTAACAGAGGCCACATACAAGGACAATTGTAATTTTCTTTTAGAGAGACAAAAATGATTTTATTACATAAACAATAGATGTAAGTTACATACATTTAGGTGTGATCAGGAAGCACCAGGCACCCATTAATGATAGAAACATGCCTACATGTATTTTTAAAATTATTTACATGACCAGGAGAACTCTGCATATGGCAACAAATAATGAAAATCAGAGAGTAATGAGTTCCTATTAGATGTAAATCTCAAAAATCCCAACTGACGAAGATGGAAAAGTAAAGGAGAAAAAAAAATGGGGAAATAAGCATATGATACTCTCCAGAATTTACTCACATGCCCCAAAGGATTTACCCATACTGACAAAGAATAAATAAATTACAAATAAGAGAAGAAAAATTATGTTTTTTAAACAATAGTAAAACCCACTAACTCAAAAATTATGAATATGGACACATAATATGAGCAACTCATATGTGGCAATAAAGCACTACAATTTTTCCCAAATAATATAAGTTTAATTATAAAGAAGACATACATATATTTCTTGCCACAATCATTAATTTTACATATGAAAGAAGGAAAAAGATTTCTTAAATTCTATAGCACCCTGTAATTGCTCTTTGGCTGTAAGCTTAAATGCAATTTTTCATTTAGTTCTGATTCTTAATATCATTTTTTAACATAATAAGCTGCTGAGTGATAGTTTTGAAATGCTTAACTTGATTTTGTGTGTTCATTTATACTGCTAATAGTTTTTTCCTGCTGTGACTTCTCAAATCCAAGTGTCCTTTTATCATGCCAAGAAACATTTTATGTTATCTTTTCATTGCTGGAAATTCATTCTTTGTGGAGAGTTTCCATGTCTTATGCCTTAATCCCTTTGGTTTCTCTTTTTTCTTTCTCTTACACACATATATACCACACTACATAGGGTTTTTCCAACAGATCAAAGCAGATTCTATTTTTGCTTCCTATGATGATTTCACATGCTACTTTTATTATTTCTTGCCTTAGAATTATTTTTGATACTTCAATTCCTCACATATTGGTGATAACTGAAAATATTCTTGCTCTTTATCAGTTTCATTTTATATGGTCTGAAATCCCCAAGTTGGTCTTTTAATTAATGGAATATCGTGAATCCATAATATAGTGTTGTACTAAACATATTCCATATATCAGTTACTTCTTCTGTCCTCCTTTCTGTGTTTATTGTTCATTCATTTAGTATATACTATGTAGCCAGTTCTCTGCTAAGCAAGGAGTTTAAATATTAACAAACATATACAAAGCTTATAGGCAGAAAACATCACATTATGTGTGTGTGTGGGGGGGGGGGGCGGTGACAGTGGAGGGAATGCGATTTTAGGCAGAACGCCCAGCATAAGCTGGAACTGTGTCTAGGAAACATATGTAGTTTGGTGTGGCTGGAGTGTAGGGTGCAACTTGTTTCAACGAATACTGAATAGCACCTTATGCTCTCTTTCAGGCAAAGTTAAATATAAAAATATACTTCTTACACATATAATTTACCACAACACAGACCAGTCTAGCAGATCCAAAAAGCAGCCTGGATCTATGATAAATGCATTTACAAATTATGTGCCTAATGAGGTGTTCATCTTGATCAGTTAACGTTTATTTTCCCCCTAACATTCAAATATTTCCTCAGCTGCTTTATCAGTGATAAAGCAAAGGTTCAACTTGTCAATTGCATGAAAGCATTGCATAGAATGAAATATATTTGACATTGTATACATACTGTGTTTATTAATTGGAAGACTTAATATTGCTTATATGTCCATATTACTCAAGCGACCTACAGATTCAATGCTATTCCTATCAAAATCCAAATGGCACTTTTTACAGAAATAGAAAAAAAAACTAAAATTTACAAGGAATTCCAAAGGATTCAGAATAGGCAAAGTAATCTTGAAAAAGAACAAACAGTGAGGCATCACACTGCCTGATTCCAAATTATATTACAAAACAACAGTAAAACAGTATGGTACTGGCATAAATACGTACATATAGAATAAAGGAACAGATCAGAGTCCAGAAAAAAACTCACACATACACAGTCAACCGATCTTCAAGAAGGGGGCTAGGAATACATAAAAGGAATATAATAGTTTCTTCAACAAATGATGGTAAGAAAACTGGATTTCCACATGCCAAAAAAAATGAAATTGGACCTCTACCTTATACCATACACAAAAATTAAACCATAATGAATTAAAGGCCAAGACTCCTAGAAGAAAACATAGGGGAAAACTTTCTTGACATTGATCTTAGCAACGATTTTTTGAAGCAAAGCAAAAACAGACAAGTGGCATTACGTAAAACAAAAATGCTTTTGCATAGCAAAAAAAGGAAAAAAAAATCAGCAGAATCAAAAGGCAACCCATGAAATGGGAGAAAATATTTGCAAACGATACATCTGATAAGTGGTTAATATCCAAAACTTACAGGGAACTCCTATAAATCAATAGCAAAACAAACAAACAAACAAACAAACAAAAAAAACCTGATTACGATTGGGCAAAACTTTGAGAAAACATGTTTCAAGAAAACACACAAATGACTAACAGGTATGAGAAAAGGTGCTCAGCATCACTTATCATCAGGGAAATGCAAATCAAAACCATGCTGAGATATTTCTATCACTCCTATTAAGATGGCTGCTATAGTAGAAAACAATAGCAACAAAGATAAGTGTTGGTGGGGATGTGAAGAAACTGGAATCGTATACACTGTTGGTGGAAATGTTAAATAGTGCAGCAGCTATGAAAAACAGAATGGAGGTTCCTCAAAAAGTTAAAAATAGAATTCCCATTTGATCCAGCAATTCCATTTCTGAATATATATCCCAAATAATGGACAGCTGTATCTTGAAGGAGTATCTCCACTATTATGTTCATTGCAATATTATTCACAATACCCAAGATATGGAAACAGCCCAAGTGTCCACTGATAATTGAATGAGTAAAGAAAATGTGGTATATACATTCAGTGGAATATTATTCAGCCTTCAAAAGGAAGGAAATCTTGCCATTTATGACAACATGGATAAACTTGGAGGACATTATGCTAAGTAAAACAAGCCTGTCACAGAAGGACAAATATTCTATGATTCCACCTATATGAGTTACCTATAATAGTCCAACTTACAGAAGCAGCTAATAAAAATAGTAGCTGCCAAAGGCTGTGGGGATGAAAGAAATAGAAAGGATTTTTTCAATGGGTATAAAGTTTCAGTTATGCTAGAAGAATAAGTTCTAGAGATCTGCTGTATAACATACTGCCTATAGTAAATAATACAATACTATACACTTCAAAATTTGTTAAAATGATAGATTTCATGTTATGGGTTCTTGCCACAAAAGCAACAAAACAAAACACACACACACACACACAAAACAACGGGACACAAAAAACTCTGAGATGTGTTGGATATGTATTGCCTTCATTATAGTGATGGTATGCCGGGTGTTTGCATATATCTAAACTTATCAAATTGTTTATATTAAATATTCTTTATTTATCAATTATAACTCAATAAAGCTGTTTAAAAAACTGCCAATTAAAATCAATCATTAGCAACCGCAATAACATTGCTGACAGTTGATCTCCTTGGTAAAAGCATTTCAGAAAAATACAGTTTCCAGTGAAATCTGGGTAGCTTGTTTTATGTACAAAGCAGAGGGGAGTCAGAGCTTGGTGATATGAGTAAGACATTGATTACAAATGATGTTGGCCTTTACCCAGGCTAAATGCCAAGTTCTCTTGGGGGATCTCAATGTCAACTATATTTTGTTTTTACCTAGAATTTTAGGCTGATCTGAATATGGGCTGTTCTTTCCACATCATCTCCTGTCTTGAAGCATAGGTCTTCACTGAAAGAAGACTACAAATAGCATATTATCTTACATAATGGACAGGGGATAGTGATTTGAAAATTCAGAAAGATAAAAGGAAATGAAGTGTGAGAACTCCCACACACACATATTTAAATTTTATATTTTTACTATTTTTGAATAACGAAAAGACATAAGCAGAATCATGGACAGAAAAAGAGGGATATATTTTAACTAAATATTTTTCAGATTTTTTGAATGATTCAGCATTAGAAAAAAGTCCTGTGATTTTGTTGAAGGCAGTGGGTTATGTCTTAGCAATCTTTCCACATCTATAACTTGGAGCAGAGCCAGAATATGAGAGGAATTCACAATTTTTTAAAATTAATTGAACAAATTCAAACTATTTTTTCCCCTTGAATCTACCTGCAATCTAAGTTTCCAAAGTAGCACTGAACATTCTAGAACCTAAGCATCATTCCGCACTTCTTCGTAAAGGCCATCAAGGTCCTAATGTTTGCATGTTGTGGTTTGAAGATCTATTCAGAGCAGGGCTGGTGGCCTGACCTGAGTAAAGCCAAATAGGTCCTGAGCTTTCTCCTTCAGTGTCATGTGGCTTAACATAGCAATTGCAAGTTTGCTGTTGGAGTGGCTGATGAGTTGAGAGCTTCACATATAAGTCCCTATTTATGTGTTTGGTATGAAATTAGCTATAACAGTAATTAAATATTGATGTAAATATTGAGGTTCCAGTCACCAAGCCAGAAGACAATGAGAGTGTTTACCTAGAACTAGTAGAAGCCATTTCATCCATAGCATAACTGCAGTAGTAAGATCTGTATGGCACATTTTTGTATGTGAGCCTAAAAGCAAACAATTGGTTTGAAATAACTTTGTAAATTATATCAAATAAAAATGGTACACTTTTTATATCTCACATTTTGGGGAGACCTAATTTCCTCCTCTTTTAAAAAATGTAAAGGATCTACTCTGATTTTTAATGTGGTGACATCCTTAGTTATAGCAGCAACACAACGCTCATTGTGCATATTGATAGCTTAAACTGTGGTGTGGTTTGGCTTATATTTTGGAAGTCTGCAAAACTTATATGACTTTTGTATTCCTGCTCACTGGGATGATGCACGTATGAGAGGAATTCATAATTTTTTTAAATTAATTGAACAAATTTAAACTAATTTGATGGCGGTAGGCTTGGTTAAATTAAAAATAATGGTATATGAAATTACTTTAAACACAGAGGACTAAAATCTGTAGCTCAGACATTAAAAATCAATTTAAATGTATAACTGAGTCTATATTGTATATATTTATATATTATGCATATCTCAAAACTCAAAACTAAAGAGAAGAACAAATCAAAGGTAATCATATGCTGAAGCAGAAGGCAGTTCTAAGAGGTCATTTGTAAATCTCTTGTTATCCATGGTTTTTGTTCATTTTTTGGTGTGTTTTACATTCTGTTGAAGTATAGCACAGGCATCAAAGAGTATAAATTATGAATGTAAACACCAATTAATTTTCATAAAGTGAGCACATCTATTTAATCAGTTTCCATATGAAGAAATAGAACATTTAGTTCTATCTAGCTTCTTCAGGCTCCCTTTTTATTACTATTCCACTCTTCTCCTAAGATAACATCTATCAGATTTCTGCTTTAGAAGGCATGGAAAGACGAAAAACAAGGCCTTAAGTCTCCAATTTGATTGGTTCAGATTGGGAAGTTGAAATAGGTGACCCCACCTAAAGAAGGACTGCTGTTAGATGAAATAATAAGCTTAACAGCAACAAAATTCAATCCAAAAAGGAAAATTGTCTGTCTTGGTCTTTAATTGGGAAGAAGACTTCCCTAAATTTGATGTCATAAATAGCTATCATCAAGGTTCAAAACTTATTTCCATGTTACCTGAGCCTCCACAGCAAGCTATAACCAAGAAATTTTTCTCAAAAGTTATCAGGTGGTTTCCATCCTAGGGGAGACTGTAATTTCCAAATATATCCTCACCAATATGTATCCATCTCATATCCTTTTCAAACAAAGCCCCCTTCCTTGAACCTGGGTAGACCTCTGTAACTTTGTGTAATAAAGCATGACAAATTATCCTATGTGATCTTTGAGGAGAGATCATAAAAGGCAATATACTCCACCTATCTTTCTCTTTTAAGGCAAGTGTCTTTGGAACTCTGAACTGCAATATAAAAAATGTGAGTACTCTGAACCTTTCTTGGTTGAAAGGATGCAAACATACAGAGAGAGTGATGTGAGAAGGCCCAGTTGTTTCATTCTCTAGATATTTGAGTCTTCTCTTGTAGACACCATGCATGAGAGTGAGGGAGCTAAACTTTCAGATAAGTCCAACTTAATAGCTGCTCAGGCAGGTGGTAAAAGTAATACCTTTTTGAAGAAGCATGAGCTCAGAGAAGGTGTAATGGCATTCCCATGAATCCTCAGATTTGTAAAGCCCAACACATTCTATGCAGGACTAACTAGAGAAACTATATATTCAGAGTCAAGGAGAATAACTTCATGGCAGATAGAGAATAAAATAAGTATCGCCTACAAGAAATTAGACTGGCAATTGACTTGTATGCAGCAATAGAGAGGGTAAAATAGAGGAGAATAATGTACTTAAAGTACTAAATAAACATATCACACCTATAATATATACACAGTGAGTTGAGACTAGATATGATATTTAATATATAATATCCAGCTTTACAGGTTAAAACAAAAAAGATTCAGAGCAACTTTTACAGTATTTAATTCATATATTTAAAAGAAGAAAATGACTAAAAATAACAACCTTGGATTATAGTTTAGATATTGCATATAAAATAGAATACAATATGCAAAATTATAAGAAATGAAATGATAAAGAGAAGAGCAGGAATTAAAGAATTAGTCAACAAGTAAGTAGTGAGGATCAACAAATTGAAAGTAACATCTTTGAATACTTGTAAAAATCTAGCAAACTCTCACAAGCGTCATCAGGAAAAATCCCTAGAAAAAGGCACACATAAAGTTAAGGAGAATGACAAGAGGAGATAACTACAGACACAGTTGGGAAGATAATGTGTAATACAAACAAGTGCTACAAAAGTGTATATTGTAAGATTCAATTTAAACAAAGGTTAGTAACTAGCAAAGTTATATAATGTATTTTTTAATTAAAATGATGAAGATGAAAAAGGAAATGATAAACTGTAAACTTTAGGCAGTGAAGAAGGAAAAAGATGAAGAGAAGAACATTAAAATCAGTTCCCATCTGAAGAAATAGAACATTATTTCTATGTTCTATTGAAATGATATTTGACAAATTTATAAGTATTCATAGTATATTTATGTTATATATCATACTTATTCATTCTGCCTTATATATAAAATATTTCATAATTAGATTTTAAAAGATATTTTTCTTAGAAGGTGATAGTAATTGGGATAGCTAAGTGAATATATCTAACTTTATGAATGTAACAATTTCTCATGAATTCAGAATACATTATACTTATCTTTGTAATTAGACATCCAGCTTAAAGGTAGATGAAAATGTAACTGATCATATAGTTATGATTAGATATATTGGCAAAAATAACTTGTATCTTGAATATTTTACCTATGACTATTTTATCATTAAACATCTTCTCTATGAAAAAGAATATTTAATTAAAACAAAAATGGTTTCTGGTTAAGAAATAAATCATATTTTATTGGAATGTTTATATAACAAATATTCCATAAATAGCATTTTAATAAAATAGAAAATAACCTTATTTTAAAAATACTATTATTTCTTCAATTAGTTTGCTCGGGCAATTTCCTACACACTTTCTGTGGGAAATTTTTATTGTTCTTGCCTTATCTTTATGATCCAGAAATTTAAAAGGAGTTATGACATATTAAATAAATTGTTCAGGCCTTGAAATATTCAAATAATGGAAAATATGCCTTGATGAAACACAGGCATGTTAGTCTTTGATTCTTTTAATGGTTTAGACTACTTTATGACTTTCTCTCAATAAAATCCATAAAATTAAAATGACCATGCAAGGGTTTATGAAGCGCCTCTGACCCAACATCATGAAGCTAATGGTATCAAAATTGTTTCCTGAATCTGCTAAAATACCTGGAGGCAACTATTTTACAATACATGGATAGAGAGGAGGCCTGGGAAATCCATTGTTGGGGAAACCTCGCATCTGGCAGCTGTACACACACAAAGAAGTGTCAATGTCTACAAATTATATATTAAGCATTTTGAATTATGTCAAATGACACCTTATTCATCATACCTTAGAGAGAAATAAATGAGAAAGACCCTGACAAAGTTAGGTCTTGTTGTCTCTAACAACAAGAAATGACTGATAAAGATTATTAGATCTTTAGATTAAGGTCTTCTCACCATTATTTCTTCCCTAAAAAATAAAAATTGCACCATCTGAAGGATTTGAGTTCAGAGGAATGGATTCTATATTCAAATTCTACTAAGAAAATTTTTTCTCTAAGCACTCTGATCGATTTAATACTCTGTGGTAAATATTTGATGTAATATGTTGGAAACTTACAAATATTGCTCTATATATATCAAAAAAAGGAACTAACATCTGTGGCTACAGAAATCTCACAGTCACTGGCTATGCATTGCCTGTTGTGGAAAGCCAAAGAGAGAATTGAAAAAAGGAGGCAATAAAATATAACAATTAGTCCAGTTGTTGTATTTGAGTGATAGCTACAACCTAGCTTTTGAAATATTTTATTATAGTATATTGTTTTGCTAGATAATTATCAGAAAAACCCCACCCAGAAGTGGTTTAAACAAGTTTTTTTTTAATTCTTTTTATCACATAACATGAAGAGGTAGTGATGGTAATAGCTATAGCAGCTCAATAACCTAATATTTCTATATCTGCAGTTCTCATGGGCTCTGCTCAAGACCCTAAGCTGACTGCCATGAACCCAGTAAAAAATATCTATATTTAAGGCAAGAAGAAAAAGAAAGGGTGGTTCAAGCTATACCTGTCTTTTTTATAAGGAAGCAAAGTATTCTCATGATCATTCCTTGTGGACTTTCATATGTGTACATCTTAATGTCCAGAACTGTTTCATGTTACTCTCTCTAAAGGCAATGAAGGCTGTAAGAATGAGACTTAACTTTCTAGGTTCTATAGTTAGTAGATGGGAGAAGCAGAAGATTTCTGGGAATAGAAATTCAATTAGGTGACCACTAGAATCTGCCACAGTCATCAAAAACTTTATTCCATCATTCAATATATATTTGTTGAATGTCAAGTATTGTTCTATTTAAATAGCATATATACATATGTTAAATAGATAGACTACTTAATATGTATAAAATATATGTTTATAAATACCAAAAAAAAGTAATTTAGGAAAAAAGGTGAATCACTTCAGATAAAAAAAATCAGGATACAAGTTTACATTTGACAATGTACTTTTAATAACTGAACCTGGATATTCTAGAAAATGTTATGAAAACAATTTTTGCACTGTAAGTAGTGCCATACTAGAATATGGAAGTGTGTATTTATAGAAAGTTTATCAATATAAAGATGTTTCTGTAAAAAGATAATAATGCATATGACAAAGAGCTTAATGAACCACATTATACCTTTTATATACTTGTCAATTATTTTGATACTGCTATTCAATTTCTTTTTCTTAATAAGGCAATAGCATAGACTTATGTTAGGGTAGATGATGATAATACATTTTGTTCTGTGAGAAAATGTGGGGAAATGAAAAAGATAACTATAGATGATGATAATACATTTTGTTCTGTGAGAAAATGTGGGGAAATGAAAAAGATAACTAAAGGGAATAATTTAATTGTGACATTATGTATGAGATCCTGAGATAAGTATTATGAAAGGAAGAGTATCATTTTATAATAACAAAACTGTTTATGTGGTAAATTTAAGACAAATGTTAATTATTTTGTTTAAGACGTGATTTTTCAGTTCTGATCTCATGAGGAATCATATAAGAAAAATTGAAGCAAATTCATTTCCTTTTTTGAAACTGAGAAAAGCCCATTTTGGAAGTTCAGAAAATAAAAACACTGCTATAATGTGTTCCATTACATTTTTTTCTTTTCTTTTTCTTTTTCTTTTCTTTTTCTTTTTTTTTTTTTTTTTTTTTTTTTTTTGAGACAGAGTCTCGCTCTGTTGCCCAGGCTTCAGAGTATAGTGGCATGAACTCAGCGGCTCACTGCAAGCTCCGCCTTCCGGGTTCTCGCCATTCTCCTGCCTCAGCCTCTTGAGTAACTGGGACTACAGGCACCCGCCACCACACCTGGCTAAATTTTTTGTGTGTTTTTAGTAGAGACGGGGTTTCCCCGTGTTAGCCAGGATGGTCTCGATCTCCTGACCTCGTGATCCGCCTGCCTCAGCCTCCCAAAGTGCTGGGATTACAGGCGTGAGCCACCGCGCCCCCCTAATTGTTTTTTTCTTATTTTTTTTTAAATATTTGCTTTGAATGTCTAATCAACGTATATTTGTGTCACTTTGTTATTCATTTTATCTCCCAAACATCTCTATGGGATCAGTGCATAAATGAATTATTTTCCTGGCTAGAGCTACATTTATTTTATACAAGAGCAACTAATTGCTACAACACTTGGTTAAAATCATCATTTCTTTTTCATGCTCACATTCTACTGAACCATTCCCAGTATCAGGAGGAGAGAAGACCATGACAGGGATTTACCTGTGTAGATTGTAACCACCATCTTTGTTTGTCCTTACAACAAATTTGTTTACTTTCATTATCAAAATAACTTCCTATTCTCTATTTGGCATTGTCCTTGTGTTTGCTTTGCTATAAAAGAATATTTGGAGCTGGGTGTTTGTCAAAGAAAGATATTTATTTGGCTTATGTTTTAACAGGCTATACAAGAAGCATGGCACCAGCATCTGCTTCTGGTGAGGACTTATGGAAGTTTCCACTCACGGCAGAAGGGAGAGGGGAGCAGGCATCACATGATGAGAGAGAAAGAAAGAGAGGAGAAGGTGCCAGGTTCTTTTTTTAACAATCAGATCTGGACCCAGGAACTCAGAGCAATAAGTCACTCATTACCCCTTCCACCAGGCCCTGCCTTCAACCCTAGGGATCAAATTTCAACATGAGATTTGGAAAGGCCAGACATCCAAACTCTACTAGCCTATCAGTAGCCCCTTACTCTTCCAAGAATAAGGACATTCCTGCATTAAAATGTATAATATAATGCTGAGTGATAAGCTCTTAAAATAAAAGTAAAAATAAATAGGTGAAATTAATGTTAATGATATATTTTATTTAACCAATATTCCAAAATATTATCATTTCAATAGGTATTTAATGTATTAATAATTAATGAGATATTTTACCTTCTTTTTTGTACTAAGATCTCAAAATTCAGCCTTTATACCGTACTGCAATTCAGACTAGTTGCATTTCAAGTAGCCCATAGCCAAATGTGGCTTGTGGCTAGTGGCTACGGCCTTCATACAACTGTAGAGTATCTCTGTATCAATGTAGCAAATATTGTTTTCAATTGACTAAAACAACACATGTCCATTAACAATCAGGCATGGTACTGGGTTAAAATAATTTTGTGCAATTCAAGGTACTTGAGAAACATTAAGTATCCAATAGCAAACTTATTCAAAATAGGCATGATTATAGTATTTTTATTTTTTATAAATTAAGGGTGTTTACCATCAATAGGTCTTTATTAAAGGAGGTTTCAGGAAGAAGGGAACAGTGTATTGAAGGAAGGACTGAGTTGAAAGAATCATAGCTAAGCAAGAAAAAATATCAGTTTTATATATATATGTATACACACTCATATAAAATCATGTTAATTATAATAATGTAATAACATTATAAATTGTTTATATATAATTGTATATGTTTAATGTGTATATACATAATGTACATATTAACATATACATAATTATATATACATAAATTATATATGAACATTTTAAACATATATTAATATAATAATGTACATTATGTAATAATATTGTCATATTAATATTAATTATGATAGTAATAGGTCTTATATTGATATATTAATACTGATATAATAATTAATATCAATATAATTATCATATATAACCATATTATAATGTTTAAAAGTATGATGTTTAGATATATAATTAATGTATATGTAATTATGTATTTATATATGATTACCATTATGTCGAAAGTACTGAAATAGTTCCTGAGAACATAGAATCAAATAAAGAGAAAAATTTCTGAACTCATAGTACTTAGATTCTAGAGACAAGTAACAAAAAAAAATAAAATACATAGTAATTTATTGCAAACTACTATGATATAATTAAATTGGAGAATGGAGATAGAGAGTATTCAAAAAGTCCTCCAATTTTTAAAAGGATGGTGAGGAAATTAAGTATATTTTTCACCTTTGTTGGTCAAGACATTTTTAGAGTGGAGCACAAAGCTTAGCTCAACTTTTTCCCCAAAGGGTATTCATTTAATTTGTAGTAGAAATAGGGCATATCTGAGTATAACTCAGGGTGCTATTAATAATTATCCTGATACAACAAGAGAAAATAAGGATTCTCCCAGGCAAAGTAAGAGCAAGAGCCAGCCTATACATACGTAGAAAAACTTCTGGCAATCCTTTATGCTGTATGTCCTTTTCCCCCTGAAAAAATAAGCTTAGCTCAAATACTACAGTATGTCAGTGTAAGTCTAATGCAAGATAATTAATTGCTGAGTGTATATATAGAGAAATGTTTGTTTGTATTGTTCTATAGTTTTAAAGATTATGAATTTTAAAAAGGGAGATATTAAAAAGAAATAAGAGAATTTTTCTACAATAAGAAATACCTAGAATATGTTAAACTAAAAAGTAAAAGTAAAATAAAGAATGTAAATAAAATGATTGAGGTAAAATAAGTACAATTTTAAATAAAATAAAAATCATCAACTAAGAGGTTAAACTAGTATTTACAGAATAAGACTAAAATAAAGTGAATCCTATGAGCTAAATAATAATTTAGAATAAGCAGCAGAAAGGAAAATAAGAAACATAATAAATGAATAAAAATAAACTAGGTATAAGACTTCATAAGAAAGTCCCTGGAATGGTTCGGCTTCCTTACTAAGTAGGATGTACAATCTCTGTTGCCGCTTGTTTCTCATCAGCTTCCTGTTGTTACATGCCATCCTCAACCACTTCCAGGTTCATATGTTGTTGATCCTTTCTGCCTTTACCCCAATATGCATATCTTTTTCATCTGCTAAAGGAAGAAAGACTCATTGATTTAAATTTGAAGACACAAACTATAGCTAAGAAATATTTTGAGCAAGACCTTTCCTCAAGAATGTAAAAGCTGTATTTAATTTTTCTACATTTGTTTCTCCTCAATTTGTTTTTCTTAGATGAGCTATTGCCAATTCTTTCAAATTAAACTTTTCTAAAACAGGGAGTAATTCTCACTGTGAGAGACAAATGTAAATGGTTATTAAGTGTAAATATTCAGAGACATGTATTCTAAAATTTAGTGAGAATAGCCTGGAAGTCTTGTTGAAATACAGATTGGTGTGCCACAACTAGTTTCTGATTCAGCAGGTCTGGGGTGGGGCCCAAGAATTGGTATTTCTAACAAGTACTCAGGTGATATTGATGTTGCTGGTCCAGAGACCCCAGTTGAGAATGACTACACTCAACTGAAAGATACATTCTACTATGAACTACAGAAACGGTCTTTTTGTTCCCTGCCATTTATTGGAATAATTTACCCATACATTCTGCAAAATCTGATTATCTTAGAGGGAATGTTATTGACTCATGAGGCAATATTGCTCACAAGTTGAGTTCATTTATAACTGGCACCTATTCACATGGCTGAAAGTTAATCTCTAAATTTTTATTTTCATACTAAAAGAAGAGAGAGAACACGTCTGGATTGTTAGTGTTTGTACATGTGGTGAGACTTAATAAGAGATTCCACATAAAGTGTTTGATATAATGCCACAGAAGTATGTACTCAATACTGTTTAAAGAATGAAAAAAAAGGAAGAAAAGGAGAGCATTAAGAAAAATATTCAACATGGAACACATAATTGCAAGCAAAACACAATATCTCAACTTTCCAAAAATCTCTACACAACATTTTTATATGTCTTATCCAATTCTTCACTCTACAGGTAAATCATAGTAGTAATAAAATGAAAAAGTTTTTTTCTATAAAAGTAAATGAAGTAATTAAACATTTTTTTTTTTTTTTTTTTTTGAGACGGAGTCTCGCTCTGTCGCCCAGGCTGGAGTGCAGTGGCGGGATCTCGGCTCACTGCAAGCTCCGCCTCCCGGGTTCACGCCATTCTCCTGCCTCAGCCTCCCAAGTAGCTGGGACTACAGGCGCCCGCCACTACGCCCGGCTAATTTTTTGTATTTTTAGTAGAGACGGGGTTTCACCGTTTTAGCCGGGATGGTCTCGATCTCCTGACCTCGTGATCCGCCCGCCTCGGCCTCCCAAAGTGCTGGGATTACAGGCGTGAGCCACCGCGCCCGGCCAAACATTTTTATTAAACTTACAAATACATTGCCTATAGAATTTAAAAACTGTGTAAGTATATTCTTATGCAGTGAATATATATGTACTGTAAATTTTACATATGGGAATGATTTTGAGATTTTTTTCCCATGGCTTATGTATTAAATACATACAATCTACTAATATGTGGTAGTGATTAATTTCTTCTTTTCCTCCGTGATTTTGTGACTTCAATCTAAGGTTGTTGAGAATGAAAGATTCTGCTAGATATTAGAGAAGTAAAGAATTTTCCCCATTTACGAATAAAATTAACCAAATTAAATTCCTAGATAACTATCTTAGCAAACAAATACAAAATTCTTAATGATAACCTCCATGCTAATTTTAGGAATGTAATTTCTTACACTAAAAATGCTAGTGATAATTCTTTTATTTCAAATACATTTTTCTAGTTAAGATTATGTGTGCTTCCTCACATTTACTTAGCACCAATTCTAAATTCTGTTTTATGTCTGCATTGAAAGAGTCCCCAGAACTTTTCTCCTGATACCTGGAAAGGTAGAGGAATTAGTGTTAACTGTTTCTCAGTCTTTCTTGAATGAAATGAATGAAATTGTATTTTTAGCTAATGTAGCTGTAACAATTAATTTATAGTAACATGAGGTTAAAGAAAAACACACACAGCCATTAATTTAAATAATCCTTAGAAGGCATTATATATAATAATGATTTATGAGAGTATACTAACTGAGGACACACCCAAATTCTGTTGATATGTAAAATAAATAGCCTGGTCTACTGTGCTATGAATTCCTGCCAGTTCTCAGTGTGAGTTAGAGCTGTTTTGACTATTAAACAGCAAATAGTAACATCTGGAAATGTAAAGGTCAAAGGTCATTTTACTCATGAAACTGCACAAGCATGATTCATAATAACCTGTATCTAACCTTCACATGAATTGAAGACTGCTGCTGACATTGCTGTATAAATAAATTTTAAAAATCCATTCTTTCATTCTGTTGTGATTTTATTTTGATAACTTGTGTTACTTAAACAACTAGTACAGAATTCAATATTTCTTAATGCTTCATTCTTCTGTTTAAATTGAAAAGTGTTTTTGCTGAAATTAATTCCGTTGTAAGTATGTTATATTAATATTTGGCAGACAAGGTTTGCTAAAGTAAAAACTTTTCCATATAATTTTAAAGTTTACATGTTATTTTCTAGAACTTCTTTATTATGTTAATAATTGACTGTATTATATTTACATTTGAAAGCATGCACTACTTTAAATAATATTTTAAACAGAACTCCTGAATTTTCTTCTTCCCTTTCATTATTTCCCTCATATCTCATGACATACATTTTATGGGACTGAATGTTTTTGTTCTCCACCACTTGAAATGTGTATGTTAAAGCCTAGTCTTGCTGTATTTACAAATGGGGCCTCTAAGGAAGTAATTGAGGTAAAATGATTCCACAGGGTTAGTGTCCTTATAAGAAGAGACACCGTAGAGCTCTCAGTTTCCCCACCCACAACAAGCAGGCAAGAAGAGTTCATGTTAGCACATAGCAAGATGGCCAAGAGAAGAGGCCTCACCAGAAACTGAAAATACTGGCACCCTAATCTTGAACCTTTAAATTCCAGAACTGTGAGAAAATAAATTTTGATTTTTTAAGTCACCCAGTCTGTGCTGTTTTGTTTGTTTGTTTTTTGTTTTTATGGCAACTCAAGCTGACTAATAACAGCAGTTTACTTGGGTTTTTCAGAAGGTGAGGTGTGCGAGACTGTCCTCCCCACACAGTATTTCATTGAGTTAAAGCATGGAGTTGGAGGGTATACTGTTCACAGATATTGGGTAATTTTGTTTGTAGATTTTAGAATTACCTAGTGACTATCAGGAAGTCTTAACTTTTAGCGGGCCAATTTCTAAATATTATCTGTAACTGACTAAAATGTCATCTCTTAGAAGAAGCCAAATAAAAAATATTTTAAGAGTTCCATATATAGGAGTGTTTTTGTATGTAATTAGGGCAGAGAAAATTTATCTTCCCCTTCCCTCTTTTGTGGATAAAATTGTCCCATTTTTGTTTCAATTCAGATTGCTGAATATAATTTTAAATGTCCTCTGACTGAAATTCTGCTGCATTGACCCACAATCATAATAAGTCTAAAAAAATTTAAAGCATAAGGTGTGAATTCATTTGAAAAAGCAGAACTTCAAGAGAGCAGATGTTCCACAAGTATGTAGATTAGATATTATTGAGAAATCAATGTTTTACTGCTCTCAGCCCAGTTCCTTCGCCAGTATTGATTACTCTTAAACCAATAGATCAGGTTACTACTATTTAACTCCTTGTAAATTACTAAAATGGGTGAATCTCTGATTGAGTATAAAGGCTTTTAAAAATCATGGTGTTATTTCAATTGAGTTGTTTCTTATTAGAGAGAAGAACTTTTTAACATTCAATGATAATAATCTCAATATAGAAAGGTAAGTGATTTGTTGCTAGATTGGGTTGGGTGAAGATTGGTTGGTTGCAATAATTAGTCATAATTTCTGAAGAGAGTGTTAGCGAAGCTGGTGAAATAAAGACAGCCATTGGTCCTGGTGACATGAGGATGTTGTTCTTAGGGGAAGAAGGGAAAATAAACCAAGAATATCATTAAATTTTAGTTTTTAGAACATTTTAAAATTATAGTTCCATCACAATTAATATTTTATCTCCTATATTTGAAAAGTATTTTAATGTGTCTTTGTATTGAACTTTATAGCTATGAAGGCATATGCTTTATGATTAGTTGTAGATCTTGTCTAATAAGTACCAGGTGCTTGTCAGTTAACATTTGTCAGTTTTCTATCATTATCTGTGTGCAAATGTTTCTAGTTAAATAAAATAGGAGAATTGGGGACTATGAAAGGGTGAGCCTATACCTGGGTCCTAGCTGGTTGCATTTGATATGCTAACGTTGAATGTCTGGTTTCTTTAAATAACATATTAAAGACAAAGGATTGAGAAAAAAATGACAGGTTTTGACCTTAAGTGGAGCATTTGCAGATGAATTTTATTTTGTAAAATAAAAAAAGAAAATGCAAAAAGACTGGTTTAACACAAGAAAATAAAATTGTACTACAATTACATTTGGGTCAGCATGTTTTTGGTAACAAATAAAACTTTCATATCACTTTGGCTTTGTGTGTAATATTATATGGAAAGTATTCTTAAAAACTACACATTACCTAGAGTGCTAATATTCCTGATCAAATATCTAAGGAAGTATACAGACATCTAACCAGGCAAATAATACTATACTGGCATTGGGGAAAAATAAATAGTTCTCGGTAATTTTTCTTAATTAATTTGTCTTAGGATTTTAGAGCTTGCTGGATGTGTTTGTGTGTGTGTGTGTGTGTGTGTGTGTGTGAGAGAGAGAGAGAGAGAGAGAGAGTTATGACAGCAGATTTCCAAAATTCAACTGGTAAAGATTGGTGAGAATTTATTACCATGAATAAGTGCTCAAGTTTAGAATAACTGCATGAAGTTTTAGACTTTTCTCTGGTATCTAACTCAGTTTTAAAAAGAGGCTTACCATCTGTATCTTGTGGTTTGTTTTTTTTTTCGTTTTTATAAATGACCTTCTGCTGTTGCTTTTTTCCTCACCTTTGACTGCCTTTAAATAATCACTGAATCTTACTTTCAATATGATACACATTATTTAAGAACTTGGTGTATTAGAAAGGATATCATCATTATGTCAGACGTTCTAGAAGACACAATTCTGCTTACTCCCTATTCCTTTTTTTTTATTTTTTCAATTCCTGGCCAGTGATCCAGACACACAACTCAACTTGCTTGTTTGATATATTTATCCAATCTACCTCTAGAGTGAGTAAAACCACACTTCTTTTGCTTTAAAACTTTTATTCACCTTATATAGTCAATTGCTACATCTTATGGTACACAATTTTAATATTGTCCAAAGTGTCATAGAAATACCTCCCATTTCAATTATTTCAAAAAGTGATGATGTTTATATGCAGAATACATTGGAGAGGAGCAAGAATGTAGACTGTTGCATCAATCGAAGTGAGATGAGTTGCTACAAGTAAAGATAGAAACGAGAGGGACTTTTTAAATCATTTTGGAATTAAAATAATAAACAGTTCTTTGAGTATGATTACAATTGGGGGAGAGAGATTAAAGGCTAATAATGTTATCTAAATTATTGGTGTCGAAAACTGGAAAAAATAAGATGTATTATGTTGAGGAAGACTGAGAGAGAAAATTTTAGGGCATATTGTCTTTCTTCCAACATAGTGGACAGGCATGGACTGGGATAAACATGATATCTTTGCAGTAATTCTAGGTGTTTTCATTTTAATCACTCACCACTTTGCTATAAGCAAATGTGATCATCCTTAGAAGTTGCCTGTGATTCCTGAAACTATCTGATACTTTGGAAGGAAGCAGCAAATGTGAGCTAACAGTGACTTCTATAGCTTAATGTGTCTATTACTCACTGATTTTGTAAGCATCTAATTCCCTGTATCAAATCTCTTCCTGTTTCAAATAACTATAATGAGTTCTGCTTTATGGACACAACCTTGACTAATCCTTTATCTCAGTTATTTAAAATAAATGCATTAATTTGAAAGGAAATATGTCAAAAAGTTTCCTTAATATCACCTGCTGAAATAGAGTGGGGAGAAGTGATTCTTGACAAAATAATCTTGGAAAATATTTTTATTTTCATAAATTTATATATTTAGAAGCAGTTAAAATTTTATAATCAAAAAAATGTATATTCTGAATTCTATATAATTATAATAAATATTGATTAATTAATTAGTACATTACCTATTGCATGCCATGCACTGTTCTAGGTAGTGGGGATACAACTTGGTTCAAAGCAGATAACTTGTGTTCATTTAGCTCACAATTGTATGTCAAGGAATAGAATGATAGAAAACTATAAGGGAATTGAGAATGGACACATTTTAGGCAGAGCCTAAATTAGCTGAAATACTGATTGTGTTGAGCCAAGAGTGGCAAGTGCAAAGGTCATTAGGTGGAAATTGCTTTGACTTATTCATGAAACCTCAAGAAGATGAAGGCAAATGGTTTGGTGTGAGCAAGTGGGAGAGGAGCCAGATCTAAAACTAAAGGTGCTATTCTAAATGCAGTGACAAACCACTGGAGTGCTTGCGTAGTTGTGCACATAGATGTAGAGCAACATAATTTAACTCACATGTTAAAAGCATTCTTTGGCTAGTGTGTGGAGAATACTGTGTGCAGGGTTAGGATGCAGGAGTGAAACCAGTTGCCCTATCAGGACAACCCTACAGGGAGTCCAGCCTATAGATGTTGAAGGCTTGAAACTAAGGCATTGTAGTCGAAATGATAGAAAAAAGTAGAGTTCAGTATATTTTGAAGATAGAACCAAAATTAGTAGTCCTGAGGAAAAGAGAAGAGCAAATAATTGATAGGGACAGGAGGCAGGGAAATTCTGGACAGAAGAGGGCGGGTCCCTGGTGAGAGCCCCACCCTCAAGCCTGGAAGCACAGCCCAAGGTGAGAACTTACATCCTTGTTTTCCTGCTCAAATGTTGCCTTTTCCAAAACCACCCACTGCCTACCCTGCCCCCCATTTTGTGCCCATAAAAACTCCAGGCTCAGCTGGCAGAGAGAGGGAAGCAGCTGGACATCGGAGACTATGGTTAGACGTCAGAGAGAAGCAACTTGACTTCAGACGGACAGGTTGATGGTGTAGCTTTGAAAAGGAGTCTAGCCAAGGACAGCCAGACTTCAGGGAAAGATTACCTTCCCGCTCTGTCCCCTTTTCAGCTCCCCTTCACGCTGAGAGCCACTTTCAACAGCAATAAAATTCCCTGCATTTACCATCTTCAATTCGTTCATGCAAACTCATTCCTCCTGGATGCCAGACAAGAAGTTGAGTGCCATGAGTACTGGTGCAAAAGGCTGTCACACTGACCCTGCAGTGAGCTGTTAACACTTAAGCCATCCATGAATGACAAAGCTAAAAGAGCACTGATAACACTCCCCTTGGGGCTTCAGGGGTCATGGACTACCCCTGCCCCAGATGCTATCACAGGGCCCACATGGAATTTTGCTCCTGCTGGTGCCCAAAAGCACTTGTCCCAGCTCCTGCACCCACTCACCTGCATGCCCCCTCCCATGAGGGGTGGAACACAGAGGGTTCGACTGAGTGGAGCTCACTGCTGCCAGTGCCGAAGTGACTGGTTTTGTTCAGCACCCCTGTACTCCAGTTCCCACTTACAAAAGGGCCAGGGAAGTATCTTGCTTCATAATGGTGACTAGATTTTGTATCTGAGTAACAAGTTAAATACTTGAATGTTGCTATATTACAATCCTAGTAAGGACCTATATATGTCAACTTGTTACATTTTCAAAACACTGTGAAAAATATTCTACTTAACTTTTTTAAAATTAGAAACTGAGACTTAGGTACATAAAATAAGTAGTATGAGGTCACACAATTACTAAGTTAGTAGAGAAGAAAGTAAGTTCTCCCAAAGTTGTTTTGCAATCATAATCAGAATGTAACATTTGGCTATATTTTATTGACCAAGTAAAATATCTCTGCTACCTCATTTTCTGCCAAATTGCTTAAAAAACATCAAATGACTTATAATCCTTTATTGATGAGTGATGTTATAGATTTACTAATATAATATAATTGAAAATAAATATTAATTTATTAACCTATACCAAAACTTCCACATAATCAGCTAGGGAGAAACTTCTAGTAAACATACATTAACTTTGCCAGCTCAGGAATTTCCCAATTTAAAATATTATAGAAAACTTTTATCAAGGGAATATCATTGGTATATTATTGAAAAAAATTACTCACAAAAATGTATATGCTTTAAGACCTGTAGATGCATAAATTTGTATATATTTATAATAGCTGATACTTATTGTATGCTTACTGTTTATATACAATGTTTGTTAGCCACTGTTTCTAGGTGCTATAGATGTATTAATTCATTTAGTACTCATAATGGTCCTAATTATGAGTACTACATAATTACTAATGTAGGTAATTATAATTATTTTAATTTTAAAAATCAGAAAACCAAGGACTACAGAGATTACAGCATTTGTCTAAAGTTGCAACTAATGTGTCAGAGTTAAATCTGAAGATTCTGCTGTGGCTTTAGGGTCCTTGCTCTTATGCACTGTAAAATACAGTGTACTTACCTCTTTTTTTTTGCTGGCCTTATCAAGCTAAAAAGTAGTTTCTATTGTTATGAAATATGTCATTTTGTCATAATAACTATAACAATGTTTTAGCAATTACAATAGAAAATTAATGTGTATCTTTAATTCTGACCTGGAATTTTTAAAGGTATACATGGAAACTCATGTTTTGACATAGTAACATTTGTTTGTATTCTTCAGGAGATGATCAGATCCATGTTAATGTGAAAATAAGGCTAAGTATGTGAGATACATAATACACCAATAAGGTACCTAATTTTTTAAAAACTAACAATACAGTAATTTTTAAGAGTTATTTTTGTTCATTCACTGATATATTTTTATTTTTTATTGTTTCCCTCTTTTAGCACCTTAATTAGGCTCTACAGTTTCTGAAGGAAGTGGTTTATTATATGTAGTTGTGAATAAACCTGAAGTTACCCCTGACATTTATCTTGTTTCATTCTTTTTTTTAATTCCAAAAAATGCAATGGAAACTGTGAGGAGCTTATATTGCCTGACCTTAAGATTATACATCTCCTAGATTGCATTTTTCTTGAGTATTCATTCTCATTTCTAAGATGGTGTACATTCCTATAATTGAACTCATAAACATTGAAATGAAAATATCCAAAATGTCAAGAATATGAAAATAAATGATCTGTGATCTCCCAAGTTGATGAGTGGATATTCCTATATATTTTTTAACATGTACACAACATAAGTTTAAATGTCACAGCACAACATTATACAATACAATAATTACATATGTTTTCTATGTGAATTAATAAAATTGGGAAAAAGGAAAATGGGTTATCTTTGATTATCGACATAGCTTATCTTCCTTAGGTATTTTTCTATTTTAAATTTACATTTTAAGGACAGTATTTTTTATCCATTAAGTAAAAAAAAAAAAACTCAAAGAAATGAATACAATGACTTTTTAATATTTAGCATAAAATTATGAGCATTAACAAAAATTTTGAGTCCTAAATAAATGCCAAGCACTATTTTAGGTTTTAACTTACTCAATTTTTATAACAAATCTGTTGAATAAGTGTTATTGTTATTTGCCTAGAGAGAATAAGTAACTTGTGCCATGTGCAGAAATGACATAATAGAGACTGACTACTGTGTCTAGTCTCCTTAAAAAATCACCATTTCCAAATAGCAACTACTTTTGCTTTTCTCTGTTTTTCCCAGTAATCAAAATTAATAATTAGGTCTATTAGATACTGAGTGCCAGTTATGTGTCAAGTTATGTATTATCGTATTCAATCCAGTCCTCTCCACAAGCAGAAAAAAAATTTATTATTATACTTAATTTACAAATGTGAAAACTGAGTCTTAGATAATTAGTGGGGGTAAACCTGCAAAAGTAAAAAAATACTGTTGGAGTTTGTTTCAAATCCAGAAAATCTGATCAAGTCCATATTTAAAAAACTCTCTTCACCACCTTCCCAATAGTTATCTACATGCTGACATTTTATACTAGTGTAATAATAATGCCTCTTATATTTTTTATTTGTATATTTAGTTTAGTATTATAAATATTTTCTTATAGATCGAGATAGAGTATGTAATCATTTTATGATTTAATTATGGTCCATGGAGTTGATATGCTATAATCTTCCTAATTATTTTTTGATTTAGATAATTGGATAGATGAGATAAACAAAGTCCTTTTGTATTTAAAAATAGTTCTTTATCCTATTTAACTTACCCCAAACATTTGAAAGAATAAGCCATTGTTTTCTACCCTGGAATGCTTCTGCAGCTTATTCTCTGCATCTGCTAGTTGGTTTCATCCTTTTTATTGGCTTCTGCTTCCGCCTGTAATATGTGATTTTCAATTCTCTTTCCAAGCTCTGGCCTTTCTCTTAAATGCCAGACTAGAGGTTTCTAAATGCTACTTTGATATCTTCATTTCATTGTTTCACTGGCACCACAAATCAACATTTTCAAAGTAATTTTTACTATCTATACAAGTTTTTTGCTTGTAGGCATTATCTTGAGTAGAGCAATTTTTTCTCCTTCCAGTAAGTGAACATAATACTTAGGTCATCTCTGAGTTCTCCCTGATTTCATCTGTAATTACTTATAATAAATTGTGGTATTTCTTTCTCTTGAATATTTCTTTATTCTGTCTGCTTTGCTTCAAGCTGACTAGTAACACTTAAATTCGTAATCTTACTCTACATATTTATTGCAATAGCTTCCTAACAAGTTTGTCTCCAGTCTTTCTCTCTTCTAAATGCTGCCAATTTTCTTTATAAAAGACATATGTGATGTCACACATTATCTTAAAAATGTCAAGAGACCCCATTTATTCTAAAATCATATATTTTATGATATGAGAAAGATAATTACTCTTCTCACTCGGAAAAAAGCAATTTAATACAGTGCATTGTGTCAGGAAAAGCAAACCCAAATGGGAGAGGCTTAGGTCTAGTTGTTTCAGGCCTTTTTTTGCATTACTATTGTAAACCAAAGATAAATTTCTCAGACCCCTAACTGACTGAATGGACCCCTCCTCTCAACCAAGGACATTCCAAAATAAACCCGAAAAACTAATTCAGTCCATGATGAGAAGACAGCTGGGACATGCCTCATTATATTCTCCTCCCTTTGGAATTCAGGTACAACTGACCGACATTAGCATTAAAACAGAGATCTTAAGACTGACAAAACAAACTCTTTGTAGCAATAAGATACCAATTTGACTCTAGTATAGCATTACATGACAGAAGACAGGCCTTGAAAGAAATGCAAGTATTTTAACCCAAAATATATTACTTTGACATATTTTAAAATGGCCCTGCAAAGCTGTCTCTTGTGAGGTAAATTTACTTTCTGTAGAGAATCTTCTTCCCTTAGTAGGTATTTTCAGGAGCGTCTAGCACCTTTTAAGATCTGGTAAGAAGACAGTTACCATCCAGTGTCTCTGAAGACTGCCACCTGGAGGCTTCATCTGCCTAACAAGAACCTTGGCTTCCACAGTCTCCCTTATCTTAACCTCAAGCATTATTTCTTTCTACTGACTTCAACTCTTTAGGCAAAACTCACCTTTTTCAATCAATTGCCAGTCAGGAAATCTTTGAATCCACCTATGACAGGGAATCCAATCCCCTTTTCTAGCTGTCACACCTTTCCTGACCAAACCAATGTATACCTAACATGTATTGATTGATGTCTGCCTGTAACTTCTGTCGCCTTAAAATGTAAAAAATCAAACTGTGACCCAACCACCTTGGGCACATGTTCTTAGGACCTTCTGAGGCTGTGTGATGGGCATGTCTTTAACCTTGGTAAAATAAAATTCTAAATTGATTGAGACCTGTCTCAGATACCTTTTGGTTTACAGTATAAATGAATACCTGCAACTTGGTAAATTTATAAAGAAAAGAGATTTAATTGGCTCATGGCTCTGCAGGCTATACAAGCATGGCATCAACATCTCCTTGGCTTCTGGTGAGGGCCACAGGAAACTTACAATCATGGTGGAAGGCAAAGTGGGGGAAGGCACATCACATGGTGAGAGCAGGAAACAAGACAGCGAGGGTGGGGAGGTCGCAGACTTTTAAACAACCAGATCTCATGTGAACTAGCTGAGCAAGTACTCACTTATCACCAATTCATTAGGGATCCACCCCCCATGATCCTACCACCTTCCACTGGGTCCCTCCTCTGATGTTGGTGATTACATTTCAATATGAGATTGGGGGGAACAAATATTCAAACCATATCACTGATATTATAAAAATTGGTTATATTAATTTTTATTATATCCTTAGCGTTTGGTTTAACAAGGTTTGGGGACTCTGGAACCTGAGAAAAAGAAAAGAATCAAGAAAGGATAGAGTTAACTTAATTAGAAATAGGGGCCTGACTGAAGAAGTATAATTTTGAGAAAGTAAAAAACAGGGAGACATATCCAGCTATGGAGATGATCACTGCTACCTTACCTGTGATTCTTTTTATAATTTCTCTGCTATAAATTTTTAGCAGATAACATGTAATGTGTTTAATGATACCAAGGATATTTCTAGATACGTATAGTAAAGTCTCAAGACTCTTTCATACTAACTTGTAATAATATGAAAGTCATGGCAGAAGAGAAAGCAAACATGTCCTTTTTCACATGGCAGCAGCAAGGAGAAGGGCTGAGCAAAGAGGGAAAAAGCTCCTTTTAAAACTCTCAGATCTTGTGAATTCTCACTCACTATCATGACTATAAGTTTCCTGAGGCCTCCCCATCCATTCTGAACTGTGAGTCAATTAAACCTCTTTCCTTTATAAATTACCCAGTCTTGGGTATGTCTTTATTAACAGTATGACAGAGAACAGACTAATATACTACTCTCTCAATTTATCAGAATAAGCTCCTGTCCTAACATATGAAAAGTTAACCTCACCATTAGCCCCAAAACTCTGGCTAAAAATAGACATTAAGGGAGAATATCTTGCTGGTGTGGAAAAAATATGGATTTTTAAGTGATGGAATAAATTCAGCACCTGTGTGTCATGGTAAACTTACTTAGTTGTTCCAATACAACAGTTCTCAAACTTTCTGGTCTCAAGACTCTCAAACTATTAGAAATTATTGAGGTCCCAAAGAGCTTTTGCTCATATGAGGATGCATATTTTGATAGTTATATTAAAATCAAAACCAATGAATATTTAACATATTCATACACCATGTCTTTTTAAATAGCAATTATAACCTATTACAATTTAATATAGGTATATTTTTATGAAACATAATCCTGTGTTACAAATCCACAAATATTTAATGAGAAAAGTAGTATTTTATATTTTTGCAAATCACTTTAATGTCCAGTTTAATATATTGTCATATCTACTTTGGTATATATTCTGTTGAAAAATGTCTAGCTTGAACTATGTTAAATAAATTCAACTTCACAAAGATATACAGTTTTCATATAATCATGGAAAATCTCCTTTGTTACTAAATCTTGACTCAGTCTTTATATTTTCTTCATGGTTAGTTGCAATGTGGAAACTGAAACCGTAACAAGGAACATTCTTACTCTATTACTTTAAATTCATTGGTCCATCTTGTCCTTTGAATTGATTCTATACCCATGTATTATTTTGGAAAATGTTGATTCATCGAATTATGTACATATTCTAAATGTTGCCATAATTCATGATATAGCTGAAAACTCATATTAATATCACCATTGATATCATCAGAATAAATTAAATATTGAGTGCATATCAAGCTCATGGTGGTAGCTACAAGGTTTCCAAATGTCTAATTCTTCTTGACATCTCCAGCCAGTGTTTTTAGTTGTGGGTTCTGCACTTACTGTTCAGGGGATTCTATGCTTTCTTCCAAACAAGGCTTTATATTTAATTACTTTTACTCTTTTCAAAATTTTATATAATTTATTGGTAAATATTGATCTTCCAGAAACTAGTCATACTTCAATCAATTTTCAGTCCTCACAAAAGGAAAAAATACTCATACATTTCCTAGGCTGTAGTCTGCATCCTATCCTTTCCTTGTAGATTTAAATCTCATTCTGGTTTTTTAGCTATTATTTTAGTGTGCTATGTGAGGCAAAGAGATTGGACATGGGTGACTAAACAGTCATCTTTAATTGGAATTTCAGTACTTTATGGTTTAAAAAGAGAATAATGTTTTCTTCATCACTCATGTTCATCATTCCCCATCCATTTATTTCCTTACAGACAAAGATAATTAGAATCTCCAATGAAACTTCAAGTAGTCATTAAATGAGCACTTCAACAAAGCTTTAGAACTAGAAGTACATAAGTACAAAATTCAAATGTATGTCATGTGTTAAAATATGACCAAGTGACATGAATATTCTCAAATTACTGTAAGTAGTACTGTATGTAAAAAATGAAATGCCAGCCTCTATGTGTCACATTGCCTATGAATCATCATCCTGTCATTCTCAAAAAGGTGTTTAGCATGAGAATTAAACTTTTATTAAAGTTACAAAAATATTTAAAACTTTTTAAAAATATATTATTTAAGTAGAATCGCTTAGAATGTTAATAGAATGGCATGAATGCGTTGCATAAAGAAACAACTAGAATATTTTATATCAAATAAAGATACTGATGTTACATATGATCCTAATAGCATATTGCAATGGCATATATTCATTCACTTTTTATACATCAAGTTTATCCTCACTTATATATTTGCCTATAATAGAAAGGATAGCTGAGTCTTTTCTTATTGTGCTCTCTAGGACAATAAGAAAACTAACTCTAAATGTTGGAGATCTAGAGAGGAATTTGTGAGTTTTAAAACCAACAATAAAAAATGAAGAGATTGGAAAATGTTAGAGAAACTTGTAATTTGCATAGAGTAAAAATCTAATAAATGATGTTGAGAAGTGAGCTGTGTGTAAACAAATAACTATTTGTTAAATTTCTGTTGCTGAAAGGCCTCTAAGTGTAAAGAAAAACGTTCAATGCATGGTGAGTCAAGTCTGCTTTGCATTCACATTTCAGATAGAAGCAACGAAAATCGTGTAGAAAGGTGGTTAGATGAGATGTTGGAAATATTGACAGTGAGCAAATATTCAAATCTGTTGAAAAAAATCATTGCTTTCAACCTTCAGTTCCATATAATCTAGAGTCTCAGAAATTACCTCCAGATCCTTCTGAATGTATGAAAGGGAATTTTGAACACAAATGTTTGTTTTATGAATCACCACAATATGAAATTCAGTTGAGAAATGAAACTTTCACCATGCAATTTTCATGTTGATCAGTTTGTCAATAGTTCAGAAGGAAAGTTTCATTCAGCTGAAAGTGGAACAAAGAAAAACTGGGTTGGGGATTTTTACTTTTAGTTACTGTACTGTCATTGTACCTGTTCGTTTCTACTCAAGAACAGAGAAAAGTGGACAATTGTTTTTTGTCTGCATTGACTTATAAGGTCTGATCTCTTCTGAGATATGGTACTGATTAAGAAAGGTTTTGAACCATTTGGAATGCATTACTAAATGCTGTTATGGAATACCTTTTCTTAAGAGTTTTAAGACCATGGTTCAAAACAGTTTTTCTTTGTATATCAGACAGGGGAATTAACAAAATCAAAGGTCCTAAACCCTTTGAAACTGTATACAGAAGTTTGTGGGAGGGGGCCCTAGTGCATTATCATGAAGACAGTCTACGCAGCTTTCATCAGATTCTTAAAGGGGTAAGAAAACTTTACAAAAGGACAATAGACATTTGATGAAAACAGTCTGTCCAATCCTATGATTGTATAACTATGCTTATATATTTAAGTTTACAAAAAATAAATAAACTAGTAAACAGGAAGAAAAAGCTTGACTACATAAGACTTTAAGAAAAAATAAATATTTAGAAATAAAGACATGTTTCCTTAAAGCACTTAACATTGTGGCAGGCTTTTGTAATTTAGAAAGGAATGTTATTTACTTCATTTAGTGCAAAATAAACATATAGAAAAGCATATTTGTTATTAATTTCTTTTAACATTTTCCAAAGTGTTTCAAAAAGTTAATTTTCACTAGTAACTGATGGTGGCCTAATATTAGGATACTTTTGGACAGAGAAAGGGGCACCAATAAAACTAAAGAGAGGGTTTGCTATCATTTTGTATTAGTTTGAGAAGCTATATGTCATTGTGAAGAAACCATTTTATTTAACATAAGAAAGCAGGGTCACTTAACTTATTTATTTTATTTTTATTTTTAAATGTATTTATTGACTTTGGTTTTTCAAACATTTAATTAGCTAGTACTCATCAAATATCTTAAAGTTTGTTTGGAAAAAATTAATCCATATTTTGTAGTTATGTGCTAAAGATCATTAAATTAAAACTATTTGAAACAAGTTTTCCAAAAAGAATAAAATCAATTTTTGATTCACAGGTTCATTTAAACTTTAGGATGTAGATTTTCTTTAGTTGGCTTAGGAGTTAATTATCATGAACTCCTAATGTGATTTATTTTGCATTATTCACATTGACCCAAACAGCAAAGTTTTATGAACCTGCAAGAAATAAAACACTATTTACAACTAGCTAAAATCCATACTTACAGAGACTTCTGTAGCTGAAATCTATACTTACAGAGACTTTTGTAAATGTCAATCACATTTATAAGACTGGAGGAAAAAGGTGCCATTGCTTTCTTCTTATTTTTTTTCTACATTTATTGATTATATTTAAGTTAGTCTCTATCATATGTAACTCTGTTAGCTTTTTTCACCTTTTCGTAGAACTTTTCAAATAATAGTTTCATGGTCTTTGAAGGATACTCTCACATCAACATATTGTGGGGACTGAGACAAGAAAACTGAAGAGTAGTAACAACAAGGGCTATAAAGATTCTTTCCCACATAATTGATTTATGTCATCCCTGAAATGCAAGCAGGTCCTTGAAATTCAATAATTGAGTGTCCTTGTAGTTCTTCAGATCCGACATATTACATCTTTGTTATTGACTACCCTGAATTTCCTTTAATTAACTTACAGAAGTTGCAACATGTGGAAGGTTTCCATTTGGGTTTACTAACTTCATTAGAATGTCTTTACTGTCTAAAGTATACTAGTGGAGTTTGATAAGATAGAGTCCTCTCCTCCAATAAATCTAACATGTCCTTAGATACTGTTTCACTTGGGTCATTTATGAGAATCTCCACTATACTGTAATATAAACTAATGATCACAAATAACATCAGGAGAACTATTCACTGAATGACTACTTGCTAATAAATATTAAATAATGTCAATTGATTCAACCAAAATTCACTTCAGATTACTTTTATTTGTTGTATTTTGTGCAGCTTCAGGATACTTACCATGATAATAATAATTACTATTACCCCACCAAAATACCAAAGTAGATGTTTCAAGAATACAAAAATAAGTAATATGATCCTCAGCCTCAAGTGGATTATCTGCTAAATAACCTAAAAGACTGCATGAATAATATAGAGACCAGTAAAAGCCATAACTGATTTGCAAGGTGATAGAAGGACTCAAGATATGGAAAGACACTCTATCAACCAAAAATAATGAAAATTTGTTTTCATAGTGTTAAATAATGACATCCACATCTACCCATATGTTTTTGACCATATAGAGCACATTTTATGAGATGTGGTTTCCCCTCTTTCTCTGGATTTATTTTCGACTACTTTTCCCATATGTTATGTTACAATAGTAAGTCTTTTCTTTGAGACTCACATAGGCCAATTCAGTTCCCATGTCAGGGCCTTTGCAACTGCTGTAACCTCTGCTAGAAAGTGTTCCATCTCTACTTCCACCACCAGTTTTAACGTGTCTGGCTTATCTTCATCATTAATGCCTTGATTCAAATACTATCTCTTTAGTGTGGCTGAGCTGACCATATTATTTAAATTATATTCTTTATCTGTCCTGTGTCTGAGTTTCTCTCAATCATATTACTCTCTTACGTTACGAACCATTACCCACTTATTTTCTCATATCACATTCCAATAACTAAAATTATAACATACTTGATTATACGTATTTATTTGTCTGTTGACTGGATCTTCCTTGATTAGAATTTAAACCTCATGATAGCACAACTGTGCGTGTCTTCTTAACTGCTCTAACCTCAATGCTTAAGACATAGCATCAGCATGTAGTAGACATTCAACAATATTAATAAATTTTACTTAGATATGGTTGGGGAGGTCACTGAACAGAAGAAAGTTTTATTTGACTCACTTTATATTTTAAATTAAACACATCTAGTTTTGCTCTTATTTAAATATTCTTGATGAATTTCATTTTTTTTCAATGCAAAATATCACCTTATTTCCCTCATGATTTAAACCCTGAGTGAGATTTTTATGAACAGAATTTACCAGCTGATATGGTTTGGTTGTGTTCCATTCAAATCTCACCTTGAATTGTAATAATCCCCACGTCAAGGGTGGGACCAGATGGTGATAACTGATAAAAGAACAGTATGGGGGTGGTTTCTTCCACACTATTATTGTGGTAGTGATTGAATAAGTCTCATAAGATCAGATGATTTTATACATGGGAATTCCCGTACACAAGCTCTCTTGCCTGCCATCATGTGAGACATGACTGTGCTCCTTAGTTGCCTTCTGTTGTGATTGTGAGGCCTCCCCAGCTATGTGGAACTGTGAGTCAATTAAACCTCTTTCCTTCATAAATTATCCATTCTCAGGTATGTCTTTATTAGCAGCATCTGAACGGACTAATACACCCATGGATTTAGATCTTAAAGATATTGAAAGAATTTCAAGGGCTAGAGAACCAGCAAAAAGTGGAGGAAGAAAACTCTATTCAGCGGGCCTGGCTTGTGGACAGGGAGGACAAAGTATTTGAGAAATATCAAGTGGTTGAATTAGACTGGATCGCAAGGTTTGTGTATCAAAATAATAGGAGATAAAACTGAAAAGGAGAGAGAAGATGAGATGAATTAAAGGGATTCTTTTAGGCTAGCACTTTAAATTTTACAAAGATCACATTTGAATTGAGGGATATAAAACGATAGAATTTAGGAAATGGGCATTTCATGTACAAGAAGCTTGTGAGCATGGAACAGAAGTAGGAAAACCTATGCATTGCTCTTAATTCAGTCTGAGCTCAAACATCAAAGGCACACAACTTTCAAACCCAGTATAATGTAATAGGTGTCCTCATTCTTCTCCAAGCCCACCATGGAAACTTAGAAATCTAAGTCCTATGACTGCACTCATTTCTCTCCTCATGACCCTTGGTATGTATATTTGTATTTTCTTACGGGACTCTTATTTAATAGTACAGTTTATTTTGTTAAATTTTAAATACAATGTTCTGTTTAGAAACATAATGTTTATATAGAAAAATACTTTTCCTTTGTAATATAGCCTCTGATGATGCCTAGGATTAACGCTTACATTCTGTGATTAGACAAACAAAATCTTTCCTCATCCTCACCCTACACTCCCCACCATGCTCAGCAGTGAGCTCATCATGGTACTTTATCCATGGTTATAGAAGAATGTTCCTCACAGTTTTACTCACGAATAAAGTTTCTGGTAATGTATTTTTATATGTTTAATCTTTGTTTGTTTTTAAAGTTTAATCTGCAATTCATAGTCTAAAATCTTCTTTCCACATGCTTATTACATTAAATCTGTGATTAAATCTCTCCTCAAGAGATTTCATCTCCCTTAAGTTTTTTTTTTTTTTCTACCACTGGGAAACAATTCTAAGATTCCCACTGGGGCAATCTGACATGTATTGAGATCTACTCTTTGCTAATATACCTTACTGACCTTGACTCAAATATCTATTATTTATTGGTTTCCAAACTTCTATTTCACAGTTTATGGCCAGTAAGTGCTAGACTGACATTGGCATCTTAAACTTATTTTTCACCGTGACCACATTAGGAATGATGTATTTTTAAAATACAACCAGCAGAAAACGTTCATTTTAGTGACATATAATACTGAGACAAGGTTGTACTTCAAAAACAAAACAAAACAAAGCCCTAGTAGACAAGTTAAAAGCTGGTTAAAATAGGCCAGGCGCGGTGGCTCACACCTGCAATCCCAGCACTTTGGGAGGCCGAGGCGGGCAGATCACAAGGTCAGGAGATCGAGACTATCCTGGCTAACACGATGAAACCCTGTCTCTACTAAAAAATACAAAAAAATTAGCCGGGTGTAGTGGCAGGTGCCTGTAGTCCCAGCTACTCGGAGAGGCTGAGGCAGGAGAATGGCGTGAACCCAGGAGGCAGAGCTTGCAGTGAGCAGAGATCGCGCCACTTCACTCCAGCCTGGGCGACAGAGCAAGACTGTGTCTCAAAAAAAAAAAAAAAAAAAAAAAAGCTGGTTAAAATTAATGGTCTTTGGGTTTTATAAAGGCTTAGTGACTGTATGAAATACACAGGGTGAACAACTTAGTAACAACAAGATATTTATCCTATAAAATATGATCTATCATTTGCATAGATTTTTAAAAGTTTTATAGTTAACTGACAATAATTGTATATCAACTATAGTCATCATGCTATGCAATAGAACACCAGAATTTATTCCTCCTACCTAACTGAAACTTTATACCTTGACTAACATCTCCTTTTTCCTCAATTAACCCCTGCCTCCATCCTTTGGTAACAACCATTCTACTCCCTGTGAGTTTAGTTTTTTTCCATACCACATATAAATGAAATCATATAGTATTTGTCTCTTTGTGACTGGCTTATTTTACATAACATAATGTCCTCCAGTTTTATTCATGTTATTGCAAATGACAGAATTTTCTGTCTTTGAAAGGCTAAATATTATTCCAGTGTCTACTTACAGAATATTTTAAAAATCCATTCATCTGTTGATGAAGATTTAGGTTTATATCTGGCAGAGATTTATTAGGAAGCTTATTATCATAGAGAATAAAAGCCATGAAAAGAAGAACTCACATCTCCAAATTCTGGCAGTGGACTTTAACACTAGTTAGAAGCTAATAAACATTAAGGAGGTTTCGAGGGCAATCTTAACTAAGTCTCAATCTTGCTGACTACCCACACACACAGAAATTATCCCAATGCTCTTCCCAGACTGCTTAGCTAGGCAGTGGAAAAGACCTTCTCCCCAAGCTTAAGCTATCACTCATCAGCAGGAGACTCCCACCCTTCTAGCTATGACTACAGGACACTTGTGCGTGACAGACAACTCCAAGCAGGGCAACTTGACAAGCATGCTGAACAAAGAAAGGGGAAGCAAACAGGAACAAGTGTTTCTAGTTGTAGACCCTCCTGATGGGTACTACTGACACAATCCTGAGGCATCAGAAAGTTTCCTACAGCCCACAAATAGTTTCCATTTCTTTTAAAAACAAGTCACACAACAATCCTGCCACAAAGCAACATGACGCTTGGAATCACATGGCCACATCAACTGGAAAAGCAAGCATTATCCATGACTGTTAGATGCCACCCAGCCCAAGACCCAATTTCTGTAGTGCCCTAGAGAACCACGATTTTCCCCTGGCACCTACACATCCTATCTTCTCATATCTTGACCATTGAGAATAATGTTGCAATGAACATGAGAGTGCAGACAGCTCTCCAGCACACTGATTACAGTTCCTCTAGATATATATCCAGAAAGAGGATTACTGGATCATATAGTAATTCTATTTTTAGTTTTTTGAGGAAATTTCATACTGTTTTGCAAAATCACTGTACTAATTTACAATACCACCAACATGGTATAAGGGTTCCCCTTTCTCCACATTCTCAACAAGAGTTATTAACTTTCTTTTTTTTATAATAGCCAATGTAACAGGTGTGAGATGATATCTCAGTTGGTTTTAATTTACATTTCCCCTATATTAGTAATGAGCATTTTTTATATATATTTATTGGTCATTATTATGTCTTCATTTGAGAAATGGCTATTCAAGTCCTTTGCCAATATTAAAATAGCTTTTTTTCTTGTTATTGAGTAGTATGAGTTCCTTGTATATTTTGGATCTTAGTTTCTTATCAGAAGTATTGTTTGCAAATATTTCTCCAATCTCCTTAATTTATTTCTTTTCCTCGCTATACTGAAGATTTTTTAGTATGATGAAATCCCATTTGGATATTTTTGCCTTTGTTGCCTGTACTTTAGGATCTTATTCAAGAAATCACTGCCCAGGTCAGTGTCGTGGGGTCTTTTCCCCTGTTTTCTTTCAATAGTTTTATAATTTCAGGTCTTAAATGTAAGCCTTTAACATATTTTGAGTTGATTCTTGCAGAACAGATGAAATAACATTCATTTGTATCTTCTGAATGTAAATATCCAGTTTTTCCGAAACACAATTTATTGAATAGCCTGTCCTTTACTCATTGTGTGCTCTTGGCCCATGTGTCGAAAAATCAACTGACTGTAAATCTGCCAACTTATTTCTGGGCTCTTTATCCAGTTCCATTGGTCTATGTGTCTGTCTTTATGCCAATACCATACTGTTTTGAAAGTTAGCATAAGGAAAGAAATACAAAGATCAGAGCAGAAATAAATAAAATAGAGACTAGAAAAATGAAAGATCAATGAAATTAAGAATGTATTCTTTAAAAAAGCTAAGGAAAATTGACAAACCCTTACCTAGACTAAAAAAAGAGATAAGACTCAAAATTAGAAATGAAAGAGGAGACATCACAACTGGTAACATAAAATACAAGGGACCATAACAGACTACTATGAACAATTATACATCAACAAATTGGACAAAATAGAATTAATGAGTAAATTTCTAAAAACATAAAACTACTGAGACTGAATCATAAAGAAATTAGAAATTAGAACAAACCCATAAGAAATAAGGAGATAGAATCAGTAATTAAAATTATCTTATCAAGGAAAAGCCGTAAACCAGATGGCTTCATGGCTGAATTCTACCAAACAATTAAAGAACTAATACCAATCCTGAAAATCTTTCAAAAAATTAAAAAATAGAGAATATTTCTAAGCTCATTTTATGAGATCAGCACTATTCTGATACTAATGCTAGACAAAGACACCACAAATAAAAGTACAGGCCAATGTCACTGGTGAATGTGGACGCAAAAATTATCAACAGAATACTAGCAGACTCGATTCAGCAGTACACTAAAAGAATAATTCACCTCAACCAAATGGGATACAAGGTTGGTTCAACACATGCAAATCAATAAATGTAATTCACCATGTTAAGAAAATAAAGGCAAAACCCATATGATCATCTCAGTAGATGCAGAAAAGCATATGACAAAATTCAACATCCTTTCATGATAAAACCCCAACAAATTAAGGCTGAGTGCAGTGGCTCGCATCTGTAATCCAGCACTTTGGGAGGCTGAGGCAGGCATATCACCTGAGGTTGAGAGTTCAAGGCCAGCTTGGCCAACATGGTGAAACCCTGTCTCTACTAAAAATACAAAAATTAGCTGGGTGTGGTGGTGCACCTGTAATCCGAGCTACTTGGGAAGTGGAGTGGGGAGAATCGCTTGAACCTGGGAGGCAGAGGTTGCAGTGAGCCAAGATTGTGCCACTGCACTCCAGCATGGGCAACCGAGTGAGACTCCATCTCTAAATAAATAAATAAGTAAATAAATACCCAACAAATTAGGTATAGAAGCAATGCTTCTCAACACAATAAGGGCCATGTATGAAAAGCCCACAGCTAACATCATACTCAATGGTGAAAAATTAAAGGCATTTCCTCCAAGGTCTGCATGCCCACAAGTCAAGGATGCCCACTCAGAAGAGTTCTGTTCAACATAGTCCTGGGAATCCTAGCCCAAGCAATCAGGCAAATAAATAAGCAAATAAATAAATAAAAGTTATCCAGATGTGAAAAAATAGGTGAAATTGTCTCTGTTTGCTGATGACCAAGTCTTAAATGTAGATAATCCTAAAGATTCCACCAAAAATCTGTTAGAGCTGATAAGCAGATTCAGTAAAGTTGCAAGATAATAAATCAATGTACAAAAATCAAAAATCAGTAGTGTTTCTATGAACTACTATGTGAACTACAATACTCTATGAACTACTTGTAAAATAAATTAGGCTAACAATCTCATTTATAATAGCATAAAAATACTTGAGTAAATTTAATCAAGGTGAAATTTAGACCTGTGAAAGATCTGTGAAAGATGACACAAGAAGTGGAAAAATATCCTGTGTTCATGGATCGCAAGAATTGATATTGTTAAAATGTCCATACTACCCAAAGTGATATAAAGATTCAAGGCAATCTCTGTCAAAATTCTTCCAGAAGTAGAAAAAAAATTCAAAAGTTTGTATGAAGCCACTAAAGACCCAGAACAGCCAAAACAATCTTGACCAAAGAACAAAGCTGGAGGTATCACATTATTAGATTTCAAAATGTACTACAATGCTATAGAGACCAAAACAGCATGACATTGGCATTTGCATACATTTTAAACTTATCTATTTTAATAAACAAATTTATAATTAGTTACAATTTTAATCTATTGTTATATATGTGTGTACAAAAACAAAGCAAAATAAGCTCCCTTCATTATCTTAAGTATCAAAATGATTTTAGAGACAATGCAATATTTATATATTGCAACATACATAAAGTTCTCTTATATATTGCCACATATATAAAGTTCAAAAATAAATTTTGGAGATTCATTTCTAACATGATAGAATGAGAAAGTCAATAAATGCACTCCCCCAAAAGCAACCATAAAGTTGGACAGAACTGTCAAATCAATAATTTCAATACTCTGGAAATTGACCAGTAACACTGAACAAGCTAAGAAGTTTTAATTCATCAAGACTATTGAGCTACAGGTGAGAGTAGATTGAAGTGCATGGTGTTCTTGCCTGGAGCTTTGTCCACCCTCCCTGCTCTGGTAGCATGCCAGGTTTAACTAGACACACAGACTATGAAAACCAGAAGTATTTCTGCCACTGCTAGAATGGTCTTACTTGACTTACTATTAATTCTACTTTTACAAATCTACCTAAGATAAATGAAAACATATGTCCTCTTAAAGGTTTGTATGTGAATGCTCAAAGAAGCGTTATTTGTAAGAGCTAAAAAATTGAACAATTTCAAATACAGTAAGTCTTTCCTTAACATCATCAACAGGTTATTGGAAACTGTGACTTTAAGTGAAATTATGTATAACAAAACCAATTTTACCACAGGCTTATCAATATAAAGAAGAGTGTTAATTTCCTGTGGCATAGCTCTGGCCACAAAAGCATCATGGTACTTCTAAATATAGATCAAAACCCTTCTTATATTAAATATTGAAATAAATGTGAGCTATATATACATTTAAGAAAGACTGATAAAAACCAGTAAGATAATTATTAACCCAGGTATTCCACTTCAGGGTCATGGGTGGCTAAAACCTAACGCAGCTTAAGGCACAAGGTGGGAACCAGCCCTGGACAGGATGCCATCCCATCATAGGGCATACTGACACACGACCCCATACTCACACTGGGACCATTTTGACCCACTAATAAGCCTAACATGCATATCTTTGGGATGTGGGAGAAAACTGGAGTCCCTGGAAAAAACATATGCAGCTGTGGGGAGAATGTGCAAATTCCACAATGATACTGGTTTTATGCAGGAATTGATTTTTTTTTTTTTCTCATCAGTGTAATAACAAAACAACATCAAATAAAATGAATGACGTTATTAAAGAAGCTGCTGTATCCTTTGACTGATGAATAAATAAACAAGATGTAGCATACGCATATAATCGAATACTATTCATCAGTAAAAATGAATTAAAACAAATAAATACATATGCTACAACATGGACATATCTCAAAAACCACATGCCAAGTGAAATAAGCCAGACACAACAGACTATAGTATGATTCAATTGGGGCCTAGGTAGGAATTATTTGCAAATGGGGTTGGGGAAAATTTTGAGGGTGATGGAAAAAAGTTCTAAAATGAGATTATGCTAGTGGTTACATAACCCTATAAACTATAGAAATATAAACTATAAAAATATAAAAAACTATAAAAATTGTTGACTTATGTACTTGCCATGGATACCTTTTAGAATATGTAAGTTATATCTAAAAAGCTGTACAAAATAAATTAAAGTCAGAAAATAATCACTGTGCCAACTTAAAAAGTAGAATAATTACTAAAGAATAATAATTGCTAAAGTAATAATTACTAAAGAATCTTTATTCTTTAGTATTTAAATACATGGAATTATTAGAGATATATTTAATAAAGAAGAAAAAACAATAAATCGATCTTGCAAAAAAAATTGATGTCACATTATTCCTCATGTGAACCCCGAATATCTGAGACAGGTTTCAGTTAATTTAGAAAGTTTATTTTGCCAAAGTTAAGGACACATGCCCTTGACACAGCCTCAGGAGGTCCTGGGGATATGTGCCCAAGGTGGCTGGGGCACAGCTGGGTTTTTTATATTTTAGGGAGACATGAGACATCAATCAATATGTGTAATGTGTACATTGGTTATATCAGGAAAGGCAGGACAACTCAAAGCAGGGAGGGGGCTTCTAGGTCACAGGTAGATAAAAGAAGATTGCATTTTTTTGAGTTTCTGATTAGCCTTTTTAAAGGAGGCAATCAGATATGCATTTATCTCAGTGAGCAGAGAGAAGACTTTGAATAGAATGGGAGACAGGTTTTCCCTAAGCAGTTCCCAGCTTGATTTTTCCCTTTAGCTTAGTGATTTTGGGGCCTCAAGATTTATTTTCCTTTCACATTCATAATGAAATGTAGGTTACTTAGTTGACCTTTATTTTATGTTTTCAAACTGGAAAAAAGGGTTTAATTAGCTAGATTCACTTAACTGCAATAATTTTAGATGATTTAACGTATTATTAGAAAAAAATTTAAATATTTGGAATTCTTGTTAGTCATATTATAATAATATAATTTGAAGATTTTTTCTCTTCACTCCTTTTAATAAATATTGCTTAAAAAACAAGTATAGTTATTTCAAAGATTGTGATGCAAAATTTAAGTCTGCCAAATACATCAACATTTATTTTGCTGGTATGTTAATGATATTGAATGTGGTTTAAGGGAAATGCTTTTTGACCAAAGAGTCAGAGACTACAGAACATTCTGATTTTGAATGACCTCCCTAGAACTCTGATTTCTGCGTTATTTAGAATACTGGTTGGGAGAGATGTTAGTGGTTCACATCAAATAAGTTTAGGAAGAATAGATTAGAGAAAGTTAAGCAGATATAGTTACTATGTTATTTGGATCGCAGATCTCCAAAGAGAAGATACAGTGTATAAAATTTATGTAATTTAATTGATAATAAAATATTGGCTATTGATAATAACTGAAGATGTGAATGATCTATAATTTTTGGTTTAAGACATACTGAATTTTGTTATTTTTCTAAATCAGAAAACATGTTTTGTACCCTCTTGTACCACTATAATAAAAAATTCAAACTCAGTTATTACTGGGGATCTTTTCTTTCCTCTTCAAAGTATCTTGGTTTATACGACAGACTACAGGAGGGTATGGCCTTTACACATGGGGATCATTATTTTTATTATTGATCTTTCTACTAAATTCAGCTATGTGAAGGCGGGGTCCTGAGATGGTCCTATGCTTTAAGCGGATTTAGAAATACTCCCTTTAGTGGCTAACCACTCTGACACTAGACTAACCCATGTAAAATATCATCAGAGGCATTTTCCATTTAAGATTCAGTACCCCATAATTGCATACATCCCTTAAAGGCCTTGGGATAGTCTCTAGCAAATTTTTCACCTGGTCATATGTTTTTGAAATTTTTGCAATGTTTTTTTAAATGCAGTTGATAGACTCCTATCTCTATCTTCTCAATGTTTCTTCAATCATATATTCTCTTGTGTTCAATGTCTTTGAAGTAACATAGCTAATTTGGGGTGTATGATTAAGTTGGATTGAGTAGCGTTATATTTGTGGTTCACTGTCACATCTGTATAAAGTTATTTATAACTGATGTAGGAATACTACTAATACCCACCGCGCTGACTCATCCTGTATTATTGTGACATACAAGTGTCACAAAATTTATGTTAAGTGCAGCTCATATTCTTTTCCTGATTGGAGAAAAGACTACCTCCAAAGTACCTCATATTGTTAACTAATTCAGTATTTTGCAGTATTGTATGTATTTTTTTGAAATGTGGCTTCTTTGTTGAATATTTTGAACACAGAGTGACTAGTAACTCTGTCACCCATGCAGTTTGGGTTTTTCTTTATTGTTTAAGTGTAATAAAATGTTCACTATAAAGTTGTTCGAGCCTCCTAAGATAAGTAAAATATCTTATGAAAACTCTAAAATACATTTTGCAGAATTAGAAAAGAAACTCATTCACTAATGAGATGCAAAATTTGTATTAATAAAGTTGATAAAGCTTGAATACCCTATTTTAGCAATAATTAGAATGGCATTTAAGACAATTCCAATACATAATGTTAGAATTTGCAGATACCTGGTTTGAATGTATAAACTAAAGAGCTTTTGCATGGCAAAAGGAACAGTCAGGAGAGTAAACAGACCACCCATAGAGTGGGAGGAAATCTTCACAACCTATACATCTGACAAAGGACTATTATCCAGAATCTACAACGAACTCAAACAAATTAGTAAGCAAAAAAGCAAACAATCCCAACAAAAAGTGGGCTAAGGACATGAATAGACAACTCTCAAAAGAAAATACATAAATGGCCAACAAACGCGAAAAAGTGCTCAACATCAATAATGATTAGGGAAATGCAAATCAAAACCGTAATGCAATACCACCTTACTCCTACAAGAATGGCCATAATCAAACAATCAAAAAATAATAGATGTTGGCATGGATGCAGTGAACAGGGAACACTTCTACATTGCTGGTGGGCATATAAACCAGTGCAACCACTATGTAAAAGTGTGTGGAGATTCCTTAAAAAACTAAAAGTAGATCTACCATTTGATCCAGCAATCCCACTACTGGGTATCTACCCCGGGGAAAATAAATCATTATATGTAAAAGATACTTGCAGATGCATGTTTATAACAGCACAATTCACCATTGCAAATATATATAAGATATATATATATGAAGGAAAACTACTCAGCCATAAAAAAGTAATAAATTATGGCATTTGCAGCAACTGGATGAGATTGGAAACTATTATTCTAAGAAGCAACTCACAAATGGAAAACCAAACTTTGTATGTTCTCACTCATAAATGGGAGCTAAGCTATGAAGGTGCAAAGGCATAAGAATAACACAATGGACTTTGAGGACAAGGGAGAAAGGGTGAGGGGGGGTGAGGAATGAAAGACTACAAATTGAGTTCAGTGTGCACTGCTCGGTTAATGGGTGCTCCAAAATCTCACAAATCACCACTAAATAACTTACTCATGTAACCAAACACCACCTGTTCCCCAATTACCTATAGAAATAATTACATTAAATTTAAAAAAAGTTGTAATAGATGGGTAGCATGGAGGCTCCAATATTTCATACTCTTCTCTTTCCCTGTCCTTTGCAATGTGACGTGGCATGTCTGCCAGTCAGCCTTTTGAAATTAGACTAGACTTGTGAGTGCTTTGGCCAATAGAATGCCAGTGTGCAGGTTCTGACTCTAGGCCTCAAGAGGCTTTGTGTCCTTCTAGAACTATATCATCTCTGCCATTGCCAAGAGAATAAATCTGGGTACGAGAAGGCTACTGGAAGGTGAGAAACTACATAGAGAGGATATATGCCATTCCCATTGGAAGTCATTCCAGACCAGCCAGCATTCATCTGATCAGCCTAACTGAAGGCAGATCTGTCTGTATCTGAGTTTCTCAGTAGACTGAGCCCAGTGGAAATCAGCGGAACCCACTCCAGATCAGCACAACCAACCAGCTAAATCAGATTATTGAGAAACATTAAATGATGGTTGTTCTAGCCAAATTAAGTTTGAAGTGAGATTATTATGCATGGTATTGTGACAATAGGTGCTTGAGAAAGAGGGACACATTCTTTGTTCTTATTTTTATTAATAAAATAAGAGAAAATGCAGATAAGAATTAATAAAATGTGGGAAATATAAGAAATGTGCAGTAAAAGTAGTAGAAATTATTCTGATAATGTAGACAATGTAGAGGGCTGCAGAGGGGCCACCCAATAAGTTATGTTCACATCCTAGTTCTTCAAACCTATACTGTTACCTTATCTGAAGACAATAAAAAGGGTCTTTGCAGATATAATTAAGGATGTTGAGATAAAGGGATCATTGTGGATGATCCAGCTGGCTCTACATCCAATAACAAGTGCTGTTATAAGACACACAAATGAGAAGACTGACACAAAGAAGGCAATATGGGGACAAAGGCAGAAATTGAAATGATGTAGAAATGAGCTCAGGAAGCTTGCAACTGCCAAAAGGCAGAAGATGCATGAAATAATTTCTTCCCTAAAATCACTGTAGGGAGTGTAGGGAGGAAATTAAGGTTTACCAAAACGTTAATTTTAGAATACTGACCTTTAGAACTGTGAGAGAGTAAATTTCTGTTGTTTAAAGCCACCAAGTTTATGGTAAGTTTGTTACAGCAGCTTTAGGAAATTACTACATATACCAAGCAGTAATTTTTAGCAAAAATATTTTAAACCACATGGTAGTGATAATTAACTGAGTAACTGACTTCAAACTGAAGTCAAATATGAACTAATAGGTTGTTTAGTAATCCATTTAATATTAAAAAGTGAATCACAAAACACAGTAAAAATTTAAATTCTTTCTGATTTCACATGAAAATTGATATACAGATTCTTTTTTTTTTTTTTTTTTTTTTTTTTTGAGACAGAGTCTCAGTCTGTTGCCTAGGCTAGAGTGCAATGGTGCAATGATGCGATCTCAGCTCATTGCAACCTCTGCCTCCTGGGTTCAAGCGATTCTCCTGCCTCGGCCTCCAGAGTAGCTGGGATTACAGGCATCTGCTACCACGCTCTGCTAACTTTTGTATTTTTATTAGAGACGGGGTTTCACCATGTTGGCCAGGCTGGTCTTGAACTCCTGACCTCAGGTAATCCATCCACCTTGGTCTCCCAAAGTTCTGGGATTACAGGCATGAGCAACCACGCCCGCCTCACAGATTCTTAAAATTTATAAGTTACTATGGCACATACATCTACAGTAAATAGGTTAATTAATATAATCAAGGTAAAAACTATGTTGAATTAGCCACTGCCCAAATTATCTTGAAATGCCTGAATATATTACATCTTGATGGCAGTTTCCCACATGTGACAATACTGTCATATCCACAGACTCAATTAGCCACAGATTGAAAATATTTAAAAAATTAAAATGCAATAATTTAAAAAGTACAAATAAAACCATACAGTATAACAACTAATTACAGAAAACTTGCATAGTATTAGGTATTATAAGTTATCTAGAGTTAAAGTATATAGGAGAATATACATAGGTAATATGTAAATATAATGTAATTTTATATAAGAGACTTGAGCATCCACAGATTTGGGTGTTTATGGGCATCCTGGAACAAATTCTCCATATATATCAAGGGGCAACTCTAACCTTAAAAATACACATATTACCAATAAAAATTTTGAATATGATACAAACTTTTCTAAACTATCAATGACAAAAAACAAATTGTGATTCATAACTCTAAAGAAAGACTCAATTTTCTTTCTCTTCTCACTATAGCAAATCATATTACAAAATAATTTTCATACAGGAAGAATATGTATATATCACAGAATATATAACCAAAAACGAAAACCAAAAATTTATTTTACAGATCTAACAGGAGAGCTAATAAATAAAATGCATTTTATTTTTGAATATTTATGGTGATGATTGTCAGCTGTTTAAAAAATATAATTTTTTGAAATTTGTTTTTCATATTCTAAACAAACATGCACTTTACTATCTAAGTTGGTATTCATAATTTTAACATTTTTTTTCTTGAAGAGTTTTTTCCCTGTAATGTGTATAAGCTTTATGACCTACAAAAATCTTGATCTTCTGTTGGCCTTAATGACATTCTTAAATCTGTGGCTGTCTTTGTCTTGTCCATACTAGCATCCAAAAATAGTCAGCTTATGATTTATTGTGTCCTGGTCTCTGCCACTTGAGGAAGACCCTGAAGCTTCCTTCTCCCTTCCTATGGTCAGAGCTTCTCTATTTCTCATGGTTCAGAATTATTGGCTAGTCTGGGACAGTCCTGTTTGGGACAGTCCAACTATTCACTTCTCTATTGTGGGAGTGTAAACTAGTTCAACCATTGTGGAAGACATTGTGGCTATTCCTCAAGGATCTAGAACCAGAAATACCATTTGACCCAGCAATCCCATTATTGGGTGTATACCCTAAGGATTATAAATAATTCTACTATAAAAACACATGCACACATATGCTTATTGCAGCGCTATTTACAACAGCAAAGACTTGGAACCAACCCAAATGCCCATCAATGATAGACCGGTTAAAGAAAATGTGGCACATATACACCATGGAATACTATGGAGCCATAAAAAAGAATGAATTCATGTCTTTTGCAGGGACATGGATGAAGCTGGAAGCCCTCATTTTCAGCAAACTAACACAGGAACAGAAAACCAAACACCACATGTTCTCACTCATAAGTGGAAGTTGAACAATGAGAATACATGGACACAGGGAAGGGAACATCACACAATGTTGCCTGTTGCAGGGTTAGGAGCAAGGTAAGGGAGAGAATTAGGAAAAATACCTAATGCATGTGGGGCTTAAAACCTAGATGAAGGGTTGATGGGTGCAGCAAACAACCATGGCACATATATACCTATGTAACAAACCTGCACATTCTGCAGATGTATCCCAGAATTTAAAGTAAAATAAAAAAAAAAAAAAAGGAAAAGACAAGAAAAACAAAACACTCTTACCTTTCCACTGGATGCAAAGGAACCTATCCTTACTTATTCAAAGCTCTTCTTCTGTCAAAGAAAAAGAGAAATTAACTTCTTCTATTGTATCTTACACTGCCACAGAAAATTAAGGCATGCCACAATTTTTCCTGAGAAATGATTTAAAACAAGGTATTTTAAGAATTTAAATTGGCTTAGATGGAACCTTAGAACCTTTCCCCTGACCACCTTCCCGTCACCTCATCCCACTTCCTATCACCTTAATAACCTTTGATTTGAGTCCCCAGATGTAGGAAATTTAATTTCGGTAGTAATTTTGGAGTTGGTGAGATTTCACATCTCAAATTTACGTTTTTTTCCTCACATAAGGAACTAAAAAAAAGGGCATCTTTTGCCTTGACAGCAATTAAAATGAACTGCCATTCTTGGAGTTCCTCAACGTGCATTTACCTACAGGCCTTTGCCAGCTGTTACAAATTCTCCCTCATGGGTCATGCTTGACATTGCCACTGGCATGTATCTCTCTTTTCTTTGTCACCAAGACTCTGCCCCTCCTGTCACTGTCAGTCTTCCACTGTAGCCTTCATGTCACTGCTGAGAGTGTTCTCACAGAGGTGGCTGGGGCACCCTTTCACTTGGGAGACTGCTGCTCTCTTCTTATCTTACAGCTTCCAATGTCAAGCAATTACTCTCATCTTCTGCTCAGGGAATATTTGAATGTTAACACGACATACACTAGAAAATGTTCTTTTCCGTGTTCTTTTTAATCACTAGATCATTACTAGACCTTATATTTCTGTTCTCATCTCAGGTGAGTTTCCCCACCCTTCATCCATATGCATTATCTAAAAGGGCAGTGATGGTCTTGCCCCAACCCTAACATATATTTATATTTTGCCTCAAATAGTAACATTATATTTTTCCATGTATTTATGTTTTTTTTTTCTTACAGGAAGTACATCTGCTCTTATGTACATAGAAGTCTTGATGGCCCACCCATGTGTGCTAGTGGAAATATAAGTTAGAGTCTTTGTTGGGTCCAGAAAGGAAAGGTTGTACAGGGGGATAGCAACTATTCTTTCTTTCTTCTTCTTCTTGGTGTTTTTTTTTTTTTTTTTGATGGAGTCCTGCTTTGTTGCCCAGGCTGGAGTGCAGTGGTGTAATCTCGGCTCACTGCAACCTCCGCCTCCCAGGTTTAAGCAATTCTCCTGCCTCAGCCTCCCAAGTAGCTAGGACTACAGGCACATGCCACCACGCCCGGATAATTTTTGTATTTTTAGTAGAGACAGGGTTTCACCTTGTTAGTCAAGATTGTCTCAATCTCCTCACCTCATGATCCGCCTGACTTGGCCTCCCAACGTGCTGGGATTACAGGTGTGAGTCGCCACGCCTGGCCTAGCAACTGTTCTTTCATGAATTTTTCCTCCACAGAAAGTATAATTTTGTCTTACATATAATAAATGTATATATAAAATATATATGCATAGTATATAATATTAAATTTTGGAATTGGGGTCTTGCTCTGTCTGTCACCCAAGCTGGAGTGCAATGACACGATTTCAGCTCACTGCAACCTCTGCCTCCCAGGTTCAATTGATTCTCCTACCTTAGCCTCCCAAGTAGCTGGGATTACAGGCATGTGCCACCATACCCAGCTAAGTTTTTTTCTGTTTTTGGTAGGGATGGGGTTTCACCATGTTGGCCAGGCTGGTCTCACACTCCTGACTTACAGTGATCTGCCCACCTCAGCCTCCCAAAGTTCTGGGATTACAGGCATGAGCCACCGTGCCTGGATGATATTAAATATTAACCAATTATATACATGCACATACATATAAACACACATTACTGAGTAGAATATCCCAAAGACTGCCAATACATTTTTTCCATTTGGTCAAGAAGGCGGTTTCCAAAATCCCATAGAAATCTTTTAATAACTATATCAATATTATTTCTCCCCTCATTTAACCCTCCAACTAACCCTTATTAAAGTTTTACCACCTACCTCCTATACAAAAGATTAATGATGTTTGGAAACATTCTATAGATGATTTTTCTAAGTCACTGTGAGACAAGTTGCATTAAAATGACATGAGACAGACTAAAAATGATTGAAATAAATTATTCTTATAAAAAGAACATTTTAGAGATTAGTTTTAAAATGAATAATAAAGTTTCTTTTAGAGTTTTAAAGACTAAGGACATATTAATCAAAGAAAATTAGAGACACGTGGAACAGTACAAAGAACACATAAATATTATGTAAAACATGGATGTCCAAACTTTTGGCTTCCCTAGACCACATTGGAAGAAGAAGAATTGTTTTGGGCCACACATAAAATACACTAACACTGATGAGCTTAAAAAGAAAAAGAAATCTCATGATGTTTTAAGAAAGTTTACAAATTTGTGTTGGATCACATTCAAAGCCATCCTGGGACTCACGCAGCCCACAGGCCACAGGTTGGATAAGCTTGATGTAAAATTCTACTTCATAGAAATAACCACTGTTAATTTCCTCTTACATATATATTCATGTTTATATACACAGATATGCACAGAACTGGAATCACACTGAACATATTTATTTATATACTCACTGTAATCATTCTTTCCATTTAATTTATTTTATACACTTTTAATATATTTAATGTATTGTGAACTTTTCCTTAGCTTAAAAATATTCTTCTAAGCCATTGCATTTAAATACAATGCTGTGGCTTGATTTTTTTTGCTAATAAAGCAAGACATTATCATGTGGATATAAATAATGGGAAAAGGCAAAGGCCATAGATAATTGAAATGTTATTTTGATGAGATATAGTTCTCTTTTTTTTCCCTTAAATAACTAATTGTTTGACTAATAAACCTAGAGCTAGGGATTCTAACCCTGAGTCTTAAACTACCTAGGTTATATGGAATAAAAATTCATAAAAGCAAATTGATGGCCAATATGTGCCAAATGCTTTTAGTAACTTATAAATTTTGAAGCATTCAAAACCTCCCACGTAAAGGGTCATTGTGTGTGGGTAAGGATCATTAAGGAAAAATGTATAGGTATTTATTTTGCACTATTTGCAGAACCAAAGGAATATTTTGAGTGAGGTACCAATGCATGACAATAATGTCAGAATGATAAAGGATTTCAGAATGCACATTAAAAGCTATGACTATTAGGAATACTGCTAGTAGTCATATTTACAATAAATATTTGAGGAATTGCTCATGAAATGAGCAACAAATCTAGATTGATAGAAACTTTTATTTGAAAGGATGAGTGCAAGGAGAGAAAGGGACTATTTACAATAGGGCGAATGTTCTAACTAAAGGGTCTTCCAAGCATCTCAAGAGTTAGGCAGAAAGGGGTTTTCTTTTACAGAGATGAGTAAACAATGCTGGAAAGAACGAGGTGTAGGGAATGGGGATGAAAGATAGGGTGGCATGATTGGAGGGCATGCCAAGGAATATTTTAACCTAAGACCAGCCTGTTTTCAGGAGGTCTGCATGCTGGCTCAGACTGAGGGTGGGCCAAACCTCAGAAGCCTTCAGATCCAGAATTTTGAGTCTGTCTTTGGCTTTGTAATAGGTGTAATCATTAATGTTGTGTGTCAACTTGATTAGGTAACTGGGTGTCCAGATGTTTGGTTAAATATTATTTGTGAATGTGTCTGTGAGGGTGTTTCCAGATGAGAGGATGAGATTAACATTTCATTCAGTAGACTTAGTAAATCAGATGGCTCTCCCCAGTGTGAGTAGGCACTAGCCAATTTGTTGAGGGCTTGAATAGAAAAAAGGGAAAGGACAAGCAAATTCACCCTTCTGTCTGAGTGTTTGAGCTGGAAATTCAAATTCACCCTTCTGTCTGAGTGTTTGAGCTGGAAATTCAAATTTACCCTTCTGTCTGAGTGTTTGAGCTGGAAATTCAAATTCACCCTTCTGTCTGAGTGTTTGAGGTGGAAATTCAAATTCACTCTTCTCTCTGAGTGTTTGAGCTGGAAATTCAAATTCACCCTTCTGTCTGAGTATTTGAGCTGGAAATTCAAATTCACTCTTCTGTCTGAGTGTTTGAGCTGAAATCTCAATTCTTCTCCTATCCTTGGACTGAGATTTATACCATCAGTATTCCTGGTTCTTATGCCTTTGGACTCAGAATGGAATTGTACCACCAGCTTTCCTGGGGACTTCTGAGCCAATTCTTTATAATAAATTTATCTGTGTATACACATACCCACAAAGAAATATAGACATATATACCTACACAGAGAGAGAGAGAGAGAGAGAGAGAGGCAGGAATCACTTAACAAAAGGAATACATTTTATGAAATGCAGCCTTAGCCAATTTCATTGTTGTGTGTACATCATATAGTGTACTTTCACAAACCTAATTTGTATATCCTTTTACACACTTAGGCTATATAGTATAGCTAAGTGTTTCTAAGCTACAAAACTGTACAGCATGTTACTCTACTGAATACCATAGGCAATTATAACACAATAATCAGTATTTGTGTATGTAAACATATCTAAACATGGAAAAGGTACTGTTGAAGTATTGTATAAAATATTTAAAGAAATTATACCCATGTAGAGGTCATTAGCCACTAATTGAGCTTGCAGGACCCAAATTTGCTCTTGGTGATTAAGAGGTGAGTGAATGTGAAGGCCTAGGACATTACTGTACAGTATTGTAGACTTTATAGACATTGTACACTTAGGATACATAGAAATTAATTTATAAAATTTTCTTTTTTTCTATAAATTAATCTTAGCTCACTATTACTATTTTACTTTATAAACTTTTAGATTTTAAATTTTTTGACTCTTTTCTAATAATACTTAGCTTAAAACACAAACACATTGTACAACTGTACAAAAATATTTTTATCTCCTTATTCTATAAGCCTTTTACTATTTTTGAAATGTTTTATTTTATTTTTTACTTTTTAAACTTTTTTTTGTTAAAAAGTAAGACACAAACACACATATCAGCCTAGGCCTACAATGGGTCAGGATTATCAATATTATTCTCTTCCACCTTCACATCTTGTCCCACTGGAAGGTCGTCAGGGGCAAAAACACACGCGCAGCTGTCATCTCCTATAATAAAAATGCCTTCTTCTGAAATATTTCATGAGCATCCTGCCTGAGGCTGATTTATAGTTAACTTTTTTTTATTAGTAGAAGGAGTACACTCTAAAATTGCAATAAAAGTATAGTGCAGTAAGTACCAGTATAAATACATTCACCAATATCATAAGTCATTTGTTATCAAGTATTATGTTACTGCACATATTTGTATGCATTATACTTTTATATGACTGGCAACACAGTAGGTTTGTTTACACCATCATTATCACAAACATGAGTGATGTGTTGCAATATAATGTTAGGTTGACTACAACCCTACCAGGTGATAGAAATATTTTATTTCAATAAAAAATTACAATCCTATGGGGTTACATTACATTACAATCCTATGGGGCCATCATTATATATGCAGTGCATTGTTGACCAAAATGTTATGTGTCACATGACTGTATACATACATATCCTATTGTAAATATCAGTGTTGCTCTTTCCTTTGCTATTAAAACCAGGCTAAGGATGATGTTTCCCTTCACTCATAGTCACTGAACTGATAGGAGATTTCCATATTTGGGTTCTCACTGGTTCTATCACAGTGACACCTCATTCTCATTTTTCCTGTTGGCTCGATTCATTATAGAATATCCAGTCTGCCGCGCATGTTCCCTATAAAATTTAAGGTATATTTCTTATTATGTATTTGAGTTCTCATACTTATTTCATATCCATACCTCTTAACTCTGATAATAAATGGAGACATGGCCTCACTTTTAAATGCTTTGTTGCCAGGTTTATATATATATATATATCTGTGTTTCTTTTCCTGTTTACAGTCTATTTGAAATCTTTGTTTTTTTCCATCCATCCACAGACTTCCTTCTCCAGTAGCACTTCATTTTTCACACAAGTTCGGTCTTGATTTACAGTTTACTAATTGTGATACAGTCTATGAATACTCATTGCATCTACATTCACAGAATTTGAAAAAAATGGGCTGTATTTATGGTTTCATCAGACTAAACTAGCCAACATGTTCCTTTCTATTTTCTCTATCAAAATCTTTCATTATTTTCTCATAATTATTTATGACTAGCTGTATCAAATTAAGAGATAGAAGAAAAATGAAAAATGTTTAACCTCTACAGAAAAAGTCTGTTCTCCAGTTGTAACTAGGGCTCTAGATAAATGCAAACATCCTTACTATTCCACAAACATGTTGGATAACATATTGAAAGACATTGAGAAATCCATTAAATTTTTAAAAGCAGAGCAGTTTTCCCAGGGATAGCTCCACAGGCTTAGCTTGTCTGAAAAACAACATAATTGAAACTAAGCTGCAAAGTCTAGTTTAGGGGAGGATTAAGCTGAGTACTTGAAAAAAGCTGATATGATGCCCACCACTATCCACTCACTTCACTGAGGGTAGATTTCTTCTGCTGACCTTCCTGGTCAAGTGCAATGTCCTCAAGAATTGTGTGGGGGACATTTAAAAAGTTACCTATATCAATACTGACAGCCCATTCCTGCTAATAGTATTCCTTAGTCTAAACCTGAATTTCTGAATATGAGAAAATAATAATTGGGAAAAACTGACAAAAAGAAAAGAACAAGTAATCATAGGACATGCTTTTTATTGAAGCAGAAATAACTTAGGAAATAGTCTAGTACTTTTGAAAATAGTCTAAGTAGTACCCTCAGTGAGATAATAGACAATATTAGATAATTAGATAATAGGCAAAAAGACAATGTTTTAATAAATCAAGAATATTCAGCTATGAGGGAAGAAAATCTGTATCTTTAAAATTAACCAAAAAGTCATGGTCATTTAAAAAGAAACCTGTTGGTTGGGCATGATGGCTCACACCTGTAATCCCTGCACTTTGAGAGGCCGAGGCATGTGGATCACTTGAGGTCAGGAGTTCGAGACCAGCCTGGCCAACATGGTGAAACCCCATTTCAAATAAAAATATAAAAATTAGCCAGGCATGGTGGTGGGCCCCTGTAATCCCAGCTACTTGGGAGGCTAAGGCAGGAGAATCACTTGAACCCAGAAGGTGGAGGTTGCGGTGAGTCAAGATCGTGGCATTGCACACTCCAGGCTGGCCAGCAAGAAAGAAACTCCATCTCAAAAAAAAAAAAAAAAAAGAAAGAAAGAAAGAAAGAAAAGAAAAAGAAAAAGAAACCTGGGAAACTTGGGACTCAGTATAGTTAAGTGATCTGCCCAGGACTGCATAATGATGATAATCTGAATTTTGTACTAGTATATATATTCAGAAATAAAATTTGATGCTATTTTCAATATGTTATACTGTGTTCTACTTTACTCTGTTATGCTATTGTACTATACTGTAAGATACTCTTATACTATACTGGAACATCCTATCCTAAAAGATTTTGTTTTCTTCCTATATCACTTTCAACTTTACTATGCAGTACAAAACATACCACACAATGCTACTTCATACCAAAACACCTAGATGCAATATGATTAAAAGCAAAGATACTTCAATTTAGAACATTTTTGTTATTAGCTATTTTCTCTTTGATGGCAAATAGTATAATTCACATTTAAAGTATGCACACACACACACACACACACATACACATACCCATAAATATTGCCGAATATCTGTCAGCAACACTACCTAGGTTATTCAATAAGTAATAGTTTTTAATGAAATTATGCTGAGCACTTTTATTATGGTTTTGTATTTCCAACATGAATTTATTATTATATATTAGAACAAAAAAAGATATAGACAGGTAGTCTGAAGGAAACCAGTCCAAGAAAAAAATTATTCTATATTAAGAAGTTTTACTGGCTTGATGAACTAAAACTATTAATGTTTCTCAATAGCAATTATAAACATCGCTCTTTCCATGTGACAGCATTCCTCACTGTAAAGTTATCCATTTACTTGTTTATTAATGATTGTGAAATTACTATTTATATGCTACAATGCTGCATATAAGCATCTAAACATTACTAATTATTTCACATTCAGGTTAAATAGCACAGTTTTTATGCCTAAATGAATGTACTCTGGAGTTTATCACTGAACTATTGAAATACTTAACCTTCAAACACTACATAAATATTTTCTTACATATAAATATTCTGCAGAAGAAATAGACATAAGCTAAATTATGCTTTAGGCTCAAGAAAATTAGAAATGTACATGGAATTTCATAGTTCTGCTCTTACAGTTCCTTTTTGTAAAAAGAGAATCTATCTGGGTGACCTGGCTGTCAAGTGCTGTGAGACTGATCACCTCACTAGATAATTTACTAGCTTCTTATCAGCACAATCTATTACAGCTCCAGCCAAAATATTTGATTTTGGCAGAGGCAATGGATGCAAAGCCTGGCACTTGTGAGTCTATTAGAGCTGCAATTTTTTCATTTGAGACAAATGTGCTTAGTTTCGTAACTCTAGCCTAGCCTATAGAAATAATTGAAGGATCGAAGGATAACTGTTCATACACATTTCTACCATAGATTTAGAGCTAAAAGATTATTCCTAAGATATTTGTTTATAACTTTCATGAACCATTTATTATTTATAATAAAAACACTAGTATTCTTTTGAAGGAGAGTCCCTCCTGTTTTATAGCATCACTTTTGGCACTGGACCAACAAATGCAGTTTGAATAAAAATAAACTTCTTCCAAAAGTGAAAATGAATTGTCAAAAGCAGTTTTTTAAGTGATCTAGCAATCATTATCATATCACAATCCTCATAATAAGCCTGATGCTGTATTTTTAGTATTATTCTAACCTATGCAATGAGAGATGAGTGAAACTATTCTTCAAAAATAAGATTTGATATCCTCCAGTGTCAAAATGGATTGTAGCAACACAAGGCATAATTCCTTTGGCAGAGCATCCTATTTAGTTTCTTTAATGGCATGTTCTTTTACTTGGGCCTGGCATAAATATGATGGATAGAATTTAGAAAGGCTAAATTATTTACAATTGATATATGATTGGTTGCATTAAGGTTTCAATCATGTGAATGTGTGTAAAGTGCAAAGCATTGAGCTGAGCTTAGAGTAAAGGAAATCAAGGATATCCCTTAATCACAAATAATAGTTTAGATATATTGAAGCTAAGATATCTGTAATTTTGATTTAATTTGGAAAAAAAAATTTTAAGAGACTATGAGTGATTATATAATTTAATGTGTGCTAACATAAGCTACAGTAAGATTTCTAGACAGATAATTTTTTTTCTTTTTTCTAACTTGCATGCTATTGTATACAAAGGACCTAGCACTTTCATTTGTAAGATTCTCCATCGAAACAAGGTTTAAAAATGTTATAGGCCCAGTGTGGTGGCTCACGCCTGTAACCCCAGCACTTTGGGAGGCTGAGGTGGGTGGATCATGAGGTCAGGAGTTCAAGACCAGCTGGCCAAGATGGTGAAACCTCGTCTCTACTAAACATACAAAAATTAGCCCAGCATGGTGGCAGGCACCTGTAGTCCCAGCTACTCGGGAGGCTGAGTCAGAGAATTGCTTGAACCCAGGAGGCAGGAGGCAGAGTTTGCAGTGAGCTGAGATCACACCACTGCACTCCAGTCTGGGCTACAGAGCAAGACGCTGTCTCAAAAAACAAAAACAAAAACAAAAAAGTTACATATTTGATTTTCTTATATAATCAGTTTGTCTAGCTTTCTCATTTCCTTGAGTCAATTCTAGTCTCTCTAGAGGAGAAATAAGGACAGCAAATAAAAACCTTTGAGCTTGTCTTTATTTAGCTTGTAAGCAGGTGTTTATTGATTGAACACCATGTTTACAGCAGATTTTTACTGGCTTTACTTTTAATTAGAGTACTGCATGTTTGGATCTTAACATAAATTGAGAACAATTCTTCCCAGGATACAGAGTCAGTCATTTGTTTCCTATATATGAGAGTGTCTTATAGGCAAATTGAGCTGAAGAAAAAAATATGTATGTATGTATGTGTGTGTGTGTGTGTGTATATATATATATATATATATACACATATATATGTATATACACACACACACACACACATACAGAAATGATTATTAAGTCTTAAAATTTGACTTCATGGAAGAAAACTTATATGAATACAATACACAGAATGGAATATCATAGCAATAATACAAAGAAGTGCCGAATAGAATAGTATTTAAAAAGACTTTCGGATAAATATTTCAAATATATAGCTTACCTGTGCCTACAAAATGGAGTCTAACCTTAGGATGTGATTCAAGGTTAATATCTCTTTCACTTCTAACTTACAGTAGGTATATATTTATAAAATTTTTTTAATAAAATTCAAATTTCTTTACAAATTATTGAAGGCCAATTAACAACTGTCTCATCTCTAGTCATTTTCCTTGGAATACAATACAATCCTGCCACATTGGACTATTTATTATTTCCTGGTGATGGCCCTGGCTTTCCTTGCGTTATTTCATGGCCAATATTCTTTCCTTTAAGAAGAGTACTTTTTATCCAACCTCTCCCATCAAAATACAATGTACTTATCAGCATTCAGGTCAAATGCCATGTCCTCTATAGCTTTTCAATTCTTCCTATTAGAAATAACTTCTTCTGGCCGGGCGCGGTGGCTCACGCCTGTAATCCCAGCACTTTGGGAGGCCGAGGCGGGCGAATCACGAGGTCAGGAGATCGAGACCATCCCGGCTAAAACGGTGAAACCCCGTCTCTACTAAAAATACAAAAAATTAGCCGGGCGTAGTGGCGGGCGCCTGTAGTCCCAGCTACCTGGGAGGCTGAGGCAGGAGAATGGCATGAACCCGGGAGGCGGAGCTTGCAGTGAGCCGAGATCCCGCCACTGCACTCCAGCCTGGTCGACAGAGCGAGACTCCGCCTCAAAAAAAAAAAAAAAAAAAAAAGAAATAACTTCTTCTTTTAGAGGTCCAGTATCACTTGTTAAAATATATTTTTCATATTATATGAGTAAAATCAGTCATGGCCTGCTTTAGAGAGGCATGAATATCTGAACAAACTCAAGGATCTGTTAGGCAAAAGCTATGTATAACAGGACTGGATAGAATTCCCAAAATGACCACACCACCTACTTAAATAGTATTCTGCTGGGAGAATGCTCAACATGCTGTAGGGATACTGCTGTGGCTTCTCAGTATAGAGTGCAATTTTAAAAATCACTTTAGCCTGGCAGGCTGTTGCTTTTTAAAATTATTTTATGTCTTTTAGTTCAGCGGCAATATGTACTTACTATTTGTCTCAGAATTCTCTAGTCACTTGTGAAAGTGTTTGTGTCCAGAAAGATATGTTTGCTGCATGCATGTTTTACAGCTCAGACCTCACTAATATTCTCACAACTCTGTATTCTCTTCATGGAATCCTCAGAAAGTGGAAAGCTAAGTACTGTAGATCTTTTGGTGATTTGTGGAAGATGAAAACAACAACCACAAAAGAGCGATAATCAGAATTTCCTTTAGTCCAACTGCTGAGAGAATTACAGGCTTTTAATGGAAAAAAATTACTGTGCAATCAAGAAACTCCCTGAACAATCATGAACTTGAATTCTTAGCACTCTAAAGAGAACTACACTTTCATTATTAAAGATTATTGAAATGAAATAACAGAAAAACCAAATAAACAAACAAATATAAACTTCATAAATTATAAGATAATAAACGTACTAATCAACATTTGGTTTGCTATATTTCTTTTGGTGTTAAGTTGAAGCTACATGTATTCATTCCAATCTCCAAAAATGGAAATGTTGATTCTTATGACCTTAACTTGACTTGATAAGATGTTGAGAAAAGAGTTACACAAGAATAAATATGTAATATTGTGTATGCTATTAAATTCTATGTGTGAAGTACATGTCTTAGTTCTATATTTTAGTTATCCACAGCATTCCTCCTGTATCATTTGCAGACTTTGTATAACGCAGTCAATAAACCAAGGGCAGTTTGCTGTATGTTTGCAAAGCAAGTACCTCATTTGGCAAATAATACATGCCTAAAGATAAAACCCTGGGCAAATAATAAAGACATAATGAGATAACTGTATAATTTCATTGACTCATACATTTAAATAAATTAATTATCTTAATGTGCATGCAAATGGGGTGATTATAATAAATTAATCCTTGATAATGTATAAAACCCACAAAATATACCTCAAAAATACGATGCATTTAAAAATGCAGAATTATACTTGATAACTCTTATTGTATAGACTTTAGAATCAGCCTCCACACAAAATTAGAATTTTCTTGCTCTAAGGATTGACTTTAATTCAAAATTATGCAAATTTCATCCAAAGAGGTTGATTGCTTATATTCTTCAGGCTGCAGAAGGAACTAAAAAACTCTTATTTATTTAGTTAATGAATTTTATCCTGATTAGTTCACCTATTCATCCAATTCTTATTTCTAGTCCTGATATTCATTTTATAACTGGAACTAAGTAGGGTAATTTTGGTGTAATAAATAACATATTTAAGTCTCTTTTATATGTAATTTATTAAAACTATAATTTAGTAGGAATTAGAAGCTTACTATGTTAAGTCTCCTTTTTTCTCTCTAATGCTAGTTAGAGCAATTTGAAAAATAATGCTGATAAATTTGAATAAAAATAGGCTTAAAATATGAAATTTAACCCATATCAACAAACTCTGTTTAGAGGAATTAAATCTAGATAACCCTAGTGGTAATGGCTCAAATTTTTAGACTGATTACATCATGAATAAATGAATAAGCTATCACCACCCAAAGGTAGTTTAGTAATGAATATGATTTCACATATTTGAATAAAAACACCTTATTTATGTTTTTACATTCAACTAGCTGATGAAAGTGGATTTATTTCCTAGCCTTAATGTAGTGAGTTCTAGTTCATATTTCTAATATTCTCAATTAGTCCACAAATAATCCATTTAGACATCCTGGATGAAATCCTCTAAGTAGATATAACCATAAAATCATTACGAAGTGATGATGCTCTTGAAAAAAATAGATAAAATAACTGAGTTTCCAATAAACAGAGAATGGACAAAATAGTTTACAGATAAATTACTCAAAGCTTGAAAGTGACTACAACTCACACTAAAGGCCATTTTTCACTTACTTATTTTTTTTAATGTGCTGAGCTTATTGTGAAAACTACGATGAGGCAGGCTGTATTCAAATATGGAAATAATGGTTTATAGGGAAATAGTTAATGAAAATATGAAGAAAGAGAAATAAGCTGTGCCTAAATATTTCCACTCTGATTTAGAAGAGACTTATAGACCCAAACATCTAGGTGAAGTAGCATTCTAAATTCACTCTCTCTACTGCCTCAGTGCATTATCCCTCTACCTACTATAATCTGTCCTCCCCTCCATTACTGCATTAACTCTGTCTCTTCTGGAGTTATCAACTATTTCCTTCTTAATAAAGTAAAGAGCATTTTTTGGTACTTGCATATTTGATTTTCATTAAGTTTCCCTTCTCTTCCAGAGTACGCACCTCTTGCTTTTCAAAATATACTGCTTTTTCTTTTTTTTTTTTTCTCCCTTTTGTAGCAATACACCACATTGGTCAAAGATAGCATGCTTTCCCATGTTCTGGAAGCTAGAACACAAATTTTAGAAAGGGTATAGAAGGGTAAAACTAATATAGCTCTCTCTATATGTGCTGCTTAACTTGTTAAACAATATATAAACTATAAATAAAGCCAGTAAATGTTTACACTTATTGGCCAATTACTTCGTGTATCTACTCTGCAGTGAGATTGGTTGAGCTCAAGCATTGTAGGCACATTTAACTCAGATATATGGATATAGATACTGAACCAACTACTTAAGAATAGTTAAGAACCAACTACTTAAGAATATAGAACTGAACCAACTACTTAAGAATGTTGAGTTATTTATGCACAGTTGTAGAGGATGTCTGCACTTGTGCCCAGGTAAGAGAAACTAAATCTCCTGTTTCTGCTAAGTAGCTTAAGAAATAAGCTATTATGTGAGGTACTCAGATGCATCACTAAAATTGTGATTGTTGGGAAAAATAAAATTGTGCTTGTTGGGCACCAGTAGTGACGGTTTAATCACATGCAATGCAATGAAGGTGGAAACTCTAAATTAGTGAAGACATTTTTTGAAGATATAATCTCACAAATTTATTTAAGGGCATTAGAAAACTCTCCTGCCTGACTTGCAAAAAATATGTTCATGCCTCAGGTTCCTTTGTGTCCCCATCAAAGAAATTGAAGAGGGAAGTAAAAGTCTTTTGAATTTTCAAGGCATAGGTGACTTTTACTCTCATGATAGTGAGGAGGTTTTTCTGTAGAAAGATGATGGTTTTAACATTTGAGCCCTGTTCTTGGGTTTGAGAGGTTAAAAAGCAAAATGGCTGAATGCATGGGGGTGATCTCTAGGACTCAAACGGACCATAAAACCTGTGAGGTTGTTGTGGTACAGTGCTGTTGAGGTGGGGTGAAATTGAGGAGACTTACAAGCCAATGACTATGTGGATAACCTGAACAACTACTCAAAAGAAGCTCCTGCATGGAACCTAGTGAGGAACACATGGGAATAGAGTCATCCGGGGAGTCAGTATTGAAAGATCAACAGTGTGTACCATTGGCTCCCCCTATGAGACTTATGATACATTTCTTCACTCTCAGATATATATATTTTATATATATAATATATATAATCAGATATATATATAATGTGTACATGTATATATATACACATACACATACATATACACCTATATATTTATAGGATTAAATAAATTTATTTCATCTATTTAAATAATAATAAGCTATCATTGATATCAGTATAATATGTCACCCCATTCAGAAGTATTAGCATGTGTCTTCATAGGTTTTGTGCTGCTATAACAGAGTAAGTGGTACTGGGTAATTTATAAACAACAGAAATTTATTCTCTCACAGTTTCGAAGCTGGGAAGTCCAAGATCAAGGTGCCAGCCTCTGGCATGGGCCTTATTACAGCATCCTCACATAGAAGAAGGCAGAAGAGCAAGAGACAGATGAATTCTATATACTCACATAGCAGATTAGAAAACAGTGAACCCAATCCCACAAGCGCTTTTAATAGGCGTATTTATCCATTCATGAGGGTGGAGCTCTCATGACTTAAACTCATATCGAAAGGCCTCATACCCCGCTCAACTCTTGCATTGAGGATTAAGTTTCTAACACATACATTTTGGAGGGTACACATTCAAACCACAGCAGTGTGATAACATTTAATAAATAATTCTTGCTCATGGGATGAATATCTATATTTATATTGATACCAAAAACTATATATTTACCTTAATCTACATTATTCTGTGAAATAATTAATCTTCTAATTGAAGATCTACCACTCTCCTGTTGAACAAGAATGGTACTTTGAAATTGCATTGAATTCTCATATATAATTGGTAAAAAATAAATTTAAAAACTCACAATCTCTTACATATCTCTATTTATTGTTTTTCAATCATTGGTAGGACCACTGAATCTTTAGATGAAAGTATATTAGAAAACTGTACATTGTTTTAAACAATATGAGCTGTTATGCTGTGTTTTTTGATCTTAATAATCATTGCTATATAGAAATGTACAAATAACACTGTTTTTAAATATCATTCATTCTTTTATTCTAATTTTATTTGTTTTAATAGAAATTATAATTCCATAATTCATGTCACGTTTAACTTTAGGAGAAGAAAGTAGAATAACAGAAGTTTCTACAGATAGAAATAAAAGATCAACATTAAATGATAATTATATTCTGGATATTGACAGAATGACTAATCAACTCTCAGAAGTAACTCCTCTATGTAAGGGGTCATTAAATGAGAAAACCATTATTTTTCTGAGAATAGGAATTTTCCACAAAAAATATTCATTACTTGGAATAAGATATTTTTAGTTTCAGATGTAAAAACACAAAAAAGCTTCTAAAAGAACATACTGTGTTTCTTGATAAGCTCAATGTAGAGAAATGTAGACTAATGTAATAAAAGAGGACATATAAATAGTACCTTTTAACCTATGCTCCTTTATCTTCCCACTGTAAAAGTAAAAGCATCAACGTAAATATACACAGAAGAAAGTACACTTAATAATCATATTTTTGAGTTTCTTTCTATAATTACGAAGCACAATGATAAAAAGTTAATGACGAATCCATATGTGGTGGTGTGCACCTGTAGTCAGTTAATCAGGAGGCTGAGATAGGAGAATTGTTTGACACCAGGAGTGTGAGACCAGCCTGGGCAACATAGCAAGACCCGATCTCTAAAAAAGTTAATAGAAAAATATTTAAAAATTAAGGGATAAATGGAATTAAGTTAAAAATGATTTCTAAAGATGACTAATTTGAGGGATTGAGGTGGGTCAAATTTTGTTAATTAAAATTAAGAGTCAACTTCTCTTTTTAGCTCCACCATGTTAAAGCTTTTAAGTTGTCATTCTAGTCCTTATGACATGAAAACAAAACTAACTAAACTGAAAATCAATGTCTCCTTTAGAGTCATAAAAGAACCGAGGTCCTAGGACAAACTGGAACTCTAAAACCTGGACAGATAGACACATAGAGAAAAATCACAACCGAGACCAGCTTACCTAGAGCATATGCCACTGGAGCCATAAACTTGTAGGAATACTAAAATGGTAATTTGCTGATGACTGAGTGAGGATTAGCTTGAAAAAGTGAGAAACTCCTGGTGGGCTAGTCTTAGAAAGGTCTCCATATTTTCATGATTTTTACCTCTAGGAACCCTATCCTGTTCTCAAGTCAGAGATATGAGAAAGCATCACTCATGTTATGAGCAGAGGACAATAAAGCAACAAAGTTGAGTTATACCTAGAGCATTCTATATAACAAAGACCTGCTCTCCAAAGGATACTAGTTTATCAGGGCCTAATATACTTGGGGGAAAGGCAATTAGCTAATTTCAGCCTCTTCTAGCCTTCCTGGATTGACTAAGGAGAAAAAAATAGAAGACTACTGGATTGACTATGGAGAAAAAAATAGAAGACTACGGAACACATGTGAAATCACAACCCAGAAACTCAGGCTGACTAAAAGACTGAACTTTAATCATAAGATTGTAGAGTGCTTCCCTCTCTCACGCTTTCCTACCATGTCAATAAGGATACAGTATAGTAACTGTGGATTGCAACTGAAAAAGCTGCAAGGCACCTACCTTGTTTCAGAAACAGTTTATAGAGAAACTAAAGACAAAAAGGAAAGGAAAAAAACAACAATGAAGATACTATAGGAAATGGAAGCCACTGGTACCTATAGCTATAGTTACATTAAACACAGCTCAGATCCTATGAAGATTAGTGTAAATTTTCAGAGTAATGGCTTATTACTTCAGTGTCTGTTACCTGACTTAAACAAGAAATTAATTATAAGACATGATATGAGGCTAGAAAAAACACAATCTGAAAAGAAAGAAAAGCATTAGAACCAGACTCAGATTTGACATAGATTTTGAAATTATCAGGTAGATAATTTAAATAACTATAGTTAATAAGTTGAGGGATAGAGAATTTAAATAACTTTAGTTAATAAGTTGAGGGCTCAAGAGGGAAAAAGTTGGCAACTCGAGCTAGAAACTCAAAGAAAGAATTAAAAAGTGATAGAAATGGAAAAAAAAGAAAAACACAACACTGTAATAGAAATAAAGAACAAATGTGGGCTTTTCAGTAGCCTGAACCCCACTAGAGAATGTAACAGTGAGCTTGAAGATATGTCAATAGACATATTTTTTTCAGTGTAACAATATGCAAAGAGAAATTTGCATATAAAACATGGAAAGTAAAAAATAAATTTTCATAATGGACCATAATATCTAAGAACTATGAGATAATTACAAAAGGTGTTACGTATACATAATAGGATTACTGCAGTGGAAAAAAGGAAGAAGCAGAAGGAATATTTGAAGTAAAAACAGCCAATAATTTTCCAAAATTAATGACAGTTACTAAACCATAGACCTAAAAAAACTTATAGAACACAAAGGATAAATACCAAAAAACCTACATGTAGGCATATCATATTCAAATTGCTACAAAAAAAGAGAGAAAATTTTTCAAGAGGCCAGAAGAAAAAAAAAAAAGATGCCTCTCTAATAGAAAAATAAGGAGAAAAATTGTATCAGACTTCTTTTCAGGAACCATGTAAACAAAAAGAGAGTAAAGTTAAATATTTAAAGAATTTAAAGACGAAATCCACCAAGCTAAATTTTGAATTCAGTAAAAGTATCCTCCCAAAGTGAAAGGGATATATAGGCTTTCTCAGACAAGTAAAAATGGAAGGAGTTTATCACTAGTAGACCTGCCCTGTAATAAATATTAAAATAAAATATTCAGAAAACAAAAAAGTATATATTTCAGAAACTGGTATCAACATAAAGACATGAAGAATGTTGGAGAAAGAATAAATAAAAATCTAAAAACATTTTCTTTTTTCTTACTCTCAATTTATCTAACAGATAACTGTTTAAAGTAATAATAACAATCTATTGGGTGATTATAGTATATGGAAAAGTGAAATGAATAACAACAATGTTATAAGGGATGAGAGGAAAGGATGAGAATGCTCTGCCATAAAGTACTTCTACTACTCATGAGGCAGTATAGTGTTATCTAGAAGTGGCCCAAAATTGTCAGTATACATAAAAAATTCTAAGGCAGTAACTGAAATATATACATATGTGTGTGTATGTGTGTGTATATATATGTGTATATATATATACGTATAAATACATGTATACATACATATATATATATACATATATATATACACACACATATGTACATTAAAGTATAATTGATAACCTGAGAAAATAAGGAAAATTCATGCAACCAGAAAGAGGGTAAGAAGGATACAAAAAAGCTCAACAAAATTGGAAATCATGTAAAAATATAGAAAGCAAACTAACTACATCAATAACTACTTTAAATGTGAAGATCGAAATCCCAAAAATATAATTCTGGAAAAAAATTAAAGTTATTTAAAGATATTCATTTACATTTTTAAGAGGGAATTTGTTTGAGAAACATATAAAAAACACAAAAGAACACTCCACAGGCCACTTTACACAATAAAATAGGCAATACCACACACAATTTTTGCCATCATAAACACTCAGGTGTACTAAGGGCAGTCACGGGTATAACAGGCTTGATGAACGGTATCATAAAGAATAGGTCAAGTAGAGAAATGTATAAGCACATATCACCATAGTTGGCAATGGTGTGCACTTAATTTTGTAATGCTGATAACTTTAAATAGTGAAAAAACTTTTTAAAGGTGAAATAAAAGAAAAAGAAAAACTAAAAAGAAAATTTGACATATGAATAAATGTATCATAGGGATATATTTATGGGCGATTGCACAGAGATAGTTCATAAAATCTGCCCAACATTTATGAATTTATGATCATTATATTTTGAAGTCTCATTTCATGATGAATAGCTGTTCTTTTCTTTTCTTTCAGGATGTGGCTATCTTTGGAAAATAGGTTCACAATGATTTTCTACATTGTGGTGCTTTTTCTGAAATTCTTCTATGATCTGATATATGCCTGACATGAATGTTCTATATTAAATTTTCCCATTTTCTGTGCCATGCTTCTATGTTGATTCCGGTGCATGGAAATCCATTCTGCATGTACTCATATACAAAACCACAAATTTGGCAGAAACAATACTGGTGATCGAAAGGCAAGATTGTTGTATAAGTGTCTTCTTTCCCTACCATGCACATAGTTATTTTCAAACTAGTCAGTAATGTCATTAACTTCTTTAGGCAAATGTGGCTTAAATTCATTAAAGCTCCTGAAATGTCAACAGCTGGAAAGAATACCAATGCAGACAAATAACAAAATTTTCAAGTGAAGTACTCATTGCTGCCCTATGGCATGGCCATGACTCATCTAAGTTTTCTGCCAAATGCATTGGGCCAAATTAACAAAACAAATTTTACTGGTCATATCTTGAAATTCACTTTTAGAAGCCTTGATTGTACCAAAATCGATATTTGTCATATGATTTGCAGATTCAGTTGAAATTCATTTCCTTGTGTTCATCATTTCCTTCCTTAAAGTTCATTAAATCTTTAAATAAGCCTTTGCAAAGTGCTTCACATTTTCCAGTCATTAATATAGAAATTATCAGAGTTCTAGAATTTTCAGATCCAGCAGAGGTATGAATTGTACAAAGGTGATAAAAAACATGGAGGGCAGTTTTGAAAGTGGTATCTGTTAGCCAAAGTGAAGCATACATTTGTTTTTCTATGTTAGATTTAGTGGTAAAAACAATAAACCTATCTTCTTTGACAATGAAATCCCTAATCAAGAATAGTTCACCATTTAATGTATTTTGTAACACTGGAGGCACCTCAATATTAGCATCTGTCTGACTCAGAAGGTATCTGAGCTTGTCAAATTATTTTTATTTCCTGAGAAAGGGAATTTTTTGAAAGCAACCATGACACACTATGTGTGAAGGGTCAGAAGCTGTACATGGTTGAGCAAGTTGACAGAGGAGATTTGTATTCTTTTGCCTGTATTTTCATTTCTATGATCTTCAAAACACACTGCTTTTATTTGAAGAGTGGCTGTGGTCTACAAATTGTGTAAGTATATGCTGTCCATTTGAAAGTTTAGTTATTGCTTAGTAAGCACATTAAAGCATTTTTTTAATTTTTACAGCTCCAATAAGAATTATCTTTTAAACTTTATATTTCTCCATTAAGTAACCCTGTACTTAACTTAGACTTTCTGAGGGAAAAATTTCACAGATTTCTTCCATTGTGTTGCAAGAAATACAATAAGAAGGAATGATATTTAGGTTTTCCAATACCAAATTTCCAATACAAAAAAAGGTTTTAGTGAAGGTTCTACAGAGAGATAGAACTAATAGACATATATATACACACACACATATATATACACATATATAGACATATGTATAATAGACATATATGGATATAGATAATAAACATATATATAGACATATATATCTAACTATATCTGTATATATATGGATTTAGTAAGGGGATTGGTTCACATAATTCTGGTGGCTGAGAAGTTACGTGATAGACTATCTGTAAACTGGCTTCCCTGGGATACCAGTAGAGTGGCTCAGGCAAGAAGCTTCAAAATCCAGGAGGCTACTGGTGTAAGTCCTGAAGTCCAAAGGCCAGCAAGCCTGCAGTTCTGATGTCCAAGGCAGCAGAAGAAAGGTCTTTTCCAGATCACAGAGGGAGAGCCTTCTGTATTTGTTCTCTCTGGGTCCCCAGCTGATTAAATTGGATGATGCCCACCAACGTGGAGCGCAAAACTCCTCCACCTAATACACCAGATTTACACACGAATTTCTTCTGGAAACACCTCACAGACACACCCAGAATAATGATTTACCAGATTTCTGGGTATTCTTTAATCCAGCCAAGTTGATGCCTAAAATTAAATCCACAGGTCCACCCATTGTCAGCTTGGCACCCATATGCTTCTCCTTAAACCATACTTAATTTCCAAAGGAAGACAAAAACACAGTGATAATTCTGCCTGATATGATACAACTATCCTGTGATTGTGATTTTAGGGATTTTGGACATTAAGGAGTTTCAGACATTAAGGATTTAGACTTCAGGGATTTTGATCATTTGGGATTACGGCATTCAGGATTGTGTCTTTCAGAACTGGGATCCAAACCTGTGATTCTCCTTCCCAAAGCACTCCCGTCTAATAATGAGATAAACATCAGGCAAATTTCAACACAGAGGCTCCTACAACATACAAGATTCGTACTTCTGAAAACTAAGTTCATCAAAACCAAGAAAACTGAGAAACTCACTGTCAAGAGGAGCCTAATAAGACAAATAAATATAATGTGTTATCCTGGGTGAAATCCTAGAACAGAAAGATGGCATTAAGTAAAAGCTAAGGAAATCTGAATGAAATATAGACTTCAGTTTAATAATAGTGAATCAAAGTTGGGTTATTAATTGTAACAAATGTAGCATACTAATGTAAGAAATATAAGCCAGGTTTTATAGTAGGAAAACCTGGCTGTGAGCGGTATATGAGAAATTTTGTATTAATAGTAACTGCTCAATTTTTCTATACATCTAAAACTGTTCTAAAACCAAGTCTGTTAATAAAAATTTAAAAGTCAATGATAAAATTATAGTAAGTGTTTTTATTTTGTTACTGTATTAGGGTTCATTTACAAATAACTTCTCATGACTCAGCAGGAGAATCTGAGAATAAACTAACGACCTGCACATGAAAACTTTGAGCCAGATATTTTAAGCTGAACAGAGAACAAGATAAAGCTGGCTCTCTTTTAAACATTTAGCATTTGAAGAGATTCAAAGGAAGACATCTTTCTACAGCAAATAAATTTAAATATTTAAATTGTTATCAAGTAAAGTTGTAAAATTTCTTCTTCTGCAGGTGTTCATAAATAAGATTTTTTTTCCGATGTAATCTAATCAGGAGACAAAGTGATGGATGAGGTGACTTAGATTTGCTGCTTCTGATAAATTTAATATTACAGTAGTAAGTTGCCATCCTGAAGAAAATAATTGAACATTGGAAAATGATGAATAGTAGTAGGAAGACATGACATAGATGAAATAGAGGCTTACACTGTACTTTAAACTATCAGCATGATGAAAAGCCTGCATTTTGGTACTGGACAGGTATTTATGTTCATTTCATAATGTCAAAAATCCATTCATTCAATGATACCTTTGTTCAACATTGTCCATAATTAATACACTTTCCTAGTTGGTAGGTGTTAATACATTTTTAATAAAATTCTTGTTTGTAAAAGAGAATATTTGAAATTTTAGAATAAAAATAATGATGGTTTCCTGCCATTTTTTTTTCCAAAAACCATCTCCAGGGTTATAACTTATTAAAAAATTTTGTTGTGATTAGTTAAATACAAGAACAAAGGAAAGGCAAATCTATATTTTGGCATTCCTCGTTTACAAATTAATACTTTCTCAACGGTGATGAGCTATTACTATATACTTAATGAAACTGCTATTTTTTTTTTTTTTTTTTTACAAAATGGCATATGATTTATTTAGTCATTAAAAGAGTACAGCTGACTGGGCGCGGTGGCTCACGCCTGTAATCCCAGCACTTTGGGAGACCAGCGCAGGCAGATCACGAGGTCAAGAGATCGAGACCATTCTGGCTAATACGGTGAAACCCTGTCTCTACTAAAGATACAAAAAATTAGCCAGGCATGGTGGCGGGCACCTGTAGTCCCAGCTACGCCAGAGGCTGAGGCAGGAGGATGGCGTGAACCTGGGAGGCGGAGGTTGCAGTGAGCAGAGATCGCGCCACTGTACTCCAGCCTAGGTGACAGAGTGAGACTCTGTCAAAAAAAAAAAAGAGTACAGCTATATTTTAAATTTAGTTAGTGAATCATCATCATAAGTTTCATGGTAATGCCTAAATTCAGTGGGCTTAAAGTTTTAAAATGTCTATGTGTCTTTAAAAATACTTCAATAGCTTTAGGGATACAAATAATTTCTGGTTATATGGATGAATTGTATAGTGGTGAAATCTGGACTTCTACTGTACACATCACCTGAATATTGTGCACTATACCAAATAGGTAATGTTTTATCCCTCACCCTCCCACCTTACCGGCTTCTGAGTTTGTAGTGTTCATTACACTGCCTTTGCATACCCATAGCTTAGATTCCACTTATAAGTGGGAGCATGCGGTAATTGGTTTTTCCTTCCTGAGTTACTTCACTTAGGATAATGGTCTCCAGTTCCATTAAAGTTGCTGCAAAAGACATTCTTTCATTCCTCTTTATGGCTCAATAGTATTCCATGGTATATGTGCTACATTTTCTTTATCCACTCATTAGTTGATGGACACTTACGTTGATACCGTATTTTTTCAATTGTGAATTGTGCTTCAATAAACATATATATGAAGGTTTCATTTTGCTATAACAACTTATTTTGCTTTGGGCTAGATATCCGGTAGTGGGATTCCTGGATTGAATGGTAGATCTACTTTTAGTTCTTTGAGGAATCTCCATTCTGTTTTTCATAGAGGTTGTACTAATTTACATTCCCACCAACCGTGTATAAGCGTTCTCTTTCACCATATCCATTCCAGCATATATCGTTTGACTTTTAAATAATGGCCATTCAGGCTGGAGTAAGGTGGTATTTCATTGTAGTTTTAATTTGCATTTTCCTAATGATTACTGAGATTTTGCATTTCTTCATGTGCTTGTTGGCCACTTGTATATCCTCTTTTTAGAAATTTCTGTTCATGTACTTTGCCCACGTTTTAATGGGATTATTTGTTTTTTTCTTGATGATTTGTTGAGTTCCTTGTAGATTCTAGCTGTTATCCTTTTGTTGATGTATAAGTCACAACTATTTTCTCTTATTCTGTAGGTCGTTTATTTACTCTGTTACTTATTTCTTTTGATGTGGAGAAGCTTTTTCCTTAAAAAAAATTGTGGGTACATAGTGTGTGTATATATTTATGAGTTACATGAGATATTTTGATACCGGTGTATAGCGTGTAATAATCACACCAGGGTAAATGAAGTACCCATCACCTCAACCACTTATCTTTTCTTTATGTGACAAACAATCCAATTATACTTTTGTAATTATTTAACAAAGTAAAATAAATTATTGTTCGCCATAGTTACCCTGTTGTCCTATCAAATACTAGATATTATTCATTCTATTTAAATATATTTTTGTGCCCACTAATCATCATCATTTCCACTTCCCACTACCCTTCTCAGACTTTGGTAACCATGATTCCACTGTTTATTTCATGAGTTAAATTGTTTTAATTTTTTTTAGCTCCCACAAATAAGTGATAATGTGTGGTTTGTCTTTCTGTGTGTGGATTATTTCATTTAATATAATTGGATCCCAGTTCCATCCAGGTTAGTGCAAATGACACAAACTCATTTTTTATAGCTGAATAGTAATCAATTGTGTATATGTGCTAAAATCTCTTTATCCATTCATCTGTTGATGGACACTTAGCTTGCTTTCAAATGTTGGTTATTGTGAAATTAGAGTGCAGCTATCTGTTTGATATACAGATATTCTTTCTTTGGGGTGTATACCTAACAGTGAGATTGTGGAATAATATGGTAGTTCTATTTTTACTTTTTTGAGGAACTTCTAAACTGTTCTCCATAGTGGTTGTACTAATATACATTCCCCTTTCTCTACATCATTGCCAGCATTTGCTATTGGCTGTCTTTCAGATGAAAGCCATTTTAACTGGGGTAAAATTATATTTCATTGTAGTTTTGATTAGCATTTATCTGATGATCATTGATGTTAAGCACCTTTTCATATACTTGTGTGCCATTTGTTTGTCTTTTTTAGGAGAAATGTCTATTCAGATCTTTTGCCCATTTTCAATCAGACTATTAGATTTTTTTTCCCTATTGAGTTGCTTGAGCTCTTTATGTATTCTGTTCATTAATCCCTTGTAAGATGAATTGTTTGCAAATATTTTCTCCCATTATATGGGTTTTCTCTTCACTTTTTTGGTTGTTTCCTTCTCTGTGAAGAAAGGATTGTTTATTTTTGCTTTGGTTGCTTGCACTTGTGGGGTATTATTCGAAACATCTTTGCCATTCCAGTGTCCTGGAGTTTCCCCAAAGTTTTCCATACCAGTTTCACAGTTTGAGGTCTTAGATTTAAATATTAAATCCAGTTTGATTTAGTTTTTGTATATGGTGAGAGATAGGGGTCTAATTTTATTCTTTTGCATATGGATAAGTCCAATTTTCCCAGCACTATTTATTGAAGAGACAGTCCTTTTTCCAATATATGTTTCTGGCAGCTTTGTTGAAAATGAATTCACTGTAGATGTATGGATTGGTTTCTGGGTTCTCTATTCTGTTCCATTGATCTATGTGACTGTTTTTGTGCCAGTACCATGCTATTTTTGTAACTATAACTCTATAGTATAATTTGAAGTTGGGTAATGTGATTCCTCCAGTTTTCTTTTGACTGTTCTGGGCCTTCTGTGTTTTCATGTAAATTTTAATATTACTTTTTTCTATTTCTTGGAAGAATGTCATTGGTATTTTGCTAGAGATTTCACTGAATCTGTAGATTGCTTTTGATACTATAGACATTTTAACATTATTGGATTCTTTCAATCAATGAACATGGAATATCTTTCAAATTTTTGTGTCCTCTTTAATTTCTTGCATCAGTGTTTTATAGTTTTCATTGTTGAGATCTTTTACTTCTTTGGTTAAGTTTGTCCCTAGGTATTTTATTTTATTTGTAGCTATTATAAATAGGATTACTTCTTTGATTTCTTTTTCAGATTGTTCAGTATTGGCATATTGAAATGTTACTGACTTTTGTGTGTTAATTTTGTATCCTGCAAATTTACTTAATTCATTTATCAATTCTAATAGTTTTTTTTGTGGTGTCTTAAGATTTTTCCAAATATGAGATTTTATCATCTGCAAACAAGAATAACTTGACTTCTTCCTTTCTAACTTGGAGACACTTTATTTCTCTTTCTTGTCAGATTGATCTAGCTAGGACTTTGAGTACTTTGTTGAATAACAGTGGTGAAAGTGGACATCCTTTTGTTGTTCCAGATCTTAGAGGAAATACTTTCAGATATTTCCCATTTATTATGATACTATCTATGGGTCTGTTAGATGTGGATTTTATTGTTTTAAAGAATTTCCTTCTATTCCCAGGTTCTTGAGAATTTTTATCATAAATGGTGTTGAATTTTATCAAATGTCTTTTCAGCATTGATTAAAATGATCATATGTATTTGCCCTTCATTTTGTTGCTGTGATGTATCATGTTGATTAATTTGTGTATGTTGAACCATCCTTCAATCCCTGGGGTAAATCCCTCTTGGTCATGATGAAGAATCCTTTTAAATGATTTTGCTTTTTCTAGTATTTTATTGAAGCTTTTGCATCAATATTAAACAGATATATTGGCCTGTAGTTTTCTTTTGTCTTCTTTTTTATTTTTTGATTTATTTTTCTAGTTCGGTATCAGGGTAATACTTGCCTTACAGAATGAGTTTAGAGGTAGTTTCTCCTCTTATTTTTGGAAATGTTTGAGTAGGATTGGTATTAGTTCTTTAAATATTTGGTAAAATTCAGCAGTGAAGCCATCTGGCCCTTGGGTTTTCATTACTGGGAGAATTTTGTTATTTCTTTGATCTCATTAGTTGTAACAGCTCTGTTCAGGTTTTAGATTTCTTCATGGCTAAATCTTTCTAGGTTGTATGTGTCTATAAATTTATCCATTTCTTCTGTGTTTTCTGATTTACTGGCATACAGTTGCTCATATTAGTCTCTAACAATCCATTGAATTTCTACAGTATTGGTTGTAATGTCTGGTTTTTCATCTGTGATTTTATTTATTTGGATCTTCTCTTTTTTTTCTTAGTTTGGCTAAAGGTTTGTTAATTTTGTTTGTCTTTTCAAAACAACTAGTGTTTCATTGATGTTTTGTATTTTTCATTTTAATTTCATTTATTTTGGCACTGATATTTATTATTTATTTTCTCCTACTAACTTGGGATTATATTTGCTCTTCCTTTACTAGTTCTTTAAGATGCATCATTAGGTTCTTTAAGTTTTTCCACTTTTTTGATGTAGTGCTTATTGCTATTAACATTCTTTTTATTACTGCTTTTGTTTTATGCCATATTTTTTCATATGTTGTGTGATATGGTTTGGCTCCATGTCCTCATCTTAAGCCCATCTTGAATTGTAATCTCTACATGTCATGGGAGGGGCCTGGTGGAAGGTGATTGAATCATGGGGATGAACATCACCCTTGCTGTTCTTGTGCTGGTGAGTTCTCAGGAGATTTAGGTGTTTGAAGGTGTGTGGCACTTCCCACTTTGCTCTCTCTCTCTCCTGCTCCACCATGGTAAGACGTGCTGGCTTCCTCTTCATCTTTCACCATGATTGTATGTTTCCTGAGGCCTCCTAGTCATGCTTCCTGTTAAGCCTGTGGAACTGTGAGTTAATTAAACCTCTTTTCTTCATTAATTACCCAGTCTCAGGTAGTTCTTTATAGCAGTGTGAGAACAGACTAATACATAGTGTTTCCACTTTCATAAAGACTTTCAATGTTCCTGTTTTTTTACTGACTTACTGATTATTCAGGAGCATATTTTTAAATTTCTATGTGTTTCTGTAGTTTCCAAAATTCCTCTTGTTATTGATGTCTAATTTTATTCCATTGTGGTCAGATAAGATATCTGATATAATTTTAATTCTTTGAAATTTTTAAGACTTATCTTGTGGCCTAATACATGGTCTGTCTTTGAGAATGATTTATGTGCTAAGGTGAAGAATGTGTATTCTGCAGCCATTGAGTGATATGTTCTAAAAATATCTATTGGGTTCATTTGGTCTCAGCGCAGATTAAGTTTCTGTGTTAATTTTCTGTCTGGATCACCTATCCAATGTTGAAAGTGGGGTGCTGTAGTCTTCAGTTATTATTGTATTGGGAAGTAGCTCTCTTTAACTTCATTAATATTTGCTTGAGATAACTGGGTGCTCCAGTGATGGGTGCATATATATTTACAATTGTTATATGCTCATGCTAAATTGACCCCTTTATTATTATAGAGTTACCTCATATTTTATTCTTATTGTCTTAAAATCTATTTTGTCTGATATGATTATGACTATTCTTTATTTTTTTGGTTTCTATTTGCATGGAATATTTTTTCCCATTCATTTATTTTTGGTCTACGGTGTTTTTATAGGTGAAGTGTTTTTCTAGTAGGCAATAGATCATTGGACAATTTTCTTATTTTTTCCTTTTTTTATTAAACCCCTGATTGTATATTTTTTCTTTGTTTCTTTTTTTTTTTTTTGAGATGGAGTTCTGCTCTTTATGTATTTATTTATTTATTATTATTATTATTATACTTTAAGTTTTAGGGTACATGTACAAAATGTGCAGGTTAGATACATATGTACACATGTGCCACGCTGGTGCACCGCAACCACCAACTCGTCATCTAGCATTAGGTATATCTCCCAATGCTATCCCTCCCCCCTCCCCCCACCCCACAACAGTCCCCAGAGTGTGATGTTCCCCTTCCTGTGTCCATGTGTTCTCATTGTTCAATTCCCACCTATGAATGAAAATGTGCAGTGTTTGGTTTTTTGTTCTTGAGATAGTTTACTGAGAATGATGATTTCCAATTTCATCCATGTCCCTACAAAGGACATGAACTCATCATTTTTTATGGCTGCATAGTATTCCATGGTGTATATGTGCCACATTTTCTTAATCCAGTCTATCATTGTTGGACATTTGTGTTAGTTCCAAGTCTTTGCTATTGTGAATAATGCCGCAATAAACATACGTGTGCATGTGTCTTTATAGCAGCATGATTTATAGTCCTTTGGGTATATACCCAGTAATGGGATGGCTGGGTCAAATGCTATTTCTAGTTCTAGATCCCTGAGGAATTGCCACACTGACTTCCACAATGGTTGAACTAGTTTACAGTCCCACCAACAGTGTAAAAGTGTTCCTATTTCTCCACATCCTCTCCAGCACCTGTTGTTTCCTGACTTTTTAATGATTGCCATTCTAACTGGTGTGAGATGGTATCTCATTGTGGTTTTGATTTGCATTTCTCTGATGGCCAGTGATGGTGAGCATTTTCTCATGTGTTTTTTGGCTGCATAAATGTCTTCTTTTGAGAAGTGTCTGTTCATGTCCTTCGCCCACTTTTTGATGGGGTTGTTTGTTTTTTTCTTGTAAATTTGTTTGAGTTCATTGTAGATTCTGGATATTAGCCCTTTGTCAGATGAGTAGGTTGTGAAAATTTTCTCCCATTCTGTAGGTTGCCTGTTCACTCTGATGGTAGTTTTTTTGCTATGCAGAAGCTCTTTAGTTTAATTAGATCCCATTTGTCAATTTTGGCTTTTGCTGCCATTGCTTTTGGTGTTTTAGACATGAAGTCCTTGCCCATGCCTATGTCCTGAATGGTAATGCCTAGGTTTTCTTCTAGGGTTTTTATGGTTTTAGGTCTAACATTTAAGTCTTTAATCCATCTTGAATTGATTTTTGTATAAGGTGTAAGGAAGGGATCCAGTTTCAGATTTCTACATATGGCTACCCAGTTTTCCCAGCACCATTTATTAAGTAGGGAATCCTTTCCCCATTGCTTGCTTTTCTCAGGTTTGTCAAAGATCAGATAGTTGTAGATATGTGGCGTTATTTCTGAGGGCTCTGTTCTGTTCCATTGTTCTGTATCTCTGTTTTGGTACCAGTACCATGCTGTTTTGTTTACTGTAGCCTTGTAGTATAGTTTGAAGTCAGGTAGTGTGATGCCTCCAGCTTTGTTCTTTTGGATTAGGATTGACTTGGCGATGCGGGCTCTTTTTTGGTTCCACATGAACTTTAAAGTAGTTTTTTCCAATTCTGTGAAGAAAGTCACTGGTAGCTTGATGGGGATGGCATTGAATCTGTAAATTACCTTGGGCAGTATGGACATTTTCATGATATTGATTCTTCCTACCCATGAGCATGGAATGTTCTTCCATTTGTTTGTGTCCTCTTTTATTTCCTTGAGTAGTGGTTTGTAGTTCTCCTTGAAGAGGTCCTTCACATCCCTTGTAAGTTGGATTCCTAGGTATTTTATTCTCTTTGAAGCAATTGTGAATGGGAGTTCACTCATGATTTGGCTCTCTGTTTGTCTGTTATTGGTGTATAAGAATGCTTGTGATTTTTGCACATTGATTTTGTATCCTGAGACTTTGCTAAGTTGCTTCTCAGCTTAAGGAGATTTTGGGCTGAGACGATGGGGTTGTCTAGATATACAATCATGTCGTCTGCAAACAGGGACAATTTGACTTCCTCTTTTCCTAATTGAATACCCTTTATTTCCTTCTCCTGCCTGATTGCCCTGGCCAGAACTTCCAACACTATGTTGAATAGGAGTGGTGAAAGAGGGCATCCCTGTCTTATGCCAGTTTTCAAAGGGAATGCTTCCAGTTTTTGCCCATTCAGTATGATATTGGCTGTGGGTTTGTCATAGATAGCTCTTATTATTTTGAAATACTTCCCATCAATACCTAATTTATTGAGAGTTTTTAGCATGAAGGGTTGTTAAATTTTGTCAAAGGCCTTTTCTGCATCTATTGAGATAATCATGTGGTTTTTGTCTTTGGTTCTGTTTATATGCTGGATTACATTTATCGATTTGCATATATTGAACCAGCCTTGAATCCCAGGGATGAAGCCCACTTGATCATGGTGGATAAGCTTTTTGATGTGCTGCTGGATTCGGTTTGCCAGTATTTTATTTAGGATTTTTGCATCGATGTTCATCAGGGATATTGGTCTAAAATTCTCTTTTTTCGTTGTGTCTCTGCCCTGCTTTGGTATCAGGATGATGCTGGCTTCATAAAATGAGTTAGGTAGGATTCCCTCTTTTTCTATTGATTGGAATAGTTTCAGAAGGAATGCTACCAGTTCCTCCTTGTACCTCTGGTAGAATTCGGCTGTGAATCCATCTGGTCCTGGACTCTTTTTGGTTGGTAAGCTATTGATTATTGCCACAATTTCAGATCCTGTTATTGGTCTATTCAGAGATTCTTCTTCCTGGTTTAGTCTTGGGAGAGTGTATGTGTCGAGGAATTTATCCATTTCTTCTAGATTTTCTAGTTTATTTGCGTAGAGGTGTTTGTAGTATTCTCTGATGGTAGTTTGTATTTCTGTGGGATTGGTGGTGATATCCCCTTTATCATTTTTTATTGCGTCTATTTGATTCTTCACTCTTTTTTTCTTTATTAGTCTTGCTAGCAGTTTATCAATTTTGTTGATCCTTTCAAAAAACCAGCTCCTGGATACATTAATTTTTTGAAGGGCTTTTTGTGTCTCTATTTCATTCAGTTCTGCTCTGATTTTAGTTATTTCTTGCCTTCTGCTAGCTTTTGAATGTGTTTGCTCTTGCTTCTCTAGTTCTTTTAATTGTGATGTTAGGGTGTCAATTTTGGATCTTTCCTGCTTTCTCTTGTGGGCATTTAGTGCTATAAATTTCCCTCTACACACTGCTTTGAATGCATCCCAGAGATTCTGGTATGTTGTGTCTTTGTTCTCGTTGGTTTCAAAGAAAATCTTTATTTCTGCGTTCATTTCGTTATGTACCCAGTAGTCATTCAGAAGCTGGCTGTTCAGTTTCCATGTAGTTGAGCGGTTTTGAGTGAGATTCTTAATCCTGAGTTCTAGTTTGATTGCACTGTGGTCTGAGAGATAGTTTGTTATGATTTCTGTTCTTTTACATTTGCTGAGGAGAGCTTTACTGCCAAGTATGTGGTCAATTTTGGAATAGGTGTGGTGTGGTGCTGAAAAAAATGTATATTCTGTTGATTTGGGGTGGAGAGTTCTGTAGATGTCTATTAGGTCCACTTGGTGCAGAGCTGAGTTCAATTCCTGGATATCCTTATTGACTTTCTGTCTCATTGATCTGTCTAATGTTGACAGTGGGGTGTTAAAGTCTCCCATTATTAATGTGTGGGAGTCTAAGTCTCTTTGTAGGTCACTCAGTACTTGCTTTATGAATCTGGGTGCTCCTGTATTGGGTGCATATATATTTAGGATAGTTAGCTCTTCTTGTTGAATTGATCCCTTTACCATTATGTAATGGCCTTCTTTGTCTCTTTTGATCTTTGTTGGTTTAAAGTCTGTTTTATCAGAGACTAGGATTGCAACCCCTACCTTTTTTTGTTTTCCATTTGCTTGGTAGATCTTCCTCCGTCCTTTTATTTTGAGCCTATGTGTGTCTCTGCATGTGAGATGGGTTTCCTGAATACAGCACACTGATGGGTCTTGACTCTATCCAATTTTCCAGTCTGTGTCTTTTAATTGGAGCATTTAGTCCATTTGTCCATTTACATTTAAAGTTAATATTGTTATGTGTGAATTTGATCCTGTCATTTTGATGATGTTAGCTGGTTCTTTTGCTCTTAGTGATGCAGTTTCTTCCTAGTCTCAATGGTCTTTACATTTTGGCATGATTATGCAGTGGCTGGTACCGGTTGTTCGTTTCCATGTTTAGCGCTTCCTTCAGGAGCTCTTTTAGGGCAGGCCTGGTGGTGACAAAATCTCTCAGCATTTGCTTGTCTGTAAAGTATTTTATTTCTCCTTCACTTATGAAGCTTAGTTTGGCTGGATATGAAATTCTGGGTTGAAAATTCTTTTCTTTAAGAATGTTGAATATTGGCTCCCACTCTCTTCTGGCTTGTAGGGTTTCTGCCGAGAGATCCGCCATTAGTCTGATGGGCTTTCCTTTGAGGGTAACCTGACCTTTCTCTCTGGCTGCCCTTAACATTTTTTCCTTCATTTCAACTTTGGTGAATCTGACAATTATGTGTCTTGGAGTTGCTCTTCTCGAGGAGTATCTTTGCAGCATTCTCTGTATTTCCTGAATCTGAATGTTGGCCTGCCTTGCTAGATTGGGGAAGTTCTCCTGGATAATATCCTGCAGAGTGATTTCCAACTTGGTTCCATTCTCCCCATCACTTTCAGGTACACCAATCAGATGTAGATTTGGTCTTTTCACATAGTCCCATATTTATTGGAGGCTTTGCTCGTTTCTTTTTATTCTTTTTTCTCTAAACTTCCCTTCTCGCTTAATTTCATTCATTTCATCTTCCATCGCTGATACCCTTTCTTCCAGTTGATCGCATCGGCTCCTGAGGCTTCTGCATTCTTCACGTAGTTCTCGAGCCTTGGTTTTCAGCTCCATCAGCTCCTTTAAGCACTTCTCTGTATTGGTTATTCTAGTTATACATTCTTCTAAATTTTTTTCAAAGTTTTCAACTTCTTTGCCTTTGGTTTGAATGTCCTCCCGTAGCTCAGAGTAATTTGATCGCCTGAAGCCTTCTTCTCTCAGCTCATCAAAGTCATTCTCCATCCAGCTTCATTCCATTGTTAGTGAGGAACTGCGTTCCTTTGGAGGAGGAGAGGTGCTCTGCTTTTTAGAGTTTCCAGTTTTTCTGCTCTGTTTTTTCCCCATCTTTGTGGTTTTTATCTACTTTTGGTCTTTGATGATGGTGATGCACAGATGGGTTTTTGGTGTGGATGTCCTTTCTGTGTGTTAGTTTTCCTTCCAACAGACAGGACCCTCAGCTGCAGGTCTGTTGGAGTACCTGGCCGTGTGAGGTGTCAGTCTGCCCCTGCTGGGGGATGCCTCCTAGTTAGGGTGCTCGGGGGTCAGGGATCAGGGACCCACCTGAGGAGGCAGTCTGCCCGTTCTCAGATCTCCAGCTGCATGCTGGGAGAACCACTGCTCTCTTCAAAGCTATCAGGGACATTTAAGTCTGCAGAAGTTACTGCTTTTTGTTTGTCTGTGCCCTGCCCCCAGAGGTGGAGCCTACAGAAGCAGGCAGGCCTCCTTGAGCTGTGGTGGGCTCCACCCAGTTCGAGCTTCCTGGCTGGCTGCTTTGTTTACCTAAGCAAGCCTGGGCAATGGCAGGTGCCCTCCCCTAGCCTGGCTGCCACCTTGCAGTTTGATTTCAGACTGCTGTGCTAGCAAACAGTGATACTCCGTGGGTGTAGGACCCTCCGATACAGGTGCAGGATATAATCCCCTGGTGCGCCGTTTTTTAAGCCTGTCGGAAAAGCGCAGTATTCGGGTGGGAGTGACCCGATTTTCCAGGTGCCGTCTGTCACTCCTTTCTTAGACTAGGAAAGGGAACTCCCTGACCCCTTGCGCTTCCCGAGTGAGGCAATGCCTCGCCCTGCTTCGGCTCGCTCACGGTGCGTGCACTCACTGACCTGTGCCCACTGTCTGGAACTCCCTAGTGAGATGAACCCCGTACCTCAGATGGAAATGCAGAAATCACCCGTCTTCTGTGTCGCTCATGCTGGGAGCTGTAGACCAGAGCTGTTCCTATTTGGCCATCTTGGCTCCTCCCTCTCGGAGTTCTGCTCTTATTGCCCAGGCTGGAGTGGAGTAGAGTGGCACGATCTCGCCTCACTGCAACCTCTGCCTCCTGGGTTCACGCCATTCTCCTGCCTTAGCCTCCCAAGTAGCTGGGATTACAGGTGCCCACCACCATACACAACTAATTTTTTGTATTTTTAGTAGAGATGGGGTTTCGTCATGTTGGCCAGGATGGTCTCAAACTCCTGACCTTGTGATCCGCCCACCTTGGCCTCCCAAAGTGCTGGGATTACAGGCATGAGCCACCGTGCCAGGCCCCCGATTGTATATTTTCAAATATCTGTCTTTAAGCTTGCTAATTCTTTCTTCTGCTCTACCAATTCTACTGTTTAGCAACTCTAACAGAATTGTCAGTATGTCAGTTGCATTTTTTAGCTCCAGAATTTCTTCTTGTTTTTAATTATTTCAATGTCTGTTAAATTTATCTGATAGAATACTAAATTTCTTCTCTGTGCTATCTTCAATTTTATAAAGTTTCCTAGAAACAGTTATTTTTAATTCTGTGTCTGAAAAGTCACATCTCTGTCTCTCCTAGACTGGTCACTGGTGACTTATTTATTTCGTTTGCTGAGGTCATGTTTTCTGGATAGCATTGATGCCTGTGAATTTTTATCAATGTCTGAACATCGAAGATTTAGGTATTTTTGTAGTACTCACAGTTTGCATTTGTTTGTATCTGTCCTTCTTGGGTAGGCTTTTCCATGTATTCACAGGGATTTGGGTGTTGTGATCTAAGTCTTTGGTCACTGCAGCCATTTCTGTTTTAGGAGGCACTGCAAAACCAGTTATGCTGTGGATCCTCCAGGCTTGTAGAGGAACTACCTTGCTGGTCTGGAATAAGATATTGGAAAGTTGCTTGGATTACTAGGCAGAGACTTTTCTTGTCTTCCCTAATTTTCTCTCAAATCAATGGAGTGTCTCTCTCTCTGCACTGAGCTTCATGCAGCTAGAGAATTGCATCTTTGTAGACAATACTACTGGAACTGTACTTGGTCAGTCCTGTTTTCAGCACAGCACTGGGTCTCCCTAAAGGCTCACGATGACAACTGCCTGGCTACTGCTGATGTTCACTCAAGGCTCAAGGGCTCTACAATCAGCAGGTGACATATTCAGCCAGTCTTTCATCCTTTCCTTCAGGGCAGTGAGTTTCCTCTGGTCCTGGGCTGGTTCAAAGATGCCATCCAGGAGCAAGGGCCTGGAGCCAGAAACCCTTGGAATCTACTTGGTCCTTTATTCTACTACAGCTGAACTGGCATCCATGCTACATGACAAAGTTCTTTCCACTTTCCCTTCCCCTTTTCTTAAGCAGTAGATTCTCTCCCCATGGCCACCACCAGCTCAGACCTATGACAACTACCGCCTGGCTACTGCTTATGTCCACTCAATGCCCAAGTTCCTTTAGTTAGCTTTTGGTGAATGCTGCCAGGCTTGAGTCGCTCCCTTCTGGGCAATGGGCTTCCTTCTGGCTCAGAGTGTGTTCAGAAATGCTGTCCAGTAGCCAAGGTCTTAAATTGGCAACTGCTAAAATCCCCTACCCAATTTTGGCCAAGCCAGTGCCCAAGCTGCAAGACAATATCCTCTTTATACTTTTCTCTCATTTCTTCAAGCATATTTGGTCTCTTCCTGTAGCTACCATGCTGGTGATGTGCTGGGTCACACCTTAAGACAGCATAGCTCTGAGTCTCATCCAGGACCTATGGCAAGTACTGCCTGGTTACCACTACTGATTATTCAGGGACCCTAGGGCTCTTTATTCAGCAGGTGATAGGTCAAAGCAGCTGGTTCTCTTCTGACCCAGGGTGTATTTAGAAATATTGTCCATGAGCTAGGTCCTGGAATAGGGGCCTCCGAACTCTGCCTGGTGCCCTATTCTACTGTGGGTAATCTGGTGTCCATATTTCAAGTCAAAGTTATCTTTACTCTCTTCTCTTGTCTCCTCACTCAGAGGGAAGGGGTCTCTCCAGGAGCCATGAGCTGTGCTGCCTGGCATTGAGGAAAGGTTGATGCAGGCAATCCTGGCTGTTCCACCTAGTATCTCACTAGTTTATATGCACCCCAAGTCCACTGGCTCCGAGCCCAGCACAACAAAAGGACTCGCCCAGCAATTGCAATCTTTGTGGCCCAGACTACTTTTCAAGTTTATTTAGAAACCCAGAACAAGTTAGCCTAGAGTGGCAGGACTTGCCAGAACTCAGGTTCCAACCTCTGGATGGACAATGAACAATTCCCTTCTAGCTAGAGCTTGTCTAAGTGCTCCCTCTGTGAGCACTGGCTGAATTGTTCCCTGAATCACTTTCTGATGTGTTTGACAGCACAATGCAAAATCCCCAATCACTGTCCTCTTTCTCACCCATGTGCACAGATTCTCTCTCCATGCTACTGGGCCATTGCTAGGGGATATAGAAAATGAGTAATGTACATGGTTCAAGAATACTTTTCCTACCATCTTCAGTGCCTCTTCCCTCAATATGATGTTAAAACCTGGTAGTGTGGGCCAGGCGTGGTGACTCACGCCTGTAATCCCAGCACTTTGGGAGGCCAAGGTGGGCAGATGACGAGGTCAAAAGATCGAGACCATCCTGGCCAACATGGTGAAACCCCATATCTATTAAAAACACAAAAATTATCTGGGCATGGTGGCGTGCCCCTGTAGTCCCAGCTACTTGGGAGGCTGAAGCAGGAGAATTGCTTGAACCCGGGAGGCGGAGGTTGCAGTGAGCCGAGATTGCGCCACTGTACTCCAGCCTGGCGACAGAATGAGACTCTGTCTCAAAAAAAAAAAAAAAAAGAAAAGAAAAAGAAAAAAGAAAAACAAAACAAAACAAAAGTAAAAACAAAACCTGGTACTGTATTCGCTCACCTGCATTTTGGTTCTTATGAAGGTGTTTTTTGTTTGGATAGTTGTTCTATTTGGTGTTCTTGTAAGTATTATAACCACTAGAGGCTTCTCTTCAGCCTTTCTCTGCAGAAAATTTTTAGTTTAATTAGGTCCCATTTATTTATCTTTGTTTTAGTTGCATTTGCTTTTAGGGTCTTAGTCATAAATTATTTGTCTAGGCCAATGTCCTGGAGAGGTTTTCTTCTGAAATTTTTATAATTTCAAGTCTTAGATTTAAGTCTTTTATTTATCTTGTGTTAATTTTTGTATATGGTGAGAGATAATGCTCCCGTTTCATTCTTCTATTTGTGACTATCCAATTTTCCCAGCACCATTTACTGAATAGTGTTTCCTTTCCCCAGCGTAGGTTTCCATCTGCTTTGTTGAAAATTGGTTGCTTGTAAGTATTTGGCTTTATTTCTGGGTTCTCTGTTATGTTTCGCAGGTCTATGTGTCTACTTTTGTACCAGTACCAGGCTGTTTTGGTTTCTATAACTCTGTAGTATCATTTGAAGTCAGGAAATGTGGTGCCTCCAGGTTTGTTTTTTTTGCTTTGGATTGCTTTGGCTCTTCAGGTACTTTTTAAAATTCCATATAAATTTTAAGATTTTGTTTTCTAATTCATTAAAAATGGCATTGGTATATTTATAGCACTTGTGAATCTGTTGATTGCTTTAGAGCACAGGGTCATTTTCACAATATTGATTATTCTAATCCATGAGCATTGGATGTTTTTTCCTTTTTTTGTGTGATTTCTTTTATCAGTGTTTTGTACTTCTCTTTGTGGAGATTTTTTATCTCCTTAATTAAGTATATTTCTTGTTTTCTTTTTCTTTGGAGCCCTTTTAAAAAAACTTGAGAACAGCTATTTTTTTTAATGTGACAACATTCAATACCTAATGCTGGTGAAGACGGAGAAAAATTGGATCTCTCATACAATCTGGTTGGAATGTAAAATGTTACAGCAACTGTCGAAAATAATCTGTTAATTTCTTTAAAAAGAAACAAACTAGGCCAGGTATAGTGGCTCATACCGATAATTCCAACACTTTGGGAGGCCGAGTCAGGAGGATCACTTGAGGCCAGGAGTTCAAGATCAGCCTGGGCAACATAGTGCGACACCATCACTACAAAACTTTAACAAAATAATTAACCAGGCATGGTGACACATGCCTGCAGTACTAGTTACTTGAGAGGCTGAGGTGGAAGGATTGCTTGAGCACATGAGTTTGAGGGTGCAGTGAGCTATGAGCAGGTCACTTCACTCCAACCTCAACAACAGAGAAAGACCCCGTCTTTAATCAAACAAACAAGCAAACAAACAAAAAACAGCTAAACCTATATTCAACATGTGATCCAGAAATTGCATTTCTGCCCATTATTCCAAAGAAATAGAAACTTAATTCCACAGAAAAAAGCTATACATGAATGTGTATAGTAGCATATATCTCAAACCTGAAAACAACTAAAATATCCCTCCATAGGTGAGTGGTTAAACAAATTATAGTACTTCCATCTCATGTAATACTACTCAGCAATAAAAACAAATGAACAATTGATAAACAGAACTACTCAAGGGCATTATGTTGAGAAGAAAAATACTAATATAAAAACATCGCACACGGTATTATTTCATTCTTAATCACATTCTTGAAATTACAAAATTATAGAGTTGAAAGACAAATTAGTAATTGCTATGCATTGAGGATGTTGGGAGGAGGGTAATGAGGGTGACTATAAAAAGCAATTTGAAGAAGATCTTGCTAGTGATTAACTGGTTCTTCACCTTGATTGAATGGTGACTATACAATTTACACATATTAAATGACATGAGCCTATACACACAATTTGTACCAATGACAAATTCCTTATCTTGATATTGTACTATAATTGCAAAATGGAAGTTTCTTTCATAGGAGAAACTGAGTGAAGTGTATCCTGAGCCTTTCTGTACTGCCTTTGTGAATCTATGACTATTTCAAAACAAAAAACTAAAACACAAACACCCATAGAAATGTATGCACACAAATTATAATCTTGTTGAACATGAGTATAGATGTAGGGTAAATAAAGCCATTAATGGGATGGAGTGAAGTTACATCAAAATACCTAAGTCTCTTTTTATGTATATTCTCATTTTTCAAATGATATATATATATCTCAATGTAGAATTTGGTGGAAAATGAGTTTATGTATGTGAGCACAAGCTTGAAGCTGGGGATCAAAGGCAATGCTGAAACCTGTGATGTCCCACAGATGGTGGATTACATAAAGGGAACATCTTGGAAGGGGATTTATGTATATGTGTATGTGCACACAACACAGATTTGTCTACTCCCCACCAGCTGCCACTGGGAGTAGTACTTTATTAAGGTATGAACAAGCTGGGCAGATGTCTGGCACCAGTCTAAAAGCAAGATAAGCCATCACTAGAATATATTTAAAATATGAAGCTGGTAATTTAATTTCTCATAGTCACTTATTAGCATAACTGGCACAAAGTAATTTTTTTTGCTCCAATTAAAGTAGCAACTCAAAAGTTGGTGAGGAGTACTATATTTCTAAGTATTTTGGGAATCAGCAGCTTCATGTTGTATATTATAATGGAAGTCTATATCACTAACTTAAAAATAAGCCTGATTGTGGTATGATCTTGGCAGGCACAAGCAGCTGAAATTGTGCAATAAGTTTTAAAATGCATGGCATAAAACTATTTATGATGAATGGGTAATTTTTTTAAAAAAATCTAAATTTTATATAAATTAGTATTCTTCTAAAAATATTGCCACATTGAGAAACCTAAAATTGAAAAGAGAAGGGACTACCCAAGAGTAGAAAATATTTTGTCAAATTGAAAATCTGAAAAATATGTTTTAGGCATATTTCATTCCTATATATCCCAGACTGCAAGTAGGTATGCATCTAAATGGTTTTCTATTATTTTATATGAAAAAAAATCAGCAGTCCAATACTAATTTGAAATATTACATTTTTATTTTTTGCTGGTTTTATATACATGGTATATAAAAGAGGGCACAAGACAAGGATGCCCTCTCTCACCACTCCTATTCAACAGAGTATTGGAAGTTCTGGCCAGGGCAATCAGGCAAGAGAAAGAAAGGAAGCCCATCAGACTAACAGCAGATCTCTCAGCAGAAACCCTACAGGCCACAAGAGAGGGGGGCCAATATTCAACATTCTTAAAGAAAAGAATTTTCAATCCATAATTTCATATCCAGCCAAACTAAGCACCATAAGGAACGGAGAAATAAAATCCTTTCCAGACAAGCAAATGCTGAGAGATTTTTGTTACAACCAGGTCTGCCCGGCAAGAGCTCCTAAAAGAAGCACTAAATATGGAATGGAAAAACCAGTACCAGCCACTGCAAAAACACACCAAAACATAAAGACCAATGACACTATGAAGAAACTGCATCAATTAGTGTGCAAAATAACCAAATAGCATCATGATGACAGGATCAAACACACACACAACAATACTAACCTTAAATTTAAAGGGGCTAAATGCCCAAATTAGAAAACACAGACAGAAAAATTGGATAAGGAGTTAAGACCCATCAGTGTGCTGTATTCAAAAGACTCATCTTATGTGCAAAGACACACTTAATCTCAAAATAAAGGGATGGAGAAATATTTACCAAGCAAATGGAAAGTAAAAAAAAGCAGGGGTTGCAATCCTAGTCTCTGATCAAACAGTCTTAAAACCAACAAAGATCAAAAATCAAAGAAGGGCATTACATAATGGTAAAAGGAACAATTCAACAAGAAGAGCTAACTATTCTAAATATATACGTACCCAATACAGGAGCAACCAGTTTCAGAAAACAAGTTCTTAGAGACTTACAAAGATACTTAGGCTCCTTTGGCCTCCCCGAAGTGCTGGGATTACAGACATGAGCCACCACACCTGGCCTGGAAATGTTTTCATTCCCTTAACCACCATGAGCTTCAAAGAACTACAATTCCCAGCTGTCTTTGAGGCAAAGCCGTGTTAGCAACTCCCTTACCTCCAAGGACTATGAGGAGTTGCAGCTACCTTGTTCTGTACTCTGGGCTCTATTATTAAAGAAACCCAAAGGAAATATAACTATCCCCAGTCAATGGGGGTGGAGACTGTGCCAATATGGCAGCAAGCTTTGGAGACTGCTGGGAGTTGTAGTTTCCTTATGAAAATTCACCTCCAACCACCAGGCGTGGTGGCTCACGCTTGTAATCCCCAATGTCAGTATTAGGCAGGACAATGGGACAGACAATTAACAAGGATATTCAGTCCTTGAACTCAGCTCTGGATCAAGTGGACCTAGTAGACGTCTATAGAAATCTGTACCCCAAGTAAACAGAATATACATTCTTCTCAGTGCCACATGACACTTATTCTAAAATTGGCCACATAACTGAAAATAAATCACTACTCAGCCAATGGAAAATAACTGAAATCAGACTAAACAGTCTCTCAAACTACAGTGCAATCAAATTAGAACTCAGGATTAAGAAACTAACTCAAAACCACACAATTTCATGGAAATTGAACAACCTGCTCCTGAATGACTCTTGGGTAAATAATGAAATTAAGGCAGAAACCAAGAAGCTCTTTGAAACCAATGAAAACAAAGAAATGAAGTACCGGAATCTCTGGGACTCAGTTAAAGCAGTGTTAAGAGTGAAATTTATAACACTAAATGCCACATCAGAAACTAGAAAGATCTCAAATAGACACCCTAACATCACAATTAAAAGAGCTAGATAGGCAAGAGCAAACTAATCCAAAAGCTAGTGGAAGACAAGAAATAACTAATATCAGAAGAGAATTGAAGGAGATAGAGACACATAAACCCTTCAAAAATCAATAAATCCAGGAGCTGTTTTTTTGAAAAAATTAAAAAAATAGACCGCTATATAGACTAATAAAGAAGAAGAAGAGAGAAAAATCAAATAGACAAAATAGAAATTGATAAAGGGGATATCACCACTGACCCCACAGAAATACAAACTACCATCAGAGAATACTGTAAACACTCTACAAAAATAACTAGAAAATCTACAACAAATGGATAAATTCCTGGACACATACACCTACCAAGACTAAACCAGGAAGAAGTTTAATCACTGAATAGACAAATAACAAGTTCTGAAATTGAGGCAGTAATTAATAGCCTCACAACCAAAAAAAGCCCAGGACCAGAGAGATTCACAACTGAATTCTACCAGAAATAAAAAGAAGAGCTGGAACTATTCCTTCTGAAACTATTACAAACATTTGAAATGGAGAGACTCCATCCTAACTTATTTTATGAAGTCAGCATCATCCTGATACCAAAAACAGGAGAAGACACACCAAAAAAAGAAAACTTCATGCCAATATTCCTGATGAACATCAATATGAAAATCTTCAATATAATACTGACAAACCAAATCTAGCAGCACATCAAAAACGTATCCACCATGATCAAGTTGGCTTCATACCTGGGATGCGAAGCTGGTTCAACATACGCAAATCAGTAAATGTAATCCATCACATAAACAGAACCAAAGGCAAAAACCACCTGATTATCTCAATAGATGCAGGCAAGGCCTTTGATAAAATTCAACATCCCTTCATGGAAACTCTACAAGTCAGAAGAGAGTGGGGAACAATATTCAACATTCTTAAAGAAAAGAATTATCAACCCAGAATTTCATATCCAGCTAAACTAAGCTTCATAAGTGAAAGAGAAATAAAATACTTTACAGACAAGCAAATGCTGAGAGATTTTGTCACCACCAGGCCTGCCCTAAAAGAGCTCCTGAAGGAAGCACTAAACACGGAAAGGAAAAACTGGTACCAGCCACTGCAAAAACATGCCAAATTGTAAAGACCATCGAGGCTAGGAAGAAACTGCATCAACTAACGAGCAAAATAACCAACTAACATCATAATGACAGGATCAAATTCACACATAACAATATTAACCTTAAAAGTAAACGGGCTAAATATTCCAATTAAAAGACACAGACTGGCAAATTGGATAAAGAGTCAAGACCCATCAGTGCACTGTATTCAGGAAACCCATCTCATGTGCAGAGACACACATAGGCTCAAAATAAAGGGATGGAGGAAGATCTACCAAGCAAATGGAAAACAAAAAAAGGCAGGTGTTGCAATCCTAGTCTCTGATAAAACAGACTTTAAACCAACAAAGATCAAAAGAGACAAAGAAGACCATTACATAATGGTAAAGGGATCAATTCAACAAGAAGAGCTAACTATCCTAAATATATATGCACCCAATACAGGAGCACCCAGATTCATAAAGCAAGTCCTTAGTGACCTACAAAAAGACTTAGACTCCCACACAATAATAATGGGAGACTTTAACACCCCACTGTCAACATTAGACAGATCAAAGAGACAGAAAGTTAATAAGAATATCCAGGACTTGAACTCAGCTCCACACTAAGGGGACCTAATAGACATCTACAGAACTCTCCACCCCAAAGCAACAGAATATACATTTTTTTCAGCACCACACCGCACTTATTCCAAAATTGACCACATAGTTGGAAGTAAAGCTCTCCTCAGCAAATGTAAAAAACAGAAATAATAACAAACTGTCTCTCAGACCGCAGGACAATCAAACTAGAACTCAGGATTAAGAAACTCACTCAAAACCGCTCGACTACATGGAAACTGAACAACCTGCTCTTGAATGACTACTGGGTACATAACAAAATGAAGGCAGAAATAAAGATGTTCTTTGAAACCAACGAGAACAAAGACACAACATACCAGAATCTCTGGGACACATTCAAAGCAGTGTGTAGAGGGAAATTTATAGCACTAAGAGCCCACAAGAGAAAGCAGGAAAGATCCAAAATTGACACCCTAACATCACAATTAAAAGAACTAGAGAAGCAAGAGCAAACACATTCAAAAGCTAGCAGAAGCAACAAATAACTAAGATCAGAGCAGAACTGAAGGAAATAAAGATAGAAAAAACCCTTCAAATAATCAATGAATCCAGGAGCTGGTTTTTTGAAAAGATTAACAAAATTGATAGACCACTAGCAAGACTAATAAAGAAGAAAAGAGAGAAGAATCAAATAGACGCAATAAAGAGTGATAAAAGGGATATCACCACCAATCCCACAGAAATACAAACTACCATCAGAGAATACTATAAACACCTCCATGCAAATAAACTAGAAAATCTGGAAGAAATGGATAAATTCCTTGACACATACACCCTCCAAAGACTAAACCAGGAAGAAGTTGAATCTCTGAATAGACCAGTAACAGGCTCTGAAATTGAGGCAATAATGAATAGCTTACCAACGAAAAAAAGTACAGGACCAGATAGATTCACAGCCGAATTCTACCAGAGGAACAAGGAGGAACTGGTACCATTCGTTCTGAAACTATTCCAATCAATAGAAAAAGAGGGAATCCTCCCTAACTCATTTTATGAGGCCAGCATCATCCTGATACCAAAGCAGGGCAGAGACACAACAAACAAAGAGAATTTTAGACCAATATCCCTGATGAACATCGATGCAAAAATCCTAAATAAAATACTGGCAAACCGAATCCAGCAGCACATCAAAAAGCTTATCCACCATGATCAAGTGGGCTTCATCCCTGGGATGCAAGGCTGGTTCAACATATGTAAATCAATAAACATAATCCAGCATATAAACAGAACCAAGTACAAAAACCATATGATTATCTCAATAGGTGCAGAAAAGGCCTTTGACAAAATTCAACAACCCTTCAAGCTAAAAGCTCTCAATAATTTAGGTATTGATGGGACGTATCTCAAAATAATAAGAGCTATCTATGACAAACCCACAGCCAATATCATACTGAATGGGCAAAAACTGGAAGCATTCCCTTTGAAAACTGGCACAAGACAGGGATGCCCTCTCTCACCACTCCTATTCAACATAGTGTTGGAAGTTCTGGCCAGGGCCATCAGGCAGGAGAAGGAAATAAAGGGTATTCAATTAGGAAAAGAGGAAGTCAAATTGTCCCTGTTTGCAGATGACATGATTGTATATGTAGAAAACCCCATCATCTCAGCCCAAAATCTCCTTAAGCTGATAGGCAACTTCAGCAAAGTCTCAGGATACAAAATCAATGTGCAAAAATCACAAGCATTCTTATACACCAATAACAGACAAACAGAGAGCCAAATCATGAGTGAACTCCCATTCACAATTGCTTTAAAGAGAATAAAATACCTAGGAATCCAACTTACAAGGGACGTGAAGGACCTCTTCAAGGAGAACTACAAACCACTGCTCAATGAAATAAAAGAGGATACAAACAAATGGAAGAACATTCCATGCTCATGGGTAAGAAGAATCAGTATCATGAAAACAGCCATACTGCCTAAGGTAATTTATAGATTGAATGTCATCCCCATCAAGCTACCAATGACTTTCTTCACAGAATTGGAAAAAACTACTTTAAAGTTCATATGGAACCAAAAAGAGCCCACATTGCCAAGTCAATCCTAATCCAAAAGAACAAAGCTGGAGGCATCACGCTACCTCACTTCAAACTAAACTATAAGGCTACAGTAACCAAAACAGTATGGTACTGGTACCAAAGCAGAGATATAGACCAATGGAACAGAACAGAGTCCTCAGAAATAATGCCACATATCTACAACCATCTGATCTTTGACAAACCTGACAAAAACAATAAATAGGGAAGTGATTTCCTATTTAATAAATGGTGCTGGGAAAACTGGCTAGCCACATGTAGAAAGCTGAAAGTGTAAGGATCCCTTCCTTACACTTTATGCGAAAATTAATTCAAGATGGATTAAAGACTTAAATGTTAGACCTAAAACCATAAAAACCATAGAAGAAAACCTAGGCAATACCATTCAGGACATAGGCATGGGCAAGGACTTCATGTCTAAAACACCAAAAGCAATGGCAACAAAACCCAAAATAGACAAATGGGATGTAATTAAACTAAAGAGCTTCTGCACAGCGAAAGAAACCACCATCAGAGTGAACAGGCAACCTACATAATGGGAGAAAATTTTTGCAATCTACTCATATGACAATTGGCTAATATCCAGATTCTACAATGAACTCCAACAAATTTACAAGAAAAAAACAACCCCATCAAAAAGTGGGCGAAGGATATGAACAGACACTTCTCAAAAGAAGACATTTATGCAGCCAAAAGACACATGAAAAAATGCTTGTCATCACCGGCCATCAGAGAAATGCAAATCAAAACCACAATGAGATACCATCTCACAGCAGTTAGAATGGGGATCATTAAAAAGTCAGGAAACAACTGGTGCTGGAGAGGATGTGGAGAAATAAGAACACTTTTACACTGTTGGTGGGACTGTAAACTAGTTCAGCCATTGTGGAAGACAGTGTGGTGATTCCTCAGGGGTCTAGAACTAGAAATACCATTTGACCCAGCCATCCCATTACTGGGTATATACCCAAAGGAATATAAATTACACTGCTGTAAAGACACATGCACACGTATGTTTATTGCAGCAGTACTCAAAATAGCAAAGACTTGGAACCAACCCAAATATCCATCAATAATAGACTGCATTAAGAAAATGTGGCACATATACACCATGGAATACTATGCAGCCAGAAAAAATGATGAGTTCATGTCCTTTGTAGGGACATGGATGAAGCTGGAAACCATCATTCTCAGCAAACTATCGCAAGGACAAAAAACCAAACACCACATGTTCTCACTCATAGGTGGGAATTGAACAATGAGAACACATGGACACAGGAAGGGGAACATCACACACCGGGGCCTGTTGTGGGGTGGGGGGAGGGGGGAGGGATAGCATTTGGAGATATACCTAATGTTAAATGACAAGTTACTGGGTGCAACACACAAACATGGCACATGTATACGTATGTAACTAACCCGCATGTTGTGCACATGTACCCTAAAACTTAAAGTATAATAATAAAAAAAAACTTAAAATATAAAAAAAAATCCCTTCATGTTAAAAACTCTCAATGAACTGGTATTGATGGAACATATCTCAAAATAATATATGCTCTTTATGACAAACCCACAGCCAATATCATATTGAATGGGCAAAAGTTGGAGCATTCCCTCTGAAAATCAGTACAGGAAAAGGATGCCCTCTCTCACCACTTCTATTCAACATAGTATTGGAAGTTCTGGCCAGGGCAATCAGGCAAGAGAAAGACATAAAGGGTATTCAAATAAGAAGAGAGGAAGTCAAATTGTCTCTGTTTATAGATGACATGATTTTATATTTACAAAAGCCCATCATCTTAGGCCAAAAACTCTTTGAACTGATAAGCAACTTCAGCAAAGTCTCAGGATACAAAATCAATGTGCAAACATCACAAGCATTTCTTTACACCAACAATAAGCAAGGAGCGAGCCAAATCATGAACGAACTCCCATTCACAATCACTAAAAAGATAATAAAATACCTAGGAATACAGCTAAAAAGGGATGTGAAGGACCTCTTCAAGGAGAACTACAAACCAGTGCTGAAGGAAATGAGAGGACACAAACAAATGGAAAAACAGTCCATGCTCATGGATAAGAAGAATCAATATCATGAATATGGCCATACTGCCCAAAGAAATTTATAGATTCAATTCTATTCCCACCAAACTACCATTGACATTTTTCACAGAATTAGAAAAAACTACTTTAAATTTCATATGGAACCAAAGAAGAGCCCATATAGCCAAGACAATCGTAAGCAAAAAGAACAAAGCTGGAGGCATCACGCTTCCTGACTTCAAACTATAGTACAAGGCTACAGTAACCAAAACAGCATGGTGCTGGCACCAAAACACATATATAGACCCATGGAACAGAACAGAGGCCTCAGAAATAACACCACACATCTACAACCATCTGATCTTTGACAAACCTGACAAAAACAAGCAATGGGGAAAGAATTCCCTATTTAATAAATCGTGTTGGGAAAACTGGCTAGCCATATGCAGAAAACTGAAACTGGATCCTTTCCTTACACATTATACAAAATTTAACTGAAGATGGATTAAAGACTTAAACATAAGACCTAAAACCATAAAAACCCTAGAAGAAAACCTAGGCAATACCGTTCAGGACATAGGCATGGGCAAAGACTTCAAGATAAAAATGCCAAAAGCAATGGCAACAAAAGCCTAAATTAACAAATTTGATCTAATTAAATCAATTAAATCTAATTAAACTGAAGAACTTCTTCACAGCAAAAGAAATTATTGTCATAGTGAACAAGCAAACTACTGAATGGGAGAAAATTTTTGCAATCTGTCCATCTGACAAAGGTCTAATATTCAAAATTTACAAGGAACTTAAAGATATTTACCGGAACAAAACAACCCCATCAAAAAGTGGGCAAAGGATATGAACAGACACTTCTCAAAATAAGACATTTACTTGGCCAAAAAACATGAAAAAAAGCTCAACATCACTGATCATCAGAGAAACGCAAATCAAAACCAACATGAGATACCATCTTACACCAGTCAGAGTGGCGATTATTAAAAAATCAGGAAACAATAGATGCTGGCAAGACTGTGGAGAAATAGGAAAGTTTTTACATTATTGGTGGGAATGTAAATTAGTTTAACCATTGTGGAAGACAGTACGGCAATTCCTCAAGGATCTGGAACCAGAAATACCATTTGACCCAGTAATCTTATTAGTGGGCACGTACCTAAAGGAATATAAATGATTCTACTATAAAGACACATGCACATATGTGTTTGTTGCAGCACTATTTACCATAGCAAAGACATAAAACCAACCCAAATGCCCATCAATGATAGATTAGATAAAGAAAATGTGGTACATACACGTCATGTAATACTATGCAGCCATAAAAAGAAATGAGATAATGTCATTTGCAGGGACATGGATAAAGCTGGAAGCCATTATCCTTAGCAAACTAACAGAGGAACAGAAAACCGAACACCATGTGTTCTCACTCATAAATGGGAGTTGAACATTGAGAACACATGGACACAGGGGAACAACACACATCAGGGCCTGTTGGGGGGTGGGGAGTAATGGGATGGAACTTAGAGGATAGGTTGGTAGCTGCAGGAAACCACCATGGCACACGTACACCTAGGTAACAAACCTGCACATTCTGCACATGTATCCCATTTTTTTGTCTTTTAGAAGAAATGAAGAAAAAACTTCCACTTTATGTTTAATTATTGAATAGTAATAAAATAAATCTGGTTACTAACGAAGGCATGACATTTTAGACATATTTTTCTGAGTCAGGAATGGCAATATTAGAATTGGCTCAATCTAGTTGAAGAAAGATAAATAAATATGTTAATAATAAATGCGATACTAACTTTTTATTATAGAGCCTATAAATTTCTTCCATTACAGAATCTGAAAGGACTAGTTATATATTTAAATAGATCTTTTAGATTTTCTGAGAACTTGAGTGTTTAAAATTATCTTAATTTTTATTATCTTAGCAATAAGCACAGATAAATAAAATGTACAATAAATAAGTTAGGTAGGTATTAGATCCTGATTAAATATCAAGGAAATTTGGTAAGCTAATACACACTGTATATTCTTTGTACTCCATGTGCACTCGTTTGTATGTGTGTGTGCACTGCTTATGTGTTTTACTCATAGTGCAATGTACTTGTTCTTAGAAAAGTGTGCTCTTTGGTCACCTGGTGCCTCAGAAAGAGAATTCTGAGATGGGTATAAGTCTACAGGCTATGGTAGTAACATTAAGTTGCTTATCCTATACGAGCTTTTTTTAAAGCTATATTTTACAACTTTTTTGTTAAATTCTATATATAACAGGCAAATGGAAGACTTACAAGATATATAGTTATTATTATATAGTTATTGTTATAATAAATACTTAAATCTTGCAAAAGAGTAAAACAGAATTCTCTGAGCCCACTTTCTATTAATGTATCAGAAAACGGTACGTGCTGTGGCCTATGTTTTCATGCAGACCTTCTGGGAATGTACATCTAGATAAACTTATATTTTATTCTAAGCTTTCATCATCTCAATCAAAAATAAAATTCTAGATGTTCTGTGGGAAGCATGAGTAAAGGTAGCAATGTATACAATCTATCTCCAAAATGCAATTCCCACTGGCGACCCCACAAAAAGTGTTTATAGACTGAACTGTCATAACTTGGAACACATAAATAATACTATTCACGGTGGTTTGCTTTCGGGCTAGTCTTCAAATCCACTTAACCAAAAATGTAATTTAAAAATTGATTCTAATCTCCATATGTAACTACTTTTTATGGGAAAATGTATCAATATGTCTTTCTCATAGAAGCACTAATGTCAAACTAGTTATTGTTTTACATTTTTAGTCTTTTAACTTTTGAAAAGAGGTTGCAAACACTCTACTTGGTGTGGTAGATTAGATTCTTTTTCAGCAAATACTCACTACTTAACCTGTCCCTATCCATGGGAAGAGTATACTTCCTTATTCCATTGATGTTAGGTTTTGGTCTCTGCTTAGGAGGAGTGCTCTTCAGGACTTGCCCCTATGACTTGCTTTGGTAAGTGCATGGGATCCATGCAGAGTCTTTAAAGGTGCTTGCCATCCTCGATGTTTGCCATTGTCTTGGGAGACCACATCCACACCTTGAGCAGACCCTACCTTTCTATCCTCGGCCCCGCAATGAAATATATGGAGCAAAGGCACCCAGGAATCCATAGATGTGGTAGTAAGAAATACATTATTCATGTAACTTGTCACTGGTCTTTTGTGGCTGTTTGTTATGAAGAATTACTGAAACACATACAACCACCTACAGACCTATGCAGGATGCTTCAAAGTGAATAAGAGTTTGAAAAAAAAAATACAACAAGATCTATGTGAAAGTTAAGGGCATAAAATTTTGCACGTAAAGGGAATGACACTCAAAATTTTATCACTTAAATTGGTCCCAATTCCTTATAAAAGAAAAAAGTAGTGAATTAAAAACCGAGGCAACAATGCATTTTTGGAAAATGCCTCTTTCTTCCCCATTTCCTTGCTATAATTGGTTCTAACACAAATGACCAAGGGTAAGATGTATAATGAAAGAAAATGAATGATGGTAATTTTAAAACATTAACCGGTGAGAATAAAATTAATGAAGGAAATAATGGTATATTTGTATAATAAAGAAACGGGGGCTCTGTAAACAAAATAAAAAGATGGAAAGTCTATTTAGTAGTCAAGAATAAAAGAAAAAAATGGTGACATGAAGTTTAGATAGAAATCAAAGGCAAAAAAAATTAAGGAAATATAAAATTATGAAGTCACATGCAATAATAGTGCTGGGAAAGCAAGAAAAATATTACAACTCAAAGTTTTATGCCAAATGACTCTGAAGAAGAGAGCCCCCTATAAGTAAGCTTAAGAAGTGTTCACCATCGTCAGAGGTGAACATCCTTGCTCACCACTGGAAAGTTTTTTATAACGAGGATAGAGAGAAAATGTATATTGGGGGTATCCCTGATAGCATATAAGGAATATCCAGAAAAACAAGGTGTCTAAGTCTTGGGGTCCTTATTTATGTCATACTACTTTTCTAAGAATGACTTTGCTACAAACCACACTCTGACTACTGAGAAAGAATTGGCATTTGATTTCCATGAGCAAGTCAACTATTTCATTGGTTGCTAGGGAGGAAACACCAATTAGTAATAAGCACCAACATTTAGTGCATTTAAAGGCATACTGATGAACTAAGCACGTTCATTTTTAAGGCTTGATGCTGATAGTTACTCAGATGCTACAGAATAGAAAGCCAAACAAGTATAAAACAAAACATCCCTAAGAGATTTGTGGGGAAATGTGATTTTCTATAGTTTTATTAATTTTGACATGATGCATCACAAATTTCCCCAGGTAACTTGTCTAAATCTTTGTTTTTGCCAGGAAAAAAAAATGCACAGATTTTTATTCACAGACAAAATCTTCTGAAGAGAAATCACACTAAAAAAAAATTCCATTTGATTGTTGCTTTTTTAAATCACAAACTATAATCTGCTTCAAGATTCAGGTATTCTTTGAAATAAAAATTCACACTTCAGGCATTCCCTAGCTCTTCCACAAATTTATGTATTTTAGACTAGAATTGACAAAGTGAGGAACACATTCAATTTGCATAGATGAATGTACAAAAATTTGGAACATGTTATAATCTTCTAAATGAAGTAAAAATTAATTGTGAATAATTGTAAATAAATGCCCATGTTTTAACTTTTCTGAAAAACACATAAGTAGTAGAAACAACTATTAATCTAGATATGAAATTATCTTTTCAATTATTATGATGACAATGGTTAGAGATAAATGCAGTGATTTGTAGTTATGGTACTTAGTTGGTCAGATATCATTGTACTTCCCTGAATGATTTTCTCATCTGTATGTCAAAAAGCCAGCAATTGTAGCATTTATAATCTACTAATTAAGGATTTCCTCAGAAGTTACTATTGTTGCTGTTGCTGATTTTTTTCTGTTAAATGTTTATTTTAAAAATCCTGTCTTTTGACCCATAGGTTTAAAAAATGTAATGTAATAAAAGTTAACATTTCCTTTTCATTTTACAATTTGTCTTTATTAAGAAATTCATTTCTATCTCGGGTTTATAAATACATTTAAAATTTTTGTTGTTTTGTTTTGTTTTTCACATGTAAATCTTCCACTGAATTTTTTTTTTTTTTTTTTTTTTTTTTGAGACAGGGTCACACTCTGTCACCCAGTCTGGAATGCAGTGGTACAATCTTGGCTCACTGCAGCCTCAACTTCCTGGGTTCAAGTGATCCTTCCCACTTCACCTTCTGAGTAGCTGGGAACACAGGCACACCACCATGCCTGGTTAATTTTTTGATTTTCTTGTAGAGACAGAGATTTTGCCATGCTGCCCAGATTGGTCTTGAACTCCTGGGCTCAAGTGATCTGCCTGCCTCAGCCTCCCAAAGTGCTGGGATTACAGGTATAGACCTCCTCACTTGGTCTTGTTTCTTAAATATTAAAAATTTTAACCAGCTAAAAGATTTGAATCATATTTAGAACATGTAGTAAAATAGTTCTACTTTCTAAATGTTTTGGTTACTTCACAGTCTATTCTTTAATGTACTTATTAGATGATAGACTTTCTTCTTATGTGGTTTGTCTATTTTTCCACTGTATTTTTGATTGGTTATTTCCCTTATATAGGAAAATTCAGCTACATGTACACATTCACTCATGTATATTTTCAGGATCAAGATACTCTATCAATGATCTTAAAACCTATTTGGAAGGTATTTGCTTTCTACTAATTCTTTGGGTTGCACTATCACTTTTAATCTTCAGTGCAAACTTGCAAAATAGATATTATTTCCCTCTATTCTTCAGGTGAAGAAACTGATGCCCATTAGAGGTAAATACCTTTCAAAAGATCCTATTCTGTAAATGATGCTGCTCAGGCTAAACCCAGGCTTACCTGTTTTCAAAGGTTGTTTTTTTTCCTTCTATGACTATTACTATTTCTATTACTTACTACTGATTCTAGGTGTGTTTTTACTTGTACTTTAAAACCCAATGCCATAAGCATGTGAAATTAATTTTGTATCTTGTATTTTATTAAACATTTTTTCATGTCATATTACATTATTAGAACTTTCAAAACTATATCAACCATTGTACAAGCAAACTTCTTTATATTTTATAGACATGGATGGATTATGCTACACCAGTGCTTAACACTCACTAAATATTTTTTCTTTTTTATAATAAAATATAAATGCCTTACTTTTTAGGACCTACATAAAGAAACTGCATTTCACTGATCCAATGGACTATTATTATGTAATTGAAATGAAAAAACTATTGATTCATATAACACATCTGCATTTCATATGTGCAATTCTCAATGAAAGAAGTCACATATGGCTTGTATATTTCTTTTTCTCTGGCATCTCTCTCATCCTTTCCCTTTGTCCACTCTGCTGAACACCTACTGTCCTCTTTTAACATGCCTTACACAAGATGCTTTTTCACGAAGCTTGGCCTATAGATGGGCAGTATCTGCAGCCTCAAAATCCTAGCCACTGTTCTTGCATGCAGTTTCTTCTTTTTTCCAAACTTAGTTTAAATATTACATCCTTAGAAAAGTGCTTTATGACCACATCAGTCCAATCTATTCCATCATATTACTCTCCATTACAATCTATCTACATCCTGCTAATTCCTTCTGCCATTCTTCATTAATGAAAACTAAACATAAAGCTATAAAAATATTCTATGTTACACAAATTCTAAAAAAGTATTTTATATTAAGATTATTTTTCTAAGATAACAGATAATTTCTATCTTCTTTTGAATACAGTTTTCTGTCAGGCCGCAGAATCACTTGAAAAATACCAGGTTAGGCAATTAAGCAATATCTAGAGGGATTTCAGAAATAAGTAAAATAGTTTCATTAAGCACTGTGACAGATAGAACGCCATGGACACTTTATACTGAATAACTTGAATGTAGGCATCTGGCAAATGACTTTCATAGGTATGGTAAAGAAAGCCATATAAAGTGATTCTCAGATATTAGCATGCATCAGAATAAAAATCTAAAATCTTAGTTTAAGCTCAAATGACAGAGTTTCTAATTACGTGGGTCTGGTTTAAGAGCTGAAATTTTGCTTTTGTAACAAGTGCCCAGGTATATTGGTTTTGCTAGTCTGTGGACCACACATTGAAAATCACTATAATATTGATAGTGGCAGAAGGCAGACAAATTTCTAGGCAGAAAGGGGTGGGTCCCCTTTTTGGCCTTTTTGCTTGAACCTGACCTTCAGGCCAAAAATGACCTGAAAACCAAGCTGCTGGTACGGGATAAAGACCCCAACCAGAGTCACAACTTCCTGGATGCCTTTTATCCAATGTAATGGTTCTTTTCCCAGGCTCACGGATGGACCAATCAGCACACACTCCCTCATTCTGAGTCCATAAATCCCGCCCCCTTCACCCCCTGACTTAGCCACACTTTGGAACTACCTGCCTTCAGTGGGGACTACCAACTTCAGGTCCCCTCTCTACTGAGAGCTGTTCTGTTGCTCAGTAAAACTCTTCTCTGCCTTGCTCACTCTTTGATTGTACACGTAACCTCATTCTTCTTGGATGTGGGACAACAACCTGGGAGGCCCATCAAACAGCCGGTGCCAAAGGAGCTGCTGTAACACTGTAGCCCTCCTGTCCCAGTTCTCCTGCCCCAAGCAATGAGAAGCTGCAGGTGGGGCACGGCCAGCCCAGGAGCAATGGACCAGAATGGGCAATGGGAACAAAACAGCTGGGATATGCCCCCACTTGCCAAAGCGTGTGGACAGGAGAAACAAATGATCTGTAACACAAACGAGCTGTAATGCTTCCTGGGGGCCCAGACCTCAGGGCTGTTGGAGCCAGAGTTGTAACATGCTGTAACACCTCCTTTGGGGCACCACGACTTCTGGGGTCTCAGAGTTTTTTGGACACCACCACGTTCTGCTTGTCCAGACACCAGCACCAAGGTGGAAGCTGCTTGTGGTCGAGCCTGGTCCAGCTGCAGCCTCTCACGGAGCCAGCACCTGTACCAGCCTGGAGCTGTCCACCAAACTGAAGCAGCCAGTACTCCTGATTTGCCCTTGGCAGGTGTGAGATCAAGGCCAGCAGTGTGACCTAAACGTAGCCTGCCCGGCCAAGTGGGTAGAGCAAGCCCAGAGGGTCTGAGTGAAACTCCAGCAAGAGGCGCCTCCTGTTGTGGAGGTTTCTGGCTGGCAAAGTGGCACCGAAAATATCCTGCATCTTTTTAGAGTAAATACTAGAGAGGAGGGAGGAAAATACTAGCTTCTGACTTCAGGTCAGAGGGAGAGGAAGCCAGAAACTGGCACTTAAGGGAGCAGCAATATGCTTTAAAAATATATATTGGCTGGGCGTGGTGGCTCACGCCTGTAAGCCCAGCACTTTGGGAGGCCAAGGCAGGCGGATCATGAGGTCAGGAGATCGAGACCATCCTGGCTAACACGGTAAAACCCCGTCTCCACTAAAAATACAAAAAATTAGCTGGGCGAGGTGGCGGGCGCCTGTAGTCCCAGCTACTTGGGAGGCTGAGGCAGGAGAATGGTGTGAAGCCAGGAGGCGGAGCTTGCAGTGAGCCCAGATCGCGCCACTGCACTCCAGCCTGGGAGACACAGCGAGACTTCGTCTCAAAAAAAAAAAAAAAAAAAAATCAAGGAACCAAGGAACTACACTGGACTATATCTCAAACAATATATTTTCATGAGTGTCAGTTTTATCAGTTCATTCATCCACATATCTTGTTCTTTGGCATCTACATACCAGAGTATACTTGACTTAAAATGTTGAGCAAAATGCTTCTTCACAAATACTAGATTTAATCAATTTGCAATATATTTCAAGAATTTATATAATCATTAATGTTTGTCTTCATGTGCAAAATACTCTAAAGAACCCTTTCAAAATTTAATTTAAATCCAGTTTTTGAGCAATTCTGATTTTAACAATTTTTCTGTAAGAGACAGCTTTTTTTTTCTCCACCTCTGTGTATGTGTCATTATTTAAAAGCTTTACCTCTTTCCCAGAAAGGTAGAATGGAAAGTCTATGAAATTAGAGTAGAAGAGCCTGACCTCTACTTTTTCTCACTGGGCTATTTTGAGACTTAATGAGATTTTCACTTGTTGCATGTTTGATATCTTTTGATAAGGGAAACTATATAAACATCAAATATTACTCTAGGCAAAGTGTTCATTAGTGCTTTATTTTTTATTAATATTTGCCAAAACCAAATTGGCACTGATTGAACTCTACAGAATGTTTGGAATCTGCGTGTTTTCTGTCAAAGTCATGTCAATATTCAGATGAATTCCATTTTCACAGGAACCCCAATAAAGTTATAGTCAAGATTAAAATTTGGGTATGAAATAACTATTAATGTGTAAAATACCTTCAGGAATTTATGCAGTAATGCAAAACTGTGATGAAATGCAATAAAAGCTAACTAAATTATAAAACTACTCAGAAAAATTGACAGAGTTGGATATATTATTATGATGAACATTGGCAATCTCATGTAATTGTACTATACCAATAGCAAAGGGAATATTCTTCAATTGCACAACGCATAATTTTTAGAATGAGGGAATCTGGCCAGGAAGAACTTTTAATGTTTATATTTCCTTCAGGAAAAGTGGTGTTTGTTATTGTTAAAGCACATAGTAAAAGTCTAATGACAGATTGTGAAAACCTGTGTGTGTGTGTGTGTGTGTGTGTGCGCATACACACATGCCTAAGGGTGAAAGTAATGAGAATCATGAAAGAGATGCTGTGTAGGTGAACTGAGCTAGCAATCTAGGGCATTACATGCTTGGTCTTTCACAGGGCTGAGTGTGACTTAATCTATGCATTAAACTTGATTTGAGATTAACGATTTTAAATCCATTTTTAAAAAGAAAATTAATTGCAGATTCTATAAAAATGTAAACTGCCCTTACTCATTCTCTCAATATCTGTTTATTGATAGTAAACCATGAATGTTAAAGATCTTAGGCACTAAAGACGTAGCAACAAACAACACAATATCTGTGCATCCATAGGGCTCTGCTTATATTCTATTAGGGGAGTAGGTAATGTTTTAAAAATGTTTTTTAGGGTATACATTTTATTACCCTAAAAATTTTAATATAAAATAGAGAGATTTAGACAGTAAAGACTGAGAAAGTGCCATTTTAAAAATTAATTAATTAGTTGTTTAATTCTAATAGCTTTTGGGGGTACAAGTATTTTTTGGTTAAATGGATGAATTCTATAGAGGTGAATTCTGAGATTTAGTGTGCCTGTCACCCAAGCAGTGTACACTGTACCCAATATATAGTCTTTTATCCCTCACTCCACTCCCACCCTTCCCCCACCGAGTCCTCGAAGTTCAGTATATTATTCTATATGTGTTTGTGTCCTCACAACTTATCTCCTGTTTATAATTGACAGCATACAATATGCGGTTTTCCATTCCTGAGTTATTTCACTTAGAATCATGGCTTCCAGCTCCATCCTAGTTGCTGCAAAAGACATTATTTCATTCAAGAAGGTGTCATTTAAAGAGAATGATAAAGGCAGGTGTCCTTGAGATAGTGATATTTGAGTGGAGATCTGAAAATGGGTGACAACATAATTATAAACAGAGATATCTAGTCTAAGAAGACAGAGGAGCATGAGTGTAAAAATACTTGTTTCTTTCAAAGAATGGTAATAAGGCCTAGGTGATTAGAGGAGTGCCTGGAGGGAATGATGGCATAGGCCAGGTCACGTAGGCACAGAACACGTACTGTTGGCCATAAAAAATTTAGATATTCATCTGTATTAAATGTAAATCCATTAAAGGGTTTTGAGCAACAACGTGACATTATTTGACTTATTTACATGTGAGAAAAGAAATAAAATATTTTAGATGAGTGTGGAAAGTTGCAGATTTAAGTAACTTTCTTGGAATATAGATACACACTTTTGAAACTACTAAGGTAGTAATCTAATCCTGATGAAATATTAATTCAAAATAGTACTTAAATGCATTTCACCTAGAGGGAATAACAACTTGGTTTATGCCAAGTATGTCCTCTAAATACTTTATTTTATTCTTTCTATAAAACATACTTATAAGATCTATGCACAGTTTTAATAGTCACAATAAAATGAACACATATGTATTCCCTACCCAGCTTATATTAAACCCCCACTGTCCCCTTTCAGAGATCTTTTATGGCTTTGGGTATATATATTTCTAAGAATATTACATTGTGTGATGTTATAAGTAGAACATTTAACACATATTTTTAATATCATGACACTTGTATATAAAAATTGAGTTTTATAAGTGAACCTCCTACCCCATGATTTTGAAAAATTGATTAGTTCTAGTCATTTTTCTAGCTTGCTTATAATTGTCTATATGAAGAATACTATTATCTGCAAATGGATACGGTTTTATTTTTATGCTCTAATCTTTATGCATTTTATTATTTCTCTTGTCTTCTTGTGATGACTGTTACTTCCAGAAAACGTTGATAAGAAGTAGTATGATCAGCCACTTTTTCCTGCTTTCCACATGTTAGGGGGAATTTGTTCATTTTTCATCATTAACTATTTTGCGAGTGTAGCTTTGTAGATACCCTTTATCAGATTGAAAAAGCTTCCTTCTATTGTTATGTTTCTGAGGATATTCATTATGAAAAAAAAGTTAATTTAATCACATTTTTCTCTTCATCTCTTGAGATAATACAAATGGAGGTTTCCTTTGACTGTCTTTTCCCTTAATTGTGGGTCACATTTGTCTGGTTCTTTTATCCCAAGTTTCAATCTGTACACCATGAACGTTATGTTAAAATGATTCTCAATTCAATTTTGTTTTGTACATTCTTCTATGAAGACTGTTGATGTTGGTTGGTCCATTTGTCTTAGCATGCAATTTCTTGGCTATACTCAAAGGAAAAACTCTGTCTCTTGGGCGGAAGCTTAAGTCTAAATTCAGTTATTTTATTTCCACAAAATGTGCTTAGTACATTTGTAATTCACAGATCAGTCAAATATTTGGAAAAATTTGTGCGCAGCATTTGGGGTTTCCAATATATATTTCTTCTTTTATTTTGATTTAAACTTCATTTTCTTTTTTCTTTTCTTTTTTTTTCTCTCCCTATTTGCTATGCCTGCACTGGCAGTCAACTTTCACAAGACTTTTTTTTTTAATTATACTTTAAGTTCTGGGGTATATGTGCAGAATGTGCATGTTTGTTACATAGGTATACACGTGCCATGGTGGTTTGCTGCACCAATCAACCTGTCATCTACATTAGGTATTTCTTCTAATGCTATTCCTCCCCTAGACCCCCAGTCCCTGACAGGCCCAGGTGTGTCATGCTCCCCTCTCTGTGTCCATGTGTTCTCATTGATCAACTCATACTTATATGTGAGAACATGTGGTGTTTGGTTTTCTGTTCTTGCATTAGTTTGCTGAGAATGATGGTTTCCAGCATCACCCATGTCCCTAAAAAAGACATGAACTCATCCCTTTTTATGGCTTCATAGTATTCCATGGTGTATATCTGCCACATTTTCTTTATCCAGGCTATCACTGATGGGCATTTGAGTTGATTCTAAGACTTTGCTATTGTGAACGTATTTTCATATGTTTCTTGGCAGCATAAATGTCTTCTTTTGAGAAGTGTCTGTTCATAACGTTTGCCTGCCTAATGGGGTTGTTTGTTTTTATTATTGTAAATTTGTTAATTTCTGTATATTGGTCAGGGTGGTGGGAGAAATTGTAGGAAAAACACAAACCTTCTTGGAAGGCCAGGGGATTTTGCAAAGCTTCAGGGAAGAATGAGCTGAAGGTAGCAGTTCTTACCCTGGGGAAAGGGCAAGAAGTAGGTACAAAAGAATGAAAGGGAGTTTATCTGAATAGCTTGTTTACTCATGTCTCCAGAAACCTGGCCTTTAATCATCTGCGACCACTCTCTCTCAGGGGGCCAGCGGGGGTGGTGGCGACCATGTGAATTGCCCACAGTGTGTTGACTCAAAGCCTTTGTCATTAATTCAATCTGTGCTGAATAAATGCCCGTAGGGTAAGCTTGTCAGGGCTGCGGCTGCTGACTCTTTACAGCACCTCCTGAGAGTCTGTAAGCGGTCCGGTCTCCTAGCCCACTCATTCACTGGATACTTGTGTCTGAGTGCATTCCTTCATCCTTCATTCTGCCAGGGTATGCGGGTCAGACCCGGCAAAGTTCCTTGTAGATTCTGGATATTAGCCCTTGGTCAGATGGATAGATTGCAAAAATTTTCTCCCATTCTGTCGGTTGCCTGTTCGCTCTGATGATAGTTATTTTGCTGTGCAGAAGCTCTTTGGTTTAATTGGATCACATTTTTCAATTTTGGCTTTTGTTGCCATTGCTTTTGGTGTTTTAGTCATGAAGTCTTTGCCCATGCTTATGTCCTGAATGGTATTGGCTAGGCTTTCTTCTAGGGTTTTTAAAGTTTTAGGTCTTACATTTAAATCTTTAATCCATCCAGAGTTAATTTTTGTATAAGATATAAAGAAGGGGTCCAGTTTCAGTTTTCTGCATATGGCTAGCCAGTTTTCCCAACATCATTTATTAAATAGGGAATCCTTTCCTCATTGCTTGTTTTTGTCAGGTTTGTCAAAATAAGATTGTTGTGGATATGTGCCATGATTTCTGAGGCCTCTGTTCTGTTCCATTGGTCTACATAACTGCTTTGGTACGAGTACCCTGCTGTTTTGGTTACTGTAGCCTTGTAGTATAGCTTGAAGTCAGGTGGGGTGATGCCTCCAGCTTTGTTCTTTTTGCTTACGATTGTCTTGGCTATGCAGGCTCTTTTTTGGTTCCACATGAAATTTAAAGTAGTTTTTTCTAATTCTGTGAAGAAAGTCAACAGTAGCTTGATAGGGATAGCATTGAATGTATAAATTACTTTGGGCAGTATGGCCATTTTCACGATATTGATTCTTCCTATCCATGAGCATGGAATGTTTTTCCATTTGTTTGTGTCCTCTCTTATTTCCTTGAACAGTGTTTTGTAGTTCTCCTTGAAGACGTCCTTCACTTCCCTTGTAAGTTGTATTCCTAGGTGTTTTATTCTCTTTGTAGCAATTGCGAATGGGATTTCACTTATGATTTGGCTATCTGATTTTCTATTATTGGTGTATAGGAATGCTTGTTATTTTTGCACCTTGATTTTGCATCCTGAAATTTTGCTGAAGTTGCTTATCAGCTTCTGAAGATTTTGTGCTGAGACAATGGGGTTTTCTAAATATACAATCATGTCATCTGCAAACAGAGACGATTTGATTTCGTCTCTTTTTATGTGAATAGCCTTTATTTCTTTTTCTTTTCTGATTGACCTGGCCAGAACTTCCAATACTATGTTCAATAGGAGTGGTGAGAGAGAGCATCCTTGTCTTGTGCCGGTTTTCAGAAGGAATGCTTCCAGCTTTTGCCCATTAAGTATGATATTGGCTGTCAGTTTGTCATAAATAGTTCGTATTATTTTGAGATACGTTCCATCAATACCTAGTTTATTGAGAGTTTTTAGCATGAAGGGGTGTTGAATTTTATCAAAGGACTTTTCTGCATCTATTGAGATAATCATGTGGTTTTTGTCATTGGTTTTGCTTATGTTATGTATTATGTTTATTGGTTTGCATATTTTGAACCAGCCTTGCATCCCGGGGATGAAGCCAACTTGATCATGGTGGATAAGCTTTTTCGATAAGCTGCTGGATTCGGTTTGCCAGTATTTAATTGAGGATTTTCACATTGATGCTCATCAGTGATATTGGTCTGAAATTTTCTTTTTTTGTTATGTCTCTGCTGGGTTTTGTTATCAGAATGATCCTGGCCTCATAAAATGAATTAGGGAGGAGTACCTCTTTTTCTATTGTTTGGAATAGTTTCAGAAGGAATGGTACCAGATCCTCTTTGTACCTCTGAAAGAATTCGGCTGTGAATATGCCTGGTCCTGGGCTTTCTTTTGGTTGGTAGGTTATTAATTACTGCCTCATTTTCAGAACTTATTATTGGTCTATTCAGGGATTCAATTTCTTCCTGATTTAGTCTTTGTAGGGTGTATGTGTCCAGGAATTTATCCATTTGTTCTAGATTTTCTAATTTATTTGCATAGAGGTGTTAGTAGTATTCACTGATGGTAGTTTATATTTCTGTGGGATCAGTGGTGATACCTCTTCATCATTTTTTTATTGTGTCTATTTGATTCTTCCCTCTTTTCTTCTTTATTAGTCTTCCTAGTGGTCTATTTTGTTAATCTTTTTTCAAAATACCAGCTCCTAAATTCATTGATTTTTTTGAAGGTTTTTTTGTTTCTCTATCTCCTTCAGTTCTGCTCTGATCTTAGTTGTTTCTTGTCTTCTGCTAGCTTTTGAATTTGTTTACTCTTACTTCTCTAGTTCTTTTAATTGTGATGTTAGGCTGTCAATTTGAGGTCTTTCTAGCTTTCTGATGTGGGAATTTAGTGCTATAAATTTCCCTCTAAACACTGCTGTAGCTCTGTCCCAGAGATTCTGGTACATTGTGTCATTGTTCTCATTGGTTTCAAAGAATGTACTTATTTCTGCGTTAATTTTGTTATTTACCCAGTAGTCATTCAGGAGATGGTTGTTCAGTTTCCATGTAGTTGTGTGGTTTTAAGTGAGTTTCTTAATCTTGAGTTCTAATTTGGTTGCACTGTGGTCTGAGACAATTGGGTATGATTTCCATTCTTTTGTATTTGCCGAGGAGTGTGTTACTTCCAATTATGTGTTCAATTTTAAAATAAGTGTGATGTGGTGCTGAGAAGAATGTACATTCTGTTGATTTGGGGTGGAGAGTTCTGTAGATGTCTATTAGGTCCGCTTGGTCCAGAACTGAGTTCAAGTCCTGAAAATCTGTCTTGTTGATCTGTCTAATATTGACATTACAGTGTTACATTCTCCCACTATTATTGTGTAGGAGTCTAAGTCTCTTTGTAGGTCTCTAAAAACTTGCTTTATAAATCTGGGTGCTCCTGTATTAGGTACATATATATTTAGGATAGTTAGCTCTTCTTGTTGCATTGATCCCTTTATTATTATGTAATGCCCTTCTTTGTCTCTTTTGATCTTTGTTGGTTTAAAGTCTGTTTTATCAGAGATTAGGATTGCAACTCGTGCTGTTTTTTTGCTTTCTATTTGCTTGGTAAATATTCCTCCATCTTGTTATTTTGAGCTTGTGTGTGTGTTTGCACATGAGATGGGTCTCCTGAATACAGCACACTGATGACTCTTGATTCTTTATCCATTTTGCCAGTCTGTGTCTTTTAATTGGAGCATTTAGCCCATTTACATTTAAGGTTAATATTATTATGTGTGAATTTAATCCTGTCAATATGATGTTAGCTGGCTATTTTGCCCGTTAGTTGATGCAGTTTCTCCATGGTGTAGATGATCTTTCCAATTTGGTGTATTTTTGCAGTGGCTGATACCATTTTTTCCTTTCCATATATAGTGCTTCCTTCAGGAGTTCTTCTAAGGCAGGCCTGGTGGTTACAAAACCTCTCAGCATTTGCGTGTCTGTAAAGGATTTTATTTTTCCTTTGCTTATGAAGCTTAGTTTGGTTGGATATGAAATTCTGTGTTGAAAATGCTTTTCTTTAAGAATGTTGAGCATTGGACCCCACTCTCCTCTGGCTTGTAGGGTTTCTGCAGAGACATATGCTGTTAGTCTGATGGGCTTCCCTTTGTGGGTAACCCAGCCTTTTTCTCTGTCTGCCCTTAACATTTTTTCCTTCATTTTGACCTTGGTGACTCTGACGATTATGTATCTTGGGGTTGCTCTTCTTGAGGAGTATCTTTTTGGTGTTCTCTGTATTTTCTGAATTTGAATGTTGGCCTTTCTTGCTAGGTTTCAGGAATTTCTCCTGCATAGTATCCTGCAGAGTGTTTTCCAACTTGCTTCCATTCTCCCCGTCACTTTCAGGTACACCAGTCAAACGTTTGGTCTTTTTCACATAGTCCCATATTTCTTGGAGGCTTTGTTCGTTCCTTTTCATTCTTTTTTCTCCAAACTTGTCTTCATGCTTTATTTCATTAAGTTGATCTTCAATCTCTGATATCCTTTCTTCTGCTTGGTCGATTCAGCTTGATACTCGTGTATGCTTCACGAAGTTCTCATGCTGTGTTTTTCAGTTCCAACAGGTCATTTATGTTCTTCTCTAAACTGGTTATTCTAGTTAGCAATTCCTCTAAACTTTTCCAATGTTCTTAGCTTCCTTGCATTGGGTTAGAACATACTCCTTTAGCTCGGAGGAGTTTGTTATTACCCACCTTCTGAAGCCTACTTCTATCAATTCATCAAACTCATTCTCCATCCAGTTTTGTTCCCTTGCTGGTAAGTAGTTGTGATCTTTGGAGGAGAAGAGGCATTCTGGTTTTTGAAATTTTCAGCCTTTTTGCATTGGTTTTTCCTTATCTTCCTGGAATTATCTACCTTTGGTGTTTGATGTTGGTGACTTTTGGTTGGGGTTCGTGTGTGAACATCCTTTTTGTTGATGTTGATGCTATTCCTTTCTGTTTGTTAGTTTTCCTTCTAACAGTCAGGCCCCTCTGCTTCAGGTCTGCTGGAGTTTGCGGCAGGTCCACTCCAGACCCTATTTGCCTGGGTATTCCCAGCAGAGGCTGCAGAACAGGAAAGATTGCTTCCTGTTTCTTCCTCTGGAAGACTTGTTCCAGAGGGGCATCAGCCAGATGCCAGCTGGAGCTCTCCTGTATGAGGTGTCTGTCAACCCCTGCTGGGAGGTGTCTCAGAGTCAGGAGGGATGGAGATCAGGGACCCACTTGAGATGGCAGTCTGTCCTTTAGCAAAGCTTGAGCACTGTGCTGGGAGATCTGCTGCTCTCTTCAGAGCTTACAGGCAGGGACGTTTAAGTCTGCTGAAGCTCTGCCCACAGCCACCCTTTCCCCCAGGTGCTCTGTCCCAGGGAAATGGGGGGGTTTATCTATAAGCCCATGACTATGGCTGCTGCCTTTCTTTCAGAGATGCCCTGCTTAGAGAGGAGGAATCCAATGAGGCTGTCTGGCTACAGCGGCTTTGCTGACCTGCGGTGGGCACCGCCCAGTTCAAACTTCAGTGGCTTTGTTTACACTGTGAAGGGAAAGCTGCCTACTCAAGCCTCAGTAATGGTGGACACACCTCCCCACACCAAGTTGGAGTATCCCAGGTTGACTTCAGTCTGTTGTGCTGGCAGCAAGAATTTCAAGCCAGTGGATCTAAGCTTGCTGGGCTCCGTGGGGGTGGGATCCACTGAGCTAGACCACTTGGCTCCCTGGCTTCAGACCCATTTCCAGGGAAGTCAACGGTTCTGTCTCGCTGGCATTCCAGTCACCACTGGGGTATGAGAAAACAAAACAAAACAAAACAAAACAAAAACTCCTGCAGCTAGCTTGGTGTCTGCTCAAATGGCCACCCAGTTTTGTGCTTGAAACCCAGGGCCCTGGTGGTGTAGGCACCCGAGGGAATCTCCTGGTCTGTGGGATGCGAAGACCTTGGGAAAAGTGTAGTATCTGGGCTGGAATGCACTGTTCCTCCAGGCAAAGTCCCTCACAGCTTCCCTTGGCTATGGGAGGGAGTCCCCAACCCCTTGCACTTCCCGAGTGAGGTGACAGAAGGAGCCAAGAAAGAGCCAAGAGACAGGAAAGGAAGTGATTTCAAGTTTAGGACAATTTAACATAAATTTAAGGAAAATAATTTTTAAAATCTAAAGCAGGAAGTGTTTCCTCAACTATAAGACCAAGAACCAGACCATTGGAAGTTAAGTGAAATAAATATTGAAAGTTATTTTAGGGCTCTTACCAGATGAAAAAAATAATTTCAAACTGGCTCAGGAAAAGACAGAAGAAAACAATAAAAAAACAGCAGCCAAAAATACAAGTAAACTAATTTAGTATTTAATCTTGCCAACATTAGTTATAGATGATTTGTAAGAAAAAGTCTGGCAGAATTCCACAAGAGAATATTAGAAATAGAATTAAAGAAAGAGTCTAGGCTTGTTGGCCATCCTCTCTTTGTGAATTCTCATCTGAATCTTCATTCTAAGCTGGAAATTCCTGTAGAATAGTTTATTTATGCAGCTTTCACAGTCAGAAAGATAGAGGAAAAATGAAAAAACTGAGGTGAAAACCAATGGCATACAAGGTGATGGTAAAAGAAAGGAGCATGCCAAATTCTTGGAGGCTGCAAGGTGCTAGGTAACAATATAAGTAGACACAAAGAAATTGATTACAAATTAGCCAACCATAATAATTTTGCAGTGATTTAAAAGCAATTAGGGTCGCATCATCATGTTAAAATCGCTTTAATATTCAACTTATCTGTCACCTGTCAAAACAAGTTTTTTTAAATAGTTTTCATGTAAAATATTTGGTTGGAAATTCAAGAAGATTCAATCTTTGATTATATTTTAATGAATAAAGGACATGAATAAAATAAATCCTACCAACAATCGGATTGATTTTTATTATAATATATACTGATGATTGAAATTTGCAGGGATAATTTTATGATTAAAATTTATGTGCCTGGATATGCCAGAAACCAGATAATAAATGCACAGAGAAATGATACACCTTCAGTTTGGCACATTAGATTTATTGATTTTGAGAGAGATTTATGTTAAGGACTTTCTAAAGTTGTGTTTTCAAATGACCCCCAACACCAAAAGGCTGACCTTGTATAGAAAGAATTATCGGTCATTTAAAAAAAATTTCTCCTGACCAATATCCAATTCAATCTATTAAAAACAAGGGGAGAAATTTGTTTGAATGAAGAACAACATTTCATAGGAAGAATTTATGAGTAATTATCTTAGAAAATATGGTTTTTCTCATTTCCTCACCTCACTTCCTCCTAAAATGTTTTGGATAGTTCCCAAGTGTTATTTCATATACTTAAATCCAAGGTGTAATAGGTTACTCTATTTCCCTGTTGATTTTAACTCTAAAATGTGGATTCAGGATTACACTCCACTTCTCTATTACTAGTTTAGCTTTTTGGCATGTTATCTTCTTTTCAAATTTTATTCTAATGTAACAAAATTGCTCTCTAACAATTCACAGAAGAAAACAAATTGATGTTTTGCTTAATTCTTTAACTTTTTTTCTTATTTTTACTGCTATATATAGACAAGTTCAAAGCTATGTCTTATATCTGAGAAAATAAACCCTGCATGCCAGACACCAAGAAATATTCAATTTGTAGTAGCTGAAAACTATAATCTGAATGTTAGGATATTCTTTTATTATTGTTGCTATTATTATGTTATTATAGTTCAAGAAAGTTATCTCAATTTACCCTCTGAGGTAAAATATTATCCCTTTGGTAGGTCTTATTACGGCAAGACATGAGCTTTTAAATATTTTTATTAACTTGATACACAGTTTTTTTTTTGTTTGTTTGTTTTTTGTTTTTGACAGAGTCTCGCTCTGTCACAAGGCTGCAGTGCAATGGCACAAACTTGGATCTCGGCTCACTGCAATCTCTGCCTCCCAGGTTCAAGCAATACTTGTGCTTCAGCCTCCCAAGTAGCTTGGATTACAAGCACATACCACCTTGCCCAGCTAATTTTTGTATTTTTAGTAGAGACAGGGTTTCACCATGTTACCTAGGCTGCTCTTGAACTCCTGACCTCAGGTGATCTACTTGCGCTGGCCTCCCAAAGTGCTGGGATTACAGGTGTGAGCCACCATGCCCAGCCTCACAGTCGCTTTCTTGACAGGCTATTTGAAGAGTTTTCACACAGTTATTATAACGACATTAATCAGCAGCATGTAATCTATATTTGAAATGTTAAATCTATTGCACAATTATTTCTGTATTTTATTTATGTTCTTTTTATGAAAAATGTATTTCTTTCTCTGAAGTTTTTTTATTTCAGTATTTAGGAGGTACAAGTGCAGCTTTGTTACATGGATACACTGCACAGTGGTGACATCTGGGCTTTCAGTGTACCCATCATCCAAATAGTAAACACTGTACCCAGTAGGTAGTTTTCCAACCTTCCCACCCTCTCATCCACCTTTGGGAGGCTCCAATGACTACTTTTTAACTTTGTATGTCCATGTGTACCCATTGTTTAGCTCTCACTTATACATGAGAACATGCAGCATTTGACTTACTGTTTGAGTTTTTTCACTTAAGATAATGGCCATCAGTTCCATTCATGTTGAAACAAAACAAACAAACAAAAAAACTCTGATTTCATATTTTTTAATGGCTGAGTAGTATTCCATGGTGTGTGTGTGTGGATACACACCATCTTTTCTTTATCCAGTCCTCCACTGATGGACACAGGTTGGGTCCATGAGTTTGCTACTATAGTGTTGCAATAAACACACAAGTGCAAGTGTCTTTTTTATGTAACGATTTTGTTTCCCTTTGGTAGATATCCCGTGGTGGGATTGCTGGATCAAATGGTATTTTTAGTTCTAGTTCTTTGAGAAATCTTGATACTGCTTTCCATAGAAGTACTAGTTTATATTCCCACCAACAATGTTTAAGTGGTTACTTTTCTCTTTATTCTTGATGACATCTGCTGTCTTTTGACTCATTAGTAATAGCCATTCTGACTGGTGTAAGATGGTATCTTATTGTGGTTTTAATATGCCTTTCTCTGATGATTAGTGATGTTAAGCATTTTTTCATGTGCTTTTTGACCACATCCATGTCTTCTTTTGAAAAATGTCTATTCGTGACCTTCGCCCACTTTATAATGGAGTTTATTTGTGTTTTTTTCATTGAGTTGTTGGAGGTCCTTGTGGAATCTAGATATTAGATTTTTGTCAGATGCACAGTTTGCAAATGTTTTCTCCTGTTCTGCACATTTTGTTTACTCTGTTGATTATTTCTTTTGCTATGCAGCACATTCAAAAGATTACATAATAGAATTAAGTGGGGTTCACTCCTGGTATACAAGGATGGTTCCTGAGAAATATCTTTCTAATAAACTCTACTATTCTTCAATGCAAATATTCAAATTTGAAAAAAAAAACGTTTATTTCTCATGTGGCTCCAAGTAATTATTATTATTTTTTATTTTGCAAATATATTTGTGTATCTACTACATGCAGTCACTACTCTAAGCATTGAAAGTGAAATGGTAAGTCAAATGAAAGTTGCTTCAGCCTCTCTGGTGAGTACAGATTTCATTAAGAAAATGGATATTCTGATATAAATTAAAGAAACATAATTTCAAAGTAAGGAAAAGTACAGAGTACTGTGAAATTTTAAAAGGTAAAAGGTGAACTGCTACATTATGTATGTAATGTAATGGATGAATTTCCTGAATAGGTGAACATTTAGTTGACATCTAAAGAAAAAGTAGGAATTAATAAAGCTAATAAATGAAGAAATACCACATATTAGAAATATATAAAGTTCCAAGGGAAAGAGGGAGAACAGTGGTGTCAAATAACTGAAAGACAGTGATTGTTATCCCCATTTTGAGCTAAGGCTTAGAGTGACATAATCTTACAGTAGCCTAGAGTGACTTTATCAACATCTCACTGCTAAGCAGATGGAAGTATATCTAAATTCAAACTGTTTTTTTCTTATGATAAAATCTCCTGATGGTATAGTTAAATCCAAAATTGTAATCACAATATGGAAGAACTGTCATGGTTTGGCCTCTCTTACGATCTAATTTTCTATTCCATTTTATCATATGACATATATTCCAGCCAAATAAAATGGTAATATCTTAGAAATCACAAACCAAACCTCATTCATATTTCTAGCCCCTCAGGACCTGGCAAAATATCTTGCTGTTGTAGAAACTCAATACATATTTATTGAATTATCATTGAAATTCCTATTGCCATGAAAGTGTGGTTTCAACTGTAAAACAGAAAATGTATAGTGCATATCAAACAAAATGCAGAAGTAGTTTTGTTTATTGTTGCAATTTTTTTTGAGTAGAAAAATGTACTTCACCAACATAATATGATAAACAAATTTTTATGATAACTGTTGCCCAACATAGAGTGGGTCATTTTCAGTAAAGGATTAATTAACCCCTTAGGAAAAGAAGTATGGTCTCAAATATATAAAATTATATAAAATTATAAAATATTTTAAAGATTTTTTTCATAAACAAATAATTTATGTCATCTTGCTTCATTTTACACAGTTTTAAAGAGGGCTTAAATGTTAAATATTTTTGAAATATAGTAGGCTATGAAAAACAATAATTAATATTTCTTATCTCAGAAACCCAGTTCATTGTTGCCTGCAATTCTGTGACCTGCTTTGTATAGTCAATTTATAATGGAGAATTGTCATATGAATTAATAAACTGATAAGTTCACTTTTCAATTACACTTACAAAGTGACATTACTAAATAAACTCATTTTCTAATTATAAAATACAATTGAGGTATTATTTGAGTTACATTCATTAGTAAAGTTTCTAATTCAATTCTAAAGCTTGATGGTTGGCATTTTATTATGATGACTTACATTCTTGGTATATAGTGGTTTTGTTATATTATTCCTTTTTTTGTGTATGTCCCTATTGCACTTATGCCTTCTAACCAGTTATCTGACTCTAAGCTCTGTCTGTTTAGGGAGAAACCTGTAACAAAGCCTAAGACAACAACTTTGAGTGAATACTTCTCTATGATGAAGCACGAGTTTTTATTACTCCTCTGCCGGTAGATAGGGTAGGGTGAGACATCCACAGAGATGGCGATGAATAATTTAAATAAATTTCTTACTTAAATGTCACAGCAATCTTTTCAGGAATAAATACTTCCCATTCCCATTTAATATGAGGAATGAGGTACTCTTCTGGACACACAGCAGTAAGAATTATTTGGCTGTTTTCCTCCTATAATTAGGGTCCATATAGTTGTAGCCTCCTCAGTTATCCATGAAGCTGTGCTACTTCTTAGGTGGTAGACCCACTGGTTGTGTTTTTGCTTGAGATTGCTTAACAGAGCTCTCACTCTTCTGTGTTCTATCTGTATGAGCTTGGGAAATTTATGTAAGCTTCCTAAGCTCCAGTTTATTTCTATGTAAAATAAAGATAATAATAACACTCATATTTTAGGGTTATTGGGATAAGTAAATAGCATAAAGTGTGTAAAAAACACAGCCTGCTGCCTGGCACTGAATCACTTTTGCTGATATTATTTTTTTAATTAATTAATTAATTCATATTTTTTAACTGAAAAATAAAATTGAATATATATTATGGTAGGCAACATGATGTTTTAAAATGTGTATACATTAAAGAACAGCTAAGTCAAGCAAATTCCCCTCAGGACCTGGCAAAATACCTTGCTGTACTAGAAACTCAATAAATATTTATTGAATTTTCATTAAAATTTCCATTGCCAATTAAGTGTGATTTCAACTATAAAAAAACATATTTGATAGTGTATATCAAATAGAAAAGTAGAAGAGATTTTGTTGGTTGTATTTGTTTTGAGAATAAAAACTAATTTATACAAAATAATATGATAAATAATATGCACTAATTTACATACTTATTTTTCTGTGTTTGGTGAAAACACTTAAAATCTATTCTCTTGGCAATTTTCAACTATACAATGTATGTTATTAACTACAGTTTCCATGCTGTACAATAGATCTCAAATTTATTCTTCCTAACTAAAACTGTGTATCCTTTGACCAGCTGTTATTATTCTTAATTGCAGAAACATTAGAAACTAACCTAAGCAGAATTTGAGGCTCCTTCTTAGCCTCTTGTGTTTAAATAAGTTACCTCTATTCCAGGCATCTGTAGAACTAGAACAGGTTTACTACCTCTAAGGATTTTTTAAAGATAAAAAGGATATGTGTAAAGTGCTCCTAGCACAGTGCCTGACATATTGTAAGGACTTCACACACAAATGTTTCTTACTAGTCATTGTATGAATTATCTTGGTTACGACTTTAATGAAAAGGGAATGGTGTGCCAACAGCAGATGCAAGGACCACCAGCTGAATTTTAAATCTTTATGAGTTTTTAAATCTTTATGGGACACTATTTGTGTAACAGTATTTGGGTTGGGAGAGGTCCTCAAAGGTGCCAAGTTGCAAGTGTATGATTTATGTGGCTGTTCAGAGTAATAGGTTATAAAGAGACTTGGTTATTAACATGGTAAATCTGCTTTTTAAAGTTTAACAGCATTACATAATTAAATCAGAACTTATGTTTTTAATGTATAATAATGCAAATTTTACAACCTTTTAGAATATAGGTTTTTAAATTAATTTTGCCAGAGCAAATACCTTAAAGTATGTAGACTTATTTAAGTAACTCTTTAAGCACATTAAGCAGCTACCTTATTATTATTAAAGTAGCCTCAGTGAAATTACAAGTATGGTCTTATTAAAATACTTTAATTTTAAATATAAAATTTATTTTTCTTGTTTCTGTGAAAAGGCTTTACTAATTACCAAGAGACATCTGTGGAAACACTGTAAGCTTGGTGATCAGCTGTAAGAATTTGGTGATAAGAACCAATCATTATATAATTAAAGATTTAAAGTTATTATTTGTATAAAATTAGCTACTAAACACTTTTTATTATTTCAGAATATGACTAGCAACATTTACATTATAACTGTTTTGATTTTACTAAGTTTTACATTATCTTATTAAATCATATCCAGAGGTGAGTGATTTATAAAATTTATAGGAAACAATCTGAGGATTACAGATGATGAATGCTGTGTATCTGAACATGGGCGTTCCCATACATGGTTCTTTAACTAAATTCAACTATATGTGATCACTTGCATATATAAATATATATATGTACATACACATATATACATATATATAAAACTCTTAGAATTTGAAATGTATTCTGGTAAATATGACAGATTTATATGTTATTTATTTATATAGATGTAATTCAACAGATTAAGAACATATACAGGCAATTTACAAAATTATAAAAGGAGATTTTGACTATATGTGTCATACATATTCATTTTAGAACTTGGCTCAAATAAAATGAGGTACCTCTGCACATGTTTTCAACATTTGTGCAAACAACATAATTTTAATTAACATTTTACTCAGTGTGCTATACAGCAAAAAAATTATTAAATGTATCAGTGATATAAGAAAAATAAATCATTATGTTTTTAGTTACGTGATTATTTTCTGCTATTTATTTTACTCAACTTTATAGAGGTATAATTGACAAATAATTATATATATTTAAAGTGTACGAGGTGATGTTTTGATAAACATATGAATTGATTACCACTATAACACTAATTAATATAGCCATCCCCTCACATCGTTACTGTCTTGCATACGCTGAGAACATTTAAGCTCTCTTAGCAAATTTCAAGTGTACAATACAGCTTACTGACTCTAGCCACCATGCTGTACATTAGATCTGCTTCCTTTAAATTGAAACTTTGTACTCTTTGATCAACATGTTTGAGCAACAAAGGCCAACCCTGGTAACCACCTTCCTATTATCTGCTTCTATTATTTAGACTTTATTAGATTCCACATTTAATGAGATCATATAGTATTTGTCTTTCTGTGCTTGGCTTATTTCACTTAGCATAATGTCCTCCACATTCATTCATGTTGTCACAAATGACATAATTTTCTGCCTTTTTTTTGGAGTTGGGGGGACAGGGTCTCACTCTGTCTCCCAGACTGGAGTGCAGTGGCTAAATCTCAGCTCACCGCAACCTTCGCCTCCCAGGCTCAAGCGATTCTCCTGCCTCAGCCTCCTGAGTAGCTGGGATTATAGGCACATGCTACCACCATCCAGCTAATTTTTGTATTTTTAGTAGAGATGGGGTTTCACCATGTTGGTTAGGCTGGTCTCAAACTCCTGACCTCAAATGATCCACCTGTCTGGGCTTCCCAAAGTACTGGGATTACAGGCATGAGGAACCAGGCCCTGCCAATTTTCTGCTTCTTCAGAAGAAAATATTTTAGAAGCATATTTCATTGTATATTTACATCACCATATTTTTTAATCCATTGATCCATCAATTAGCTTGATTCTGTATCTTGGCTATTGTGAATAATACTGCAGTGAATATTGGGATGTAGATATCTCTTCAAGATACTAATGTCATTTCCTTTGGGTGTATACCTGGAAGTAAGATTGTTGGGTCATATGGTTGTTCTATTTTTAAATTTTTGAAGAACTTCCATACTATTTTTAACAATGGCTGTATCAATTTGCATCCCTACCAATAATATACAGATTTCCCTTTTCCGCACATTCTCACCAACACTACTCTCTTTTTATTTTTTCTTTTCTTTTTATTTTTTTTTTTGTTTTTTGTATGTACATAGTAGTTACATATATTCATGGGGTACATGAGATATTATGGTAGAGACACAAAATGTGTAATAATCACATCATGGAGAATGGGGTATCCAGCCCCCGATGCATTTATTCTTTGTGTTACAAACAATCCAATTACATTCCTTTAGTTATTTTTTAATGTACAAATAAATTATTATTAATTATAGCCACCCTGCTGTACCAGCAAATATTGTCCTGTTCATTTCTTCTAAATTTTTCTGTACTCATTAACCATCCACACCTCTCCCCCGACCCCCACTACACTTCCCAGTTTCTGGTAACCATCCTTCTATTCTCTATCTCAATGAGTTCAATTATTTTGACTTTTTAGATTCCACAGATAAGTGAAAACATGCGATGTTTTTTCTGTGCATGGCTTATTTCACTTAACATAATGACCTCTAGTTTCATTTATGTTTCATTCCACTTGAGTTTTTGCAAATGACAGACTCATTCTTTTTTATGGCTGAATGGTACTCTACTGTGCGTAACTACCACATTGTCTTCATCTATTCATCTGTTGATGGACACTTAGGTTGTTTCCAACACTTTTTATCTTTTATCTTTTTGATGATAGCCATTATAAAAAATGTGAAGTGATAGTGTGATTTTGATTTGCATTTCACTGATTATAAGTGAGGTTGAACATTTTTTTCATATACCTGTTGCCATTTGTCTTCCTTCTTTTGAGAAATGTCCACTCAGGTCTTTTGTTCATTTTTTTTTTAACTGGGCTATTTGTTTTCTTGCTATTGAGCTAAGTTTCTTTCTTTCTTTTTCTTCCTTTCTTTTCTTCTTTTCTTTCCTTCCTTCCTTTCTTTCTTTCCTTCCATTCTTTCCTTCCTTTCTTTCTTTCCTTCCTTTCCTTCCTTCTTTCCTCTCTTTCCTTCTTTCCACTCTTTCCTCTTTTTCCTCTCTTTCTCTTTCTTTCTCTCTTTCTTTCTTCCTTCACAGTCTTGCTCTGTTGGCCAGGCTGGAGTGCAGTGGCATGATCTCAACTCACTGCAACCTCCATCTCCAGGGCTCAAGCAATTCTTCTGCCTCAGCCTCCTGAGTATCTGGGATTACAGGCATGAGCCACTGCTCCTGGCCAAGTTTCTTGTATATTTTGGATATTAACTCCTTGTTGTATATATGACTTGCAAATATGTTCTCCCATTCCATTGGTTTTCTCTTCACTCTGTTAATGTATTCTTTGCTGTGCAGATGTTTAGTTTGATGGAATCCAATTTGTCTACTTTTTCGTTTTGTTGCCTGTGTTTTGGGGGTCATAACCAAAATAATATTTCCAAGATCAATGTCAAGAAGTATTTTTTTAATGTGTTTTTTTCTGGTAGTTTTATAGCTGCAGGTCTTATATTCAAGCCTTTTATTTTGGATTGCTTTTTGTATGTGGTCTGAGATAAGCATCCAGTTTCATTCTTCTGCATGTAGACATACAGTTTTCTTAAAAGCATTCATATTTTTCTATTGTGTGTTCTTGGAACTTTGTCAAATTATCAATTGACTGTAAATGTGTGGATTTATTTATGATACCTTTATTTTGTTATTGTTCTATATGTCTGTTTTATGACAGTGCCATACTGTTTTTATTAGTAAAACTTTGAAGTAGATTTTGCAACCAAATAGTGTGACAACTCCAGCTTTGTTTTTTGTTGTTTGTTTGTTTTTTCTCTATATTGCTTCAGCTATTCTGGGCTCTTAGTAATTTTATATGAGTTTTAGCTTTTCTTTTCCTATTTTTGTGAAAAACGCCATTGGGAGTTTGATAGGAAGTGCACTGGATATGTATACTGCTTTGAGAAGTATAAATAAAATAAGATTAATTATTCTAATCCATAAATATGATATATCTTTCTATTAATTTGTGGCATCAACTTCCTTCATCAATTTTTATTGTTTACGGTATCCAAATCTTTCAAATTCTTTGCTATATTTATATTTATATTTTAACTTTTTGATGCTATTGTTAATGGGATTGTTTTCATAATTTGTTTTTTTAATAGTTTGACGTTTGTTTCTATACAACTGTTTCTTTTTATGTTGACTCTGTATCCTGGAACCTTACTGAATTTGTTTATTAGCTTAAATAGTTTTTGGTGTAATATTTAGTGTTTTTTATATATTAAGAAAATGTCATCTGCAAACAGAGGCAATTCTACTACTTACTTATTGTTTAGATCATTTTATTTCTTTTTCTTGCCTTATTGTTCTGGCTAGAACTTCCAGAACTATATTAAATAAAAGTGACGAGAGTGGCAATTTTTGTCTTTTTCCTGATCTTAGAAGACAAGCTTTTAGTTTTTCTTGATTGATGTGGTTTGGCAATGTGTCCCCAGCTAAATCTCATCTGGAATTATAATTTATAATCCCTTCGTGTCAAGGGAGGGAGGTAAATGGATCATGGGGCAGTTTCCTCAATGATGTTGTTGTGAGTTGATGTTCTCATCAGATCTCATGATAGTGAGTTCTCAAAAGATCTGATGGTTTTATAAATGTTTAGAAGTTCTTCATTTACTCTTTTCTTTCCTGCTGCCTTGATAAGAAGGTCTTTGTTTCCCCTTCACCTTCCACCGTGATTGTAAGTTTCCTGAGTCCTCCCTAGCCATGTGGAACTAGGTGTCAAAACTTTATCCTTTATAAATTACCCAGCCTCGGGTATTTCTTTATAGCAATGTGAAAATGAACTAATACAACCATTGAGTATGTTAGCTGTGGGTTTGGCATATATGGTTTTCATTATTTTGAAGGTCATCCTTTTATTCCCAGTATGTTGAGAATTTTTATCATGAAAGTGTATTAATTTTTATCTCAAGTATTTTCTGCACCTATTAAGATGATCACGTAATTTTTATCCTGTATTATGCTAATATGATGTATTTCTGTTATCTTATAAGTTTGGTTTCAATGGTTAACAAATCAAGGGCCTTTTGGCTGGGCAAGGTGGCTCACACCTGTAATCCCAGCACTTTGGGAGGCTGAGGCGGGTGGATTACCTGAGGTCAGGAGTTCGCCAACATGGTGAAACCCTGTCTCTACTAAAAATACAAAAATTAGCCAGGTGTGGTGGCACATGCCTGTAATCCCAGCTACTTGGGAGGCTGAGGCAGGAGAATTGCTTGAGCCTGGGAGACGGAGGTTGCAGTGAGCCGAAATCATGCCACTGCACTCCAGCCTGGCCGACAGAGAGAGACTCTGTCTCAAAAAGAAAAAAAAAAGGGGGGGGCCTTTTAATTAATTGCAAGCTGATGTAACATTATAAGCTATTTATTGATAAGGTTAATCAATTATTATTTGTCTTTAAATTCAAATATCCATATACAACCTAAATTCAAATATAAGAAATTAAGTAAGATATGAGGAAATCATACTGGCACAGTTAAAAATAATTACATTCAGGATAAATCATTAATTCAGTCAGCACAAATGAGGGTCATATAGCAAGCAATGTTCTAGGCACCAGAGATACAACAATGAATAAACAGAAAGACAAAAGAAAAACATTGCCTATAAGAGTTTTCCTTCAGTGAGAAAATCAGGTAAGAACTAAGGTAAATAATTAAAATAATTACATGGTAAATGGTGATACTTGCTGAAGAGAGAAATAAAGGATGTTATAGAAGGTGGTTGTTGGAGAGTTGCATAACAAGAAGTATTGGAGTTTTCAAAATTAAACATAATAGATGGGAAGAGTTTCATTGAGAAAGTGACAATTTGTTAAACAATTGAATGTGGAGAGGAAGTAAGCCAGCAGGTAAAGGAGGGAAGAACATTTTAGGTAGAGCAAACAGAAATACAGATGGCCTGAGGTAGAAGCATGCCTAGCATGTTTATAAAAGAGTTAGGAGATCAGTATGAGAAAAAAGATAGCAACAGGAAAAGAAGTCAGAAAGATAAAGGGGGCTTAAAATGTGTAGAGCCTTTTCGAATATTATAAGAAATTTGATTTTTACTCTGTGGTGGGAATACACTAGATGTTTCGCTATAAGAATAATATGGTCTGACTTCTGTTTTGACTGGATCATTCCGATGACTGTGTCAGGAAAAGATTGGAGCTGTTTAAGGGTGGAAGCCAAGGCACTATTTGGAAGACTGGTGAAAATAAATCAGGAAAAATATGATGGTGGTTTAGGCTAGGATGGAAGCAGTAGAAATAGTGAGAAGTGGTCAAGATTGCTGAAGGCCTTTGTTTAGTCTAGGGTGTAATATAAAGAGAGGAGTCGGGTAAGATACTGAGTTTTTTGGCCTGTGCAGCTTGAAAATAAAATTGTCTTTTGCAGAGGTGGTGAAGAAACAAACTTATCGGGATAGAAAGGATGAGGAGCTCAGTTTTCAGTATGCTGATTTGATATTCTTATTATACATGTGGATGAAAACACCAAATAAGAAGTTCATTATGAGTAAAGTGAGGAGAGAGCTGTGGTCTCAAGATACCAATACAGAAGTTGTTGGAATATTTAAAGAAATTAAGTATTCTCCAAGGATTTAACAAAACTTAAAAAATAAATGAAAAGGAAATTCAAAGAGGTACATTTGGGACAACTCTTAGGGTTTGGGGAAGATGAGCTCATAAATCAAAGATGAGCAGAAACCCCCATAAATATAGAAGATAAACTGTGAAATGGTGGATTACAGGAAACCAGATGAAAACACGAGGTGGGAATGAGGGATGAACTTTGACAGTAGAATGGGTATTGAGAATTGATTTTACTCTAAACTTTTAGTTAGAATTCTGAAATTCAAAGGAATCTTAGTTTATTCAAAACAATATAATAATTTTATAAATTAGAAAGTGAAGATAATTTTTAATTATGTTTCAATACTGACCAGATAATTATATTAATAGAAAGTTGTGACCATATTCAAGAATAACAAATAACCGATTCTCAGACTACACATATAGAAATCTATGAGTGTAGAAATGAAGTTTTCTGGGACTAAAAGCATGTAAAACAAGAGAAAGAAGACATAATTCTTGGCTCTTTAAAATAATAACTCTGAGACAAAAATACCCAGTTTTAGACTAGTGTTACTTTTTCTTCATCCTCTGCTCATTACCTCCTTTGCTTTTCATGTCTCTAATTGTTTTTCCTTTGGCCACTCCTTACTTGACTGGACATTTTCTGCCACACTCAAAAGTGTAGAGCTTAGTGGCATACTGAAAATTTTCTGCTTGCCTTCTGAATTAAATCTGAGGTTCACTGGCCGCCTTCTAATTATTTCACCTCCTTTATTTCTCCTTGTTGCAGTTTTACTGAGCCCCTTATTTTGACAGGTATGATTGATGTTCTTATAACACATTTATAATCTCTAGCCAATTGGCATTTAAAGCATAGACTTCTGGGCATTTTCTTAAACTTCTTAATTTTTAATATACTTTTGTGTAAGAATGAAAATCCCTTTGTTCACTTCTCGGACCCCTTCATGGTTTAGTCTCACCATGTGACTAGTTCTGGCCAATGAACTGTTAAAGAACGTATAGTAACACTCCCAGGCCAGGGTACTTAATTGCCAATAATAAGATCCTCTAGAGTTTCCTCCACTCTTGCACATTGATGGCAATTTGAGATTGGCGTTGCTCCAGCAGTCAGCGTTCTTAAGAACTGTGATAAGCAGAGCATGCTCTCCCCTCTCTACTGAACTGTGATAAGCATGGTGAAAAAAAAAAAGTCCTTGTTGTTTTAAACCCTTTAGTTTGAGGTAGTTTTGGTTTTTGTTTGTGTGTTTTAGCACAGCAAAATCTAGCTAGTCCTCCCTGAAACAGACTTGTAAGAAATTTGTTTCCAAAATTCCTCAAACAAATTAGGAATCAGTGTTAGATTGACCAGGTATAGCGGAGCTGGCTTCCTTTTTTAATTTTCCATTTAAAGTATGTATTTCTTAAGCACGTTTTCACATTGCTAACTTTTATTGTAAAATATTAATTTGTAAAAATATTTAAGAAATTTTAAATTTTAAAAATATAAAGTCAAATTTTAGATAAAACCATCATTGATAATCTCAACGTTATCTTTTAGTAATTATTTTTCAATCTTTTTAGTCTTATTTAAAAACCATTAAGATATTATTAATGAAAATTATAATAAAATACTCATAATAGCTTTTTTGGCATTAATTACCTTCCAAGCACTGTTCAAAAAGCTTAATATATATTAATTTGTCAAATGTTTACAACATCCCCTGAAGTAGTTATTATCTCCATTAAATGGTTGAGAAAATAGAGACAAAGAGAGAACAGCTTGCCCAAGACCACTCAATTAGTAGTTTGTGGAAGACGTTTTGTGAGCGTAGTAGTAGAAAGTCTAATAGGATCTGCACTCTTAGTGACTACTTTTCTGTGTGATTAAATGCTTCTTATCCACATTGTTTTAGATGTTTCATAATGCAATGGACATTTCACTTTTGTTGGATATTGATATTGTTTCCAATATTTTACACTACTCATTTTGAAATCAATACTGCTTGGCAAACTTTGCTCCTTGTATTTTAGATTATTCAAAACTTACCTGCCTAGAAGTTTATATCTTGTTGTAAAGAACATAAATATTTGTTGGCATTTGAGTAAAAATTGCATATACATACTTCAAAAAAATTATTGCATTAGCTTAAACAACTGCTAGCAGTATATGAAAGACTGCCCTTTGTAAGGACTTGGGTGATGATTCTAGCCCAGAATTATGAGATAAAATAAGGTAGATGGATGAAGGCTCTCTCATGTTTGAGACAAGAAATATCTGAAGGACAATATTATATTATACAATTCCTTTAATCTGCCTATCTAGTGACTTGCCCAAAATCTACTTTCCATACACTTAGCCATAAAATAGGCATATTCTGAATTCACATTGTTTTGAACAAATGTAAAATAACACAGTGTCCAATACTAGGAAATAAGCTGATAAACTAAAGAAATCCAGTGCAGTGCTGTATCAGAACTAATGGAAATGTCACACTGAAACTTTAAATTAAGAGGACACTATAAACCCATAATACGGTACATCAGTGCAAGCACATAAGAAAATGTTTACCAGATTGAAATAACAAAGAAGAACAAATGAACCTAATCAAGGAATGGATAACAAAATTACTATGCTTCTTTTGTTAAACATTAATTTTTCATAGTCTTTAAAAGGATTTGACTCCTGTAGTTATAGAATATATAAAACTCATTGCTGGTGACACCGATTATTATGTATCGTGAACTCGATGTGTTAGCAATGAAATGAAGCATGTTTAAATGTAGGGAGTGATGCTGACAGAATCCTCTGAACCCTTTTAATTTGCATTGTAAGTAGATTTTGAGAGGTAATTGGTTTACCAGAAGAAAGAATATTCTTTATTTTTTCCTATTACCTTATGTTTGAGTTGAGCATGGGCTCTGAGTTTCAACAGTTCTAGAAGAGTCCTTACCTTCAAAGTTACACCTTTGTTTAGCAACTCTTATGACCCTGCTTAGTTTCTATGGTTTATTCAGAAACCATAGAGAAAAAGAAAAAAATGATTGAAATATTAAAACTGCTTTGTAGTCTTTATTTCTAAGAGGAAAATATGGCCCCATCAGTGTCTAAAATAAAACCTTGGCTGTTTAACTGTGACAAGTTACTTAAATTTTCTAATTCTTAGTTATTTATTTTAGAAACTTATAACCACTCTGTCTACTCAAAAGGTTGTTGTAAGGTCATCAACTTTGAATAGGCAAGAGTATGTATAATCGTGTAAATCATAAAAATTATATAAGATAGAAAAATATTAAGTACTGTGAGAAATCCAATATTTAACTAATGTTTACTAAGCAATTTTATTCTTACTACTAATTGCTATATGATTAGGTTTTTAAAATCCCATTCCTAGCATGATCTAAATGGCTTTTCACAATGTTTTAGATCACCTTGCTTTTGTTTATTTTGTGACCTCAGTGGTTACTGAGTGGAAGTACCAAATAATAGTTGAAGTACTGAAGTGACAGCCCATTGATTCAGGTTAAAAGCGGATTTCTCAGACTGACATTCAAGATACATCATTACTAGTATCCAACATCATATTCAATCTTCAGTAATAAATAAAATTTTGACTTAGTCAACTAACATCTCTCATCCATTTCTATTTCTGTTTTTCATTACTCATTATGACTATGAACAAAAATTAATTTATGATAATTCACCTTTAACAAACCTCTCGACTGCTATGTCGATGAAACCAAATGGTATTGTGTGACCCAATGGAAAATATCACTCCTCTTTCTGAATATCTTTAGCATATATTATACCCTTTGGAATTTGATATTAATTACCTTGTTAAGTTGTCCGGAGATATGTTATTTCCTCAATTCAATTGTAAGTTCTTCAATGTCAGAGATTGTGTCTTATGCTAGACATAATTTCCCTTTGCAGCACCTATGATAAAACCATATAAATAATATATAATAAATAATCAATAATTATTTTATGTATTAATCATTTTTAAATGTTATGCTCTGAGCTCCATGATTTCAAAAATTCTTGTCTCGTTTTCACAGTGCTTAAAAATGAATACACATCTATTATAACTCTACGTGGTATTTAATTGTATACTTTTAAATATAATATGAGGTAAAATAAGTTCTTGAATGGAAGAGCTATGCTAAATTTCCTCCTTGAGACATTAATAAGGGACCACAGAGAGCATTCTTTGGAACCCTCAGATTTGCATGACTGCTTAGCCAGATATAATAAATTGTAGATATTTAAGATGATCTATCATCTTCTAATTCCAAAGATAGATCAGTATGAGAATAGAGGAATCAGCAAGATAATTAAGAAAACCCATTATAGGGTTTATAGATAATCTTGTTAAAAGGTTTGGCGATATTAATTTTTTGTAGAATTCCCTTGAAATTGAAAAGGATCACTGGCATTCTTGGCAATCTGAGAAGAGATAGTTATGTGCTAGATGGGACAAAAAGAGCTATCATATGAATTGGTTCTACAAATAAATAATAAAAATACACTTTATTTTCTAAATGTTATTTTCATAGTATTTCTAAGTATGAATTGTGCATCTTTTCTTCTATTACTGAATATAAAATCAATATGTAACTATATAATTGTATGGCATTTAAAAATTGCTTGAGCCCAGATTTTAGGCCCTATAGCTCAATCAAATATAGTTATTTAAGAATATACTGATCTGGGAGTAGAGACTTCAAGGCCATGGCCATAATGCATGTTGAATTGCACTCAGGCAACTTGCTGTTAGAAGTGTTAGTAATGATCTCTGCCATGTGATGGAAGGCACTTCCACTTCATATATTGACATTTCCTTTGATATTTACATAATGTATATTTCAAAAATGATCAAACAAAGTGCTGGTTTATAGCACAGAAAGTAAAATTTGAATTTTGATGTTTACTTAGCGGATGCAGAACATTAGAAATGTAGTGTAGTGTATTGAATCCCATATTTATTCTAACTTTGTAGAAAGTCCCCAAGTAGTAAGATTTGTGGGCTTCCATGCACTCCTTCAAGGACCTGTATAAGAAGGAAGGGAACATTCCTTTACATAGGAAAATCATAATGTGATATGATTTTTAGCTTCAAATGCTGAATCCTACACTAACATAGTTGATTTAGTGGAAAAAGAACTTTTGTTACTAGTAGATTTCATAACTTTATGCAGAAAAACAGGTTAGAATTGAACTCTGTTGTTGGAATTTTCCTGTTTCACAGATGTCCCTGCTCAAAATTTTAGTACAGTTTTTCTAATGCTAATTATTCTTATAATATACAATTTGAGAATAAAAATAAAATTTCGTATCCCTGGCTAAGTATTATACTATTATTTCCTGAGGTAAATGTGTCAATCTCAACATTAAGTACAAAAAACAAATTAAAGGTGTCTGTAATATACTGATTATTAAACAAATAATGAGATGCATTTTACTAGAAGCTAGTTCAAAGTGACATGGCACCATTTAAAGCACACACACACACACACACACACACACACACACAGACACACACATACACCTGGGCCCCCAAATTTAATCTGTTTTTCCAAAAATGGAATTGAGAACTTGTTAACAGGAACCTGTAAATTGAAGTATGCTCTTATAAAAATGCAATATAAAAATTAGGCATCTGTTTGTCTGGAAATCAAGCTGCCTTCAAACATTAAAACAACACTTACTTGCTTCTAAAGTGAATAGAAAATAAGTCCTGGCTGTTATTTAATAGTTTTAAGTCACCATGACACTTCTGCAGGTGGGCTGTTGAATTGTCTAGTTGCTTGATGTTAAAGTGGACATTTTGAAAATAAATCTTGTATAGCTGTCATTAAAATAATATGATCTGGGTCTTCAGTTAGGTGATTACTTTGATGTGTTTATTCAACAATTTTCTGAAAAGGGGAAGTTAAATTGTCCTACGCATTAGTCGTAGGTTGGTTATTGTAACTACATTTATGTTTGTCTTTGACTCTGTGTCAAAATAATGGCAAATCTCAAATTGGAATGTATAGGATTGATTTAAATTGGAAAAGAACATTTACTTATTTTATAATATCCACCATATGATGTTTCAGACCTGACTGAATTTTAAAAGTTTTGAACAAGGGATGACAAGAAATAATTCAAAATAAAATATTTGTCCTCTCTAATTAGTATTCTCCATTTACAGTCATGTGTCACTTAATGATAGAAATATGAGAAATGCATCATTAGGTAATTTTGTGATGTGCAAACACCATGGAGTATACTCACAAAGCTTGATGGTGAACCTATATACACCTAGGCTATGGGGTATAGCCTATGGCTCCTAGACTACAAAACTGTAGTATTAGTTTGTTTTCACACTGCTGTAAAGAACTTCCTGAGCCTGGGTAATTTATAAAGGAAAGAGGTTTCATTGACTTACAGTTCTGCATGTTTGGGGAGACCTCAGGAAACTTACAATCATGATGAAAGGGGAAGCAGGCATGTCTTTTATGATGGCAGGTGAGAGAGAGAGCATGTGAGAGTACGGAAAAAACTACCGTCTATAAAACCATCAGATCACCTGAGAATTCACGAGAACAGCATGGGGGAATCTGCCCCCATGATCCAATCACCTCCCTCCCTCTACTCTACGTAGGCAGATTACAATTCTAAATGAGATTTGGGTGGGGACACAGAGCCAAACCATATCAGCATCTTACTGTACTAAATACTATAGGTAATTATAACACAATGGTAAATGGTACCTAAACATATCTAAGTGTAGAAAAGAAACACTAAAAATGAACTATCATAATCTTATGAGATCAGCATCATATTGCACTGAAATACTGCTATACAGCATGTGATTGTATTTACACATAAGGAGTCTCTGAGTATAAAGATTTTTGTTTTTGTTGCAGTTATTTAATTTTTTTACTACTATTTTAAGGATACAGTAAAATTTAAAGGAGAAGACCACTAGACAAGTGGAAAAATATGAAGAATAAGCAAATTGTTTTCCAGACTATTCATCAAATTCATAACATGGTAAAATAAAGAAGTTCCTTGTTATGGACTAAATGTTTGTGTCTTCTCAAACTTCACGTGTTAAAACCCTAACCCCTAAGGTGATGGTATTAGAAAGTGAAGCCTTTGGTAGATAATTATGTGGGAGTCTCCATGAATAGAATTAGTGCCCTTATGAAAAGAGACAAGAGAGTTTGTGCTTTCTCTATTCTCCACCAGGTGAAGCTACAAGAAAACCAAAAAACAGGCCCTCACTAGACACTAGATCAGTTGGTGTCTTGATCTTCGACTTTCTAGCTTCCAGAACTGTGAGAAATAAATTGCTTAAACCACACAGACTATGGTAATTTGTTACAGCAGCTTGAACGGACAAAGACACCCCTTCTCTTTGTTATTTATAAGATTGTCCTCAAAATGTGAAGGAAACTATTCTTAAGTCATGCAGCAGATACCATCATGCAAACACAGAATCATCTACCTTATCTTACTTGGGACAGCAGGGACTGTGAGTGATATTTCTGGCCATTGATCGAGGCCAGAAGTCAAAGTTTAGAACTGCCTCAGAAGCCAGGGATAAGGTTTAATATGAGGAAGTAAATATCAATCATAGAATCTATTACCTGAACTATTAAATCAAAACAAAAAAAATGTTATGAAAGCCAAATCCTAGGAGATTCACCTCAAAGCCATGAATGAATTCAGAATAAAACAGATAGAAGATAGATGACTCTACCCATCCTGCCTCTGTGATGCTAAAAACCAGATGAGAGACAGACTGGCCAGGCCTTCATGGCTTAAAGAGTCCAGGACATATTTTTGGACCAAGAGTAACTTGAAGAATCTAGTGTGGAAAATAATATCAGTGATGTCCTAAATGCTTTTGATCACAATTATAATATCAATAAAGATGGTTAACAGTGAGTTATTGTAAAACAATTTCCCTTGGTGTCGATCTTAAGTCTCAATTACTGTTGTCAGGAGAATGGAGTAGTTTATATGTATTGTAAATGCAACTAAATATATTTCAATAACTCATTCACTTTTGTAATTATTTTTCTTATGTTGATACTAAAATCCAATTTCATCTAGATACACCCAAAGATGTTTGGTGGTGACCGTCATTGGCAGTACTTGTCACAGGCAGTAGTCGATTATGGGAGAAAATTACAGAAATAGACTGGGGAAGAAAATGGCCCAAACAGGGAATTACATTTAAAAGCCTATGTTGAAGCTAAGTGTACATATCAAGAGATGAGAAACCTTTATATAAATTCGAGTGAAAAATATGAATGAAATTAAAAATCAGAAAACATTCAGGTTCTATGTATCAAGGAAATATAATCGGAAGACAGAATGGCATGATTGAATGGGCGTGGGCATAAGCTATAAAAATAGGAGTTCAAAACTTAGCTCCACTTCTTACTGGCTATAGCATATAAACCTCAGTTTCATCATCTAAAAGATGAGATTCATAATCCATAACTTACTGATTTGATATGAACATTAAATTTGAAAAAGTATATGAAACTTATAGCAAAATATCTTAGTAAATTAAATAAGCAATTGTCTGGCAAGCAGTCACTGAATCAGAGAGTCAAGAATGAGACTGAGCTGGTATATCCTCTTTTAAGAATTGTCTATTCATGTCCTTAGCCCACATTTTGATGGGATTGTTTGTCTTTTTCTTGCTGATTTGTTCGAGTTCATTGTAGATTCTGGATATTAGTCCTTTGTCAGATGTATAGATTGTGAAGATATTCTCCCACTCTGTGGGTTGTCTGTTCACTCTGCTGACTGTTCCTTTTGCCATACAAAAACTCTTTAGTTTAATTAAGTCCCAGTTATATATCTTTGTTTTTGTTGAATTTGCTTTTGGGTTCTTGGTTTGCCTAGCCCAATGTCTAGGAGGGTTATTCCAATGTTATCATCTAGAATTTTTATAGTTTCAGTTCTTAGATTTAAGTCCTTAATTCATCTTCAGTTGATTTTTGTATAAGGTGAGAGATGAGGATCCAGTTTCATTCTCCCACATGTGGCAATGGCCAAAAAGCATATGAAAAAATGCTCAACATCACTAATGCTCAGGGAAATGCAAATCAAAACCACAATGCAATACCATCTTATTCCTGCAAGAATGGCCATAGTCAAAGAACAAAAAAATAATAGATGTTGGTGTGGATGCAGTGAACAGGGAACACTTTAACACTGCTGGTGGGAATGTAAACGAGTACAATCACTATGGAAAACAGTTTGAAGATTCCTTAAAGAACTAAAAGCAGAACTACCATTTAGTCCAGCAATCCCACTACTGGGTATCTAACCAGAGGAAAAGAGGTCATTATACGAAAAAGATGCTTGCACATGCATGTTTATAGCAGCACAATTCACAATTGCAAAAACATGGAACCAACCCAAATGTCCATGTCCATCAATCAATGAGGGGATAAGGAAACTGTGATACATATATATATATATATATATATATATATATATATATATGTATGTATGTATGTATATATGATGGAATACTACTGAGCCATAAAGGAATGAATTAATGGTATTCACAGTGAACGTCTGGATGATATTGGAGGCTATTAATCTAAGTGAAGTAACTCAGGAATGGAAAACCAACCAAACATTTATGTTCTCTCTCATAAGTGGGAGTTAAGCTAGGAGGATGCAAAGGCACAAGAATGGCACAATGGACTTTGAGGGCTCAGGGAGAAAGGGTAGGAAGGGAATGAGGGATAAAAGACTACAAATAGGGTGCAGTGTATACTGCTAGGGTGATGAGTGCACTGAAACCTCATAAATTACCACTAAATAATTTACTCATGTAACCAAACATTACCTGTTCCCCAATAACCTATGGGAATGAAAAAAGACTGAGCTGGTAGTAATAAAAGAAGTAATTTTACCAAACCTACTGAAATATGAAATTCCAGGAGTCAGGACGTGGCCAAGCAATTTAGACACTAACAAATGTATTTGAGATACATTTATCTTTCCTATAAATATAGACAAGTATGATGATTTAAATATTTTCTGACATCTTTGATATTTTGCCTAAAATATAGTGGATGATCAATAATGAGTTGAACTAATACATATGTGTATAAAGTAGATAATAGGATGTAGTGAATCAGTGACCTATAATCAAGGTCTTTAGCTCCAGTACCAGGTAAGTAACTAGATAGGTGTGAGAACTTGAGCAGGTGATTTAGTCCCTGGAATCTGTATGACCAAATGAATGAAGCAATTTTTAGAATGTAGCAGATTTGATTTTCCCACATCACAAAAAATTTTAACTATTGTTTTCTTAACTCTGCTGCACATAATCCCTCAATTGAGTGTTTCTTGGGTTCCAATTACCAATATTGGCAATAAGTCTCCATGACATCATCAGACGTACTATTCAAATGCAATACAATTGCTGCTAACCTGTGTAAAACATAATTTAAAAAGTAAAACTACAATCGAAATGTCTGGGATTTTAAAGGAAATATACATGATATTAACATTACCTACATTGTGTATTACCCCCTCTGAATGGGAAACTTGAGAATGGATTGGGCAATCAATAATTGGGAGAGATTACTTTATACATACATATATACAATGCTAATCATCACTGTCTGTATAATCAACCACTGTATAGCTAAAGACAAATAATATCTGCCAGTATTTTTCAACCTTGCTCATGTTATATTATGGCCAGAAAACTTGGCTATGTGAAGAAAGACATTAATGGTTACAGAGGAATTAGAATAGAGACATTTAAAAACATTAGGCCATGGTTGTAGTGCCATATAGCCAGATTTTTTTGTTAGCTATTTGTTAAACAAATATTTATTAAGCAGCTACTATGTTCTAGGCCATGTTGGGAACATGGCCTAATGATATAGGGAAAATGAGACAGATATGGTCCCTAAAGCCTTCATTTCCGTAAGTCAGGCAAACATTAGGCAAACACCTAAATAAATTCTAGCAAATACCAAAAAGCGATTAGTAGAATGCATAAAATTAAAATAAAGTTATGTAATTGAGAGTGTCTGATTGTTTTCTTAGATTAGGTGACCAGGGAAGCTTTCTCGGGCTTCCATGTGAAGAATGAGTTATAAACGACAGAATAAAATAAGTGATTGCTAGTAGAAGACTATTGCAGTGGTCAATTGTAGGAGAGTGGTGGTTTGAAATAGTTTCAGATTAGTGAAAATGGAGAAAATGAAAATTAAAATATTGTTGATATATTTTAGAATAGTATTGACAGGACTTATTCATAAGTTGCATGAGGGAAATGAGGAAAGAGGGAAATCAGAGTAACACTGTGATATTTGGCTTGAGCTTTTGGGTCAACAGATTTAATAGCAGAGCTGGGAAAGTCTGAGGGACAGGAGATTTGAAGAAGAAAACCGAGGGCTTCCTAGGGGAAGGTGTGTTAAAGTCTGAGGGTTTTTTTCTATACATCATGGAGAAGTTCAAGAGACAGTTGGAATTCTAAAATCTAGAATTGGAGATGTAGATTTTAGAGTAGCCAATATGTCTTAATAACTGCTTATCTCGACCTCCATTGCTTTGCACAGCTCCCTTTGGTTTTTACTTTTACAGCCCAAAATTTCCTCGATTTTACATTTTTAAACTATGAATTCCAAGACCTTTCCCACCACCTTCATTGGCTTTGTATCATTAACCTCAGGAAATCTGCAGAACCTTTTTAATTCTTAGACTGCAGTATAAAAAATTGTTTCATGCATGAATAAAACAAAAGAACATTTGTGCCTGAATCATTGGGCTCTCTCCACTCTGGAATTTTTGTTCTTTCTGTAAAGAATAAAAGTTGGTAGTGTTTCTAATTTTTAAAAAAAGTTTCTTTAAAACTCTGGGTTTAAAAAGTCTCCAATGGAACCCTGGGAAATAGAAGAGGTAAATCAGATATATTCTGTGTGAAGGACACTGGGAGAGTTCAGTTTTTCAAGCTAACATGCTATGCCCCTTGCTGGTACTGACAGCTATCCGCTTAGGGCTCTGTTTGTATGTCAGAGGATTAGATCATATCTAAGTCCTCCTCAAAGACTAGCTTATGATTTTATTAAGATATTGCCTCAGGAAGGAAAGATCTCCTATGAATTCTGCTGGGTCTGAATTACTTTTAGACTGTTGCCAATTCCAGAATCTGCAGGTGGTAACCTACTCATGTGGGAGCACCTGGATAGTCAGAGGTTAGGGATGGAGACAGAATCTGACACTCAGAAATGTTCTGCATCGTGCAGAGGAGTTGCTCTATGATTTGAAACACATGGCACATAATGCACAGAGTGGAAAAACTACACATTGATAATTGAGATTTTACAGTGTGATATTGTGCATCTCTTCTTTATTTTCACAGGCAAAGGAGCTAATTTACATCAGTATTTTCTGAATACCTGAACGATTAACCATTTATGCTTTTTAACATTCAAACTGTTTTCAATTTGCAAAGTAATTAATGATGAATAAATGTATTATCTTCTTCTCCAAATTTTAAAGCACACACATGGAATGTATTTTAATGGCATTTCCTTTATCAGTGTCAAGTCATCCCAATGAGCAATAATATTTATGTTGTGCTATAGATAGAAAAGATAGTAGATGTTAATGAAATTCCAGAGGACTGACTAATTTAACACATCATTGATTTACAAGTGTATCAATTTATCCTCGCATACTTTTGAATTGCTTGTCTCACTATGGTTAACAGATATGCTTAGGAATTATTAAGAGGTATGTAACTATTTTTCAATCCTGCCTTTACTACTTTGCTGTAGCAAAAGACTCTCATTTCAAAGGCATTTGTAATCAAAGTGGTGGTTGCTCTTTCCTTCCAATTCTTTCTAGAAAATTTATTGAGCACCTACTATATGCCAAAAATTTTTCTAGGCACTTGGAACATATTTATGAACAAAACAAAGAGTTTTGCCTTATATTCTAGCAGTGAGGGGAGACAAAAATATCAAAATACTTAAAAATAGATAAAATATTGAGTATATTAGAACATATGCTGTTTTATAAAGGAAATTAATGGAGAATAATAGAGACTGAAAGCATTGGGTGTGAGGGATGATGGTGGAAAAGACGGTTGCTATACAGGTGGATCTCATTAAAAAGATGACTTGGAGCAAATATTTAAAGGAAGTAAGAGAATTAGTCATGGAGACATCTGGGAGAAGAGCCTTCCAGGCAGCAGGGAAATTAGCTAAGGCCCTGTTCGGGGAGCCTTCCTGGAACAGCATCGAGGCCAGTGTGACTGGAATGAATAGTGATGGGGAAATAGCACAAAATGAGGTCAGAGAGAGGACAGCGGACAGATCACATAAATTCTTGTAAGTGATTGTGTGAACTTTCATTTTTACTCAGTTTGTAATGCAAAGATACAGCCTTTAAGTTGGAGGTGATGTCCTGGCATCCTGAAGCTCACTGAATTTTCTAATCCTTCACTGATATACATAGTGGGCTTCTGAAACTTAATAGGGTTTATCTTCCTGCCTTTGAGGTACATGTGTTTTATTAAAGCTTCAATTTATTTTCCATTAGTGGCTCATCAGATCTTATTGCGATATCACTGATAAAATCAATATTGGACTAATGTAATATTCTACAGAATGTCCAGTTCATATAGGGCTGTTTTGAGTATATTATAACAGAGGGCAGAAAGGTTAACATAGCCTTGTGCAAAACTGTAAATGTGTATGATATTTTGTATCCTGGGCGATTGTGAACTGCTTCTGATTCTTCTTGAGAAGTGGGGGGGTAAAAACATTTGCCAGATAAATGACCGCACACCATGCACCTGAGTCTCTGTTCATTTTTTCCAGCAAAGATTCCACATCTGACATAGTGGCCTCAACTGGTGTTACTATATAGTTAATCGTGTGGTAGCCCACTGGTGTCTTCCACGATTTGTCTGCTTTTTCATAGAAGCAGAATTTGTAAATTCAAGGAAGATACAGTGGGCCCATTGAGTTACTTCCATCTTTAAGTTGGTACTAATCTTTGCCATTCCTCCTTGGATGCAATATTGTATTTTATTTTCTATTTTGGCTGAGAGTTGGTGTAGTTGTTTTAGAGTGTCATTCTACTTGGCCTCTGCCACTGTGATGGCTTTTATCCCAAGAAAAACAAAACAAAACAAAACAAAACAAAACTAAACTAAACTAAACTAAACTAAACTAAACTAAACTAAAAGAGTGTTCTGCCAGCTATCAGGTATGGGTGTTCTAATCAGGAATGGGGAAATGTTCACAAAATTTGTCCAGAAGTCCAGGAGTCCCACAGCAGGCCTGACCTGAGGCTTACTCAGTTTATTACCCAGCATCCACATTTTTCCATTCTAACTAAGTGGCAGTGATAATGTTTTTGGCAATTGTCATCAATATAAGCTTGAAACCTATAGCCAAGCGTTCTTTAACTGTCTCCCTTCATGCTTTCCCAGTGAATTGTACCTGAGTAAATAGCTTTGGGGAAGGCCTGAGAGTTTGTTTACATCGTATACTTGTCATGGTATTGCTGGATCCTTCCTCCTAAAGATATAAACCCTTTTCAGTGAGTGACTTCTTCATCTGAGAACTACCTCAGATCTGAAAACTGGGAAAAAAAAAAAAGTCTGTACTTGATTGGTCCATCCTCTTTCATAATCCCGATGATCTACCCTTGATTTTTTGTTGAATTACTATAGTGATAAACATTTTGGCTGCCCATCTATCTTGCCTTAGGTTTTATTAGCTATCTCCATAGCTCTCTGTAGTTAGGCCTACTGGTCTGCTCTCAACTGTTCCATTCTTTATCATCATTGTGCCTGACTCTATAGTTCATCTAGCCTCTATTATGGTCACTACTATCAGTGAGCTCAGGACAGTAATAGCATCTTCTCCACAGATTCTGCTATCCACAGGGACAATCTTACTTATTTAGAAAATCTTATACTCTGATCTAAAATCTGATCTAAGATCTAAAATCTTACTGATTTTAGAAAATCTTATACGCTAGAATGTTTTGGTTTTATGTAGTAAATATGTACTAGTATGAACACTTCTCTGAGCTTTTGATCTCTTGCCACAACCTCTTGGCATTTCTTTTTTTTTTTTTTTTTTTTTTGAGACGGAGTCTCGCTCTGTCGCCCAGGCTGGAGTGCAGTGGCGGGATCTCGGCTCACTGCAAGCTCCGCCTCCCGGGTTCACGCCATTCTCCTGCCTCAGCCTCCCAAGTAGCTGGGACTACAGGCGCCCGCCACTACGCCCGGCTAATTTTTTGTATTTGTAGTAGAGACGGGGTTTCACCGTTTTAGCCGGGATGGTCTCGATCTCCTGACCTCGTGATCCGCCCGCCTCGGCCTCCCAAAGTGCTGGGATTACAGGCGTGAGCCACCGCGCCCGGCCACCTCTTAGCATTTCTACTTCACTTAAAGTGGAAAACACTTTCAGCATGCTTCTAGTGCCCAAGCTCCAACATAGTCGTAATATAACTTCATTCTTCCAGGGTACTTATCACAGAGTTAAATACTCCTTCATGGAAGAGTGCACCCATATTGATAAACTGATAAATTCTCCATTGTCCAAACTTTGCTCTTCAATTCAGCATTTTCATTATCTATTTCCATAAATATATACCATATTTCTTCTTGTACATGTTAGCTTGGTCCAGCACTCCCATACTTTTACTGGGTATAAACCTTTCACTTTCAGAATCCCAGTACTCTCTGAGATATGTTGTGATTTGACCCTAATTATTGGTCTGAAGACCAAGAAAGAAGTAGGGGTATCCTGGGGGAGCACATATTCTCTTGCAAAGCAGAGACCTCTGCATCATCTTTCAACAAGGGCTGGGAATTGGATCACATCTCTAGGTTTTCTAGTGCATTGAGCCAGATGTACACATCCCAAGTTTCAGGTTCCCTTCTTCCCTAATTAGAGCTTGGATTGAAAATTAAACCTTCCCTGGAATTCTACTACCCTTAAAATTACATCCTGTGCCTGATCCTCAGCCTCATCTGTCCTTTAGCTCTAGGAGAAGAGAATCTCTTTAGAAACTGCCAAGAAAGTCCTCTGTTTTTCATATTTTACCCTAAATTAATGATTAATTACACTTAGCCCTTTATTGTTTTCCAATGCATTAGTAAAATCTAGCAACATTCATCCGATTTTGTTATCCTATGTAATTAGTACTTGCTCTAAACCTCTAAAATGGCTAATGTATTATAGACGAGACTACATTTGCTTTTACTAAGGCTTTATTACATCTGTGAAATGTATAACAATGGCACCACTAGCTTTTGCCAGAGGCTGTCAGTACTCTATCTAACACCATTGATAGTATTCTTATTGCCAGCCAGCTGGCTGGTGATTCAGCTCCAAAATCCCACGTTAGAGTCTGCTTGCTAGGAACACACTTCGAACAAACTCTCTTTAGTCAAAATCTCCAGAAAACTGAATTTGAAATGGATATTGTACCTAGGTGGCTTATTGGAGGAGAATAATGGAGTAAGGGAAGCAGGATAGGGTAGAGTTAAAAGCTGAAATATGATTCAGTTACAACAGAGATCTTAGCTGATCCTACTAGACATTCTAGAGTTCAGATGGGCCCTCAGAGTAGTCCAAAGTTTGGCCAAGAAGGCTGGGCCTTTGTATCCCTGTGAATAATTTTCACTGGATACAATCTACCTCTTGAGGAAGGGTATAATTTTGGTACTTCAACTCTCATCCATTTGGATCAGGGAAATTCTTGGAGAAAGTTTAGGTGTGAGCTCTAAGCATCTAATACTCCTGTCATGTAGGGAAACAAGTAGCTCACTATCTATGAAGGGATCTTGGAAGTACAACATCCAGTTTATCAGCAGAGATATGGAAAGTTGTGAATGAAACTGACTCGAGGAGAAGAGAGAATTTAGCTTTAGATGTATCCCCCAAGTAAGAAAGGTTTATTTGACATTCAAATGGAGATTAAAGTAGGCAGTTTGAAAGAGTTTGGGGCTTATGAGAGAGGACTTGGGCAAAAAAAAATAAAAAAAAAAAGAGAGTTTTCTATGTGTGTACTTTCAAGAGCTACAGGGTTAATGCCAATATATATTCTAATTCTCAAACTGTGTTCCATTTTGTGCCTGTTTGCTATTCTATCCTTCTCTACTGCCAGAGTGTCCAATACTCGTCTCAGCCTCCTGCATATTTTAATATTTTTTCTGCTGTCTATCATCATCTTGTTTCTGTTCATCTTTCCCTTTTGATTTTCTGTGTTTCCGTGCCTCTCAAGTGTTTCTTAATTTATCATATGCTAATCACTAGCAAGTGCCATTGAATTATCCTTCAACTAATCAAGTCCAGCCCTAGGACTCTGACTGTCATTAGTCCTGCAGCAAAGGACTTCTATGGAGGAGGCCTAGAATTCTGAATAATAAGGGCCTTCTGGGAAAGGAAAAAAAAGAGAACAGATGCTCAGTTGGTAACCACCATTTTACACTGTACCTTTCTTAGATTTCTTGCACTCCACTCCATAAATCAGTTCTTCAGTTAGAGATTCTCAGCTCATAATTAAAAATTTTTATAACATTATGTTATATATAGTTATTTAACTTTGGTCTCTCAAATTAGAATATAAACTCCGCAAGTTTTTGGTTCACTATCCTCTCCCTAGTGTTTGGCACATAACAAATGCCCAGTGTAATTTTGTTCGAAACCCTGCCCAGTCAGAACCTACCTTTATTTCTGTCATCAATTAAGTTAATTATTCTATTTAAGGATAAAATCTTTAGATCTTGCTTTCTTTACATTATCTTTGGATATAGAGGTTTGGCTTTAAAGAAATACTTTATACACCATGGAATACTATGCAGCCATAAAAAATGATGAGTTCATGTCCTTTGTAGGGACATGGATGACATTGGAAATCATCATTATCAGTAAACTATCGCAAGAACAAAAAACCAAACACCTCATATTCTCACTCATAGGTGGGAATTGAACAATGGGAACACATGGACACAGGAAGGGGAACATCACACTTTGGGGACTGTTGTGGGGTGGGGGGAGCGGGGAGGGATAGCACTGGGAGTTATACCTAATGGTAGATGACGAGTTAGTGGGTGCAGCACACCAGCATGGCACATGTATACATATGTAACTAACCTGCACATTGTGCACATGTACCCTAAAACTTAAAGTATAATAATAATAAAAAAACAAATTTCATTACTTGATTCATTTAAGTCCACTATAATGAGAATTGGGATATCTTACTGTTCTTTCTAAAAATTATACATGCCTTTATTTCAATTAAGTTTAATTCAAAGAAATTGGATTATGCTCCAAGATATGTAATAAAAGGAAATAGGGCATGCTTTTTATCAGTCACTTCAAAAGTTATTAATTTTCCATTTTTAAATATATCTGTGGAATTACAGCTCAAATAATAAGCATACCACTCTCCAAGATCAATGAATTAACAAGAAAAGAACTCTAAAATTAAACCTGTATGTATTGGAAAATGCTGGTTATTGGTGCAAAAATTTGGGGTGTGACCATTTACTTGATTGTAATAATATTACAGATGTGATAATAGTCAATAACCCAAACTCAATATTGAATTATTTAAAATGTGACTGTAGTATAAGAAATGCACATAAATGTAAATACAGAGCAAAGTTACACATAATATAGAGTAGAGTAGCCTGAGATATATAAAAGGTAAAGGATTTCTATTAGGAAACCATTCTCACAACAGGATCTGGTAAGAATTACATGAATCATTTCAGAAATGTATTATTCACTGTAATTTGTGAGTCCCTTATTTCACTTTTAGTGGACTGACATTGGAAAGGATATATTTAAACATAGGTGGGTGTTTGTCTTTAATGCGTTAGAGATTATCAGATTTCTTACATAGAGTTATATTATTATTAACTGGAAGCACTGTCTTATGATCAGAAATTTAAGGAATATTGCCCAGACAGTGATGCAACAATCTCTGTTCTTATAAGTATTTTGGAAAGGGTTATGACAAAAAATAACATACAAATGAGGAAAAAAAAACCAAAAAACTTTTCTTTTTCATAATCTAAAATGCTTTATAAACAACTGCATATTAGAGAAAAAGTGCACTTCTGTTCAACATTTGTCTTTTGAATGTCTACATTTAACATTTTACTACTTTATAGATAAATGGAACCTGACATGTAATTCTAGAAGGCATATAGACAAGAGGAAGAGACAGATTTCTAAATAAACAACCATTGAAGCATGAGTGCTGATAGGCTGTGAGGCAATCTATAATGTAGGTAGAAAGTGTTCTGTAGATTTTTAAATGTTTGTTCTATTTGTGAATATCATTAATGGCTTCTTAAAGCAGTAGAGTTATTTGAGTTAGCTTCAAAGAACAGAATAAAAAGAACAAGAGAACAGGAGGATTCTAGATAGAAAGGCTTTTAGAAAGATAAAAATTGTGAAAGAAATATAAGCATGATTATAAGTCATTTGTAGGCTGCCATTTGAACTACTAGAGACATGCTCTGGTGGTATCATGTCCACTTTGCTTTCTGTTCTAAATGGAAATATTTAAAAGCCATTTAGTGATCTCCAAGTTTTCACTGAATATCTGCTTTTTTATATTTCTAGACCATTGCTTATTAAAAAAAAAAAGAGAGAGAGAGAGTTATGTCCTTCCTATAAGTACGCCTGCTCCAGGAAAATTCAGAATTTCAATTTTCTGTCAGAATACTTCAACAAATGTATTGTACCATGGCTTTCTGGACTATTGTACCATGGCTTTCTGCCTATATTGATAATCCCAGGCCTAAGACCCTGGACTACCATGTAACAAAGGCTATCTTCAGAGATTTACCTTAAAGCTATCTCTATTCCTTGGACTTGCTCTACCCAAAAGTGTGTTCTTTCAGCTTGTGAATTGGATCATCCAAATGTATATAATTCTTTCTGAAACTCAAGACAATTTGGCTGTTACACTATCAGATGAAAGGGAGACATCAGGATCTGTTTCATCTTTACAGAGAGTCTAAAGATTTTTGTAAAAAAAGAATATAAAGGTTAATCCAGCTGTAGTTTGTCTTCAGTGAAGCCAAAGTTCATGACCATTACTTCTGCTTGTTCACTGCTCCTGTTTATTCAGTGTCTACTGCTTAGAAGGAGCAAGTTTGCAGAAGGAGACAGTGAATTCAGGTTTGAGTATGATAGAATTTAGGTGCTCATTGAATACCTATTATAAATACCACTGCTACTAATAGCTACCATGAATCAATGCTAGTTTTATAACACGTATGGAACTATGTCCTTTACATGAGTTCACTAGTTGTTTGTATAAAGATTACCATATGTTTATAGATAGGAAAATTAAAACTTACACAAAGAATCAAAAGAAAAGCTTTAAATGTTCCATATATTTGAAAGTCATCTAAAGAGATGATAGATGAGGGTTTGAAAGTGAATATAATTGCTAAGAGAGAGCATATACAGTGAGAAAAAGAGCTGTTAAGCCTGACTAAATCCTTATTCATATACAGATGAATTGTTTCTACATTTGGCTCAATTCTGCTGCTTCTGTCAAGAGGCTAAGGTGATTAAGAGCCATTTAATGGTCTAGAAGCATGGTAAAGAGAAAGGATAATTTGCTTATCTTTCAGGGTTAGATGCCAAAGAAAATGACATGACTGAAAATGAAAATTCATAGATATATACAAAGTGCTTTATCTGTCTATGCCCTGAGAGGAAACAGATGGCATACTTTAACTGGATAATTAGAAAAGAGTTTAATAAAGAGTTTATGAAAACTGTATGAGATACTAACCACAGGGTTAGTAATTGCTGGAGCCTACCAACACTACTAACTCTGAAGTGGAGAAAATTGCTAGCAGATTCAGAATGGAAGAATTGTGTGAAGAAAACCAATTGATATGAACTCTGCCGTTCAGTCTAGGGATACAGCCAGCCTTTGGGAATCCCACTGAAAGAAACACAGCACAGTACAAAATTGTCTTTACTTTTCTCTTTTCCTTTACCTTCAGTCAGTGGTCTCCACTGGCCAAACCCAATCATATGCTGAAGGTTAACAGAGTACATTGATGTAGATCAAATAAGTCAGCTTCCTGAGACAATATAGCAAGATGGAGAAGGGCAAATAATCATAAGATTATGTAAGTTTGCACATAAAAATCAGATGTTTATCAGCAACTTGTTAAGGGTCTATGAAGACCCTTCCCCAGGCTAACACACAAAAGACGCGCATTAAGAGGATAAGAAAAATAAAAATACAAGAGTTCTGAGGAGAAAACTCAAAAGAATACCAAACCTTTAAAGGCAAGAGAAGCTCTCTTTTATGTTGTTACTTTTCCTCATAGGATCCCAAACAACCATTCATTTCTGTTCCTCATTCTACCCCCTGTCCATTTTGTAGTATTTAGGGACAAGTTATGAATATAAAAATACAGATGGAATTATCAGTTGTATCACATACTTCAGTGTCAGTATGCACAAAAAAGGACACTTTATTTTGTGAATATTTGCTCATTAGTGATATGAAAGATAATTTCTAATGGAGAAATTGAGTAGAAGCAATATTTCAGAAGAATGGAAGCATAAATGCTCCCAGAAATATTAGAAGGCATAAGTTTAAATTATCCATTCAGGAAATTTGATGGTTAATAGACAATACCTTCAGGTAAAAATATCAGACAAAAAATTCTTCCTTAGGATGCAAAAATATAGAATATGTTTCTAAAATAAAGGAATTCTAAAATAAGACATTCAAATGTGGAAGAATAATAAAAGGGGTTTTTAAGCGGAGACAATTTGCAGGATAGGTACGAAGGTTGGAATTCAGATGACAATAGAGTTGGTTCCTCAGTGAAGAAATGGCATATTTTTTTCTTCAAATCAAAAGATTTAATGATGAGTCAGAAAACATACGAAGCAAAACCAAAACCAAAAACAGAAACAAAAAAGTTAAGATATCCCATCATAGTTTACACCCAAGTAATACAAGAAGTGTGGTCATCTGGGTAAGTGTGAGTTCCATGCTAGAGTATTTTAATTAAGAGCTTCTTAAAAGGAACAGAGATTCACTCAAATCATTTTAAGTAATAGATTTATTTTGGAGCTACATAGATTGTAAGGCCGTGAATCACACAAATTATAAAAGAACAATTAGGCCTTGTAAAGAGCCAAAAGATATTAGTAGATTCAGATTTTTTTCAGGAATAAAAACAGATTACTCTGAATCCAATGCTACAGGTTATAGATATGCATTTTAGGCATTTTATTGCTTTGTCACAAATATAAGTCATCTACATGCTTTGTGTCTATTTTCCTCACTATAAACTACATGTTTGTTTCTATGCTACTCAGTGAAAATATTCTGACCAGCTTTGTTCAGAAATGGCAAGTTTCTGAACTTTGCATTAAACTGCTGGCAGCATAGCTTGTCTATCCTTTGATGGAATACTAACCTGTGATTTAATTAGTTTTGTGGAGGATTTGGAGTCACAGACTGTTGTTACCTACAGCTACTTTTCAATGGGAAATGTGAGCATAGCATAGCAGGAGGAGGTAGTCATCTGGACTGATATTTCTAGTATGATGTGTGAGATACTAAGATTCCAGATATTCCACCACAAAAAAGAAGAGGTAACTATGTGAGGTGACAAATATGTTAGTTCGCTTGATTGTGGTAATCATTTCACAGTGTATATCTATATCAAATATCATGTTGTACATTTTAAATATATATAATTCCTGTATTAGTTTGTTCTCACACTGCTATGAAACAATTACCCAAGACTGGGTAATTTATAAAGAAAAGAGGTTTAATTGATTCACAGTTCTGCTGGCTGGGGAGGCCTGAAGAAACTTACAATCATAGAGGAAGATATCTCTTCACAGAGTGGCAGAAGAGAGAATGAGAGCCAAGCGAAGGGAGAAACCCCTAATAAAATCATCAGATCTCCTGAGAACTCACTCACTATAATGAGAACAGTATGGGGGAAACCATTCCCATGATTCAATTATCTGCACCTGGTCCCACCCTTGACACGTGGGGATTGTTACAATCCAAGGTGAATTTTGGATTTCACCAAACCATATCAATTCATATTTGTCAACTACATCTCAATAAAGCTAGAAGAAAAAAAAGGAAACTAAAGCTAACACCAGTCACAAAAAGTCTTCTCTAAATTGCTCAAATTTGTACACTTAAAAGATATTGACAGTTCTTAAGACCAAAGAAGTAGTATTTATCCATGGAGCACCTTCTATTTTTTGAGAGATAAATTATAATGTGTCTAAACCACATAGGTATCCTTCATGCAAAATAGAATAATATTGGGCATGTAATCTAGTTTACTGAAAATTTAAGATCCTAAATGAGTTTTTGACCTCAAGAACTGCATTTAATACTATCACCCCCCTCCCCTCAATTGGTACCCAGAGTGAGTGCTGTGAAAAAGGAGGGCAAGGATATGTTTCTTCTAAGTCACTATTTTAAAAAATGCTTTGTTCTACTGATATTTATGGAGTGGCTGCTATTGGTTGCTATAAATTAGGAACTATTCTAGGCACTGGAGATAGAGTTACGAGCAAAAAGATACTAGCTTATTTAGTATTCTTGTATTTCTATATTGCCATTGATCACAACACACTGTATTTTACTCTTCTGTGTATTCATCAGGAAGTTGCCTGATAAATAGTAATTAGATAAGTTATGTATTTAGGGAAATTAAAAGAACTAAGACCGTCTTGTATGATTATTGGGAACATTCAATGCATTTTAAATTAGGTTTGTGTCTATGTGGCAACAAAAAAATTAACTAGAGATGTGTAAAGCCAGGCTCAATGTCAAGGTTAATATCAGAAAAATTTATGTGCAGTGGTAAAGTTTTATCCTCCAAATCCTAGCAAAGCAAATTAGCAATTTCTTTTAAAGAATTACAGAATACCTAGGTTAATTTATAGATTTATTATTTTCATAAATTGCTTGTGGTGATTTATTTTCCCCTAAAATAATTCTTTGAGCTTTTTGCTTTGTTTTCTTCTCATTTATTAAACACACTACTTCATTTTCTTCTCATATCTTAAACATACTGTTTTCACTTTATTCTTGTGCCTTCTGAATTCAGCCAAATTCCTCTAGGAGTACTTGTAGAATAATCTCATTCTCTGTGTTATTCATAGTATGTGCCCTACATTTCTAAATTTTCAATTATAATTTTTTAAAGATTGCAATTATGATTATTTTAAATCAGTGTTTCTGTAGGCACTAGCTTTGGCAAGTGATGGTGAGGAACTTCTGATTTTCACACCTGAATTTTAGTCATCAATTCTCTTCTACCAGAGAAATATCGTGGGTTTTTTTAGTTCTTTACTAGAATTCAAATAATTCATATTTGATGATGGTCTTCTTGAAGTAATCTTAATATAGTCAAGAACAACTTCCTCTTTATATCTTAATTTTCTTATTGTTGGTGCTGAGAAAATCAACAGTTGGCTAATAATTGAAATAACCACATTAAAAATTCTGTTGAAGTAATGGCAGAAAATCTTATAGGCCTAACACTCCTGGAAATAACAATTATAAACAACAAAATAACAATGTAACAATGATAAACATGTTTGAAAGCACTGAAGAGACTCAAAAACTAGGAAGAAACTGAAGGGGATATGACCCTTGAAAGAAAGATGCTACCCTCACTAATTAATTGAGACTCTCCTTTAGATAGCTTTTTAAATTTAGGACATTCTCCAGCCCTTGTAGTAGGCTTTAGAATTTAAGGAGAAAGTCGCAGTCATTTTGGACTGAGATTTCAGAATGGAGTTCAGGACTTCCAAAGTGGCTGAAAACTGAGAAAGCTAATTCTGGATGGGGCCACAAAATCTGTTAGTATCCTTCCCATGAGTGGTTCCTAAATTTTGCCTTCCTGTAGGAGACATCAAGGAGCCTGGTGGAAATCGAAAGCTATAAAATTGAAAGAATTAACAGAGATGTCAACTCCTTCCCACTAGAGGGGAGAAAGAGTTTGGAGTTAGGATTAGCCAAGTTAGAGGGGCTTGATATGTGCCTGGGCTTTCCACAAATCTGGCTAATCTAAGCATAAAAGCCTTTCTCCACAAATTCAAGGAATCAGTCAGTAATTTAACTTCCTGCCAGAATAATATTCAAGAGTCTTCAAAAGAAATGAACAGCAACCATAGTCTCTAAAATGTGTCATATATGATATCAGTACACATTCAAAATTACTAGATATGCAGAGAAATGGTGAAATGACTCACAGTCAAGCAAAATATAGTTCATGAGGACAGAAACTAAGATAAACCAGATCTGTTCGTAACAGACAAGGACTTAAAGCAGATACTACAAATATGTTCAATAAAGTATGCAGAAGATGATAATGAGGGAACAGATAAGTAACATTGGTGGTTAAATAGCAACTATTAAGAACAAAATGAAAATAATAGAACTGAAAATTGCAATAATTAAACTGAAAAAAATGTTGCATTAACTTAAAAATGATTAGATATTGCAGAAGGAAAATCAACGAATTTGACAGTTCATTATAAAATGATCCAATTTGAAGAAAAGAAAAAATATCAAGTATTCTAACAAAACTGTAATTAAAATTCCAAAGGAAAGGAGAAAAAGGTAAACAAAACAAAACATGAAAACCTATATCAAGGCATTTCCAAAATTCGGTGAGAAAGGTTAAATTTCAGATTTAAAAATTTCAAAAAAACCCTCTTCTAAACACTTATTCAAAAGAAATAAAGACAATGTCCACATAAAACTTGCATCTGAATGTTAATAACATCTATATTCATAACAGCCCCCAAAAGGATTAAAAAAACAACAAATGTTTATAAAGATGAGGACTGAAAAACTACAATGTATTTATGTAATTGAACACTACAGAGCAATATTGAGAAAGTTTAGACAATGATATAGTTAGAGGAACCAGTTTATATAGAACTGCTCTCACTTCTGATACCAATCACAAGTTTAGGGGGTTCCAAAACGACCCTTGGGGTTGATAATCCTCTAGACAGAATTATCGAATTCACTGAAAGCTCTTGTATCCATACTTAATGCTTTTTTTACTGGGAAAAGATAAAGATTAAAATCAAACAGGGAAAAAAGTGCATAGGATTAGAGTCTAAGAAAGGTCCAAACATGGAGATTGTGTTTTCTGTTCCTGAGAAATTATGGATACATTACTTTCCAGGTATTGATGTTTGATAAAACATAGAGTATTCCCAATCAGTGAAGCTCACCCAAGCCTGGATGCCCAGGGCTTAAGTATCACCTTAAGGTAGCCAAGAGCAAAGGCCAGAGCTTAATGCTTCATTAAACAAAGCAAAAGGAATAAACTACTGGTACGCGTTACAAGTTGGTTGTATCTTGAAACATTTTACTGCATGAGAATAACCAGACAAAACATAAAAGTTATATGATATTATTTATATGAAGTTCAAAAGCAGACAAAACTTAGGTATAGTGACAGAACTCATAAAAGTGGTTATTGATGGGACTTGAGATAGAACTAAAATGCATAAAGACACTTTCAGCATGTTGTAAATAATCTATATTTTAGTCGTAGGGGCAGTAATCACACAGATGTATACACTATATATTTGTCAAAACAAATTGCATAAATCATTCATATCCAAATTTTTTCTTGATTGAAAAATAGGCTGGATATTCAAGATTGTTATTAAATCTGTAACTAGACTGGATATGGAAGAACACATTTAAATGGTCTGATTTCCCAGAAAATTGATCTAATACTGTTGGATCATATTAAAATGTGCAGCCATGAAATATTTGCTGAAGCTTGATCTGATACATTTCAACTGCTATAATATAGACATGGTCTGTTTTTTTTTTCCTAGAAATTTAGTGAGGCAAAAGTAATAGTCTCATTTTCAACCATTCCACTCCAAAGCATTACTAAGTTGGTTTATTAACATGACATATGCATACTAACTTCAACACTCTCCAGAAAGGGAGAATTATTTCATGTGGAACAAAATTTCAACACTTTTATTAATACAAGTTATAACAAAAATTTTGGGTCTGTGATAATTATGAGAATACCAAGAACAGTATCAATTATTTTCAGAATAGCTTTGATACAATAGAAAGCACATACATTGGTAATATCTTTTATGTTATATCTTTAAACTGGTTGAACATATGATAGTTTGCATATAGTTTGTATAAATTAGTTCAGGTCCCCAGATAGTTTTTTATTTCTTAATAATCAGAATATTTTTTGTACTGCTCAGTTTAATTGAGGAATAGACAACTTTCATCAATATTGTTTATATAACTTTTACTTAAATTAATAGGAGCAAATTCAGAGATGCTGCACTATTCCAGATATAATAATTATGGCAACATCTTCCAGTGCTTTTTCACAAAAGTCATTATTCTATTAATCTCCTGATATATATATATATATATATATATATATATATATATATTTATAACAAGAGATGAATGAAAACTTCATTTACAAAATAATTTTCTTCCCATAATAAATATTTATTTTGATACATTATAAAAAATGATTTTAATAAATGCAAAATTATAAATCAAAAATTTAGGTGACAGTAGAATATCGTCAGACATCAAATAAAGAAGTGGGTGATAAGTAGGAATGTGGAGGTACTTCTAAGAACAGAAAAAATATTTTCCTATTTATGACCACCTACAAGCAAATAGAATGATATAGTAGAGGTGCCAACAAAATGAACAGCATATATTGTATAAAACCACTTTATATTAATGGTGAATAAAAATTGGGAAATAACAAAATAAAACAGGCTGTTTCAAATACAGTAAACACACTGGTTGTACATGAGCTCTGGAAAAAAGTTCGTACTTCAGTTTTATGATAATCAGGTTGGACTTTTCTATAAGCTTTTATTTTCATTCTTCAAATATATCGCAGCCATGGGTAGCTGCCAGCTTATGAATATTTATAGAACATTTCCTAGTTTCTCATGCAAGATAAACTCTAAAGAATTTCATGGACAGAGAGCTGGATTTTGCATGAGTCCCAATTGCATATTTCTTAAAAGTGAAGAGATATTAAATTGAAATCACAACATTGCATGTGTCTAAAAGTAAATTTAGATTATATGTAATTCGAAAAAGGATTGACTGAGGGATGAAAGTATGCTTTTATATTATTCTGTTTCTACTACATACTTCAGTATTTTCTCTGTGAATCTTAAAAAAAATCATTGATGATATTTTTACTAGTGAAAATTTGGGGGAATGAATGGGGGGATAATTATGTGCCAGCCAAGTGTGGTTGGGGTAGAGTTGTTTTTATTTTTTCCTTCCTCCCTTAGATATGTCTAGAAAGAATCTGGGGTTCCATGAACGCAGACAAACATGATTAGAGTTTTATTATTAATTTTTTTCCATACAGCATGTTCGGAAACTGTTTGAGGTTCTATATATGTACAAGTCCTATTTCTGTTCACAAAGTCACATTTTTAATATTTTTTCTCATTTTGAAATTAAGAGCAGTCTTTTAAATGGTTATTCTAACATCTTAAAAGCAACGACATAATTTAAAAAATTAAAACTTTCATACCTTAATATTTAGGAAACCATTTTAAATAGAATAGCTAAATATAATTAGGTTGATTATAAATAAAAATATTATGGGAATACCTCGTCTTCGTAGTTGAAAATTTATGAAGTGAACACATAGAAGAGTAAACATTAAATAGGAGCACGGATAGATCACCTCTTGTATCAAACAGGACAGCCAAATGAGTGGGTGGATGTGATAGTGAGAATCTCTCGGAGTTTGCCTTTGATCCTCTCTTTTGTTTTTCAGTAAAATAGGAGTTAGATCATCAGTTGAGCATTTTTCTGTTGAGAAGGAGTGATTGGAGGTTTCGAGGAGAGAAGAGATTAAATAGTTACATCTCATATGAAAGAGTGAAAAGTGTGACGTCTGAGCATCATTAAGGATCCAGTAGAACTTTGTTGGTTGCCATTACTTTAAAGTGCAGCTAATAAAAATGAGACCATTTAAAGCTCCTGCTTTAATAATTAAATAATTTGGCCTTCAATGAGAAAAAGAAATCAAATCTGAAGTTAGGTCCATGTCCTGACTAGGCAGCATGTGGCTTCCAATTTTACATTAGTGAGAAGGTGCTAGGTAATAATTTCTACAGTGTCAAGTCATTGAATAAATCCATTAAATACAATGAATTGAGTAAATCTACGTTTTCTACAATAGCTAGAGTTCAGCTAATCATCAAGATGTGCTTTGTTCATTTTTTGGTTATAGTTTTAGTACAGTAAATAACTTCGTTTAGCAGCTTTCATGTATGGAAATCTTACTATTTGTAAGCTTTCCAGATTTTTCTCAAATGAATCTTTGCATCATTTTTAGAAGATAGTAGAGACATTATGATGATTTCATTGTACAGAAGACAAAAGCTAATGTTCAGAGGGAGAAAATGCAGTGAGTACAGAGCTGGGAATTCATAGCAGGTTGGTGTGAGGCTGCAAGTAGCTTCTACTACAGAAGGGCAAGAAAATTCACCCTGACCTACAGATTGTGTATCTTTCCCAATGTTTTGTTTTTAATTTTACTTTCAGTATTGTTTTCCAAATTTTTATTGTGATAAAATACATGTAACATAAAATTTACTCTCAACCATTTGGAATCATACATTTCAGTGGTATTAATGACATTCTTACTGCTGTACAACTCTAAACACTATCCATCTCCAGAACTCTTCATATTGCAGAACTGAAACTCCATAACTATTAAAAAATACTTCCTTATTTCCCCCTTCTTGCAATGCCTGGAATCCACTATTCTGCTTTCTATATCTATAATTTTGACTACTCTAAGTACCTCATATAAGCAATTATACAGCATTTGTATCTTTGAAACTGGTTTAATTTATGCAGTATAATGTCCTCAAGGTTCATCAATGTTGTATCATATTTTAGATTTTATTTAAGATTGAATAACATTTCATTATACATGTATACTACATTTTGCTTAGCCATTCATTAAACAATGGACACTTGAATTTCTTGCATGTTTAGCTATTATAAATACTTCTTCTATAAACTTCAGTGTACATATATCTCTTTGGGGCCCTGTGTTCAAATCTTTTGGGTATATACCCAGAAAAGAAATGACAGAATCATATGGTAATTCAATATTTATTTGTTTGAGGAACTGCCATACTATTTTCACAGTGGCTGTACCATTTTTATATTTCTAATAGCAGTGCACAAAAGTTCCAATTTATTCACATCCTCACCAACATTTATTTTGGTTTTTATTGACAGTGGCCATCGTAATGGGTCTAACGTGGTATCTTGCTTCAGTTTTGATTTGCATTTTTACAAGATTAGTGATATTCTGTGTATTTTAAGCACTTTTTGACCATTTGTATGTCTTCTTTAGATAAATAACTATTCAAGTATTTTTGATGTTGTTGTTAAGATTTAGGAGTTCTCTGTATTTTCTGGATATTAATTCCTTATCAGATATATAATTTGAAAATATTTTCTCCTATTATGTGAGGTGCCTTTATTCTGTTGATAGTGTCTTTTGATGGACAAAATTTTTAATTATTAATGAAGTCCAATTTGCCCATTTGTTCTTTAATTGCTTGTGCCTTTGATATCAAATCCAAAGTCATGAAGCTTTTGCCCTATATTTTCTCATAAGCGTTTTAGAGTTTTAGGTCTTACATTTAAGCTATGGATCCATTCTCTGCTAATTATTTAATGTGACATTAGGTAAGGATCCAATTTGATTATTTTGCATGTGACTGTCTCGTCTCCCCAGCACCATCTGTTGAAAATATTTTTTCCATAAACTATTCTTGACAACATTGTTGGAAATAATTTGGCCGTATGTAAGAGGGTATATTCCTGGACTTTATTACATTTAGTTAGTCTACATGTCTTTCTTTATTCCAGTACTCCACTGTTTTAAGTACTGTAGTTTTGTGAGCTTGAAATTAGGAAATGTGAGTCCTCCAGCTTTGTTTTTCTCTTCAAGAATTGGCTATTTAGGGTTTGTTAAAATTATGTAAGATGAAATTTAGGTTTTTCTATTTCTGTAAACAATGTCACTGGAATTTTGATAAGGATTACATTAAATATTAGGGATTACTTTGGTTATTACTCTCACATATATGGCTAAATTATTTTTAGCAATGTTGCCAAGACTAATGGAACAAAGTCTTTTCAACAAACGGTGCTGGAAAAAACAGATAGTGACATGCAAAATAATCAAGTTGGACTCTTCCCTAATACTATATTAAAAAAAAAAACTCAAAATGGATCCATAGCCTAAATTTTCATAATATTGTCTTCCAATCCAGGAGCATGGAATATCTTTCCATTTATTTATATCTTCTTTAATTTCTTTCAGAAATACTTTGTAGTTTTCATTGCACAAATCTTTTACCTTGTTGATTAAACTAATTTCTAAGTATTTATTCTTTTTATTTTATTGAAAATAATGATTTAATTTATTTTTCATACTGTTAATTGTTAGTGGATCAAAACATAACTGATTTTTGTGTGTTGATTTTGTATCCTGTTGCTTTGCTGAAACTAGTTAACTTTAAAACAATATTTAATATTTTCTGCATATTAGATCAAACCATCTGTAAACAGAAATAATTCACTTCTTTTCCAATTCTAACTCCATTATTTATTTTTCCTTTCTAGTTGCTCTGGCTAGGACTTCCAGTACTATGTTGACTAGAAGTGGTGAAAGTAGACATACTTGCCTTGTTCCTGATCATAAGGGTAAAGCTTTCAGTATTTCACCACTGAGTATGATGTCCACTGGAGGTTTTCTTATACATAGTTTCTATTATGTTCAAGTATTTTTCTTCTATTCTTACTATGTTGAGTGTTTTCATCATGAAAGTGTGTTGAATTTTATAAAATTATTTTTTCTGCATTGAGATGATCATGTGACTTTGTTTCATTAATTATTTTAATGTGGTGTATAATGTTGATCATTTTTCACATGTTAAACCATTTTTGTATTCAGGAATAAATTTCATTTAGTCATAGTGCATAACTTTTTAATATGCTGCTGAATTTGGCTTACTAAGATTTTGTTGAAGAGTTTTGCATCAGTTTTTATAAGGAGTATTGGCTTGTAGTTTTATTTTATCATTGTTTGGCTTTGGTTTTAGGTTATTGCATGCCTTACGGAATGAGCTAGGACGTGTTCCCTCCTCTTTACTTTTTTTGGAAACGTTTCAGAAGGGTTGGTGTTATTTCTTCAAGTATTTGGAAGAATTTACTGGTGAAGATTTCACATCCAGGATTTTTGTTATGTTCTTGCGAGATTTTTGATTACTAATTCAATCTTCTTACTAGTTATACATCTATTCATATTTTCTAGTTCCCATGGTTGAATCTTGATAAGTTTGTGCTTCCAGTATTTGGTTCATTTCATCTGTGTTATCCAAATTATTGGCAGAAAATTGCTCATAGTATTGCATATATTTTTTATTTATGTAGGATCAGCAGTAAGTCCACATTTTAAATTTTTGAGTAATCGAATCTTCTCTTTGAGTCCATATAAAGGTTTATCTATTTTGTTTAATTTTTCAAGAAAACAACTTTTTGTTTTAATGATTTTCTGTATTATTTTTTCATCTCTATATATCTATGCTCTTTATTATTTTCTTTCTTCTAGTATATTTGGACTTTGTTTTTATTTTTCTAGTTATTTAAATTCTAAAGTTAGGTTTTTGATTTGAAATCTTTCTTATATTTTACTGTAGGCATTTATAATTAAATTTTATCTCTTAGCACTACCTGTGTCCCAATAGTTTTGTTTTGTTGTGTCTTCATTTTTATCTTTCTCTACATATTTTCTAATTTTCTTAGGATTTATTCTTTAATATGCTGGTTGTTTTATAGTATATTGTTTAATTTCCACCAAATTGTGAATTTTTCTGTTTCCTTCTGTTATTGATTTCTAACTTTGTAGCATTGTGGTCACAGAAGATATCTTGTATGAAATATATCTTTTTTAAATTATTAAGACTTAATCTGTGGCCTAATGTATGATCTATCCTGGAATATGTCCCATGTTCCTATGTGCACTTGAGAAGAATGTATATTCTATTGTTGTTGGATACAGTGTTTTCTATGTGTCTGTTAGATTTACATGGTTTATTATTTTGTCTAAAGCTTCTATTTCCTTATTTATCTTATGTCTGGTTATTCTATCCATTACTGAGAGTGGGTTATTGAAGTAGCTGACTATTATTATGGGAGTTTCTATTTCTTCCTTCAACTTCATCAACTTTTGCCTTATATATTTTGATGATTTCTTACTATGCACGTGTGTATATAAGTGTTAATCTTCTTGCTATATTGAAAATTTTATTAACATATAATGTCTTTTTTGTCTTGTAACTTTTTTTTTTTTTTTTTTTTTTTTTGAGACGGAGTCTCGCTCTGTCGCCCAGGTCGGACTGCGGACTGCAGTGGCGCAATCTCGGCTCACTGCAAGCTCCGCTTCCCGGGTTCACGCCATTCTCCTGCCTCAGCCTCCCGAGTAGCTGGGACTACAGGCGCCCGCCACCGCGCCCGGCTAATTTTTTGTATTTTTAGTAGAGACGGGGTTTCACCTTGTTAGCCAGGATGGTCTCGATCTCCTGACCTCATGATCCACCCGCCTCGGCCTCCCAAAGTGCTGGGATTACAGGCGTGAGCCACCGCGCCCGGCCAACTTTTTTAAAATTTATAATCTATTTTGTTTGACATTAATGCAGCTACCCCTGCTCTCTGGTGATTAATATTTCCATGGAATATTCATTTTCTCTTTGTATTTTTAACTTTCAAGCTATATGTGTCTTTGTCTCTAAGATAAATCTTTTATAGACAGTATATAGTTGGATAATTTTTAAACTAATTCTGCCAGTCTCTGTCTTTTGACTGAAGAGTTTAAATTAATTGCTGTTTAAAAGTAATGGCTGGTAAGGAGGGACTTACTTCTATCACTATGCTATTTGTTTTCTATAAGCCTTATAGCTTTTTTGTCCCTTATGTCCTGCATTACTGCCTTCTTTTGTGTTTGATTTTTTGTACTGAAACATTTAAATTTATTTCTCATTTCATTTTGTGTATATTATTTATCTATTTTCTTTGTGAGTACCATGAAGATTGCATTTAACATTTTGAAGTTATAATACTTTAATTTGAGTTTATACTAGTTTAACCTCAAAGCCTCTGATTGTTTATAAGCTCTTTTTTCCCAGCCCTTTTAGCTGTTGATGTCACAAAATTACATCTTTATACATTGTATGCCAAAAACCTTAAACTACTTTTTTTGGTTTATTAGTCTCCTAAATATTGTGAAAATCATAATGTGAAGTTACAACCCAAAGTTACAATAATACTGTTACAGGACTCCTTTGGGGCCACTTCACCAAGTGGAAACCCCTGTGGACACAGTGTCCTCTGCCCAGGGACTTGCTCATGGCTACCAAGCTTGCTCTGCCTGCTTGGCCAGGCAGGCTGTGCTTGGCTCATGCCCCAGTCTGGATCCCACGCCTGCCACAGGATCTGCATCCAGCCCGTGGCTGAACTGGGTGTGCCATGAGCAGCTTCCCTGTTGGGCGTTGGTGTTTAGATGAGGGTATGTGGCTGCACCAGAAAACTTGGACATGTCAGGAATCACGGAACCCCAAAGGGTGTTACAGCTGTTGCTAGGGTGTCCTGAGGTTGGAGCCTCAAAAATGTCACAGCTCTTTTGTTCCCCTAGGTCAGCACACAGGACTGTGTGGTGGCCAGTGGCTGGCTTTTTAACTCCCATAGTTGGTGGGCAGGAGTGTATGTACAGCTCTTTTCACATCTGCTGCTCGCAGCTCAGTGAATTGGGGAATGCCACAGCTTTCTCCTTCCTGCTGCCTGCAGCTTGACTAGTTGGTGAGAAGCCTCACAGCTCTTTTCACACCTGCCATTTGGTAGGTTCTGAGTTCTTGTCCTGCCACCAAGAGGATTGAGGTACATGGACAACAGAGAGTGAGCAAGGCAGAGAAGAATTTTATTAAGTGACAGAAAAACTCTTGACAATGAGAGAGAACCCAAAGTGGGTAGCTCTTTGCTGTGAGAGGGGGTCCGAAAGCAGTAGCCATCTGTGAGGCTGAGTCCAGGGTTTTTATGGGCTCAGAATGGGGGAGTGTGTGCTGACTGGTCCATGGGTGAGCTTGGAAAAAGCACCATTCAATTGGTTAAGAGGTGGGCTCTACTTGGAACTAGCAGCTCAGTTTTCAAACTTTAAACTGTCTTCAGCTTGAAAGTTGGGTTTAACCAGGGACCTGTCCCTGTCTGCCTATGAATTTGTCTGTCTCCTGTCATTATCAATATCAGTTTTTAGTACTAGTTTTACTACTAGTTTCTATTTTTCTTGCTTGACATCAAGTGATAGAAACACCTGTTTATGTAGACCAAAATATATTTACATTCATTTATTAACTCAAAAATACTTATTAAGTACATTATTAAGGTTAGGTACTCTATAGAGTTTTTAGAGTACATGAGTAAGCAAAATTGGGGCTACAGTATTCATCTCTATATAGCTTAGTATATGATGTAAAACAGACAGTACTTGGTATTTGATAAGTTATAAATGAGGTGGAGGCAGTGGGAGATATTGTTCTTGTTTGAGTGGATAGATGTTTGTGCAACTGCTCAGAAAGTAATGTTGTGAGATGACCGGGTTTAGTAAGGGAATATATTGAGATTTGTTTTGTTTTGTTTAATTTTTAGTGCCTTTGAAATATCAAAATATCCAAAGAGAGTTGAGAAGCAGGCAGATGGAAAAGTCAAAACTAGAGATAAATACTTGGTAGTCATTTATAGATAACTGAAATTAGAATTTTTGAGAATAAATAAGATTGTCACACACACATAAAAAACATAGGCAAAGACGGATTTCTAGAAATTCATAAAACCTAAACTGTAGACTTAAAAATAGCTCAAATAAATAAAAATATTTCTACTGTTTATTTACAAATTCATTGTTCCTGAAAATCTAAGAACAAAACAACCTTACAATTTCATCAAAAGATCTAGTTGATTTTAAAAATATAGCTTTTCTTTATGAGTACTTGTTTGTGAAGTAAATCTATTAATATTACTCTCCAGATATTGGGCTGTAAGTGATACATAAAATATAAACTTTCCTACCCAACCCCAACCATGGACAAAAAAATATGGAGAATTATGAGGAAACAAGCTTAACAGATACCACATTTTTTTGCCTGATGCTTTTTTCTTATTTAAACAATAACTATATATTCAAGTAAAGATATTAATGAAAATGCTGTCCTAATTCAATAATACAAGTTAATATGGAGGCAAATAATTGTTAACCTTTTTAAATGCTGAATAATGTTTTATTGTTTTAATGTAGAGTAGGATTCTATGATATATCTCATTCACTATAAAATACAAAAAAGTTGCTAAGGTTGAACAAAGATTCTCACTTTTTAATTTAATTTTGTAAGTTTTTGATTAATACAGAACATACAGAATGTTCTTTAAGCAGTATTCACCTTATAATTAATTAATTATATCTTCCTGAATAAAACTATATTGTATATTATTACTATTGTGGTTACATATGTATATATAAATATTTGTCATAATTTCCAAAACCAGTATTATCATAGATGGCTACATACAAATCCATACACATATATACATACACATCCATACACATATGTATATATACACACAAATATACCTATAAAATGCCAAGTATTATACTAAATTATTCTTACCAATTCTGAAATTTAATCATCCAATATCCTATAACATTATTTGTATTATGTGTCAGTTTTCAAATCAGTGAGCTGAGTGAAAAATAAGTAAAAGTGTATTGATTAGAAGTCTGTGTGTTATGTGCCTCATTATTTCTTGTGAATCAATTTATAAAACTTGAAATTACAGAGGCAAAGTCAGTGCCATTTTTAATGACACATACAGCTAATTGTTACCTGTTGATAATTCTGCTAATACACATTCCCCACAATTCGTATATGAGAAAGCCCTATTTCTGAATCCTTTACTCTTGAATGTGAGAAAGTTTTTAAAGAACTTGATGTTAGTCAGCTCTAAGGAGTAACTTCATCACTGATTGAGATACTAAGAATTCTCTAAGAAACTTTAAAATAAAAGAACTCAGTGGATTCTTTTGAAAGTTCCACCAGTTTTACAACTCTAGAGTGGTACCATTCAAATGACAGGCCTGCATGTACTTGAAATCAGGAAATCCATCTTTTGTTTTAGCAGCTAAACGTGTCTTTGTCTAAATCTCTATAATTAAAACCAAGCATAGAGTAAATATGATGGAAGATTACTATCTGATTCCTACCTCCATATGAAATTGTGTGAAGTTATGTAATTAATGTTTTCAAAGTGTGGGAATTCTTTCTTTTCATTGGTTAGCTATATATAATTATATAATCATAATACATCATTTTGAAAAAAATATGATGTGGGAAAATTAACTTCAAGGAATATACATTTTATATTGCTTAAAAAGTTCTGTAGTCAGCCAGGCACAGCAGTTCATGCCTATAATCCTAGCACTTTGGGAGGCCAAGACGGGCGGATCACCTGAGGTCAAGAGATCGAGACCAGCCTGGCCAACATGGTGAAACCTCATCTGTACTAAAAATACAAAACAAAAAATTAGCTGAGCGTGGTGGCACATGCCTGTAGTCCCAGCTACTCGGGATGGCTGAGGCAGGAGAATCGCTTGAACCCGGGAGTGGAGGTTGCAGTGAGCCAAGATCATGCCACTGCATTCCAGCCTGGGTGACAGAAGGAGACTCCATCTCAAAAAAAAAAAAAAAAGTCCTGTAATCAAATAATAATTTTATAAAAGAGTAGTAAGAAAAATTTGAAGAGATTTTGGAATTGCACACTCAAGTGGTACATCTCTTCGGCTCCAAAGATGTAACACTGGTAGGTAATCTCAGTAGAAAATCCATAAATAACAAAAACATTTAGTTTTGTATAAAAGTGAAGCTAAAATTTACTCGTACATCATAAGGGAAACCAATCATCTATACATTGTTTATAACATCAGAAAGCTGAATCAGGTTTTATAGAAATAAAATCCGGAACAATTAGTTGAGTTTTATCTTCATTTCTTCTGACAAGCTAACAAATGAACAATTTGTAACCTTGAATTGGCTGAATGCATCATTGGATAAAACAATTTCATTTATGTATATAAATTTTCTAAGGAATATAGTTATTTTAGTTGTGGAGTATACTTGGTATTTGTGTGTAATGGCTGCTAGTAACTTTATATTGGCATTTATTCTTTTCTTATGATAGAACTGCAACATTTTCCTTTTATAATTCTATTACATACACTTTACATTTTCTTTATATATTACACTGTTACATTAGAAAAATAACATATACAAACATATATGTAATTTTGTATTTATCAATTTTAAAATATAATGGTAAGAAATTCTAAAACTTATGTAAATTGGACCTAACAAAGTAAGGGGACTATAATTATATGAAGGATAATTCATGTCATATATGTCCTTGGTGTTGTAAAATATAGATTTCTTTAATACAAAATTAGGAATTCAATTATATATGCCTATAAAATATGAAATTGACTCATAGAAAATATTATTTTTATCAATCCAGAAGTCATTGGAAAAGAATATATATTAAATTGGCATAAGAGTAGAAAACAAACTATGTGGATCAATTGAAATTCCCTCAGTTGGAGATGTATAAGGAACTAAATGTTTTAATTATTGTTAAAGGCACTACCTTCTCTCTCTCTGTCTCTCTCTGCCTTTGTCTTCCCCAACTTACCTATCTATGTATTTATTCTTTAAAAATGTTGTTATGTTGTCTTCTGGCTTTTAATATTTTTTGCTGATTGCTGAGTCTTACTGCTGCTCTTTTCACACTAACATATATTGTTGGCTTTTTTAACAAGATATTCTTGTTTATAGAAATTTTATTATATGCTAATGGTAATTTTCTTTGTGTTTATTATGTGTTAAGTTTCTAGAGGTTCTTAAATTTCTAAGTTGATGCGTTTTGTCAGGTTCAGCACAATTTTGTTCACTATTCAAACATTGCTTGTATCTAATTTCTTTCTCTTTTTCTAATACTCCAGTTACACTTATATTTGACCTTGACATAGTATTCTACAAGACTATTATGTATTGCTTTATCTCTTTTTCATGACCCAGTTTGGTTAATTTCTATTACTCTACTAAAATTTATGTTAACGCTGTTGATTTTAAAAATTTGGATTTTTTTTTCAACTTTAGAAACTCTACTTGACTCATTTTTAAAGATTCATTTTTTCCTTTATTTTCAAAAATACAGCTATATTTATATTAAAATCCTTGATTGCTAAATACAAATATAATCCATTATCTGAACCAATTTTTGGTCTGTTATCAGCTTTTTTTCTAGATTTATAGTTCTATGGTCTTTAAAAACATCTCATAATATTTTAATGAATGTTAGTATTGCCTTGATATAACAACATTTTAGACAACACAGATGTCTAAATGATCATCCTCTGGAAAGAACTCACACTTTTCTCCTTTAGTTTAGGATACATTGTTAGCTGCTGAACTCTGAATCCAATACGATGCTGAGCTGATCCAAACCTGGGTATAGTTTTGGTAAGGCTCTGCTACCTCTATTCTCCCACCTTTTTGAGGATATGGCCCATCTGACCTTTCATATAAGAGCCTTTGCTTGTTGTCAGTTTGTTTAGCAATAAAGGCCTTTTCCCCTGCTGTGACTATATCATCCTTACCCTTATAAGACCAGAAAGAAAACCTGGGGCAGCTGGCAAGATGGATGAATAGGAACAGCTCCACTGCAGCTCCCAGTGAGATCGAGGTAGAAGGTGGGTGATTTCTGTATTTCAACTCATCTCATTGGGACTGCTTGGACAGTGGGTGCAGCACACGGAGGGTGAGCCAAAGCAGGGTGGGCTGTTGCCTCACCCAGGAAGCTCAAGAGGTCAGGGAATTCCCTCTCCTAGCCAAGGGAAGCCATTAGGGACCATACTGTGCACTCAAGCCCAGATGCTGCACTTTTCCCATGGTCTTCACAACCCACAGACCAGGAGATTCCCTCTGGTGCTTACACCACCAGGGCCCTGGGTTTCAAGCACAAAACTGGGTGGCTGTTTGGGCAGACACTGAGCTAGCTGCATCAGGAGTCTTTCTTCATACCCCAGTGGCACCTGGAATGCCAGCAAGACCGAACTGTTCACTCCCCTGGAAAGGGGGCTGAAGCCAGGGAGCCAAGTGTTCTGGCTTGGTGGGTTCCACCCCAAAGAGCCCAGCAACCTAAGATCCACCAGCTTGAAATTCTTGCTGTTGGCACAGCAGTCTGAGCTCGACCTAGGACACTTATGCTTGGTGTGGGGAGGGGCATCTGCCATTGCTGAGGCTTGAGTAGGTGGTTTTACCCTCACAGTGTAAACAAAGCCACCAGGAAGTTCGAACTGGGTGGAGCCCACTGCAGCTCAGCAAGGCCCCCATGGCCAGACTGCCTCTCTAGATTCCTCCTCTCTGGGCAGGGCATCTCTGAAAAAATAAAGGCAGCAGCCCCAATCAGGGGCTTATAGGTTAAGCTACCATCTCCCTGGGACAGAGCACATGGGGGAAGGGCAGTTGTGGGCACAGCTTCAGCAGACTTAAACATCCTTGCCTCACAGCTCTGAAAAGAGCAGTGGATCTCCCAGCACAGAGTTTGAGCTCTGCTAAGGGTGAGATTACCTTCTCAAGTGAGTCCCTGACCCCATGTCTCCTGATTGGTAGACACCTCCCAGTAGGGGCCGACAGACACCTCAAACAGGAGAGCTCTGGCTGGCATCTGGCGGGTGCCCCTCTGGGATGAAGCTTCCAGATGAGGGAACAGGCAGCAATCTTTTCTGTTCTGCAGCCTCCGCTGGTGATATCCAGACAAACAGGGTCAGGAGTGGACCTCCAGCAAACTCTAGCAGACCTGCAGCAGAGTCGCCTGACCTTTAGAAGGAAAACTACCAAACAGAAAGGAATAGCATCAACATCAACAAAAAGGACGCCCATTCAGAGACCCCATCCGAAGGTCACCTACGCCAAAGGCCAAAGGTAGATAAATCCACAAAGATGGAAAGAAACCAGTGAAAAAAGGCTGAAATTTTCAAAAACCAGAACGCCTCTTCTTCTGCAAAGGATCACAATTCCTTGCCAGCAAGGAAACAAAACTAGACAGAGAATGAGTTTGATGAATTGACAGAACTAGGCTTCAGAAGGTTGATAATAATAAACTCCTCTGAGCTAAAGGAGTATGTTCTAACCCAATGCAAGGAAGCTAAGAATCTTGAAAAAATGTTAGATGAGTTGCTAACTGTAATAAACAGTTTAGACAAGAACATAAATGACCTGATGGAGCTGAAAAACAAAGCATGAGAACTTTGTGAAGCACAAACAAGTATAAATAGCCAAATTCATCAAGCAGAAGAAAGGATATCAGAGATTGAAGATCAACTTAATTAAATAAAGCATGAAGACAAGATTCAAAAAAAAGAATGAAAAGGAACAAACAAAGCCTCCAAGAAATATGCGACCAAATTTACATTTGATTGGTGTACCTGAAAGTGACAGGGAGAATGAAACCAAGTTGGAAAACCCTCTTCAGGGTATTATCAGGAAAACTTTCCCAACATAGCAAGACAGACCAACATTCAAATTCAGGAAATACAAAAAACACCACAAAGATACTCCTTGAGAACAGCAACCCTAAGACACATAATCGTCAGATTCACCAAGGTTGAAATGAAGGAAAAACTGTCAATGGCAGCCAGAAAGGTCTTGTTACCTACAAAGGGAAGGCCATCAGACTAACAGCAGATCTCTCTGCAGAAACCCTACAAGCCAGAAGAGAGTGGGGGCCAATATTCAACATTCTTAAAGAAAAGAATTCTCAACCCAGAATTTCATATCCAGCCAAACTAAGCTTCATAAGTGAAGGAGAAATAAAATCCATTACAGACAAACGAATGCTGACAGATTTTGTCACCACCAGGCCTGCCTTACAAGAGTTCCTGAAAGAAGCACTGAATATGGAAAGGAACAACCAATACCAGCCACAGCAAAAACATATCAAATTGTAAAGGCCATCGATGCTATAAAGAAACTGCACCAACTAATGGCCAAAATAAAAAGCTAGCATCATAATGACAGTATCAAATTCACACATAACAATATTAACCTTAAATGTAAATGGGCTAAGTGCCCAAATTAAAAGACTCAGACTGGGAAACTGGATGAAGAGTCAAGACCCATCAGTGTGCTGTATTCAGAGACCCATCTCATGTGCAGAGACACACATAGGGTCAAAATAAAGGGATGGAGGAAGATCTACCAAACAAATGGAAAGCAAAAAAAAATAGGGGTTACAATCCTAGTCTCTGATAAAACAGACTTTAAACCAACAAAGATCAAAAGAGACGAAGATTGGCATTACATAATGGTAAAGGGATCAATGCAACAAAAAGAGAATAACTATCCTAAATATATATGCACTCAATACAGGAGCACCCAGATTCATAAAGCAAGTTCTTAGAGACCTACAAAGAGACTTAGATTCCTACACAATAATAGTGGGAGACTTTAACACCCCACTGTCAATCTTAGACAGGACAACGAGACAGAAAATTAACAAGAATATTCAGGACTTGAACTCAGCTCTGGACCAAATGGAACTAATAGACATCTACAGAACCCTCCACCCCAAATCAACAGAATATACATTCTTCTCAGCACCACATCACACCTACTCTAAAACTGACCACATAATTGGAAGTAAAACACTCCTCAGCAAATGGAAAGGAACAAAAATCATAACAAACAGTCTCTCAGACCACAGTGCAATCAAATTACAACTCAGAATTAAGAAAATCACTCAAAATCGCACACCTACATGGAAACTGAACAACCTGCTCCTGAATGACTACTGGGTAAATAAGGAAATTAAGGCAGAAATAAAGAAGTTCTTTGAAACCAATGAGAAAAAAGACTCAACATACCAGAATATCTGGGACACATTTAAAGCAGTGTCTAGAGGGAAATTTAAAGCACTAAATGCTCACAAGAGAAAGCAGGAAAGATCTAAAATCAACACCCTAACATCACAACTAAAATAACTTGGGAAGCAAGAGCAAATAAATTCACAATCTAGCAAAAGACAAGAAATAACTGAGATCAGAGCAGAACAGAAGGAGATAGAGATATGAAAAACCCCTCAAAAGATTAATGAATCCAGGAGCTGGTTTTTTGAAAATATCAACAAAATCGATTGACCACTACCCATATTAATACAGAAGAAAAGAGAGGAGACTCAAATAGACACAATAAAAAATGATAAAGGGGATATCACCACTGATCCCACAGAAATACAAACTGCCATCAGAGAATACTATAAACACCTCTATGCAAATAAACTAGAAAATCTAGAAGAAATGGGTAAATTCCTGGACACATACACCCTCCCAAGACTAAACCAGGAAGAAGTTGAATCCCTGAATAGAACAATAACAAGTTCTGAAATTGAGGCAGTAATTAATAGCCTACCAACTAAAAAAAAGTCCAGGACCAGACAGATTCACAGATGAATTCACCCAGTGGTTAAAAGAGGAGCTGATATCATTCCTTCTGAAACTATTCCAAACAATAGAAAAAGAGGGAATTCTCCCTAACTCATTTTATGAGGCCAACATCATCCTGATACCAAAGCCCGACTGTTGCGGGAAGTCAGGGACCCCAAACGGAGGGACCAGCTGAAGCCATGGCAGAAGAACGTAGATTGTGAAGATTTCATGGACATTTATTAGTTCCCCAAATTAATACTTTTGTAATTTCTTATGCCTGTCTTTACTGCAATCTCTAAACATAAATTGTGAAGATTTCATGGACACTTATCACTTCCCCAATCAATACCCTTGTGATTTCCTATGCCTGTCTTTACTTTAATCTCTTAATCCTATCAGCTGAGGAGGATGTTTGTCGCCTCAGGACTCTATAATAATTGCATTAACTGCACAAATTGTACAGCATGTGTGTTTGAGCAATATGAAATCTGGGCACCTTGAAAAAAGAACAGGATAACAGGAATTGTTCAGGGAACAAGAGAGATAACTTTAAACTCTGACCGCCGGTGAGCCAGGTGTAACAGAGCCATATTTCTCTTCTTTCAAAAGCAAATGGGAGAAATATCACTGAATTCCTTTTCTCAGCAAGGAACATCCCTGGGAAAGAGAATATGTGCCTGGGGGTGGATCTCTGAACTGGCCCCCCTGGGTGTGGCCGTCTCTTATGGTCGAGGGTGTAGGGGTGAAATAGACCCCAGTCTCCCAAGCATTCCCAGGCTTATTAGGAAGAGGAAATTCCCGCCTAATAAATTTTGGTCAGACCTGTTGATCTCAAAGCCCTGTCTCCTGATAAGATGTTATCAATGACAGTGGTGCCTGAAACTTCATTAGCAATTTTAATTTTGCCTCGGTCCTGTGGTCCTGTGATCTCGCCCTGTCTCCACTTGCCTTGTGATATTTTATTACCTTGTAAAGTACTTGATGTCTGTGACCCACACCTATTCTCACACTCCCTCCACTTTTGAAAATCCCTAATAAAATCTTGCTGGTTTTTGTGGCTTGTGGGGCATCACAGAACCTACCGACATGTGATGTCTACCCCAGATGCCCAGCTCTAAAATTTCTCTCTTTTGTACTCTGTCCCTTTATTTCTCAAGCTGGCCAATTCTTAAGGAAAATAGAAAAGAACCTACTTGAGTATCGGGGGCAGAGTCCCCGATATCTGGCGCCCAACGTGGGGCCAGTTTGATTATTCGTCCAAATTTTGATATTTCCTACTAACAGCATGTAAAGAGGCTTAACACAACTCTGTATGGGAACAGTCAGGTTGGAGGTAAGTAAAGCAGAATGTCTGGGTCTACGATGATACTGAGAGAGTGGGACGGTAGTGGGAACAACAGTCAGAATAGTTTTCCTTTCCCATACTCGCAGTCCGGACATGGCACAGCCAATTTCCAAAGTTCTGGGTGTTCTGGGCCCAGAATGGGAAGTATCATACGAGGCCTCGGAGGGGGCGGTAATGCCTTTATTTTCCCATTTTAAGGGAACGAATGAGCTGATCCTCCTATGCAAAGTTGAATGATGATTCTCATTCTCCTGATAAGAAATAAAATTAGCCTCCAGGCTTTCCCTTCCACCAGAGAAGCAATTGTTTTTTAAATAGCCCTTTGGTGCTCAGTCTATTACTAAACCATATGAGTCATTTTTTAATATTGCTGCATGTGAGTTAACACAATCTTCCAAATTAAAGTTTTAGATGGGCCCTCAAAATTTTTAGGTCATGATTTTCCTGCAGGTTTATATTGAAAGTATGGGGTATCTCCCATTACTCCTCCTTTCATTTGTTTTAAAGGAGAAAGGGAGAGGCCAGAGACCAAATGTCCCGTTTTATCTGTAGCTGATCTTTCCGGAAGATAAACGGCCCAGACTTGAGTTTCTAGATGGATGCAACCAGGTGCATGTCTGAGGCACAGAGGCGGGTATTTATAACCCATGGTAACATTAAATGCAGTGCCTTCTTCTCCTGGTTGAGCAGGGCAATGGTCATCTGTGGCTCCAGGCATCCACACACTATCGTTAGTGTAGATTTCTGCAGGAGCATCTATCCAGTTGAGACGTTGAATAAGTGGAGGAACAGGCACATAAGCCCAGTAAGAATAATTATGTGTAGCAGATAAATCAGTGTGAGAGGAAACTGGTGAGACAGAAAGTATGAGGAGGAGAATCATTAAATAAAACCTAGTGTAAGTGAGATTGAGTGCTGAAGGAGGAAGAGAAGAACAGAGGGATGTTATTTTCAGGCTAATAGAAATGGCAAGATTTTTACATTTGTAAGGAGAAAAAGAAAGGTAATCAGGAGAAGTGTGATTAGTTAGATGGGCCTCCATTGCCATCATGGAGGATTGATTTATACCCATTGTTATTTGGTGTGCCTGTTTCTGAGGAGTTGGCACAGATCTCACCACGTCTGAAGGCAGTCTCTGACACAGACACCTTTTCTCTGTGATTTTCGTTGTCAGTATTCACCTGACGCTTGAGTCTTCTGGGGGGTACCCAGACAGGGGATTGATGATCTCCTGGTGAAACACAAGCATATCCTCTTCCCCACATTATAATTGTGCCAGGTTCTCAGGTATTGGTTTGGGAGTTTTTCCATAACACTGGCTTGCCTTCGTTTAAGGAGAATTTTTTGCCTGTATAATGGTGTTCGGCTGCAGTTAGAGTATTATCTTTAGGAACAGTTAAAAAATTTAAAGTAAACAATGCCAAATGTAATTGGGAGTGGGGAGTAGTTAAATCATGTTTTGGTTGTTCAGATTGTTTGGACAATTGGGTTTTTAAAGTGCGATTGGCCTGCTCCACCACAGCCTGTCCCTGAGGATTGTAAGGGATTCCAGTAATATGGGAAATTTCCCACTGTTGCATAAATGAATCAAAAACCTTACTAACAATTCTAGGGGCATTGTCTATCTTTATTTGATATGGAAGCCTCATAACTGCAAAGCAAGAATATAGATTTTTTTTTAACATGGGCTGTGCCTTCCCCTCTTTGGCAAGTAGCCCAGATAAAACCTGAGAAGGTATCTACAGAGACATGCACATATGACAGTCTGCCAAAGGAGCTAACATGAGTCACATCCATTTGCCATAAAGCATTAGGAGTTAGGCCTCTAGGATTAATGCCAGATTCCTGATTTGGAAGTACGAAGACCTGGCACTGAGGGCAGCTGTGAACAATAAACTTAGCCTGTTTCCAGGTAAGAGCAAACTTATCTTTTAATCCAGCGGCATTGACGTGAGCGAGATTATGGAACTCCTGAGCTTCTTGGGTTGCAAAATAGACCAAAGAGTCGACTTTATGGTTACTGGCAGACATGGGTCCTGGTAAAGTGGTATGAAACCTAGTATGTGTAATATAGAAAGGGTGTCTATGTTGGTGAACCGCCTGTTGTAACCTTGAAAATAAAGAAGCCAATTCAGAATTATCAATATGTTTGATAGTAGCAGTTTCTATATTTTTAGTGGCATGTACAACATAAGCAGAAGCTGAGACAATATTTAAAGGTTTGGGGAAATCCTGTATAGCAGTAATCACAGCAATTAACTCCACATTTTGAGCAGAAGTATAAGAGGTAGAAATAAGTTTGTCTGTAGGACCTACGTAACTGGCATTGCCATTACTGGAGCCATCATTGAACACTGTAACAGCCTCAGGAATGGGTTGATCTTTGGTTAATAGAGGAACCACCCAAGACATCATTTTTATAAAATCAAACAATTTGTTTTTTGGATAATGATTGTCAATAACACCAATAAAATCAGCCAAGTGAATTTGCCATGGTACAGAATGTTGAAAGGCAGCTTGAACTTCGAGCCGATTTAAAGGAATTACAATTAAGTTTGGATCAAATCCAGAAATTTGAAGTATTCTGCACTGAGCCTGTCCAATTAATATGGCTATTTGGTCTAGATAAACAGACAAAGTTTTTGACACAGAATGAGGAAGAAAACACCACTCCACTAAATTATTATGTTGAACTATTAGTCCAGTAGGGGAGTGTAATGAAGAAAAACCAGAAGCTGAAGAGGCTGAAATGGCTGTACTCTAGATAACTGGGCAGTCTGGATTCTTTCCTCTACGAATTCCAGTTCTAGTAAAGCCTCAGGAGTCAAAGTCCTGGTGCTGCAGGATCGGAATCTCCCCGCAGAGTAGAGAATAAGTTAGACAGCACACAGGTTGGAATGCCTAAAGTAGGTCTTAAATAATTAATGTTACCCAAAAGTTTTTGGAAGTCATTTAACATTTTTAAAGAATCTCTCCTAATTTGAACTTTTTGAGGTTGAATACATTGTTTATCAACCACCGTTCCTAAATATTGAACAGGAGTGGTCTGTTGAATTTTATCCTGAGCGATGTGCAATCCAGCCTCTGTAACACAGTGGCTCTAAATTTGGTAACAGTCAATTAATTGTTTATCAGTGGGGGCAGCAATTAAAATATCATCAATATAATGAAGAATATAGACCTCAGGAAATTGGGCTTGAACTGGTGAAAGCACTTGTCCAACATAAAGCTGGCAGATTGTAGGGCTATTTAGCATTCCCTGAGGAAGTACTTTCCATTGATAACGAGCTGCAGGCTCCTGATTATTGATAGATGGTACAGTAAAAGCAAATTTTTCACAATCCAATTTATGTAAAGCAATATGAAAAAAAACTTTAAGATCAATAACTATGAGAGGCCAATTTTTAGGTATTAAAGCAGGGGCAGGCATTCCAGGTTGGATGACCCCCATAGGTTTAATCACAGTATTAATGGCCCTTAAATCGGTTACCATCTGCCATTTGCCTGATTTCTTCTTTACTAGAAACACAGGAGAATTCCAAGGGGAAAGAGAAGGTTCCACATTTCCAAGTTGCAACTGCTCAGAAACCAATTGATTTAAAGCCTCCAGTTTTTCTTTAGAAAGTGGCCACTGCTGAATCCAGGCAGGTGTGTCAGATTTCCATTGCAAGGTAATAGGATCAGGAGGCATGGCAGCAGCCGCCACTAAAAATGATAACCTAAACCAGCCCTGTTTTCTTTTATAGTAACTGGGAGGGGTTTAGTAATCCCTTCATGCTTTGGACCGAGACTGAGTCCAGGAACAAACCCCATATTTTCCATCATATGCTGACTGGGAGCACTATAAGTGTTATGTGGAATATTAATTTCAGCCTCCCACTGTGCCAGTAAATCTACACCCCAAAGATTAATGGGAATTGGTATGATATAGGGCTGAATTGTACCCTTTTGACCATCAGGGCCAGTGCAAGGCAAGATAAATGTGCTCTCATAAACTTCCTCGGCCTTTCCAACACCTACTAGTCCCATGTTAGCCAGATGTTTAAGCCAAGAGGAAGGCCATAAACTAGAGGAAATAACAGAAACATCAGCACCAGTATCTACTAGGCCCTCAAACTTTCTTCCTTGAATGTGTATGGTGCAGGTGGGCCGTTGTTTAGAAATTATATTAATCCAATAAGCGGCCTTTTCACCACCGGAGCCCATCCCAGGGCCACATGTCTTATCTACTATGTTTAAAACAATATTAGGTAGTCAAAGCAATTGTTAAAAACTTTTTAACAGTGCAATTTTTTTGAATATGACCAAGTTGTTCACAATCATAGCAGGCTCCAAGAGAAGAATTAATGGGACCAGTGTGGTTGGTGTCCTTCATGGCCCATGCCCACAGAATAGTTTTGTGGGCATCTGATCCAATGCCTTCACAAGCTTTAATATATGCAGGCAACACCTCATGATCAGGTAAATTTTGTCGTTGGACAGAACGCATGGCCATTTTACATTCATGGTTTGCATTTTCAAAAGCTAACATAGGAAGGAGAATGCCTTGAGCGCACTCATCAGAGACAGATTTTTTAACAGCATCTTGTAATTTAGCCAAAAAATCAGGGTATAATTCAGGGTGACCTTGTTTAACTGTGGTAAAAGAAACAGGAGTTTGGCCTGGAGCACATAATTTATCCCAAGCTCTCATGCACACCTTTGTTACTTGTTCTGTGGTAAGGGCATCAAAGTTTAATTGGGCATAAGCATCAGAGAAACTATGGGAGCCTGTGAGCTGAGCTTGAGTAATTAGAATGCCATTACTGTTATTTAGCTGAGCCTACAAACGGGCCTCCTCTGACCACCAGGTATGGAATTGTAAATGCTGAGATGGGGTTAGAACAGCTTTTGCCGAAAGGTCCCAATCTAAAGGGAGTAAAGTGACCTCAGTACAAAAAGTTTGTAAAACCATCTTAACATAAGGAGAAGTAGGACCATACTGAGTACAAGCATCCTTAAATTCTTTTAAAAAGGTAAGATTAAGAGGTACATAATGATGCATTTGCAACCCTTGGAAGTTAGGTGGGTCTAGCGCGACCAGATAAGTCCACGCGTCTAATCCACTTGTTTCTCTGTTTTGGCATAACAAGCTTTGCATTGAAGTTTCAAGAGTAGGCATCTGAGTCGGAGTCAGCATAGAAGTGACAGGAAAAGCATGTGTAGATAAGGGAAACTGAAGGTGAGAGGGTCGGACTGGGATGAGAGTGTGAGAAAGAGGCATTGGGGGAGCAGAAGGAGCAGAAGTATACTGGTGATTACTGGTGTTCACGTGTGAAGAAGGGTACAGAGAAGCAGGCTGAGTAGATGGTAAAGTGACTGGTTGAGGAACCGAAATGACAGGAGGGTGAGGGGCTGAAGTGGGTGGGGGAGGGCCAGCAGAATTATAGGTAAAGTGTAGTTTGGTCCCAGAGCCGCTAGGTGATTCCAGAGGTTTGAGAAGAGAAGAATTAGCATATATAGGATCCTGGGCTGTGTGAGTCCAGGCTGCAGGAGTTACACGTACTGGTTATTCATGAAAAGAAATAAGATCATCAGGGTGACCATAAGTCAAAGTCACTGGAGTTAGACATTGAATTGTCTACATTGTCAGGTAGGGAAGGAGTAGCCGGAGGGAGAGGCTGATCAGATAACGAAGGCCGTGCAGGAGAGAAAGATTGAAGAAAAGGTGGAGGATCGTCAGATTCAGAAAACTGTGGTAACTGTAGGGGGCCATGGGATTGGTATGTCATCAGGACAGCACGTACCAAGGCCCAGTCACCCCAAACAGTGATGGGAACATAATTCCCTGTGGAGACCAGTTCCCTGAATGTTGTAGCAACATGATCCCATAGTTCTACACCTAAGGTTCCTTTTTCAGGAAACCAAGTACAGTATTTTTCTACCGTCCTGAATAGAGTGATCATATTTTCCATAGGCAATTGAACACCGCCCTGTTTTAACAGGAGTTTAATATAGCAGAGATAAGCATGATGCTTAGACTCTGCATGAAAGAAAGACCATGGGGGTGCCAGATATCAGGGAATCTGCCCCGATATTCAAGTAGGTTCTTTTCTATTTTCCTTAAGTGTAGGCCAGCTTGAGAAATAAAGGAACAGAGTACAAAAGAGAGAAATTTTAAAGCTCAGTGTCTGGGGGAGACATCACATGTCAGTAGGTTCCGTGATGCCCCACAAGCCACAGAAACCAGCAAGTTTTTATTAGGGATTTTCAAAAGGGGAGGGAGTGTGCGAATAGGTGTGGTCATAGGCATCAAGTATTTTACAAGGTAATAGAATATCACAAGGCAAGTGGAGGCAGGGAAAGATCACAGGACCACAGGACCAAGGCAAAATTAAAATTGCTAATGAAGTTTTGGGCACGATTGTCATTGATAACATCTTATCAGGAGACAGGGTTTTGAGATCAAGCGGTCCGACCAAAATTTATTAGGCGGGAATTTCCTCTTCCTAATAGGCCTGGGAACGCTATAGGAGACTGGGGTCTATTTCACCCCTACAGCCTCGACCATAAGAGACGGCCGTGCCCAGGGGGGCCAGTTCAGAGACCCACCCCCAGGCACATATTCTCTTTCCCAGGGATGTTCCTTGCTGAGAAAAGGAATTCAGCGATATTTCTCCCATTTGCTTTTGAAAGAAGAGAAATATGGCTCTGTTACACCTGGCTCACCGGTGGTCAGAGTTTAAGGTTATCTCTCTTATTCCCTGAACAATTGCTGCTATCCTGTTCTTTTTTCAAGGTGCCCAGATTTCATATTGCTCAAACACACATGCTGTACAATTTGTGCAGTTAATGCAATTATTACAGGGTCCTGAGGCGACATACATCCTCCTCAGCTGATAGGATTAAGAGATTAAAGTAAAGACAGGCATAGGAAATCACAAGGGTATTGATTGGGGAAGTGATAAGTGTCCATGAAATCTTCACAATTTATGTTTAGAGATTGCAGTAAAGACAGGCATAAGAAATTACAAAAGTATTAATTTGGGGAACTAATAAATGTCCATGAAATCTTCACAATCTACATTCTTCTGCCATGGCTTCAGCCGGTCCCTCCATTTGGGGTCCCTGACTTCCCGCAACACCTGACAGAGACACAACAAAAAGAGAAAATTTAGGCCAATATACCTGATGAACATCAATGCGAAAATCCTCAGTATAATACTGGCAAACTGAATCCAGCAGCACATCAAAAAGCTTATCCACTACGATCAAGTGGGCTTTATCCCTGGGATGCAAGGCTGGTTCTACATACATAAATCAATAAACACAATCCATCACATAAACAGAAGCAATGACAAAACAAGATTATCTCAATAAATTCAGAAAAGGCCTTCGACAAAAATCAACAGCCCTTCATGCTAAAATCTCTCAATGAACTAGGTATCTGTTCAAAATAATAAGAGCTATTTATGATAAACCCACAGCCAATATCATACTTAATTGGCAAAACCCAGAAGCATTCCCATTGAAAACTGGCACAAGACAAGGATGCCCTCTTTCACCAATCCTCTTCAACATATTATTGAAAGTTCTGGCCAGGGCAACTGGAGAAGAGAAAGAAATAAAGCTTATTCAAATAGGAATAGAGGAATTCAAATTGTCTCTGTTTGCAGATGACATGATTGTATATTTAGAAAATCCCATCATCTCAGCCCAAAATCTTCTTAAGCTGATAAGCAACTTCAGCAAATCCTGAGGATACAAAATCAATGTGCAAAAATCACAAGCATTCCTACACAACCATAACAGACAAACAGAGAGCCAAATCAAGAGTGAACTCCCATTCACAATTACTACAAAGAGAATAAAACACCTCGGAATACAACTTACAAGGGAGTGAAGGACCTCTTCAAGGGGAACCACAAACCACTGCCCAAGGAAATAAGAGAGGACACAAACAAATGGAAAAACATTCCATGCTCATGGATAGGAAGAATCAATATCGTGAAAATGGCCATACTGCCTAAAGTAATTTATACATTTAATGCTATCCCCATCAAGCTACCATTGATTTTCTTCCCAGAATTAGAAAAAACTACTTTAAATTTCATATGGAACCAAAAAAGAGTCCACATAGCCAAGACAATCCTAAGCAAAAAGAACAACACTGTAGGCATCACACTACCTGATTTCAAACTATACTACAAGGACACCATAACCAAAACAGCATAGTACTTTTACCAAAACAGATATACAGATAAATGGAACAGAACAGAGGCCTCAGAAATAACACCACAGATGGTGGTAATAACATATGAGATGTAGATACAGCCATCTGATCTTGGGCAAACCTGACAGAAACAAGCATTGGGGAAAGGATTCCCTATTCAATAAAAGGTGTTGGAAAAACTGGCTAGCCATATGCAGAAAACTGAAACTGGACCCCTTCCTTACACCTTATACAAAAATTAACTCAAGATGGATTAAAGACTTAAATGTAATACCTAACACCATAAAAACTCTAGAAGAAAACCTAGGCAATACCATTCTGGACATAGATATGGGCAAAGACTTCACGACTAAAACACCAAAAGCATTGGCAACAAAAGCCAAAATTGACAAATAGGATCTAATTAAACTAAAGAGCTTCTGCACAGCATAAGAAACTATCATCAGAGGGAACAGGCAACCTACAGAATTGGAGAAAATCTTTGCAATCTATCTATCTGACAAGAGGCTAATATCCAGAATCTACAAATAACTTAAACAAATTTACAAGAAAAAAAAACCATCAAAAAGTGGGCGAAGGATATGAACAGATACTTCTCAAAAGAAGACATTTATGCAGCCAAGAAACATATGAAAAAAAGCTCATTATCACTGATTATTAGAGATATGAAAGTCAAAACAATAATGAGATACCATCTCATGCCAGTTTGAATGGCCGTCATTAAAAAGTCAGTAAACAACAGATGCTGGACAGGATGTGGAGAAAAATGAATGCTTTTACACTGTTGGTGGGAGTGTAAATTAGTTCAACCATTGTGGAAGACAGTGTGGCAATTCCTCAAGGATCTACAACTAGAAATACCATTTGACCCAGCAATCGCATTACTGGTATATACCCAAAGGATTATAAATTATTCTACTATAAAGACACTTGCACACATATGTTTATTGTGGCACTGTTCTCAATATCAAAGACCCATTTGATATTGGAAATGGGTTTTTTGATGTGGAAAAAACCCAAATGCCCATCAATGATAGACTGGATAAAGAAAATGTGGCACATATATACTGTGGAATACTATGCAGCCATAAAAAAGGATGACTTCATGTCCTTTGCAGGTACATGAACGACGCTGGAAACAATCATTCTTAGCAAACTAACACAAGAACGGAAAATCAAACACCACATGTTCTCACTCATAAGTGGGAGTTGAACAATGAGAACACATGGACACAGGGAGGGGAACATCACACACTGAGGTGAGGGGCTAAGGGATGGATAGCATTAGGAGAAACACTTAATATGATGACAGGTTGATGGGTGCAGCAAACCACCATGGCACGTGTATATCTATGTAACAAACCTACACGTTCTGCACATGCACCCCAGAACTTAAAGTACAATAATAAAAAAAAGAAAAAACTTGTTCTATAATTCAGACTTAGATTTTTAGCACCCTGCTGCATACACGTTAGAATTTGTCAAATATCTCCAGTGGAAACTACCCACATGTGTTAGGTTTCTTGAGTTTCAGCCATATTGCCATAGCCCTGCCTAATTAATGAAAGTTCCCTGGTTTGTGTAACCTGAACACACAGCCCTCTGTCCAGGCATAATCTGTATTCTTGGTCTCTGGCCAATGCCCTGAATCAGCAAGTACTTCAGAACAAAAAGCAGCTGCAGATAATCACCTTTTGCCTTCAGTTTTTTCTTTTCGAAAGTCTTATACCATCTAGTCCTTCCTGATTCTGCAGCTTTCTTAATGCTTTAAATTATTCGCTTTACTTGGCTTTCACATTGGTGGCTATGTGACCATTGATTTGCTGCAAATTATTTCATTGTCGCCAGAAGCAGAAATGCCCCATATTTTAAGACTTGTTTGTTTTTGTACACAAATTATCTGAAGTTAGAATGTCTGATTTTGAATCTTGAATTCACCCATTACTGTACACCTGATGAAGGAAAATTAATTTAATCTCATATCATATCCATTTCTAATTGTGTAAACAAGAAAAAGTAACCAACTTGATATGCTGGTTATGAGGATTACTTAGTTAATACCTAAAAACTGCTTAAAAGAGTGGCTGGTGCATGTTACGTATACAATATTATCTATTATTATAGTTATTGCTTGTATTTTTGCAATTATAAAATAATAAACTTAACATTTATCCGTTAATTTTTAGGGTATAAAATTCAGAAATCTAATTCAATTCTATAAGCATTTTTTAAAATGTGTGCAAGACCATGTGCAAGGCCTTGCTTAAATATGCATGGTGGTGGCTAAAATGGAAGTGAATATTATCTCAAGTTGTACATGTTTTATATGTGTGCAAAAAATCAGTAAGTTCCACAACAAAAGCAAAAATAAAGATAAGTTTGGAGGCAGGGCAGAGAGAGCTATCCTTCCTACCTCCCCACCAGATACTGGATTAGCATAGGTATTGGCAGCTCAGAAAATAAGTACAAATCGTTCTACCTGCTTAAGCCACTTAAAGTACTCTTCCTAATAAGTTCTGCTTGTGAAGAATAGCAGTTTTAATTACTAAAATGCTTCCCCTAAGCACAAACTAGGTTCCTGAAATAACTTTGGAACTAGCTTATTGACTACATTGAATGTGCTGTAAGAACTGATAGAGAAGTTGCCAGGGGTCAAGTTGGCTATAAAGCAAATTACATTTCAAAAAAAAAAGTTCTGGAAATGTGTATTGAGTTCCAACCTGTTTAAAAGTGTCTTTCTTACTTATCTTCATCTGAAAGCAAGTCTTAGTACACTACATGGGAATATTCAGCATTTTAATGCAATGAATTTCTAGTCTTTCCTTAATTGTAGTCCCATAAAATTTATATTTGAAATAAATTTGGCCAGCACTAGTTTAAATTGGGTTCGATATATTAAGCAAATTGTTGTGAGCAATTTAATGTTTTTCTTATTTTAGCAAACTATAGGCCTAAAAATTTTATGTGTTGTTTTTTAAAAGGCAGAAGAAACAAAAGGAAAGGAAAAAAGAATGGGTTGAATAAGTTGAGCCAGAAATTTGGGTTATGTCTTCAAAATATTCTTTTAACTCATTTCATTCAAAAGCATTTATTGGCACCTACTCTGTGCCACAAATAGGAGAAAAGAAAGATAACTAAATCAGAGTTAGTTCATGACTTTTTTCACCACTAGTCTTATTCTTCCCAAAGGCACATGTAAATCAAAAAGTGTTAACAACTTTAATGCTCTAAATAAATACAGTGTTAATATAGCCAATATGTTCCAGAAAATTTAATGCAAACCTATTTTTATATTAACATAAAATAGCTGAGTATGACAGTGTGCACTTGTAATCCCAGCTATTCAGGAAGCTGAAGTGTGAGTATCGCCTGAAGCCATGAGTTGGAGACCAGCCTGGGTAACACAGTGAGACCTCATCTCAAAAACAGCAAGACAAAAAACAAAACAAAACAGAAAATCATGATGAATCTGTGAACAAAAATTACCTTCATAATGAACCATTTAAATTGCCAATGAAAAACTTGCCTATATTTCATGAAATGTTTTAAAACTATGAAAAATATCTTTTAAAACATCTGATGATTATTATTTTGAAATGTTTTTCATACTTTCAAGCAAATATCAGTATATTCTACAATATACTGAATAAAGGGGAAATCTATTGAATTTAATCATTGCAAATGTAATAAGACAAAAAACTAGAAATTCAAGCTAGGCACAATAGCTTTGACATGTGATGCTATGTGTAAATTGCAATGTTCAGATTTGTAGAACCAGTACTTGTTCCATGGCTTCAGCATCCTAAAACATGCCCTTCACTACAACTACCCATTTTGAAAATATAAAAAGGATGACAGAGGGTAATAGATTTTTATGGATAGGATGTCTTAAGGACTGTCTCTTTTTCCTTTCACTTCAATTGGGATAGTACCTACCCTTCAAAGACTGTGATGATGGGAATTCTATTAAAGTCTTGGAATATTTACTGTGAAGCCCATGTAGATTACAGATGTATTGCACTGGGCCAGGTGTAGTGGCTCATGCTTGTAATCCCAGCACTTTGGGAGGCAAAGATGAGAGGACTGCTCAAGGCCAGGAGTTTCAGACCAGACTGGGCATAGTGACAGCCTGTCTCTAACAAAAAAATACAAAAATTAGCTGGGTGTGGCGGCATGAGCCTGTAGTTCTAGGTACTCAAGAGCTTGAGGCAAGAGGGTTGATTGAGCCCAGGAATTGAAGGCTACACCGAGCTTTGATTGCATCACCATACTCCAGTCTGGGCAACAAAACTAGACCCTCTCTCTGGAAAAAATAAATAAATAAATAAATATATATATGTGTGTGTGTGTGTGTGTGTGTGTGTGTGTGTGTGCGCGCGCGTGTATGTGGGTATATATATATGTGGGTGTGCATATATATATGTAAATGTACTGCACTGAAGATTTCACTCCTGCAAAAGAATTTTAAGGTGACTAGACACTGTGTGAAGAATTGCTTTAGTTTGGAGCTGCGGAGGGCTACTTTGCTGAGATCAAATGGCCTGAACTCCCAGAACTGGTAGCAAACAAGTATGCATGACTATTTCTCATGGCAGAGAAATTAGTCCCGTGTGATTCTGTGGATGGTCATGGATCCTTCAGTGCTGTCTGCAAGGGTGAAGGTCCACCACTAGAAAAATCCTAGATGTGACCTCTTTGAGCCTAAAAAATGAGTCAAAATGAGTACCAGGAAAAAATATATAAAAGCATGCTAGATGTAAAAGAATTTAAGAATAGAGAGACATAGCAGAGACCTTCTGAAGGTCAACTGAAAATACTCCACAAGAAAATCATCTTGCAGTACTTATCAGCTCCACAGGGTTATAACTCCATCTTAAAATAGCACTAATTTAAATAAGGCTGCTCCTGTTCCTATAGAATAATTACAGAAGAAATCAACCACATATACCTTTTTCTGTAGTGAGTTTCTAACCAAAAGCAGGCCCAAGCTACACAAAGGGAGAACATTTGACTATACAGAATGCTCAGAGTTTTGATTCATATTATAGATTCAATATTTTCATTAATAATTTAAGAATTTACGATTTAAAAAAGCAAATTGAGCAAAACATAAAAAAATAAGTATGAATGATAGTAAGTTCAGGAGTCACATAATTGACCAAATTTCTCAATTTTACCCAGGAGACTGGTAAGGGTGGTGAACTAGATCGTTGTCTTACTAACACTTACCCCATGGTGTTTCATCTATTGGTCACACCGATAGCTCAGGGGATGGGCCTATAGCAGTAATCTTTCCACACCCCACACCCACAGAGATAGGGAATAGAGAGTGTCATGAACTTAACTTAAGCAATGCTGCACATTTCCCAAACCAGTGAGATTTGTTTGGGCGTGGTCCATCAGTCCAATTATCAGGGCATTTGTTAGATAGCGGTGGATGAAAATTATGTTCCCTCTCCGTGAATTGGAATGAAAAGAAATCTACTCTCCAATATTTAATATCCACTTTCAAACCTGAGGCAGAAACACCTGGGAAAAACTATATGTAGAACATTTATAACAGAGAATTATAGAAAATTAAACATAGATCCAACTGAACTGACCTGAAGCCTTACCTTCTATAGGGTTAACTAAACTTGTTTGGTCTGTTTGAGATGGATTTTCTCTTACTTGCATTGCAAACCACTATATATATGTATATATGTATATATATACACACATATTTTATATATATGTATATATGTATATATATACACACATATTTTATATATATGTATGTGTGTGTGAAAGAGTATTGTGTATGTACACATATATATGTATATTTATATGCTTACAAAATAATGTCAAAATTATTTCAGGCAATTATGCATGAAAATTATATATATATATAGAGAGAGAGAGAGAGTGAGAAAGAGAGAGAGAGGATTTTATGTATAATTGCTTCTCAAGAAGGCAAAATAGCAATGTGGTCTAGGCATGTAATCCTGATCCTGAATTTAAACACGTTTTCTAACAGCTAGCATCTGCATATCCCTAGAAAAGTCATTTGTTAACTCTAAGCCACTGTTTTCTTATTTGTAAAATGAGGATAATTCTATTATCTGCACTTTGCTATTGTTGTGAGGATCAAAGAAGACATATGTATTGGCTGCAGTGCCTGGCACTTATAGATAAGCACTCACAAACTATTGGTAGAAATAATTATGATACAGTATCATTGAAGAGTACTTATAAAAGAGAAATGTTTACTGCTTTGTCAGTTATTTGGCCATGATTAGTGTTTTAGTTTCTGCTATTTATATGTCTGCCCTAAGTGATAAAAAGGGAGCAAATAAAATCTAAAATATTATTGTTGCCTTCCATAGATGTATAGTCTATTTGAGGACACTTCATTTACTAAGCAAATAATTAAGCACAAATGGCACTCTCTACATACAAGTGACAAAAAAGGATGATAATTATAATGCAAGAAATAGAGTTAAGAAAAAGGAAATGGTGATTGAAGTGTTCATATAGACCTCATGGAAGAGTTGGAAATTGACCTAGATAGAATAATATAATCGAATGCTTTCAATTTTTAACTGAATCTTTTGGCAGTAAAACTCTGTCTCTCTCCCTCCCTCTCTCTCTCTCTCTCTCTCTCTCTCACTCACACACACACACACACTCTCTGTCCCTCTCTCTCTCCAAGGCTTACAGGAACAAATACATCTTAGAGAAAGTAAAATGTGTACTTTTTGTCGCAATCCCTTTTTCCATAAACATATTCTGAAAAATATTTGAGAACGTAATGCGAAAAGATGACTCTGACACACAGATAGTAATTAAAAAGCAAGTCACACTTTTCTTTACTAATACAGGTCATTCATTCTTAGGAGTGCCAGATCTGTATAGTAACTGTGTACTTAGATGATTCAAATACAACAGAGGATCCACCCTCACTCACTACCAACAAAAACAAACATAACAATTTGACTCTCTCATATTTTCTTTCAAATGAATGGAAAGCTATGCTTTTGTTATAAGTGTAAAAATAGAGAAATCATTTTTGTGTCTCCTCCCCACCATTCCCCATCCATTCTACCACCAAGCTCAGCCAAACTGGCACCATCTGACTTTTGGGGAGCCTGAGGCGGAGGTAAAATTAGAAGGCCACAGATAAACATTAACACTTAAATGATATAAATTGTTAAAAAAAACTGTAAATATTTTGTACTCATACCTTGATAAATATACCATCATGAGAACAAAATTTGAAAAAATAAACCTGTGTTTTTTTATGGATAACAGTAAGCAAAATGTCAGACAACTGTATGTAATTACTGCCTGTGTTTATGTGTTCCTTATTTTAGTTAATTCATTTGGAGGTGGGAGTTCTTATTTATTTATATATGGATAAATTTTTATGGCATATATTGAAATGTTTTTCATTTCATAGCTTTGCTTTTTAATTATTTTGTCATTAGGAAAGTTTTGTCATTAGAGAAGGTTTATTATTATTTTTAAAAAACAAATTTTGGCAACCATGGATAGGTACTATTTGGATTTCCCTTCCAGAAATAAACTATTTGAAGAAATATAGTTCACTGATATCCTGCAGTACCTTTGAGATCCACCACTGTATTCAAGCCAAGGCCACACTCTGTCATGGCAATTCTTAGCCACGAGTTAGCACAGCAGAGATAATGCCTGGACGTTGCTGCCTAACAAAGGACACTTCCATAGATCATCTGTGAACCATATCTATTTTGGGCTGGCCAAGTTGTTATCAGAGATGCACCACAGTCTGCGACTTTTCTTGCCTAATGATATTCTTTTCTACCCACTCTTCTTTCACAGGTGTCAGACTGCCATTATGGCGTGGAAGTTTCTCAGACTTCCTCTGCTCCCTCTTTCATTTACTTTTCATAGGGACTTCTCCAAATAAATTTCTTGACTTTTATCTCTCTTTTGATCCCTGATTGCCTAAAGATCCAAAGTCATACAGTTGGTATTAGGAGACATTCCAAGTAGAGGTGCTAAGATGAGATTTGGGGACTGGATCACTCAGCGCCCAGCTGACAAGAAAGCACATATTCCAAATGACAAGTGAGAAAGTGATAGTACATGGTACAAACTGGAAGATCAATTGCTAAAAATTTCATAAATACAAGTTTGTGAAAACCTCCCTGTAAAAGGAATGATCTGACAGGTGCAATGACTGAGGCATTTAAAAGATATGAGTAACACAGTACATGTAAGAAAGCCGAAGTGGTCTGGTTATTGCAAAAGTGCATTAAAGCTAACAGATATATCAAGAAACTCATCATGGTAAATAAACAAAGTCTGAAAGCTTGAGGGTCTCACTGGTAGCTTACAAAGAGGTCCTTAATTCCTACAGGGAGAGAGCACACCCAGCTGAGGAATAAACTCAAGATTTAATAGTTAAGCTCATGGAAATTCAAACATTATTGAACGTTCAACCAAGCAAATCTGCTATGCTAAAGTCAGGTCTTTGGTTCATAAAACCTGAGACCTTAGAAATGTGAAATGTGAATATATGTCAAGATGGACCCCAAATATTGTGGCTCTGCAGACTCCCCTAAAACCTCAGTATCTGGAGACCTAGACTTCCCTTTCCTAGTACAGGAAGATAATACCGAGGCTGTTCCCCTACAAGCCAATAAATGTCCCCTCAAGATTTCCTCTAACCCCTTTTCCTGAATGTTAGGTTGATAACTAGGATTAAATCCCAGCAAAACATGGCTGGAGGTATTCTTCACCAGAAAAAAAAAAAAAAAAAAAGAAAGACTGCAATTAAGGGAGCTGTAAGAATAGTTAGCATGTACTGACACTGAACCAGAGGATTATCTGTGGGACTTGATTTTGAGAGTGCTTGATTGTGAACACACACACTACTTTGCAGTGAAGGAAGACTTGAGCAGTGGAAGCAAAAAGATAAGAAGAGAATAAATTAATTAACTTGTCAAACCTTTATGCTAATATAGCATAATAATAATATACACTGTATCATTGAATTTGGAAGGACTGAATTATTTATATCTGCAATGGTAAAAACAGTAATCTTTAGCAGAAAAGTCATCAATGTCTGGCAAACATAGCCATACCCTAAGAAGACGGTGAATGATCCAATAGTATTGTGAACTAAGTGAGGCAGTAGTAGTGCCCAGAAAACGTGATGACAGTGAATATAATAATATGCCAAAGAAGCAGAACTAGCTGTGGGAAAGTACTAGTGGAAGCAACACACATTCTCTACATAGGTAGAGATGACCAGAAAACCAAACAGAAGAGGAAATGAAATAAAGCGTAAGTGCGAATATCCATCAGGTGCTCCATCCTTCATATTGGGTTTATGCAATCAAGATGAAACAACTCCTACAATGGTGGTATTGAGTTTCTGCAATGGCAGTATTGTTCCATACTAGAAAAAGAAATAATTATGTGACCCCAGATTCTCTTCTGGCTAATAATACAGTTAATTTCTATTTACGGAAAAACAATACTTGCCCAAAGACTTAGCTGAGTGAATTGTATCTAAATACTCTCTATTATTTTTTTAAAGCCTTTCCAATCATCTTTCCCCAACAACGATGTCTAATATGCTCTTTTCATACTACGTTGCCAGTCTACATACTAGAATATTAGCATGGTTGATTCAGCTTTCTTCTTCAAACATCTTTCAGTTCAGCTTTGGAATAATACTCCATGGTTCCTCTCAAATATCTTAGTATCTTTCTCAATTATTTCTCATTGTTTAGATCTCTAAACACTTGAATATTCAAGGACATAGTCCTCAAAATTTTCTTCTTTTCTTTTGTTATCCTTACATATTAGGCAATTTAATTTAGTCTCATGGCTTTAGATGTCATTTATATTTTCACAACTTACACATTTTACCACTGTTCCTTACTTTTCCCACAAACATCAGGCCTATGACCATTGCCTACTCTTCATCTTTACTTGCATATCTAATTAATATCTCAAACTTAACAGATCCAAAATTAACAGCATGGTTTTTTTCTCTCCCTGCTCTATTTGCAGATTTGCCTGCCTGAGTAAATGCTCATTTCATTTTACCAATTTTTCAGATCAAAACACTGAGTGTAATCCTTAATACCCCTTTTTTCTTATAAACCTTATCTTATCCATTAGAAAACCTAGTCACAATCTGCCAGAATGTGTACATAGAATTGTAACTTTACAAATATCACGCATGTCCAAGGCATCATAATCATTAATCTATATCCATTTTCCTGAATTACTTTTTGTTTTATTATCAATTGGCATATTTGTTGTGCAGACATGTTTGATATGTACATATGCTTGTGTTTATGCACACATATAATTATTAATATATTCTAGATGTGTTTTTAAAACTTATGGTTTATTGTCAATATTCCTCTAATAAAATTTAAGTTTCATGAGATCACAGTGTTTTCCTTTTCAGTTTACAGCTTTATCATCAAAATCCAGACTAGTGTCTAGTATAAGTGCTCAATAAATGTTATTGATTATAAATGTTAGAGAATTTTAAAAGATCATTTTTTGATTAATGTATTATTGACCCAGAATTTTTAGTGTATTGCTAACCTAAAATTTAGTTTATATAAAGAAAGACAAGTGGGAAAATTACATTAATTATTATAAGCATTACACTACAAATTTGAAAAAAATGCACAAGAAAAATTGCCTACTATTTTAATAAAAGATAAGTGTTTTCAATGACGGCAGCAAACTCTATGTTTATTAATAGGACTTCACTATTGTTACATTTCAATGGAAGTCAGACGGTTATATAAAAGTGTGTCGAGTTGTTGATTTTCGCCAAGAAATTTTAGGTGAACTGAATATCATATCACTTACTGAATTGACAATCTCCGTTTCATAAGAAAGTAACTACAAGGGAAGAAAACTTACATTCAGATGTAGATTTTAATCAACATGAAATTGGGATGTAGGGATTATTTTCGATGATTTAATGGTCAGAGTTATCAAACTATGATCTCCAGAATCACCTACTTCCATAATGGAAATATGTATACAATATTAAAACACATTGAAAAAATTAATGTAGGCTACTGTCTTTTAGTTAATGTATTTTTACAAAAAGTTATAATTTATTTAATTATATTTAAAGTTTTAGAATAGTAGTCTTAAAGATAAAACAGCCATTTTGTATGAATTTCATTACTTTTTTACTTGCACTATCAAAAGGAGCATAATAAATCACATTTTTAAATGGAAATACTAATACAAATGTCCAAACTCAGTATCTGTGCACTTTTGCTGTCATAAAGTTTTAAACTAGTCCAACCACTGTGGAAGACGGTGTGGCGATTCCTCAAGGATCTAGAACTAGAAATACCATTTGACCCAGCCATCCTATTACTGGGTATATACCCAAACAATTATAAATCATGCTGCTATAAAGGCACGTGCACACATATGTTTATTGCGGCACTATTCACAATAGCAAAGACTTGGAACCAACCCAAATGTCTATCAATGATAGACTGGATTAAGAAAATGTGGCACATACACACCATGGAATACGATGCAGCCATAAAAAAGGATGAGTTCATGTCCTTTGTAGGGACATGGATGAAGCTGGAAACCATCACTCTCAGCAAACTATCGCAAGAACAAAAAACCAGACACTGCATGCTCTCACTTATAGGTGGGAATTGAACAATGAGAGCACTTGGACACAGGAAGGGGAACATCACACACTGGGGCCTGTTGTGGGGTGGGGGGAGTGGGGAGGGAAAGCATTAGGAGATATACCCAATGTAAATGACGAGTTAATGGGTGCAGCACACCAACATGGCACATGTATACATATATACCAAACCTGCACGATGTGTACATGTACCCTAGAACTTAAAGTATAATAATAAAAAAAAAGAAAATTCCAAAGCTATCTAAATTCAGCCTCCCTTTTTGTTAACTACAGTGGTCCACCAAAAAATACCAAAATACATTATAAATATTATTTTGGGCCTTTTTTCCATTCGTTATTGATTTATTTTGACCTTATTATTTAAGATTAGTTTATCTTTTTCAACTACTCATCAATTTATCCAATGTTTTCTTTATAAACCATTTCAGTTTTAGGCTTGGGAGAAAGTCAATCTTGAATTAATGTTTTTCTAGAATTGATTTAAGTGTGGGATGCTATTAGAACTGAAAGAGGCAAATCATTTGATATAACTGGTATATGTCAACCATCCATGTTCTTTCACTCATGCTAGCCTCCCTCTACATATGTTCTTTTACACTTGAGAAAGCATCCACGTTGCTTATTTTAAAGATGATTTTTAAACTATAAGCAGGGCCTATATCATAGAATTAATTCATTTTTAAGCCATTGTAAAAATTAGAGAGCTAGATTAAATTCATTTTAATCATTTGTAAAAGAAATAGCTTATTGGTTTGATTTGGAAACAAAGGAAATTAGCCAAACTCATTTATGTAAACAATTTTCCTTTTCTGCTTAAAATATTTATTTTTCTTTTGAAATGTTATGAAACCATGGAGAAAATACACAAAATAAAACTTAAATTAGGTGTCATCAATTTCTTAGCCTAGAAAATACCAGGAATTATTTATAAAGGGGGGTAAATCAATTTTTCTCCACAGGAAATGCCTAAAGGGCATTGGTTCAACCCAGTAGGTAAGCTGCCATATACATGCCAGCATCCTATCACCCAGCCAGAAGTGAAGGCTGCTTTTTACCTTCAGGATTTAACATTAGCCCACCAGTTTTCATATGCTTTTGTTCTTAAATATAGTTATAAGTAAGGTCAAATACTATAAAATACATAACTGTAAATACCACTATTTGGCAAGAAATAAATTTGAAGCATAATATTAAGATCAGTAACATATTGAATTTTTGTTTAATTAAAATGCCCACAATAAAAAGATAATGTTTTAATTATATGAATTATGTATTCCCCACCACGGTGTATTTCTCATGGTAAGATATATTTTTCACCATGTCATTATAATTTTCTGTATGGTCTCTCATGGAACATATAAAATATGCAATGTGATTTAACTGTGTATATAATTAATATCTTAAAAATAATTTGGACTAACTCAATATTTAGAAAATTAACAGGTAGGTCATTGACAGTTCTAGGTCTATAACTTGGAAAATGAGGAAAATCTTCCTGAGTTGACCTGAGGGATCAAAAACAGTGAAATAAAGGAGGTAAGCACTTCTTGTCTTATGTTACTTTCTACCCAAGATTCGGAAAGCTTGTCCTTTGCCAACTGCATAAAATCTCCCGATGGCTTTTAATGACCTTTACAATACTGTTCTGTATTATTGAGTGAAATAATTTCCTACTTAAATTATCCATCAAAACAGACTCTATTCTTCTTTATCATGTTTTGTATTTTCTCTACAGTAGGGACCCTTAATTATTTAGTTTCTCATTTCTAGAATAGATTTCTTCTCCAGTGGAATTCAAATGGTATTCTGCTTCCCCTTACGTTTTTGGTGTGTCTACCACAGGGCATGTATAGAAGAAATTTGGGGTAATGTTCCCAAAAGTTAAATGATGTTTTTGAGTTAGCTCCAAATTCCTCACTGTCACTTCAGCCCAAGCATTTATCCATTTGTCTGTCTGTCTGTCTCTCTCTGTCTCTCTCTTTTCTCCTTTCTATTTTTAAACTCAGTTTTGGTAATTGAGTTTCCGCATAATATTTTGGATGATCAAGTTTGCCATTATACTTTTTACAAAACAATGTGTTATATTATTTGTTTCTAAATGTTCCCTAAATTTATGCTTGCTTTTAATATTCATGTTGTATAATTTTCAGGCAAGAATTAGTTTATAATGTTTAGCACAGTGTTGGAGATGTAATAGACTGACTGGAATTTGGTTTATCTGAGGGTTGCTTAAATGCCTTTCAATTGACAATGACTCATATTGTCCATTTGTAATTTAAATGTGTTTTTATTTCTCTAAAACTGTGCTGATATTCATTACTAGAATGGTATTTAATAGGGATTTTGGTTGTAAAAAATTAAGGGTGATTTTTCCAGATCTTTTTGCTGGAACCATAGAAACACTAAACACTTTCAAATTCCCCCTTCATCCACATTCAGTCATCAAAAATGGATGGTTTCATATACTTAAAAATAAGCCCTGTTGGCCGGGCGTGGTGACTCACGCCTGTAATCCCAGCACTTTAGGAGGCCGAGGCGGGAGGATCACGAGGTCAGGAGATCAAGACTATCCTGGGTAACACGGTGAAACCCCGTCTCTACTAAAATTACAAACAATTAGCCGGGCGTGGTGGCGGGCGCCTGTAGTCCCAGCTACTCCGGAGGCTGAGGCAGGAGAATGGCGTGAACCCGGGAGGCGGAGCTTGCAGTGAGCCAAGATTGCGCCACTGCACTCCAGCCTGGGTGGGTGACAGAGCAAGACTGCGTCTAAAAAAAAAAAAAAAACCCTGGCAAAATTTAGCATTTTTATAAGTTTTAGTATTGCATAGCATATTCTAAATATGCATATATCACCCAATACTATTTTTACCTTTAATTAAATTAACTCACTTTTAAATTTTAAATATTTACTTAAATTTTGAGCTACACAAATGAATTTTGGTATTATTCAGTCAGCAAAGGCAATAAAAACCCATTAAGTTTCCATTCAGTGATTTAAAATGACAGGGAAAAAAAGAGCTACCTCGGTATTAATATGAAAGAGAGAGTAGCATTCTCTCAGGGAGCTATTGTTATCTGTGATGGATCTGGATGTGAATATATTGCATTTTGTCATATAAATATTTTCCACAGGGCTGCTGAATTACAATACTCTAAAGCTTTCCTTTTTCTCCATTCTCTTGCCATTACACACAAAACCAAAATCACTTAGAAACTCACATTAACTTAATATGTTATTTCATTCTGTTGATTGTATTTTTGGATTTTCCATTTCATGGAAGAATTGAATGCTTATGATAAAAGACATTACAAGTATCTTAGAATTGTGTGTATTAATATTTCTTAACATTTAATATTATTTTTGAAAATAAATCTTAAAAAGCTTCTACTTTGTTCATATTAGATTCAAGCAATAATCAGTGATATTATATGTACTCTTATTTATAAGTTATAATTGTTCTTTGACTAAAACATCACATGTATATATGAAAAAGGTGACTAAAAGATAAAAATTATAATAGTATAAATATTAAGGAATAAATTTAAATGTAATATGATTTATTTTATTTTTAAACACTAACTTTATTGTGTATCTTGAAATATTACAATTTTCTTTTAGGAGAGGAGAAAGAAATCAAATTTAGAATATCTACTATGTAACAGGGAGGGATGTTGTACATTTACTATTTAATGAGATTGGTATAGTACATACACAGTGAGATTGGTGCAGTGGTAATAATAATTGAAATAGCAAGAATTATGACAATGTATTTAAGGCTTACATTTTTTTCAGATGCTTTTCTAAATATTTTACATGCATTAAATTATTTTTCTTCATAATCAACCTCTGAGGTGAGGTTTATTAATATCTCCTTTTATTTTAATTTATTCCTTCCATTTATTTTGTTTATCTTTTAAAGTATTTTACCCTAATCTGATAAAATAATTAGTACTTCCTCAAGTTCCATAAGAATTTCTTTAATGTTTGTTTTTTAACTGAGGTTTTAAGAGTTGGAGCCTCTATTTGATTAAAAGCATTTTGTTATCAAATATTGAATATGTGCTGTTACATAAATGGTCTGACTTCCATTTCTAGCTGAACTATTATCTTTAAAATATAATTTCAATTTTCTAAGCCTCAGTTTACCTAACAGTAAAACAAGGTCAATAATAGTTTATAACTCATCAGTGTCAGAAATAACTCAGATTTCATGCATATGCAGTTCTTAGAAAAATATCTGGATCCTAGCACTTTGGGAGGCTGAGGCAGGCAGATCACCTGAGGTCAGGAGTTCAAGACCAGCCTGGCCAACATAGCAAAACCCTTTCTCTACTAAAAATACAAAAATTAGGCGAGCATGGTGGTGCGTGCCTGTAGTCTCAGCTACTCAGGAGGCTGAGGCAGAAGCAGCAGAAGCGTCACTTCAATCTGGGAGGTGGAGGTTGCAGTCAGCTGAGATCATGCCATTGCACTCCAGCTTGGGTGACAAAGCAAGACTCTGTCTCAAAAAAAAAAAAAATCTGGAACATGAAATTGATTAATACAGATGATCAATCATCTTAAATATAACAAAATTTTCTTACTGTAATGAGTGGTTCAATGGTTCAATTAAAATTTTAGATTGTTTCATGGAATATGTGTGACTTCTCAATCAGATGAAATGTGAAAACATCAAAAAGTTCATTCAAGCAGGATAACAGGGCTGTTTATATGAAACAATAAAATCTTAAAAAAATACTTCATATATAAGTAATATATGGAAAAGGTCTGGAACTATTTGAAAAAAAAATGTTTTTGTTTGGTTCTTCAGATGATACAGAATAGTAATTGGGAGATAGAATTCTAGGTTTTGATACATGTGATAGTTTGACAATTTAGAAACTAAAGCTTTATAAAAGCAATCATGGTATAGTGGCTGACTGGTTATTCAAATAGTTAGATCTCAGCCTGCCTGGATTCCAATCCTTAGTATAAATAATGATTCTGAAATTGCACCTTAGGAGACATCATAATTCTATGCATGCCCTTGCTTAAGTGAGAGGGCATTTTTAGCACGATTATTCTAAACTGTAAAGAAATAGTTCACCCATATAATGGAATTTAAGCAGCACTTTTTAAACTTTATTGTGTATGCAGCACCTGAAAATTTTATTAAAATACAAGATTCTGACTCAGTTGTTCTGAGCTAGAGACTGGGATTTGGCATTTCTAACATGTTTCCAGATGCTGCTGATGTTGCTGGTCCATAAACCACACTTTGAGTAATTAAGGACATATTGGAAATTATCCACCCATCGTATAGTATCTTTTCCATCTGTTTATCAGAATGATGGAATTTTCACCACTTCAGATTTATTACTTTTCATCTGTCTATTCTTGTATACAAATTTGAAATGGAAATGCCAGTGGGGACGTTTAGGAAGCAATTCCAACCTAGAGAATCTTTAGTATCAGCCAGACTTAAAGAAAAAGGAAATTTTGCTTGACGTGATTTGGAACAGGTGCACTCATCTTGAAAAAGCTATCTTTGGTAGAGGTCTATCATAGATAGTTGTCCTGGGATGGCTTTAGAAAGAAAGGAAACAAGAAGAGGCAGAAACATAGAGAAAAGAAATGTAGAAATCAGTTAAGTCAAACTTTACCCACCTTTCCATTTACCTTATGCAAGGTCAAGAGGACAAGTATTATATTAGTTTGTATTGCTGCCATTACCACAATTTACAAAACATAAGTATCTTAAAACAATACCTGTTTATAATCTCACAGTTCTGAAGGTCTGAACTTCTGAAAGTCTGAAGTCTAAAGCACCTTGACTGGATTCTCTTCTCAGGGTCTCATTAAACTTGAATCAGCGTATTATATCTGCTGGGGCTGTCAGCTAAGTCTCGGGGTCCACCTCCAAACTCACTGATTGTTGGCAGAAGTGATTTTCTTCGAATGCTTTCCCCACATTGTCCTCTTTACCATCAAGCCAGCAACGGTGGGTCAGTGGGTTGAGTCTTTCTCGTGCTTTTAATCTCTTTTTCCTTCGCTACCAGCCAGAGAAAGCGCTATGCTTTTGATGGCAGCTGTGGCCTATCTAGAGCAGCTGCTGCCATGACGCAGGTTGCAGTGGGGGAGGCGCGCAGGGGCTCCACAGAGCCACCTGGAGCCAGGAACAGGAGGGATCCCCGCCCTTTTCTGAATTGGAGGGTCGGGAGGCCAGCCCTCCCAGCTGCAGCCAACTAGTCTCAGCTACAGACCTGGACATGCCTGCGCTAGGGGGCCCGGGAAGCCCCCTTCCCCTGCAGGCTCTGAAGTGCCTGCTCCTACTGCCTGGCCTCTCCCGGCTCCCGGTGCCCACTCCGATTTTGGAGCAAAGTTGAGGCTGAGCCCGAGTGCTGTCACGATCCTACTGGGTGTGCACGCACTCGAGCCAGCGCTGACACACCAGTCCCCCTGCCGCCTTGGCCCGTTCTAGGATTTGGGACACCAATGAGCATGAGAGGGAGCTGAGGTGGGGGCTGAGGGCAGCTCAGCATGGGCCTGCAGGCACCCCTCAGCGGGAACAGCCTGGGAAATATGGGCACCATGGAGGGTAGGTTGATGGCAGCAGGAGGCAGACAGGCTCCTGGGTGGAAAGGGGTGTGTCCCCAGTTAAGCCCCACCTTCAAGCTAGTGAGTGTCAGAAGCTTGGAGACTGAGCTGCCAGTTCCACTGCCCCGAGTAAGAACTTGTGGCTTTTTCCGGGACAGCCCATGGCCACCCATGGACCAATCAGCAGGCACTTCTTCCCCTCTGAAGCCCATAAAAACCCCAGACTTAGACAGACTGGCAGACGATGGGACCACCTGCCTGCTGATAGAATCTACCCACTCCGGGTCTCCTGAGAACTCTTCTGGCTCTCAGTGAAGCTCCTCTCCACCTTGCTCACCCTCCAGTTTTCTGTGTACCTCATTCTTCCTGGACACGGAACAAGAACTCGGATTTGATGAAAGGCAAAACTAAAAGAGCTGTAACACAAACAGGTCTGAACCCACCCCCCTCACTGACCCCCTCCACTCGACCAAGCTGCAGTGACGAGAAGAAGAGAAGAGCTATGGCCCTTTGGGGAACCCAGACCTAGGGACATCCTGAACCAGGGCTGTGACACCCTTTTTGAGGCTCTGTGGTTCCTGGTGTCTCCAAGCTTCCAGGCGCCACTGCATTCTCCTTGTCCAGACGTGGGTGCATGCAGCTTCTGTTCCCTTATGCGTTCCCCACGTGGTCCTCTTTACCATCAAGTCAGCAATGGTGGGTCTGTGGGTTGAGTCTTTCTCATGCTTTTAATCTCTCATTTCAGTTTTGCTACTAGTCAGAGAAAGAGCTATACTTTTGATGGCAGCAGTGACCTGTTTGGAGCGGCTTGCCACTCTGCACTTGGCTCACACTTGGCAGGTGTAGGATCCAGGCCGTAGCACGACCCTGGTGTAGCCTGCAGGGCTGACTGGGCATAATGAGCCCAGGGGCATGAGCAATACGCAGGCCGACCAATACTCAGACAGAAGGTGCACTGGCCACAGAGGTTTCTGGCTGGCGAAGCAACACCTGAAGGATCTTGTGACACTTTTAAGGGCTTATGTGATTACATTACAGACATTGAATAATCCATAATAATCTCCCTAATTTATGTAATCTTAATTAGATTGTAATCTTAATTACATTTTCAAAGTCTCTTTGAGATGTAACATAACATATCTATGGGAGTAACACCACGTGCCAAAGGTCATAGGGACAACCACAGTAACTTAATATTTTTTAAGAGGAAGCATGAACATGCTAGAATGAAAAGTTCACTAATTTGGATTCTCGACTGGGCTTAATTACATACTACTCCTTTTATATGAGAAAAATAAACACTCCAAGTATTATTTCTTTCACACTTTTTGAAAAACAAAAAAAGTGTGGCCTGATTTATTAATGCTGTACAATACCAAATTTATAAAAAAGCTTAAGATGTTATTATTGCACATTCTAACTAATGCCAATCACAGGATTTTGCAAACATTAACTAAATAAATTAATAAATTGCCACATTTGAAGGCCATCAAATAAGTAATGCATTTCAAAGCCAACAATATAGTGCATGACATCTGCTTGGAACTTTACATCAGCCTTATAATTAAAAATTTATGAGATCTGCTATTTCTAATAAATGCCTTTTGCAAATTGCAATAGCATTCATCAGAGTGGTTTACAAAGACTGATTGTTACAAACAATGAAAAATATTTAATGCCTCAAGAAATCCCATTGTAACAGGCAAAAAAGCAGTTATTGGAAATAGAGATCTCATAATTTTTTATTTATAAGGCTGATGTAAAGTTCCAAGCAGATGTCATCTACTAAATAAAATTTCACTACACTTTTGATTACAATACAGAGAAGACTATAGCAACGTAAACTGTTTTTGAAGAAAAAAGATTATATTGCTCCAAACAACAAAGCATACTTTCTTTCATTTTTTTATAATGCATTCTAGTCTTTATACAATTCCATGCACATTTTTCAGTTATAATCAAAGTATTCATAGAACTGTGTATTTGTTTATTTCCACCAAATGTTACATGATAAACACTTTTGCATTTTTCTACATGGTTTTAATAGAATAATTATGATAGATGGCTGAACAAGAATCTATCAGTTTGATGAAATGTAAATTTCTTAACTATTCCCCTATTCTAGGATACTCAGATGACAGTGTGTTTCTAATAATATGACTAATGCTGGATTTTTTAGTAAGTCATTTGTTTTCAAAAAATAATAATAGTACATAAATCAAATTATTTTGAAAATGAATGAGACATCGTAAAGAAACTGGACAATTATTTTGGGAAATATCCTTGGAATATCATTTTTGTTGTTACAGAAGAGTTATTGGATACATATCTCTCATCCATATATGTGGATTGTTTTGACTGTAATGATAAGGCCACCCATGGCAAAGATTTGTTTTTACACTCCATCTGTTTGATATGTACTGTTTAGATTCGAAAAAAAATTTGGACCCCAGTGAGACACAGTGTTTGGTAATACTTTTTCATATACTTCAGTTACTCTGTGAGTCACTCTCTCCATATGCCTAACAGGATGTGAGCTTTGCAAAAACCTTTGAGAAATGGAATCTATTTCTCAGAAATGAATGAAGACTAATGCACACATCGCATTCATCATAAAAAGTGCTTCTTAAATATCAAATAGTGGTTGGTGTGCAACAAGTGTGGAGAAGCAGAAGACATATGGACTATGTTTACTGTCTGGGCCTATGATAAAAGTAAAAATCCCTGAATGGGGGTGTTTGTTTTTGTGAAAGCCTGTTTTAAATATTGTTGTACAAATTTTTTATCTGTACTAAATCTTTGTATTTGTGGTATAAGTTTTAACTAAGTCTGATTTAATGATATACCCATTCCATTCTATTACAATTAAAGAATTAAATTAACTTTCCATTTAAGTTTCATACATAAATAAATAACAAACATTAACTAATTTGAAAGGTATGATGGGATATTTCATCCAACTCAAAAATCACAGAAACCTATACCTTTATCAGTGCACTGATGTTTTTGTATTTTGTGTTTTTTTAATGTTTTCCTTTCCTGAACTGATAGCACTGATTCTCTATATTATTACTTTAGAAGTTAATTATGTGTCACCTCAGAATAGATATATTGTTATTTTTAGCAGTATTAGTATTATTAACTTCTACAGTTTTGGTTTTGAAGACCTACTGAAAAGGTAGTGCAACTAAAAAATAAGCACAATTCTACCAATAATTAAGGAACTACTTAAAATTCCTGAGACTCTAGATAAGAATGTCAGTAATGTTCACAATCTATGTATCAACAAGCAAAAAACAAATAACTCCATTAAAATGTAGGCAGAGGACATGCATAGACACTCTTCAAAAGAAAACATACATGCAGCCAACAAGCATGTGAAAAAATGGCCAGTATCACTCATTAGAGAAATGCAAATCGAAATGACATTGAGATACCATCTCACACAAGTGAGAATGGCTTTTATTAAAAAGTCAAAAAATAACAGATGCTGGAAAGATTGCAGAGAAAAGGGAATGCTTATACACTGCTGGTAGGAATGTAAATTAGTTCAGCCACTGTGGAAAGCAGTTTGTCAATTTCTCAAAGAACGTAAAACAGAACTACCATTTGACCCAGCAATCCCATTCTTGGATATGTACTCAAAGTAATATAAATTGTTCTACCATAAAGACACATGCATCCATATGTTCATTGCAGCACTATTCACAATAGTAAAACATGGAATGAACCTAATGTTCATCAGCGGTAGACTGAATAAAGAAAATATGGTACTTATAAACCATTGAATACTATGCAGCCATTAAAAAGGCTAGCACTTCCTTTCTCCAGGGCAAATTTTTATTTTTATTTTTTGAACAGGTTGATGTGTTATGTAACATTGAAACACCCATTCTGCCGTTTATTTTAATACAAAATTAATATTTAAATATGTCATACCAATATAGACTTGAGGAGTGAAAGTAAGGGATAGATTTTATCACTTTCATCTCCAGAATTTAGAATGCATTTATGGATATCTCAGCATCTCGTAACTACTGTCAAATGTGTTTTAGAGACCTGCTAATTATGAAAGATTAGCAGTTATTCAGGATTGAAAGATTTGTAGTTAACACTTGGGGGAAATAGTCATTATCTTAGGGAAAACTAGCAATATCCAAAAAGCAGAGCTTCCTGAAATTAATACGGAGTTTGAGGAAGTTCTAAGTTTGGTATGACTAGGGCAAAAATTATATGTAGATGTTTGACTAAGGAAGATATTGGAGAAACAAACCAAGGCCAAATAATGAGGACTATTGTCATAGCCTGGATTTTATCCTTGTTGGTAACTTCAAAACTGGAGACACTCCAAGATTTGACTATGAAAATTGCAGAATAAGGTGCCATTTAAAATTTTTTTCTAGCAAATTAGAGAAAATACTATAAAGGTAGTTTTAATGGAAGGTTAGAAAACCATATGTAAAAATAATTTTAAGCATCCAGATGAAAGGGAGAAATAATATAAATGATAACTAGAGAGCAGAAAAGGAAGATTTCAAAGAAGGAGATACAATTGACTGAGAATTAAGACCACCTGTATCAACATGACTTAACCATTTATTCCAGGAAATTCATTACAAGGAAAGTAATGCTCTAAACCAATAATTACCTTAACCATTTGCCTCTTTGCATCAGGAAATCCTTACAAACAAATGTATTTGATCAGTTTTCTAATGTGGGCAAACCCCTCTTCCATTTAGATAACATCTTTCTTATGTTGGCAAACGTCTTGCTTTATTATTGCCCCATGAAGTCCCCTGATCTTAAAATATAAAATGAATTTTGCCCAATTTCAACCAGTTCAAGAACTTTCAAAAAATAGTGCATATTTAGCCAGTTCTAGAATGATTAATTAAAATGCAAGTTTGCAAAGTATAACAGTAGAAAAGATGAGAGTTCTGTTTTATTTACACTTGGCATAAATATCTTTCCACTATGCTATATGTTATATGTGCTATATGCTAAATGCGAGGTGGTAGGGAGAAAAGTTCAAGGCACACCACAGACACACACACACACAATCCCTCATTTTATAAAGGATTATAACCATGTTAAATTTCTACACTTTAGGTCACACCTTTCTTACTACGTGCATTTTGCCCTTTCACAATTCAGTCGGCCCCTGACTTAAGATGCATTTACTTACAATCTTTTTTCCTTATGCTGGTGCAAAAGGAATACATATTCAGTAGGCTCCTTAATATACAATCAAATTACATGAGGATGTACCTATCATAAATTTAAAATATGGTAACTGGCTTTGACAATATTTTCAACTTACAATGGATTTATTGATTGTAACCCCATCATACATCAGGGAGCATCTGAAGAAGCCACCTAACCCCACTTGAGCCTAGACCCCAGACTCTATACATCTCTTTCCCTAACTTCTGAGACATTATGAAAATTCTTTTAAGATGGCATTCTTCCTCGTTGCAATAAGTTTAATAAAACTCAACTCGATAAAAATATTTTCTGGTGATCTTTGTGGAAGAATTAACAATCTAGGTCACGTTTCTTGATATCTTGGACATTATAGGTGCAGAGGAAGAAAGAAAGAAGAAATGATGTATATAAATGAAAAGAAAAAAGAGAAGTAAAATATACGCTATTTTTAAATTTTTTTTAGCTCAGACAGGGAGTGATAATTGGTGATCTCAAGTAAGACAGAGGGGAAACCTGCAGAAGAAAAATTGTGAGTTGACCTATCAACTAGTTCAATATAAAATTAATTAATTATTTGTGTGTTAAGTACCTGATAACTTTTTTCACTGTGTGACATTTCATGTACTCTGTCTATAATATAGTACACTAACAATGTCAACTTTACTATATTATTATTGAGCCAGTTTATGGGATTTGGTTTGTTTATTCTACTTGCAACTATTTCTATCCCAACTATTTTTTTCTCCAGCTAAACATAAAGATATTTACCGAAAAAACTATGTCTTTCTTTTTATTTACATTATTTAAGCTACAGTATTATTTATTATATGTTAAAATTGTTTCATGAAGCATATCAAGGACATTACTTATATTACATAATTTAATCATCAAAAACTAAGCAATGGGGTAAGTACCATTATTTTGCCTTTTTTTCATGTGAGAAAGTGGGAAGTATTAGGTTAATTTAACTTAACATCATAGAGATAGAATGTGGAACAAAAAGAACTGAACCCAGGCTGTGTGAGTCAGAATGCATATGCTTAACCTCTATGTCATACTTCAAATTACTAATAGAAATAACCTGTATACACATCTCTAGGAATATCAAGGCAAACACTACATAATATAGCATAATGGAAAGATATCATGCCAAGTGTAAATAAAACAGAGCTCTCATCCTTTCTTCTGTTATACTTTTTGCAAACTTGCATTTTAATTAACCCTTTGGAATTGGCTAAATAGGCACTATTTTTTGAAAGTCCTTGAATAATTTTATGAAAATCCAGACGTTTAAAGTAATCTTGATTCCGCAATTTATACACTACAGTTTTTGTTTTTTATATCTGGAAATTAGGTGTTAAAAGTAGAAAAACTTGTTTGATATTATGCTACATAATTTTTAAACCACAACATTTCCTTATTTAAACATAATTCTTTTTGAACTTTTATTTTAGATTCAAGGAGTACATATGCAGTTTGTTACACACACACACAAAAAAAAACCACAAAAACATAAATTAATAGACCAGTCGACTTTACAATGATTCAGTGAGGACATTGTAGGTGAGTAGGAAGAGTTCAGTTGCTAGTCCAGTTTCTGATTTATCCTATTAATATTCTCCACTTTTATTTTTATATTTTATAAAATGATTTTTAAGTGTCCTTAATCCTTTAATTCTGGGCACAGGAGGTCCAGAAATCCTTTCAAAGATTGCACGTGTGACAAACATAAGCTTTAATTTTAGATTGTAAAGCATTTTTGGAATTACTTAAACATTCCATTTAAAACCACCTAGTAGCCCATATTGAGTTAGTATTCTCTCCTCTGTAACAACTCAATTCCAACTGTTTAAGATTAACTCACATGTCATGAAATCTCAATGACTATTCTTTAACATTTAAGGTTTGCAAGACTGAATATTAACATATGTGCTTGCATTTGTACTATTATTTTACTATCATCTATAGTCTGGAGTTTAGTATTAAATGTAAGATAGAAGAAAGAAATACACATGATTTAAGGGCTTTTCATGCATAAGTATATGTATTAAAATGTATAGGCATTATTTTCCAGTTTGGTAAAAGGAATACTTTTTAAAAAGCTGATTAGACAATTTTATATTTATACTCACTAAAAGAAAATTATGCCTCAGGCATGGTTATATCAGTGAACTTACTATGAGAATAAATGAATTGAAGAAAATGAAAACCACCTATTTGCCTGCTGTAAATAAAGTGTTGTTTCATGTAAACCCATCAACTACAGCAGTTTACAACAGCTACCTAGATTTGTAGAGGCTAGACATATATAGGCTTTTGAGGATAACAATACATTTTAAAAAGATGGCACACATGTGATAAAGAATAGGTTGTCATAAATATGCTATAAAGCTATATCTCTTTTTTCACATCTGCCAGTTCCTTCTAGCCTTTCTCCACTTTCTTATTCTATAGATTTTTTTCAGTATCAGATATTTCCTCAATTTATTAATTAGTTATTTACAATAAGTGTGACCTAAAATGAAATTGTTTTCTGAGAGATTATGTCCCAACTGTTATTATTTACACAAACAACTATTCAGTCTAGCTTGCAGCTTCTAAATGGATTAAAATAATTTAACTAATTTAAATTTGATTAGAAAAATGACTAATTTCTTTTAGTACTGGATTTTGAAGTTTTAAAATAATTTCAATAATTATTTCATTCTGATTTTTTGAAGATAATTTTTTTCTCATATGCATCTCCTGTGACACCTTCCACAGATTTTTTTCATGACATAATTTAATATATTACACTTTTAGATACGTTACATTTGGAGCCTCAGCTATAAAATGTTTAGCCGTGTATATTCTTGAAAGTCATCAGCTGCTCAAATGTTCTAGCCATTTTAAAGAGGTAACACTTGTCTGAGTCATCATTATCAGGTATCCAAAGAATGATGATGAGGATATTGGTATGACTGTGCATCTGAAATGCGATTAGTACAACCAAGACAAAAAGCATACGCAAAACTCCAGAGTTTCTTTAGCCCTTTAGTAATGCTTCCCTTGCACTCTCTTTATCTCACCAGCCACACCCTTCCCCTTTCCTAGCAGACACTGATCTGTTTTCTGTCAGTAAATATTCGTTTGCGTCTGTGGAGGTTTGAACAGATAATGTACTCTCTTTTGTGACTGGCTTCTTTCACTCAACATAATTATTTTGAAATTAAATCTTATTGTAGCATATATCATTCCTTATTATAGCCAAGTAGTATTCCATTGCATGACTATATCATAGTTTGCTGATGATTCACCCATTGATGAGCACACAGCTTGCTTTTACTTTTTGCTATTGCAAATAAATCTTCTATGAGCAATTGTCTACAGATCTTTGTATGAACATATGTATTCCTTTTGATTGGGTAAATACCTAAGAATACAACGGCTGGGTCAAATGGTAACTGCATGTTTGAACTTTTTAAGAAGCTGCCAAACCATATGCAAAAGTGAATATTTCAATCAGCAGTTCAAATTCCTCTATATACACAATTAAATTTAAGTTCAATATTTTTAATTTTAGTTATTCAAATAGATGTGTAGTGGTGTATCATGCAATTTGAGTTGACATTTTTCTAATGACAAATGATATCAAACATCTTTTCTTGTGTATATTCATATACCTCCTTTTGTCCTTTAAGTGACTTCAAATGTTTAGCATTTTTTCTGCGTTGTTTTCTTATCATTGAATTTTGAGGGTTCTTTATATATTTGAATAAAAGTAATTTGTATGACATGTGCCTTAAAATATTGTATCCAGTCTGTGGCAGAAAATCACTTGATAAATGCAACATTTGTTCAGGCTAATAAATTTCAGCAAACTAGAATAGAAGGTTCTTCCTCAATCCTAAAAAATAGCATCTAAAAAGAAACCTAGAAATAACATCATATTATCGACAAAATATTGAGATCTTTTTCTCTAAGATCAGGAACAATATAGGGAGGTCTATTGTCATCACTTCTATTCAACATTCTTCAGAGATTCCATGTAATGCAATAAGGCAAAAAAATTAAAAATAAAAACCTTCATACTGAAAAGGAAGTGTAAAACCATGTTTATTTATGGAAGACATGGACATCTATGTAGAAAAGCATATGGAATCTCCATGAAAACTTTTATGGGCCAAATGGATCACTGATTAAGGATACAGGCTATAAATATTAATTCACAAAAAATCAATTAAATTTCTTTATATTTGCAATAAACACTTGGAAATTGAAATTAAAATTCTACACTTTGAGAGGTCAAGATGGGAGAGTTGCTTGAGGCCAGGAGTTTGAGTACAGGAGTTCAAGGTCAGCCAGGGCAATATAACAAGATCCTGTCCCTACAAAATTTTTAAAATTTAGCCAAGTGTGGTGATGCATGCCTGTAGTTCCAGCTACTCAGGAAGCTGAGGCAGAAGAATCACTTGAGCTCAGGAGGTCAAGTCTCCTGTGAGCCATGATTGTGCCATTGAACTTCAACATGGGCAACAGAGTGAGACCCTGTCTCAAAAAAAGTAAAATTCCATACTATTTTCCAAAGCATCATAGTATTAATTACTTAGCGATAAATCTGAATAAGACATGCAAAACCTATACACTGAAAAATGAGAAACATTGTTGAAAGGGATTTTTTAAAGCCTAAGTAATGGAAAAATATACTGTGATCATGAACTGGAAGATGCAATATTTTTAGGATACCGTTTCTCTCAAATTTGATCTCTAGATTCAAGACAAAAACAATCAAAATCCCCGAAGGTATTTTTTTTCTGAAATTTAAACTGATTTAAAATGCACATGGAAATTCAAAATGCCCATAAACTCAGTTGTTAAAAAAGAAGGACAAAGTTGGAGGCCATATACTACTTCATTTCAAGACTCATTATAAATCTGCAGTAACCCAGTCTATGTGGTATTGGCATCAAAAAAAACAAACAGATGAATGGGACAGAATAAGGAGTTTAAAAATAGTTCCAAATGGTTTTCTGAACAGCGTAAAGGCAATTCTTGAAGAAAGAGTAGTCTTCAAAAACTGTTGCTAGGAAAACTGCTTATTCATATTAAATATAAAATCTATTTATACCTTATACCACATAAAAATCAAATCAAAATTAATAATTTAATGGAAAACCTACAGCTATGAAACTTCTAGAAGAAAGCATATAACAATTTTTTTGTGAAATTGAGTTAGGCAAAGACTTCTTAGACATAATAACAAAATTATATCATATTATCAAAAATAATTAAGCTTAGGCTACTCCAAAATTAAAATTTTCTACTCTCCCAAAGTAACTCTTAAGAGAATAAAAAGACAAGGCATAAATTGAAAGAATATATTTATAAATCAAATATTTGGAAAAAGATTATACTGAGAATATATAAAGAACTCTAAAACTAAAACCTCAAAAACTAGGAAATGACACATTTGAAACATTTTAGCAAATCATTTGAACAGATATTCAAGTTATTTTTGAACATATATATCAAATTATTTTTGAACATATATATCGCATACATATATAGCAAATGAAAACATGTTCAACATCATTACTCATTAGGTAAATAAAACTTTAAACCAAAATAAGTTACCACTATATACTTATTGAAATAACTAAAATTAAAGTGATTGATTATACCAAATATTGTCAAAAGTAGAGCAATGAAACTCTCATAGACTGTTGGCGAAAATGTGAAATGGTACAACTATGTTGGAAAACAGTTTGTCAGTTTCTTAGAAATTTAAATACACACCCATTATGTGACCCAGCTGTCCAGCTCTCAGAGAAGAAGAGTAGAAATATTGGAAGAGAAATGTAAACATCCGTTCATACAAAAGTTGTACATGAATATTCAAAACATTTTGATCTGTTTAACAGGCAAAATTGGGGCCATCTCAAATTTCTGTCAGCAGTGGGATGGGTGATGAACAAAATCTTTGGCAATTCCATACGTGGAACATTATTCAGGAATAAAATTGAATAAACTATTTCCATATACAACATCAAGGATGAATCTCAAAGTAATAGTGCTAAGTGAAATAAATAGGAACATTGATTTTATGTGTTCACATGTCAACTGTACCTCACAAAATCTATTTTTAAAATCCATCCAATATTGCTTTTTCCAAGATTCTGATACAATATCCACAAACTAGGAATAACCCAAACTGGAGTATATGGATAACTTACTGAGGGGGTGATAGTTAAGGCACAGCTCAGATGAAAATAAGGAATGATTCTGGAATTTTGACTTGGAGAGCATTCCAGTCAGAGAGAAAATCCAATCAATGGTATTCAGTTATGAAATAACTTGGGATATTTGAAGGAAAACAGAATCCAATCTGGCCAGAACAGCTCTGACATTCAGACAGAGTGTTGGAAAATCAGGTGAGAGAAAATCAGGACACATGGTCATTCCAACAAACCTAATGAAGAGGTTACAGTTCATTCTCTAATGATTAGCAAACCACTGAAGAGGTGAGAGCAAGGAAGTGGCATGATCAAATTTATGTTTGAAACTGAAATCTGGCTGCACTATAGGGAGTATATTCTGAGATCACGCCAGATTTATAAGACTATCACAGAGTTAAAATGAATCTGGACTTAGCAAGAAATAGTTGACGTTGTAACAAGTGTAATGTCAGCATATCTTCTTGTAATAAAGGCAATAAGATTTTTGGTCAATAAGATGCAGTGTATGAAAATACAGGTCACTAATGATATCAAGGTCTCTTGGACTGAGCAACTGAGTAAATGACACTACTATTTTCTGAGATGCAAATCATTAGGAAAGAAGAAAGTTTGGAAGGTATTTAACAAAAACAAAACAAAACAAAAACCCTGCAAGCATTTCATTGTAGACCTCAGGGTGAAAACGCAGCATCACCAGTTAGTATATGAGTTTAGAGTTCAGAAAAGAAGTTGGGGTTGGGATTCATCCCCAATGGTATTTGAAACCAGATTCAAAAAGAAGAATAGGAAACAAGTAAGCCTAGGGAAGATGATAGGTCTTAGTTTTGAGCCCTAGAACAATACATGATTTATTAAGATCAGACAGAAGAAATGAATCCATCAAAGGATGCTAAGAATGGGAAGAAGTTAAGGAAGAAATCTATACAAAAATATAATACCAAAAGCAAAGTTAAGGAATTATTAAGAAAAAAAGAAATATCAATGGAGGCAAATGCACATATCCACTTTAGGTTTATCTGGAAATGGATCCTCCCATTTAAGATACTGTTATCAAAACACACATAAGAATAAACATCAAATTAAATAAATAATAATTAGATACATAGGCATGTGTGGCTTATTTCTATCCACTTTGGAGCCAATCTAATGTATTGAATTTGGGTTTTTGCCCCAACCCAGATCTGCTCAGCAATGCCACATTCTCTCCTCTCTCCACAAACTCCCTACTTGTCTGTCCAAGACAGCTTATTTTTCTAGCTGAATGGGACAGCCTAATCCTAGAACAGGAAGCCTCCTATGAACAGGAATGAAACCAAATCCTAGAACAGGAAGTCTCCTATGAACAATCTAGGCTGCTTCCATTGCCACCAAAACAAAACAGAAAAAGTCCCCACACAAAGCCCCAATTAATAAGAAGAAACTTCTCTGCTGGCATATGGGCATTGGACCTGTAGAACTGTGTCTTCCCCATGGCTTGTCAGGAAAGACTGCACAAACTTGAAATGCATAGGAATTGATGCCACATAAGGGAAGATTTTGCTCAAGGAAAGACAGAGATGGGAAAGAGTTGGTAGTTTAAATTACATAACTTTTCTCCTTCTCCATACCGCAGGCTATTTGAGCTATAGTTGTAGCTCTGACAGGACTGATAAGTATGTTCTTTGTGATACGGTGGCCAGCCAAGAAGTGCAGTCCTTTGTACTTGCTCTCCATTTTTTGGAATCTCCATTCCTTGTTCCCTTCACGTCTCTTCAGTTTTGCTACCCATCTCCACAAGTGATACTATTTAAGTTTTTGCCTTAACCTCTTGTATTCTTGATAACCTAAGCTAAGAGACCTGAGAGAAAATAGTGATTTTTTTTCCTTTGCCCCATCATCTGTATGCCACCAAAATGCAATATTAAAATATCACCTGAGCTTACTCGTGTCTGAGATACTAGAAACTCCCACATACTACTTCTCCTTCATTTTTGTTAGGTCAATGTAAACAGTAAATTTTGTGGTTGTATATCCTCCTTGTTAGGCTACCTCTGGTCCAGAACAGCTACTTAAAAGAAAAACCCACACATCAAAAAGCTTGAACTGAAAAAGCACTTTTCCCTGCTGCATGGATAAGAGATTAGCAAAATCTGGGAAGCCTCATACTTTGATTATTCTCCTTGTCCTAATCATTGCAGAGAATGTACCGTCTTAGTTCTGAAGCCTCCGTAGTATACTTTGTGACTAGACATCCCTATAAAAACTGGCCTCACTTGCCTAAGAAATGTATATGAGTCTTATTCCAGATATATGTTTACCATTTCTGGTCATTCTTTTCACTTTGTCCTCCCTTTGCCTTATGAATTCTCATACCTTCCACTTAAAACTATGAACTTATGCCTAAACCCCAGGGGATGTCATACATATTAAATTGTATGGACATGAGTGTAAAACTAAGCATTAATCTTGAGTTATTTCTGTAAAATAGAGAAAATGGACTCATTTTGAGGGCACAGATATAGTTTTAACACTATTATCTCCTTTAAGACACATAGGACAATATTAATATAATAAAATAACTTTGCTATTTTTATCATAACATGTACAATCAATAAAGGGTCAAATTTTATTTTCTAAGCCATACCTTAGACTTGCTCTGCCTTAAAAGAACCTTGAGTTTCAGGGAGCATGACTGTGTCACAGCTCTAGGAAATTTTATATTAGGGTTTATGACACAGCATAATGAGAAAAGCATAAAGACTATTTCAGGTATATTAAAATCATTCCAGCATGGTTCATGACACTATTTCAATCTGCGTGATTTATTCAAAGCTTGTAATTTAATCTTTTCTGGGGACCTTATACCACTTCAGTGTTCATTTATAAAATATTAGCATTTAGTTAGTAGCAGTGAACTAGATTTATAGCATAGAAAATATCTCAACTGATGACAAATAATAGAAAAACGAGATTAAATATAGTTAGTTAAACTTTATGAAATTTTTCATTTGAAACCTAGGATGGATTTTAGAAGAATATTAAAAAGAAGAGCAAAGTCCCTCAATGACTTTTACATTGGGTTTAAACATAATTATTTTTTCTTAATAAATTTTGTAGACTTGGCTATGAGTTCACTAAATCTTGATTAATAAAATTCAAATTTTATATATATACATATATAATGTGTGTGCATTTCTGTGTGCGTGTATTTTTTCTTTGCAAGTGTTTATTCAATCACTTTAGCTTAGTGTATAATAAAAAACTTTATTGATATTTCTGGATTTTCTATTTTTTAATGCCATAAAATAGTTTAATAACATGAGTTAGGAGTAAGCTTGATACCTGAGAAATATAGTGTGGCACAAGAGGACATCAATATAAGACAGAATGAAAATGTAATTAAATCAACACGCCTCCCTTCCTTAGGTTATGTGAATTTTGAAGATATATAGTGTTTTTTTTACATTTCTTTAAAAAGTTACATTGAGATAATTGTAGATTCAAATGAAATTATAATAAATAATACACATAGTACCCATATGCCATATGCTCAATTTCCCCAGTGGTACCTGTAATAACTTGCACAATAATAAAAACAGTCAGGAAATTGACATTGATAAAATTTAACAAACGTATTCAGATTTCATTAGTTTAATATGCACTCATTTTATTATGTGAGTATAACTTAGTTGTGTGCATTTTATTCCATGTGTAGTGTCTTCTATCCATCTCTACAGTTAAGATACAGAAAGTCCTCTCACAAAAGCCCTCATGCTACTGTTTCATAGCCACAATCACCTTCTCCCTGTTCTTCCCCAAACCTTGTCAACCACTAATCTTTTCTCCATCTCTATAATTTTGTCATTTCTAGATTGCTATATAAATGGAATTATAAAATATGTAGACTTTTGAGATTGCTCTTTTTTATAATCATTATAGCTTAGCTCATTTGTAATCAATCCAGGTTGTGTGTCTTAGTAATTTTTTCCATGGTGTGGATGTACCACAGTTTGTTTAATCATTCATCTACTGAAGGACATTTCAGTTGTTTCCAGTTTTTGGCTATTATGAATAAAGCTGCTATGGACATACATGTACAGGTTTTTGTTTGAATATTAGTTACCATTAACCTGGGATATATTTCCAAGAGTGTAGTTGCTGGGGCTTAAGGTAAGTACATATTTACTTTTGTAAGAAATTATAATGTTCTTTTTCAGAGTAGCTGTACAAATTTACCTTTCCATCAGAAAAAGATGAATGATTCAATTTCTCCAAATTATTATCAACATTTCATGCTTTTGCCATTTAAAAATTGTAGCCATTCTGATAAGTGTATAGTGATATCCCTTCGTGGCTTTAATTTACCTTTCCCCGATAGATAATGACACTAAATATATTTTCATGGGCTTATTTGTGGCCAATATATGTTCTTTGGTGAAATTTGCTTTACGGTTTTTTTCCCCAATTTTTAATTGAATTGCTTGCTTTTTTAAAAAATCATTGATTTGGAGAAGTATTTTTGTAACATATCTTCTATTTCTTTGTCTAATATGTGGTTTGAAAATATTGCCGCTCACTCTGTAGCTTGTCTTTCAAACCTCTTAAAATCTTTTGCAGAGCCAAAGGTTTTTTTTTTAATTTCAGTAAGATCCAATTTATTAATATCTGTGTTTATGTTTTATGCTTTGGGTGTCAAATCTAAAAACTCTTCTCCTAGTCCTAGATCCTGATGATTTCCTTCTATGTTATTGTCTAGAAGTTTTGTAGTTTTATGCTTTATATTTAAAACCAAGATCCATTTTGAGTTGATTTTTGTATAACATGTGAGGCTCCCATATTAAAAAGTCTGTATTTTTTTTTTGAATTTTTACTTTAAAGCTTTAAAGAAATCTTTTAAAATTTCCAATGAAAGGGCTTTAAATTTTTTATTAATTTCTAGTTTTATCATATGGTGATTAAAGAGTTATACTTACATTTTTAACTTATGTACCTTAATTTTATTTTTAATCGAATTTTTGCCTAATTTTGTGATTGCTTCCTCTATGTACAGCTAGGAAATGGTAGAATATAGATGAAATCGCAAGAAACATATCTCTAAAATCGGAGCTCCTAACCATTATACTATGCTGCATACTAAAAAAACCCAAGAGTATATTGTTCAACTATTTAAAAAATAAGATGTATATATCTACAGGTTGGTGCAAAAGTAATTGTGGTTTTCGCCATTACTTTTAATTGCCAAACCTGGAAAACTTTTGCACCAATCTAAATCATCATCATCTATCTCCATATTTATCTGTCAGTTGGGAGGAATGTATTATGTATTACTGTCAGTAAAATTAAAAGAAAAGTGTAATATGTATAGAGTGTTTCTATTTTTATATAATATGTAGGCGTGTGTGTGTGTGTGTGTGTGTGTGTGTGTTTGCTTGAGCAGAGAAAAATGGTTTCAAAGATATATATTAAGGAATAAACAGGGATTACTTGGTTGAGTAGTAGAAACGGAAATTGGAGGATAAGAAGAAAAATGATTCATTTTTAAAATAATTTTCTCATTTTAATATATTACAGCATTCTCTGTTACGGTATTTATTTGTTTTTTTTAAGAATTAATAAAGTGGAAAACAAAATAAATCACACCATCACTGATTTATTTAAAATAACAGCATTAAATTGCTTTATCTACATATTTTTCCTAGAATTAAACAATTTAGGGCCTGAAAAGAGTCTTGCTGTGTTCTCTACCTTACATATCTTAAAGTTAAAATGATAAGTTTTGAATTTTATCTTACATTTTCCGCTGTCAACTAGATAATTTCTACACTAAATTATATATTTCTACACTAAATGTGTGTTTTGTATTACATTTAATACAAACTACTGCTGTTCATACTATAGTTAAAGCTTGGAAGGATACATAATTTATACCTTTAGAGTACTTTCTTTTTTAAAAAAAATTACTTCAAGTTTCAGAATACATGTGCAGAACAGTGCAGGTTTGTTACATAGGTATACATGTGACATGCTGGTTTGCTGCACCTATTAACCCATCATCTAGGTTCCCACCCCTTGCCTCCCACCTCCCAACAGGCCCTGGTGTGTGTTTTTCCACTCCCTGTGTCCATGTGTTTTCATTGTTCCACTCCCACTTATGAGTGAGAACATGTGGTGTTTGGTTTTCTGTTCCTGTGTTAGTTTGCTGAGGACGATGGCTTCCAGTTTCATCCATGTCCCTACCAAGGACATTATCTCATGGCTGCGTAGTATTCCATGGTGTATATGTACTGCATTTTCTTTATCCAGTCTATCATTAATGGGCATTTGGGTTGGTTCCATGTCTTTACTATTGTAAATACTTCTGCAATAGACATACGTGTGCATGTGTCTTTATAGCAGAATGATGTATATTCCTTTAACCAACCTAGTGCCCATCAACCAATAAATGGATAAAGAAAAATATACATACATATTTTTTATATTTCTATATATAGAAACATGCCATGGAATACTACTCAGCCATAAAAAAGAATGAAATAATGTCTTTTGCAAAGACTTGGATGGAATTGGAGGTCATAATCCTAAGTGAACTAGCTCAGGAATGCAAAGCCAAATCCCACATGTTCTCACTTGTGGGAGTTAAGCTATGGGTATGCAAAGGCATAGAGTGGTATGCCAAACATTGGAGACCCAGAAGGCAGGATAATTAATGAGAGGAGGGTGAAGAATTTTTTAAAAAAATTATACATCAGACAGAATGTACACTACTCAGGTGACAGGTGCAATAAAACCTGATTTCACCACTGTTTGATTCAACCACACTACCAAAAAACACTTGTGCCTCCAAAGCTATTGAAACAAAAAAAAATTAAAAACAGTCCCCTAGAGGTTTTTAAAAGTTTTGCACATCCAACAGTCCTTTGAAATGGTGTGCGTGCACCATTTCACACACGGACACACACACACACAGATACGATTTCATGTTCAACTAATCGTATTGTATTTCCACATGCAGACTCACAATACTGTCTCCCATACTAAAAATTTTGAGAAGTCTTCTAGGAATGAAATATTTTTTTCCTTTTACTAAAATTTGTATAAATCTCTTTGCCATAGTAAATATATTTTACAAAAGCTATATAAACCTTTTGAGCATGTTTTTATTTTGGCATATATTTTTAATATACCTCTTAAATAAATTCAAACATTTGCTGAAATACTAAAAATATGAAAATAAGGCCACTATATCATGGCCTTATACAAATGTGATATCATCTAGACTAACTTGCTCCATGATATTTAATATGGTTTGGATTTGTGTCCCCACCTAAATCTAAGGTCGAATTGTAATCTCCAGTGTTAAACAGAGGGGCCTGCTTGGAGGTGATTCAATCATGGGGATAGATTTCCCCGTTGCCGTTCTCATGACAGTGAGTGAGCTCTCACAAGATCTGATTGTTTAAAAGTGTGTAGCACCTCCGTCTTTGCTCTCTCTCCCTCTTCCTTTGGCGATGTAAGATGTGCCCCCTTCTTCTTCACCTTGCACCATGATTGTGTTTCCTGAGGCCTCAAAAGCCATGCTTTCTGTTCAGCCTGTGGAACGATAAGTCAATTAAACCTTTTTTTTTTTTTACAAATTACCCAGTCTCAGGTAGTTCTTTATAGCAATGTGAGAATGGACTAATACACAAAATTGGTACCAAGAAGTGGGGCATTGCTGGAAATATGGAAGTGACTTTGGAACTGGGTAATAGGCAGAGAGGTTGGGAGAGTTTGGAGGTCCCAGAAGACCAGGAAGATATGGGAAAGTTTGGAACTTCCTAGAGATTTGTTAAATTGTTGTGATCAAAATACTGATAAGTATATGGATAATGAAGTTCAGGCTGTGGTGGTCTCAGATGGAAATAGGGAACTTATTGGGAACTGTAGTAAAGGTCATTCTTGCTGTGTTTTAGCAAAGAGACTCTGAGCATTGTTCCCCTGCTCTAGGATCTACAAAACTTTGTACTTGAGAGTGATGATTTAGGGTATCTGGTGGAAGAAATTTCAAAGCAGCAAAGTGTTCAAGCGGTGGCCTTTCTGCTTCTAACAGTGTATGCTCATATATATGAGCAAAGAGATTATTTGAAACTGGAACGTATATTTAAAGGGAAGCAGAGCATAAACGTTTAGAAAATTTGCAGCCTGACCATGTGGTAGAAAAGAAAAGCCCACTTTCTGGTGAGAAATTAAAGCTTGCTGCAGAAATCTGCATAGGAGGAACCAAATGTGCATAGCCAAGACAAGGGGGAAAATGACGAATGTATTTCAGAGAACTTTGTGGTTGCTACTTCCACCACAGGCCCAGAGGACTAGGAGGAAAGAATGGTTTAGTGGGCTGGGCCCAAGGCCCTGCTGCCCTGTGCAACCTTAGAACACTGCTCCCAGCATTCTAGCCACTCCAGCTCCAGCTGTGGCTAAAAGGACCCCAGATAAGTTTCAGGCTGCTGCGCCAGATGATGCAAGCTGTAAGCCTTGGTGGCTTCCCCATAGTGCTAAGCCTGTGCGTGCACAGAGGGATAGAGTTGGGGCTTGGAAGCCTCTGCCTAGATTTCAGAGGATGTATGGATATGCCTAGATGTCCAGGTAGATTTCTATTGCAGGAGCAGAGTTCTCATGGAGAACCTCTACTAGTGAAGTATGGAAAAGAAATGTGGGGTTGGCATCAACACAGAGTGCCCAATAGGGCACTGCCTTGTGGAGCTTTGAGAAAAGGACCACCATCCTCCACACCCCGGAATGGCAGATTGACCAACAGCTTGCACCGTGCACCTTGAAAAGCCACAGGAACTCAATGCCAGCCAGTGAAAGCAGTCAAGAGAGATTTTCCTCCAGAGCCACAGAAGCTGAGAGGCCCAAGGCCCTGGGAGGCCCCTCCTCTCATCAGTGTGGCCTGGGTGTGAGACATGGAGTAAAAGGAGATGCTTTTCAGAGCTTTAAGAATTATTGACTGCCCTCCTGGGTTTCAGACTTCCATGGGGCCTGTAGCTCTTTGGTTTTGGCTGATTTCTCCCTTCTGGAACAGGTGTATTTATGCAATGCCTGTATCCCCATTGTATCTTGGAAGAAACTAACTTGTTTTTGATTTTACAGGCTCATAAGTGAAGGGACTTGCCTTATCTCAGATGAGACTTTGGACTGTGGACTTTTAAGTTAATGCTGAAATGAGTTGAGACTTGGGGTACTGTTGAGAAGGGATTATTGTATTTTGTAATATGGAAGGACATGAGATTTGGGAGGGGCTGGGGCAGAATGATATAGTTTAGATTTGTGTCTCCACCCTAATCTCATATCAAATTGTAATCCCCAATGTTGAAGGAGTGGCCTGGTGGGCGGTGATTGAATCATGGGGGTAGATTCCCCCTTTCTGTTCCTATGATAGTGAGTAAGTTTTCATGAGGTCTGGTTGTTTAAAAGTGTGCAGCAGGCCGGGGGCAGTGGCTCATGCCTGTAATCCTAGCACTTTGGGAGGCCGAGGCAGGTGGATCACGAGGTCAGGAGATTGAGACCATCCTGGTTAACACAGTGAAATCCCGTCTCTACAAAAATAAAAAAAAAATTAGCTGGGTGTTGTGGCAGGCACCTGTAGTCCCAGCTACTCGGGAGACTGAGGCAAGAGAATGGCGTGAACCCGGGAGGCAGAGCTTGCAGTGAGCCGAGATCACACCACTGCGCTCCAGCCTGGGCGACAGAGTGAGACTCCCTCTCAAAACAAAACAAAAAAAAGGATGCAGCAAGCACCTCCCTCTGTGCTCTCTCACTCTCCTTCTCCAACCATGTGAGATATGCCTCCTTTCTATACCAGCATCTAATTTTATAGGTTCTAGATAAACATCTGGGAGATGTGGACTTATCTCTGCATGTTCTAAGATCTTGTTATAATGCCAAAGTATGGTCATCTACATAGAAGTATCATTTTGTATGATTCAGTTACGCAGTCTTTATATTTATTTATTTTGAAAGCCATCTACCTCTATCTATCTATCTATCTATCTATCTATCTATCTATCTATCTACCTACCTACCTACCTTCCTATCTACCCATCTGTCTATCTACCTACCTATCTTGCTTTGTTGTCCAGGCTGGAGTGCAGTAGTGCCATTATAGCTCGCTGCAGCTGGAAACTCCCAGGCTCAAGTGATCCTCTCAGCTCAGCCTTCTGAGTAGCTGTGACTACAGGCATGCATCACCATGCCCAGCTAATTTTTTAATTTACTATCTTTTTTTTTTTTTTTTTTGTACAGACAGGATTCTGTTATGTTGTTCAGACTTGTCTCAAACTCCTGGGCTAAAGTGATCCTCCCCCCTCGGCCTGCTAAAGTGCTAAGATTACAGGCATGAGCCACTGCATCTGGCGCTTGGTTTTAGAAACTTTAGTATTGCTCTTTCAACTATTCAACAGTATGAAATTAGATTTTTTAAATGCAAACTATGAGAAAGTTCATAATTTTTTAAAAACCCACTGCCTCCTTCCTTTTTATTATTGTGCAAGCAGCCTCATAGTTCTAAGATGTCAGCATATTATCTTAGCTGTGGATGGATAGTTCATACCTTTTTTGTCTAATTAGGTGTTTTCATATCAGTATTAAAGAGCTGACTTGTTGTCAAAAATGAAACTCAAAATTAGCACAAGAGAAAACAAACTACCTTAGACTGGTTTCTAAGAGAAGCTTGCTAATGATTAGAATTAAGGATGATTTTGTAGATTAATTTTACTGTGTATAAAAATTCTAGTATATATAGTAAATTATAGTTTGAAGTAATTAATCTATTTCTCCTTATCACAAGAGGTTATAACATATTAAAAGTGAGCCATGTAAATATGTGCTTTGAATAGACTGCAGAGGAATATTTTATTCAACAAAAACATTGAAAAGCATGTGAGTAAAGGATAAAGAAACATTGTCCCAGAAGATGTGTAGTAGCCTATACATTTAAATTGTTTCTTTCAGTTGGATTCATCCAGTTCCTCGCTATCTCCTCTTTACCAACAGTATAAATTTAAAGTGCACATAACTCTGTTTATTTGATGAATTACATTTATTGATTTATGTGTGTTGAACCAACCTTGCATCCCAGGAGCAAAGCCTATTCGGTCATGGTGAGCTAACTTTCCAATGAGCTCCTGGATTTGAGTTGCTAGTATTTTGTTGAGGATGTTTGCACTACACATCAGGGATATCAGCCTGTAGTTTTCATTTTGCGTGATGTCATTAGCAGATTTTGGTATCAGGATAAGGCTCGCTTCATAAAATGAGTTAGACAGGAGTCCCTCCTCCTCAATTTTTTAGAATAGTTTCAATAGGATTGGTACCAGCTCAGATGCAGAAAAAGCTTTCAATAAAATCCAACATTTCTTCATGATAAAAACTCTCAATGACCTAGGCATGGAAGGAACATACGTCAAAATAGTAAGAGTAATCTATGACAAACTGCCATCCAACATCACGAGTGGGCACAAACTTAAAGCATTTCTGTTGAAAACTGGAAAAAGTTAAGAATGCCTAGTCTCACCACTCTTATTCAACTTAGTACTAGAAGTCCTAACGAGAACAATCAGACAAGAGAAAGAAAGCAAAAGCATCTAAACAGGAAAATAATTCAAATTATCTCTCTTTGCTGATGATATAATTCTATAACCAGAAAACCCTGAAAACTTCATCAAAAGGCTCCTAGAACTGATAAGTGATTTCAGTAAAGTTTCAGGATACAAAATCCATGCACAAAAAGCAGCAACATTTCTACACACCAATAACGTTCAAGCTGAAAGCCAAATTAAGAATGCAATTCCATTTATAATAACCACACACACACAAATAAAATACCTAGGAATATGTCTAACCCAGGAGGTGAAAAAAATCTCTCTAATGAGAACTATAAAATACTACTAAATGAAATCAGAGATGACACAACAAATGGAAAACATTCCATGCTCATGGGTAGTAAGAATCAATTCTGTTAAAATGACCATGATGCCCAAAGCAATTCATATTCAACACACTTCCTATTAAACCACCAATGCCATTCTTCACAGAATTAGAAAAAAATATTTTAAAATTCATATTGAGCCAAACAAAGAGCCTGAATTACCAAAGCAATCCTAAGCAAAAAGAACAAAGCTAGAGGCATCCCATCACTTGATTTCAAACAATACTACAAGGCTACAGTAAGCAAAACCTCATGATAATGGTACAAAAGCAGACATACAGTTCAATGGAGCAGAATAAAGAACCCAGAAATAAAGCCACACACCTACATCCATCTGATACATGACAAAATCAACAAACATAGGCAACAAGATTCCCTATTCAATAAATGGTGCTGAAAATACTACCTAACCACATGCAGAAGAATGAAACTGAGCCACTACATTTCACCATAAGCAAAAATTAACTTAGGATGGATTAAATACTTTAAATATAAGACCTAAACTATAAAAATCCTTGAAGAAAACCTATGAAATATCATTTTAGATATAGGCCTTGGGAAATAATTTATGACTAAGACCTCAAAAGGAATTGCAACAAAAACAAAAATTGACAAGTGGGACCCAATTAAAATGAAGAGTTTCTGCACAGCAGAAGGAACTCAACAGAGTAAACAGACAACCTAAAGGATGGGAGAAAATATTCGCAAACTATGCATCAACAAGCAAAAAACAAATAACTCCATTCAAATGTAGGTAAAGGACATGAACAGACACTTTTCTAAGAAAGACATACCTGTGGCCAACAAAGAAATGAAAAAATGCTCCACATCACTAATCATCAGACAAATGCAAAAATAAAAACTACAATAAGATACCTGAGATGTCATACCAGTCAGAATGGCTATTATTAAAAAGTTAAAAACAACAGATGTTATCAAGCTTGTGGAGATAAGGGAATGCTTACATTATTGGTGAGAATGTAAATTAGTTCAGCCACTGTGGGAGTAGTTTGGAGATTTCTCAAAGGACCAGAAACAGAACTACCATTTGACCCAGCAATCTTATTACTCAGTATATACTCAAAAAATAGAAATTGTTTTATGAAAAGGACAAATGCACTTCTGTGTTCATTGCAGTGCTGTTCACAATATCAATGACTTGGAATTAACCCAGCTCCCCATTAACAGTGGATTGTATAAAGAAAATATGGTATGTACACACATGGAATATATATGCAGCCATGAAAAAGAAAATGTGGCACATTTACAACATGGAATACTATGCAGCCATAAAAAACTCTGTTCTTTGCAGCAGCATAGATGCACCCGGAGGCCATTATCATAAGCAAGACAGAAACTGAAAACCAAATACTGCATGTTCTGATGTATAAGTGGGAGTCTAATATTGGATACACATGGACATAAAGATGCAAACAATAGACACTGGGGACTACTAACAGGAGGAGGGAGACAGTGAGAGAAGGGCTGAAAACTACCTGGGTGATGGGATCAATCACAGCCCAAACCTCATGCAACAAACTTATATAACAAACCTCCATATGTAGCCCCAAATCTAAAATAAAAATTTAATTTTCTTTTCAAAAATAATGAAGTCCAAGGCCGGCTGGCTCATGCCTACCCAGCACTTTGGGAGGCCGAAGTGGGTGAATCACTTGAGGTCAGGAGTTCGAAACCAGCATGGCCAACATGGCGAAACCCCATCTCTATAAAAAAATAAGCTGGGTGTGGTGGCGCATGCCTGTAGTTCTAGCTACTCAGGAGGCTGAGACATGATAATTGCTTGAACCCAGGAGGCAGAAGTAGCAGTGAGCCAAGATTGTGCCACTGCACTCCAGGCTGGGTGGCAGAGTGAAACCCTGTGTTAAATAATAATAATAATAATAAAGTCCATATGACCAGAATAAAAAAGGGAGAGAGTGGGGAAAAATTAAATGGCTCCACCAATGGTGCTGATGCCTAACAGACAATAAAACCTTCCTTAGTTTCAATTCTGAACTAGCAACCCTGAGTTTAAAGCTCTTTCGAGAAAAAACTCCAACCTACTTATTATTTTGTTTTAAATATTTTATTTTATTTTAAATGAAGGGATATATTTACTTACTCTTAATGTCAAATACATTCATGTACCACCTAATGATGTTTCAGTCAACATATACCACAATGGATCTCATATACTACAGTCGTTTCCTAAAATTAAAAGGGAACTAAAAAATTTCTATTGCCTAGTGACATTATGACATCACAGCTGTCATAATGTGTCTGGAATTGGTGGGTTCTTGGTCTCACTGACTTCGAGAATGAAGCCACAGACCCTCGCGGTGAGTGTTAAAGCTCTTAAGGTGGCACGTCTGGAGTCTGTCCCTTCTGATATTCAGATGTGTTCGGAGTTTCTTCCTTCTGGTGGGTTTGTGGTCTGGCTGGCTCAGGAGTGAAGCTGCAGGCCTTCACAGTGAGTGTTACAGCTCATAAAAGCAGCGTGGACCCTAAGAGTGAGCAGTAGCAAGATTTATTGCAGACCGAAAGAACAAAGCTTCCACAGTCTGGAAGGGGACCCGAGCGGTTTGCCAATGCTGACTCAGGCAGCCTGCTTTTATTCTCTTATCTGGCCCCACCCTCATCCTGCTGATTGGTAGAGCCGAGTGGTCTGTTTTGTCAGGGCGCTGATTGGTGCGTTTACAATCCCTGCGCTAGATATAAAGGTTCTCCACGTCCCCATCAGATTAGTTAGATACAGAGTTTCAACACATAGGTTCTCCAAGGCCCCACCAGAGCAGCTAGATACAGAGTGTCGATTGGTGCACTCACAAACCTTGAGCTAAACACAGGGTGCTGATTGGTGTATTTACAATCCCTGAGCTAGATATAAAGACTCTCCACCTCCCCACCAGACTCAGGAGCCCAGCTGGCTTCACCTAGTGGATCCTGCACCAGGGCTGCAGGTGGAGCTGCCTGCCAGTCCCGCGCCATGCGCTGGCATTCCTCAGCCCTTGGGTGGTCGATGGGACTGGGCGCCGTGGAGCAGGGGGTGGTGCTCGTGGGGAGGCTCCGGCGCACAGGAGCCCATGGAGTGGGTAGGAGGCTCAGGCATGGCGGGCTGCAGGTCCCGAGCCCTGCCCCATGGAAAGGCAGCTAAGGCTCGGTGAGAAATCGAGTGCAGCACAGGTGGGCTGGCACTGCTGGGGGACCCAGTACACCCTCCACAGCCACTGGCCCGGGTGCTAAGTCCCTCATTGCCCCAGGCCAGCAGGGCTGGCCGGCTGCTCCGAGTGCAGGGCTTGCCAAGCCCACGCCCACCTGCAACTCCAGCTGGCCCGCAAGCCCGCACACAGCCCCGGTTCCCGCTCGTGCCTCTCCCTCCACACCTCCCTGCAAGCTGAGGGAGTGGGCTCCAGCCTTGGCCAGCCCAGAAAGGGGCTCCCACAGTGCAGCGGCGGGCCGAACGGTTCCTCAAGTGCCACCAAAGTGGGAGCCCAGGCAGAGGAGGCACCGAGAGCAAGCGAGGGCTGTGAGGACTGCCAGCACGCTGTCACCTCTCAATAAGGTTATAGTGCAAAGCATTACTCACATGTTTGTGGTTATGCTGGTGTAAACAACCCTACAGCACTGCCAGCCCTATAAAAGCATTGTATACAACAATTATGTACAGTACTTAATACTCAAATATGATAATAAATATGTTATAGGTTTGTGTATTTACTGCAGCATACTTTTTATTGTTGTATTAGAGTATATTCCTACGTATAAAACATTAATGTATAACAGCTTCAGGTATATCCTCCAGGGGGTATTCCAGAAGAAGGCATTGTTACGATAGGAGATGACGACTCCATGCTTGTTATTGCCCCTGAAAATCTTCCAGTAGAACAAGATGTGGAGGTGGAAGACAATGATATTGGTAATCCTGAACTTTTGTAGGCTTAGGCTGATGGGCATATTTGTGTCTTTGTTTTTAACAAAAATTGCTTATAGAATAAGTATATAAAGAATAAATTACTTTTGTATGACTGAACAATGTTGTGTTTTGAGCTATATGTTATTACATGAGTCAAAATATTCAAAAATTAAAATTTTGTAAAGTAAAATTTACAGTAAACTAATATCTACTTATTATTAAAGGAGGAAACATTTAAAAAACAAATTTAGTATAGCCTAAGTGTACAGTGTTTATACAGTCTACAGTAGCGTATGGAAATGCCCTAAGCCTTCACATTAATCTCTCACTCACTGACTCACTCAGAGCAACTTTCAGTCCTGCAATCTCCATTCATGTTAAGCGCCCTGTAACAGGAATACTGTTTTTTAAAAAATTTTTATACTATATTGTCATTGTATCTTTTCAATGTTTAGATATATTTAGATACACTTACTTATTATTATGTTATAATTGCCTACACTATTCAGTAGAGTAACATGCTGTACAGGTTGTAGCCGTGGAACAATAGGTTATATCATCTAGGTTAGTGTAAATTTACTCTGTAAGGGTCACACAGTGATGAAATTGCCTAAGGATGCATTTCTGAGAATATATTCCCACTGTCAAGCAATGCATGACTGTAGCGCAAAAGGTACGTAAGACTAAGCAATCTCTACAACACCTTGCTATGTCCTCATCCTGAGTTCCAATTTTAGTGATTTTTGTACTTTCTTTTAGTTATCTCCATTTATCTTAATAATTGGCTTGTACTGCAGCACTTTTTAATTCTAAAAAATACCTATTTGACTTTCTATTACAATGAGGAAAACTTATTATATTTGCATCTATTTCCCACCCATCTCATTTGATGTTCTGAAATTTGGCAATCATATGTTTGTACTTGGAATATGTGAGTGTTTGCATTTTCAGTAATTTTGTAAGAATCTCTCTTGGCCCCCAGTCTAGAGTATCTTGTTTCTTAGTTGGCAATAGTTTTTAAAATATTATTATTTTATAATTTCCCCCTTCTTTTTCTCTTTTTTAAAAAATCTTAGAATTTGGATATTAAATCTTCTGGCCTGATACACGCACACATGCACACACACACACACACACACACACACACACACACAGAGAGACACACACAAAGTTTTTATCTGCTCCATGAATTTTTCTTTTTTATTTTTACTTTTTATTTTTGGATTTTTGGTTTGGTTGCCATGTCCCAGTTTTGTGTGAGTAGCTTCCTTTGAATGTCTAATGATGATTTCCAGGCCCTTCACACTTAAGTGAAAATAACTAAAAAGCATTTAAGTAGATTCCTATCTGGTTATTTCCTGTGCCTGGTTGGCTTCCCTTTGCTAATGTATTTCAGCCACTTTTGTCTGTTCTTCTATTCTATTTTTCTTGTAAGTTTATCCTTTAAAGATTTATTTTAATGCCATTTAGTTTCAGGAGAAATAGAAATAATTTTACATGTTTAACTCACCACGTTTAACATGAAAGTCCCAAAGGATATTACAGCTTCATTTTACGCTATTTTTACACCTCTATTATTTTACAAAGAGTGTATATGAAGAAATACATATATATTTCTATATAAATATAAATATATATTTCTACATAAATATAAATATATATTTCTATAGAAATATATATATATATATATATCACTCTTTGCTCTGTTTATATTTTTACTATGGAGCCGATTATGCCATACTTTGCAATATACAAACAAGTATACTTGATTATATTTTGTCCTATTGAATCTCCTCTTTAGACAAAATTATATCTATTTCATTCTAGACTCACTTAAAGAGATTAGTACAGATGTTAGCACACATAGGCATTCAAATGATAGATGAATTGATATGTGTTATAAAATACAGGAGAAGAAATGAATTATATGATTTCTTTTATAGAATAATTATCTCTAAATATATCACTTTGGAAAATCAGGTGTTAACGTTTTGGGGTTTTCCTAAAGAAGGTTATATTAACTGTGCTTTTATTATTTAACAACACAGTATAGGTTTCTTTTATAATTTCTTATTAGAATTTTTAAAAATATAAATACATTTTTGGGCACCTGAATGCCCCCTGATATAAGCTAGGCTAAGCCGAGGCAGCTCATTTGGGACATCTTTGTTTTATATGTCTCTTATCATGTTCCTAGGATCATGGGTTAGCTAGTTCTGTTCTTAATACTGCATGTTTAGAAAGTTGTGGTACGTATTACTGTCTCATCCATAATTTATAAAATATATTTTCTTTATATAATTGGATTTTACATGTAAGTATTCTTACATGTCTGTACATACAGTGGTATTAACGTGACCAAATAGAATGAAAAAAATTATTAGATGGTGAAAAAAACATATACATAAAAAATGATAAATAACATGAGGATTATTCTTCAAGACATTAATGTTTTCCACTTTTCAAATTCCTCATTATCATAGCATCTACAAAATATAAGATTCATGGACATTTTGAGTTTGGGCTAATGGACTACCATTTATACTTGGCTGAAAATTTTTTTTATAAAAGTATTTTTTAAGTACCTTCACATTAGAATCATCAGCCAGGAAACGTGTTCTATAATTAGTATTCAGTTGAATTATAATCTACAAAAAAAATTACAAATGGAAGGGATCATCACCTAGGACAATCCACACATTTTTCAGTCAAAACAATTGGGATTCAGAAGCTGAGAGTTTAATCATTGTCAGGGCAAGAAGTAAACTTCTCCTCTTGAGTCACACAGAAGCATTTATTGCAGCCAGAACATATTCTATTAGAATTTTTTTTTAGTTTCAGTTTAAAATTGGGTTGACTTTTAATTATTAAAGCAATACATGTTTATTGTAGAAAATCTGAAAACTCTCAAAAATATTGAGGAGAAAAATTTAAGAGTTCATAATTAAAACATTTTGGTTTTTTTCAAATGCATCAAACCCTTATTTATATATAATTTGCAAAAAAAATTCCGTATAATGCACTGGGGAAACATTTCATACAAATAAATTCATTCATTAGTCAAAGTGCAGCGCAGGGAGATTCATTTACCAGAAAAACTAGAGGCTTAATATCTCTAAATTAGAAAACATAAAAATTAAGTTTTGTTGTTCCAAAATATAGGCACAAGCTCCACTCAACTTATAGGGCCGGTGAAACTCATTAACAAAAATTTAAGGCCAACGGATTATAAAGTAAGAGCAATTTTAAACTTCTTTTATTGTTTCTGATCCCCCATTCACTGAACATTGCATTTCATAAAAGACTTTAGTGCCTTTTATGGTAAGAATGCTTTAACACAGATTTATTTGTAAGGCTTGTGGGGACTTATAAACATTATGTTTTAATTGTTGTTTTAAGACTGATGTATTATGGCTGCTGCTTTCCTCTGTTTTAGTTCAATAAATCTCCAAGTTCAAATTCCCCAGACTTGTGATTCACCATTTTAATACACAAACCACAATTTTTTCTCTCTGACTTTGTTTAGGAAGAAGGAACAAAGGCATGGCACATATTAAATAATTAAGGTTTTGAGGTGTTCAATGTATATTATAGATTTTTTAAAGCATTTTGAAATGTTAATACTGATGAATCATGATTATGAAGACATATCATTTTAAACATTTAATTTTAGAAATCTTAACATTGTTTAGTATACTTTTCAATATTTTGTAGTGATTATTTTTATATGATTATTTCATACATATTAATATACTCATGAATATGCTAACAATTCATTTTTTAAAAATTTTAATGAATTAAAATGCTAACATGCTCAGTTGCTGGATAACAACAAAGCTGAATTTATAATATCTTGATAAATTGAAGTTAGAGCATGGAATAAATTTCACATGCTGATGTTTATTGACATATAATTTTTATTGACATATAATTCTCCTCTGACTCTCTTAAACCCATACAATTTGTCCAACTATTTTCATTATTAGTATTGATTCCAATTCAATAAAAATAAATTGGAAGGCAGTTTGGTTTTAATGTAGCACTTTGAGTGTAACACTATTTTGAGATATATCATGAAACCGTAACAAGTTGTGTGCAATGCAACATTTCATCTTAATTCATCTGGCTTTATTAAAAGAGCATATATTTATTAATATCATGCTTTATGCCTAGTACATACTTATAGATGTGTGATCATGAAGCAATCATAGATTTTGGTATTGAAAAAATAAATCAGACATATAAGGGAAATATTTTAAAACCTAAAACTGACAACTAATTATTTCTTCTTTCTTTTTTTTTTTTTTTTTTTTTTTTTTTTTTTTTTTTTTTTTGAGACGGAGTCTCGCTCTGTCGCCCAGGCGGGACTGCGGACTGCAGTGGCGCAATCTCGGCTCACTGCAAGCTCCGCTTCCCGGGTTCACGCCATTCTCCTGCCTCAGCCTCCCGAGTAGCTGGGACTACAGGCGCCCGCCACCGCGCCCAGCTAATTTTTTGTATTTTTAGTAGAGACGGGGTTTCACCTTGTTAGCCAGGATGGTCTCGATCTCCTGACCTCATGATCCACCCGCCTCGGCCTCCCAAAGTGCTGGGATTACAGGCATGAGCCACCGCGCCCGGCCGACAACTAATTATTTAGCTGAATTAAAAAGCAATTATCTGGTTTATCGCATGGAAAGCTCGCTTTGTGCATGCAAAATCCTCTGAGTAGAACTATAGGGCTTGGTCAAATAAACATCTTTAGGTAAAAGGCATTGGTAACTATGAATTGACACTCCCGGTTCATGGAAACGATTCTTCAGCAAAGTCAATCACCACAGTAAAATGACTAATTGATCTAACTACTTGAATCCATAAGATTATCAAGAGGGTGTGAATTTCCCACTAGTAAATTATGTAAAATATGACCTTTGGAAATTCAGAACTCTATCTAGATGGTTTCTTACCTCCCTCTTAGCTTCAAAATGACGTTTTAAGTTTTTTAGTGAATGAGTTGTCTTTGCTTCCCAAAAGAATTGCTCATAATTTATATTGTAAGTATGGAAAAAAAGACTTTTCCATTTCAACGGAAAAGAAAATTAACTGATATTGTGGGAATGTTAATTTATTTTTAGGATGAAAATAATTTTTGAAATCATGCAACTCATTAAAGGCAGCCCCAAATAATGTGTTATTAAGCGAAGTTTCCTGGTCTTTTTCACACTTCTTTATTACTTTGACAGTCTTCGGAAGGTTAGATGCGTTCATGCCTGCAGCTTTACATGGAATTCCCTTCATTTATTTGAGCCTCCTGCAACTTCTTTTGTAAATCATAATTCAAGTCCAGTTAAAAAAACAAACTTAGATGATCTAACACCATGTGGCTTAAAATAGTGAAAAACAATCCTCCAGTACATTGGTACATATGACATTCTGGTTTGGGCCACCACAAAGGCCTTCAAACAGAATGAAACATAAATCAGTGCAAGCTGTGGAAACAATAGCTTTCCAAATATTGTACTCTAGTGTCGACATCGTGCCACAACACAAAAACATAACAGAGTTTGAATTAGACCACACTCAGAATTTCAAAGGAAAATATACATTTCTGCACAGCACAGATGCCCTCTCTTTCTTTCTGGTATACACACATCTGTTGCAATTCTGAAACAGGTCTGTAGCATAATGATGGCATCACCATTAACTGATTTCAATCATGTTTCACTAAATGGAAATATTAGAAGAATTTCTGAAGCGCTTTTTTTCTGAGACTTGTTTCTTAGTGAAGTCTTACTATTCTAATATTTACAAAGGGCCAATTAAAAACATATTATGACTAAGGCTTTCTCTTGATAATCTACAGTGGCAATTATGCCCAAAATACATAAACAAAAATGATTTTTATACATGGCGTTCTATAGTAGTTAACATATTTATATTTCTAACCCAAGATAACTTAATAATATTGTAGATGCGCTGCTCTAAAACCTGAACCATGGTAAGATAAGAAATCAACCTTGCTCTGTTGGTGTGCTGCACCCATCAACTCGTCATTTAACATGTATACATATGTAACTAACATGCACGTTGTGCACATGTACCCTAAAACCTAAAGTACAAAAAAAAAGAAACATAAAGAGAAAATTGCTTTTCAAAATTGTAATAAAAGAAAGAAAAGATGTGCACAGGCTGTTAACAGAGGATTCCTTGGTGCAGTGGGACGAGGATGGGGTAATTAACTTTCTCAACACATCTCCCAAATGTTCAAAAATGTATAATAAAGAAAATAAAAAAGGAAATCAACCTTGCTGTACTTAAGAGACCTCACATATTTTAGTTATCATATTTTATGTTTTACCAACCACTTAAGTAGACTTATGATAAAAATGTACACATACACATTTTAGTTATCATATTTTATGTTTTTACCAACCACTTAAGCAGCCTTATGATAAAAATGTACACACACACATATACATATGTGTGTGTGTGTGTGTGTGTATATATATATACAAAGAGAGAGTTAGAGACAGTCAGACAAGAGAGAGAGACATCCGGAGCTACAGTTAAACTGGATGATCAATTTATTCCCCAATATTTGGAGAAGCACGAAGTTTGGTGGAAAGACGGTAACTCCAAAATGGGGAACTAAAGAAGCATATGGACCTTTATATACATCGTTATCTTTTAACTTTTCATTTTCATTACATGTATGCCTCCAGCAGTTTTATTTAACTATGCCTCTTATAATTCCTATTTATTAAAGTTGACTTTAGATGCATACTACTGTGTGCTTGTTTTTACTGTGGGACAAGAAAGCCAGAAAAAATTGGGCTGTGACTCAGTGTTCCCCTAAAGATTGCCCCAGTGATGAGTGGTACAATGGGAAGAGACGTGAGAATTTTTCATCTGAACTTTTTCATATATATATATATATATATATATATATATATATACACACACACACACACACACACACACATATATATGTGTATATCTATATTTAGCAAATAGTAATCAAAATTTATTGCATGCTTATTATGCTCCAGGCACCAGGCTAAGAGCTTTATATATACATCTTAATTAATTTTTGAAGAAGCTCTGAAAAGTTAATAACATTAAAAACTCATTTTACAGATGAGTAAATCAAAGCACAAATAGTTTACCCAAAATTATACATGCATAGAAATTATAATTAGTAATTAATGGACCCCGGTGTTTGCTTTTTAAACTACCATGTTTTAAACTGTGAGAAAGAATAATTTGCTTAAATAATTTTTAAGTTTGATGTAATCAACAGACACTACCTCCTAATAACGTATACTTCTGTATTATCAAGGCTATAAGTGACAAAAATCACTTGGAGCTACATAGAATGTTTATAACAGTGGCACAGGAGGTATCTCATGCAACTCAAGCCATAGAAATAGACTAGAAACAGAGTCTGAAGTGCAGAGCTTCGAATAGAAAGAAAGACACAAATAATTAAAAGCACAGAGTAGAAAATTGTTGCTAACAAATTACATTTTATTACCACTCAGAGACGAGATATGAATTCTTTCTGACCTACTTTTTGGAAACTCTGGCAAAAAGAGTCAAGGTGATATTGGCAGGGCTGGTATCTGTGAGATGAGATTTGTGATAGAAGATGCAGATATGTCAGGGAAGACCTCAGAGCAGAGAAAATTTTACAACCATTTCCAAGATTTACTTTACATCCATTTCCAAGATTTACTTTACAAAGATTCTTGCCAGACCCTTATGGAAGTCCTGGCCCCGCAAGAACCTGCACATTTGCAGGGGAGAGTGTTGCCTCCCTAGGACATCATGGAAGCACATCAGAAATAGGTCAAGAGCAACTGAAAGGGCCAGAAGCACAGCTGAGGGCAAGTGTTATGGAACAGGATATAAACAGAACATAATATGACTGTGGACATAAACAGCAGATGAAGTGGGAACAAAATTGTCTCAAATCCTTTTAATTTTTTATGTCTTTCTTTTTATCAATTTGTTCAATGGGCATTTACTGAACATATACTATGTGCTGCACACTATTCTAGATGCTATGGATACAGCAAAATATAGAATGAAATTCTTGGCCTTCATGGAAATTACATCTTTGGGGGGAGACTTACAATAAACAAAGAAGTAAATAGATAAATTGCCAGATATCATTAAGTACTTATTGGCAAAAATGGCTGAGGGAGGGAGCATTTGCTCCTGTATCCTATAGTCTGTCCAGGGAAGGACTCTCTAATACAATGCCAACTGAGAACAAACCTAAGGGTAGTGAGAGAGCACCTTACATTATATCTGGCATAGGAAGCATGAAAACAGCAAGTGCAAAGGCCCCATAGGAGAAGTATGCCTGGGGTGTACTAACTTTAGCAATGAGGCCAATGTGGCTAGAGTCAAGGAGGGGAAGGGTGGTGGGAGGAGGATCCAATAGGATCACTGGAAGCCAGTGAGCAAAAATAAAACCGCACATATCCTATTTATTCTGGTATTATGTAGGCAACCCCTATGTTGAAATATCATTTGGAAAGAAGATAAAAAGGATGGAATGGCAGGAAAATTTTGATTGAGCAGTTAACAATAAAGATTAAATTTCCAAAAAGATGTTGCTCTGAATAACATTGAATTGGCTAGGTTATGACTATCTAGTAAATACGGCCTATAGCAGAGACCAAATTACTTAGGAAGAAATTCTATAAAGGTTTGCAGGATATATATATACACATATATATAAAAACTGTATTACTCCATTTTCATGCTGCTAATAAAGACATCCAAAGACTGGGTAATTTATACAGGAAAGAGATTTAATGGACTCACAGTTCCACATGGCTGGGGAGGCCTCACAATAATGGCAGAGACAAGGAGGAGCAAGTCACGTCTTAAATGGATGGCAGCAGGCAAAAAGAGAGATCGTGCAAGGAAACTCCCCTTTATAAAACCATCAGATCTTGTGAGACTTATTCACTATCAAGAGAACAGCACAGGAAAGACCCACCCCCATGATTCAATTACCTCCTACAACCCATGGGAATTAAGGGAGCTACAATTCAAGATGAGATTTGGGTGGGGATACAGAGCCAAACCATATCATTCTGCCACTTACATGTATACCTGGCATAGGAAGTATGAAAAGAGCAAATCCAAAAGTCCCATAGGAGAAATATGCCTAGAGTGTACAAACATTAGCAATGAGTCCATTATGGCTAGAGTGAAGGAGGGGAAGAGTGGAAGGAGGAAAGGTCTAATAGGGTCATTGGAGGCCAGTGAGCAGAAATAAAACTGCACGTATTGTATATATCCTGGTATTATGTAGACCACCCTTATATCCAAATATCATTTGGAAAGAAGATAAAAAGGACGAAATGGCAGGAAAATATTGATTGAGCAGTTAGCAATGAAGATTAAGCTTCCAAAAAGATGTAGCTCTGAATAACATTGAATTGGCTATATTATGATTATCTAGTAAATAGGGCCCATAGAATAGATTGAATTAATTAGGAAGGAATATTGAAAATGTTTGCAGGTTTTTAAATATGTAAACTAAAATGTTTACACTGAAAACCAATGTGAATCATCAAATAATGAAAAAGTAATATCAATTTGTAGAGCTTTATGAGAGAAAACATTATATTTCACAGGCAATGATTAGAATCTAATATATTCATTTATTTTTTGAACTGCCATCAATAGAGATTAAAGGCTAATCATCCTTAAGGCACTTTGGCAATCTAAAGAAAAAAATTACTTAAATAAGACAAACTTTAAGACAATGAAAACATTGAATAACCTAACTATGGACTGTTTAATGAGAGAGATTAGAAACAGGTTTTTTTAAAAAGTTACTAAAAAGCTTTGGCAAAAATACGTGTCATAGAAATATGACATAAAAGAATATCTAGGCAAAAATATTTAAATAGCAAAGGGTTTTATAGGAGCATTTTAAACAAACAATTTTGTATAGTTAACCAGATAAATTTCTACAAGTGCTAATTTGCATCTTGTAAATAGTAAGGAGATTCTTTATTTAACTTTTACCATTATTTTATGTGTTGGTTTTATTTTCTAAAAATGTCTAAGCTTGATTTAGCTGGGTCTTTACTGAGTGACAGGGAGCAGAATTTTCATCTATGCCAAGGGATGCCTAATTCCTCACTATGTAAACAGAAGAATAACAGATAAGTAAATAGTTTTTCAGAAACAAACAAGTAGTATTTGCACTTGTCATTGTGACTTGAAATTTAGAATACTCGTTTAGGACACTAATCCTTTTTCTAGCTTTTTATAGAATGCTACTAATAAAATAATATCCATTGGTTAATCTCATGTAAAATTTACTTTTTCTTGCACACTGTTCTGAGTCACATAATATAATGGGTTTTATTTGGTCATGAGGAGGCAGGGCTAATCCATTTTTATAATGGAATAATAAGCAAGGAATTTATGTTTGGGTAGCAGCAGTATTTTTATATATGGATGATTGATGCAGTTAGTAGTTTGTGGTGGTAGTTGATTAGTAATTTCTCTCTCGTCTTTTTCCCCCAGAAATTAAAACAATCTCTTGTATGCTTAGGGAGTTAAAAAATTTGCAAAGGTATTTAGAGTGAATTTATTGATGGACAAAGATTATCTGGATGGATTCATACATGGATAAATGGATGAGTGGATGGATGGATGGTAGATTGATAAATAGGTGAGAAATGCAATCTACTCCAAAAAGTTTATGCCCTTCCCCTGGAAAGGCTACATTTTCTCTCTTGTTCCTGGTAGACATTAGGATAATGAAAATCTGTGAGAAGTAAGAAAAAGATTACTGCACGTAGTGTCTGTGGCAGTGAAACAAAGTAGGTCATAAGGGTCACCAAAAAAAAAAAAGAGAGAGAGAGAGAAAAGAAAAGAAAGAAAGAAATTAGGTTGTCAGGCAGACTTTTCCAGTTTTGGCTTTGATGCAGGACTTCTCCAAACAGCAGTGGGAATAGAGCAATCAATCTCAGCAGGTGGAAGTGTCAAATGGAAACATTTTGATGAATGGAGTTGGCAGAAATATAACAGAAGAATTCTCTGGGTCAGTCAAGCTATTTTGCACTTACATATATTAGACAAAGCTGGTTTCACCCTCATCAACCCAGAATAGAAGAGACAAATGGGGTTACCTATTTCCTGATAAATCCTTTTAGGTAAGTTTATAAAAGAAATATTGATAGTGCTGGATGAAATCAAAAGTCATCAAGGGAGATTGACCAGAAAAAAAAAAAATATATATATATATATGATTGCATTTAATGGTTATTCTAGGCTCTCCCAGCTTGAGGGAAACGGTTATATTTTATACCTCTAATACTATACTAATTTTATGATTTATCAATTAAGCCATAATATAAAGGGAAATTTGAGTTGCAAATGGTGCATTTTTTATTTCACAGATTGAGAAAATTGGGTGATTCATAATCTATGAAAAAGAGGGCTCCAAAAAAGTAAAGATATTTCAGATCAAATTAGGAAAAATATGTAAATAAATAAATAGCAAATGCTAGACATCAAATTTAGTTGAATACTAGACACATGGAAATTCTTTTGTTTTATATTGTATGGGACAAAGACCATTTCAGTACTTAAAAATATATCAAATTGTAGTTGTGTTCAACTGTGATAACTAGTACACACTCACAGCTACTCACATAACTCACAGTTATGTAAGTGTGTACTAGTTCAGCTGATGAATTGTCAGCTGAACTGCTGTTCTCAACCGTTCAGCTGATGAATTGTCATCCGGGAGACAAAACTCATTATTTCTTTGTTGTTGTTGTTGTTCTTATCAAAATCTACTCACTGTGCATAAGTGCCTTACTTGCTAACATATGGATAGACACTACTATCCAAAACCAATTTTAATGTTGCACAACTCCATGGGTTGCAAAGGGATATTTTTCTTTTAAATAAAATCTATTTAGAGAATGGGGCAACCATTTTATCTTAGAAAAAAGGTTGTAAATTATTTCTCTGTGCTATTATTTTGGAAAATCATAATGTTTTCTCTGTCTTTAGAATTCAGAACACATAGTGAGGGGTAAAAAGTTGGATGGAAAAAAAAAGAGTGTGCTAGAAAGTTTCCACTTTATCATTACCCCAACATGAATAGCAATCTGAATGGTGTAGTCAGAAGAGTGTATTTGATGACAAATCTGGTAGTTATTAGACAAAATATTCCCTTGTATTCAGACTCATGAAATGGCACTATATCCTGAGCCTGGAAATATTTTCCATTTGTGGGGAAAATGATGAATGGTATTTAATTGCCTATTCACATTTTTTTTATGCCACAGTGAGTAGAAGATTTGATGTGGACAAATTTTCAACAAATAGACATCTGGTATCCTTGAACGTGTACAATCAAATATCTCTCTTCTTTTCTCTACCTCAACTTACCCCCAAGTTTTAAAATCATTGCAAGAGAAGACTTTTTTAAATATATGGAAACTTTTAATAACATATTGTCCAAAAAGCTTTCTTTTTAAATTTTCTTTTGTCACAGAGGAAAAACTGAATGGATATAAAGTAGATTTTTATGCAGACAAGTAATAACAGTTTTTTAGGAAGTAGTGTGACAATTAATATTTGATGTGAAATACTAACAGATATTGTGCATACTGCTGTTTTCTAAGACCATAAAGTCATGAAGTAGTTACTATAAATGTGGCACTACAGTTTTATTTCATTTTCAAGTTTCATGTGTATTAACAAAGCACATGATTTTCTAGCCATGAATTAGTGTTCTAGCAACATCTTTACCATTCATCAATCACAGTGATTTTCAACGATTTATTCTCTATCACCTGACTTTACTAAGTACAATCTCTCTTCCTGTCTCTCAATCCCTTTAAAATTTCTAATTCTCATTGAATATTTTCCCTTGCCTTTGAGCAACAGGAAGTTATCCACATATTAATGAAGATCAAAATAAAGGCAATTCATAGGGCCAATAAATATTTTATATAATCTAAAGTTATTTTGTTATTTTATGTTATCTGTATTATAATTTGATTATGTAGGATTACCATATTTATGCATATGCAAACACAACTTAACAGGCATTTTTTAAATTAACTTATGAACTTAGATTATATCTTTCTATGAATTCATACAAAATTAACAATCTATTCATTTGGGCTCAATAATTGTGCTAATTCATAACATTCGGTAAATTCTTGGATTTACTCTATTATCAGATTCTAAGATGGACAAGATGTTTTCATTATTACAAGTAATTTTAATCATATCTAGATTTAAATGTTGTAGTTAAATCTGTAACTTTCTTGCCTGTAATTCCCAGTCTAGGATGAGGAATTCATCTGCACAGTTACATTCAGTTCTGTTTTACCTTTTCCAAGCAACTTTACTAAGATTATTGCTCTCAGCTTAATAATGACCCAACAAATCCTATGCCTCACAGAGGCACTTCAACAAAGAGGTGGATAAGGTAGGTAAGGAAGAAAATCAGTTTATATTCCAGGGTTTGAGATGTATATTCTCAAATGTAACCTCATAGCATTCTACTGGCGCATTACTCTAAAATTAATTTACCCTGTTTGGTATGTAAGTTTTCATGAAAAGCTTCTTGAGAACATAAGGTTTCTATTACTCCAGTTTTTTCCAAAAAATTCTCAGGTACTGCCTGTACATAGTAGCTACTAATTAATATTTGTTTCAATGAATCAAGGGACCACATGGTGTTGAATTAGGCATAAACATAATAATAATTGCATTGTTTAGTGTTTATATTTCCATCACTGGGCTAAATATTGAATACATATCACATTTCATGTTTAAAATAAGTACATGATGCAAATATTATCCCCATCACATTACATTCCCTAATCCAAATTCAATGCATACTAAGATTTTTGTAGTTATTTGATGATTTGATAGTATTGAGACTAAGGATTATTGCTGCAATGGGTATTATCTAATACCAATTAGATTCTTCCTGGTATTAGCTAATACTATAAAGGTAATTTATTTGGAATGGGAAAAGGGAGTCATGTGATAAATTAGGCTTACAGAAACAAAGAATTTGGTATATTTAATATACTTCTATCTGCCATTTGAATATAAAAAATTGATATACTATATAATATAGAAAGATTTTACTAGCTGAGACCAAAAATGGTTGAATATGTCATTTTATTCAATCTGCAGGTCTCAGCATTTCATGTTAAGTCATTTGGACATGAGTGAGACGGAGCAGATTTGTGAGAATGTTCCACATTGGAAATTCAGAAGCTAGGATATAGCTCAGAATTTATTATCAGTAAATGTCATTCACCAGAAAGTAAGGACAACCTATTTGTTTAAGTATTCTATTAAGACAAAATTCAAACACATATAAATTATATAAAATGATATAATGCTATACAACATCTAGATTTAAGAAATATAAATGTATTTTATTTGCTTTATCTAAAGTTTTAAAGAATTATTTGAAAGTAAGTAAATATAAATATCTTAATGGCTCAGTATGCATCTCTCAGAAACTTAAAGACTATCATAAATACTTCTCAAAATCACATTTTTGGGGGAAGTCCAATAATATCATTTGCAGCTGATTATTTCAAACCAGGATCCAGTCAAGAATCACATGGTACATTTATTTAGACCAGATTTAAAAAAAAATAGTATTGACCTGGGAAACTTGCTCCAGACATTTGTGGCAGATTAATAAGGATAGGAAAGGAAAATCTATATGCGGTGTATCAGTTATCTATTGCTCCCTTACAAACCAACTCAAACATGGTGGCTTAAAACAAGCACTATCAATTTAACTTACAATTTTGTGGTTTGGCAATTTGTGCTTCAGCAAATAATTTCTTTTGTTCCTGGCTCGATTCTCTAATGCATCTGTGGTCAGATGCCAGCTAGTTGCAGGATGGCTGAGAGAGGTGGGCTTACAATGCCCCTATTTATATATGTGATGGTTGGCATTGTGTCAGCTAGAGTAGTAAGAACAACCAGCCATATGTCTCTCATCATCTATCAGGGTAGCCTGAGCTTGTTCAAATGCTGTCTCAGCCAGGTTCCCAAGAGAAATCCTACTGGAATAAGCGAGTTTCAATGTCTCTCAGATTCAATATATGGAGAAAGGTTTTACCTTTAAATGGAAAGGACTGCAGAATTTCATTTGAAAGGGATTTGCATAAGATGGGTGAGAAGAATCATGACCCATTTTTTGTAATCTGCCACTCATACATTGCTTTAAGATGTTCACCATGTGTAGAATACAGCAGAACTAACTCTGTTTTTCAGTCATTTTTAAAAATTATTGGTTCAAAGTGCTTGGGTAAAATTTTACTCAAAACTTACAAAACTTTCTACATGGAAAAGTTTTGACAAGATTCTTACCATCCCATGGGTCTCAAGAAAAGGAAGAAGAGAGAAAGAAACTCCACAACCCCCAACCCCTGACTTCAAGAACCTCAGGCAAAGGCCAGGCCAATATCCAAGATAGAAAGGGGAGAATGTGGAAGTTAAATTAAAAATCAAAATCTTAAATTGCATTGTGCTGTGTTGGGCTTTTATAATAATTATGACTGGGGAGCAATGAGGTCTTCCAAGATTCTCATTGAGAGACTGAATATAGTTCAGTTGAAGCCAGTGATTGAAGATAAACTATTTTTTGTTTGTATTCTGCCAAGGTATTTCTAAAACCAGTTTGATTTTGTGTGTTTATTTTGTTTAAATTTTTATATATACCTGCACTTCATTCCAGAAAGAGTATAGAGACTCTATGTATTAAATAAGTAAATTTAAGTGGCAGAGTGGTGAAGAAGTAAAGCAATAGGGAAGACATTAAGAGACAAGGGAGAGAGTATACCAAAAAATATCCACAATTTTTTATTCTTTGCTGGAGTGGTTCATATAGCCAATTTCAAGTGTCCTAGTAGCCAATACAAAAAAAAAAGCAATCAATATATTCAATTTCAGTATTTACAGTGATTGTGAATAAAAGCAAAGCAGTTGCTATGGAGAATATATCATCAGAGAACAGATATTTATTAATCAGCTGCTGTATGCTAGACAATGAGAATTTTGTGATCAGATAAGTTCCTTGCCTTCATGGAGCTCCCCATCCAGTGTTAAAAAAATCATTAGACAAATATTTAGAAGTGTAAATGAGAAGTACAGCATATAGGAAATGACTGTTTCCTCTATTACACTTGCTTGGTATTTCTCTGGCATGTGAAAATTATCACAATTTGCATCTATTTGGAACTGGGAGTGTATATGTATTTCCACGTGTATAATGCACCATTAACCAATATTTAACAGGACTTTAGCCTTTCTCAGAAATTGTAAATTGTTTTAGGTGAGAATATATATTTTTCAACATTTTTATTCCTTGCAAAAGCCTCTACAATTCAGTTGTTGAATTACACTGTAATATATGAGTGATTTTAGGTGTAGTCATTGGAACTCTATCTACAATAATTGTGGAATCTGAAACTTTACTTCTATCCTTAATGCAGTGGCTTTTTCATGCATAACACATTGCTCATTTTCCAAGAAAAGTACAGGAAAGGTTAACAGAAGTGGAAAATAGTTTTAGAAATAGGGTTATTTTAGCGGCAATCCAATATAAACAAATAGTAATGCGGTTAATAGTGAGAACTTTATTCTTGTGCTGACTAGAAACTTCTGTTCTGTTTATATTGTCAGCCTAAAGAAATCCTCACGAGATTTTATAGCCCATTTCCAGCTAGTCGAACAGAATATTTTCAGGTAGAAATATTACAATGCAATGCTTCAGTTTTAAGTTTCAAATAAGCAAATAAAAGATATGTGGGGAGAATATTCTGAATCTAACGGTGAGTGTATTCTGAAGCCAAATAATAATTAAGGATTAAAGTATTGTCACGTTAGCTTAAGCTGTCAGTAAATAGTTAATAAGTGATAATGTCACATGATCCTTGGGGTGTTGCTTCATCAGCCAGATACCTCTGTGGCCAGTGGCACCTTTGCCTGAGTATTGTTTGTGACTGCTGGGCTCATTCTGCCCCCTTGTCTGGGCATGCTGCACTCAGCTGAAGCTACTGGCCTGAATCTCACACCTGCCAAGGGCAAGCCAGGGCCAGAGCAGCAAGGCACATGTGAACAAGTGAGTGCAGGGTCTAGCCACTGCACAGCCAGGCACACCGGCTGCTGTGGCAGGGCAGGTAGCTCCAGCTGCTGGCATAGGTGCCAGCTCCATGCAAGCTGTGGCTGGACCAGATGTATCACACACAGCTTCTGCTTCAGGCACTGCAACTGGATGAGGGGAATACAGTGACACCTGGAAGCTTGGAGATGCCAGAAACCACAGAGCCTCAAAGAGGGTGTCACAGCCCTGGCTCGGGGAAGCCCTAGGTCTGGGCTCTTCCAAGCTCTGCAGAATGTCTCTCCTCCTTGCCTGCAATGTGGCAACTGGGCGGGGGTGGGGAGGTGCTGTTTCAGCTCTGATTATGTTATAACTCTTCCAATCCCACAAGTTGGCAGATCCCAAGTTTTTGTCATGTGTCCAGAAAGAATAAGTTATGTGGACAACTGGAGGGTGAGCAAGGTGGAGAGGAGCTTCTTTGAGTGACAGTAAAACTCTCAGGATACCTGAAATGGGTAGCTCCTTTCTGCAGGCAGGTCATTCCAACATCTGTTTGAGTCTGGCTGAGTCTGGGGTTTTTATGGCCTTAGAAGAGAGGAAATATGTGCTGTTTGGTCCATGGATAGCCACGAGTGGGCCCAGAAAAAGCACCATAATTTCTCAGTCTGGGCTGTGGACTCCACCCAGAACTGGCAGCCCGGGCCCCAGGCTTCAGGCCATCCCTGGCTTGAAGGTGGCGTTTCACTGGGACCTGCCCCTTTCTACCCAGGAATCTGTCTGCCTCCTACTGCTATCAACATGCCATCCACAACTCCTAGGTTGTTAATGCTGAGGGTCGCCTGTAGGCCCATTCCAAGCCACCCTCATGCTCCCTCAACCTCCCTCCCATGCTCCTCAGTGCCCAAAGTCTGGAGGGGGTGGAGGCAGAAGGGGGCTGGTGTGTCAGCATTGCCCAGGATGAGCACACACCTGGCCAGGTCACAACAGCTTTCCCAGCTTGGCCACAACTTTGTTCCACCCCCATTTGAGTGCAGGGAGCGGGGAAAAGCCAGACAGCAGGAGCAGGCACTTTCAAGCCTGTGAGGGAGAGGGGCTTCCTGGGCCTGGCCGAGAGTGTAGGGATGTCCAGGTCTGGAGACATGGCTGGGTGGCTGCAGCTGTGCCTGGGAATGCGGGGCTCCAGCCCTGCTAACTTGGTAGAGAACGTTGCTCCAGGTTGTTCCTGGCCCCTGGTAGGTCCATGGAAGTTGCAGCCCCAGCCACGCCTCCCCTGCTGCATCTGGCATCCCTACAGCAGCTGCTCCAGATGGGCCACCACTGCCATCAATAAGTTTTGACATATTTATTAATTAGAGTATAAGATAAGCTTCTGTTAACCAGAAAAGAGAAAGGGACCATTAAATCAGTGCATAAAAAATAAAAATTTACTTCCACTAATCCTAATGGATAGGACCCAGGTTCGATACGGTAGTACTGATGGCTTCAAAACTTGGCTTTCATCTTGGATTCAAAAGGTGTTGATCTAGGTTGTGCCATCATCCAGACAGAAGGAAGAGAGAGAGGGCCACAGGAATGCATTGCAAATCTTTTCAAGTTGAGTCCTGGAAGTGGTAATCATCACTTAAACTCAACAACTATAGGAGTGAAAAAAACTTAATCTCATGGGTTTGTGGAGCTACAGAAGGCTGAAAATGTAATATTTTGAAGAGCAGATAATATTCCACGTGTTTGGAAGAAGGGAGAGCATGTACTGGGGACACCTAGTAGTCAGCCATAAGATATTCTATCCTAACCAAAATTTCCTAAAAAATACTTTGGTTCTCAGATTTACAGATCTTACTTTCATATTTTATAATACACGTGCCTTAAATACAATTAAAAACAGTTAAGGAATAGGCTTACCCATAATTTCAACCTTTGAATTTACCAAGTATTTTCTATTCCATCATGTATTTTCATTTAAAAAAAATGTGTAACATTGTTATGAAAGGTTATTAACATTCTGGTTATACATGAAAATAGTTTATGGTCATTGTCCATTTTTATTGCATTTACTCATCATACTGATAGATAAATTATATTTCCTGTGTTTAATTGTATGTGTCAGCACACCTCTCAGAAAACTTCCTATATTCATTGAGAATTTTGGCACTTGACCTATATTCTTTACCCATAAGCTCCTGTAATGATTATAGATAAATACAGTGTCAATCCATCATCTTATCCTTACTATTCATTGAAAAGAAAATCGAATTTTGGGATTAATATGGCCCTTAGTAAACTATAATGTTTATCCAGAAATGTAAGACTTGCTCCAGATATGCAGGACATTTTTTTCAAGTAATAAAAAAGAAAAAAAAGAAGAAATGTATGACTGCCTCAGAAAAGTGTGTGGGGGCTATCTCAAATAAGGGTGTTTACAGGATATCTTTAACTACATTGGTGTATCCCTTAAAATCTGGAGCCTAGCCCTTAGGTTTCCAGAAACAGAAATGAAGAAATCATCAATCTCTCAAGGAGAAGTCTCAGTAATCAAGTCAAGTGAGACAAGGCTGATATATATAAAATATAAAGGTATATTAGGTTAAAATAATTGCTGATCTGAAACAATTGCATAAAAACACTACTTTATTATTTATGAGGATGAATGTTTTGCATAACATAGCTTGCCATTGGGGTATAGATAGACAAATTCACCCTTTAAGAAATAATACTCAAATTAAATAAATAACTTATCTAAATGATGTAATATAGGACAATGAACAATGAGACAGAAGTAAAATATCACTGTCTTTAAACTTTCAGCCTTCTAACTTAAAAAACAAGTATTCCTCATATCTTCAAGGTGTTCAACAAATAATTTGCTTCCCCTCATCTGATATAAGGCCCAGTCTTCAAAATATAGTTAACATTGTTTGAAATAGTATATAGTAATACTGGGAATACTATTTTCCTAGCACATTTATTGATTAGACATGTGTTCCCCATTGATACATAATGTGACTGTTAAAATATACGTATTTCTCATTTTTATTGTAGGTCTACTTTAAGGATCTATGTGATTTTGGTAATACATTAGCAAATTTACTAATTTCTAATTTAGCAATATGCTGTCTTCATTATGATGATCTTGTGATAGCCCTTCATTTCTTATAAGGTACGACACCTGTATTACACAGGATATAATTCAGTTGTGAGTAAGTGAAAAATAAAATTTCAAAATTTATGTGGATTAAACACAACATAAATTTTTCTCACACATAAATAGGTAATGGATAGATTCAGAATTAGTAAATCAGCTCCACAAGCATTAGGACCTAGGGTATTACTACTTTGTTTTTGTAGCAAACTCAATACCTGGTTTCTTCTTCATGCTTCGGTCCCAGTAAATGAATTCAAATTCTAGACACAGAAGAGAAACTAGGAGGAGAGAAGCATTCTCTCTGCCATTAAGTGTGGATACTAGATGTAACATATACCATTAACACTTCCATTAACACTTAAGTCCCACTTAACAGAACTTAATCGCCTATAATTATAAGAAAGCCCAGGAAATATTCACTTATATTCAGAGATATTTCTGCTAAATTGAAAAAAATATATGTTAAAATAGATAATGGGTGTCCATTATTTTCTGGGTAGTCTCTCAATTTAATTATCTTCAAGAATATGAAGCTTCTTCTTGTATAATTCATTCAAATACACTCTAGATTGATTATCTCAAAGGCTATTTAAAAAACCTGGAGAAATCCTAGTAGATTATTTTGGGGAGAATTTATAACTTAAACTTTCTATACCTAACACTGCATACTGAGAAATCTTGAACAATATAGAAAGTTGATGAAAAGGGATAAAATTTCAGAAATTCCTTGCATTTTATATACCCATATAAAACAGAAAATATGACTTAGAAAGACATCATTTATATTAGCAACAAAATGTGTAAGACAATGAAGAACACATTGAGATATCTTAGTAAACAGTGATTTTCTCCCTGAACCTTTATTTACATATATATATATAGTTTTCACTAGCAAACACTTGCAGAACATTAGGTAGAATCAGTGGCAATGATCATTCTCTCTAATTTTTTTGTTGTTTATTTTAAAGGGAAGTTTTAAAATTTTATCTCATATGTATCATATTTCAAACATTGTTTATAGAGTATTAAAAAAGGAAAGAAAGAAAATATATGAGCTAATCATCTATTTCAAGGTGTAAGACTAAGAACAAAAAAAGAACGAAAAAAAGAACAAAAAAAAAAGACCAAAAAAGTAGAAGTAATTATAGCAATACAATAATAAATGTAGATCAAAGCCAGTGAATAAAATTCAACAAATAAACTTTTTTTTGAGATTTGTGTACTCACAGAAGAATATGTAAAATGTGGAACCCAAGTTTAGAAATGTAATTACAGACTAATCTCAGTAATGAAAACAGATACAAAAATACTAAATAAAATTACAAGAAAACCCTCAATCTAAATAACAAAACAAATTTAGAAAAAAAAAATCTAGAAGACAACAAAGCCATGACCATGATTTTTCCCAGATGTGATGAGAGGAAAAAATGGTTTCATATTGGTCTCTATAAACTATACATATAGGGTTACGGCAGTCACTTTAGCAACTTAACTGATTAACCTGCTGATTTGTAAAGTGTTTTTATCTTCAACAAATTTTGAAATTATCTAATTACTTTTTTTCTGAACATATGGAAATAACTACTTGGTCTCTTTCTTTTGCTCTGTTAATGGGTCCATTAATATCATTTAGTGTGAAAGCATTTTTTTTCTCTCATCACATCTGGAGAAAACCACTATGGTGATGGCTTTGCTACTTTTTAGGGTTTTTTTTTTCCGAATTTGCTCTATTTTATATTTTTAGATTTAGGGTTTTTGTTGTGATTGTATTTAGTGTTTTAGTGGGTTTTTTTTTTTCATCTGTTTTCATTACTGAGATTGGTCTATAATTACGTTTCTAAACTTAAGTTCTCTGTTTTACATTTTTTTGTGCGAGTAAACAAATCTCAAAAACAATTGTTTATTTGATGAGTTTTATTCACTGGCTTTGATCTACATTTATTATTGTTTTTATTTCTATAATTTCCTTTCTTCTATTTTTTTGAGGGTATTTTCCTTTTCTTTGTCTTACACCTTGAAATAGATGAATAGCTCCTACACTTTCTTTCATTTTTAAAGAGTCAATAAGCAATGTTTAGACATTTTTTTCTGGTTATTGCTTTAGTTGTTTTCCACAATAACAGCTTTTCTAAGAATTCTTTTGTGTTTATTCAATTTTTATTTATAATATCAGTTTTTAAATATCTAAATTACATTTATTAATTTTTTTAGTCAGTTTATATGACACTGATTCTTTGAAAATTGATGAAAGTACTTTTTGAAATTAATACATAATTTTAAAGGTCAAATGTAATTCAGAAAATAATGCATATTCTTCAGCTTCTGTGACATGTTTTATATCTGTCCATTAGATCAAGTTTGTTAAGTATGTTTTCAAATTGCATATTTTTATTAGTTTTATCAACTATTATTTAAAGATGATAAAATCTCCCACTATTATGGTATTTTTCACACACTTATTGTAATATCATTTTTAATTAGTGCACATTAGTAGTTTGATAAATGTTTTGAAATATATATATTCACTTTCTCAATATGTAGTAACCTCTTTTTTCTTTGGATACATATATTTTATAAAATAAATTTAAGATAATTATTCTTTATATTTCACTCAGTAATTTTCAAGTATAAAGTTCCCCCTTTTCAGTATACCTTTCTGTGAACTTATATTTTTGTGAATATTTTATGTATGATTATGATATATGACAATTGAAATTCATATGAAATATTTTTACCACCTTAATTTATGCTATGTTTCCTTTTTTAACCTTTTGTCTTCTATTTTAGTTTTATAATTCAATTTTTCTTCTCATTCTTTTGAAAATTTATTGCAATTCTTCTGTTGATTACCTTTTCTTTTTTCTTTCCTCTTTGGCTGTTTTTAAGATGTTCTTATTTTGCAGTTTTACTATGATGAATCTAGGGGTGGAAGTTTTGTTTTATTCTGCTTCATGTCCATCATCCCTCACTATTTTCTAGATTTTCAGAAACTACGTTGGACCCTTATTATATTATTTTTAACCCTCTTTTGTATTTCCTTTGTATGTCTTTGTGTCCTCTGTACAATCTGATACTTGACACTTTGCACATTTAAATTCAATTTTTAAACTTCTAGATGTTCTATGAGGGATCTGTCTGCCCATTTACCACTTGAAGTAGATCTAAGGCTTCCAACTCCATCTCCTATCCCTGAGCAATATTATAACTCAAGTCTCTAGGTTTCTGAAATCATCAAAAGTTCTCAGGCCTACCAGATTTTCTGCAAGGGCTTATCACAGTGGTTTCTAATTTTCTACTGTTTACATCCTCTGGAAAGTTTTCTTATTTCCTTACATATTCAGGTGTGCATTTTGTACTATGTTAACTTCATATTGTCAAGCATATCTTATGTCTTGGAACTGGGGCATTTTCAAAATAACTTTTCAAACATTGACAGAACTGAAGTCTGCACTTCTCATATGCGTCTATGTCATGGACTAACAATATGAAATTTTTTAAGAGAGATATTCTATTACTTTTAAATACATTTAACTTTTAGTAAAAGAGTATTTTCTTCATACACAAATTTATTTTACTGTCAAAACTGATTATTCATGTTAGTAAATATTATGTTTAAAGAGTAAAAATGTTATCACATTACTGTTAAACCATAAGAACTCATGTGGCCACCTTTAGTTAGAGAGTTATGTCAGAACAAATTTAACTGGAGTAGATAGAAACGAAAATGTAATATTTTAAGTAAAAACTGAAGGTAAAGTAGAAATAAATGCTATTCTATTAGATGCCAAAACCACAGAATAGCTTTACTACGTATCTGCAGCACTTTTTGTGTAAAGCCATATGTAGCTAACAAAATTCTTTACTTCTACTAGAAACAAATTTATTTGAAGTATGAAGGTGTCAGAGTAACCCTTCCTTCACATTGGATTTTATAAAGCTGTCACTGTGTAGTTGGATTTCAAAGCTTTACTTGCTGCCTTAATGTATAAAAGAAGGAATAATCAGGAGGCCCACAAATAAAAATTACTAGAGAAAGTGGTATCCTTAGGCATGTGATCTTCTAGTTATTCTTGAATCCTCTTTCTCCCTTGATTTTCTCTCAACCAACTTGCCCCACTCCTACAAATCCATACACTGTTGCGCATTCTTTAAATTCTATCTTGATAATGCCTTTCTTATTTATTCTTGCGTTTATGTCTAATTTTGTTGGCAATTTTGGATTGCCATAGACAAATAATAATTTTCAAAGTTTTGCTTCTTTTCAATTACTCCCTTACTCTCGTCTATTTGTATAGTTTCTACATTGATAACTTCCAGAACTGCATCTTATATCCTATCTGTCTTTATATTCAACTCATGGTATGAATTACTAACTATAGATATTTGATGTACCTGAAACTTTTTCCTGGCAAGCTGAATGTATTATTTTTCCAGAAAATTTCTTTCTCTTGAATCCCCCTTTCCTGTTTATGACAGAATTCTTGTCCTATTCTCCCAATCTTCTTTGACCTTGCTTGTCTGTTCTCCCTAACAACAAATCTAACAATTGTCAAGGTTAGGCTTGTATTATCTTTCTACATTTATCAACCCTTTTCTTCTGTAATTACTATAAAATATTTTAAGCATACATTAGCTATTCGAAAAATATAACATATATATTTATTTTTGTATGGATGGTCAGATCTTAATCTCTGCTGTGTTTAATTCAGATTTATTTTTCTATTTTAAATAAATTATAGCTTTAAAAATTGAAGACTTCTCTCTATATATTTACTTATATATATAGACTTCTCTCTATGTATATTTTTCTGATCACATGACCATCCTTTCATCTCTTGAGTACCTGCTTTTCTGAATTTGATGTTTATTATTTATATTTATTACTTATTTTCATTATTTACAAATATATAACACTGGCTTATATATTTTAAAATTTTGTATAAAAGGTATGACATCGTATATACCTCCTGAATTTTTTCACGTTATGTTTTTGAAATTTGTTCCTGTTGATATCTGTATCTCTAGTTTATTAATTGTGATATGCCAGAGTATAAACAGAACATCATTTGTCCATTTGAATTTTACAGAATATTTAGATTAATTCTAATTTTTAAATGTTGAAAAATGCAGCAATATTCTTATAAATGTCACACTGTGCAGATGTATTAAAGCTATATATAGTATCTACTAGTAGTAAAATCACTAGGGTATAGAATATGTTAGTTTTCAGTTTTCCTAAGCTTTTGTTAAATAGCTTTAGAGAGTGGTTGAATCTATTTTTATTTCCTGTAATTAATGAGATTTCCATTGCCCCTCAACCTTATTAACAACTATTATTAAGAATTGTTTTGCCAGCTTCATGCCTTTAATCTTAGCACTTTGAGAGGCTGGGGCAGAAGAATTGCTTGAGGCCAGGAGTTCAAGACCAGCCTGGGCAACAGAGTGAGAACCCATCTCTAAAAAAAATAATAATAATAATAATAAAAGCCAGGGGCAGTGGCGTGTACCTTTAGTCCCAGCTAATTGGGAGACTGAGGCAGAAGGATCACATGGAGTTCTAAGCTAAAGTGAGCTATGGTCACACACTTTAACTCCAGCCTAGGGGACAGAATGTGACCCTGTCTTGATAAGATGCAATAAAATTGTTTTAATTTTTCCCAGTCTACTGGATAGAAATGATATCTGTATTTCCCTGATTACTAATGAGATTGCAACATACTTATTAGCCATTTTATTTTTCTTTTTGCAAATTGCTATTCATATTCTTTGCTCACTTTTATATAAATATGATGCTTCTTAGATTATTGTATTATGACTTTAAGAAGCTCTTTATATATTCATAAAAGAATGATACTTATAACTAACATTTATGTGGTGCTTATTAGGTTTAATAGACTTAAAAATGTTTTCTATTTATTAGCACATTTCATGGACACTAATTCTATTTTGGTTATATATGATAAAATATGTTTTTTTTGACTGCTGCCTTATAATATACAGAATATATTCATTTTGGTATATTTAAATTCATTAGCCTATTTTTTTTCAATATCTCTAGGAGTTTTTTGTTGCTACAAGGGTATTGATATATTTCCGTATATATCCTTTTTAAGTAGTTAACATCTTTATTTTCACATTTAATTATCTAATACCCCTGGAGTTTACTTTCAGCAACATTGAGATCTGCTTATTATTATTTTCACAAGAAGACTAGTTGTCTCATCACCATTTGTGTTTTCCTGCTGAATTCTTAAATCTTCTGTCACGTATAAACTTTCCACAATTGTGTGAATCTGTGTCTGAGCTCTCTATTATGACCAGTTGGTCCATTTATCTATTCCAATGTCAACATACTTTACTACAATTAGTATAACTACATAATATATCCTGGTAGGGATATATTTATTCATCCACCTTGTTCTTTTAAAATTGTTTTGGTTATGCCCATTCTAATTATTCTTGACAAGTTCATTTTAAAACCATATCAACATTTTTGGAATTAGATTGGCTCTGTAGATTGTATTTTAGAGAAACTGTAATGTTCATGATATTAAGCCTCTTATATATGAACAGAATTCGATTTTCAGATTTTCATTTATGTTTATCATCTTTTATGTTTTTGAATAAAGTTTTGTCATTTCTGTCTTTTAAAGATCTATACATCTTTAAAAGATTGGTACTTCATTATTTTTTGATAATGTAAGTGACAGAATTTTCTACATCAGCTATTTTTAAAAAGCATTTGTTAACATTTAATAAACCTCCCCCCATGTGACTTTAAGTAACCAAGACTAGCCCCATACTCATAAACGCTTTTAATCTTCTCAGCTCTTCTGCTGAAGAATTTGGCTTTCATGATGATAGGCTGCTTTGGGAACTTTTCCTTCCCCAGGCAGAACATTTTAGTAGGCCTAGAAAAACAGAGAAATGGCTTATAATACACCATAGCAGGTACCAACTCCCTGATGAGTATGAGGAAAGATGCCTCCCAACCCACACCTTCTGGGATCTAGGTAGGCCATGTTTCAGATACGCATACTAACACAGTCACTGCTCCTGCCAGTGAATCAAGACCAGTAGATTCATCGAGAACTCTAGCACACCAGGACAAGAGCTGTGTCAGGATGTTACTCTAGTGTCAGCTCGAACTTAGCTTTTGAGTGTTTATTCTGGCATATAATAGCACAAATTTAATTCCATAACATTCTTTATTTTCCTTTCTCCATATTCAGTTTCCAGATTCAGATTCTTAACCATCTCATTGTTATTTTTGCAGGAGACAGTAGTTTTCCCTCTTGCTTGGTACAGTCATTAGACATTCTTCATCTTTCATCAGTAATATTCTTAACGTACATTCCCAGCTAAGAGCCTTCTATTTTTATCTATTGCCAATATGGCAAATTCAAGACTTGTTAAGCTTAAATACATGACCTTCACATGCCTTGCATGTTTAGACTCATCTACTCTTTTTCCATTTTTTGATCTCTTCCCAAGCTCACATGGCTTGTGGTAACTTGTAGTTTATTGCAGGATACCAGCATGCCTGCCCCAGTTACTTGCTGACTGTGGCTAGATGGTGCCTTTAGTTTTTTGACATGTGGTCCTCTCCAAGGGGAAGTTCACTACACGGCAGCTTGATTATTTTGATTATTTAAAGCCAGTGAGGAAAACAGCCTCTTCACAAGGCTAAAAGCTAAAAATTTTTCAATAACATTTATTTAGTCAAACAGTGCTTGTTATTTATCCACTCTTTCAATAAATTGAGAACCTCCTACATGCACTGCAGTGTAGTATGCTTAGCTGCTATGCATACTACACTGTAGTATGCATACACAGTGTAGTATGCTTAGCTGCTATGCTTAGCTACTATGGATAAATCAGACATGACCTTTTATATGCTATTATAAAGAGTAACACAGGCACATAATTACATATATCTCATCACTTTTATTATATTCTGTTGGTTGGAAACAAGCCGCAGGTTCCACTCACACTTAAGAGGAGGGCATTAGACAGAGTAAAGCTACCAAGAGGCAGAAATCATGCTATGTTCTATTCCAAACTTTCCATCAGCAAACGGTGACAATACGTGCCTTTTAAAATCATCCTTTAAAATGTATTGAAAATCACATAGAAAAGCAGAAACACAAGCACAGATGCACATAAATGCTTATTATTTACAGAAATAAAATTTTACTATTTATACTGTTGAGCAATTAGTTCTTATTTCTTAACAGTCCACTGAGGACATTGTTCTATATTACCAGTAGTTACATATCACAGTATATGTGCCTGCCTTCTTTTTAACTGGTATATATAGCAATTATTGATCATTATACTTGATAATTACAATGCTTAGGTCACGGTTATGAATTTGCCAGATATCAAATTAGGGATGATGTATACAAAATGTCAGAAGAGTAAGAAAAAGCAATGTGGAAGTAATGTTACAAAAATCCAGATATTTTCACAATAGAACAATCCACAGGTGGCCACTGAAATTAAAATTAATTCAAATAAAAACAATTAAAATTTAGACCTTCAGTCATGTTAGTCACATTGCAAGTGTTCAATAGTCATCACATGTGGCTAGTGACTACTGTACTGGACAGGGAAGATACAGAACACTCATGTTATCACAGAAACTTCTGTTGGGCATAGTTATTACAGAAAACCATGAAGAATAAAATATGGAGCTGGGTTTCAAGTTATTTTCTAGGATGTCATGTGGTTTTTCATTGGTGAGATAGTAGTAAGCATTTTCCCCTTAATCTATAACACAAGAATGTAAAAAGCAAAATAATACTTACAGAAATACATAACACACAAATAAATGTAGAAACCTATTTAAATAAACTAAGGAAACAAACACAAAATTGTTTAACTTATTTAAAAATAAAAGAAGATGACATAATGGAAACTTTGTAATTTTAAAATATTTTTATTATTTATTTGATAAAATACCACTTTAAATTTAGGCTATTCTTCTATAAATCATTTCAGGTTCTATTCTCCTTTATTGATATATTTGTCTATTCTGGTCTTAGCGCCAAGTTATTAATTATTAAACTTGGCTTAAATTTAATTATTTACATTTAATTAATAATATCACTATGTTGATGTTTTATATTTAATGCAGTAAAAAATAATGGTTATATTTAAAATATGTGACAAATCAATGGCAAATTCTATCTAAGGAAAAAATTGAAATAAATGTGAGTATGCACACATAAATATATATGTAAGAATAAATTACCACATACTTATAAATATTTAAGCTTTTTATTAAACAATATGATTTTAAAATATATAATCTTTGCTAACAACTGATATAGCAAATAAATTAATAGCTTCTATGAAAGACCTTAGCATATGTAAGGAAAAGAATAAGAAACAGAAACTATAAAAAAATAGAAAAAATATAAAGAGGAAACTAACTCAATTTATCTTGAGATTGTCCTAATATAATCAAAATGTAATTTTTAATGACAGGAATTTTTAAAAGGAAATTTTAATAATTATTATTTGGGTGCACAAGTATTAAAATATTAATGTATGCCTCTTAGTAGTTACATGAGCGATGTACTAGTATCATTTCCATTTTAATGTTATAAGGGATTAATTATTCTCCCAATGCCGCACTTCCAGTAAGAATTAAAGCAGGATTAGATACAGGTACCTAAAATATTAATATTTTCTTTATATTTTCCAAATGTTTTGTAATGAACTAATTTGTGAAGTATGTATATATTATATATGTTTTATATTTACATATGATATATAATACAGTATATATAATATGTATGTATACCACATATCTACACAAAACAATCAAGTCTAAATCTAACTTTTGATAGGTAGAGAAATATTTTTTCTATTGCATTTCAGAATCCATTTCCTTGGCAATAATGGTTCTCCTAATTTACTTGATTTAAATGTACACATAAAAGTTATTTATACTAGCCATGGTCTCACAATACAAATTTTTCATACTGCTGAAGGTTTATGAAGTACAGAGAGGTCTTGACAAAATGTCATACAAAATTAAATAAGGTAAATTATTTGTCAATCAGTATGAATAAAACATAAGTTGTATAAAAGAAAGAAAATTATTTTAATAATTAGGAAGCCATAAAATAGCATTAGAATATGAGACATACCTGTAGCAGAGGCTGACTAATCAACCTGTGAGCCAAACAATTAATCAAATACTGACCAGAATTTGCTGCGGAGGTAGACTTAGATGCTGGTACTAGTGCTTGGAAAAACACATTCCAAAGGTTTAAAGCAGGCTGTTAAATCTATCTTGTATCACAGACTGTCAGAGAGAGTATAGTAGGATAAAGATGATGGAGACCAGATCCATAACCACAAGATGTAGGAATCATTGCCAAGTTAGTAGTTATATTCTATTAATGTAGGCTATAATGTTCTACCTAATCTGTTAGTTGAAAAAACATGCATATGTAAATAAAATATGTATGTATTACTACAAATAAAAGTGCATTAATTTTATGTATTAGTATTTTTACTACTGGAGTAAGAATTATGGTTAAATAATGACTTTCTAAGTATGGTGTACCTTTATTCATTGACTTAGTGTTTTGCTAAATGATTTCTAGTATGCAAAAATGAGACCAACCCTGTTTTAATATTATTATGCCAGAAAACCAACAGAATAACCAAACTGACCACAAGTTTCATAGTATAACTTAAGAAAAATAAAAATTGAAGTGGGTCAATAAAACAAACAGAAACCCACAATTAATTTCAACAAAATTAATGTAGAAATCAGAGTCTGGCTAAAATAAAATATGCATTTTATAAAAGACAAATTATAAGAACAAGAATATTCAAATTAAAAATGACAAAGTTGGTATAAATCACATATAAAAAGATATTAATTACAATATAAAATAAAATATTAGTGTAAACATACATTAAAATGTCAGAATTATAAAAAACTAAACTTTATGAAAATTAACAAAATAATAAAATCAAATTGACCACACACTAAAAAAAAATTACTAGTTTTCAAACATTATATTTAATCATTGGTTCAGGCTGAGATTTTATGTTAACATTTTCAGTTTTTCATGAAAAACAATTTTCAAGAACACATAGTTTGAGATAATGAAAAATATACTTGCACATGCATGTATATAGCAACACAATTTGCAATTGCAAAAATGTGGAACCAACTCAAATGCCCATCAATCAATGAGTAGATAAAGAAACTGTGATCTATCTACCTATCTATCTATTGATCTATCTATCTATCTATCACCTATCTGTGGATGAGATTGGAGACTATTATTCTAAGTGAAGTAACTCAGGAATGGAAAATCAAACATCGTATGCTTTCACTCCTAAGTGGGAGCTAAGCTATGAGAATGAAAAGGCATAAGAATTACACAATGGAGTTTAGGGGCTTGAGGGAAAGGGAGAGAAGGGGGCGAGGGATAAAAGAGTACAAATAGGGTGCAGCGTGTACTCCTCACATGATAGATGCACAAAAATCTCACAAATCACCACTAAAGAACTTACTTACATAATCAAATACCACCTGTTCCCCAATAACTGATAGAAATAAAAAATTGAAAAAGAAAAGACATGTTCACTGGGCAACATCAAAAGTAATAAGGATAATTACTTTTCATTAAGATAGGGTTTTTTCCCATCCAATAAATAAATAAATAATGAATAATATGGAAGTTTTCTCAGTAGATTTTATAAACTCAGAAACAAAAAAATTCAAATCATTCTCTTACCATACGTTAATTCTTATTCAATGTTTTATTACCTCACTGATTCTAGCTCTCTCAGTATAAATATGAATGTGTATGTGTGTGTATATATGTATATATATATACTTCATTTACACACACACACAGGTTTCATTCACAGCACCTTTTACAGGTTTCAGCACCATTCTTCCCAAAATTGATAAAGCTTCATAAGAATGTATGTTCTATCAAGCATTAATCCTAATTGTCCTATGTAATACTTAACCCTCACGACAACTGCAGAACACATAATCTTTCACACCACACATGGAACACTCATTAAGATGAGTATATAATGAACTATAAAACATGTCTCAAGAAATTAAAAATTATTTAAATCATACAATGTATGTGATCACAATGGGACAGTATCAGAAATCTATTTTTTCAAGTACCTGGAAAATCCCCAAATATTGCAAATTAAATATAACAGTTGTAGTCACCCATTGTGCAGAGAACAAAATTACAAGGTAACTCAGAAACTGGAAGTGAATACAGCCACATTCTCAGAAAAACACAATAAAAATAGAAATCAATAGCAAGAAGATATCTCAAAGCCATACAATTTACATTGAAATTAAAAATCTTGCTGAATGGCTTTTGAGTAAACAATAAAATTAAGGCAGAAATTAAGAAATCTTTGAAACTAATGAAAGCAAAGGCAAAACATACCAGACTCTCTGCGACACAACTAAAGCACTTTTAAGAGGAAAGTTTATAGCACTAAATATCCACCTCAGAAAGTTAGTAAGGTCTCAAACTAACAACCTAACATCACACCCAGAAAAACTAGAAAACAACAGCAAACAAACCTCAAAGCTAGCAGAAAAAAATTACTAACGTCAGAGCTAAACTGGAAAAAAAAATAAGGCAGGAAAAAGCATATGAAAGATCAACAGAATGAAAAGTGGTTATTTGAAAGGATAAAAAGGATTGATAGACTGCAAGCTAGAACAATAAAGAAACAAAGAAAGAAGATCAAAATGAACACAAACAGGATTGGCAAAGGAGATGTTAACATTTGCCTCATGGAAAAAAAAAAACAGAATATTATGAACATATCTATTCACACAAGTTAAAAAATATAGAAGAAATGGATAAATTCCTGCAAACATATAACTTCCAAGACTGAACCAGGAATAACTTGAAACCCTGAATAGACCAATAATAGGTTCCAAAATTGAATCAGTAATAAAAAGCTTACCAACCAGAAAAAGCCCTAGATCAGATGGATTCACAGCCAAGTTCTAGCAGACAAATGAAAAAGAGCTGATACAATTCTACTGAAAATATTACAAAAAACTGAGGAAACGGAACTCCTCTCTAACTTATTATATGAGGCCAGCATCATGCTGATATCAAAAGCTGGCAGACACAGTGAGAAAAGCAAACTTCAGGCCAATATCCCTGATGAACATACATGTAAAAATCCTCAACAAAATACAAGCAAACTGAATCCAGTAGCACATTAGAAAGCCAATCCACCACAATCAAATAGACTTCATTCCTGGGATGCAAGGTTAGTCCAACATACACAAATCAATAAATGTGATTCATTACATAGAATTAAAACAAAAAAACACATGATCATCTCAATAGAAGAAGAAAAGGCATTCAATAAAATTTGATCCCTTCATGTTAAAATCCCTCAATAAACTAGGCATCAAAGAAACATGCCTCAAAATAAAAAGAGCCACCTACGACAAACCCTGCCCCCCACCCCACCACCAACATCACATTAAAAGGTAAAAGCTGGAAGCATTCCGCTTGAGAACTGGCACAGCATGAAGATGCTCCTTCCCACCACTCCTATTGGAAATAGTACTGTAAGTCTTAGCCAGAGCAAGCAGGCAAGAGAACAAATAAAAGTCATCCAAATATGATGAGAGAAAGTCAAACTATCTTCACAGGTGATAAAATTCTATACCTAGAAAACCCCATAGTCTCTGCTCAAAGGCTCCTAGAACTGATACACAACTTCAGCTATGTTTCAGGGTACAAAAGATATGTACAAACATCAGCAATATTTCTATAAACCAATAATGTCTAAGTCCACAGCCAAATCAAGAATGCAATCCCATTTACAATTACCACAAAGAGAATACAATAGGTAGGAATACAGCTAGCCAGGGAGGTGAAAGATCTCTACAACGAGAATTTCAAAACACTGCTGAAAGGAATCAGAGATGTCACAAACAAATGGAAAAACATTGCATGTTCATAGACAGGAAGAGTCAATATCGTTAAAATTTCCTTACTGCCCAAAGCAGTTTAAAGATTCAATGCTCTTCCTTATCAAAACACCTATATCATTCTTCGCAGAATTAGAAAAAAAATTCTGAAGTTCATGTGGAACAGAAAAGAAGCCTGATAACCAAAGCAATCGGAAGCAAAAAGAAAGAAGCTGGAAGTATCACATTACCTGAATTCAAATTATACTACAAGGCTACAGTAACCAAAACGACCTGGTAGTGGTACAGAAACAGACACATAGAACAATATAACAGCTTAGAGAATCCAGAAATAAAGCCACACACTTAAAATAATCTCATCTTTGACAAAGTTAACAATAACAAACAATAGGGAAGAAATCCCTATTCAATAAATGGTGCTAAGATACCTGGCTAGCTACATGCAGAAGCTGGAAACCGGACCCCTTTTTGTCACCGTATATGAAAATCAACTTAAGGTGGATTAAGCACATTTTTTGTTGTAATTTTATTTTTTATATTTGGGGGTACATAGTAGATGCATATATTTGTGGGATTCGTGAGATATTTTAATATAGGCATGCAATGAGAAATAATCATATCAGAGTAAATGGGGCATCCATCACCTCAAATATTTATCCTTTGTGTTACAAACAATCCAATTATACTCAGTTATTTTCACATATACAATTATTCTTTTAATATAGTCACCTTGTTGTGCTAGGAAATACTAGGTGATATTCATTTTTTCAACATGTTTTTGTACCCATTAACCCTCCCCATATCCCTTCCAACCCTTCACCATCCTCCGTGGTCTCTGTTAATCATTCAACTCACTATCTCCATGAGTTCAATTATTTTAATTTTTAGCTTCCACAAATAAGTGGGAACAAGATAGGTTTGTCTTTCTGTGCCTGGCTTATTTCACTTAACATAATGACTTCCAGTCCCATCCATGTTCTTGCAAGTAACAGGATCTAATTTTTTTAATGGCTGAATAGTAGTCTATTGTGTATATGTACCTCATTTGCTTTATCCATTCACCTATTGATGGACAAATGAGTTGTTTCCAAATCGTGGCCATTGTTATTAATGTTTGGGAAATCCTCTGTCATTATCCTTTTGAATAAGCTTCCTACCTGTGTATCTCTGCCTCCCCTTTAAGGCCAATAATGCTAGATTTGCCCTTTTGAGGCTATTTTCTAGCTCTTTCAAGTATGCTTCACTGTTTTCATTCTTTTTTCTTTTTTTCCCCTGGCTGTATTTTCAAATAGCCTGCTTCAAACTTGATAATTCTTTCTTCTGCTTCATCAGTTGTGCTATTAAGAGACTCTGATGCATTCTTCACTATGTTAACTGCATTTTCCAACTCTAGAATTTCTGCTCAATTTTTTAGTTATTTCATTCTCTTTGTTAAATTTATCTAATAGAATTCTTAATTCAGTTTCCTCAAAACAGCTATTTTGAATTCTCTCTATGAAAGTTCACATATCTCTGTTTCTCCAGGATTGATCCCTGGTGCCTCATTTATGTCATTTGGTGAGGTTACATTTTCCTGGATGGTCTCGTGCTTATGGATGTTTGTCTGTGCCTGGGCATTGAACGGATAGGTATTTATTGTAGTCTTCACTCTCTGGGCTTGTTTGTACCTGTCCCTCTTGGGAAGTCTTTCCAGGAATTCAAAAAGACTTGGGTATTGTGGTCTAAATTGCATCTGCATTAGGAAGCACCCCCGAACCAGTAATCCTGTGGTTTTTGCAGACTCCTAAAGATACTACCTCAATAGTCTTGAATAAGATCTGAAAGAATACTCTGTATTACCAGGCAATAAAAACTCTTCTTCAATTCCCTTAACTTTTCCCAACAAATGGAGTCTGTCTCTGTTCTGAGCCACCTGTAGATGATGGTAGGGGAACACAAGCTCCCCTGTGGCCACCAACACTGGGACTGTGCTGGGTCACACCTAAAGCCAGTACAGTACAGGGGCTCACCAAGGCCCACTGTAATCACTGCCTTGCTACTGTCTTATGTTTGCTCAAGGCCCAGAGGCTCTACAATCAGCAGGTAGTGAAGCCACCTAGGCTTGTGTCCTTCACTTCAGGACAGTGAGTTCCTCTGGGCCCCCAGCAGGTCCAGAAGTGCATTCTGGGAGCCAGGGACTGCAATAAAAAACCTTACAAGTCTACCTTGTGTTCTATTGTACAGTGGCTGAGCGAGCACCCAAACCATAAGACACAGTCCTTCCCTCTCTTCCCTCCCTTTCCACAGGAAGTGAAGCCCCATAGTAAGTAATGCCAGGCTACTGCCAATATTCCCTTCAGGCCTAAGGGAACCTCATTTGGCTTGTGGTGAACACTGCCTGGCCTGGGACTCAACATTCAGGGCATTAGGTTCCCCTCTAGCCCAGAGATGGTCCAGAAATGCTATCCAAGAGCTAAGGCCTAGAGTGAGGGAGCCCAAGAATCTGCTTGGTGCTCTACCCTGCTGTGGTTGAGATGGTACCTAAGGTCCAAGACGAAGTCTCCTTTACTTTTCCCTCCACTTTTCTCAAGCAGAAAGAGTGTCTTCTTATAGCTAACACAGCTGGGATTATGCTGAGTCTCACCTGAGGCCAAAAAGTCTCAGTTTCTCACCCGAGGCCCTTGGCATACTACCTGGGTATTACTGCAGATTATTCAGGGATTAAGGGCTCTCCGGTCAACAGGTGATGGCTCATGTCCTTCATGACAATGAGTTCCTTTCTGGCCCAGGATATGTCTAGAAATGTCATCTAGGAGTTAGAGCCTGGAAAGGGAGCCTCACAACTCTGCATGGTGCCCTCTTCTACTGTGGCTGAGCTGATGTCCAAATAAAAGACAAATTCCTCTTTAGTCTTACTTCTCTCCTCAAGCAGAAGGAAGGGGTTTGTTTTGGAGCCACAACCTGTGAAGCCTGAGTTTGGGGAAAGGGTGGTGCAACACTGTCTCAGCCACCCTGGCTGGTGTCTCAGTACCCCCTAAGGCTACTGGTTCTGAGCGTAGTCAGCACTGGGACTCACCTAGGATTTTCAGTCCTTGAGGCTTAGACTGCTTTTCAAGTTTTTGTAGAGCCCCAGAGTACTTTAGCCCAGGGTGGTAAGGCTTACTGGAATTCACATTCTGACCATTGGTTTGAGTGATTCCCCTATGGCTAGAGCCTGTTTAAACGATCCCTACGTGGGTGGGTATCAGCTCAGTTCAGCTCGATATTGCCTTTTGCTGTTGACAGGACAACACTGAGTTCAATGCAGCATCTCAGAGTTGTTTCACTCTCTCTACCCAAAGTGCACAGATTTTCTCCCAGTGACACATAGCTGCGGCCAGGGGATGGTGGAGGGATGGTGTCAGCAATTCAAGATTGTCTTTCCTACCTTCCTCAATGCCTCTTTCAGTGATATGTAGTTAAAACAAGATACTGTGAGTGCTTACCTGATTTTTGGTTCTAATGAATGTGTCTTTTTGTGTAGGTAGTTGCTAAATTTGTGACCTTACAGGGGGACGAATCAGTGGAGCCATCTATTTGGCCATCTTTTTCCAACCTCTGTCTCAGATTAAACACTTAATCATAAACCTAAAGCTACAAGTACCCTAGAAGAAAACCTAGGAAACACCATTCTGAACATAGGCCTGGGCAAAGATTCATGACAAAGATGCCAAAAGCAATTGCAACAAAACCAAAAATTCACAAATGGGACCTCATTAAAGTAAAGAGCTTCTACACAGGAAAAAAAAATCTGTCAACAATGTAAACAGACAACCTATGGAATGAAAGAAAATATTTACAAACTATGCATTCAAAAAAGGATCCAGAATCTATAAGGAAATTAAATAATTTAACAGGTACAAAACAAATAACCCCATTAAAAAATGGGCAAAGGACATGACAAGTCACTTTTCAAAAGAAGACATACAAGGGCCAACAAACATGAAAATAATGTTCCACGTAACTAATCATCAGAGAAAAGCAAATCAAAACTCTAATGAGATAACATTTCACACCAGTCAAAATGGCTATTAATAAAAAGTGAAAAAGCAGCAGATGCTTACAAGGCTGTGGAGAAAAGAGAATGCTAATACACTATTGGTGGGAATGTAAACTAGCTCAGCCACTGTGGAAAACAGTTTGTACATTTCTCAAAGAACTCAAAATAGAACTACCATTTGACCCAGCAATTCCATTACTGGAAACACATACAAAAGAAAATAAATTGCTCTACCAAAAAAACACATGCACTTATATGTTTATCATAGCACTATTGAGAATAGCAAAGACATGGAATTAACCTAGCTGCTCATCAGCAATGGATTGGGTAGATAAAATGTGATATATATATATATATACACCATAGAATACTATGCAACCATAAAAAATTATTTCCTTTCCAGCAACATAGTTACAGCTGGAGGCCATTATCCTTAGCAAATTAACATAGGAAACGAAAACCACATACTTCATGTTCTCACTTATAAGTGGGAGCAAACAATGGGCACTCATGAACCTAAAGACAGGAACAATAGACAACTAGACTACTAGAGGTGAAGACAGGTAGGGGCAAGGTTTTGAAACCTAACTATTTGGTACTACACTCACTACTTGGATTATGGGATCAATCATTCTCCAAATCTTAGCATCACACAATATATCAATGTAACAAACCTGCCTGTATACTCCCTGGACCTAAAAGAAAAGTTGGAATTACTAAAAAATAAATAAATAAAATATCATATTTTCATATTTCTATGCTTAAGATAATTTTGATTTTTATATAATAATCATTAAAAAGTATATCTGAAATAGGAGACTGGCAGGATGTGTTTTCTGGTCACAACCCTGTTGACCAAAACAAGATCTGATCTAGACACAATATGGTAAAGAAACTAGTCAAAACCAGCAGATGGTGAGGAAAGTGATCTCAATCAGCCCTCGTTACTCATTAGCATAAGACACTCCCACAAGTGCCATGGCAGTTCACAAATTCCATGGCAATGACCAGGAAGTTACTGCCCTCTTCCATGACAACAACCCATAAGTTACCACAACTTTCGTAGATATTTCTGGATACCCTGCCCCTTTATTTGCATGTAACTGAAAGTGGGTCTAAGTAGATATAAATACTTTGCCCATAGCCTAGAAGTGCAGTTCAGGGCACACTGCCTATGAGTTATCCTTGCTCCAAAAGGAGCAGTTGCAGTTCCATAAAAGATTGCCGTTCAACACCACCGGCCCAGTCTTGTATTCTTTCCTCAATCTGGGGGCTCGCCTACCTGCCTGTATCATCTCTACACCCAAAATTTATCTCAGACAAATTGTTTTCACGCTAATTTTCTGTTTCCTTTACCTGTATATTGACTCCTTCAATTAAACTTTCTGAGAAAGTTTATGAGAAATTTGCCTTATGTGTAAAAACAAGGAACAAATCTACCATTATTTTTCTTAAAATTCTTACATACAAAAGATGTGACCATGACCATTACAAGTCACTATCCTCATTCTTGAACATTATTTGGACATTTTAATAGGCTGATCTGGTTCTAACAAAAGCTGCTCACTTAAAAAATGACAAAATGAAAACTCACTCAAAACTGCACAACTACATGAAAACTGAACAACCTTCTCCTGAATGACTACTGGCTAAATAATGAAATTAAGACAGAAATAAAGAAGTCATTTGAAACCAATGGGAACAACGACAGAGTACCAGAATCTCTGGGACAAAGCTAAAGCAGTGTTTAGAGGGAAATTTATAGCACTAAATGCCCACAAGAGAAAGCAGGAAAGATCTAAAATCGACACCCTAATATTACAATTAAAAGAACCAGGGAAGCAAGAGCAAACAAATTCAAAAGCTAGCAGAAGACAAGAAGTAACTAAGTTCAGAGCAGAACCGAAGGAGATAGAGACATGAAAAACACTTATAAAAGTCAATGATTCCAGGAGCTGGATTTTTGAAAACATTAACAGAAAAGATAGACTGCTTGCCAGATGAATAAAGAAGAAAACAGAGAAGAATCAAATAGATACTATAAAAAAATGATAAATGGTATATCACCACTCATCCCACAGAAATACAAACTTCCATCAGAGAATACTACAAACACTTCTTCACAAATAAACTAGAAAATCTAGAACGAATGGATAAATTCCTGAACACATACAATGCTATCCTCATCAAGCTACTATTGACTTTCTTCACAGAATTAGAAAAAACTACTTTAAATTTCGTATGGAACCAAAAAAGAGCCCAGATAGCCAAGACAATCTTAAACAAAAAGAACAAGGCTGGAGGCATCACACTACCTGATTTCAAACTATACTACAAAGCTACAGTAACCAAAACAGCATGATAGTTGTTCCAAAATAGATATATAGACCAATGGAACAGAACAGAGGCCTCCGAAATAATGCCACATATATACAACCATCTGATCTTTGACAAACCTGACAAAAACAAGCAATGGGGAAAGGATTCTCTATTTAATAAATGGTGTTGGGAAAACTGGCTAGCCACATGCAGAAAATTATAACTGAACCCTTCCTTACACCTTAGGCAAAAATTAACTCAAGATGGATTAAAAACTAAAACATAAGACCAAAAACCATAAAATCCCTGGAACAAAACCTAGGTAATACTATTCAGGACATAGGCATGAGCAAAGACTTCATGACCAAAACATCAAAAGCAATGGCAACAAAAGCCAAAATTGACAAATGGGCTCTGTTAAACTAAAGAGCTTCTACACAGCAAAAGAAACTACCATCAGAGTGAATGGGCTATTTACATAATGGGAGAAAAATTTTTGAATCTATCCATATGATAAAGGGCTAATATCCAGAATCTACAAGGAACTTAAACAAATTTACGAGAAAAAATAAACCACATCAAAAAGTGAGCGAAGGATATGAACAGACCCTTCTCCAAAGAAGACATTTATGTGGCCCACAAATATATGAAAAAAAGCTCATCTTCACTGTTCATTAGAGAAATGCAAATGAAAACCACAATGAGATACCATCTCACACCAGTTAGAATGGTGATCATTAAAAAGTCAGTAAACAGCAGATGCTAGAGAGAATGTGGAGAAATAGGAACACTTTTACACTGTTGGGAGTGTAAATTAGTTCAACCATTGTGGAAGACAGTGTGGCGATTCCTCAAGGATCTAGAACTAGAAATACCATTTGACCCAGCGATCTCATTACTGGGTATATACCCAAAGGATTATAAATCATTCTACCATAAAGACAAATGCACATGTATATTTACTGCAGCACTATTCATAATAGCGAAGATTTGGAACCAAGCCACATGCCCATCAATGATAGACTGGATAAAGAAAATGTGGCACATATTCACCATGGAATACTATGCAGCCATAAAAAAGGATGAGTTCAGCCAGGCACCGTGGCTCACACCTGTAATCCCAGAACTTTGGGAGGCCAAGGCGGGCACATCACGAGGTCAGGAGTTTGAGACCAGTCTGACCAACACGATGAAACCCCGTCTCTACTAAAAATACAAAAATTAGCCAGGCGTGGTGGCACCTGCCTGTAGTCCCAGCTACTCAGGAGGCTGAGGCAGGAGAATCGTTTGAACCTGGGAGGTGGAGTTTACAGTGAGCCGAGATGGCACCACTGCATTCCAGCCTAGGCAACAGAGCGAGACTCCATCTCATGAAAAAAAAAAAAAAAAAAAAAAAGAAAAAGAAAAGGATGAGTTTATGTCCTTTGTAGGGACATGGATGAAGCTGAAAACCATCATTCTCGGCTAATTAACACAGAAACAGAAAACCAATCATCTCATGTTCTCACTCATAAGTGGGAGTTGAACAAAGAGAACACATGGAGACAGGGAGGGGAACACCACACACTGGAGTTTTTTGGGGTTTGGGGGGCTAGGGGAGGGATAGCATTAAGAGAAATACCTAATGTAGATGACAGGTTGATGGGTGCGGGAAACCACGATGGCATGTGTATACCTATGTAACAAACCCGCACGTTCTGCACATGTATCCCAGAACTTAAATTATAATTTTAAAAAATGAAAAAAAATGACAAAATGAAAGAAATGTTACATTTCTTGGTAAAGTTATGGTTTGAAAGCCATTTTTAAGTAGGAGTACTACTTTTAACTGGAGACCAGAAAACCTGCCAAGAATATGTCATAAATGAATTTTTTTAATGTCAGTAAATTCGGTCAGTGCTTTGAAAGACTGTTCACTTAGCAGAAATCCCCATTTGCAACGCTAAAGTGTAAAATAGCAAAGGAGAGGAAATAAACTTACCTGAATCATTTATAAAGATTTGCAGAGGCAGTAATAAGTTCACCTTTAGAAAATTATCAGTGAATGAAATTTGTGGTGGTGAAACTGAGGGATAGAAGCCAAATGCCTATTGGCTGGTGTTCTGTGGACTTCCCCTCACATTTCTGCCAACAATCCTTAGCTCTGACCTTGAAACACCTGCTTACCTGCTTCCTAGAAGGGACAGTCTGTCAAATCGAGCTAAGTAAAAATTGTTCTGTACTTTGAAAAAATGTGGAGGAGTAGAATGAAATCTTACGGTCAATTTTTTTTTTATCTTGGATCTGAGTTTTAAAACAGAAATTGTCTGAGTTTAATCAGTTCATTAGTCCTCATCTCAGTTACCAAATCTAATATCTTGAGAAAAAAAGTGTTATCTAAAATGTGAAATAAAAATATGTAAACTTTCTAAATTGGGGTTAAAAATTGTACATTATTTGTTTAAATTGAAACCAAAAACACAAATTGATATTGTATTTTGGAAGGACTGATTTGAAAATAATATAAACATAATTTTAAAGTACTGCTGATATTAATACTATTATTTCTCTTTTGATTCCTTTGTATTGCAATGTTTGTAATAAATGAATTGCATCTAATAGTTATTTCTCTTATCGCCATTAGGAAAGAAAAAAGAGACTAGCATGCAAGTCTACCCTCAATTGATTAGCTGAAGTTATGATTTTGTACAATCAGTTTTGTCATTGTCAGCCTCAGATTCTTCTGTAAAAACTGATAATTCTCTTCCATAATGTGTAATAAAACATTTATATGTCCTTCAGTTTGTCATTTATCAAGCAACTTTGAAACAAATAAGAAGATAGAGGAACAGGTTGTTGAAAAATTAAACATTTAACTAGTCTTTAGATTTATTTAGATAAAACTAAAAAATTGTAATTATTTACACACCAATTACTATAAAATTAAAAATTAACACGTGATTACTTTGTATCTACCTTAACAGATTTATTTCTATTTACAACACTTTTATGAAAACGATTTTAAAAAATTGATATTGGTAGGTTGGTTTTTATAGCCTCAAGGGCTGTTAATTTGACTTAAAATTTTGACATTTTTAATCTTTATTAAGGAAGATTAAATGTATTAATATCTCATTATAGAGAACTTCCAGTTGTAAATGCACCTGAAAAATTAAACTGTATTTGTTACAGGAGGTTGACTATGCCCACTAAAATTATAATTAGCTCACTATACTTGATTTTAGCTTATTTTGTAAATTATAAGTTAATTATTTCTATTTCACTTGTTGCTTTGAATGCATGAAGATTCTTTAAATCTGTATATTTCTCTCTGTAGCCTTATTTTGTTTATTTTTTGAAAAAATCAACAGAATACTTATTATATAGACATTCAAAAATTAGTAGCTAGTAGAAAACCTAATAGAAGACCTTCATAAATTTAAAATTCAATTTAAAAACTTGCTTATAATATATGAACTTCTATACTAGACAAAATTAAACAGATATTTGAAATGTGAGCAATTTAAATATCTAGGATATCTTAATAATAAAATAACTTTATTAGTTTCTTATAAAGAATATATATTCAAAATACATGAAAGTCATTTGATATTTTAATGAAGGAAAGCTCAAATACCTTTTGATAATGTATATGACAGTTTTAAAGCTGCATCAATTTGAGAATAACTGTCTCTCATTTAATGCAGCACTGAGACTCCTTTACCCATCTCCAACTTCTCACCATGGCATTCAGCAAAAGTCCATTTCCTCATCTTCTTTATCATGGTACATCAAGCTCCTGATGACTTGTCTTCTTATCTATATGGTATAGGCATGTCATACCACATGTAATTTATGAGCCAGGTGTAATGAATTAGTGTCAGTACTCAGAATATAATGTAGTATTCCATATTTCTGTATATGTGTACATATTGTCAATGCCATCTCATTTTCCTTTCCATCTGCATTTTTTTAAATAAAACTTACCCATTCTTCAACACCTGATTCTCATTAGTAGGTTCTTCCTCCTCTATTCAGCTAGAGATCTCCTCTGACTTACAATGGTTTGATTCGTAATTTTTTGACATAAAGATGGTGCAAATGCAATATGCATTCAGTACACTCCCAGGCTTGGAATGAGGTTATGTCCATATAAACCTTTATTAATTTGAAAATATTATCAGTGGAAATACACTTTCAATTTACAACATTTTCAATTCCCAATGAGTTTATCGGATTGTAACCCCAGTGTAAACCAAGGTGCATCTCTATAGATTATTCTATAATAGTATATTTCAATTATATGTACTTTATTCTGTTAGTATCACGTTTTCTGAGAACACATTTTATTTCAAATGAATTTTAGTTAAAACCTCTTTGAGATCAAATATTTCATTTTTTTATATTTGAAACCCACATTTTAAGAGGTTCAATTATTTAATAATGAATGAAAAGGAAATGACTGGAGGAGGAAAGAAATAAGTAAAATATTTTTTCAATGATGGATTACTCTTGTTTTTCTTAAACTCATTGTGCTGACCCAAAATAATCTATCCATCTCTTAAAGAATACATTTAAAACTCTCACATTCTTTCTATTACCCACTACTTATCTTTTTTAGGAATATATATTCTTTTATAACATCATTTGTAATGTAATTAAAAGTAACTTTTCTGTTACTTAAATTTCACCAAGCATAGTACAGAGTGGACATGATAAATATGGAAATAAAACAACTGATTGGTTTACTGCCTTAATGGCAATTATTTCAATGAAGACAGAGCAAAATTTGAGGCATTTATTCTCAGTAATATAATAAAAAAATTCTCTGGAAAAAGCTACAGAATGAGAGACAATTGCTTAAATAGAAAGAAGGAGGAAAGAATGCCTAAAATTCCTAGTTTCTCAAACAAAATATTCTTAATAAACAATTTGTGTAGAAACTAGGTAAGATGTTTTGTTTGTTTTTTTAAAAGTTTAAACATATCACCAGAGGATAAAATTTGAAATCATTGAGATGTTAAATAAAAACAAAATCGGTTATAATTTTTACAAAATAATTGCTTTCAGAAAAGCAATATAAACTTTTAGTGTTTTCATTTAAATTCAGCCACTACATTCAAGCACTAGCAGTTACATTATAATAGTGAGTGAGCATTCTTTTGCAAACGTCTAGCAGATACCAATATAAAAAATTTTTTTATTGAAATATAGAGCACCTGACACTCATTGAGTACTCACTATGCCCTAGGCACTACCCTGGGTTCTGGAAAAATATAAGGAATGAAATTAACAAATGTTTTCACTCTATAGAATTTTATTCTAATATGGTTGAACATAATAATTATATTATATGGTTATATATATATGTGTATATACACACATACATAGAGAGAGAGGGTTTTTTTTGTTTTTTTTTTTTGTGACAGAATCTCAGTCTGTCCCTCAGGCTGGAGTGCCATGGTGTGATCTTGGCTCACTGCAACTTCTGCCTCCTGGATTTAAGCAATTCTCCAGCCTCAGCCTGCTGAGTAGCTAGGATTACAGTGTGGGCCACCATGCCTGGCTAATTTTGTGTATTTTTATTAGAGATAAGGTTTCACCATGTTAGTCAGGCTGGTTTTGAGTGCCTGGCCTCAAGGGAACTGCCCACCTCGGCCTCCCAATATGCTGGGATTACAGGCTTGAGCGACCATGTCCTGCTGGTTATCAATTTAAGAAGAAAAATTATACTTTGAAAAAGGACATAGAGATTTTTTACTGGGAGGTCAGGGAAGGCTTCTTTGATTGAGGGTTATCTGTGTTTTATACACAGCAAAAATCATTAGATATGGAAAATGTACACACACATACACATACGTACACTTTTGAGCAGGAATTAAAATCATAAACAAATCATTAGATCTAAGTCCCACAGAGTATACTCAAAAAGGAAAAACAAAAGAAAAAAAGGTAGCAGTAAACCACATACATATACGATCTCTGCAAAGACAGCCACATGAACACAGATACTGTGAGAACAAAAATAAACAAAAATACTGTGAGAAGAGATCTTACTTGAAGTAAATAGTTTTACATTTCATATCTTTTTACCAACTTCATTGGCATGCTAAGGCTGTCATAACAAACATCAAAATTCTGTGGCTTAAACAACAGAAATTGATTTTCCCACAGACCTGGAGGCTGGAAGTCTTGAGATCAAGGTGTTGGCAGGTTTGGTTTCTTGTGAGGCCTCTCTCCTTGGCTCGCAGGTGAACCTCCCCTCCCTGTTTCTTCACATGGACTTCCTCTGTGTCCAAGGTGCCTCTTCTTATAAGGCTATCAGTCATGTTGGATTAGGACCTGCTATCATCACCTCATTTTAACTTACCTCTTTAAAGGCCTTATCTTTAAAGGTGGTCACATTCTAAGGTACTAGAGTTAGGACTTCAGCATATGAATTTGAGGGAGGTAGAATACAACTCAGCCCATAGAACAACTTTTATATTTTACATTTACAGAAAAACTTTGGTAATACAGAAAGTTCTCCTAAAACCCACATCCAGTTCACCTATTATTAACATCTTATATTAGTATAGTACATTTGTTACTATTAATGAACCAATATTGACACATTGTTACTAAAGTCTATAGTATATTCATATTTCTTAGTTTTTTATGTAATATCCTTTTCTTTTTCCTCAGGATCCAGTTCCTGATACCACATTATAATTACTTGTCATGTCTTCAAAGGCTCATTTCAGCTATGAGAGTTTCTCTGATTTTGTTTTTGATGACCCTGACAGTTAAAAGGAATGCTAGTGAGATATTTTGTATGATGCCTTCCTAGTGGAATTTGCTTATTTTTTATTATTAGATTGGACTTATGGTTGAGGGAAGAAGATCACTATGCCATTTTCAGTACATCATAGCAAGCGTGTATTCTAGCCACATAACTTATGACTGTTGATGTTACCCTTAATAAACTTGACTGTGATAGTTTCTCAGGTTCTAAACTGTTAAAGCTTATCTTTTTCCTCCCCTTCCCATACTATTCTCTTTAAGAAGAGGTCACTACATGCAGCCCACACTTAAGGAGTTTATGGTTACCAGGGTGAACAAAGCACATAAATTACTTGGAATAAAATATTTGTCTCCTAACCCCTATTTATCAATTTGTTTAATTATTTATTTATATCAGTCCAGATAGGTTATTTATTTTACTTTGGATTAAAATCCAATATTACTTTTCTGTTGCTCAAAAGGTTCCAGCTTTGGCCATTGGGAGTTCTCTCAGCTGTCTCCAGTGTCCCTTTGACTTACTCCCAGGTTTATGGGTGTTTCTTTGTGTTGTTTTTGAACCCTTCCTTATATGCTGGAATTCTAAGATGCTCCAGTCTTATGTTGACTATTTCATCCATTTATCAAAGGAGACTTTATTCCTCTTATTAGCAAATAATATTAGAAATCAAGGTCTATGTTTCAGATGTGCTTGTATCTATAGGTTCATTATTTTTCTTAAGCTCTCTCAATTAACAAAGTAAATAAATATATGTGTGTATACTAACCCATATATACATACACATATTTACAAATATTTATATATGCATCCATCTGTATTTATATTATTAAAATTGACTTCTTTCTGATATCTCTAATTCTATTAACACACGGATAATTCTAGTCTCTTCCACTTACCTATCTGTAACTCCCACTTCGACAGTGAAAAACTGGGCTCGCACTATTCAGCATCCAGCTTCTTAGTTGTTTCATCCCAGTATACATGTATAGTAGTACCAGAATTTTTAACCTGCACCTTAGTGAGAAAGAACATTATCAATGAGAGCACAGTGATTGTATGCATTTCCCTTTGCTTTTGGTCATAGACTCAACTAATTTCCAGTGTTTAGGTCAGCATGTTTTCTTTCCATCTCCTCCACTGTGGCTGTTTCATACATTGGATTAGGGCCTGCTATAATGACCCTAATGTCAGTTTTTCATACAGTTAATTTTGTGTGTGTGACAGTCTGCACTTCTTCTGTGATCCCCAGGCCTCCTATATTTTTAAAAAGGAATGCATACATTAGGCTTTACTTTGTACTGTAAAGTTTTTTTTTTAATTTTGACATACATAATGCCATGCGTTCATCATTATAGTAGCATAAAAAACAGTTTCAATACAGTAAAAATACTTTGTGCTTCACCTATGTGAGCCTCATTCCATACCCACTCCAAGACCCCTGGGAACCATTGATCTTTTTACTGTCTGTATGGTTTTGCCTCTTTCAGAATGTCATATAATTAGCATCTATTCAGACTGGCTTCCTTCACTTAGCAATATAAATTTAAGTTTTCTCCTTGTATTTTTATGGCTATGTAGCTCATGTCTTACCATTGTTGAGCAATATTCCACTATAGGTACCATATTTGTTTATCCATTTACCTACAGAAAAACATCTTGTTTGCTTCCAGTTTTTTGAGAATTAAGAAAAAGCTGTTGTAAACATTCGTGTGCAGGTTTTCGTGTGGCATGAGTTTTCTAGTAAATAAATACCTATGAACATGAATGATGGTTAGTGTGGGAAAATAATTTTGGGCTTTGTAAGAAACTGCCACACTCCGATTCCTCAGGGATCTTGAACTAGAAATACCATTTGACCCAGCAATCCCATTACTGGGTATATACCCAAAGGATTATAAATCATGCTGCTATAAAGACACATGCACACGTATGTTTATTGCGGCACTATTCACAATAGCAAAGACTTGGAACCAACCAAAATGTCCAACAAGGATAGACTGGATTAAGAAAATGTGGCACATATACACCATGGAATACTATGCAGCCATAAAAAATGATGAGTTCATGTCCTTTGTAGGGACATGGATGAAATTGGAAACCATCATTCTCAGCAAACTATTGCAAGTACAAAAAACCAAACACCACATGTTCTCACTCATAGGTGGGAATTGAAAAATGAGAACACATGGACACAGGAAGGGGAACATCACACACTGGGGACTGTTGTGGGGTTGAGGGAGAATTGAGGGAGATATACCTAATGTAAATGACGAGTTAACGGGTGCAGCACACCAACATGGCACACATACACATATGTAACAAACCTGCACATTGTGCACATGTACCCTAAAACTTAAAGTATAATTTAAAAAAAAAAAGAATAAATACCCCCCGGGGGGGAATCATTCTTGTCTCTACAAGCCCTTTGAAGAATGGTTTCCCTAAACCTGTTATATTTATCTTCCATAGTAAATATGTTAAAAATGTATTTTAATAAAGAAAACAAATTTAAAATAAAAAATAAATAAATAAAACTGAAGAAATAGAAAATCCAAAAAAAAAAAAAAAGAAACTGCCACACTGTTTTTCAACAATACATGTATCATCTTCTAGCTTCACAAACAATAAATGAGAGGTCATGTTGCTCTACATCTTTGCGAGTATTTGGTAACATCAAGATTTGTTGTTGTTGTTATTTTTTATTTTTATTTTTTGAGATGAAGTGCCTACCTGTCGCCCAAGCTGGAGTGCTATGTCACGATCTCGGCTCACTGCAACCTCTGCTTCCCAGGTTCTAGTGATTCTCCTGCCTCAGCCTCCCAAGTAGCTGGGATTACAGGTGCGTGCCACCACATCTGGCTAATTTTTTTTTTTTTTATCTTTAGTAGAGACAGGGTTTCACCATGTTGGCCAGGCTGGTCTTGAACTCCTGACTTTGTGATCCCCCCACCTGGGGCTCCCAATGTTATTTTGTTTTAGCCATTCTAATAGCTGTATAGTGATATCTCATTGTTGATTGAATTTGCAATATCCAATGACAAATGATGTTGAAAATATTCTTATATGCTTGTTCCCCTTTTATACAAAGTCATACATTGCTTAATGATCGAATACAATCTGAGAAATGTATTGTTAGGTGATTCAGTCATTATGCGTGAACATCATAGAGTGTACTTACACAAATCTATGTGTTAGAGCCTACTACACACCTAGGCTGTGTGGTATATCCTATTGCTCCAGGTTCTAACCTGTACTGTATGTTACTGTATTGAATACTGTAGGCAACTGTAACACAGTGTATTTGTGTATCTAAATAGATCTAAAATATTATATGATTTAGTTTATATCACTGACAGTGCAATAGGTTTACTTACATCAGCATGCCCACAAACATGTGACTTGGTTTTCCGTGTTACGATGGCTATAATGTCACTATGGGATAGGAATTTTTCAGCTCCACTTTAATGTTGTAGAACCACTATTGTGTATGCATTCTGTTGTTGAACAAAATGTCATTACGTGGCGCACAACTGTATCTTGTTCAATGAAGTTTTAGCTTATATCTTTTGTCCATTTTTTTCACTAGATAGTATGTTTAAACTATTAGGACATCCTTGTACATTTTACCTATAGATCCTTTATCAGTTACATATTTTACGAATACCTTCTCTCAATCATTGGCTTGTCTTCTTATTCTCCGAAGTGTCCTTCACAATCAGATGTTTCTATTTTAATTAAGTCTGACATCAATTTTCTCCTTCACTGACTGTTAATCTTGGTGTTGTATCTGTAAACTTCTCAAAAAACCTAGGTTAAACAAATTTTCCATGATTTCTCCTAGAAATTTTATAGCTTTGTATTTTACATTTAGACGTATGAGCCACTTTGAGTTCTTTTTTGTAAGAGTCATAAGGTCTGTGTCTAGATTTATGTTTGCATATGAATTTCTGATTATTCTGGCACCAAATAATAAGACTCCCCTTCATGCAGTGAATTGTTTTTTCCCTTTGCTAAAGATAAATAGAGGACACATTTGTGTGCATTTAATTGAGTGGCTCTTTATTCTGTCCCTTTGATTTATGTGCCTCTTCTTATGCCAATCTTTTTGTGTATTGATTACAGTAGAGTCATAGTAAGTCTCAGTCAGGTAGTGTCAATGCTCCAGCTTTGTTTCTCTACTTTAGTATTATGCTGTATATACAGGGTCTTTTGCCTTCCCATATAAACTTTAGATTCACTTTGCCAATATCCACAAAATAGCTTCCTGAGATTTTTTTTTTTTTTTTTTGGTGTGTGTATGACTGCATGGAATGATCAATTAGGGAATAATTGACATCTTAACAATACTGAATCTTCTAATTCATGAGCACAGAATAGCTCACATTTATTTAGATATTTGTTATCTCTTTTACTAGAGTTTTGTAGTTTTCCACATATAGATGCTGTACATGTTTTATTAGTTCTATACCTTATTATTTCTTTGTTTTGTGTTAATGTAAATAGTATTATGTTTTAAATTACAATTCTTCCATGGATTCAGAGTCCAGAGTGCTCACCATTACACCATAGAACCTCACACTTTAATTACAATTCTTAATTGTTCATTGTGGATATCTAAGGAAACATTGGGTTTTTGCATAATAAATTGGAATTCTGTGACCTTGATGTACTCACTTATTATTTCCAGGGTTTTTATCTTTGGGGGTTTTCTTGCTAATTATTTGAGATTTCTACAATTGTTATAAACATGCCATCTGCTAATTAAGACAATTATATGTTTCTTTTCTCCCCAATCTTGTTGCACTAGTTTGTACTTCCATATAATGTTAAAAGAAGTATTGAATGGGGACCTTTTTCTTGGCCTTTTCCTCAGTCTTAAGAAAAAGGCATGCTATTTCTCACAACTATGTCTGATGTTAGCTGTACTTTTTTTGTAGATATTCCTTTTCAAGCAGAGAAAGTTTATCTCTATTTCAAATTCTAAGAGTTTTTTCTCAAAAATGGACATTGGGTTTTGCCACATGATTTTTCTATATTAATTAATATGGTCATATAATATATTTTCCTTGAGACTTTTGATGTGGTGGGTTACCTTAACTGATTTTTTGAATGTTGAATTAGCCTTGCTTACCTGAAATAAATCCCACTTGGCTTCATTTTATAATTCTTTTTACATTTGTGCATTCACTCTTCTAGAGTTTTTGTTAAGGCATTTTGCATTTATCTTCATGAGAGATATTGAACTGTGAATTTTTCCTGATATTATGTTTATCATATATTGTTATTAGGATAATGCTGCCCACACAGAATGAATTAGAAAATATCTCATTTGTTTTTATTTTTCAAGAAGATCATAGAATATTGTCACCATTTATTCTCTTATAATTCACCAGTGAACCCATTTTGGCCTTATGCTTTCATTTTGGAAAGCATATTTTTTAAATATGGAAAGCATAGTTTTTAAAATTACTGGCTAAATTTCCTGATTGCCATAGATTTATTCAGATTATCTATTTTTCCTTGTATTAGCTTTGTGCCTTTTAGAAACTTATTAACTTTATGTAAGTTATCAAATGTATGGGTATAAAATTATTCATAAAATTTGTTATTCTTTTAATGGCCATGGGATTCTCTTTCGTTTCTGATATATATAATTGTGTCTTCTCCATTTTTCTTGGCTAGCTTGACTAGAGGCATATCACTTTTATTATTGTTTCAATCAGCTTTGATTTAATTTTTTTCTCTATGGTTCCTTATTTATATTATTACCAATTTCTGCTCTAATTATTATTGTTTTTTTTTCTGCTTGCTTTAGCATAAAATTGTCCTCCTAAAGTCAAAATGGTAAAAAATCACTACAGTTGCGTTAAGTTGTTAAGGAACTCAAAATATTTAAAGGTGTAAATTAAGGCAACAAAAATATAAATAATGGGGGTAGAGCAAAAGACTAGAGTATTTTTATGCAGTCAAAGTTAAGTTGTTATCAGCTTAAAATAGTCTATTACAACTACAAGATTGTTTATGCTAGTGTTAGTAACCACAAAGAAATAAATTGCAGCAGATACACAAACCAGAAAGAGTAAACAATCAAAGCTTGGCATCAAAGAAAACTACAAAAGTAACTATAAGAAGAAAGGAAAAAATGATACACAAAACAACCAGGAAACAATTAACAAAATGGTAGAAGTAAGTTCTTACCTACTTCAATAGTAAACTTAATGTTTTTAAAAAAATGAAAGTCCCTAATTAGAAGATATAGAGTGGCAGAATTTTTTTTAAAACCGAAAATAATAACAAAAACACAAGACCCAACTATATGCTAACTACCGGAAACTTACTTCATCTGTAAGAACATGCAGAGAGTGAAAGTGAAGGAATGGAAAAGATATTTTATGCCAACTGAAACAAAAATGAACAGGAGCAGCTGTAATTATACATCCTGAACCTGTAAATAAAATATTCAAATGCTCAAAAATCTTAAATATTTTTGAGCACTGACATGTTGCTTCAAGGTCATGCTCAAAGGAAATACTTATTGGAACATTTCAAATTTCTGTTTGGGGTGCTCAACTGAGTAAATATAATGTAAATATTCTAAAATTGAAAAATCAAATCAAAATTTTAACTTTTCTTTTCTTTTTTTTCTTTTTTTCTTTTTTTTGGAGACAAGGTCTCACTTTGTCACCCAGGCAACAGTGCAGTTGTGTGAGTGAGCTTGGCTCCCTGCAGCCTTGACCTCCCAGGTTCAGGTGATCCTCCTGCCTCAGCCCCCTAAGTAGCTAGGACTATGGGTACACACCACCACAGCTGGCAGGCTAATTTTTTTATTTTTATTTTATTTTATTTTATTTTGTAGAGACGGTATTTCACCATGTTTCCCAGGCTGGTCTTGAACTCCTGAGCTCCAGTGGTCCACCTGCTTCAGCCTCCCAAAGTGCTAGGATTACAGACATGAGTCATGGTGTCCAGCCTGAAAAAAGTCAAAAAATTAACACTCCTGGTTCCAAGCATTTTGGTTAAGTAATACTCAGTCTGTATCAGATAAAATAGACTTTAAGCCAAAACTGTAAAAACAAAAAAAGGAGGTCATTATATAATGATTTCCTAAGGTGTAATCTTGGTTATTAATTTTAGTTATTTCTTTTCTTCTAATGTATTTAATGCTATAATTTTTTACTCTAAGAACTCAGTCACTGCTTTCAACAAACCCTATACATTTTGAAACAGTATGTAAACTGTTACATCAAAAAGTTTACCATTAGTACCAAATATTTAAGTATTTTACTTGAAATTTCCTCTTTGGCCCATATTTTACTGAGAAGTGTGTGGTTTAATCAAATATTTTGTTATTTCGGAGCTAGGCATTGTAGTAACAAGTTTCAGGTGCTCCCTGGTTCCCATGTACTATGGACTGAATGTTTGTATTCCCTTCTCAAAATTCCTATGCTAACAGTCTAATCAACAATATGATCATATTATAATGTAGAACTTTTGAGAGGTATCAGATCGTAAGGACAGACCTATATGAATGAGATTTATGTCCTTAGAAAAGAGGCCTTATAGAGCTGCCTGTCCTGTCCCCTTTCATCATGTCAGCACACACGAAGACACTATCTATGAACCAGGAAATGGACCCTCACCAGAAACTGGTGGTACCTTGAACTTTGACCTTCCAACTCTAGAATTGTGAGAAATAAGGTTTTGTTGTTTATAAGCTATCCAGTTCATGGAAATTTTTTATGGCAGTGTGACCAGATTAAGACATGGTAGAAAAATCTAATTCGCTTGTTTAACTAATTTGGTGCAATTGCAGAAAAGAGAGACCCATTAAGGTTAGTACCAGGTGCAGTGCAGCTGTTCTGGCGGATACCAGAGCTAGACAGATGGACTGCCTTTTTAAGTAGGTGAAAAGCATATCAGATGAGAGCAGAAGAACTCATGGTAAGGCCTTTGGGGGCTCTGTGAAGCACACAGAAGTCAAGACAGCACTTGAAATTATTTACCTTAGTACACATTTGGCTAAATATCAATCAAATTTGTAATCGTTTTCTATTTGTTTCACTTGTTATTTGTTTCTGTTTTTTAAAACTCTTTTCTACCTTTTTTTCCTTTTAACTGAACACTATATAATTGTATTTTGTCTTATTTTAACTTATCAGTTATAATTATTTTGAAAAAAATATTAGTGCTCACCCTAGAGTTTCCACCATACATTTACAACTAATGTAATTTTACTTTCAAATAACACTACATCAGACTTTATAGATCATATCACATGGAGGTTGACAGGCGTATACTGGCCATAGTGCCATCACTGAGCTAATGATGCAAAGATCAGAGTTCAGGGCTGCTTCAGTGGTTGTATTTGTAGGGCAATTTATCTACAATGAGGAAACAGTTTCAATGAGAAGGATCTTCTCTACAGAATTCTGCTAAGGAGATTCTTCTTTGTCTTTGTCAAGGGCTGGGCTGAGCACGTTCAGGGCATGCCTCTGCAAGGTTTAGCAGAAAATGGCTGCTATTTCCTGAGAGCTGAACAGCAATGCACGTGATCATGCAGGGCTAAAGATCATTAGACTTCTGGGCCAGTCAGAATGCAAAGTCTTCTTGAGCACCGCCATCATTCAGTAGAGACTCCAAGAAGACCATGCCTTAAGTGGAAGGACCATAATCTAGAGTGACCTTGTCCAACCCACAGCTTGTGGCCCAGAGAGTAAGGGTAACACAACGGGTCTAAAAACAAAAAACATTACATCAGCCCTAACAAACAATAAAAGGAAATTTAAGAGGATCAAGAGGATCAAAAGGATCTGCCAGTAATTTAACTGCCTACCAAGCCTTATTCAAACCTCTGTCAACATTCATTAAATAAAAATTACATAATCCATACCCTATGATATACATATACAATATCCCTCCTACAATAAATAAAGGACTAGCTATGCAAGGCAGCAAATAAAAGGTGAACCTTCATCAATAAATTGTGACCAATCCACAAATTCAGAGATGACTTAGGTATTGAAGTTAATAGACAAATACTTTCAGATACAATAAATATGTTGTAGGCCTAAAGGAAGAAATATGCGTAATGAACAAAAAAAATGAAGAATCTCAGTAGAGAAATGAACACTGTTAAAAAAAAAACTAAAGAACCCAAATAGAAATTTTAGAATTAAAAATATAATATATGAAGTAAAAAAAAAATTGGGCTTGGTTTAACAGCAAATGGAGACTACAAAATAAAATTTCAGTAAAACTAAAAATAAATGGAAACCATCCATTTTGAAGAACAGAGAAAAAAATGACTGAAAAACAACAAATGCATAGTCTTGCAGACATGACAGAAAATAGCAAACATTTTAGCATATGTGTCATATGAATTCCCAAGGAAAAGAAGAGAAAGAATATGATATAAAAATATATTTGAAAAAAGAATGACTAAAAATTTATTCAAATAAGTAAAAAACATCTACTGACAAATCAAACAAGATCTACAACCCCATATAGGAAGGAAAACTTCAAAGAAATGCAAAACTAGTAGTTAAACTGCTGTAAGCCAAAGGCAAGAAAAGAGAAAAAAAATCATAGAATCTGCAAGAGAAATACTATAACTTATAAGTGCGTAAAGATATACAGATATGACCCAAAAATGGGGGCCAGAAGATAATGGAATGACAACTTTAAAATGCTAAAGGGAAATAATCATCCCAATATATTCAAAGTGAGCATAAAATATATACATTTCTAAATTAATTAAATGTGAGAGAATTCATTGAGTACAGAACTGTACTCGAATTTTTTACATTGCTAAAGGGAATGATACCAGATAAAAACGTATCTACAGAAAAAAAAATACCAGAAATTTTAATGATGCACATAAATACAACTAGCAACATTTTCTTCTTACTTTATTAGAAATACAATTGTTAAACACAAAAATTATAATACTGTATTGTGAGTTAAATAAGGCATGTATACTGTAAAAATATATAACCCCAACAGCACAAGCAATGGGTTTAAATTACGTTTTGTTGTTGAAGGTGTTTTATGTTTATGTGAAATGTTAAAATAATGTTTCTACATAGACTGCAATCAGTAAACATGTAAATTTGATTTCCTAATTCACTATTAAATTAAAAAGTACAACTGAAGACTCAGTGGAAGAATAAAATAAGTTGTTAAAAATTCCTGATAAATGAAGAAGAAAAATCTGATGTGACAACTAATTACAAAAAGCAAGATGGTGATATAAACTAAAGATATTACTATAAATGTGAGTCTATTTCTGTCATCTCATTGTATATTTCCTATTTGACTGCCTGTTGTGTTTTCTCTTTACTTATTTTCCTTCACTTAGAACAAATGAATATTTATTTAATGCTTTATTTTCTCTTTACAAATAGTAAAATATTTAAGACTAAAATTATGTATCTAGAAATATTATAAATACAGCAGTCATACCACATGTTATAATATTTTAATTTAATGTAGATAAATGCAGGACATGGGTGAACCAATAAATATGCAAACTGAAGGATTATTTAAAAAATAAATGTAACTTGCTTTACATGATACTACTACTTACTATAACCATTCTACAAAATATAGACAACAAATGAAGAATAAGATTGAGTATATATAATGAAGAAGTCCTTATATACCAAAATAGTTTAAACTGGATAAACAAAATTAGACAATTAACTTGTACTGCAAATATTTAAATTTTCCTGCATATTATAAAGCGTTCAGAGACACTGCTTTTGCGCGGCTAACCAGTTATTAAGGGTAACAAAGGGCTCAGTTTGAGCATGTTTTTCGATATGCAAACTAACCACTCTAGAAACATAACCCCTCTATCTGGCCTGTATATCCCAGGAGACAATATTTCTCTGCCTTTATTATTCCAGGACTAGGTACCAGGCACTAGGAACCACCCCTATATTCTAAAGCTGACCAAAATTATTCAAACTACCCAATCCTAACTACTCACTCTGCCCTGCTTTGCCTTTCCCATGGAAACTCCAGTAAACACAGATGTCTAAACCTTCCCCTGGCTCCTATCATCTGGCGTTTGATTATCCTGGTGTCTTTCTCACATGACCTTGCTTGGCATGTTGTACCTCTTGTCTCTAGGTCCTGTGAGTATTAAGAACTTTGTTTTCCTGAGCCTCTTGTGTGGCTCCTTTTGTGGCCATACTTGGTTCACCATATCACAAAAGAATTATAAAACATAACACACAAAATGAGAAGTTCCAAATACATTAAAATGTAAAAAGAAAATAGTAGGAGAGTTGGGGTAGTCTGTACATCTTGGATAAAGTCAAAGGGAAGCAATAAACTGACAATATCAGCAACATATGTAAGAGATGAAACATTATACATAGTTTATTAAATTCATATATCCATTTATAATGAAAGGATACAAATGCAATAGAAAAAATACCCATGATTTAATTAAGCTATCCAAATAATAAAACTGAAAATCTTACAGGCATTGGTAACGCAGTACTTAAACTGATATAGAACAATCAAAGAAACAACAACCTGAACCTTTTAAAAAATGTATTTGTGATAAATCAGAAAGAATTGTGATACCCCAATGAAATAAAGAGTACTCTCACACATCGGTTGTAGTAATGTGTCTCTAAAATATTCTGGACATAAACATTGTAATATTCATATGCCCTTCTGGTTCAGTAATATCCTTTCTGGCTTTCTATCTTCAACAAAGATAAAATGCACCTACACATAAGGACAAATAAACAAGAAGAATTAGAGCAACAGAATTGACAAGGAAGAAATTCTGAAAAGAACTAGAATGTTCATCAAGAAAGGAAATATGAATATACTGTATTATAATCACACTATAGAATATTATGGAGCCATTAAAAAATATCTGTGTCACTGTATAATACTCATGATGTATTCATAAATGAAAATTTAGGTGCAGAGAAATGTCAGGAATAGTATACCATTCCATAAAATTAGATTTGTAAAATTCTATGTGTTTATGTAAGAATATTTTATGTATGTATGTATATATTTTGGTAAGAACATTGGAAAAGATTAGTGCATGAAGGCAACAAGATGTTCATTTTAGTTATGTTAATTAGGATACTGGATAAAACAGGAATAGGAGATATATGAACAGAAAAATCTATAGATGAATGGGAAAATGCCTTGTTTTATATTATTAAATAAAAATGTAGTGTAGTATAGTATAAGAAACATATCACAGCTATATGACTAATGATAGCCATGCCACTCACTCAAGCATATTTCAGGCCCAAAACTATGTGTTTGCTATCAATGTGGTGCAACATGGCCTAGGGCTTTCCAACACTGGTCTGTGGATTTCCAGGACACAAGACCACCTCAACACAGATGCAACATAAATAAACCTTAAAACAAAGCTTACCCTTACAAGAATAACTTAAACTCCCTTTATAAAAGGAACACCTAGTAACTAACCCTGACTGAATACAAGTACAGATGCTCCTTGAATTAAAATGAGGTTATGTCCTGATAAATCCACCATAAATTGAAAAATATCATAAGAAGAAAATTCATTTTGTACACCTATCCTACTGAACATCATAGGTTAGCCTAGCCTGTCTTAAACCTGCTTGGAACACTTACAGTAGCCTACAGTTGGGCAAAATCACCTAGCACACAGCCTACCTTATAATAAAGTATGACTACATCATGTAATACATTGAATACTGTACTGAATGTGAAAAACAGAATTTATGGGTGCTTGAAGTATGTTTTCTACTGAATGTATAAGGCTTTCGTGCACTATTGTAAATTCAGAATCCCCAAATCAAATTGTCTTAAGCCTGGGACATCTGTATAAGAAAGGGCATAGAATCCCCCAAACTCAGAGAATGGCCTTCGTATGGAGACCCTCTGGATCAAGCCGTCATTTTGACCTCTTGACTGTATCTGACCCATGCAACTGGCTTGCTTCTGCTATCAGTCTTGTGAGTGTTGGAGAATAAATTGAGCATCAGAGGGTATCTAAGACAACTTAGATGCAAATCAGACTGAACAGGAGAAGTGGCCCTTGGGGAAGCCAGTTAACTAGGACTACCAGAAACCTCCTGAACATGACATGTGAAATAAATTATCTCTGTAACACTTCTACAATATATAATACAAAATATGCAAATGAATAAAAACTAGAAGCTACAGTGGAAAAATGAATAAGCTGGTTTTATTAATTTATGGAAGTGTGGGTAATTTACATTTTAGATCACTGTTCTTTCAATATTTGTTTTGCAGTAAAGATTTTATTTTAGCCCATAAGGGAAAGAAAGAATTAGTAAGTTTCCTAATATGCCCATAGGAGTCATTAAGGTGGTTAATACCATAGCATACCCCACCTACAAATAAAAAGTTTACTTAATTAATTATTTTCAGTCCCTAACCAATGACCATCTAAGTTAGTGGTCCCCAATCTTTTTGGTACAAGGGACCGATTTCGTGGAGGACAATTTTTCCATGAATGGGTTTGGGGGTTATGGTTTTGGGATGATACTTTTCCATCTCAGATCATCAGGCATTAGATTCTCATAAGAAGTGCACAGCCTAGAGCCCTTGCATGCACAGTTCACAATAGGGTTCGCTGTCTTCTAAGAATCTAATGCCACAGCTGATCTGACAGGAGGCAGAGCTCAGGCGGAAATGCTGGCTCACCTGTTACCTCCTGCGTGGGTCTGGTTCCTAACAGGCCCTTGAGCGATACCAGTCCGAGGTCTGGGAATTGGGTACCCCTGAGCTAAGTGATTCCTATAAACAAATAAAGCAAACAACAAATACACACATGCGTATTGTAAATATTAAAAGGAATATGGAATTAAAGTATACTTTATTCCTCAAATGTGCAATCTAGAGTATATGTTCTACCCTTCCGGAGTATTTTCTGTGTGTTTAAGTGTGTGTACTTGTGCGTGCACATTTGGGTGTGAATTTGCAATCACCCAGTGGGTTCCCCTTGCCTGCCGCCTAGACCGAGCCTATTTATTAAGACGGGAGAATTGCAATAGATAAAGAGTAATTCACATAGAGCCAACTGTGTGAGAGACCGGAGTTTTATTATTACTAAAATAAGTCTCTCCAAGCATTTAGGGATAGGAATTTTTAAAGATAATTTGGCTGGTAGGGGCTCAGGAAGTGGGGACTGAGTGCTGATTGGTCAAGCTGAAGATGGAATTATAAGGGAAGTCGACGTGAGGTTTTCTTGCTGTCTTCTGTTCCTCAGTGGAATCACAGAACTGGTTGAGCCAAATTACGAGTCTGAGTGGTGTTAGCTGATCCACTGGGTGCAGGGTTTACAAAATATCTCCAGCACCGATCTTAGGTTTTACAGTAGTGATGTTATTCCCAGGAGCAATTTGTAGAGGTTCAGACTCTTGCAGCCATAGGCTGCATGACCCCTAAATCATAATTTCTAATCTTCTGGCTAATTTGTTAGTCCTACAAAGACAGGCTTGTCCCCATGCAAGAACAGGTTCTTTTTGGGAAAGGTTATTATCAATTTTGTTTCAGAGTCAAACCATAAACTAAAGTCCTTCCCAAGGTTAGTTGGGGCTTCACCCAGGAATGAATAAGGACAGCTTAAAGGTTAGAAGCAAGATGGAGTCAGTTGATTAGGTCTGATCTCTTTCACTGCCATAATTTCCTCAGCTGTAATTTTTGCAAAGGCAGTTTCAGATATAGAGATGAAAGTTATGAAAGACAAAATGAATTAGAGACAGAAAGAAAAACTGTGCTTTTATATTCATGTCTTCTTACTATGGATATTGTTCCAACAAAACTTTTGCTGCAAAGTTTAAGAATTATGCAACTAATCCCTACATATATAACAATTAATACTACTGTATAAAATTCTTAATTTATAGGAAAAGTTATTTTAATAAACTGTAGATGGAAGTGTCTATATATTAGAAAAATACTTTTAATAAAGAATACTTAATTTTTATGCAAGTATGTAAAACTGTGGTTTGAATATAGACACAAGGACAAGGGCTGTGAAAAAAAAGAAGATAAATTATTCATCAAAAATATTTTTCTTAAAATGTATTTGAATTTGATTTCTTTAATTATTTATATTGCAGGGTCAATTGAGTGAGTTCCATTGCTATATAATGCAAAAAAACACTTTTGCCCTTACATAATATAAAGAATTTTTTTTCTTGGATCTTGGCTCACACGGTTCTATTTGCACATGCTTCTATGTTGTGTAATATAGCTTGCATTTGTTTCTCAATTGTTTTCTTAGAGTCTAAATGAATTTTATGATATGTCTATAAATGAAACACATCATAAATATTTCAAATTTTTTTTATGTGGAAAACTGGAGAGTAAGTGCACTTATTCCTGAGTGAAAATATAATTTTGAATAATTGGCATAAAGTATATTCATACTCACTTTGAATTTTATTTTACTTTTACTTAAACACACATACACACATGTTGAGTTTGTTTACAGGAGAAAGATATGATTTATGAATAATGATTTTAAAAAGTGCACAAGTCTCCTCGACTTCAAAAAACTTTCCCTAAACAACTTTTAAATTAGCCAACACTAAATGAATCTAAAAGGTAGATAAATTTAACTTTATAATAAAATACTCATGGGCCTAAAAGTTAATAAAAACTGTATTTGGCATCACACATTTTAAATTTAATTGAACTTCAAGCATTAGGAATATAGGTGAAATGCCTATATGGTTCTAATTCTATAGTCATCAAAAAAAAAATTGCAGCAATTTGCATTTCATTTTGGAAGCTTTAAAGATTTATAATATTAGCATTTATTGCAACTTAGTCTATTTTCTTCTATAGAACTTTAGTTAAACTGTAGCAAGCAATTTTAGTTAACTCTCCTTTATCTTCATTTAATTACATAGTCTGCATATTAGTTCATTCTCATACTGCTATGAAGAAATACCCAAGACTGTGTAATTCATAAAGGACAAAGGTTTAATTGACTTACAGTTCAGCATGGCTGGAGAGGCCTCAGGAAACTTACAATCATGGTGGAAGGCACCTCTTTACAAGGCAGCAAGAGAGAGAATGGGAGCAGAGCAAAGGGAAAAAAGCCCCTTATAAAAGCATCAACCCCATGATTCAATCAACTTTCACTGGGTCCCCTCCCACAACACATGGGGATTATGGGAACTACAAATCAAGATGAGATTTGGGTGGGGACACAGCCAAACCATATCATTCTGCTACTGAAAATTAATATTTTCCATTAAAGCTATGTTCTAATTCTATATAATCAATGTGGATGTATATATTAAGTCAGTTCAAAAATATACTTGATTTTACCACAAACCCAAAGGTAAAATAGTTTGCAAAAGGAAAATAAAATCTCAGGACTCCAATTCACATATCAAAAGGAAAAAATATTAAGCCGAGAGCTGACTCAAGCAAGGAACTCTTTTTCCTTTGATTTCCAAGCCGATAGCTACAGATAACATTTTGAATATCTCTACAGAGAGCTACTCTATGTTCACCTTATCTTATGTAAAATGCTAATTTACTAAGTGCAAGACTAATCTATAATTGACTATTCTTCTATCTGTTCCTTGTGGATTGTAACGTGTGGATTCAGTAATGTGACCATACCCTCCTTCTCTCCCCTCTAGCCTGCTTTTCCCGTTTAAATATGGAAGCTCTTAAAATTTTCACATAAGAATATATTTTTTGATTTTCATTAAATATTGAAAAAACAATACAATTTTACTAATATATGTGGAGGTATAAAGTAGAGCAATAATTCAAATTTTATTGAGCCATTACCCATTTTCAAAGAGCACATAACCATTTCATTACAAGCACTCATTTGCTGGAGGTTATTATTTCCTTGAATCCTTCATCTTTGAGTGAAAAGCCAATTTTGCCATGTGAGCTTGTTATGCTACACTGTAGATTACATAGATTTACATAATTTTTAAATTATAAAGATTGAATGATATACTATTATATCTTCTTCTCTGATTTTTCCCTTAATAGTATTTTAAGATTCATGGCAATGTAGCTAAATTAATTTATTCTATTTCATTCTATTTGAAAAATAGACATAATATGTATGGTGTGTAGACATGTGTTTACTTTTCCTTTGGACAGATGTTTTTTCTGGCTTACAGACTTGTATTGCTACTGGTTTAACTCTCATGAAAATTATCATACTTCCTCTTATGCAAATTAAGACCACCCTCCCTTCTAGGTTATGTGTCCTAAGAAACATGCATCTAGAAATAATGTATTGTCAAATTATTTTTCAGCAGTATTTCTCTCTTCTACTTGCTTACCAACTATTGAAATATTTAGACGTGTGTGTGTGTGTGTGTGTGTGTGTGTGTTTAATCTATTAAGTTTACAATGGAAATGTATTGTGGTTGTATTTTTACTTCTGATTATAAATTAACTGAAACAACTTTTCTGATACTTTTGGACATTTTAATTTTTTCTTTTCAGGTTCCTTTGGAAGGAAGAGTTTATCCATTTTCTCTTGGATTGTTTGTCTTTGTCTAAAATGCTATAAGAATGTGTATACACACACACGCTCACGTGTGTGTGCATGTGTGTGTGTGAGATAATATAAACTTTGGATACAAATTCCTTGTCAAATGTGTGTAGCAAATATCTGGTTTTTTTTCCTGTTTATGGCTTCTATTTGAACTCTCTTTATGATGTCTTTAATGTGAAAATATTCTAAATTTTAGAATTGTAAAATTTACTCATATATTTTATATTTATTTGTGTTCTCTAATTTAATATCATATTCATCATATACATGTATATACATGCATATATATGCATGCATACAAGTATATATCCATATATATGCATGTATACAAGTATATATATACATGTATATATGTGTATATATATACTTGTATACATGCATATATATGGATATATACGTGTATGCATGCATATATGTGTATACATGTGTATATATATGCATATGCATACGTATATATGTGCATGTATATATATATGTATATATATACATGCACATATATACATATATACACTATATATCAATATATATCATATTGATACACATATATAAAATATTGACATGGTTAGGCTTTGCATCCCCACCAAAATCTCATCTTGAATTATAGTCCCCATAATCCCTATGTTTCGTGGGAGGGATCAGGTGGAGATAATTGAATCATGGGGGTGGTTTCCCCCATCCTGTTCTTGTGATAGTGGATAAGTCTCACAAGATTCAATGGTTTTATAAATGTCAGTTCTCATGCACATGCTCTCTTGCCTGCCACCATGTAAGACATGACTTTGCTTCTCATTCATCTTCTGTCATGATTGTGAAGTCTCCCCAGCCATGGGGAACTGTGAGTCCATTAAACCTCTTTCCTTTATAAATTAGTCAGTCTTAGGTATGTTTTTAAACAGGCTTGTATATATATGGCATATATATATGTGTGTGTGTATGTGTGTGTGTGTGTGTGTGTGTGGAATTTTTTTTTAAGGTTGTGTTAGTTGTATTCAATTTTCTTTTCACATTTTTGTAATTAAACTATTATATGTGGACATTTGGTTTTTGGTGTTGTTCACCATTTATTAGATAAGACTTTTTCACCATTGACCTCTTATGCCAGGTGTCATTTTTAATGTTTCCAGATAGACATTAGCCTGTTTCTAAACTCTGTAGTCTATTCATCTATTCCTAGATCAATACTCCACTATATTAATTCCTATATCTTTGTACTCCTAACCCATGTATCTGTGAATATTTCATGATTCTTATTATTTTTAACTCCTAATGGAACTTGACTTATTGTTTGTTAAATGTTTTTCTCTAATCCTCTCATTTTATTTATTCCATTACAGTATATTTTCATATATTTTTTTAGTCACAAGTTGTCAGTTAAACTGTACTTAATTTTATGTTAAATTCTTCTATATTTTGCTTCTAACACTTTTTATATGTAGGGATTTTGTGGGCTCATTTCCATAACTGCTTGGGTATTTTCAAAGTCCCCTTATCTGTTTTATCCCCATAAGCCTGTCTTTTAGTTTTTAAACAGAGTAAATATGTCTATTAATAATTTCTGTCTTATAATTCTAACATCCTAATAAGTCTACTTTTGTCATCTGATGTCTCTTGGTGCCTTTGTACTGTTTAGGCCTTGTGATTTCTTTCTTTTTTTTTTTTTTTTGGCTATATTCTAAATGTGAGAATCTTCGAGACCTTCCCTTCAGAGAATACAAAGAATATTTGCTTTTACTTCTCACAGGCATATGGGTTACTACAAATCTAAGTCTACTTTAAAGTAAACTCTCTGCTAGAGATTTTGGAGAACAACACAGATTGGGTGGAATTGAGTACCGTAGTTAGATAAGGTCTGTCTTGTTATGACAAATCATTTTTTTACAAATCATTATTTTCCTTTTCAGAAATTCAACATTTGTTTGCGACTATAAAGACGCATTTCTTTCTCCTCCTATGTAATGGAACTATCTCCTGGTTTTTGTGATCCATATTTTATATTAGTCTTCTATTAGTTATTCAAACTTAGGCAAGATCTATAAATTATGTCTTGTTCTTTTACCTCCATCCCTCCCTCGACACACATCTCCCAAATCCAAGTCTTGAATCATGAAGGTCAGCAGAAGCCCTCTAGGCAGAAAGCCAACTTTTGACTTTGCTTGCTTCAAAAGATTCCCTTTTTAACTTTAGATTTGGCTTATGTTGTTCCCCTATAGTATTAGTAGTTTAGCAATGTATTTAAGATGAAATGTTCACTTCTTTTGTACAATTTTTAGCTGTTTTAATGTGAATGTTATTCAGAGTATTTATCTAATCTGCCATATTTTACAAAATAGAAATCTATATTTATTATTATACCCATGTTTATGTACACATAATTAGAATAAGCTTATTAAAGGGAATACATTAAAACAATTGTAAAATATGTATACATGTAACTAAAATCAGAGAAAAATATATTAACAATATAATAATTATAATTTCTAGGCACTGAAAATTGTGAAAATAAAAGAGCTACACAAAATGATTTTCAAGAGGACAAGCTAAAAATAAATCCTGTAGAAATAATTATTTTTTTCAAAGTTCTGAAACAGAAATGCTTGAATCACTCTTCACCCTTGCTCCTCCTGACATGTCTCCTTTCCTATTGCACGTTTATAAATTATTTCTTTAACACGAATGCAATTGACAAGACTGAGTCCTTTCTAGATCTTTTTGTGTTGGCTTTCTGATCTGCTTGACACATGTGACAATGTCACATGAATAATGAAATATAAGTAACTTGGGTATTTTTAGTCTGATTTTAAAGCTTTTCTCCCGGTCTTTTTTTTCTTCCTTTTAAATAGTTTAAATTGAAAAAAACAAAATTTTTATTAAAAAGTTTTTTTTCTAATTGAAGAAGAATTTAATTGAAGATTAAACCACAATATATGCATGAATTGGTGGGAAAAAGCATAAATCAAGGCATAAAAACTATTTTATTACAAATAATTCTACAGATACATATAGAATATTAGTGATCAATATTCATTCAAACTACATCTTGTGAGTTCAAGATGACATTTTTTTAGTAAAAGTGTAGTCATGCTATTGCAAAGCACACCTACTTATTAGTGTCTAGTTTTTGGCAACAATGCATTTTTGAGAAAAAAATATTTCTTCAGTTCCTTGATAGATAACCTCAACACATGGAAAAATGATTTTTCTTTTCCTCTGAGTCCGTGGCTACCACGATATACTGAATGCTTTGCAATAGTTCTGTGTGCTGATTAAGATTCATAGTGAGGTTTTTCTTATGATTTTGATTTGAAATATAAATTGATTTGACAGAATCTGTTACTTTGTGTATTTCTTTCCAAGCAATATGCACATGTGGTTATATCATTTCCCTGTCTCCTAAGCTTTTCTTTAACTACCATTGAAATATTATTTATGCAGAGAAAATTCTGTATTGGCGAATACATTTTCTCCACTACGGTTTTCCAGTGTCTTCAGTTTTCATATGCTGCAGTGTGTGTGTATGTGAGAGAAACAGAGAGAGATAAAAAGCATCACATTTTGTGACTGAATATATTGAACTGGCATTTAAATAGTAACAATTGCTCCATTGAAAATTTTACTACCTATGATGTTATGGTAGGCTGAGAATCCTTTATAATCAATGAAAACACAGTAATGACATCCCCATGGTAACATAAATTCTGGAAGACTGATTGCAACAGTTACACCTAAACCTGAAATAATTCCACAATAACTTGAAGATGTAGAACTTAAATTCCCAGTACCTTGTTTCTATATATTTTTTGCATTATTTACTCGAAGCAGATGTATTTTATAAAGGGAAAATACATGACACTTTACAATAATGTAGACATGTCAAAATATGCATATGTCTATCTAACAGAAAGATATTCACTTGAAAGAGTGGAACTTTTTCGTGGACTAATGATGCCATTATAAGGCAGAAAAGGAATTCATTGTTCATACAATAGATGTCTTTTTGAAAACATCTGTCAAAAAGGACATTTTGAAAACAGTCGTTTAATCGCCAAAGGAATTGTCATTTAAAGATAATCTGATATAAATCTCACTTAAAGAGGATATGGTATAATCTCATTCAAAATAAAATAATTACTACTGTTGCACATTACATTTTTAACAGTGAATCTCTTGTTACAGAAAAAGTTAAGAACTCAACATAAGGAATTAATGTAGTACATTAACAACTTCTAAAATTATATTTAGGGATGTCATTTCATGGTATTACAATATTTGTACTACAAAAGAAATAAAATTATTGTGTTTTAATTAGAAATTTGATTATCTTTTGTGCTTGCTAAAGAACAACATGATCAAATGTTTTTGGTCAATATGTATGAAAAGATCTGTAAGACTGAATTCTTTCCACAAGGCACACACTCAAAAAAGAAAGAACACCTGTCTTAGCCTAAATTTTTCTCATAGAAGAGCTTGAAAATATATTATCTTAGGGAGCTAAAGTGCAGAATATGGGGAGTATAATGGGAAAAGTGGAAAAGCAAACACAAGAATGCTATATTGATTTGACCAATGCTTTTAAGAAACTGGTGCTTTAGCTCATGAGCATCTTGTAAGAGGACTTACATAATACATCCCGGAACTGTCCATCTGAGGGAACAAATTGAAGCCATATTTATGTATCTGTTCTCATACCTCATTGTTCAAATGTGCCATCATGGGCTTTGACTGTACCGCATTCGTAAGTTAAACATGTGAGCATTGGGCAGATTTTCAAATTTATCTGTGCTACAGTTTCAAGGAAGCTCCAAGGCAGGAAGCAGGGAGTATGTGGCTAAGCGTCAGATGATGTACTATTCAATTATACCTGCATGAGGCTAGTGAGATTCTGCAAGGAATTCTTTGCTATAACAGTTCCTAGAGTGTGAGATGGGGCCAAGAAGATTTTGAAATGGTTATGAGAGTTGTCCACAAGATTTTAATTTTATTTTCCCGTGCAAAAGACAAACAAAACAGACAATATATAACTCAGACATAGATATGAATCTTGTTAGTTAAACTCAAAAGGTCTTCACCTACCCTCCCACCACTTCCACAATTTCTTCCAGTTGACATTTTGTAATATACAATAAGTAAATTTACTTGATGTTGTTATTGTACATACATTATCCTATTTTGTAAATGTTTTTTAAATTAGACCTCCAAAAGACGTCTAATTTTAAAATTTACTTTTCATGTTAAGAAAAGTAAATATAACATTTCCATTTAATAAATTTCCAAACTACTTGGTGTATATGCAAGTATCTTACTATAATTTCAGATATGATGCTTCTTTTTCTGTGCTACTGCAATGCTTTTGAAATGTATATGTTTGTTTCATTAACTTGAAATTCTCTGTGGGGTTTCTTATTTGTCTTGGTCTACCATTGAGTCTTAAATTTCTTCTTGACTGTTTTCAGCATCATCACCTCAAATATTTCGAAGTGCATCTCCTTTTCAAAGCACAGAATAAAAAAAGTCAAGATCTGAAATAAGATTATTATACCTGTGAGTAATCAAAACTCAAATGATGATATGAAAATAATTGTTATAAATAGACTTCCTCCATTTAGCTTTTGGAAACCTTGTATATATTTTTAAAACAGCAGAATCCATTGGCAAGTGAGACTGGTTCTCTTACCTCCCTATTTGGCTGCCTTTAGGACAATTTGTCAAACTACAAAGCTTGATCATTCTGAGGTTAGCTGCAATTACTTGTCTAAGTAAATTTTCAGTTAAAAATTTATAAAATGTATATTTTCTTAGCAGCATCCAGAGGAGTTTTAAGGATGTGATTTAATAAAAAATAATAGACTTTAAATCTTATTTTCTTTTGTATTATGAAACTATGGATGACTGATATGAAAACTGTCAACTTTAATGACTTTCTTTTTAAACTATCTAATACATAACAAAACTCGTGTAACAGACTTTGATTTCTCCTTTTCCAAACCTTCCCCCAAGCCTCAGTATTTATTCCATGCAAAGTATTTATAATAGCTGAAAAAGCACATTCAGAAATTCTAAAGCAATAAAATGGCTATGATAAGAAATGTAAAATAAATATTGTTTCTACAGACAAAAGAAAAACTATTTTAGGAGTATGAATATTTTGTTGTATTTGCCTGTAATAAAAGCCAGATGTGGCCCACTAACATTTTACCATTTTCCTAGCTGTTAATTTCTCACATAACAATATAATCATGGCAATTACAATAATACCTTTCCTTTATATAGGGTTTTATAATTACACATTGCTTTCCCTTTCTCTATTGTCTATAAGAATCACAAACAAATTTAAGAGATTATTTTTATCCATATTTAACATAAGAAAATTAGGTCTTATGGCTATAAAATGAATTGCTTAGTCATGTAACTAAAAAGTCATATGTAGAAACATTCTTTCCTACATTAATAAAATAAATCAACATGAAACTATAATTTGATAAGTATAAACACCTTAATTCATTGATTAAAAATAATGATCCACTGAATTATTAGGATGTTCTGGGTTTCATTCATTATAAATGACATACCCACATTTCAATTTTGAAGTGTATGTGATTTCTGTTCACATGCAAAAATACCAGCAACAACAACTAAACTAAACAAATAATATGTAGATGTGTGAAAGCCACTGTTGAGTGTGAAAACACAAGTCATAGAGGGAAAAAAAATTTACAAATCACATATCGGACATAAGATTTGTATCCAGAATATAAAATAAACTCTCAAAACTCAAAAGTAAAACAAATGACAAAAATAAACAAAAAAAAATGGGCAAAACAGCTAAAGAATCTTAACAAAAGAAGATATACACATGGCAGATAAGCATATTAAATGATGCTCAATTTAATTAGTCATTACATAATACAAATTAAAATCACAATGAAATACCACTAAACACAGACTATAAGTCATAAAAGAAAACTGGCAATATATAATACTGATTAGGGAACAACTGTAATTCTTAATGCTTGTGGGAATAAAAAATGGTCTTAATGTTTGTGGGAATAAAAAATGGCATAGCCAGGCCGGGCGTGGTGGCTCACGCCTGTACTCCCAGCACTTTGGGAGGCCGAGGCTGGTGGATCACGAGGTCAACAGATCGAGACCATCCTGGCCAACATGGTGAAACCTCGTCTCTACTAAAAGTAAAAAAATTAGCTGGGCGTGGTGGCGTGTGCCTGTAATCCCAGCTACTCGTGAGGCTGAGGCAGGAGAATCGCTTGAACACAGGAGGCAGAGGTTGCAGTGAACCAACGTCGTGCCACAGCACTCCGCCTGGCGACAAAGCAAGACTCCATCTCAAAAAAAAAAAAAAAAAAAAAAGGCATAGCCATTGTGAAGAACAATTTTGGCATTTTTTTAAATATTGAGAAAATTCAGAAAAATTTTTAAATTTAAACATACGCATGCTATACAATCTAGCAATCCTTCTCCTAGGTATGCATAGATATAAAATGTAGGTTTATGTTCCTGCAAAAACTTGTACATAACTTTTTATAGCAGCTTCATCCATAATTACCAAAACAGGAAACGAAGATGCATTTTCTTTTTTTTAATTCTGATTTGTTTTTTAATTTTTAATTTTTTGTGGGTACATAGTAGATGTATATATTTATGCGGTACGTGAGATGTTTAATACAGGCATGCAATGTGAAATAATCACATCATAGAGAATGGGTTATCCATCCCTTCAAGCATTTATCCTTTCTGTTATAAACAATCCAACTACACTCTTTTATTAATTTATTCTCTCCTTGCTTTAAGATTTCCACTGAAAAGCCTGCTGCCAGGCATATTGGAGCTTTGTTGTATATTATATTTGTTCCTTTCCTCTTGTTGCTTTTAGGATCCTTTCTTTATCCTTGATCTTTGGGAATTTGAGTATTAAATGCCCTGAATTATTCTTCTTTGGGCTAAATCTGCTTAGAGTTATAAAACCTTTGTGTATTTGGATATTTATATCTGTCTGTAGAATTGGCAAGTTCTCTATCATTATTCATTTGAGTAAACTTTCTACCCCTATCTCTTCCTCTTCTTCCTCTTTAAGGTCAATAATTCTTATATTGGCCCTTTTGAGGCTACTTTCTAGATACTGTAAGAGTGCTTCTTTTTCTTATTCTTTTTTATTTTGCCTCCTCTGTGTATTTTCAAATAGCCCGACTTCAAGCTCACTATTTTTTTCTTTGGCTTTATCATTTTATTAAAAGACTCTTGAGGCCTTTTGCAGTATGCCAATGGCATTTTTCTGCTGTAGAATTTCTGCTCAATTTTTAGTTATTTCAATCTCTTTATTAAATTTATCCGATAGTATTCTGAATTCCTTCTCTGTGTTATCCTGAATTTCTTTGAGTTTTTTAAAAACAAGTATTTTGAATTCTCTTTCTGGAAGATCACATATCTCTGTTTCTCCAGGATTGGTCTCTGGTGCCTTATTTAGTTAGTTTGGTGAGATTATGTTTTCCTTGATGGTGTTGATGCTAATAGATGTTCTTTGGTGTCTGGTCATTAGGGAATTAGGTATTTCTTGTAGTCTTCACTGTCTGAGCTTGTTTGTAACCCTCCTTGTTGGGAAGGCTTTGCAGATATTCAAAAGGACTTGAGTGTTGTAATCAGAGTTATATCTGCTTTAGGGTGCACTCCAAGCCTAGTACTGCTGCGGTTCTTGCCAACTTGTAGAGGTACTACCTCCATGGTTTCAGACAAGATCTGGGAGAATTCTTTGTATTACCAGGCAGAGACTTGTTCTTTTCCGTTGCTTTATCCTAAACAAATGGGGTCTCTCCCTCTGTTCTGAGCCACTTAAAGCTCTAGGTACTACCTCCATGGTTTCAGATAAGATCTGGGAGAATTCTTTGTATTACCAGGCAGAGACTCTTGTTCTTTTCCCTTGCTTTATCCTAAACAAATGGGGTTTCTCCCTCTGTTCTGAGCCACTTAAAGCTCTAGGTACTACCTCCATGGTTTCAGACAAGATCTGGGAGAATTCTTTGTATTACCAGGCAGAGACTCTTGTTCTCTTCCCTTACTTTATCCTAAACAAATGGAGTCTCTCCCTCTGTTCTGAGCCACTTAAAGCTCTAGGTAAAGTGGCACAAGCACCCCAGTGTCCACCACCACTATGAGTGTGCTGGGTCAGACCTGAATACAGAAGAGCACTGAGTCTCACCCAAGGCATGCTGTAACCACTCCCTGGCTACTGTCTATGTTCACTCAAAGCCCCAGGGCTCTACAATCATCAAATGGCAAAGCCATCCAGGCCTGTGTTCTTCCCTTTAGGATGGCGAGGTCCCCCAGGACCCAAGTGGGTCCAGAGGTCCTGTCTGTGAGTCAGGGACTAGAGTCAAAAACCTTAGAAGTCTATCTGGTATTCTATTGTAATGTCCCTAAGTTGGCACTCAAACTGCAAGACACAGTCTTTCCCATTCTTCCCTCTTCTTTCCAAAGGCAGAGGAGCCTCACCCCATAGCTACCACCACCACAGGCCATGGGGGGTACTGCCAGACTAACACCAAAGTTTCCTTTAGGCCCCAGGCCTCTTAAGTCAGCTTGTGATGATTGCTGCCTGGCCTGAGACTCCCCTTTCAGGGTAGTGACATTCCCACTGCATTCAAGAAGCAATGCAGGTCCAGAAATGCCATCAATGTGTCAAGTCTTGAAATTAGGGACCCCTGGTGCTCTACCCCTCTGTGGCCATGCCAGTACCTAAGGTGCAAGACAAAGTTTCCATTACTTTTCCCACTGTTTTTCTCAACCAGAGGGAGTCTGGTTGCCCCATATCTACCACAGCTGGGAATGCGTTGAGTCTCCCCTGAACCTAGCAAGTCTCAGAGGCTCAACCTCCACATAGTACTTGGGTATCACTGCTGGTTATTCAGGACCCCAGGGCTCTTCAGTTAGCAGGGAATGAATATTACCAGGACTGCGTCCTTCCCTTCGAAGCAGCAGGTTCCCTTCTGGCCCAAGATGTGTCTAGAAATATTGTCCAGTAGCAAGGCCCAGAAAGAAGTCCTCACAACTCTGACACATGTTCTATCCTGCTGTGGCTGAGTTGGCATACAAGATACAAGACCGTTCTCCCCACTCTTCCCTCTACTCTCTTCATGTGAGAAGGGGGTCTCTTTTGGATCCACAAGATGTACATCCTGGGTTTAGGGGAGGGATGAGGCCTGCACTACAATTAGTCTCCCCAGCTGATGTCCTGGTGAGTTGCATGCCTCCCCATTCCACTGTCTCTGGCTCTGGTTCAGCACAAGGACTTGCCTAAGAGTCACAGTTTTTGTGGCCTAGACTGTCTTTCAAGTTTCCTTAGACACCCAGAGTGCATTGGCCCTTAGTGGGGAGGTTTGTGAGAACTCAAGTTTGAACCACTGGGATTAGAGGTTCCCCTGAGGCTAAGGCTGGTTTAAATGCTCCCTCCTGTAGTGGGCTTCAGCTGAGTTTGGTTTGGTTTTCCTTTCAGCTCTAACAGGACAACACTGAAGTTCAATGCCTCACAGTTGCTGTGCTCTCTCTCCCATAGTGCCCAGAGAGGCTCTCTGCATCAAGCCACCACTGATGGGGCATGGGGGAGGAGTGGCAGCAAAGATTCAATACTGTTTTTTCTATATCTCTTCAGTGTCTTTCAGCGATATGAACTTAAACCAGGAACTATTAGGGCTCACCAAATTTTTGGTTCTCATGAAGTTGTTTTTTGTGTGTAAATAGTTGTTGAATTGGTGTCCTTGCTGGTGTGTGGGGGCGGGGGCATCAGTGAAACCTTCTGTTCTGCCACCTTGCTCCACCTCCCTCCAAGATGAATTTTAGAGTCAAATTTGTGGCATATTTATCCAATGGAATACTACATAGCACTTAAAAAAAAAAGTTGGTGTGTGCAACAAAATGATGACTCTTAAGTTTTTCCTAGTGAAGCAAGTCAGAAATAAAATCAGAATTATATAGTTTGATTTACATACAGTTTCGATAAGACAAAATGATAGGAACTTTTCTAGGATTATGAAGGAAAAGATATAGCTCATCTATAAAAAGCAGCACAGGGATAATTGTGAGTGACAGAACCATTCTGTATTATAATTGTGGTGGTGAATATATGACTTTTTTTTTCTCAAAATCCATTTAATGATATACCACAAAGTGTAGTTTTTACTGTATCAAAGAGAATGTGGGAAGATCCTAAAATGGAATTAACCAATGGTATTACATGTACATAACATGATTATTATAGCACATATAATAAAATAAGTAAAGTGGTGTCTATATTGTTATAATCAATAATTCTTATTTACAGATGAATTCCAATTAATAATGTATACAAAATGAGAAAAAAATTAAAAATTAAAAGTAATTGTTAGAACATCGTCACAGGTAAGATCCACTGATGAATGATAAAATTAGTGAGCAAATGTTTAGGGGACACAAGATATTTCATTAATCTCTAAGAATCTCCTCTAACATATGTATCAACTACAAAGGCAAAAAAAAACAAAAAACAAAAAAAAGCAGTAACTTTAAAGTTGGAGAAACAGGACAGACACTACCTCAACCAAGCAATTGAGATTGGAAGCACCAGCAGTACGACATATAGATATTTTGGACTCTGATATGATTCACTGGAATGATTATGTTACTTGCCTGATATTCTTGCAAAAAAATCAATATTAGACCAAACCATATTGAAATATATTTTACACAATGACTCATAAATACTCTTAAAAATGCTATAGTCACGAGACACAAGGAAAAGATGAAGAACTCTCTTGAAGGATTTTGAAGCAGACTAGGAGACATAAAAATTAAATGCAAAGTAAAAACCCAAACTGTATTGTGGAACGGAAAAAAAACAAAAAACAAACAAACAAACAAAAAAACAGAGGTAAACCATGGAAAATCAGAACAAAGTGTCCAGTAGAATTAGTACTATATTAGCACTTATGAAAGACTCTTAGTTTTGTTAATTTAATTTACTTTTAGGGCCGGGTGTGGTGCCTCACACCTGTAATCCCAGCACTTTGGGAGGATGAGAGAGGCGAATCACATGAGGTCAGGAGTTTGACATAAGCCTGGCCACATGGTGAAACCTTGTCTCTACTAAAAACACAAAACTTAGCCAGATGTGGTGGCGGGTGCCTGTTATCCCAGCTACTTGGGAGGCTGAGACATGAGAATTGCTTGAACTTGGGAGGTGGAGGTTGCAGGGAGCTGAGATCTCACCATTGCACTCCAAACTGGGTGACAAGAGTGAGACTCTGTCTCTAAATAAATAAATAAATAAATAAATAAATAAATAAAATTTTATTATACTTTTAGGATGTAAATATGAGGGGAAACTGGTTGAAAAATATATGGAACTCTGTACAATTTTTGTAACTTTTATGTAAAACTACAATCATTAGAAAATATAAAATTTTTAAGTTTTCTGGATTAATTTAAATTTTATTTTGTGTGCCTATACATTCTCCAAACATAAAGTTATGACCATTTCTTTCTGTTTGAATTAAATTTAGGAACTTACTATCATTCTTTGTGATATAATATGCATGTTTGGATATTATATATATACACATTTTCAAAGTACTTTATTTTTTAGAACAGTCTTATATATACAGGAAAAGAGAAGAGATAGTATAGTCAACTGCCTTATATCCCACAGTCACTTTCCCTATTATTAATATCTTATATTAATTAGTATATTTGCTACATTTAATGAACCAATATTGATGCAGTTGTTTTAAATAAGTATATAACTTATTGAGATCATCTTAATTTCTACCTAATGTTTCTTTTCTATTCCAGATTGCCATTCAGGATACCACATGCAATATACATTACTTGTAGTTTTCCTTTCTCCTTAAGCATCTCTTGCCTGTGAGTTTTCTTACTTTTTATACGTTTGATTACATTGGGGATTAAAGGAGTACTTGTCAGGCATTTATAAGAGGTCAATCTATTATAATTTTTCTGTCTTTTTCTCATGAGTATACTAGAGATATGAGTTTTAGGGAAGAAGATCACAGAGGTAAAATACCTTTTTTATCACCTCATAATAATGACACATACTATCAATATTATTTATGACTGTAATGTTGACCTTGATCACTCAACTGGCTGAGGTGCTGTCAGTCAGGCTTTGCCAATTTAATTTTTTTTATTTCAATAGCTTTAGGGATACAAGTGGGTTTTTTTACATGGATGAATTATATAGTGATGAAGTCTGGGATTTTAGTGTACACATCCTTCAAATAGTGTACATTGTATCCAACAAGTAGTTTTTCATCCCTCGTCCTCTTTCCACCATCTTCCTTTCTGAATCTCCAGTATCCATTACACCACTGTATATGCGTTTGCATACCCATATCTTAGATTCCACTTATAAGTAGGAACATATGGTCTTTGGCTTTCCATTCCTGAGTTACTTGACTTCGAATAATCACCTTTAATTTCACCCAAGTTGCTGCAAATGACATCATTTTGTTCTTTTATATGGCTGAGTAGTATTCCATGGTATGTATATGTATATATTTACACATATATATATACATATATACACATATATATATACATATTTTTTCTGCTCGTTTTATGCTTAAATTGCTCTTTTTTTAATTTCTTAAGGTGCAAGATAAAATAATTTATTTTAGATCTTTCTTCTATTCTATTATTTATATTTAATATTCAAATGTCCCTCTATCCACTGTTTTAACTGCATTCCACAAATTTTGATTAGTTTATTTTCATTTTTATTTATTTTAAATTTTTTTTCTTTCTTGAGACTATTTTTTGACTTATATGTTACTAAGATGTGTATTGTTTAATCTCTGGTATTTTCTAGCTATCATTTGTTATTTATTTCTGGTTTAATTATTTTGTGGTATTAGAACATTATTTATTTTAAATTTATTAAAGTGTGTTTTTATGGCCTAAAATATGGTATATTTTGGTGAACGTTTTATGTGAGTTCAAGAAGAATATGTATACATCTGTTGATGGCTGGAGTATTCTGTGCTTGCCAATTAGACCAAGTTGATTGATGATGCTATTCAAGTCAGCTATATCTTTCCTGTCTGATTTTCTGTTTGTAGGGTCTATAAATTTATGAAAACAGAGTATTCAAGTGTCCACTATAATAGTGAACAGTGTTGCAATACACATATGCATGCATATGTCATAATAATAGAATAATTTATGTTTCTTTGGGTATATACTCAGTAATGAGATTGCTGGGTTGAATGGTATTTCTGTCTTTAGGTCTGAGAAATCTCCACCCTGTCTCCCACAATGGTGGAACTAATTTACACACCCACCAACAATGCATACAGGTTTCTCTTTCTACACAACCTCACCAATATATGTTATTTTTTAACTTATTAGTAATAGCCATTCTGATTGGTGCGAGATGGTATGCCATTGTAGTTTGGATTTGCATTTCTCTAATGATCAGTGATGTTAAGCTATTTATCATATGCTTGTTGGCCACATGTATGTCTTTTGAAAAGGGTCTGCTCATGTCCATTGCCCAATTTTTAATGTTTTTTTCTTGCAAATTTGCTTAAGTTCCTTATAGATGTTGGATATTAGACCTTTGTTGGATGCATAGTTGCAAAACAATTCTCTCTTTCTGTAGGTTGTCTGTTTACTCTGTTGATAGTTTCTTTTGCTGTGCAGAGGCTCTGTAGTTTAATTAGATCCCATCTGTCAGTGTTTGCTTTTGTTGCAATTACTTTTGGCATCTTCATCATGAAATCTTTCCCCATATCTACGTCCTGAATGGTATTACTTAGGTTGTCTTCCAGGGTTTTTATAATTCCAGATTAATTTTTATTTTGTTTTAACAGATTTAATATTTTATTCCACTCTTTTCTTGTCTGCTAGGTTTGTGGTGAGAATCTAATGTTACTCTTATCATTGTTCCTCTATGAGTGAGATATTTTTGTTTGTTTTCTCTGTGGCTTTTTAAAGATATTCTCTTTGTCTTTGATTTTCTGTAGTTTTTAATATGCTATTATTCTGGGTAGATTTTTTTTTATATTTAGCTTATTCAATGTTCTCTGAGATTTCTTGATCTATAGTTGGGGTCTGGAATTAATTTTGAAAAATTTTCAGTCATTGTTTTTTCAAATATTTTTTCTGATAAATACTGCCTTTTCTTTCCTTCAAAATATTATCATTATGTGTATGTTACACATTTTGAAATTGCCCACAGTTTTGTATGTGCTGATCTATTTATTTTCCTTTTCCCCCTCCTCCTTCCCTTCTTGCTTCTCCCCTTCTTTACCTTCTTCATTACCTTCTTTACCTTTTTTTGCATTTCAATTTAGTAAGTTTTTATTAAAATATCTCGTAGCTCAGTGATTCATTCCTGGCTAGTCCTGGCTAGTATTGAGCACATCAAATGTTTCTTGTTCCTCACTACATTTTTTGTGCTTCTATTATTATTTTAATTAGCACATAATAATTGTATATATTTATAAGGCACAATGTATTATTTTGATACATATTTTGAATGTAATAAATCAGGGTGATAGCAAATTCATTATCTCAAATGTTTATAATTTCATTGGGTTGCGAGCATTCAAAATTCACTCTTCTAGCTATTTGAAAACATACAATAAATTGTTAATTATAGTTATCTTACAATTCTATAAAACACTAGAATTTATTCTTTCTATTTAGATAGAATTATATATCCGTTAATCTTCTTTTCTGTTAGTATTTTTTATTTTTAGCACTCTCTTTTGATTATTAGAACTTCCATCTCTCTACTTGTATTATCCATCTATATATTGCATATTGTCGACTTTCTCCATTAGAAACCCTCATTTATTAATTTAATTTCATGACATTTTCTGTCTGATAATTTTAATATCTTTATTATACCTGAGTGTCTACTTCAAATATTTACTTTATGTCTTCAGACTGTGTGTGACTTTTCTTATTTATTTATTTATTTATTTGCTTTTAGAATGCCTTGCAATTTCATATTGAAAGCTGGGTATGTTATGTAACAAGAACTAAGTTAAATGTCTTTAGTGTGAAGTGTACTGTTAATCTGGTTAGAATTTGGACTTTGTTTCTTATTTTAATATTTGCTTCATATTTTCCATGCATGTAGGTGCCAGATGCCTTAACTTACCTCAGTGTCCTTGCTTTTGTCTCATATATTATCTTTCCTCTTTAGAAGGACTGTGTATCTTGTAGCTCCTCCAGCTATAATCCACAATTATCCTGAAAGTCTGTTAACGTGTAGATGAGACATGGGTAAGGTAAGTGATCTGTAATCTTATGATTAAATCTCAGTCTTTTTGTGGGCCTATGTACCTGGTCTGTAATGTTAACAAGTGTTTTTCAGTCCCTCTGTTTGGTGAGGCAGGAAGAGTAGAGATGCTGGAGTTGGATTGATAAATCCAACTTTGAATGCATAAATCTCTCACAGTCTTGTATTCCTACATATAAAGCTTTTGTTATAGAGAATGTTCTAAGCCTATTTCAGAATGTTTATATTTCCCATCTCTTTACCAGGAACACAAGAGGATTTTTCCTGGTTCTTCATCATTAAGATCTGTTTGGGTTCAAGGCATTAAAACCCACAAAAGTGTAGAGGATTCCCTAATACTGTGGTCCCCAGAAGTTCGTCAGTCTCATGCTGTCACTCTCACACTCAGTACCTAGCAGTTCATCAAAACTGCCACTCAAAGGCTTTTATTAGTATATGGACTCAGCTGCTTCTGCTCAAAGTAAGCTAATCTTATCGGTAGTTTTTTTTTTTTTTTTTTTTTGTATTTGCCTGTCTCTATAGATTTTAGGTGTCCAATTGGCATTAAATTCCAATTTTTTCATGGATCCAAGAAAATCTTTAATTATCAGTTTGTTTAGCTTTCTGACTTATTGTGAGGATAGAGTGACAACTTCTTGGGTCAATCATATTTGTGACTTTTATATATTTGCCTTTTTAATTTGTAAAATGTATTGTCCTAATTGTGTCATAATATTTTATTATCATTATAATGTTTATCAAATAGGCATGGATATTCCCTTTTTGTTTCTGATTTTCAGGTTATGTATCTTTTTTCTTTAATTGTCAGGAATAGCTGTGTTACAGATATATCAATTTAATTAACTTTAAAGATTCAATTTTTATTTCATTAATAGGCTTTTTTTTGTCTATTTTCTATTTCATTGGTATGTGCTCTTATATTATTTTTTCCATCTACTTATTTTGGGTTTTATGTGCTATTATTTTATTCATTTCTTAAAGTGAGCAGTTAGCTTATTGATTTTAGGTCTTTTTTTCTCTTTCTTTCTAATGTAACCATTCAATATCACAGACTTTCCTGTGAGCACTGATAGGTTTTATATCAGTATACACTTTAAATACTTAATATTTGATAGGTTTTATATTCGGTATACACTTTGATAGGTCTTATATTCAGCATAAATCTTAAAACTTAATATTTTTCTCTGTCATTAAGTAATTTGATCAAATTATTTTACAATAAAATGTTAATTTCTAAATTGTGACTTTTACTTATAATCTTGTTAATTATTTCTAATTTAATTTCATTTTTGTCAGAGAATATACTGTTTTCCAATTTATTGAAATGTGCTTCATGATGTAACATACTGTCTACCTTGGTAGTAGTAAAATGGGCACCACCTGTTGTTATATATAATTTCTTATAAATGTGAAACTCAATGTGGTAGTAGTTTTGTGAAGCTCTCATATGATTTATTTATCTAGATGACTTGAAAATTGCTGAGAGGGAGACTGTTAAAGTCTACAATTATTGCATTACTTATTGAGTTAATTGTTAATTTTTGCTTTGTTTTTAGATTGTGTTATATACATAATTTTTTAATATTTCTATTTTTATGTGTTAACACTTTTATTATTTTTGTTAATATATTGTCTGATAATCTATTATATGTAATATTAATATAACCACTACAACCCTCTTATGCAATATTATTTACGTTCAGCCTACGTATATGAACTACATATAAAGTTCAAACTTTATATTTAAAATCTGCTTCTCTTAAGAAACATATATCTGGTTGTTGTTTGTTTATGGGCTAGTTATTGTTCTAATCTATTCTGATAATCACTGTCCTTTAATTGACCTGAATAGTCCATTAACTTTTTACTATGATTGTTGTTATTGTTGGGTTTGGGTCAAACTTTTATTATTTGATTTCTACTTGACTTTCTTGTTTTCTTCCTTTATTTGTCCTGTATATCCTTTCTTGCATTTTAAAACTTATTTGAATGCAATTTTTTACTTTAAATACTTATATAATTTATAAAACAAATTATGGGAAAAAGCACAGAAGAAAAACATTATTTTTATTTGCCTGGATATTTATTGTGTTGATGCTTTTTCATTTCTTCCTGTGGATCTATTATATTCTTCATCTGCTATCATTGTCTTTCAGCAATACTTATTTGGCTCCTTCGGAATTCTTTGTTCACAATCTTAAAAAAATATTTAAAAAGCATCCATTTTTCTTCAGCTAATAATGTAAAAACGACTGCATTGACATGGTTAAATTCCCAGCACCCTCAGTTCTTCAAGGATGAACTAAATGGCTGGTATCATCCCTTATAAAAGTGTCTTCAACTTGACGGAGCTTATGTTGAGAAGCAAAATAAAATTTATAGTTTTATCTCATAAAAAAAAGAGTTTCCTTAAATATTTGTTTAGTGCTAGTATAATGAGGAAAACTTCTCATAGTTTAATTTTATGAGAAAATTTTATTTTTGGGGGATATAAAATTCTGGGTTGATAATTCCTTAATTTTGTCACATTAAAGATATTTCTTCACTCTCTTTCTAGGCCTCTATAGTTTCTGATGACAAATCAGCCATTGATCAAATCATTGTTCCTCTGTATAAAATATGTCACATTTTTTCTTTAGCTGCTTTTGAGAGTTGCTTTTATTTTTTAGTTTATGACCATTTGACTATGGGATTTCTCAGAGTGGTTTTCTGTGGTGTTTATTCTAACTATTTGCTGAATTTCTTGTGTCTATAAAGTTATAACTTTCTTATAGTTTGGGAATATTTTATCTATTATTTTCTAAATTTTTTTGCTTTGATCTCTCTCTACTATCCTTTTAAAATTTTAATTACACGTGTGTCTGATATTACATTAAAAGTTGATGAGACTGTTTTTCTCCCTCTGTTATTTACCTGGAATATTTTCTATTAATCTATTTTCTACTTCATTTAAAATGTAATTGTCATCTTTCATTGGATGTTAAGACTCCAGAGTGATTTTCTTTCCTATATTATTTAATCCAGTCTATCTAGAATTTCTATCTTGTCCTTTTTATCATTTCTATTTCTCCTGAGAGTTTATATATTTCTTTCATTTAATGAGCCTATTTGATATTACATCATTGAATACACTAATAATAGTTGCTTTAAAACTTTTATTTGATAGTTTGAATATATAGTTTACCTTTATGCAGACTATGTTTTTTCTTTTCTCTTGGAAATGCATGCCATTTTCATGATTCTTTGTGTGTCATGTAGTTTTAGATTGTGTTTTGGACATTATGAATATTAAGTTATAATTATTTGGGTTCACATATTTCTCTGATGATTTTGTTTCTTTTATTTTTTCAGGTGATTTTCTTGCTTATGCTTAAACTATAAACTATTTTCACAAAAGGCAGCTTCAGCAACAGTTCAGAATTTTTGCCTCTAGGTGAACTACTCTGAGTCTGTTCTATGTATGCACGGCTCAGATATCAGTGAAAAATATAGGAAGACATAATTTGGGCATCTTTTCTCTGCCTCTTTTCTTTTTGAGTTTCCCACAATTATTGTTATGATGGTCTTCTGCCAACAGTCTTCTGTTTCCCCAACTTAGATTACAGGTTTTTCTACCAGTGATACTCCTGACACTGAAAATGCAATTAGTTCCAGGATAAAAGCCACAGAAATGAGGAGATAACTTTATACTGCTTTTCTCCTCTAAGAGTATACTATTCTCCAGTATCTGCCTGCTTCTATTAATATCTAAAGTCTTCAGGTTGTTTCCTAATATATGATGGCTTTATAGTTGTTTCCATGGTGAAGGTTCTTTAGGAGGGTCTTACTGCAGCATAATTGGAATTCTTAAGTTGAGAAATGTTTTTCTAAATGATAAAAGCCATGCAATTATTGCATTTATTTAATAAAAATAAATGTGATGCAAAAAAGAGCATAAATCTTGTTCAGTTTTCAATTTTTAAGAAAATATCTCTTTCAGGTTAGTAAGCTGTTAGTTACTGAATTATTCACAAGAGTATTGCCAAAAAGTGTTATTATAGTCAGATGTCTAACTGCACTAATATTTCCTACAAAATAGCTTATTTCTTAGAATGACATAAGCTATTTAATATTATACATTATACAGAATACAGAGAAAGTAAAACACTAAACAATGATCAAATAGTGGTATTCAAGAACTTGAAATTCTTGCATGATTTATAAGAAGCTATTTAGAGTTCTTATTTTGTAATTACCATTTGCCTTTGCAAAAAACTGGTATCAGGAAATAAGTTGTTTAAAACTTGAAATAATTTATTCACTAAATCCACATATTACTAGTGAACAATTATAATAACATTGTATATTATCATTTTAAGTTACTCACTTGTGCAAGTATTCTGTGATATTCAGAAAGTCATTTTTCACAGATGTCGTTTTGATCCTCCTGAAACCAATTTCATTCTACTTTGCCTGACAATATCAGTCAATTCAAAATGCTCTAATAAAATACCATAGATTGGGTGGTTTGGGGTGGTTTAAACAATGGACACTTATTTCTAACAGTTCTAGAGACTAGGAAGTTCAAGATTAAGGTGCCAGCAGATTTGGGTCCTGGTGAGGACTCTTCATGACTAGCAAATGCCAGCCTTCTCATCGTCTTCACATGGTAGAGCTCTTGTGTCTCTTCCAGTTCTTATAAGGGCACTGAGTCCCATTATGAGGTCTTCACCTTTATAACCACATCTAAATCTAACTCTAATTATCTCTTAAAGGCCCCATTTCTTTTTCTTTTTCTTTTTTTTTTTTTTTTTTTTTTGCAGAGTCTTGCTCTGTTGCCAGGCTGGAGTGCAGTGGCGTGATCTTGGCTCACTGCAACCTCCACCTCCTGGGTTCAAGCGATTCTCCTGCCTCAGCCTCCTGAGTAGCTGGGACTACAGGCGAGCACCACCACAACCAGCTAATTTTTGTATTTTTAGTAAAGACGGGGTTTCACCATGTTGGCCAGGATGGTCTCAATCTCCTGACCTCGTGATCTGCCCGCCTCGGCCTCCCAAAGCGCTGGGATTACAGGCGTGAGCCACAGTGCCCAGCCTAAAGGCCCCATTTCTAAATACCATTATCACATCAGGAGTAAGGTAAGACTTCAACATATGAATTTCGGAGAGATGAAATACAATTTATAGTACTGATTTTCCCTATATTATTTTCAAAATTATATAGCTTTAAATAGGCATTGCACAAATATCTTTGCATGTGTGTATATAAGAATAAGAGATGCATTCATAACATTTTTCAAACCCTCAGTAACTGATGGCTCAGATTCTGTTTAAAAATCTAATTAAGGTTGTAGATACTCACAGAAGGGCTTCCAAACATCCCTTTATGATGTCTGTTGTACGGGTTGTCACAACATGAATTATTTGGTCACAGTTTTTCAGAAAAATATAGATTATTATGACCTAACTTCTTTCTTCTTCTTTTAACAGGTAAATATAAACTTAAAATTACAAGTCTCACTTCTATGAAAAAACATAAAATAGAGGGAAAATAATTCTATCATAACTTACTTTAAATCTAGAAAAGTTTTCAAGAAGAATTTCAGGGCTATTATTTTTAACGTAAGACATTATATCTCATATCTATAAGAAGCAAGGTTATATTTCAGGCATGTTGAATTTTGGGTGAAATCAAACTCTTGAAATTGCAATAATGCAGTCTTTCCATTGTAATTTTTGTGATTTCGTTCAAAAGCATGTGGGTCTTCCTCATACCATTCAGTGTTTTAAAAGTTCAAACTCCTCACATTTGTTATATTTATATAAGTATGTTTTAAACACAGCACAATGAATTTGCCGATAACCCTCATAATCTGTCTTACATAGCTTTTGTAGAAATTATAGCAATGCTTAGTATGATTACTAAACAAGGTCATTTTGAAAATAATTTGTGATAAATGTAATGGAAATTGCTTTGAAAACAAAAGCATTATACAAATGCTGGTAATTATACAATTTTATAATTGTCTTATTCCTGAATTAGAACCACCAGCCTTTTAACTGGAACAGTCTTCTCTATGCTCTTGAAACTCATCAAAGCTGTTTCTCATACTATATATCTATATATTTGCCTATATTATTCCATCTCTCATGGTGTGTAGTTCCTTCTTTCCTCCATCAATCCATGTTCAATCACTACTTTTAGGATGAAGCGCTTGAGTTACTATTTTTCTCCAATTATTCTAGTATTCATTTATCTTACTGCTATATACTTTTTCTCTTATGCGGCAACGTATTCTGTGAAAATATTCATTTTGACTTGAACAAAGACTAACATATGTTTTAGTCATATCACAAAGCTTCTTTCTGTAGTTGCCATTACCACCTGAAAGAAAACTTCTACATACCTGGGGAGCTTGTTACAGATTGCATACTGCTTTTTTTTTTTTTTTTTTTCAGAGTCTCGCTCTGTCTCCCAGGCTAGACTGCAGTGGTGTGTTCTCAGCTCACTGCAACCTCCACCTCCCTGGTTCAAGCAATTCCCCTGCCTCAGTCTCCCGAGTTGCTGGGATTACAAGCTCCCACCACCACACCCAGATAATTCTTGTGTATTTTTAGTAGAGACGGGTTTTCACCATGTTGGCCAGACTGGTGTCGAACTCCTGACCTCTGGCAATTTGCCCGCCTCAGCTTCCCAAAGTGCTGGGATTACAGGCATGAGCCACCAAGCCCAGCTGCATACTGCTTTTAATTGAAAAAGATTTTATAATAGTCAGGCTACTTTTTAAACAATGTCTTAGCAAGTAGAGGGCTAATGCAGTTTAAAAAAGGATATGTTCTCTTGCCAATGAATATAGATTTTTATATGTTCTTTGAGAAATCAATTTATGATTTTTATGTAGGTGTACATTTAATGTAAAAAGAATACTTACATTGGAAGAATGATTTTATTAGTAAATCTCAATAACAAACCTGTCATTTTAATGAACTAGAATATAACTGAACTCTTAAGAATTACAAAGTTAACATTTATTTTTGAATTAATACAAAGCTTAGATTTGAGTACATTTTGAATTTAAGAAAGATTGTCTTTGTTGGTTTGTTGGTTTTGTCTTCTGAAATCTCTTACCATTACTTTTGGAAAAATTATTGTCTGAAAACACCTAATAATGAAAGAAAAATAAAAAACAAACAAAAAGACAAAAAGTTTTGTGAACACAGTAAAATATTAAAAGTAATGTTTATTCTCAAAAGTTTGAAAATAAGTAAAGCAAAAATATTCAACTTCATATTACTTAAATACAATAGTATAAATATATTAATTTAGATTTCATGTCATTAGAAGGAACATTCTAACAAATAGAAGTATCTAAAAAGTTAAGTTGTGCCTTACAGAACACTGACATTCCTATCCATGAAATCAAAGCATTTATGCAATTAAAGCAAACACAAATTGATTTTCAGTAAGAGTTATGGTAGGAAGATTACTCAAGTGTTATGTAGTCATAATGACAAAATTTTCTTTTTACTCGTGTGTGTGTGTGTGTGTGTGTGTGTCACTGACAGCTGGGGAGCTAGACCATTGGACATGAGAGCTAACAGAAGAAAAGGAATGGACTACATGATTAAGTATTGATTAAGAACAAGTAAATGGATTGGTAAAATAAATAAGACCCAATGTGACTGGAGGTTATATGTTTGTAAATATTTCCAATGCCATTTTTTCTTGTCCTTAGCAAGTTCAGTAGCTCAGATTCCTGGACCAGAGTGTACAATTATAGAATCGATCAAAAGGTAAGAGGTAGTGGAATGAGAGTGGTAAGAAGAGTATGGAGCAATGTGGTTGGGGTGCTGTCAAGAGAGCAGTGATGTGATGCACCCTTTAAGATGAGGTCCTGCAGCTTGGGATATATTGGCTGAAATAGGTTGAAAAGAAAGAATGGGAGAAATAACAATGAGAGGGCAAATGTCAAGTGAGAAACCTACATACTAATATGTGGAAGTATAAGAAATTATTTAATTATACTACCAAAAGAAGGAACTTATATATACTTATAGGATAAAGGAGCAATAACAGTGGGGAGAAAGATTAATAAACCACCCAGAGTCCAGATGTCTTGGATTTTAAATGCTGCATCATATCAAAAATAAACACTCAAGTGTTTATTTTTCAAGAATTTGAACTTTAAAACCTGTGAAAGAGCCAATTACATGTGCATTTTTCACCAAAACATGAAAAATGTTTTGTTTTTTATTGGCAATTCAAGGGAAGCATTTTATATTCTTAAATAACAGAGGCAAGTCACTTCAATGTGTTTTGTCAGTAAATAATCAGGCCCTTCACTAGGTCAAGTTTTAGAGTCAAGGACAACTGTTAATGCTTAGTTCAGAGCACTTACAATGTTTTCTCCATTGTAAGTACATCTTCCTACATCTAGGAAGATGTAAACCAACTGTCTCTTATTATTTAAAATCACCATAAACATACTGTATATGAAACTAATGAGAAACCTCTTTTGCCAAAATGTCCGGCAATAACTGCTTACTGAACTCTCAAAAAAGACACATCAAATAAATAAATAAGTAATTTCATGTCACTCTAGCAACCTTCCTTTGGGTTAATAAGCACCTTGAAGAGTAGGAAATAAGTATTATTTCATTAAGAGTGGTTATAAATAATATCTATCTAAAGCCAGTATTACTATATTATGAACACACACACACACACACACACACACAATTATATCCAGAAAGATAATGCAGATCTTATATGAAAATATTCTCATTTTGCAAATCAGGGAATCATGTCTGGAGATGAGCTATTTTCAAAGTAAAAACAGGTACTTATGAGTAGAATATTTGACTCAAAAGCTGAGATTTTCGTTTCCAACTTCCAGGACTATAACATATTATTTGTGTTATTTGCCTAGACTTCAAAGGATATATGGAAATGCCTGGATGTCCAGGCAGAGGTGTGCTGCACAGGTGGAGTCCTCATGGACTCCGCCCCCAAGTAGAGTCCCCACTGGGGCACTGCCTAGTAGAGTTGTGAAAAGAGGGCCACATTTCTCCAGAGCCCAGAATGGTAGATCCACTGACAACTTGCACCTTGTGTCTAGAAAAGCCTCAGACACTCAATGCCAGCCTGTGAAATCAGCCAGAAGCAGGGCTGTTCCCTGCAAAGCCACAGGGGCAGAGCTGGCCAAGGCTGTGGAAGCTTACCTCTTGCATCAGCATTACCTGGATGTGAGACATGGAGTCAAAGGAGATCATTTTGGAACTTTAAGGTTTAATGACTCTCCTATTGGATTTCAGACTTGCATGAGGCCTGTAAGCCCCTTCATTTCGGCCAATTTATTCCATTTGAAATAGGTGTATTGGCCCAATTTCTGTACTCCCATTGTATCTAGGAAGTAACTAGCTTGCTTTTGATTTTACAGGCTCATAGGCAGAAGGGATTTGCATTGTCTCAGATGAGACTTCAGACTTGGATTTTGAGTTAATGCTGGAATGAGTTAAGACTTTGGGGAACTGTTGAAATGGCATGATTGTGTTTTGAAATGTAAGAACATGAAATTTGGGAAGGGCCAGGGCTGGAATGATATGGTTTGGCTGTGTCCCCATCCAAATCTCATCTTGAATTGTAGTTCCGATAATCCTCAAATATCATGGGAGAGTCCCAGTGGGAGGTAATTGAATTATGGGGGTGGTTACCCCCATGCTGCTGTTCTTGTAATAGTGAGAGTCTCACTAGACCTGATGGTTTTATAACGAATAGTTCCCTGCACACATTATTTTGCCTGCTGCCATGCAATATGTGCCTTTGCTCCTCTTTCACCTTCCACCGTGGTTGTGAGGCCTCCCCAGCCATGTGGATCTGTGAGTACATTAAATCTCCTTTGCTTTATAAATTACCCAGACTCAGGTATGTCTTTATTAGCATCATGAGAACAGATTAATACACTAGTTGATGGGGGGTAAGAATCAGTTCAAAGAAAAGAAAGCAGAATAAAGTAATTAGGATTTCCTAAATAGGATTTGGATTTGAGCCAAGTTCACTTGCCACTAACATGCCAGATTCTGAATGAAGCTGAGTCTTCGGGAATAGTTTTCAGACAATTATCCCTAGTGAAAGATTTGGATGGAGCTACATATATCAAAACACTGCATACAAACTTATTTTTCCTACCTCTATAAGGAAAATATTCATTTCTTTTCTTCCTCTGTAAATGTATTTGTTTATCTGTGAATACTTCCACCCTGGACAATTTATTTCTACAAATGGAAGGTGAGAATTTCCTATCTTTGTTCACTCTCATAAAATTTGCATTGAAATGCACACCTATTTTCTTAGATCTATCTTAGTCCATCTAGCTTGAAAGGGATATGTAGCTAAATACATTAATAATATTAATAATACTTAAAGTCTACTGAACACATTTTATGCCAGGCACACTTTGTGCTATATATGTATTCTTGTTTGGTCCTTAACAAAAATCCTATGGATTGGTAATATCCTTATCTCCATACTAAAAATAAAAATACAAAGTAACTTGTGCAAAATTCATATCCCCTGCATTCTCACTTCAAAACTTGCATGTAGATAGAATTTCCTGGAGTTTTGTTTCTAGAATAGTTGGGTAAATAGCACTCTTACCTATCTTTTTTTTTAACTTTACTGACTCTAATAATATCTTTTCATTATTCTTAAAATTTGCATTTTACATGCAAAACACCCTCTAAATTATAGGCTACGTCAGGGGCCCCTATTTTGTGTTTCCATTGCATTATGGACTTGTGCAAACATATTTTATTTTAATTACTTGATTAATTGTTTTTACCACTAGACTTTCAGCAGGAATCTTGTCCATCATCATTTTTATTATATCTTAAGACTATTGTATAGTGTCTGGAGCACAGCCAGTATTTCCTAAATATTTACAGAATGAATCAGTAAGAAAAAAAAAAGGCTGACAAAGGAATGTCCAAGAGAAGGTGAGAACTTGAGTTGTTTATATTATTTGTCCATCGTTTATGTTATTTATATTATTTCAATAATATAAAATATATTATATATTGTAACTTTAACTTTTCAGTAGCTCAAGAAGTAAGGACCTTCTGGTATAGGCAGAAAAGCTTGAGGATATGTTTACTCCATATCATTAACTTCCTCATCCTCCCAAATAGGTAAAATCTTGTATTTCAATCATATGGATAGTTCAGTATTAGTTCATATAAAAAGGGTATGAAGTAGATGTACTTAAATTGTTGTGGATAATTCTTCCTTGCTCTATTTCAATTCCAGTCACAAAGAGTGTTCAGGTCATAGTTTCCAGATACATCTCAGTTTTTATAACTAAATGGATCTCTGTGCTTTAAAATATCTGGAAAGAAAACCAACTTCATTAATAAATGGCCTTAACTGATAAACTGCCACAGCAATATGGTTATATAGTTCACTTTAAAATGATGCTGTAAATATTGAACTTTAGAAGAATATTTAATTAAAATTCCTTTTTTCTTTTCCAACAACAGCTTTATTACCATACTTCTTCTATTGTACCTAAAATACAATGAATATAAAATGCACATGTGAATTAATGAATTATCTTGTAATTAGTTGTTCATATTTCTGTTTCTTCAATTAAAACATATACATTCAGAAACAGAATCCACTTTTGATTTTCTATTAATCTCTACTACCTAGAAAAGCATTGAATCACAAATAGTACTGTAATCAATATTTGTGAATCAATGAATAAGCATCCTCATTTTATCCCCATTTTTTTATTGTAATTTTTCCATCTCTTTTTCTGCAGCCAGTATTAAAGCTTACTTAACTTGAAGGCCGTGAATAGGAAACTGTGTTGAATAGAATAATGACCCTAAAGATGGCATGTCTTAATCCTCAGAACCAGTGAATATGGTAGGTTCCAGTGCAAAGAGGTATTAGGTTTGCAGATTAAGTTTGCAGAGGAGTATTAAGGTTGTGAATCATCTGATCTTCAGATAGTGAGATTATCCTGGATTATCTGGGTGGGACGAATATCATCAAAAAGGTCTTTAAAAGTAGATGAGATGAGACAATCAGAGGAGAAAGCCAGAGATTGGGTAGAGTGAGAAGGACTCAGCCCAATGTTCTTGGCTGTGAAAATGGAAGAAGAGGCTCATGGGACAAGGAGAATCTCTTGTAGTTGGAAAAGGAAACAGCACAGAATACCCTACAATACATGAAAGGAATACATGTCTCCAACACTTTGATCTTCGTTCAGTGAGATCAATGTCATGCTCTTAACGCAATGGAAAGATAATAAATGTGTGCTGATTTAAGCTAATACATTCATGGTAATCTGTTACAGTAGTAATTAAAATGTTAATATGGGGTGGTGGCATGTTCTGCTTCTATGCTGATTTCCCAGGAGTTTCTTCTCATGTGCCATCACTCTGGCCTTTTTTATTGTATGTGGCCTGAGACTTTCTGTGCCATGAAGCCTCCTTTCTCACCAACCACATAACACTTGATATTGTTTCCACATTGCCCAATTGGGGGAAAAAAGTCAGTTAAAAGTGAAGAAGAAAAAGATGATCGGAAATGTGAATACCTCAAAAACCCAACCTTTTCACAATGTTAATGACATTTTCTTTTTCTACATTGACAAATATAAATTATATATATTTAAGGTGATTATACGCACACACACACTTAGTGAAGTGATTACCACAATCAAGTTTGCTAACATATTCATCATCTCACATAGTTAATTGTGTGTGGTAAAAATACTTAACATCAACTCTTAGCAAATGTTGGCTTCTCAGTTAATGTACAGTGAAAAACTTTGTAAAGAAAATGGATTCCAAAAAAAATAAAATTTAAACTCAAGTTTGTATAAAGACTATTGAGTCATTTTTAAATTACATAACTTTAATATGAATTTAACAAAGCAATATCTAAACAAAGACTTTTCTATACTTTTATTCAGATGAGACAAGTTTCAGATTTGCATATTTAGGTCATTGTAAAGGCTCTTTTCTGTGAAATATCAATAATTAGTGCAATGAAGCTGGAAAGATCTTGCTTTCAGTGCTCTGGCTCATTTATGACCTGTTCATGCTAAAAGTTTTAGTGGAAACGTTTAATTCTTTCATTCTATATGCAATCCTGGAGCTATTATGATATTTTAATGTTTTCTCATATTATCTTTCTGCTTTTTTTATTTGCACAGAAACTATGTAATTTAACGTTAAAAAATCCTTACAAATGATAAATGATGAAATAATACTATATTTTAAGTGGCATCTCTACCCTGATTACTATGCTTGACTATTTTCACATATTATAAGCACATTCTAATTTTACTTCTTAGGTGACACAAGATACATGAATAATTCTGAAAACAGAATGGACTCTAAAAAATAAATCTAAACTAACAACAAAAAACAAACCCTGAAAATTAAAACAAAGAATTTATTTTAGTTTCTATTTTTTTAATAGACAAAGGATGCCTAGGTGATATATGTATAGTGAAAATACTTAGAACTTAGGTTATACATAAAGGGCAAATTGACTAGACGATAAGGGATGATAAATGGATGGAATTTGAAAGATAAGGATGCATGGGAGAATGGGAATAAGAATGTAGAAGAGAAGAAAACACTCATATTTAGGTAGCTTGTCAAAGGAGTATAAAGAGAATCCTGAAATATTGACTTAATTACTGAAATATTTGTAACCTATTTCTTTGTTTCTTTCCAGTCCACTCTATTTCTGACCATAAGAACTTAGATAATCAAAGCACCTATATGTCATTTTCTTCATTTCTAAATTATACACTATAGATTATATACTTTTAAGATTGTGGTGTCAGAAAAAAATGATGTGAAGCTCAACCATTATTTGTGTTTATATACTTAGAAAAATACTTGTATGCTACTATGGTCATATGTTATCAAGATTTTGAGAAAAAAATACCCCCAAATATTGCACTATTTTAGGAAGCTATAACAATTTCCTGTGAAAAGCAAGTATCCTGCTGCTGCTGAAAAAGTTCTCCCATAAGTCTGAATACATAAACTTGTCCATTATATTTTCCAAAATAACTTAAATTTGTGAAGGTTAGTTCATCTCAAATTTAGGCTAAATAATTAAGGCACTGTGACTTTTATGGGAAATTAGGGAAAAAATACTATTAATACTAAAACTCAATTTGCCAGAAAACATTTTCTTTAGTTGTATATGGATTTGCACTTGAAATAATTTTAGTTGTATTCTAATGAGAAGAAAGTACCAGAGCCTGAGGCAGGGCAAAGAGATAGCAACTCTCACACTGGTTTTGCATTATTTAGGAAATATAAAAAAGTAGATTGTGTCATTAATGCAACAATTTTCTGAGTAAACTCAACTTTTCTAGACAGGTCTTCAAATTTCAGTTGATGTTATGAGAACTGTGAATCAATAAAAAAGGAGATAAAAAGTATTTATTTAAAATGTTAAGAAAACCTGGTGTTTCAATGAACTCCAATTTAGGATTGTACCTTTTTTAAAAAGTTACTTAGATTATGGTTACAAAACCATTTGGAAACACTGGCTATTCACCAAACACATGAAAATAATTATCCATCCTGTTGAATCACCAAAGGTGGAATATCAACACTTCATTATTTAGGCAGAGAGAGCCTCTTCTAGAAGGAAATATAAGGAAATGGGAAACACAGCCACTACCAACAGTTGTGTCTTAATTAAGTTATCTACATTTTGATCCAGTGGAATAAAACACACATTCCAAGTAAAACAATAATTTATACTAAGGCTGGGGAGGATAGTGTGGTTGTTAAGAGTACACAGTCAGTATGAAGGAACAGGTGTTGAATCTCCGCAGACTACTGCTCTCCTTAACTATTTTAAACTGACTTATTATAGAAAGGATTTCAAATTGGGAAAACAGTTTTATTTACATAGATTTGCCTATTTTTAAGGAAATGACCAATTTGCAGTGAAAGACAAAATTCAATTGTTTTGAATTATAGATTATTTATTTTATTAACATTTAACTCTGCTATCAGCATAAAAATATAATGTCTCTCTAATGAATGGTTTACGGTTGCTAGGAATTTTTTTATTGTTGCATAATTTTTGTACAATTTTATGAGGTACATGTAATATTTTGCTGCATGCATAGAATGTGTAATGACCAAGTCAGAGTAAGTTACCAAAACACATTTAAAAAATATTTTCTAATTTGTAAATTAAAGGTATACAGAGTTTCTACCTCTTCAAATAAATTGAGGACTAACCGTGGTAATGAAATACTTTAGTACACTGAATGCAATACATCTTTTGAGGATGATTGTTATTGTTGTTGCAGTGGCACATGAAACTATCTACATGATGCACGCAGCCTAAAATTCATATCAGGCATGGTCATCATTAGAATGCCAATGTGATATGTACATGGTAATGCATCATGTGTCAGGAGGGTGCATCTGTACTGCTTTTTCAGGAAAATTGAATCTTTACTAGCATCAAAAAATAAGGTATTTAATATACAAATTATAGCTTACAAGAATGTGGGAGAAGCTTAGGTCAGTGAAGGTCTGAAAGATCATACTCAATCACTAAGACCTCAGCCAAATCTCAGAACCAAGAGTATAGAAGCCAGAGTATAATGAGAATATGGAAGCCAAGAGAGTATAGAAGAAGTTGGCTGAATTGCTCCTCCCTCTATCTGTCACTATGAAGAAGGGGCGTTCTTGAGGGAATTCTGCAAAGCTTATCAAGTCACAACATGATCTTCTGGAGGGCTCTGCAAAAATTTTCCATCTGGCTTCTATGACCTTTTGAGCGGCAGAGTATCTTCTTTGTCACTTCTGCCTTTCAAATCTTACTCGACTTGTTCCTCCTTGGCAAACTCTATCCCATAACCTAGTGTGGAAAGGGATTCTAGGAAGCATTGTTTCTAGTTTTAGATGGCAGTCAGGTGGTGTTAATAGTAAATAATGGGCACATTATGGAATATACTATGACATATCCATAGATCTAAATCTAGATATAGATATATAGTTTCTTTGGATACTTACAAAATTAAGATTTCTCAGCTAGATTTTCAGATATTTTCCACTGATTTCTTTATTTTTTTAGTGGGACTTGGAAGCAATCTTCACTTTTTAATATCTGTGCTATAAAGGGCAAATGCTTTTCTCACAGTACGGTTGGTTTCCCAGCCAAATGTCAGGTTCAAATGATGAATTTGCTTGATGTCTTATACACACCATGAAGATTCAATTTTTCAATAAACCATTATGACCACTTTCTATTTAATAATTTAATGATTTCCAATATGTATTTTAAACTGAAATTAGTCATGGGCAGAAAAAAGTCACAGTGATAATAAAATAATTAATATTATAATTTCTTGATAGTTTATTATGTATGAAGCAGAGACTAAGGTTTTCTATATTTTAACTCATTAAATTAGCATTTTAATCATTTTTCTTACTTTAAAGTAGTTTTTATCAACCCCTCTTATAAGTTGAATAAAATGAAACTTAAAAATTGTAAATAACCTTTACAAATTCAAAGAGCTAATTAATTTAGATATGATTTGGATACAAACTCAAATTTGTGCTATGATGAGTTATTTAAAGCTCATAAACCTCTAAAATAATTTTGAGTATGACCAGAAATGTTTATGTAATGGGAGTGTGTTTGGGGAGAGGCATATGGAAAGGCTGGGTACCAAGACAGCCATTTATTTTTAAGAAAGTTTGCCTCCTTGAAACAGCATATTTTTCTAGACCCCAAACTCTTCTTTAAAAAGATCCTTCTACTCATGATGGCTTTCTTTTTTTTTTAATTATACTCTAAGTTTTAGGGTACATGTGCACTATTCACAATAGCAAAGACTTGGAACCAACCCAAATGTCCAACAATGATAGACTGGATTAAGAAAATGTGGCACATATACACCATGGAATACTATGCAGCCATAAAAAAGGATGAGTTCATGTCCTTTGTAGGCACATGGATGAAGCTGGAAACCATCATTCTCAGCAAACTATCGCAAGGACAAAAAACCAAACACCGCATGTTCTCACTCATAGGTGGGAATTGAACAATGAGAACACATGGACACAGGAAGGGCAACATCAAACACGGGGGCCTGTTGTGGGGTCGGGGGAGGGGGAAGGGATAGCATTTGAAGATATACCTAATATTAAATGATGAGTTATTGGGTGCAGCACACCAACATGGCACATGTATTCATATGTAATTAACCTGCATGTTGTGCTCATGGAGACCTTCTAATACTTCCTGAAAGCTATAAGAAATATTTCATTACTAAACAAAACTCCGTTATTCTAAACAATCAATTTTATAAAATAAGTCAAAGTGCCAGTTTAACACCATTTGAAGCAGTTTGCTAGAATAAAATTATTCTCTGCTATTTTTATTTTTAAAATTTTAAGCAAAACATTGATGATTTTAAATACACTGTTTTTTAAACATACATGGTAATGATTTTGAAATAGCTCGAAGATTTTGATTATCAAACATTTTATTTATACAGATATTAGAATGTTTTGCAATACAATATTAATTTACCTAAGAAATTATCTCACAAGGAATTAAAACGTGTTTGTAACTACACTTACTAGTTTAAAAGCTTGACAAATGACAACCGTGGGAACAAAATCTTTAAAACCATGGACGGATTGGCTGAACATATCGTCTCTCAGGTCAGAAACAACAGCTGTGCATATACATTAAGACAAAATATGAGTCGAGAGGAACAGATAACAGCAAATATGTCTGTCATTTTAAGTTGAAGGATACGAGAACTCTTAATTTTTTTTTCTTTCCTGCATTCTGCTCATAGGCCAATATACTCTGTCAATGAGTAACAACCTGTCATTCCTTATTTATTTTTTTTTTTCTGTTTCTGCTGCTCTTCCACAATATAGTTCTTCTCCATGTCTGCTCAGGTCCTTGATACAATTCATCCTGCCATATGAAGCCAAATCTGAGGAGCAGGTATGATTCTCTTTCTGCACTGTCCCTTTCAATCTTTAGGATCTCCATTAAGCTTGTTCTACTTTTGAACTATTCTCTTCTTTCTTAAAAACTACAATAAAAGTATTCATCATACTCTTGCCTAAATTTTACACCTCATCCCTCCACCCCCGCGCACTGCCCCCCACAATTTATTTACTTGAATGTAAGCTGACTGAGAGTTTAACATGAAATGAAAATCTCCATATGGAAGACCCTAGTTAAATTGGCTTCCCCAGAATTAGCCAGTCTTTAAAATGGCTCATACAGCCATTCAAGCCCTGGTTCCTGCGTACTTCTCTGACTTCATTGTCCATCATTCCATTGTTTGTATTCTCTTCTCCTGTTGCTTGATTCTTCTCATCTTTCTCATCCTTAAATCTTCTCACCAACTATAACCTCTTCCTTGATAATCTCCTGCTCTCTTTTCCTGAATAAATCTTATTTTTTTTCAGATATCTGCTGAAAAGTCATGCTCTCCACATGCACTTCAGGAATTTTTGCCTACTTATCAGGTTCCCCATTTTGTTTAGTTGAAGTAGGTGCTCCTACAGTATCTACTACTTCTGCTACCACAGCATCACGTTTTTTTTTGTATTATGTTTTCATTGCCTGCTTTCTCTTTTATATTGTAAGCTCCTTGAAGAGAGGACCATGTCTATCTTGCTATTCATTTCAAATTTAATTCCTAGCAGAGAGTCTAAATAATTATTTGCTAAATGAATATTTCAAATTTGTAAATTCTTTACATAGACTTTCCTTACCTTCTTGCTTACACATATAAAAATTGTCAGGATTATCAACATTGAAGTCAAAGTCATGGGGATTTGGAAATTTTCAGAGGAGACATACTGTATTTGTATAAGATATCAAACATATTACATTAAAGTAAATATAACTCAAAATCATAATTATAGTTATATTTTTCTAGCTAAATGTTAGGTTTGTTAATGAGAATAAGATCACATATACTTGTGTGTGTTTGTGTGTGTATGAAAACCAGTTTAGCCAATACTACGTTTACTACTTAACAAGTACCTCAAAGATATAGTAGAGAGAAAAACTCTAGAAATAACAAATATCCTAAAATAAAACAAAGAACTTGTATATAAATATGGCTAATAGTAAACCTAGAAAAAAAGCTGAGAGAAAACCAAATTGGAGTAACTAATGTATTTGATTAAAAAAAAATCAGCCTCCAAAACAAAATATAAATTTTCTTGGCCAGATGAAGTCTCTGAAACACCATTTCGGCATGCTGTGAACTCAATAACAAAATTGTCCCAAATAAATATTGACTTAGAGAGGAAAACAGCTATAGCATTTTATTCTTAATTATAATTATAAGTAGAGTTTAAACAAATTTTCTAGCTTCATTGAGGTATAACTGGCAAATAAAATTTGTATATATTTACTGTGGGTAAAGTGATATTTTGATATATGCACTCACTGTTAAATGTTTATTATAATCAAGCTACTTAAATATCCTTAACATCACATAGCTACCCTTTGTGTGTGTGTGTGTGTGTGTGTGAGGGTAGGGGGAGTGGTGGTGAGAACATTTAAGATTTACATTCTCAGCAATTTTCAAGTTTACAATGCATTATTACGATAGTGACCATGTGGTACAACAGATGTCCAGAATTTATACATCTTTTCCAGCTGAAACTTTGTACCTTTGACTAAAACCTATCCATTCTCCAACTCCTCAGCCCCTGGAAATCACCACTCTACTCTCTGCTTCTATGAGCTCCACATTTTTTAATTCTATGTATAAGTGAGATCATGCAGTATTTGTCTTTCTATGCCTGCCTTATTTTACATGGCATAATGTTCTCCAGGTTCATCCATGTTGCTGCAAATGACAAGATTCCTTGTTTCTAAAGGCTGAGTAATTTTCCATTGTGTGTATACCATATTTTAAAATTCCATTCTTCCATTGATGGGCAATTAGATTAATTTTGTATTTTAGACATTGTGAATAATGCTGCAATGAACATGGGAGTCCACATGTCTATTTTAGGCACTGATTTTATTTTCTTTCAGTACATGCACAGAAGTGAAATTGCTATATCATATGGTAATTCTATTTTTAATTTTTTGAGGTACCTCCATACTGGTTTTAATTATGGTTCTACTTATTCACATTCCTACCAATAGTATACAAGTGTTTCCTTTTACTCACATCCTTTTCAAAAGTTGTTATCTTTCCTCTTTCTGATAATCTCTGTTTTTACAGGTGTGAAATAATAATCATTGTGGTTTTGATTTGTATATCCCTGACGATTAGTGAGGTTGAATTTTTTTTGTTGTTTTTTGTATACCTGTTGCCATTTGTATGTCTTCTTTTGAGAAATGTCTATTCAGGTTTTTTGCCAATTTTTTAACTGGGTTGTTTTCATGCTATCAAGCTGAGTTCCTTAAATATTTTGGTCATTAAGCCCTTGTTGCATATACTGTTTGCAAATAATTTTCCCCCTTCCATGAATTGCCTCTTTACTCTGTTTATTGTTTCCTTTCTTGTGCATACGTTTTTTAGTTTAATGCAATCCTGTTTTTTGACTTTGCTTTTGATGCCTTGATTTGGGGTTATATTCAAAAAATCATTGCCTAGATCAATGTCAAGAATTTTTCTTTCTGTGTTTTCACCTAGTTGTTTTAGAGTTTCATGTCTTACATGTACGTCTTTAAATCATTTTGAGTTGATTTTTGTATATGGGGTGATATAAAGGTCCGGTTTCATTTTTTCTGCATGTGAGTACCAAGTTTTCCAACATCATTAATTGAAAAGACTGTCCTTTCTGAATTATGTGTTCCTGGCATATTTGTCAAAGATCTATTGGCTATAGAAACATACATTTATTTCTCAGCTCTCTAGCCTTTGCCATAGGTCTTTGTGCCTGTTTTAATGCCAGTGCCATGCAGTTTTGTTATTATAACTTTTTAGTATATTTTGAAATCAATTATTGTGATGCCTCCAGCTTTGTTGTTTTTGTTTAGAATTGCTTTGGCTATTCTGGTCTTTGTGGTTTCATAAACATTTTAGAAATGTTTTCTTCTATTTCTGTGGAAAGTGTCATTAAAATTTTGAGAGAGATTGCATTGAATTTATAGATCATATTGGGTAGTAAGGACATTTTAACAATATTAATTCTTCCAGTCAATGAACATGAAATGTATTTCCATTCATTTGTGTCTTCAGTTTCTTTCATGTATGTTTTATAGTTTTCAGTGCACAGGTCTTTCACCTTCTTCGTTAAATTATTCCTGAGTATTTTTTTATGTTATTGGTAAGTGAGATTGTTTTTCTTGATTTCCATTTTTGATAGTTTCTTGTTAGTGTAGAGAAACATTACTGATATTTGTATGCTGCTTTTGTATCCTGAAATGTACTGAATGTGATTTTGGTTCTATCAGTTTTTTGGTGAAGTTCTTAGGGATTTCTGTATATAAAGTTAGATCATTTGCCGAGACAGTTTTACTTGTTCCTTTCTAATTTGGATGTCTCTTATTTGTTTTTCTTGTCTAATTTGTCTGGTTAGAACTTTAAATACCATGTTGAATAAAAGTGTCAAGCATTTACATTATTTTCTTGTTCCTGGTCTTAGAGGAAAATATTTCAGCTTATTCTGTATGATGTTTGCTATGAGCTTTTCATAAACGGCAATTATTATGTTGAGGTACACTTTTTCTACACCTAATTTGTTTACAGTTTTTACCATAAAAATATGCTCAACTTTCTTAAATGCTATTTCTGCATCTATTGAGAAAATTATATGGCTTTTATTATCATTCTGTTGATGTGGTGTTACAAGGCATTTTAAAATGAATTAATAAATTGTGAAATAACTAAGCCAAAAACAATTTTTTTCTGATAATCTGTATTAAATAGTGAGAGAAAAAATTAACTATTTCTTACAGAGATACGTGAATTTAAAGATTTGAAAATTTACAAAGTCTTTCTGAATAATAGGTTTTTCTTTATTTTTTTAAATATATATTTGCTCACATTGAATCAATTGCATACATTTATAACAATTGATTCAATATGTAAAAAGAATTTTATATATGCATATTTATTAGAAGGGACAGAAAAGTATAATTGTATATCAGTTAACAGTTAACATTTTATCTGCAGTAGATGTGTAATTAAATCTATGTTTTGGAATTTATTTTAGAAATTGGCTAAATATTAAATTTCTCTACATCTCTATTCTAGTGTTGTTAGGTATTTAATAAAGCAAAGAAAAAATATAGTTCAGTACTTTGCTTGACACTAATAGTTGTATTACTGTCTCAAAAATATATAAAAACTATTTAATTCTCATTTTGCTTTTCATTTTGAATTTGGGTTATTATGTTTTAGTGCTTAGTATTTTAAATATAAAAACATATTTTCCACCATATATTATGCTGTTCAGGAAGAACACTAAGTTTCACAACCTTCGTTTTTCAAATGAGAAATTTTCAAACAAACTGGGAATAAAATTTAAAAATTTTCATAAAAAAGTGTATGATATGAAGGAATTATCCCTTTTATTGACATTTTTAAAGAAGCACTACCCTAAAATATTTTATAGTCATTTAAACTAGAGTGTACATTTCAAAATGTGTGATTATTTGCTTGATTCCTAATGTATTCTACAGAAGATATTTGCCTTAGGAAATTACAGAAAAATTGAATAGATAGAAAAATCTTCTGTGCTGTAGGTAGAACCATCAAATAATGCTTACTTTATCAATCCCATTTTATTGTGATTAATTAGAGATGTGACATAGGTAATATATTTTGGAGTGATGAGATAAGGAAACTAAATAGTGAATGGTTTACATTTCTCAATATACAAAAGTTTTAAATCTCATGTAAGGAATGACATATCCTAGAAAAGCAATCAGCCAAAATTTCTTCTCAATTCTCAAATTAACAAGAATAAGATAAATTGTCTTTTATTTTCCTAATGGGATCTGAACCATTACATAAAACCTTGTTAAAATGGCAGCCATGCATAATCTATGAGCTTATTAAAGGCTGCATAATTTGCATTACTGCATTTAAAGATTTAATTACAGTAAATAATTATGAAATTTAAGTATTTATAATAAATATTATAAATATTTAGTGTTTATATTATCTATTGTAATATATTATATTATCTATTATATATAATAATAATAAATAAATAAATATTATAAATACTTAATATATTTATTAAAATACATTTATAATAAATTATTTCACACAATTCAATATTAGACACCAATGAGTGTGTGCAATGTGGTATTTTAATTTTTTAGATACATATGTACTTTTATTTCACTCTTTTTTAGAACTGAATTTTATGAAACCTAATGTAAGAAATAAGAATGTGAATCCCAGGAGAACACATATTGAATTATAGATGAATTGCTAGGTTTTTTCACAGCTTATGTTTCACAAGAAGCAGGATATTCAGAGCCAGTAATGATAAAAAAAAATACTTCCAAAAAAGCGCTGCAATTATAATTGAATTAAAAGGCATTAAACTGGGCAAGTTTCAACAGTTAGTTTTATGCCCTAAGAATACTAAATGAAAACAAACAAACAAAAAGTGAAATGAAAACTATACAGGAAGAGAAAAGCATTAGTTAAAATGTAAAATAAAAATGAAATAAAATATAAAATGGACAGAATATCCATATGTAAAATAGTAAGACTAATTATCTTTGACTATTAGTTTTAACTTTGAAATTTAAAGGCAGCTATAATTTTAAGAAATTCCTCCCTAATTGGCAATTTTGAATGTACATTTTATATACCTTGTGAATTAATTCCTGAAATGAATAAATTTAAACCACACTATTAATATTATGAAGTTTAAAACATGCAAATATTAATTCAATATCTATTTATTGAATTTCTTTCTGTGTAAAATATTGCATTAAATGAAACGCAGGATTAAAAACGGACTAAGAATTTATTTCCATTCTAAAGAAGCTGGTAATCTTGTGTAGCAACAGGTAACTGGGCAACTGATGTGAGATATTTGCTTTGTGCTTACGGGAAAGTGATTCTTATTTGTTTACAGAAGAGAGACATGAATTCTACTCAGAGACTTGATGTCTGTATTTTAAAAATAAGAGTTAAGATGAGACTAGCAGTCGTATAATTTTAGCTGGTAAAGTTTTGAACTGGCCTGAATTTAGGAAATAAAATATAAAACTATAGTTGACGAAATTTATATGATATATTCAAGAAACAGGTAACACCAGTCTATCTAGATGAGTGAATAGAATAGCTTACTTTTTCTTTCCTTTCAGCAAATTTTTCTGTTTATTTATTTTTATTTTAAGTTCTGGGGTACATGTGCAGGTTTTTTACATAGGTAAACATGTGCTGTGGTGGTTTGCTATACCTATATCTTACTTTTAAGAAAGAGAGGTTAGAAAAAAAAAAAAGTGCAGAGAGGACATAAGTAGCACAGCACAGAACAGGCAAGTATAGAACCAATCATGGAAAGCCATGAATAGGGCTCATTTTTTAAGAAGTGGAGAGTCCATGCAGATTTTTAAGAATGGAAGTAACAGGATCAGAGAAGTTATATTTGAAATAGCTGACAGGTAATCGGTTTCTAAGGGAAGAGGCAACAATAGTCTGAAAATTATAGGATGGAAAAAAGTTGTGGGTGAAGATATTTGTGAATTAGAATTAATATGTATTCCTTGCCTTAAAAAGTATTAATGAAAGCTGTGTGCTAGGCACTTTCCTAGGATAGGAAATATTTTTTTTTAGGCAACGAATACATTAAATACTTTTTAAGGCAATGAATACATATTAATTCACACATTCATGACCATAGTGCCTGGTCACAGGAAAGTACCTGGCTCATAGCTGTCATTAAATACTTTTCTGAGTTTCCAATCAGAGAATTTCCCCACTCCCCATTCTTGGGGGAGCTTCTGTTCTGAAGCAGCCTGGTCAGAGAGGGTGTTTCTGGGAAGATGACATGGAAAATGGGATATGATGGGAAAAATGTAGCCATAACATGTCAATAAAAGGAAAGAGTGATCCCGAGAGTGAGTACAGTTAGTGCAAAGGCCTACTGAGAAGGAAAAAACAGAAACCTGGTGATTTCAAAAGACAGGAAGATGTTCTTTATGTTTGGAACTTCAATGGCAAGGGATTGAATCACAAGAGGAATAGGAACGGGGTGGAGATTTCTAAGTTAGCATAAAGAATTTGATTATGTTTTGAAGTGGAATTGGAGAGCATCAAATAGAAAAGTGAAAGATTTTAGTATATTTAAAATCGTACACAGGGCTTCTTATTAAAAAATCAATCATATGATGTGGAATTAACAGTAGACTATGCCTCCAGTGCCTTGAGTCTGTCTGACCTGAATTGTGATTCCATTATGAGAAAAGAAAAATGATACAGAGGTTCGGGAATGAAAATAATGAATTCATTTTTTCTTATTCTTGAATGTAAAGAGTGTAAAAGTGTAACATTACAGATTTGTAGGGAGAAAAACATCACAGAAGACAAAGGCTATGCTGACAAATACTATAAAAAATAAAAAGTTATGAAGACAGAGAAGATGCACATTAATTTATCAATTATAAGGTCATTATAAATCATCTGGATAGCATCTTGCTAGAGTGATAAGAAGCCAAATTATTAAGGTGAAATGAGAAGTGAGAATTAGAGATAGCAAGTGAATTCTATTATTTCAAAAAGATTAGCTATGAAATAAAGCAAAACATTCGTGTATTTCAGATGTTTTATAGCAATAATAAAGAACTGTTTCTTAAAATATAGAGCAAGCATCTAAAAGTTGATCTCTGATTATTTTGACTAACTTTCTGTATTTTTAGTTTGGGAAGTAATATGTCACCTATTTCACATTTACATATACTTTAAAAATAAGATGGTTACCCATATTGGTCTGATTGTGTTTTATTGCTTCATATAAAGAAAAGTACTGAAAAGTATTTGAAATATGGAAGGCATATAATTTAATTTATAGTGTTTTATTTTATTTTTACATGCTGAAGTTCATTTAAAGATATAATTTAGCAGAGGTGTGACATAAATGAATAAAACAGTTTAAATAATGTTTCCAAGCCTCTGTTTGCTAACACATAAAACAAAGGTGACTGAACTCAATTTGTAAGGCAAACTTATGGTATAGAACACTATGTCCAAACATTTCTAAGAAGTGTTTACAGCTTAAATGACAGAATTAATGGAATTGCCTATGATTCCATAGCACCTTTTGATCCCCACAGCAATTCTGTAACTACTCATATTTATGTAAAAGCAGAGGGAATTGAATCTTAATGAGGGTGAATTTAATTTTATAAGTTAGCAATAATAGAATTAATATTTTGGCCCTAGTTTCCTGATACTTGAATTAGAGTACTTGTCAGTGAACAATATCCTGCACTCAAAAAAAAATTCCAATAAATGCTGTGATGGAGCCAGTGATATTTAAATGTATCCATTTTTTTTTCTGCTATAGTTTCTAGAAAGTACAGAGAGCAATCTTAGAATTATAAGGGGATTTATTAATTTGGTTCTATATTATTTAATTACATTATTGTTATTTTCAATTATTTTCTCACTCTTTATTACTTAGTCTCATCAACTTTATTTAATCAGGAAGTTTAAGTTGTATTTGAAACTAAACACCATGATTACAAAGGATGAGTAGACAAAAGAATGAAATAATTAAATAATTCCTCAAAATTTTTGCATGTATTGTCAGGGACATTTATTCAGCTGGGATTTCCATTTAGTAGCATATTCAAGTATTATTTATTTATTTAATATTTATTGAGTGCTGGTTAAACATACTAATGACTGTAAAACAGTTAAAAGAACAGTATCGTGCACGACATGAAGCTAAGGGTTGTTGAGAGCCATACAGTCATTTGTCAAGATATTTAATAAGATTGTCTTTGCCTTAGTAAATTTACCTGGGTCTAATGAGTAAACGCGTAGTTTTATAACTAGAGGCCTGACGTCTCTGCCCAATGGCAGTAGCTCTTTCCATCAAGGGTGAATATACAACTGGTGGACATATAACAAGAATAAGATCCTCCAAGAATGGAAATATGGTTTATAAACATAGGGATTATAAACAAAGGGATTATAAACAAATTTAAAATCAGTTGGTAGATTAAAAGAAAATATTTTCACAGTGTGTAACATACAATGGATATAGGGACAATCATTCTTACAATTCCAAAAGTAGACCAAATAAATAGAGTTAAGATAAACACATAACTTTAGAATAGAAAGAAGAGGCTGGGCACAGTGGCTCACACCTGTAATCCCAGCACTTTAAGAGGCCAAGGTGGGTGGACCACTTGAGGTCAGGAATTTGAGACCAGCCTGGCCAACATGGTGAAACTCCGCCTCTACTAAAAATACAAAATTAGCCAGGAGTGGTGGTGGGTACCTGTAATCCCAGCTACTCAAGGGGCTGAGACAGGAGAATTACATGAATCCAGGAGGCAGTGGTTGCAGGGAGCGGAGATCACACCATGGCACTCCAGCCTGGGAGACAGAGCAAAACTCTGTCTCAAAAAAAAAGGAAGAAGAAGGAAAAGGAGAAGGAGAACGAGAAGGAGAAGAAGATATAAGGGCCAAAAGAAGATGTACAAATGACCAGTGATTAGTATCTGAAAGTATGCTCAACCTCATTATAAATAAATAAAACAAAAATTAAATAGATGGTTATGACTGTCTACATTAAATTGGCAAAATGAAGAACTAAACATTTGTATGGCCCTATTCCTGGTACAAAGTCCTTGTAATTTATGTTTATAAAACAGCTTTGTGTGCCATTTGGACAAGCCAGGCAGAGTCTTTAGTTCTAAGAGGTATTTCTTTGAATGAAACTTGAAATGCTCTTGCCTCAGTGAATGTCCTTCTGATATTTTCCAGCAGCAATAACACCCTTAGTGGATTGACTCACTTTTTAATATTTTATTCACTCTTACTGCTTATCTGTCAACGTCTAAGGTGTCCCTCCAGTTGTTTATAGTAATTTTTGCATGTTTTTTCGTGATTAATTTTGAAATGATTTTATAATTTTGGTCTTAAAGAACACACTTTTCTCATTTTCAGGTTCTGAGAGATCATGTCTGTTTCCACTTAAGAAAAATAAATAAAAGTTTTAAGGTACTATTAGAATATGCACATTTTCTAAAAGTCCTATGCCTTTTTTAACAAAAAAGATTAATAACAGTTATTCAAAGGCTATCAAAGACACATTAGTTTTTATGTGATTAAGCAAATAATACTGCTATTATAAAATACTCTTTATTGAAGAATGTTGCTTAAATTGTGATGATGTGCTTGTTTTACCAATAAAATAGTTTAAATTTAGATTTATTCAAAACAAAGCTATAAATGGAATCACTAAACTGATTACTATTCAACCATTTCAACATGCTTTCTCAATCTTTTGACACTTTTATCTCAGTGCATAACTGAACATATGGCTTTGTAGGATTCTCTGGAGGTTTAAAAAGGAAATGATTTTTTAAAAAATCGATTCTAGTATGTGTGATGAGCTCTTTTGTTTGTGTGTATATGTGCACGTTTATGCATTCAACACAACCTAAGGCTGAGGATTGTTGCCAACAGGAGAGCATAGAGTCATTCATCACAGGGGGCAATCCCTTACAGAATGCTCCCTCCCCTTTCCAAATGTGGGAAAGTAACTGACCAAAGATAGTAAGGTTAGTTATACAATAACCATATGAATGTAGTCATTTGCAAAGGAGATATAGACATATACATGTACAGATGCTCTTCGACTTACAACAGGGTTCCTCCTAATAAATCCATTACAAGTTGAAAATATTTTAAGTTGAAAATGCATTTAGTACACCTAACTGACCAAACATCATGGCTTAGTTTATACTACCTTAAATGTACTCAGAACACTTACATTAGCCTATGGTTGGACAAAAACATCCAACAGAAAGACTATTTTATAGTTAAGTGTTGAATATCTCATGTAATTTATTGAATACTGGAGTAAAATTTCTGCTCAATACATACCATTTTTATGCCATCATAAAGTTAAAAAAAAAACTCATGGATGGAGTCTAAAGCTTATGAAACTATGGTAAGTTGCCGACCATCTGTGTATACATACATATATACATGGAGGATGTAAGCTCTTAAATAGTTAAATTTGCATAGTTTTTTATTTTAAAGCATAAAGCTAGATTAAACTTAAGTTCATAGGAAAAGTAAAATGTAATTTTGAATTCAATAAATTCAACCATAATTTCAAGCAACAGTGTAGAGTTTCTGATTGTGTAGAAAGTTATTTACATGGACATTTAAATGAATGGGGGGGAGTAGTAAGCTGTTATAGTATTTGGAAACTATTGGTAACATTTAAACAGTGTTGTAACAGTTTATTCTATGATGTTAATCATTATAATTTCTCTATAATTGTTGAAACCTGATGAAAAATTTTATATGTTATCTTAATAGCATGTGAATACATACATTGATTTTCAAATTCTTTTAGGGAGTAATTGAGCAAGAAAAGCAGAAAAATACTGCTGAATTGCACAGAATGAGAAGGAATAAAACAGGTAATAGCATGAGAAGAAAAGAGTGGATGGATATATTTCACATTTCAAGAGAAAATTCAATACAGCAGAGTAACTGATTGCTAGAAATAAGTTGATGCTAGGCAAAGGAAGGTGTTAAATGAAAAGGCAGATTTAGAGTCTGAGTAACAAGAACTTGGAAAAATTGCATGTGCTTTATCAGATGAAATTTTTTAACTTTTTTCTTGATTTTTATTTGACAATATTCCTCTAAAAAGATTTCAGGACATGAGTCAATCCATTTCCTCAACTATTTAACCTTTATCTAGTAACACTACTTTAAGATACCTTGGTACTTAAATATACTTGTTGCAGTTAAGGAAAATAAAACATCTGACCTTGATCAACTGAAATGTATGGGATGAATTATCTAAACTGTTAATTCACAGGATCCTAAATTACTGGAAACTAACTCAATATTCTTTTTAATCAATCTTTTTCTCCTTTTTTTGGTTTAATTAAAATTTTGATAAGATTATTAAAGCTCACCACCATCACTTCTCCCTGCCCCTCAATATATCAAATTTCTTACTGTCATGTATGTGACTATTAATATACTCCTAATGCCACACACATACACTTGCACCTCCAAATTCAGCTTCAGTAGATAACTGCTAAATACTACACCAAATATCTGCTAAATACTGTATTAAGTGCCAAAGAAACATAAATAAATAAGACATTATCGTGCCCTCAAGTTGTACACAGACTAGTGGAAAAGATAGGCCTAGAAGACAATTCATATATTCAGTAATATTAAAAAATGATTGAATAATGTTTAATGCAGAGAAAAGTGTTTGCTGTACAGAATAATTCCAGGGTGCTAGTGAAGAAAGACTTCAGAGACAAGATAAAATCAGGAAAAAAAATTGCAATAAATTTGCAAGGGAAACCAAAGGAGGAGGGGTATTCTGAGTGGAAAAAAAATCTTGAAAGAGTTTGTTATATTTATGCTACATCTGTCTATTATTTTTGAAAAGAAAGGAAGTAACTGTGGAGATTAAAATATGATTGTGAATGAGGTATATAAGAGAGGTTGAGAAAGCATTACAAGACAGCAATGGTGATACCTGCAGGGCCAAAATAATGGACCCCATCTGAACACTTTGCCCTCAAAACCCTGCCTTTACACTGCTGCTCCTCCAGCCACCCCTAGACTATAGACTGGATCAAGTCTACAGGAAAGAGAATTTAGATGTATACATCTCTTACTATGTGTCAGCCATGTCTCACGAATCAGTAGGTCCTGAAGGCTTCTGTACACATTAAAATGCTAAGATTTTATCCTGTTTGATGGGTATTCCATGGAAACATTTATAATTATAAAATGAAATATTATTCAGATACTTGCTGAAACATCACTCTAGCAGCAGCAAACAGAATGCCTTGGAGGGGTGTTGAGGGCAAAAATGGAGAAGTATATTCAAGGTATATATACTCACATATTTTAATACTTTTGGTTGTTAGTGGATAATAATAGTTTGCTCAGTTTTAATCACCATAAATAAAACCAGGTTACATGTAAGGAAGAAAACGTCAATTTTATTTTTTACTTCTGGTAAGCCAGATGTTAAAGTCACATATTTAAGCATGGATATTAGAAATTGGGTGACAAAAATCCAAGTGAATGAGAAAAACAGAAGTTTAAAATGAAATATTTTTCTAAATATGTTCAAACTCAACTGAGAATTCTACATATTGTTCTTTTAAAAGCTATTGCTACATTGTACCTTTTGTTATACAAGGAAACCACTAATAAAGAGTAGTAATAATGAGATGATAAATTTTCTCTAGTGGATTTCAATACATTTCAGTAATGGCTTACATAACAAGATAAAACTATATAGGAAAGAATAATCAGAAAATATGTGTACATATTATACTCTTTATGGTCTCATTTTATATTATTAGCTATTAATAAATTGCGTGTGTAAAAAAAATCTACTCACGACAATACTATTGAAAACAATTCCATAATTGCAGCAGGAAGAATGTGCTTTGAAAGTAGAAACAATAGGTAAACTTCAAAGTATTTGTAAAGGAAAATGAAAGGTCATTTGGGGAATTTTTACATACTTTGATTCTGTGCCCATACACCTAAATTATTGTGCCCTGCAAAACTCTGGCATCATCTCATAATGGCTTGGCCTTTTGAACATCTGAATTTAGTTGGTGGCTTCAGTAACATGGGCTTTTCCAACAGTCGTCTACATTTAGTTTTAGAATTTTGTGTTAAGAGCATTCAAAAAAATTGGAAGGACTTGAGAATAATTCCTTGAAATATGGGTTTCAGCAGAAAACAATTGCCATAGATAGCCTCTAAAGTTCCACGCAGTATTGTTAGGAACACTAGCAATACATATTGATCAAGTAGTCAAAGAATTAAGAATATAAAATTATGATTCTTCTTCAATATACCTATCTATGCCTAAAAAGAAAGCCAAGTGAGAATTGTAGAGGCTAAGGGGAAATTTTCCTCTTGTTCTCTGAAGGTTCACTAACTGATTAAAGGCAGAATAATAGAAGAAAAAGCATACAAAATTATTAATGTGCCACAAGAGTCTTACAAAAGAAGATCCCCCAAAAAGGTAAAATGGTTGACCCTTGTATACCATCTTAGAGTTGTAGAGAATATGGGGGCTCGGAGCATGGCCCCAAATAAGTCATGGTGGTAAGACAGGATATGGGAGGGAGAGAAGCAGAGGCCTGGCTAGCAAAGGTTGTCTTGTTATATAGATGAGACCTCACAGATAGCAGCCCTCAGAGACAATAGATGGAAAATGTTTCTTTCAGATAAGTAACCATGTGAGACTCTCAGTTAATCTTTCCTAGATATAAGAGAAAGCCTCAGAGTAAATCTGGTTGCATCAGTGCAGATTCTCTACAGATGCAAATCTCCCCCATAAAAGATGTTCAGGGCTAATTTTGTCTACTGGCCCTCTGAACGGCCGTCTTCAAATATGTCAATGAAGTATAGTTTGGGAAGAAATATTTTGGTTTCCTTCAGAATCAACTAAAAGATAGCATTTGATTTAGTATATAGTTGTAGTTGTAATAGAATTTGGATTTAGGTTGGACCTCATCTTAAAGACTAGGAGATGAAGGAGACAAGTTAATGTGTAAATTGTTCAGAAACATTCACATAGCATTCCCAATGGAAAATATTAAAAACAAACGAAATGTATCTATTGATTAACATACACCAATTAGATTCACAATTTATATTCCTTTAATGTTTGAAACAGATTTCATAGTTCATTTTCATTCCCAATTTGTAAGTCAGAGACTGAAACATAGGGAGTGTTATTATTCTGTTCAGTAAGTGGCATTCAACATGTTGTGATACTTTAAAATGTATTATCTTTTGGCCCCCTCTTCTATAATCCATTTTCCATTCGAACAGGGATTGTCAAAGTAAATGTTACACTGGATAAAGTTACACAGGTAAGGAAAACTTTATTCAAGGCTGTTTCAATAAGGGAGAGAGATCAGAAAATATTCTGACCTCAACTCCACTGGAAAAGGGGATGCAAGAGTTACTGAGAACTTGAATTGGAGGGCGCAATCATAAGCCATTTATACTTGTTAAATGGCTTTACACAAAGGAAAAGTAAACTTTCTTTTATATTCATGATAGAAGGTAGTTTACAACTTGAAGAAGGATGTCCTAACCAGAGTTAGTCTCCTAAACTCCCACGGAAGCTGGAAGACTGTGGCACTCCCTTCCTTAATGATTACATTTCAAAGACATTATCAAAGAGATAACTCCCAGGTGCGTGCGAAAGACATTCATAGGAATTAAAGTTGTTAAGAGGCTTTTAAAAAAGATTTACATATCAAAGTGGGTAGAAAAAGAATGGGCAATTACAAGATTTCTAACGTGAAAGATCAGGCGCCTAGAGGCATGAAGAAACTTGTCTAAAGTGAGGCAAACTGGAAGAAATGTTAATGTTCTCTTGGTCGGAATTGTTTCCCCTTTCCCACTGAAGTGTGAGTTTTAGGTAGCCCTAAATCCTTGGGTGTTGGGAATGAAGCTTGTTCAGTAATGTTGCCCATTCTCCTTATAGCGAGTACGCTTGGCAGGCAGCCAGACTCTGCCTTCTATCTCAAGTCTAGAAGGTAGAGAATGCCTTGATCCTCTTCAGGGGTAGTGGGGTACATTTTTTATCTTTCTTCTTTGCTACAGCAGGCCATTTGCCTTTATTCTGTGGGGAACAAGGTTATGGGAAAAACTTCCTGTCCTTCTGACAGGAAAAGCCTCTCCCCAGGCTTTTACTTCTAAGAGAAGCAATCTTTTTTCACAATCTTTCTCACTGGATCCAAAAAGGTCTGCAGAGAAGATCCCAGAGAGTAGGAACCTCAGTGTCTGCAGCTTCTTCCTACGCTAGCTCAAACACGACATTGAGCGAACTCCTCAAACATTTGGCTGAAATCTTGTTCACTATTGGTTTCTCTCCCTCTCTTGCTCTTCCACAGGCAGCAAGTGCTCTCCTTCTGTTTTTCATGCATGTGGGAGTCTCCAGCATTTACATTAGGTGAGTAGTGGAAAAGTGGCCCCTAGATGAAAATCAGGGTGTACTTTAATATGTGTGAAAGAATTCTGCATATGAAGAAAATGAAGTGATCACTGAAAATGTGAATTGTAATGATGTAAGGTGGAGGTGGTAATCAGTCTTGCCATGTGGAAAACTATTGCAGTGACTATTATAATGACTGCACTAATCATAAATAAGTGATGGAATATAAATTAATGCAGAAGTATTAAAGATATTATGTAGTGTAACATAATCAAACTATATAGTATGTTAATATGCCGTAACATATAAGAACATATATATATGCTGTAAAATGAAATGTTGTTAATTGAAGAAAAGGGTAACAATACCTCAGTAATTCTGTAAGTAAAACACAAATTAAACAATATTTTTATATTAGTCTACAAGATTTATGTGTACATTAATATGAGTTTTGTAAAAAATTCTTAATTCCTATAATATTTAATCTTATTTATTTGAAAGAGGCAGTTATAATAAAGAAATACATGGAAAGGCCGAGGTGGGTTGATCACCTGAGGTCAGGGGTTCAAGACCAGCCTGACCAACATAGTGAAACCCCTGGTCTACTAAAAATACAAACAATTAGCCTGGCATGGTGGTGGACACCTGTAACCCCAGCTACTTGGGAGGCTGGGGTAGGAGAATCGCTTGAACCCGGGAGGCGGAGGTTGGAGTCAGCAGAGCTCTCATCATTGATTGCACTCCAGCCTGGGCAACAAGAGCAAGACTCTATCTTAAAAAAAAAAAAAAAAGAAAGAAAGAAAAGAAAAGAACTAAAGTTTATGGTATAGAATCTAACTGTTTCTAAAATCTATTTAATTCTTAGTGCATTATGTTTTATATTTTCACCATCCCAGCTGATCACTTGTTATTAGAGATAGAGGTGCTGTGTAGTGCTACTCTGAAGAGCCCAGGCTAAGATACAGGTTGCTTGACCTTGAATTTCAGCTTCATTACTTACCAGCATGTGACCTGCATGGTGACTTAATTTCTTCATGCTTCAATATCTTCATCTGAAAGCAGGCTTTAATTCAGAATTTAATTCAGGGATTAAACAAGAATACACATACACGCACACACATATACTGTACACACACATACAAATAAAACTTAAAGCAGTATCTGGCATATAGGAAGTATTTCGAAATTAACTATTGTTAACAGAATTAGTCATATTAGATACTACGTGTATTTAGAAACACAACTATTTTCTAACAAAATTTAATGTTTTATATATAAAAAATTAAACACTGCCAACTACATTCCAAGTTAAAAAAAATGGTTTGTTCACAGGGAATTTTTATGAATATTTAAGTTGTCTTTATTATAAAAAGCAATTTTTTTAATGATTAGGTAGACTACTATAGTACATTGTAATTGGGCTGCGATCATAACAAAACAACAATAATCATAGAACAATTGAAAGCTGTTTCTATAATCACTATTATTTAGAATAGAAAATGTCTTCTATTTTCACTAGGACATCTATTTTTTGCATCTATTTTTTCTACCTTATAATCTTTTAAAATTTTCATTTCATTTTTCAGAAATTACATCCTTATGCTCTAAAAAAAAATGATGTTCTCATCTGTAAAAGGAGAAAAGAAACTATTTCAAGGTCTATAAACATGAGTGGAGACACATGCTCATAAACACATCAAGTATATGCTTACAAAAGCTTTGGAAAACCATGAGAATGGGTGGAGAGTTTAATGGAAGGGTGGAAGAGAATAGAATTTTGGATAGAGAACCAAAAAGAAATCAGAGAAAAACAGTCAAAAATGTTTAATTTGTTCATTTCATTGATTCATTCAATAATCAGCATCAAATATTCAACTTTTTAGGGTTTCTATCAGAAGCTTTTGCTGAATATCATGTGTATGCATTTTAATCACTGAATCTGTTGTTGAGTTACTGCAAAGTAAGAAATAAATTTAAGAAATAATATGAACAATTATGATGTCATGTTTAAAACATTCAGATCTATATGTATTTTTTACAATAATTGCTATCTGTTTCTGAGCAATGTGTGACATTAAGTAATCAAATACTGTATTTGGAAATACCCAAAGTAATATGATACTCTTTCAGAAGGTTTAAGCATGCTAGTGGTATTAATATGTCTTCTTAGAAATGTTTTCTTTTTGTTTTGTTTTGTTTTGTTTTTTTATTTTATTTTATTTTATTATTATTATACTTTAAGTTTTAGGGTACATGTGCACAATGTGCAGGTTAGTTACATATGTATACATGTGCCATGCTGGTGTGCTGCACCCATTAACTCGTCATTTAGCCTTAGGTATATCTCCTAATGCTATCCCTCCCCCCTCCCCCCACCCCACAACAGTCCCCAGAGTGTGATGTTCCCCTTCCTGTGTCCATGTGTTCTCATTGTTCAATTCCCACCTATGAGTGAGAACATGTGGTGTTTGGTTTTTTTGTCCTTGTGATAGTTTACTGAGAATTATTATTTCCAATTTCATCCATGTCCCTACAAAGGACATGAACTCATCATTTTTTATGGTTGCATAGTATTCCATGGTGTATATGTGCCACATTCTCTTAATCCAGTCAATCATTGTTGGACATTTGGGTTGGTTCCAAGTCTTTGCTATTGGGAATAGTGCCGCCATAAACATACATGTGCATGTGTCTTTATAGCAGCATGATTTATAGTCCTTTGGGTATATACCCAGTAATGGGATGGCTGGGTCAAATGGCATTTCTAGTTCTAGATCCCTGAGGAATCGCCACACTGACTTCCACAATGGTTGAACTAGTTTACCGTCCCACCAACAGTGTAAAAGTGTTCCTATTTCTCCACATCCTCTCCAGCACCGTTGTTTCCTGACTTTTTAATGATTGCCATTCTAACTGGTGTGAGATGGTATCTCATTGTGGTTTTGATTTTCATTTCTCTGATGGCCAGTGATGGTGAGCATCTTTTCATGTGTTTTTTGGCTGCATAAATGTCAGAAATGTTTTTTAGAACAAAATATCCCTAACAGATTAATCAATAAGTATGGCTTAATCAAATGTACAGTTCACAAGTTTGAAGACTATCATTTGATTCCCGAAACAGGCAGAGCTGCCTATCCTGGAATTAGTTTGGATTAATGGGTAGGGAAGTGCCTTGAAGTTGGACTAGAGTATTTGACTGTTTTATGTCTGACAGTGATGTGCTGCAGCCAACTTGTATTTCCCTTTGAGAGTGATTTTGTCCCAACTCTGTGTTTAGTGACAATACACTGATAGCTTCAAGCAGAACATGCTGTGAATTTTAACACCATAAAAATCAGCAAATACTACAAATGAGGGTTTATTCATCTATTTTTTCCCTCTAGAAAGTAAGTTGTTAAATATTTACCAGCTTATCACTCCTATCTCCTTTAGGGTAGAAAACTGGCCTCACTTCATTGAGAAAATTTGGGAAATTGACTCTTTTCTCTGAAAAATGTGGATGATTTGAAGTATAGGGACTGTGATTCCAATACTGGAGATGTGACTACAGTACCATATATATGTGGATGCTATTAAGCACTCCAACCAAAACCAACAACAAAAATAAATTGGAAAGACAAAAGCTATCAGTACTGTGCTTCCATGTTTTAAATCCACAGAAGAGATATATATATATATAAAATATATTATATATATATATATAATATATCCTATTAGTTCTAATTCTCTAGAGAACCCTAATACAGGTAGCCATACTTTCCTAACCAAATTCAGAGACAGTAAGAATTCTATTTTTCAGAAAATATAAATATGCTGAAAGCGATAACAATTTTAAAATGGTGGCTTAAGAAAGTGATTAGACAATGCCAGACTGCATCCAGGACCTGTTTAAAGAGTGTTGCACTTTGGCACGGTTCTTCACTTTGCCCATATCTGCCAATAGTCCTGAAATGTCATTGCGAATATTTATCAAATCTCCACACAATAAAATATTGGGACTCTATATCTCAGTTTTAAACTGTGTGACACCCAGAGAAAAACAAGCTATCAAAAACAGTGTTAGGAAGAGACTCTGGCAAGTTTCTGAGTGAAGGCATTTTCTAGTCATGTCATACATTAAATATCAGAAAGATAATGGAACTTATTTCTTACATGAAATACAACGTAAAAGATATCACTTGTAGCAGCAAAACTGGTAAATGGCATATCAATTTCCTTTTGCAGGCCCAGTTACTTGGTGTTTGGCTCTGATGTAAATAGTTGACAGGAGGCTGCATAAATTTGTGGAAAGTGAAAGAGGGACATCAAATGGAATATTTGATCAGTAATCTGTTACTAACGGGATTGATTCAATAATAAACTGAACACTAGTGAGGAATTTTATTAGGGTTGTGACAATATTCTGTTAAGTCTTGTCCTCTTGAAGGGAAGTGAACTTCTACTTCTTTCCTTTACCTCCCTTTACAAAGTAATGCAATTGTGATTTTTGAAAAGGGAGCAATTGTGGGAAGAAAATCTCAACAACAGTTCAGAATGGTAAGGAGTAACTGTAGCAACTAGGATCCAGTCAGAAGACAGTATGACACCAATTATTTTAGTAGAGAATATTTAGTAAAAAAAAAAAAAAAATGTTGTATTCCTATTGAAAAGAATGCTCAGCAAATGAAATCAGAATAGTAAAAAGACTGGCTTCCACCCTTAGGGCAGAGGTTGGGGTTATCACCACTTAGAAGCTTGGAGGAGATGCCAGGCAGCCCTGAAATTTTGACCTCTGATAGATGTGCATTCCCAAACTTATGCGGATTCACCAGGGTTATCTGAAGGGGCAAGACAAAGTTGGTTTTTCAGGTTAAAATAAATCACTGCTCCCAGGATGAAGAAGCGTTGCTGTCAGGACACTGTCAAGAATGGGAAGCAAACAGGTGGGAGCAATCTTTTCTTCTTCCAGACTTCCAGACGCCCTCCAGCATCCCATTTGGCAGAGCCTAACAGGGAGCCAACTGGCAGAACAGAATGTGGTTTGCAGAGTCCCAGCCCTCACATCACAGATTAGTGGATGTAAGAATGGGTTTGAAGCTGAGGTTAAGCTGAAACTTGATCTTGATCATCAGAAGCATGTAGTTTGTAAACTCATGAGCAATAATAATGGATGGCATTTTAAGTTAATATATTTTATTGTGGCTAATTGTACAGGAAGAGATAACTAATGCACTACTGTTTTGGTAAAAATGCTATTTTCAAATCCAAAGAATTCAGAGATTTTACCCCATGATTGTATATTGAACAAACAATTAGTGGATAAACTTTATTATTAGGATGTGATAGAGAAGATGCAGAATTATTGACTCTGAGTAAAAGTAGAACTACTGCCAAAAACAACTATGGAAATGATTACAGCATAGAGTGTACATATTTTAAACCATAAAAACATAGAAAAATTATACATACTCAAAAAGTAAAGATGGAAAAGTATTGTAGTAGATGCCTATTGAACAATAATCATTTCTGGCAAAGCTGAACTCGGTGTTTTTGTGGCCACATCTCCTGCTTTCTCATGATGTAAGAGAGTTAATCCCACTCAGATAGGTTTATATTTAAGACCATATCTTTCTCCTACTTGCAATTATTGGCAAGGTATAAGCATATCATTTACCTTAGACCAGGGTTTCTCAAACTTGGCACTATTGAGATTTTTCAGCCAAATAATTATTTGCCATAGGGGCCTATCCTGCATACTGTAGGATGTTCAGCAGCATTCCTGGTCTCGGCTCACTAGATTCAAGTAGCATCTACGCACTCCATGTCCATTGTGACACAGACAAATGTCTTTAAATTTAGCCAAATAGCTTCATGGGTATAAAATTGCCCCTGGTTGAAAAATCACTGTTTAAGACACAGAGGACAACTTTTTTTGATTGCAAGAATATTTTTTTTCTTTTTAATTAGATTATATGTAAGCTTCCCAGTCACTGCAGCCATTTTGCAACCACAGGAGAAGAAGGGAATTGTGAAAAATTCAACATTGTAAAATCAAAAAGGGGAAATTGAGAAAGAACCTTAAACACATTAATTGAGCTCCAGATTTTAGTAACAGAAGGGCTGCTAAGCCAAATAATTCTTCTTTCTAATCCAAATTTTCTGTTTCTTGCAACAGAAAGAGACCCAACATAAAATAAATTTGGTAGGAAGTAATATAAAATGCTGTTTTTTTCATATTTAATAATATTTAAACTATGAATGTATGATTTTAAAATTATATATCAAGTAAAAGGAAGTCTATTTAAGGGCATTTGACAGTGGAGTAACATAAACATATCATATTAGTCCATTCTTACCTTGCTATAAAGAATTACCTGAGACTGGGTAATTTATAAAGAAAAGAGGTTTAGTTTACTAACAGTTCCACAGGATTTACAGGAACCATGACAGCAGGCCTCAGGAAACTCACAATCATGGCAGAAGGCAAAGGGGAAGCGGGGACCTTCACACATGGTGGCAGGAGAGAGATAGAAAATGGAAGTGCCATACACTCTCAAACAACCCGATCTCATGAGAACTCACTGACTATCATGAGAACATTACGGGGAAACTTTGCCCCCTGATTCAATCACCTCCCACCAGACCCCTCCCTTGACATGTGGGATTACAATTGGAAATGAGATTTGGGTGGGGATGCAGAGCCAAATCATATCATTCCTACCCTCGGCCCCTCCCAAATCTCATGTACAACTCACATTTCAAAACTAATTGTGCTTTCCCAATAGTCCTGCAAAGTTGTAATTCATTACAGCATTAACTCAAAAGTCCAAGTCCAAAGTCTCATCTGAGACAAGACAAGTCCTTTCTGCCTACGAGCCTGTAAAATCAAAAACAAGCTAGTTACTTTCAATATGCAATGGGGCTACAGGCATTGGGTAAATTCTCCCATTCCAAAAGGGATAAATAGGCTAAAACAAAGCAGCTACAGGTCCCATGCAAGTCTGAAACCCAGCAGGGCAGTCATTAAATCTTAAAACTCCAAAATGATCTCTTTGGACTCAATGTCTCACACCCAGGACATGCTGATGCAAGGGTTGAGCCCCTAAAACCTTGAGCATCTCCAACCCTGTGGCTCTGCCAGGTACAACCCCTTTGGCTGCTTTCACTGGCTGACATTGAGTGCTCATGGCTTGTCTAGGGGCCCAGTGCAAGCTGTAGGTAGATCTACCATTCTGGGGTCTGGAGAACAGTGGCTCCCTTCTCACAGCTCCACTAAGCAGTGCACCAGCGGGGACTCCGTGAAGGGGCTCCAGCCCCACGTTTTCCCTCTGCACTGCCCTAATAGAGGTTCTCAAAGAAAGCTCCAGTCCCTGCAGCCGACTTCTGCCTGGACATTCAGGCATTTTCACACATCCTCTCAAACCTAGGCAGAGGCTTCCAAGTCTTAACTCTTGCCTTCTGTTCACTGGCATACCCAAAACCACATGGAAGCCACCAAGACTTGGGGCTTGCACCCTCTGAAGCAACAGCCTGAGCTGTAACTTGGCCCCTTTTAGCCACAGCTGGAGCTGGAGTGGCTGGGACACAGGGTTCCATGTCCTGAGGCTGCACAGAGTAGCAGAGTCCTGTGCTCAGCACACAGTACCATTTTTCCCTCCAGCCAGTGATGGGAGGTGCTGCCACAAAGGTCTGTGACATGTCCTGGAGACATTTTCCCCATTGTCTTGACCATTAATGTTAGAATCCTCTTCACTCATGAAAGTTTCTGCAGCAGGTGGCTTGAATTTCTCTCCAGAAAATAAGTTTTTCTTTTTTACCACATGGTCAGGCTGCACATTTTTAAAACTTTTATGCTCTGCTTCCCTTTTAAACATAGTTTCCAATTTCAGACCATGTCTTTGTAAATGCATATGATTGTATGCTGTTAGGAGCAGCCAGGCCTCTTGTTGAATGATTTGCTACTTAAAAATTTCTTCTGCCAAATACCCTAAATCATCTGTCTCAGGTTCAACAATCCACAGATTCCCTAGAGCAGGGCACAATGCAACCAGTCTCTTTGCTAAAGCATAGCAAGAGTTACCTTTGCTCCAGTTCCCAATAGTTACTCATCTCCATCTGAGACCTGCTCAGCCTGGATTTCACTGTCCATATTACAATAGACAAAGCCAATTCAACAAGTTTCTAGGAAGTTCCAAATGTTCTCACATTTTTCTGTCTTCTTTTGAGTCCTTCAAACTGTTCCAACCTCTGCCTGTTACCCAGTTCCAAAATTGCTCCCACATTTTCAGGTATTTTTATGCAGTGTCCCACTCTCCCAGTACCAATTTTCTGTTTTATTCCATTTTTACACTGCTATAAAGAACTACCTGAGATTGTGTAATTTATAAAGTAAAAAGGTTTAATTGACTCACAGTTCTGTGTGGCTGGGGACACCTCAGGAAATTTAACACTCATGACAGAAGGTGAAGGGGAAACAAGGCATGTCTTACCATGGTGAGGCAGGAGAGAGAGAGAGAGAGAGCAAGGATGGGAAGTGCCACACACTTTCAAACAACCAGATCTTATGAGAACTCACTCACTATTATGAAAACTACAAGGGGGAAGTCCCCCCATCCGTAATTCAATCACCTCCCACCAGACTCCTCCCTGACATCTGAAGATTACAATATGAGATAAGATTTGGGTAGGGACACAGAGCCAGAGCCAAACCATATCACAATCCATGTCGAATTCTGGTAATAGAAAGCAGGATGGGTGGTTGAGGAGGTGCCATTATAATAATTTCTTTACAGTTCATTCTGGGAAGTCAATCAGCATTTCTAATGAAACAAAAGAATACTTATAAATGTAACCACTGGAACTTAAAATGAAATATAAACTTTTCAAATTACTGACAAAGAGAAGCAGATTAAAAAACCAACATATTTCATATTTTGACATTTAACAGTTAAACAGTGTTGAAATAGAGTGCTTAATTTAAATATTAGAATAACTTTACAATTAACCATTAGCATTTCATAGATTTTCAAGTTTTATTAGCAATTCAACAAACTGATTTTCAAATTATATAACAAAGCAAAACATTACTGCATATAAGAGATATACAGTGAAAAGAATGATTTAAGTGTGGTAAATTGTAAAATTTTTCTAAAATTATTTGCTGTTCTTTCCCATATTACACATCTCAGTGAATTGCCTTATGACTTATAGAGGCTTCCTGGAGGGATGGAGTTTACTTCCCCGCCCCAGTGACATTCCTCGGCTCTAAGAACAGCTTTAGCCAATTGAATGTGAACAGTTGTAAAATATACTGTACCTATGTAGAGCAGAAAGTTTAAGGGGTATCACATGATTCTTCAGCTCTTTTATGCCCATTCCTTCCTACCACAATAAAACGTAGGTGTAACAGTTAAAAGATACTCCTTCAGTTTGGATCTTAGATCAAAGAAGACACAGAAGTAAGCTAAAGCCAATCTACAGTGACTTGCAATCCTATACATTGAGAATCAAAAATTAACACTGGCGATGGTAAGCCACTGAGATACCAAGGTTACAGTACTGAAGAGGAACTTAGTGAATGCTATCTAATACAAAATCTGACACCCTAACAATACATCCAAGATGTAAGGCAATTGTGGAGGTATTATATATTAATAAACTGAAGAGCTTCTTCTTCAGGGCATGATCTTCAGGGAATATTCTCTATGGCTGCCAGAAACATAATTCTTCTGAGAAAGGTCATATTTTTCTTTCATACTCTGACATTAATTTCCCAGAACTTCTTTTCCTACAAATATCATCTGTATAGTTATAACAAAACAACAGATCCTAAATGTTAATTATAGTTCTAAAAGATCCTGAGTTATTTCTACATCATCAAGAGAAAATTTGCAGTCTTTTGTAGGGGGTACAATATTTGAATTTCATTTAACAACTATTCTTACATAAAATGTGTAATAAATAACAACAACAATAACAAAATACATATTACATGTTAATTCAAGTTCTATTATAAGTTTGCATTATATTAGCTCAATTAATGCTCCTAACAATACTATGTGTTTTAACCCTATTTAACTAATTAGGATATTGTGACTCAGAGAGGTTGATTAAGGTCCAACATAATGGAAGTATTAAGTGTCAAGAATTTTTTTTTTTTTTGAGATGGAGTCTTGCTCTGTTGCCCAGGCTGGAGTGCAGTGGTGTGATCTCAGCTCACTGCAAGCTCTGCCCCCTGGGTTCATGCCATTCTCCAGCCTCAGCCTCCTGAGTAGCTGGGACTACAGGCGCCCACCACCACACCCGACTAAATTTTTTTTATTTTTATTTTTAGTAGAGACAGGGTTTCACGTGTTAGCCAGGATGCTCTCGATCTCGTGGTCCGCCCACCTCGGCCTCCCAAAGTGTTGGGATTATAGGTGTGAGCCACCACGCCCGGCCCTAAGTGTCAAGATTTGAACTCCGACTGTGTGAGTTCAGAACCTGTCCTCTTAATGTCTATACACTTATATAAATTTAATTTTTTTAGGAAAAAAATATATATTCTAGGGTATTCTAAGGTATGAGCAATGCTTATCTTTCAGTAAACAAAAGATTTAATCAGAATACCAACATGTGTCCAATATTACATTATACCACAGAACATATATATTTCTTAAAAATAAATGGAAAATACCCGATACCTTTGAATATGACAATTTATGAAAATAGAAAATTGAATGCTGACAAAACACAGATGTCTGGATTTTGTTAGGTGAATAGTAAGATATTTTATAATAAAACACTTAAACTCTGGTTTCTAAAGTTCTGAAATGGCTTAATTATCTGAAAATGTGCATGACCCATGTGTTTTATACACACCTTGTTACATATTTAGAAGTTACTGGCCTAGTGTGGTGGCTTATGCCTGAAATCTCAGCTACTTGGGAGGCTGAGGTGGGAGAATTTCTTGAGCCCAGGAGTTTGAGGTCACAGTGACATATAATAGCACCATTGTACTCCATCCTGGGTAACATAGTAAGACTCCATTTATAAAATAATAATAAGAAGAAAAAAGATAAGTGCATTTTCATAACCTTTTTGTTCTTAACTAAGTTACAATTTTAGTTTTTACTACATTAATTTTTACAAAATACATTTCTTTTCATTCTTTCCTCAATGACTGACATAATTTCATCTGGATAAATTTATTCTAGGGTAGAAACTCTGAGATCATGGAAGTTAAAAAGATCAAAGTTCCAACTCTTAATACGTACATCAATGATTCCAATTTTAAATTAAGTTAGAAAAATCATTTTATGGACATAACTTTACCCATCTTTTGTCAATTTATCCTTTTTCTGCTCATAGAATGGATCGCATCTCAAAATTAACCCTAGTGTGAGTAGGGCTTTTGCTGTTAGAATAAATAAAGACTACAAAACATCTGAGGAAACAAAGTAGAAAACAATCTTCTGGAATTCGTCTACATATTTTCTTAAACCATCTATGTCCTGGGCAATTTGGGAACTTTCAGACGAGTCTCAGAATTTTCCCAGACTCACTTTTAAATAGTTTTCATATGAAGCTCCTACAAACTAACATCTAAACCAGTTGCTATAGGTCTGGAATTTTCGTTACTAGAACAAATCTAAATTTCTCCGTAAATTTCTCAGTATCCTATCGAGGCTTTGGAATGTCTTTAACACCGAATCTCAGTTCAGACTGAGACTAGAGTTTAAATTCAACCGTAACGGGCTTGGTCTTTTCTGAAGGGAGTTTAATCTTTGAGATGTAATATAGCCTCAATAATTTCTGACCTACAAGAGGGGTCATGATCCTGAGTCATGAGGAGATATAGGGAACATATTAAACCAGAGAAAAGTAATTACAATGATAGGATTCAATCAGATGAGTATAAGCTTCCTCAGAACAATAAAAAACACAAATCATTAGATGTTCAAATCTTTGCTTCCACTTAGTTCGAATGTTCCTATCAAGAAAACAATTTGGCTTACATTGGCAATTCTCCAAAGGAGGTACTAAAATTTTAAATTATACTTGGTAAAATTGGCCATTTAGAAATATCAACGCATAAATAATAGTTATAGAGTGAACACATGTAAGAATTAAGTCTAACTTGGGGGAAGAATGGACTTAAATTAAAATGATCCCTTGAGAATTTGGTAAAAATTAATTAACTATATTGCTTATGTACTTTGTATCTCAGACCCCCAAACTAATGTGGCCACCTCTAACTGCAGAACTACTAAAGCCATAAAGCCAGTCTTCAAATAATAAAATGTTTAAAATGAAATGTTTTCTAATTCCAGAATTTTTTTAAACAAAAGAAGGCAACACGTAGAAAGCTTTTATACTGTTTTGATAAGTTTCAAAGGCAAAGTTTTTTTTTTAAAGAAGCCACTCTAATGAAAATATTTATTTTATTTTTCATCAGAACTGGTTTGAGAGATGAAAATGTTAGATGTATGCCTGTTTCTGTCCTACTAACATTCTTTTCAAGTTTTCCTATGCAAAGGGATGAAGACATCTGTGAGCTCAACAGAAATAAATTGGAGCTAAGACACAGTGAGGGACCTGCCTTGTCACCACAATGTGGAGGTCCCCAAGCAGAAGGCCTAAGAAGCCTCAGGGAACCTTGCTCATTCCAATTCAAGGGTTTTGAGCCATGGCAGTGGAGAGGTTTGGCTTGTTGGAAATGGAACTTTCAAGATTGTTGACTTACCTAACCCGTGGAGATATCCTAAGATATCTATTGCTCAAGCAAAACTGAGTTAAATATAAATTTTCTCTAGTAAGATCATTATCTTGACAAGTCTTAGTAGTACCTCAAAAAAGAAGTTAGAGAAGGGTATTTATAGGTTTGGGTTTCTGGATACAAATTGTTCAACATAAGAATTTCAAGGTAATTAACTTTCAAATTGAGCTAATTCACACAATTATACTTTAGGATAAGAGGACATATACTGTAGTAGGATAAGGGTCTGAGATAAATTTTGATAAAAAAAAGTTATTTTTTTTCCAGGTGAGAAAACTGTTATCCAAATAAGAAAGCTGTTTGCCTAGATGAGAAAATTGGTTGCTTGGTTAAACTGGTTTATACAAATATTCTAAAGCAAACAGTGAAGGTCTGTATTTGTTTGTACTTTTATATTTCCTACAGTAAACAGATAAGTTATGTTTACACAGGTGGTCTTGGTTTTAGTGTATATTTGGGGAGCAAGGGCATGATACTAACCTATACTCATAGTTTTGAGGTACAATTTTCCTATACGTGTACCAAGTTGCTTATTATTACTTTAATTTTTTGATATCTTTTAGAAGATAGTAGGTTCATTTTGAATTTTGTCTAGTGTATCACCATTTTAATTTATAGAATGCAATTTTACATGGATGCTTTGAAAATCCCTATTCAAATGAATACCCTATCAGCCTGCGTTTTCCTTTATGATGCATATAGTTGACATAATTTTTCCACTTTTTTCTGAGAACTTTTCTTCCACCTACAAAATTCTTGTGTTTAGAGTGGAAGCAGGCATTTTTAAGCTTGACCAAAGACAATTAAAAATCTCTTCTCTGGGAATTTATTGCTAAGAAATAAATTATTTCTTAGTGACTTATATGACAACTAAAATACCCCCAGAAATCATATTTGTGTGTGTTTGTGAGTGCACATGCATGTTTGCCATATGGGCTAGAATATCAGAGGATGAGTTGACTTCCAGAAATTGAAGAATAAACCAGATATTTAGAAAGTAACAATGATGAGGTGAATAGGAAAAGTACTGCTAGTATCCGGACTGGCTACATAATTTGTGGGCTCCGTGCAAAATGAAAACATGAGCACTCTAGTTTAAAAAGCAGGAAAAAAAGTGCTATTAAAAGGCACTGAAATACAAACTTTTCTACTTTTTCTTGGTAGTCTCTCTTTTAACCTGTCATTGTGTTTTAAAAATTTTCGTAATGTTTTGCTCCCTTGTGAACAAATGACACTTGCAAGGCAAGTAAGGACCCTCAGAAGTACCTACTGAAGCAGAAGTTCTGGGTTGTTCTTTCTGCCAGCCACTGGACAGAGATACTGTGACCCAGAGAGCAGGGAAAAAGCAATGTTTCTTTCCTACAAGCCCATAGCCCCAGCCCACAGTGACAAGCCCCCCAAAGGATGGTAACCTCTGCACTGGAATACACTTAGTAGGTGTACTGACTTAATGGTATAGGAAAGCCTCAATCTGCAGAATAAGTGGCAGGGCAGGGGCCAAGGCTTCCAGGGGGCAGGAGTAGCAGGGGTTACTGGGCAGCTGAGGGGTAATACAAGCAGGCCAGGGTGCCAGAGAACAAGGAGAGGGTAGCCTGGAGGAGAAGAGGAAGTGGAAGGTGGGACAACACAAGCACGTAGGCTTCAAGCCCTAACATGCTCTTGTGTCCTATCAAAATTCACTTATACTGTGCAATTTCAAAGATAAAATGCTTAAGCATTTATTTTATTTTATTTTATATAGAGACAGGGTATCACTGTGTTGCCAAGGCTGGTCTCAAACTTCTAGTCTCAAGGGATCCTCCTGCTTCAGCTTCTCGAGTAATTAGGATTACAAGCACAGGTCACTGCACCAGGCTAAGAATTTTAAGGGGGCAATTACAGAACGTTATATCTTAAACAAAGGCCTTCCTGGGTAAGAGTCTCCAGATTGGTCACAAACTCATGAACCTGGCAAGTATTGTAGTCCCTGGTTCCAGTTTGTTCCTGAGACACAGCTGTGTCCATATCCTTGGAATTTTGGAGACAACCATGTATCCTTATAACTTGCTGTCATTATTTTTTTTGCTCAGGGTACCCAGAGGGACGATAATTTATATTAAGAATCCCATTCACCCAATGGCCTATTTCTCTCCATTCCCTTATTCTTCCTTTCTACTGTCCCCTCTCCATCTTCCTCCCTTCTTCTAACTTTCTGTCATTCTTCTTTGAATGTTTTATCCTAAGATTTATTTTGCCATGTGTAGTCATGAAATACCTACTATGCCTCCAACTCTATAGCTGTGGTATAGGAGAAATTGAATTACCTCAGAGAGGCATTCGCTCCTTAAATTCATGATATTCTAGCATCTTTTCAATTGGAATAATTAAAAACATGCTTATAAATTAATTTGAGCTCATTTATTGGTTCAGAATTTACTAAGACAGCAAGAAGACTTTTAATTAAAATGACTAAGTCTTAAATATAAACAACCCTCTAGACTTCAAATAATGAGAGTAAATAAATTATTCTATTTGTTTATCTTTGAATAGTGATTGTAAAAATGGTGCAAGTAAATGTAAACAATAGAAAAATAACATTCATGTTCTTAACAAAGCAAAGCATATCAGACCTAAAAGATCTGTAGGTAGAAAAGTGATCTTTCTCTTTAATAGTTTCTGTTTCTTACGTCGAATTATTATACGAACTGTCTCCAAACCTAAGGCATTAATATTTAAAATGCTAGGTGTTACAATAGTGGTTTAGAATGCTTCTTTGAAACAAAAATCCCATCTAGCAAATTTAATATACTTAGGCCACAGAATATATTCTTCATTCTTAAATAACTGCCAAAGTACCCGTAATGCTAATTCAATTGAGACTTTTTCGGTAAAGGGCAGTGCCTATTAGCACATTAACATTCATAAAAAATGATGGCTTTTAGAAGCACATCTTAGAATAAAATGGAAGAGTACTCTTTGTAGGCTTAAAATGGTCACAGCTCTAATATCTACAATGATTCTAAAACACTTTTCCTGATTCTAAAAGAATACAATTATTGATGTGCTCTGTGACCTGGAAAAAGACTGCAGAAAACCCAAGACAGCAGTGTCTCTGATGAAACAATCGATCTATTCTCAGTTATTGTTCTACTTACATTTCATCCTTGCTTGTTAATTTGAAGTTTATAAAATGCCCAACACTGTCTCATCAATGATTTATCTGTACAGTTTTTTTTACTGTATTTTAAGTAGTTTTAAAACATACAACTCTCTAAAAACCATGCTAAAAAGGTACAAGTACAGTTATTTTACTTAATATTTTTAAAGACAAAGGAACTTTAAATCTTCATTACCAACACTATTATAACCACCATCTGATCTCTTGCCATTCTTACTCTTTCGAGATTGTGTTTTTATAATTGCCCTTCTCTCTTGTGTATTCATAAACTCTTACTTTCCATTGACACATTATTCTCAGGAAATAAACATTTGCCTCTCTTTCTTATATTAAGTAAGGGTTTCAAAGGAGTCAGAGGCCCTTCTGAAGCCACCACAATTGAGCCTACTATTTGCCACCAAAATTCTTAATGCTGGTAGAACAGTTGATGTATATTGGCTCAAATTCCTCACCTACAACACTCAGTGGGCATCCTGACCCTATAATGCTACCTAAATTACTTTTTCCAAAGACAGGTAATGACCTAATTGCCATATCGCAATTTAGTCATCCTTCAATAAGATGTTTGCCAGTATTTAACCATCTCTTCTAAAGAAAACCACATACACACACACACACACACACACATACACACACACACACACACGCACATCATCATGATCACCTAAGCATCAAAAATAACATTGTTTTTGCTCTCTTTCAGTAAATCTGTTCACTATTAAATTCCTTTTCACAGTTTCCCATATTTTACTTGATTTTAAATTTGACAGATGAACTGCCCCTAGGTCTTCACTTCTCATTTTACATAGTATCTTCGGGCAACTCACTCCATTCCCATGATTTCAAGTGGCCAGCATTGAAATGAAATCTTTTCATATTTGGCCCTTAAAATATTGATGCGTTTCCCCTCTTTTCAGAATATCATGAGATTTTAAAAATATATATTATTGTCGAATTTTGACAAATACTTTTTTGGCATCTATTGAGATGGTCTTTTTTTCTGTTTTACTCTCTTAATAGTGACATCCATCTTACACACATATCTTGCACGCTGATTTTTCAAAAGTTACATTCATCTTACCTACTGGAATAAATCTAACTTGGCCGCAATGCATTATCCTTTTTATACATTGTTGGATTAGATTTGCTAATACTATATTAAGAATGTTTGTAACTATGTTGATGAGGATATAGTTCTGTGGATTTATTCTAATTGTTTTTAGTATTAAAATAATGCTGGCATTAGCATCATAGAATGACTTTTGATAATATAATCTCTTCTGCAATTGCCATTTAACTTGTGTCTCTACTTGTTCCTTGATACATTTGGCCTTTTGTTTGGTATAGCAGACAGGGTGATCCAGTTAAAAATATAATTTAGATCATTTGCCATTCTCTAATACTAGATGAGTGCTCACTACCTTTGTATCTAAAGAAGTGTCAGATGACCAGTCACAGAGGCTTATTTTTTTTTTTGAGAATGACAGCTAAAACCATTCCTAACAGGTCAGTTGCAGACAAAAGAAAACAATTCTTGCAGAAATGAGTATAACTAAGTCCAAGATGGCTTACAAATTTTTTGTAGTCCTAGAGTGGTAGGTTCTAGATGAAGCTTCCTCCAATAATCCTCAGCCTCCAGGGTCATGCTGTTCCTGCTATGACTGACCAAGATGCTGCTGAGGCCTCAGGAAGCCAGCATCTCAGGAAGTCTTGCTAAAATTTGTATCAATGAACGAATGCCTTGCACCATGCTTCTCTCTGCCCAAACACATTTCAATTCTGAATCAGAAATCACAGATGTACATCACAGTATAGAATTGAAATTATCCTGAAACAATCTACCTACAAGTGAATTTAGAAACGTACACTTTTTTGTGTGTGTGCATGTGTATTATATTAATTGTTGCTATTTTTTGTTAGTTTATTTTTAGCTTTATAGCTAAGAAGGTACACTTAAAGATATTGGAATGAGCAATAAATAAATCAGGTTTCAGATGAATCCTCTTTCGAATAGGAGCATTGGATTTGTGCATTGTGGCAGCTCTGCTCCATTAAAAAATAATGGCTTCTGCAATTAAAAAAATGTATGTGTGTGTGTATATACATATATATATGTGTGTGTGTATATATATATATTTAGACTATACTTTCAGGTTTCTTCCATAATTAAATGACATAAAAATGGAAATACAGAAAAAAAGTCAAGATTTGTATTCTCTTTGAACATTTTAAAATTTTTATGAAGTTACATGTTTTAATGAAATGATTCAAATATTTAAATTAAATTACTTTATTGTGACTTCATATAGAAAATCATGATGTATTTGCAGGAAAAAATGCTGGCATTTTTAGAAGAAAATTTTCATTTAAAATATTTGATGCAGTTACTCAACATTTTAGCTGCTTAGAATAACACAGAACTTAAAATTAATCAATTTTTTTTGGTGATTAGCATTTGATATGTGTGCTAGCTATAATTAAGAAATAATTGATATTAAGGTTTCTGTAGTGTAGCAGTTATCACCTTTGCCTCACAAAATAATTGAGGCTATTGTCAAAATTCATCAAAGGAATTTGAGCACTATGTATTGCTGTACCAACTAGTCAATAACAAATTATATGATCAAATGAAATAATTTTAGTGCTTACTACAAGAGAAGAAAAAAACACTTTGCAAAATTGTGAAGTATAATATATTTCATTAAATAAAAAAAGAATGATGCTATGTATTTTGGAAATTTTAATACTAGTTTAAACTCCTGTATTTTTATATTCAAAATGTATGAGTATAATGTTATTTTTGGCTTTACTCAGTTCTGCTAGGTTCAAACTTACAAACATGTGCAAACAAACACACACGTAGATTGTCTATTATGACAATACTCAAATTATAGTAAACTAATTTTTTATTGTTCTGTTCTGGAAACAGAATTGAAAAACAATGTCATTATGTGTAAAACATAATCAAAGCTATTTTTATTTAGATTCCAAACAATAGTCTCATTGCTATTTTTATTCCCTTGAATGGAAGTATTTTATATGACTCAGTAGATTGCAATATTTAACTTACTATTTTTATTCATCTTTATTTCATTTAAGACATTAATGTTTGCTAAAGAGAAAAAAAAAGTTTATCTTCCCTCACACAGCTTTCTAAATATAACTCCCTTATTTTAATCCCTATGTAAACTTTTGATGCCCAGCCATATTTTGTTCATATTAAATTCAGTAAATAAATCCTGCAGCACACTTGTTCATGAACATTAAATGAAGGCAGACTTATGAGTAAATACTTCTTGTCTCAAACTGAATGTTTCCTAAATGCTATTTGAAATGTTTCATCAACATTTAAAAAGTTATCTTAAATATTCCACAACAAAAAAAGACAACAAATTATAAATAGCATTTTAACCCAAGAACCAAAATGTCCCAAACTTCTGGATTATGATACTTTGGCCCATAATAGATGCTGTGGCTTTCTGGTAAGAAACGATGCCTTTAAGAAAAAAAAAATCTGCCTAGAAGGTAGATTTTACAGACTTTACTTTCTGTTTTGAATTTGGAAATGACCCCAGACAGATTTTCATAGCATGTCAAATTATCAGTAAATAAATCAAGTTAAGAGATTGCTGAATTATATTATTTACATGAGGTTAACTTTTTTTAAGTTAGTATTTTCTGTTAGCAATAAAGACTGCTCAGCTACTTCAGTCAATTCTCCATCTTTTCACACAAACAGACTTACATCTTAGGAAGCAAATTCTATTTGCTTTTAACATATATATGGGAAGGATGTTCCGATAAATGGGTCAAACTATTTTCTGAGTTGAATTTATACAGAAAATTTTCTGTCAGTATGAATGAAAATTACCAGGAAGTAGATAATGCTATTGTTTCATCACTATATATATATATATTTACACACATATAAAACATAATTGATAAATAACAGTATATATATATTTCATCACTATATATATATATAAAACATAATTGATGAATAACTGTAAACACTCAGACTTCTTTACTTCAAATAGAGCTTGGACAGGACTCTTTCATTTTAAAAAGCACATTGGTTCAGTACTTATGAACTTCCTGTTACCAAGAGTAACTCTTAAAGACAGTGAGAAATTGCTCATTGAGAAATTGTTTAACTAGTCCAAACCTACACACATCTATTCATCATTTAGCTTCTGGTTTAGAACATCAAAGGTATTTAATAAATACATGTCATAGAACTCAGTAGTGGATATTTTTACAAAGGCAATCAACAAAACATATTGATTCTCAAAACTGTGTTAACAATGTTTGCACGTGTCAGAGCTACAGGGGTTGAGAGTACTGGTAGATATTTCTGAAAATGATAAGGTTCTGCAATGAAGGTCTTGGGAAACGGAAAAATCCTATAAGTCACCAATTATAAGGTGCATATTTTTCATATTGTAACATTTAAAATTAGGATGTATGTTACAATCAATACTGTATTAAAATCAAAGTTTGTCAATCTGTCAATGTCACGTTTTTATTGTTTCAACATGCATGGAATTTGGTTGTATGATTAAGAAGATATCTGCATCAAAACTTACAAAATGGGAGGCTGTGTCTTGGAAGAAAATCTCAGAGGCCATACTGGAGCACTGTCTTAAGAAACAAATTACTAAATCCTCTTGATGACAGAGAATGATTCTGAATATCAAACACTGACAATTCAAGCTGAAACATAATTTAGTAAAAGTTGAGGCAGAATTTGGAACAGTTTCAGAAGTTTATTTCACTTATGTTTTCCTTTTATGTACACACAAAAGTGCTACATGATTAAATATATGTTTAAGCCTAAAGGCATATTTATACTAGTATAAGATAATTATAAGTAGAATGAAACATTATATATCATATTAACAATATCAACAGTGATTTTTGTTTCCTTTGAGGATTAGAAATTTTAGAACCAGACACAGCCAATGATGCCTTAGATTTGATAAAATATGGCAATGGTGATATAATATGAAAACTAAGATAGAGAAAAACACAGAGCTATGCAAGATCCAATGAGAGTAGTAAATTAGCATAGCCTGTGGAAGTAAGGGGAATATTTGAAAAAGAACCGACAATGGAACTGAGCCTTGAAGGAAGACACACAGATTTTGACCAGTAGGAGAAAAGCAAAGGTTTTCCCTACAACAGGCACAGAAGCATGACTTTGCATAGTGTCCAACACAAAAAAAACGGCCATAAATGTTGTTGAAGCATTTTGTGCAATGTGTTTCTTAAAGTATTATAAAAGAAATATGTTCATCACTGAAAGGTTTCTGTGGTCAAATAAGGTTAAGAAAAACTGCATATTATATCCTCTCCTCCTTTGGAAATTTCACAATATTACATTAATGAATTAGAGATTTGGTTTAATTTTTTAAACTGAATATATTTTGACACAGGATATACTCTTGGGAAATGTCAGGGTAGAGAATAGATTAAAAGGGGAAGGGTGTAGAGATAGGACTGATTATATAACATAGGCCTTTAGGCCTTTTGCATATCAAGCACGATGCTTCAAAGAGTTTTGGGTTTTCTTATTGGAGAAATTATTGGCCATCAAAAAATGAACAGAGAGTCTGTATTTGAAATAAAAAAGTTAAAAATAAAAAAGTTGAGATTTAAAAAAATTAATACAATTTAATGTTAGCTTTTCAAGAAGAAGGAATAAATCATTTGCTCTTCTTCCACTACATAATAGGTATGCAATGTGAATGCTAATGATAAAATAGACTAGACAAGTGTGACTCTAAAATAAAATAGAAAGAAAAAACAGTACTGGATATATTATTGATTGTCTCTGAAGCATCTTCCAGCTAATTACATTTTAAAATACTCATAAAACTATTGAAATATAGATCAACATAATACAATAGAAATTGAATTATTGAAGAATAATTCCTATGATAAATCCAATTGTTTTAAGGAATTTTAAAAATAATAATAATAATTACTATTTTTGAGACAGTGTCTCTCTCTGTTACCCAGGCTGGAGTGCAGTGGCACTGCAAGAACTCACGGCAGCCTTGACATCCCAGGCTCAAGTGTTCCTCCCACCTCAGTCTCCCAAATAGCTGAGAATATAGGCTTGTGCCACTATACCCCGCTAATTTTTTTATATTTTGTAGAGACAAGGTCACACTATACTGCCCAGGTCCCGAACTCCTGGGCTTAAGTGATTCTCCAGCCTCTGCCTCCCAAATTGCTCAGATTATAGATGTGAGCCACTATGCCTGGACTAAAATTTGTTGATGTAAGGATAGAATGTTTGGAGGTTTACCTGTAAATTCAATATGTATATAAATGGATATTTACACATAAAATTTGACAATTCATTTAGTTTGCAACCCATTTTCCCAAAATGAGGATTAATTATCCATCCCCATTAAAACATATCTTAGAATAGGTTCATAGCTTACCTTCCTTAATGTGACTTAGCAAGACAGTATTTTGGGATAGATTGCCAGGTAAATTATGATGTATATAATCATATGAAAGCTTATCATCAGGGTCTGTTAATCAGCTCAACCTAGTTGGAAAACATTCTAGTAAAGTATTACAATAAATCACTTATCCAATCTCACTGATTGTATTATTTTATTTTCATATGAAGATTGAAACTTGAGTGTATTAACATCATACAAAGCCTGAGGATGCATTAGGTCTGGCTTTGCATTTCACTAAATATGACGTTGGGAAATGCTGTTAAGACCACAAAAGAAGAAACATGACCTTCACAACAATAAAACAGTATCATACATGCTGGTCAAATACACTGAGCACTAGCAAGGGCTGAAAATATTGTTTTAAGCTAAGAGATGTAATTGGTAAGTAAATGCACTTTTGACTGTCCCATGTTTTCGACATGATTTTTGAAACTCTGATTCTTTTTACTTTTCTTCAGACGTAAAATAAAAGTACAATGGATGCATAGGGAATAGCACAGCTGCAGGTCTGAGTAACTTAGTTGACACATTTGCTTTGTTTTTCCCCAGCAAGAGTAACAGCCGTGGTGGCAGCATCTGGATCCTTGATTGACAGCATTATGGAAAGTTACTGGCCAGATACTCCTTACTTAAGTTGGCACCAATCAACTTGCCTGGGGATCAGTCAAATGGGGTGAGGTGAGGGGGACTTCAGGAGATCCTTCCCAGATGGATGCCAAATTCCTTTGATAGCCCTGTCATTGTCAAGAATTTCTTCAAGTTTATGTGTATAAGAATAAAATCTTGTTCAAGTTTATGATGATTTCTTCCACATGTTAAGACCCTTTTTATGACACAGAACAAAGGCCAAAATCATTCAAGTAGAGGCAAACGGAGGGTTCAAAAGATCTATTGGCTGACACACAATTTGATGCATTATTAAACTACATATTTCACCATGTGATAGAGAATTCATTTTTCAATGTGTTAGATGAAATAAAATTTCTACCAAAATGAAAGAACCCTTTTGAGATGTCAGATTTACAGCACAGCTGAAAAGATTAATGACTTCAACCCAGAGAAATTTTATTTACAGATAATGCAAAGAAAGAACAAGCTGATTTCATAGTTTGACACCAACGAATGAACAGAACATTTATCTAGTAAAACTATCACTTTCTTTTAGATGCCAAGAGCAAATTTGCTGAGGTTAACCACAAATGAAGATTTATAGTATATAAGGGTTAGATGAAATACTAAAAAACCTTAACTTTCTGATGTTTAATTCCTCGGCAAATGTCTGCTTTTGTCAGGCTATGCTTTGAGACCACCAGTGATAGAAGTTCTCTACTTTCTGAGGCAGACAATTGAAAAGTATATCCTTGTCTTTCATGGAACTTATTAACCCTCTAGATAATATGATCTAACAATATCTGTGGTATCTGATACCACTTATGTTAGTCTGCTTTCCAGATATTTGAAGGCAACCATTTTATCCTACCACTCTTCCTATTTTGACTCAGCCATTTTCAGGACAGCTGACTCACCTTCCAACAATTATGGTTTGTATATTTTATAACCATTTATTTCCCTTGCATACATTTCAATTTGAATATAGTTCCTAAAGTGTAATTCTTAAAACTAAGTAAGACTAAATTTGAACCAACCATTCTGGAATATAACACATTTAATAATTACAAACCAAGATTCTATTAAATAATACAAGTACTATTTAATATGGTAGATTCAAGGACATAGAGAATCCACAGGATATCCCAGAAATATCAAATCAAAAAGGTCAGTATTTGTTTAATTCATTATTACCTTTGTTGGCTAACATAAGAAACTATTGTACCCATTCTTTATCTTCAAAAAGCTTATAATCTAATGGGATAGGAAACTAGTAGTTACATGATAAAAATTGAGTGTAGGAAGCACTATTGTTGAAACACAGCATATTCTATCTTTTCTGTTGAGGAGATGTGAGGTCTTCAAACTCTAAATTCCTTTTGTTCATTGCCAATTATGGTTTAGATAATTAACCTAAGAATGTCAAGTCTATTATCTTACTTTTCATCTGTTGTTGTTTCATCATTATTCATAAATTTCACAAGTATTTTATTTGCTCAGTAAAATTATGAAAATATCTCTTATTCTGTTTTCATCATTTTTTTTCTGATTTATTTTCCTTTTCTTTTTTCCTACTTTTATTTTGGATTCAGGGAACACATGTGCAGGTTAGTTACATGGGTAAATTGCGTGTCACTGAGACTTGGTCTACCAATTATCCCATCACCAAGATAGTCAGCATAGCATCCAATAGGTAGCCTTTCAATGCATGACTCCCCCTCACCCTCCATTGTCAAGCAGTCCCCAGTGTCTATGGGTCCCATCTTCATGTCCATGTGTATGCAATACTTAACTCCTACTTCTTTGATAGTTTCTTTTGCTGTGCAGAAGTCTTTTAGTTTAATTGGGTCCTACTTGTCAATTCTTGTTTTTGTTGTAATTGCTTTGGGGGATTCAATCACAAATTCGTGCCAAGGCTCATGTCCAGAATGATATTTCCTTAGTTTTAGAATGTTTATGGCTTTTAGACCTTACATTCAAGTTTTTAATCTATCTTAAGTTTTTTTATTTGGTGAAAGGAAGGGGTCCAATATTCTGCATATGGCCTGCCCAGTTATCTCAGCACCATTTATTGAAAGGGAGTCCTTTCCCCATTGTTTGTTATTGTCAACTTTGTTGATCTGGTAGTTGTAGATGTGTAGCTTTCTTCTGGGTTCTCTATGTTGTTCCATTGGTCTATGTGTCTGTTTTTATACCAGTACCATGCTTATTTGGTTAGCATAGCTTTGTAATATAGTTTGAAGTCAAGTAAGGTGATGACTCTGACTTTTTTTTTTTTTTTCCTTAGAATTGCTTTGGTGATTCAGGTTCTGTTTTGGGTTCCATATAAATTTTAGAATCATTTTTTCTAATACTGTGAAAAAATGATGTTAGTAGTTTGATAGGAATAGCATTGAATTTAAAAATTGTTTTGGGCAGTATGGCCATTTTTAAAATATTAATTTATCCTATCTATGAGCATGGAGTGTTTTCCCATTTGTTTGTGTCATCTCTGATTTCTTTTACCAGTGTTTTGTAATTCTCATTGTAGAGATTTTTCACTTCCTGGGTAAATTGTATTCCTAGTTTCTTTTTTTTTTTATTCTTTCTGTGGCAATTGTAAATGAGATTGCATTTTTGTTTTGTCTCTCAGCTTGGATATCATTGGTGTATCAAAATGCTACTGATTTTGTATGTTGATTTTGTATCCTGAAGCTTTAATGAAGTCACTTACAGTTCTAGGAGCCTTCTGGGATAGTCTATAGGTTTTTCTAGGTATAGAATCATATCACCTGTAAGGAGAAATTATTTGACTTTTTCTCTTCCTATTTTATACCTTTCATCTCTTTTTCTTGTCTGATTGCTCTGGCCAGAATGTCCAGTACTATATTGAATAGGAGTGCTATGAGTAGTCATCCTTGTCTTGCTGCAGTTTTCAAGGAGGTCTTTTAGCTTTTGCCTATTGGGTATGATGTTGGCTATAGGTTTGTCATTTATGTTTTTTTTTTTTTTTTTTACGTATGATAACAAAAAAGAAATCTACAAAATGCTAAAAATCAGTACTAGTAATGTGTTTTTAACAAATAAAAAGCCTTTTCTTTAAAAATATTAACATTGCTGGCCGGACACGGTGGCTTACGCCTGTAATCCCAGCACTTTGGGAGGCCGAGGCCGGCAGATCACAAGGTCAGGAGATCGAGACCATCCTGGCAAACGCGGTGAAACACCGACTCTACTAAAAATACAAAAAATTTGCCGGGCATGGTGGCAGGTGCCTGTAGTCCCAGCTACTTGGGAGGCTGAGGCAGGAGAATGGCGTGAACTGGGGAGGCAGAGCTTGCAGTGAGCCAAGACTGCGCCACTTTACTCCAGCCTGGGCGACAGAGCGAGACTCCATCTCAAAAAAAAAAAAAAAAAAAAAAAAAAAATTAACATTGCTTCACTAATTCTGAAAGTGGCCATAAAATCTCTTTGGGAATTCCAAGTCAGGTTTTCATTCTATACTCTGTTTGTTTGTTTTATCTCAAATATTAAAGCTCAAGATATTTCATAAAAATCAAGTCACTTAAACTTTTTTCTACTTTTGCTGAATTGATTTAATTTAAAAATAATATATGCTTGCATATATTTTAACATCATATTTTAAAAAAGTTTTCTGGTGTATGCTGAAAATCAAATAATTATTTATGCACAAATAGAAAAATGTCTGCACGTTTCCAAAGAACAAAGGTAAAAACATCACTGAACATGATTTGTACATATTGAATATTTCTTGTGCTGCTTTTCTTTTCTTTTTTTTTTCTTTTTTTTTTTTTTTTGAGACGAAGTCTCGCTCTGTCGCCCAGGCTGGAGTGCAGTGGCGCGATCTCGGCTCACTGCAAGCTCCGCCTTCCGGGTTCACGCCATTCTCCTGCCTCAGCTTCCTGAGTAGCTGGTACTACAGGCGCCCGCCACCACGCCCAGCTAATTTTCTTGTATTTTTAGTAGAGACGGGGTTTCACCGTGTTAGCCAGGATGTTCTCAATCTCCTGACCTCGTGATCTGCCCGCCTCGGCCTCCCAGAGTGCTGGGATTACAGGCGTGAGCCACCGCGCCCGGCTTCCTGTGATGTTTCTTAAGGTATGTACATGAATAAACTTATTGGCTTCCTCTCCAAGTAATATTCATGCCCAAGAATTTTAGATTATCTCACCCATGGCAACTTTTGATATTCTAGTATTCTATTTTATTGTTGATCTTCAACATGAAAACTCTTGGCATAAGATGAATTATCAGCTTAAATTGCTGCAGTCAATGAGATAATTTTCTGTGGGATATTATTCTTGCAGTTCTTTAATTATTCTCTGTTTAAATAGATCGCTAGGGTTAGAATTACCAAATAACAATCACACTAAGGAAGTTATCTTGAAAATATCATAGTCCATTTAGTTTTTCACAAGTACCTTTACAAAATGTAAGACTGAATGGTCCAACAAGTTTCTCTACAGCAGGAATTCTCAGAACTTACATAAATATGTTCATAGGAATTATAAGTTCTGGTACATTATAATTTTACAAGGGATAATACAATAGGCAATAGTTTAGAAACTATATGTGTGTTTATATATACCTATATATATATATACATTTCAGAATCTCTGTGTGTGTGTATTTATAGATAAACATGTCTAGAGAAAGATTTGGAAATGTGAATATATGTGTATGTGATGTGTGTATATATATGCACACAAAAAAGTGTGTATAGATAGATAGCTGTGTATGTATACATATGCATATGTGTATGTATACATATGTATATATGTATGTGTAGATAGGTGTGTATGTATGTGTATATATATGTATGTATATGAATATGTGTATATGTGTAGACAGGTAGATAGGTGTGTATGTGTATATATATATTGACATGTACATATATATCAATATGTGTATACATATATACATGTATATATACGTGCATGCCTATGTATCTACACTAGTGTATTTACACTAGTGTAGATACATAGATACAATAGATAGACAAATAGGAAGATAGATGATAGATAAATAGAAAGATAAGAGTGATTTAATAAATGTTGTTATGGGCAAAATTTTCATCTCACAGAAATGTAAAAAGAATGAAGAGATAATTGTTTCATGTTTTGCTCAGGATCAAACAATTAATGGTGGAACTTGGTTTTAAATATAGATCTTAGAAATACAGATCTTATAGAAATATAGATCTTCTGTTGTCTATTCAGTACTCTTTATCACCGTTTTATAACACCACTGCATTCACAGTAGAGTTGTTGAATTATGATCTCTGGTTTAAAAAAGTGGACAAATTGTGATAATTTAAGAGGAAAAATTTAATAGAACATCAAATTTTCCCAAAACAGTTGCTTTCAAACAACATGTAATATCTGTTAAAATACTCATCTACACTTTGCCTTTTGCCTTTGTCAATATCAAGCTTTTTAAAAACATTTCATGCCACTTTTCATCCGTTCTCCTCAATATGTACCTTGCTTTCTCTATTTGTCTGTGTGTACGTGTATATGTATGCATGTCTTCTCCATATTTACTATTATATTTCTATCTCCATGTGTTCTTCTTTAATCAATTATCCATTCAATCAATCAAACATCACATTGTGATTATCAATCTTATGCCACAGTGTGCTAGACACCAATGAGATAACAACTTTAGGCAAGGTTATTTCTTTCCAGCAGTGGTAAAAAGAAAATTGGCTTATTTAAGTTGAAACATTACATTCTTCTTTGGGGTCAGGGGGAGGGTCTTGCTCTGTCACCCAGGCTGGAGTGCAGTGGTGCAAAATTTGCTCACTGCAACCTCCGCCTCCTGGGCTCAAGCAATCCACCCTCCCCATCCTCCGGAGTCCCTGGGGCCACAGGCACTGTATCACCATGGCTGGCTAATTTTATTTTATTTTATCTTTTTTGAGATGGAGTCTCTGTCACCAGTCTGGAGTGCAGTGGCAGATCTCGGGTCACTGCAACCTCTGCCTCCAGGATTCAAGCCATTCTCCTGCCTCAGCCTCTGGAGTAGCTGGGACTACAGGCGTGTGCCACCACGCCCAGCTAATTTTTGTATTTTTAGTAGAGACGGGGTTTCTACGATGTTGGCCAGGATGGTCTCAATCTCTTGACCTCGTGATCTGCCCGCCTCAGCCTCCCAAAGTGCTGGGATTACAGGCGTGTAGAGACAGGGTTTCACCACGTTGCCCAAGCTAGTTTCGAACTCCTGGACTCAAGAGATTCGCCCCTGTCAGGCTCCCAAAATGCTGGGATTGCAGATTGGAGCCACTGCTCCCGGCCTACATTCTTCAATGTTATAATTGTCTACAAAGGCAACAAAAATTAAGAAAACCTGGTTTGATAGTACAGTAGCATGACTATCATTAATAATTTATTGTATGTTTAAAAATAGCCAAAAGAGAATTGACATGTTCCAGCACGAGGATGTTTGAGGCGTTAGATATTCTAATTACTCTGATTTGATTATTACACATTATATACATGTATCAAAGTATCACATGCACCCCCAAAACATGTACAACAATTCTGTTTCAATTAGAAATTTAAAAAAAGAAACTGGCATCAGTATGGATTCTAAAGAGTGAGGTGAAGTTTTAGAAGAGAGAGGATTTGACCTAGTACCCCATGTTTTTAGGAGAGCAAAAAATAAATTTCCTGCAATGGTGAAAGCACAGATGTATGAATGAAAATAATGTAGACAGCCTCACTCATGAATAAATTGCATATATTGTGGAGAATCGTGGAATGGAATGGATGTTTGGAATGGAATGGAATGGATGTTTGAAGCCAGAATATTTTATCTAGCAGTAAGATGTACCTTATTTTTAAATAAAAATATAAAAATTTGATAATGATTTCAACACATGCAAAAACTGATAAATATTCAACATTTATTTATTAACAAAATTCACATGTTAGCAAAGAAGGTATAGAAGCAAATATCCTTCACAAGATCAAAATTAAACAAAAAAAGCATATATTTTAGTAAATAGAGAGCTATTAGAAATATTTCCTTTAGTTTCAGTAAAAGTAAAAATATCATAATTGTTTTTACTGCTTTTCATATTACATGGGTGGTTTTGTATTTATAATAGTATATACAAGAAGTAGAGGTGAGAAATATTTTTCTTCATCAGACGATAATATACTTATTTGCAATGGACAATCTAACAAAATTTTCGATTGCTTATTAAAATTATACCTAAACACAGCAGTCTCATGGATGTATATGCATATAAAAAAACAATTTTATATGCTACTGAAAACTAATTGGAAAATATAATTTTAAAATAACACAGTGGTAGGATTTTTTAGTACTTTGGAATAGTAAAATAGGAAAAATATTTATGGATATAATTATACTTTTTAATGAATGTTTTAAAATAAGACTGAAATGTGTAAAGACATATCATATTTATAAATACAAATGTCTAATATTCAAGAGATTTCAATTACCTATAAATTAACATAAAAATTTAAAGCAATAAAATCAAACCCACTAAGGATTTTTTTCATGAAAACTGAAAAATCTTCTTTAAATTCGTATGAAATTTTAAAGGCCAATGATAGTCAACACAACATAATATGGCAGCATAAGGAGTGAAGATATGACATAAAGATTTAAGGGACAATATTAAGCTATAAAATTGAAGGATTATGGTATATGGGCTAAGCATTGGCAAATGAATTAATAAAATGAAATAGAAAATGCAGAAGTAGAACTTCAACATTATAAAAAATATATGTATGCCATAGGTATCCTTTCAAGTATAAAAAGCAAAGAAAGCCGTAGAAGATGCTCACATAGGACCCAGCAAAATCCCTGCTGCCAATACATCCTAGAGTAAAGAAACCCCATAAAGTAGATTTCGATACTGGAAAATACAAATACATTATAAAATATTCACACTATGGCATGTCAAGTGGAAGGCAAAATAAATGAACTTGATTTATATTTACCAAGATGGATACATCTTAAAAATAATTTTGTTTAAAACATGTTTAAAAACATATATTATGACAGCAAGTTTATTTTTATACATTTGAAACAATCTACTTTTACTGTTTCTATATGTATTATGTATTTGTATGTATGCAAATACGTGCATATATAGTCATATGCATAAGCAATATGATAAAAACAGATGCAATAGTACTTAAATTTGAAAAGGAAAGGAAAAAAGTGAGATTGTGGAGGAAATTAAAAACATAACTTCAACTCTATCTGTAAAGCTTTATTTAAAAGATTTCCAAATTTGTTTAGTTGAATACCTTTTCACTGGACTGGAGTTGATAGAAATGATTGACATATAATATAATATGCTAATAGCTCTTATATGAAGTAAGAAAGCCTCACTCTTCACTTTCATTAAATTCTTAGTAAATGCTCTGGTTTTCTTACATTGTCTAATGGAAGATGACAGACTATTGCTAGTAGAACCACTTTCATACTCTCTTAGCATATCCTGAATAGATGGTTCAGTGACTTGATTTAGAATGTGGCAGTATTTGAGTCTATATTTAAGTCTGGAACTTGGGATTCTTGGGATTCTTCCTACCCTTGAGGTAGGAAGAATCATATTTTGACATGCTTCTCTAATGATCTTGTCCCCTCTATTTTCCCCCTTCAAATGAGCCTGCAGATTCCTACCATAATTTTCTTGCCAAAGTATAATTCAAATCATGATCTTACTTTGCTTAAAATAAACATTACTATTTTTCCATTGCTTTATAAATGGGTAAAGAGTCTACAATCTGCATTCAAAATCAGTTGTAATATGTACCCAAATTGTATTTCTGACTTTCTCGCCATTCAGAATACATGATAACAGAAAAAAAACAAAAGGAGTGGGGTATTATCATTTATTGTTTTTCTTCCATAGTGGGATGAGAGTTTGGTAAGAGAGGGTGCATAATTATTAGCTTTTTAGGAACCTAGGATTTTCTAATTTTGCATCTCTGATCATTAAAATCTGTTTTTTTCCAAGGGCCATATAACACTCTGATCCTCTTTGACCTATACCCTTTAAGGGAAACAAGTTAATTAAAAAATATTTATTCCATGCCCATTATGTGCCAGACACTCTGCTAAACACTGAGGATAAAGGAATGAATGCAAAGTACAAAAAGAGCAATGAACAAAGTAGACAAATATCATTTCCTCCTGCTTTTATAGTCTGTTGAATATAATCTGTTATTTCAATTTCTACTATCATCAGCCCCTCCCTACCTTACATCCAATTTTATCCAAGGCTAATATCCTTAAAATAACGATATTCCCAATATTGCTATGTTAACTCTCTTTATATCCCTAACTCTCTTATCTCTGTTTCATGAGCAGTGCACATAGCAATGACTTAATGCATATCTTGATTTTACTTCATCGAATAACATATATTTGGTGTTATAAAATATGACAATTGATTCTAGAGTAGATACTTAGTCTGAGAAAATGTAGAATGAATAATAGCTTGAGAGAGGCAGACATTATACATGAGTTAAAGGTCTTTTGTTGAAGTTTGATATATAATATCGCTTTCTAATATGGCGAGATCGAAGGGGTCTGCAGAGACAATAACTTTATGGTCAAAGATTAAGAATTGTTAGAAGAATGTGTTTTTATGTTGCTAATACAATAGCAAGGGATAGACAGGAAGAAAATGTGAAACAGCTGTGTTATATTCTAGGAAGTCTTAAATAATTCTAAACAGTTATTTTTTTTAAAAAAAAAAGATTATTTGAAGGCTTGTGGAAATAATCAGGTTTTGGTGATAGCAAAAAGTAGACACAAAAGAAGGGTATAGAAAAATATACCAAAATAAGTTAGTGAAAGAAGGCATATAGAAAAACATAACCACTGTAAGTTAGTAAAAGACAGAGAACAGTAATATAAGTAAAAATTATATTGTAGTAAATTCTTATAATTTTATGGTGCCTCAGCATCCATTTTAAAGATAAGTTGGACTTTCTCACACCAGAAGCAGGGCTAAGACAGGCTTACCAAAGTTTCTAGTTTTCCACCTCCTCCCCCTTTCTCAAGCTGGTTGATGCAGATGTCTGCCCTGTACAACCACCTTCTATTGACCACACTCGTATCAGACAGCTAGATAAAACCTACTTGATTCACCCCACTGCCACCCACACCCTGCATGGGCTATGCAGCAGATAATGCTTCTCAGTCACGAGGTGACCTTTTGGAACTCATGCCTGCTTGCATTAAACCCACCAATTAGAAGTTCCATACGGGCCGGGCGCGGTGGCTCACGCCTGTAATCCCAGTACTTTGGGAGGCCGAGGCGGGGGGATCACGAGGTCAGGAGATCGAGACCATCCTGGCTAACACGGTGAAACCCTGTCTCTACTAAAAAGAAAATACAAATATTAGCTGGGCGTGGTGGCGGGTGCCTATAGTCCCAGCTACTTGGGAGGCTGAGGCAGGAGAATGGCGTGAACCCGCAAGGCGGAGCTTGCAGTGAGCCGAGATCGTGCCACTGCACTCCGGCCTGGGCAACAGAGCGAGACTCTGTCTAAAAAAAATAAAAATAAAAATAAAAAAAAATAAGAAGTTCCATAGGAAACTTGATTTGGTAATGCCCTGTATCCCATTGAAAGCCTTTGTTCTACAGGACCTCTCTTCTCGCTCGCTCTCTCGCGCGCTCCCTACCCTCTGGTTAAACATGCATGTCCTGGATAGCTTCCCCATCCCCGTTGGCTCTGTGAGCATGAGGTCATAAGGCCGTTTTCTCCCTGGGAACTGCAAGTAATGTACTGATTCTGTTATTTCATGTGTTTTGTTTCACTGCCTCCTCCATATTTCATCTGACCAATACACTCAAACTTAACTCTCCTTTCAGTCAGGGCTCTTCTAGAAAGTAGCTATCTTGGTAGGAATAAACTGAACACAGGTCAGGCAAAAGCCACAGGGTATTTGACAATATAAACAAGTTTCCTTTGAGAGAGACGCTTGGTCACAGGCCAGATGCTTACACATTAGGCCGCCTGACAGGATAAAGAGGTGTCTTATTAAAGGCACGTCACTGTAAACAGCCATAGCTACATCCTCTGGAGCTCCCTCAGGGCAAGCAACAGTTTATGGCCACTTAGAAAGACAGACACTTTAAGAACAAATTAGAGAAAAACACACCAGATACTTATACATGAAACCTTTCATATAGAGTGCAGAATACATTTTCCTTATCGTATTCAATACCTATAGCAAACTTGTGAAACAGGAATATGATTATGACTTCCACTCTATTCTTTATATCCTCATTCCAGTCCCACCGCATGGCACTAAAACTATTTGTCTACAATTTTGGTAGAATTTGTCGGTGTGAGACAAGATACACTCTTCTAAGTCTATATGGGAAATTTGATTTCCAGCTACTTGGCAGGTTTTCTTGCAAAATTATTATGTATTCTATTAATTAAAAATGGTTATTTATCTAATATCTATGATAATATGCTGTTCCTAAAATTTCCTACTTTAATTTGTAGAATAATTTTCTGTATTATTCTACTACAACTACTGCATAACATTTACAAAGTTAAGCATTTACTGTTGGACTATGTGTAGGTCTATATTATGCAGTGGGTCATTTGTTCTTTCTAATAACTATTTGTAGGTATCATTGTGTTTCTCATTTTTAAAATAATATAAATGAGGTAGATGAGAGCTTATCAATGTGTTGAATATTATATATTTTCTGACAATATTGATTCCAGGACATCTGACACTAATATCAGTGTTCTGAATGAATCATTTATAATAGGAAATACTAAATTAACTGCTAGTAGCAAAATATAGCTTACAAAGAATGTCGTCCTAGAGGGACAGACAGGAACGTAAATAAGCATTTACAACACAGTGTAATACTATGTTTGAGATGGTGAATGTCTTTGTCTATTTTGTACTGCTATAACAGAATATCCCAGACTGGATAATTTTTAAAGAATAGAAATATATTTCTTACATTTCTAGAGGCTGGGAAGTCTAAGATCAAGGGACTGGCATCTGTTTAGGGCCATCTTTTTTCATTATCCCATAGCAAAGGGTGGAAGGCCAAGAGACAAGAGAGAGAGGAAAAGGGGTCAGGGGCTAAACTTTCCCTTTTATAACAAACTCACTCCTGCAATATGGCGTTAATCTATTCTATTCTCTTAATCTATACCTCCTAAAGGTCCCGCCTCTTAAACTGTTATGATGGGAATAAACTTTCAAAATGAGTTTTGGAGGGGACAAATATTTAAACCATAGCAGTGCTATCGTATCTAAAAAGATTTAGACTTGCTATGGAGGGTTAAAGAGAATATTCTAGATGACAGAGCTAAGCTGACTTTTGAGGAAAATTAGAAATTAGGCAAGTTAGGACAACTAAATTGGAAGGGGAGTTCTAAGCAAAAGAGAGAGCTATGCAGTGGTTCTGATATGATGGAAAGTGTGTTGAGATTGTGGATGTTTAAGACATTTAAAAACCAGGAATGTGAGTGTTAGGGATACTGAAACATAATGTGAGAGAGGATACAGGGGCAAGATTGCAAAATAAAATATAATCATAGTGATAGGAAAAACATTCTGACAACAACATGGAGGACAAAAAAGAGTGGGAAAAAGGCAAAGAGAAAAATAAAGTACAGTTAGAAGGGTGTGGAATTAATCTTGTGAGCAGTGACTGCCATGTGAAATAAGTAGTATGGAAGGAGACAGGGAAAATGGGGATGACTTCAGTCATTGTTTCAATGCAGGGATGAAAGAGAAGACTAACCAGCACTTAAATCCAGATTTCTGGCTTGAGACACTGCTAGTTTACTATATTCTTCATTGCTACCATCGGAAAAGGAACAGATTTTGTGGTAGATGGGAGATAATAAGTCAGTTTGGGACCTGCCTGCTTAGTGCACTTAGTGCAATAGGCCGCACATAAGTCTCATAAATTTATATGAGGACACATTGAGTTAAGTGTGTCTTATAGTATATATAAATCAGAATTTTTATTATAGAATTTAATAGGCAAATATGAGCTCAGGACAGAACTCAAGGCAGATAGAAAAATTGACACTCACGGGCATATGAATAATGAGTAAAATCATTGACATGTGTGTTTTCACCAAAAAAAGGGGGGGTCTTTAGAAGTCATGGTGGTGGATAATGAAAACTGGGGAACACCAAGAGATAAGAACTGAGCAGATGGAAAAGGCCATGATGCAGATGCAGTAGAGTATATGCAGGAGAAAGTGTGTTATCCAGCATTTCAAGACAAAAGAGCAAGTGAAGAATAAAAGTGGTCAACAGTGTAAAGTTGAAAAGGAACAAAGCAAAATAACTGAAAGTCAATATTCGTACAGACTGACCATTCACAACTTTAACCAGACTTGTTTCAGCACACACTTCAGTGTAAAAACCAGGTTTCAAGTGTTTCAGAAATGAATAGAAGAAAAATTAAAAACAAGGCTTAGTGTGAATCAAAGAGTTAATTCAATTCTTGGGTGTAAATGAAAGAGATGATTACAGTCAATGTGAATGTGGATTTAAGGGGTTTTTTTTTTCTCTGTTTTCTTATTTTTTCTTTTTAAATTCAAAACTAAAGCATGGTTAAATGATAAGAAAGTCTTAGTGGAGGAAATAAGGAGGAGGTGATCGGATACAAGGCAGAGATGGTGAGATTAGCCTTGCACATGTGAGAAATAGTCAATTTTTTCCCAGAGAGACAGAGACAAAGATGGTAGATCAATTTAGCTTACTTTGCAACACCTCACATAACCAAAATAAAAATAATATATATTTTTGATAATGATAGCTGCATTATGTACAAATTAGAACAGAAATAGAACTTAAGATCTGTCTTTAATAGAGGACAAGAAAATAAAAAAGTAAATGTGTAAATGTTCAGATGGTATAAGACATACAGAGCAGCAATTTAGTGGAAAACAACTTCGATCAAGAGAGTCTAGTTAACCTTCCAAAGCTAATAGGTATTTGCATGTTTAATCACAGATGGTGTATACAAATTAGGGCCAGAACATGCTGTTTCTAAATAGAAACACCTCAAGTCAGTTCCAGTCTTCTTCCTTAGAAGCCAAATGCACTTTCAGCCCAACTCCCTCATTAAAATTACTGTTTTTTCAAATATGTTCTTCCAAAAACTCATTGGCACAAAATGTGCATGTGTTTTATCTTCTCCTTTCCCTATATCAGTATTCTTAGAGTCCAGTTTTTTACCTAAATAAATATATTTAAATCACATTGATTCTGATAGATTTGACTGTTTGTCTCAAATGGCATTTATTTATGATTTCCCATCTCAGTTTTACATTACTAGAAATGTTTGAACGACCACTCACTTAAAAAAGACCATTGCTTTTCCTAACCTTATAACTATTTAACTATGTTTTTTTCCTCATGGACTACACCTTTTCTACTCTGACAAGTACAGTTTATATTCTTTAAGTTTCTTGGTGGCTTGTCTGAGTTTCTGGTCATATTTTATTTACAAATGTCCTTATATTTGTTGATAATTCATTTATGTTTAGTACAATTTTTATTTGTCTCTGCAACACTTTGAGTTTCTTCTTGGTATCTCTCCATAATCCTTCAACTTTTCTTTCAATGCTATACATTTTAAATTATTAAAATATGACCTTAGTATATACACCAAGTTATCACAGTCTGTTCCATGTTTTTGTGTACCTTATTAAAATAAAATATATAAGTAAACAGATAAAAAATAGTTTTTTTAGCATTAAAATGGTATTGCTTCAAAATGTTAGCCACTGTATTTGTGATTTCAACTTGTACCTACAAAAAATGGGACACAAATAAATAAGGGTTCAAATAGCTGGGTAAGAAGGAGAATAATGGAAGGAATATAGAAAGAGAGGACAGCAATAATTATGATTAACATTTAAGTTCTATATTGAGAATACTATGTTCTTTACTTATTTGATTAATCTTCATAACCCTATAAAACAGGTACAATTATAATAACCATGTTAAAGTAGAAGTAAACTTGAGTTTTAGTGACTTGCCACAAATCACACAGCTAGTAAATACTGGAGCTAATATTTGAATTCTGCTTGTCTGAATGTAGGAAAGATTTTTAAACACTAAACCAATTTCTGGTCAGGGCTTGTTCTACAATTTGAATTTGAGTACTAGTTCTGTTGATTACTAGTTCCACTGATGACTAGTTCTATTGATAGAAACTTAAGGAATATATTTCTGAATTACAGTTACCTCTGCTCCTATATTGGGATAATCTTTTTTGTATTAGGTATTGGAGTTTTTTTTTTTTTGTATTAGGTAAGTTTAATTGCTACTACAAAGAGACTCCAAGATCTCTAACCAAACAAGATACAGGGTTAAGTATACCTTGTGTGATGGCCTAGAGATGGGCAGTTGGTTCAGGAGTGGGAAGTTGATCTAACATGGAAGTAGTCCACCAGAGAGTCATAGAGGCTCAGATTTCTTTTGATTTATTATCACCTAGAATCTTTATTTCACATAAACGCATCCAAATTCTAGCCTATACAATGGAGAAAAAAAGAGAAAATGAAAAGCAAGCAATCTCCTTATAAAATGCTATACTTAAGTACTTAAGTGGAACAAATTAATACTTCTTTTTTTGTTGAGTCAGCATCTGGCTCTGTCGACCAGGCTGGAGTGCAGTGGCATGATCTTGGCTCACTACGATCTCGGCTCACTACGATCTCCGCCTCCTGAGTTCAAGCAATTCTCCTGCTTCAGCCTCCTGAGTAGCTGGGAATACAGGTTCCTGCTGCCACCTCTGGCCAGCCTTTTTTTTTTTTTTTCTTTTTTATTGTATATTTAGTAGAGATGGGATTTCACCATTTTGGCCTGGCTGGTCTCGAACTCCTGACCTCAAGCCATGTGCCCGCCTTGGCCTCCCAAAGTGCTGGTATTAGAGGCATGAGCCACCGATCCTGGCTGCAAATTAATTCTTTTACTCCATTGAGAGAAATAAGATATACAGCCTCACCTAGCTGTAAGAGAAACTGATAAAAAGGTAATTTTTAGATAGGTTGTTAGGGCCACCATGGAAATATGCCATTCAGATCTCCCTTAAGAGAAGATAGTAAAGTGGACGTCAGTGTGGCGATTCCTCAGGGATCTTGAACTAGAAATACCATTTGACCCAGCCATCCCATTACTGGGTATATACCCAAAGGACTATAAATCATGCTGCTATAAAGACGCATGCACACATATGTTTATTGCGGCACTATTCACAATAGCAAAGACTTGGAACCAACCCAAATGTCCAACAGTGATAGACTGGATTAAGAAAATGTGGCACATATACACCATGGAATACTATGCAGCCATAAAAAATGATGAGTTCATGTCCTTTGTAGGGACATGGATGAAATTGGAAATCATCATTCTCAGTAAACTATCGCAAGAACAAAAAACCAAACACCGCATATTCTCACTCATAGGTGGGAATTGAACAATGAGAACACATGGACACAGGAAGGGGAACATCACACTCCGGGGACTGTTGTGGGGTGGGGGGAGGGGGGAGGGATAGCATTGGGAGATATACGTAATGCTAGATGACGAGTCAGTGGGTGCAGCGCAGCAGCATGTCACATGTATACATATGTAACTAACCTGCACATTGTGCACATGTACCCTAAAACTTAAAGTATAATAATAAAAAAAAGAGAAGATAGTATAATAGGTGTAGTTGTCTGACTTTATCCAGTTAATTCACTGTAGCATTTCAGCCAAGGTTATGCTCTCTTTGGCCTGTACCGAGCTATTCACTGAGTTTGTTAGCATGCTAAAACATTTCTGCTCAACTTGCAACTTCAATAACAGGCATTTCTTTTCCTTCCTTCCTTCCTTCTTTCCTTCCTTCCTTCCTTCCTTCCTTCCTTCCTTCCTTCCTCTCTCCCTCCCTCCCTCCCTCCCTTCCTTCCTTTCTTTCTTTCTTCCTTTCTTCCTTTCTTTCTTCCTTCCTCTTTTTTTTTTTTTCTGGAACTGCTTATTGGTTTGGCATATACTTTCTCAAAGCTATACTAAATTCCAAGACTCTTATTACCCAATCAACTTACCTCTATTTGTCCTTTCACAGATATTACACTGTATCGTGGTCAGAAAGTGCTCCTTGCCAACTTTTAACACTTTTCTACTTAACCTGGAAGTTAAATCTCTTTTACATCAAATTCTGCCCTGGCATTTGCTTTCCAGAGGATCCAAAAGGACATAGATGGTCATATGCCCGATTAAAACTTTAGAGGCTCTGTCAAAAAAGAGGACACTTAAAATAGATTTCAGACAGTTAACTGTCCCTGTAATCATCTGCAATTCTGTTCCAACAAGTATCCATGCAGATCAGTCTTCCCTTACATAAAACACATTGACTTTCTCTACAATGAAGAAAATCCAAATTTCTAAGCAATTGCTTTATCCAGTTCAAAATCCAGTATCTCTAAGTAATGCAATTTCTCTTCCATTTAATTGGTATGTAATCCTGAAAAACTGATGTATACATAAAAAATAAATTACCTTCTCACACTGAATATACAATGGTGGAATTGGACCTCGTTCAATCCAATAAACACTACCATTTGGAAAAAGGAAGAATTTGAGCATGTTCAATTATCAATTTTGAATAGGCAGGAATCAAGGAGAATCCTGTTCTGTCTGTAAAGTAAGTTATTTGGTTAGCCCATCTGGTTGTACTTGGTTCTCTCTGGAAGTTACTTTCCTGTGCCTTGTTCTTTATGTCTCTTGGTTTTGCTCTTGGAGATGTAGTTTCTTAGTGATTTAGGGTAGATAGTGTTAGTGTTCAATATTAGCAAGTTGCTTCCTACTTACAAGCGTAGGAATGAATTGGTCTCACATGCCATTGTAAAGATAACTATGATCATATGACTTGTGTTGGCCAATAAAATATATGAAAGCACCTTTGTGATGGTATAATCGTATGTTAATATGGGGGTACAAAAGTATAATGCTAAATTATAGAGGCCATCAGCCCAGGAAAGAGGCTTGAACTCACCTCAGACATTGTAGGCTCGAGAAATAAAACTTTCTGAAGTCTTATGCCATAGAGATTTTGATTATGCAGCAAAACACAGTCTACATTGACTGATACATAATTTTTCTTCACAACCACACTGAAATGCATATTGGAACATGTGCCTTTTCCAGGGGGTGGTGAGCTTTTGAAATCTACTTCCTGCTACAGCAAGTTTGAGAGTCCAGGAGCTTTTATAGAAATGAAACAATCACAGGTATTTATGTAATTTAGGCTTGTTTCTCTGGCAAGAAAATTATATAGTGAGTTTCTAGTATAATTGCTTCCAGAAAAATTCCACTTTTGAGTAACCAAACCTAAAGATCTCTTCTTGACATCATAGTTAAGCTTGTGGATTCTTTTTTGTTTACTGGCTTCTGTGTGTGAGTCATCTGTTGCCCACCGGCTTTAATGAAGTCACGCAAAGCAATAAGTCACCCAAAACACCTCTCTTTAATGAATTTTTGCCATGGGTCTAAATCACAAGATCTGGCTGAAATGCTTAAGGAGAGGCCTCAGAGAAAATCTCTGAATAAGAATAATATCTCCTGCTATTTATAATTGAGTAGCTTTTCCAAACCTCTGAGAGACCTCAAATTATTGGATTCTCACCCATTTCGCCTGTTGCTATAGGCTTGGTGAGCATGTGGTCTGCCTTCAAGTTTATCACACAATAATTTAACCAAATGTTTTGCAATTGCATAATGAGGGTCACCAACTTTTCAGCCTGCCAAACTATCTGCCTCTGAAGTTTTAAGCCAGCACCACATAGTTCAGAGGTGTGTGTGTGTGTGTGTGTGTGTGTGTGTGTGTGTTAATGGTGGCTAAGATTCCTCAGTGTTTTTAGCATATATATCACTGAAAAGAAGAAGTCTGAAGATAAAGTGATTTAAACTAGGTTAGGATTTATTTTTTTCTCAGCTGTGAAGAAATAAGTAAGGGATTGAGAGAATCTGTAGTCTCTTCTATAGAACCATTCAGGGATCCAGCTTCTTTCCCTTTTTTTTTTTTTTTTTTTGTCATCCTCTCTTGTTGTCACTTATGTGGTCATTGCTCTTACAACACCATGATCTAGTTTCAGCACTTGGAAAGAATGGAAGAGAAATACAGGGAGAGTGGTTTTCTTGTGCAAAAAAAAAAAAAAAAAAGATATGGAAATTGTGAGCATCACTTATCAACATGTTCACATCCAGCTGTAATAAATATATTTATTAGCAAAGTGATGAGTTTTCATCTATAATTAAACCCTTGAGGGTAAGGAAAACATCCTTTCTAAAAGGAGAGAGAAATAATCTGTAGAGGGAAACAATTAACAGCTGTTACGAAAATATTTGTAAAGCACCTGGCATAGTAGCTGACAAATAATGGTTATTTAATGTCTCTTTTATTGTTTCCTATCCTGTTGCTTAATAATTTGGATTGAGACCAAGCAAAAGACCATCTAGACCTGACTTAGCAGCTTTGCTATAGTTCTATGGTTGAATAACTTCTTGTTCTGTTTATACTATACATAGTACTTTAGGTATATTTAAAAGAGAATTACCTAAATTTGAGGTTTACACAGGTAAAGACATAATAAAGCCTGCTAGTGGTATAATACTCTGGTACTCCTAATTAACACTCTACTGATATTCATGGAATCTCTAACAAATAATAGGTCCTCTGATGAACACAGTGTGCAGTTACAGTCCTTTTTGCTAAGAATATGAGACATGTTTAAATTATTTCATGCAAGGATAACAAGGATATTTTTATATTCTCTAAAGATTTCAGGGCCCATCAATCTGAGAATGAATAGTAGCATTGGGACAATAAAATCTGCCATCTGTGTAAAATATATTTTTTCCAAGGAGTATTCCAAACTATACAGTGTACTGGGTTTTCAAAATAAATATTTAAATTCCTATTTAGACAAAAAAGTAAAAAGCTCTTTATTAAATATTACAGGTAATATATTGTAACTTTCATTTAATATGCCATCATAAGTTGGTAGATCATGTTATATACATGCATTTTAATATCCCACTCTTTTTCTGCCATGATCCAGAAGAATTACTATATATATACACACACACACATATATACACACACATATATATCAATAAGAGGATAAGTATATATCCTCTTACTCCATATAGGTATAGAGTAAGAGGGTATATACTTATCCTCTTATCCATATATATATGGATATATGTGTGTATATATATATATATATATATATATATATATATATATATATATATCTTGCTCCATATATGTATATATGTATATATGGAGTAACAGGTTAAGTATATTTCAGAATAGAATTTAGAAATTCAAATTAAATATTTTTAAAATATGAGTACCTTTTAAAATGCAAATTCAAATTATTTGAATGTAGCTGTATCCCATGAATATTCCAATATTTATTAGAATGGAAAAATTAACCTACAGAAAGATAAGTCTACAGATATTGTTGATGCAATACTCTATATAATAATTGCACTGGTCAAGCTTTGTTTGGTAATAAACAGCCCCAAACTTGCATTTATAAAATTAAGCATTTATTTCATGCACATAATGCTGCAGGACAGCTTTGACTGTACCTAGCTCTACTGGGCTGCTGATAAAGACATACCCAAGACCGGGCAATTTACAAAAGAAATAAGTTTAATGTACTCTTAGTTCCACGTGGCTGGGGAGGCCTCACAATCATGATAGAAGGTAAAAGTCACGTCTCACATGGTGGCACACAAGAGAAGAATGAGAGCCAAGAGAAAGGAGCTTATAAAACTGTCAGATCTTCTGTGACTTATTCATTACCAGGAGAACAGTATGGGGGAAACCGCCCCCATGATTCAGTTATCTCCCACTGGGTCCCTCCCACAATCCAATGGAATTATGGGAGCTACATTATTATATTTTTGCTTATAGTCCATTGTTCAAACAAAGCAAGCCACAAAACCGAGGCACAAGTCAAAGGAAATGAGGAGGAAAGGGATTATATTCAACTCTTTACTGAGAAGCACTGCAAAGTCACATGGCTACAGGCTTTTATATATTAAACATTTATTGCTATTACAAAGAGAGAGTAAAAATTTGAGAATAACTTAACAGGCAACAATTTCCCCCCAAATAGAATAATTTAGAGGCAAAGATACAAATTAAGTAATTATCGTGATATGATTAAATACTATAGAATTATAAATGATGTTTTAATTGAGATAATGATCACAATGTTATAAAGTGAAAAAGATTACAATTTATTATGTAATTAATTTCTCAATTTTTTAAAGAAAATTATGTATGTATGTGAATATACCTACATACATGTACATATAGTTATTTAAAATACTGACATTTTAATAAATTTTGACAACATGACATTATATGGAATGTTTATTTTCTTCTTTGTGCCCTTTTACACTATAGTTCAAACTTCTATAAATTTCAAATTTCAAAAATAAAAATTTCTTTGCAAATAAAAACAATGCCATTACATTGAAATTATATTTTATTCACCTGCTTTAATTTCCAACTTTCCAGTATCTTGAGTTCATAACTAATAATAATTTAAATTAATACATTAAATTAAATTATTAAATTAAAAAGTAGGAAGTAATAGTAGTTTACAGGGTCATTTTGCAGAGAAACATTAATTCATCAAGTGAACATCACTAGTGCCAACTCAGCTCAACACTGTGCCAGATGCTATAATAAGAAAGAAAGGATGAGTAAGATAGCATCTCCTGCCAAGGATTCAGACTAATCAAAATAACGAATGTTAAGTAGGTAATTAGGGATCCTGTTTCAATATTTTGAACTGAATTTATCTGGTTTCCTAATTAAAATTATTGTGAAAGACATATAAACTCAAATCAATAAACACAACAGCAGTGGGGGACCATTAGTAGAAAGATGGTTGTTGCAAAATCTGGAAGAAAAAGAACTGATTGTGTAGGCTGATAATACAGGTTACTGGAAGCCATAGACTAGGACATGCTCTGAAAGGGTTGATGCAAGAAAAAAGAGGTTATTTATCAGTTATGAATTTCACAGCATTTCTTGACTAAGAGATAGAGGCCATGATATAAAAGGCAGAACACCTGTCAGCACCACCCCAACATTTATGCACACAGGAAGAATAGAAGGCAAGCTTCTACCTCACAGGAAGAATAGAAGGCAAGCTTCTACCTCTTAGATAAATACACACAAACAATTGGGATTACATGATTGGGAAGGACTAGGGTGGAATTATAGCCCAGGATGAAGCATCTGAATTTTGGTATTTGAGAAAGCTCAATATGATGAAAGACTCTTCACCAACTCATCCTAGAATGAAGTATAACGGTTGGCAATGTCCACTCAAGAATGAAGAACACAAAGTACAGAGTAGTTTGTCACTTTTGCTTTTTTTTTTTTTTTTTTTTTTTTTTTTTGACGGAGTCTGGCTCTGTTGCCCAGGGTGGAGTGCAATGGCACAATCTCTACTCACTGCAACCTCCGCCTCCTGAGTTCAAGCGATTGTCCAGCCTCAGCCTCCCGAGTAGCTGGGATTACAGGCATACGCCGCCACGCCCGATGATTTTCTTTTCTTTCTTTCTTTTTTTTTTTTTTGAGACGAAGAAGTCTCACTCCGTTGCCCAAGCTGGAGTGCAGTGGAGCAATCTCGGCTTACTGCAACCTCCACCTTCCAGGTTCAAGTGATCATCCTGCCTTAGCCTCCCGAGTAGCTGGGACTACAGGCACACGCCACCAAGCCTGGCTAATTTTTGTATTTTTAGTCGAGACGGGGTTTCACTATGTTGGCGAGGTTGGTCTTGAACCCCTGACCTCGTGATTCACCCATCTCGGCCTCCCTAAGTGCTGGGATTACAGGCATGAGCCACTGCGCCCCGCCTAATTTTTGTATTTTCAGTAGAGATGAGGTTTCGCCATGTTGGCCAGGCTGGTCTCAAACTTCTGACCTCACGTGATCCTCCCGCCTTGGCCTCCCAAAGTGCTAGGATTACAGCCGTGAGCAGCTCCTGGACAAGCTTGATTCTTAAATTTAAAACAATTAATGATTTCTGAAAAACTTGACAAAAAACTGTAACATGAAAATGAAATATCAAACAAAACAAAACTGATACTAGAGAAACTATACAATATTCAGAGAACTGAAGAAAACAGAAATTAAAAAGACAGCCTAAAACTTACAACCAAAACAGACTAAAGAAGTTAACAGGTATTTATGCAATCCAGGATCCCGAAATTGCAACTAAAACAATTGCAGTAAAAAGATAATAGAGAAAACTGAACATTCAGAAGGCAGTATCAAAAACAATTCAAGAACATTTCTTAAAGTAAAACTCATCTTCGTATAAAATGGTTTATCCATAATAATGGCTAAAAAATAAATTGAACTTAGATGCATTAGCATTGCATTTCACATTATTTATAGAAAATTCTTAAAGTCTAAATTTTTCATTTTACATTTCACAAGAAATAAACTATTTCTTCTCTTTGAAATATTGACTTATTATGAAGATAACTAGGTCAGCAGTAATAATAATTATAACTGAAATAAACATTTTCTTTCAAATTTTATTGAAATGTTTCAGATTTCATTCACTGTTTGTACATTACCAAGTTAATTCCAGATTTACACAGGGCAGGAGAGTCCATTTATTTTAATTAATCACTGTGCTTTAAAAACTTGTTCTTTATCTGTAAAGTTAATGAACACATTGGTGAAATAGATGAAGAGGAAGTCTGCCTAGTTTCAGCAAAAAATTGAAGATACTGTTTGAACAAATTGGCATTTCTGAAAATTTTGCATCTATGCTGTGCTTTCTTTTAATAAAATTCTTGTTTTCAAAGGCATTTTACATTTAAAATTATATTCATGAATATGACCATCATTACAATTTCTATTGTAAATTGTAGATTGCTTGAAGGGTTTCATTATAATTTTTCAGAAAATATATAGGCATAAATTACCATATATCTAGTGCTTATTTTTGCTAGGTACTGTATTAGATCTGAATAAATACAAATATAAACTAGCTATTATATGAGAGACCATAGAAAAATTACATGATTTTAAATTTGGTTTCAGATCTATTAAAATTTAATTAAAAATATGTAACACACAAGTCAATTTATTTGGGCCCATTAAAATGCAATGTAATAAAATTACAAAAATTTCTAGGCTAAATGAAACAGCTACCTCCAAATGGAATGAGGTGCTTTGAGAGATAATAATCTGTACAGAAAAGGAGAGATAATGAGTTCTATCTTAATATTATGAAGAGTTTCTGATATACCAACCTCATACATACGAGGTAAGATCTTGCTCATATTGATGTGCTTTTTATTGAATTCATCATAAAAATGATTCAAAACAACGGCTTTTCTATTTGTTTAGTGGTTTTTAAAATTTGTTTTTGAAACACAAGCAATAATACATTACCTACCCAAAGGCCACACACCTGCAACCATATGACCTTTGACAAAACTGACAAAAACAAGCAATGGGTAAAGGACCCCCTATTCAATAATTGGTGCTGGGATAGCTGGCTAGCCATATGCAGAAGACTGAAACTTGACCCCTTCCTTATACCACGTATAAAAATGAAGTCAAGATAATTAAAGACTTAAATATAAAACCCAAAACTATAAAAACCCTGAAAGACAATCTAGACAATACCATTCTGAACATATGAATGAACAAAGATTTTATGATGAAGGCACCAAAAGCATTTGCAACAAAAGTAAATTTGACAAATGGTATCTAATTAAACTTAAGAGCTTCTGCCCAGCAAAAGAAACTATCAACATGGTAAATGGACAATCTACAGAATGAGAGAAAAATTTTGCAAACTATGCATCTGAGAAAGGTCTGATATCCAGCATCTATAAGAAACTTAAATGTATAAGAAAAAAATATCAAACAACTCCTTTAGTAAGTTGGTGAATTACATGAATAGACAGTTTGTTTTTGTCAGGTGACATAATTTATTCAGCACCTACTGGGATAAGGTAGCTATATTAAACAAATAAAGATTAAACAATGAATATACATGTAATCATAGAACTGATGAAGTCTTTGAAAGCATTTTACCTAACAATGTTCTCCTTGCTATAATATTTAGTTTGTATTTTTTTAACTTTCAAGTTCAGGGTTACAAGTGCAGGTTTATTACATAGGTAAACTTGTGTTGTGGAGCTTTGTTGTACAGATTATTTCATCACCCAGGTATTAAGCCATTAGTTGTTTTTTCCTGATCCTCTCCCTCCTCCCAACCTCCAATCTTCAATAGGACCAATAGGTGTTGTTCCTCAGTATGTGTCCTTGCATTCTGATCATTGAGCTCTCACTTATAAGTGAGAACATGCAGTATTTAGTTTTCTGTTCCTGTGTTAATTTACTAAGGATAATGACCTCCAGCTCCATCTATGTCCTTGCAAAGGAAAAGTTCTTGTTCTCTTTTTATGGCTGCATGGTATTCCATAGGATATATGTGCCAATTTTTCTTTATCCAGTCTGTCACTGATGGACATTTAGGCTGATTTCATGTCTTTGCTATTGGGAATAGTGCTACAATGAACATATGTGTGCATATGTCTTTATAGTAGAATGATTTATCTTCCTTTGGGTATATACCCAGTAATCAGATGGCTGGCTCAAATGGTATTTCTGTCTGTAGGTCATTGAAAAACCTCCACACTGCTTTCCACAATGGTTTAACTAATTTACACTCCCACCAGCAGTATATAAGCCTTCCTTTTTCTTTTTCTTTTTTTTTAATTTGTGATAAAAGATAAATAATCCTTTTTATTATCCATCCTTCTCCCATCCTCCTTTTTATGTTTCTTTTATATATATATATATGTGTACATATATATGTGTGTATATATATATGTGTACATATATATGTGTGTATATATATATGTATATATATATTTTATTATACTTTAAGTTCTAGGGTACATGTGCACAACATGCAGGTTTGTTACATATGTATACATGTGCCATGTTGGTGTGCTGCACCCATTAACTCGTCATTTACCTTAGGTATCTCCTAATGCTATCCATCTCCCCTCCCCCACCCCACAACAGGCCCTGGTGTGTGATGTTCCCCTTCCTGTGTCCAAGTGTTCTCATTGTTCAGTTCTCAAAGAGAATACAATACCTAGGAATCCAACTTACAAGGGATGTGAAGGACCTCTTCAAGGAGAACTACAAACCACTGCTCAACGAAAAAAAAGACACAAACAAATGGAAGAGCATTCCATGCTCATGGATAGGAAGAATCAATATCATGAAAATGGCATACTGCCCAAGGTAATTTACAGATTCAATGCCATCCCCATCAAGCTACCAATGACTTTCTTCACAGAATTGGAAAAAACTACTTTAAAGTTCATATGGAACCAAAAAAGAGCCTGCATTGCCAAGTCAAACCTAAGCCAAAAGAACAAAGCTGGAGGCATCATGCTACCTGACTTCAAACTATACTACAAGGCTACAGTAACCAAAACAGCATGGTACTGGTACCAAAACAGAGATATAGACCAATGGAACAGAACAGAGCTCTCAGAAATAACATCACACATCTACAACTATCTGATCTTTGACAAACCTGACAAAAACAAGAAATGGGGAAGGGATTCCCTATTTAACATGTGGTGCTGGGAAAACTGGCCAGCCATATGTAGAAAGCTGAAACTGGATCCCTTCCTTACACCTTATACAAAAATTAATTCCAGATGGATTAAAGACTTAAATGTTAGACCTAAAACCATAAAAACCCTAGTAGAAAACCTAAGGCAATACCATTCAGGACATAGGCATGGGCAAGCCTTCCTTTTTCTTTGCAACCTTGCCAGCGTCTGTTATTTTTTGACTTTTAATCGTAGCCATTCTGACTGGTGTGAGATGGTATCTAATGATCAGTGATGTCAAGCCTTTTTTTTTTCATATTGTTGGTCGCACGTATGTCTTCTTTTGAAAAATGCCTTTAGGAGATATACCTAGTGTAAATGACGAGTTAATGGGTGCAGCACACCAACATGGCACATGTATACATATGTAACAAACCTGCATGTTGTGCACATGTACCCTAAAACTTAAAGTATAATTAAAAAAATGAAAAGTGCCTTTTCGTGTCATTTGCTCACTTTTTAGTGGGGTTGTTTATTTTTCCTTGTAATTTTGTTTAAGTTCCTTATAGATGATGGATAGTAGACCTTTTTTTGCATACATTGTTTGTAAAAATTTTCTCCCATTCTGTAGGTTGTCTGTTTATTCTGTTGATAGTTTCTTTTACTGTTCAGAAAACTCTTTAGTTTAATTAGATCACATTTGTCAATTTTTGCTTTTGTTGCAATTGCTTTTGATGTCAACGCTTTTCAAAAGAAGACATACATTCAGCCAACAAGCATATGAGAAAAGACTCAACATCACTGATCTTTAGAGAAATCCAAATCAAAACCACAGTGAGATAACATCTCACACCAGTCAGAATGGTTATTAAAAACTTAAAAAATAACAGATGCTGATGAGGTTGTGGAGTAAAGGGAACATACACTATTAGTGGGAGTATAAATTAGTTCAACCATTATGGAAAGCAGTGTGGTGATTTCTAAAAGAGCTAAAGACAGAACTACCATTTGACCAAGAAATCTCATTACTGGGTATGTACCTAAAGGAATATAAATCATTCCATTATGAAGACACATGCACACATATGTTCATTGCAGAACTATTCACAATAGCAAACTCATAACATCAATTTAAATATTCATCAATGATAGACTGTGTGAAGAAAGTGTGGTACATATACACCGTGGAATACTATGCAGCCATAAAAAGAATGAGATCATGTCCTTTGCAGGAGCATGGATGGAGCTGGAGGCCATTACCCTTAGCAAATTAACGCAGCAACAGAAAACCAAATACTGCATATTCTCATTTTTAAGTGGAAGCTAAATGATGAGAACTCACAGACACAAAGAAAGGAACAACAGATATTGGTGCCTACTGGATGGTGGAGGGTGGGAGGAGGGAGAGGAGCAGAAAAAAAAAAGCTACTGGGTACCAGGCTTAATGCCTGGGTGACGAAATAATCTGTACAACATACCCCCTGTTACATAAGTGTATCTATATAACAAGCCTGCACGTGTACCCCTAAATCTAAAATAAAAGTTTAAAAAACAGTGTATTATTTTAGTTGAACAATCTACTTAGTAATATTATAGTTCATGTTGCATTTTATAGATCCTTTTCTTTTACACCCAGCCAAAATTAAATATACCCATTTTCTAATTACAGAATGTGTGTGTTTGTGTGTGCTGTATAAAGTTTGTTGTAAATGTCACTTTTGGTCTTTCTCACTAACTGTAATCTCTCTAGGGAAGATGAATTGTACTGTTCGTCTATTTATCTTCTGCCCTTAACCACATTCACAGCCATCTTGTGAATACTTAATAAATCATTGCTTGGCCAACTATTTTCACAGCAAATTTAGGATGACATGTAGGTGCCCTTTGTGTTTTTGGTAGCAATTAGTGTTTTTTCCAGAAACTACTGAAATAATAGGTGTTAATTTTAAAATAAATGAGGCATTTAAAAATATTTTTAGATAGAAAAATATTTCTTAAGCAGCTAACCATGTTAACAATTAAAAATGTATATGGAGATTTGTAAAGATACAATTAGAACAGGTTGTATAATAAGTAAAAGAAGAAAAAAGAATGATTAAATAACACCAACATAGCTGTTAGAACAAAAGAGTAAGCAAATGTTTCAACAAATTTGTACACTACTAGTTAAAAAATGAGCAGGAAAAGAGTTTTTAAAATTTTATTATATAAAAGGTGATTTACTCCATAAGTTTGAAAAATTTCAGAGTTATGACTATTAGTTGACCATGGACCCTCTCAAACCATGCCATATTCCTTGTGCAGATTTGGAACAAATAATCCACACAATTCATAAATAGGAAGAATAGTGCATCAATACTCAAGACAAAGTGTGAACACCTGCTACCCACAGACTGATGTAAACTCTAGAAGATTTATACTTTTCACACCTCATTTCTTTCCTCCCACCCAGTCAAAAGGAAAGAAATGTGAGAGAAGTCACTGACAGACCTAATATAAGGTGGAAAGGAGAGAAATCATTGAATCACATTTGGTCATGCCGTGACAGATAAAAGAACAGGTAGCCAAATGCCCTATACCTAAAAGGAAAACAACATGCTGAAGGGCATTCTACAATTCCCCTGGTGTTGGTTAACTGTCTTGGCACAAGGTGAGGAATGATTTACCACTGACTTCTTGGTAACTTTGCCATGAGAAGACAGCATTGTCTTAAGTACCAGTGCATAGATTAGATCAAGCATTGATTATGAATTTAGGTAGATCTGGGTTCAACTCGTTCAACCATTTCTACCTCTATGACACTGCTCAAGCCCCTTTTTCTCAGTTTCTTATATACTCTTATACAAATGTAGAAAACAATAAGACTTCTACTTAAAAGTATGGTATATGTTAAAATAATTAGATTAATCTGTGTAGGCTTACATCAGTTTCCCAATATAGGAACAATTTAATTTAGGAACAATTAAATTTAATCTGTGTAGGCTTACATCTGTTTCCCAATCTAGGAACAATTGGCAATTTGGGTCAGATAACTGTGGCCTCTACCTGCTAGATGCTAGTGGCACCAAACCTTCCCAGTCGTGACAACCAAAAGTGTCTCTGGACAGTGCAAACTGTACCCAAAGAGGCAAAATTGCCCCCATTTCTCCATTGAGAGTCACTTTGTTATTGTAAAGTGCTGACATCAGTGCTAGGGAAATGCAAAAGACACATGTCAGGTGAAAAAATTGGAAAAATTTCTTTTTTTAGAAACTGACAAGCATAATATTTTAGAATGACAGAATCATAGAGTTGTAATTTGTTATGAATAGTCAGTACAACTTCTAATTTAATAGTGAGGGCACTTATACCTGGAGACCACAGATGTTATCTAAGATGCTTAATTCTTAGTTTCTTCTTTTGAAAAATTAGGCAGATGGGCTGGATTTTATCTATTTTTTTGAAAATTTATAATTTAAAAGGTAAGTTAGAGGAAAAATTGGAATCACTCAGCAATGGAAATGTTTTACTTAGCCTTGTTTTGGGAACATACAGACTGTCTGAATGGACATCTTAAAGAAATGTTCTAAAAGGCATTTCCACGTTAGATAAAAAGAGTAAACATCTGTAACAACTATAACTTCATGCATCTAATAACATTTATTTCATTTCTTACATACACAATTGTGAAGCAAAGTTGTTGCCTACCAGCCACTTGCTTATAAAGATGTTGAGTCTCTTTGCTGACTTCAGCCAAGCTGATGGCATCTTTTACTTGACAGATTGCTTGCCATGACTCACTCAGCACTTCTATAAGTTCAATAAATACAACCAAGTGAAAATTGCAAAGAAAGAAAGTATACGTATGTTCTCCAGATGGAATTCTGCTACTATAGAATCGCTAATATAGTCCAGGCACAGGCAATTTAATCTGGAAGACACCCAGACAATACGGAAACACTGACTCTGTTAACAGGTAGAATCAGCTCAGAATCTCTGAGACCATACCACACACAGAAAGTTTCTTAACAGAAATCATTGATTTTATTACTGTGTTCTTAGAGATTATAATATCATGAGTACTATTAATAGTTTTCTTGCCAATGTTGTTTTCAGCAAAGTTCTATGATCTACCACAATTAAACAATGGGGAACTTACTAAGTAGCTACCATAAAGCCGTCAATATCCAATTTATTAATAGTCTCAAGTGTCATTCATTCGGTCAAATATTTACTTATTGACTATAGCTTTTTGCTCTTTTGTGTATAAATTTTCCTTTTAATTAATTTGACAGTCTCACAATCAGATAGATAGATGATAGATAGATAGATAGATAGATAGATAGATAGATAGATGTAGTAATGTATAAGTACAGACATTATATAGATCAATATAGATATCTGTACTTATAAATATTTCTTTTTAGGCAGATATTTAGGTAGATAGATATTTGAAAAGAAGTGAAGAGGTGACAGAGATGACAGAGAAATATATTTTGGAAAATTTTTAAAACATTGGTAGTTTTGTTCTGTTGTAAATAATGAGAGCTATTCAGCAATAGAAGATGTCATGAAAATTAACGAGCTGCCCACTAAAGAAACACTCAAGCAAGATGAATTGCTCCAAGATGTGATTAAAGGAATGGTTAAGAAAAACTGGACTTTCAATATCCTTCGGTGAAATCCAGCTAATGAGAAACAACCCAAAGAGTGAGGTTTGCTTTGGTGAGTACATGTAGATTATTGATACTTCTTACCTTTGACCACACCGATGAAAGTTTTCTGGATTTATGACAAAATAGTAGAGAAGAAGCATGTAACTTTGATTTTTTAATTCATCCTATATCTGGTTTTGCAGCATCACAATGTATTAATTTTTCTTTTGGTTAATTCATTAAAATAGTTTCCATTTTCCATAAGACTAAGCAGCCTCACACATCTTCTAATATAGTGACCTTTCCACAATTCTTTTGTATAATAAATCCTTAACCTCTCTCAAATTTCCCCAGTGCAAATCAAAACAAAAGCAAATTTTAACCTAATACATGCATTCATGAATACTTCAACCTGTTTCAATAAAATGTGTGCTCACAATATAAACAGGATTAATATACGGAAATCCCCTATAAAAAATAAGAAGGGAAGCTGTCAAATTCCTTGACCCATAGGAAAAACTTTCAGCCCTTTCTTCTATGTTCTGTGGTCACTCATTGAAAACTATTCCCGCATGTAAATATCACCACTTGAATACACTTAATAGAGTAGCACAAAACCACCTACTGGGTAATCCACATGAAAACTCTGTGGGATGGTTAAATATTTCTAGAGTTGTCATGAAGAAGCTGAGGCAGACAAAAAATCAATGCCAGAGCAAAATTGTACCTTTATGGTTTTGTGTTTATGAATGTGTTCAGAAAAAATCCTCTGATTTTCCTAATATAATTATTTGTATTCATAAACATAATTTATATGCCAGTCACACTGCACATACATCTCATGCATTCTTCCTAAAATAAAACTAAAAAAACGCATATTATTGATATTTTAAATGAATGGAAGTTAAGTCACTTAGCCAGTGTAGAGTAGGATTTTGAACTCTTAAACTACAGTTTCAGGTTCTTTCTAAAATACTAGATGCAGTTTGTTGTATATTGCAAAAACATGTTTTTGTGCAGAGGTATTATATATAGTATAGCAAAGCATAAATGCTTGATAACGTTTTTAAAATTTAGCTCAATACATTTTCCATAGCGGAATAACTTACACATACATACATTTATGTTACTTTTTCTTTGCATAGTAGAAATAGAAAGATGTGGAGATCCGGCGCAGTGGCTCACGCCTGTAATCCCAGCACTTTGGGAGGCTGAGGCGGGCGGATCACAAGGTCAGGAAATCGAGACCATCCTGGTTAACACGGTGAAACCCAGTCTCTACTAAAAATACGAAAAATTAGCCAGGCGTGGTGGCGGGCGCCTGTAGTCCCAGCTACTCAGGATGCTGAGGCAGGAGGATGGCGTGAACCCGGGAGGCAGAACTTGCAGTGAGCCGAGATCGCACCACTGCACTCCAGCCTGGGCAACAGAGCTAGACTCCGTCTCAAAAAAAAAAAAAAAAAATTATTTCTCTTTTTAGTGCTATTTCTGTCCTTCACTGAGGAGATATGCACCTGCTCTATATTTCTGTATCATAATCAGCTGCTTTCACAGCAGGTGTCTAGCTCACATAGTTCTTCAGCATGCATTGGGAGAAATGGGAATATTTTAGAAATATTTGTAAATTACAAAAAATTATAGTTAAAAAATTCAATAATTAATAATTGAATCAATGAGAATAATACTATCTTCTTGACCTTGCTTTATTAGTTTTACAAGCAAGTTTTTTCTTTAAAAAGACTCTTAGGGCTCATAAATCTCTAAGTTTCATTATTTTATGTTCAAGGCAAAAAATGGGGGTGAGCTTGCTGGCAGAAACAAAATATTACATCTGAGCTGGATTTCAGATAAAAATGTGCAAGTTCTTACAAGAAGAAAAATCAAACAAAAAGAGATGCCAAAGGTTGTTTGCTTAGCATTAAAAATATGAACAATTTTTCAGGAGAAATGTAGTTACTGTATCTTACAAATCCAAGCAATTGTGTTCAAATGCCATTTCATACTATAACATTTTATTATATATGGGGAATATTTATTTATAACTTATATTTATTTAACACTCTATAATTTCTATTGGAGGCTTCCAGTTAACTTTGGAAAGTACTATGTGTGAAACAACAATTTATATATATATATATGTATATATACATGTGTGCGTGTATATATATATATATACACACACACACACACACACACACACACACACAGAGATACTGCCACAGATAAGGATGACTTTGGGTTGATTTTGTTTTTCATTGTTTTAGTTTTCACCAGCTAAATCGTTATGCAATCTCTCAATATTATCTATTTTTCCATTTTTTGTATGTTAAATTAAGGAAATTGGGACTAAAAGAATCAATTACCATGGCATTTGTGTATTTTAACCATCTTTAAAACTAGAGGCCATGCTACTAATGAATCTGAAGGTAAGTAGAAGCCCCATTCCTTCCTGGTTCAAGGCTCAATAGTAATACAGAACAAAAATGCTGATGCTACCATCTGGAGCAGCAGCATAACAGGTGAGCTCAGTCACCTAAAACTATGACCCACTCTCAAATTAATTCATACCTGGTGAAATGTGAATAATCACCTCCTCACTTTAACCAGCAGATATAAGAGGGAACATGCTTTTTTTTTTCAACAGCAAAAAAACAAAGCAAAACAGTAGTACATATTAATTTCCACTGTTATTCTATTTATCATTTCTTCCATACATTACAAACTTAAAAGAGATATTAAAAAGCAAGAAAATAAAACTCAGAGTCAAAACAAGTGCATTCCAAAACACTGATGACCCAGGTATTGGAATTAGAAAATTATAACCCAAAGTAAAAGATGGAAATTATAAACAGATGAGGAATATCTGAAGGAAACTGAAGACTATAAAAATAAATCAAATTGAAATCCTGGAACTGAATAATTCTAGACTAAGGATTTATAAACTTAGTTATCAACGACATAAAGTATAATATATATTAAATTATAGAACAAGTAGAAAAGAGAAAATAGAGCAAAAAATTTATGTATGAAGGAAAAATGGTAGAAATGAATCTCTATATCCCAGGGTATCAGAAAATTTCAAGCAGAATAAATATGATAAAATGACACCTAAATCAAATACAAATAGGAAAATTCTGAAAGCTGCCAGAGCTAAAAGACACATAACATGAATTCAACAATGATAAGAATGGCACCAGAATTCTTGTCACAAATAATGCAAATTGGAAGACATGCCTTAGCATTGTAAAGTGGCATGAAGAAAAAAAAATAAAAACCTGCTCAGCTTAGAATTCTTAACCCTGTACTTTAAGATAAGAAGATAAGATTATGTCTTACTAATAGATTTATCCCTTTTATCATTATGAAATGTCTCTCTTTTCCTCTAGTAATTATCTTTACCCTAAAGTCTATCAGTGATTAATACAGGAACTTTTTAAATTTAGTGTCTCAATGGTATATCTGTTTCCGTGACTTTACTTTGAACCATCCACGTTGTTGAATATAAGGTGAGTTTCTCAAATTCATACAGTTGAATCAAGTTTTTTAAATCAATTCTGTTCATTTTTCTAATTGATGTATTTGGATCAAATGACAGATATTAATGTTTAGATATATTTGTATTAGTTCTTTCTGTTATTTGGCAGATAAAAGAAATTATATTCAAAGAAATTCAGTGATTTATCCCAAATTCTATAGACAGGATATAAAAAAATTGGAATATATTCTTAAATTCTGAAACCAAGTAAAATAATTTATAGTTTATTATTCAGAACCTCCACATTATGTTTAACACGAGTATAAATAGACAGTTGTATAAATGTAATCAATTCTAAGAATTCTAGAAAAGGTACAGTTAATATACAATTGTTCTCATGCTAGAATGTAACAGTTATTTAAAAGATTAGAATACTATTTTTGTGCCCTCATCAGTATGTAAAATTTAATCTTGTTGTATAATTCCAGATATTACCTCTACATCAGTCTTAAAGAAGCTGATATATTATTTGAGTCCTAACAATTTTTAATGTTGTATACCTTCGTATTTCTGGAAATTATTCTTTTAGGATGTAGGTGATTTTTTTCACATCTCCTGAAGCAGGCCACTGTCATTTTAATACCTATTTCAAAGATACACATTTATCATTATTTTAATTAATTTTTGAGAACTGTGGTATTTACAATAAGGCTTTCAAAACCAACTATAATCTTTTAACATTAGCTTGCAGGTTTTACTGCCACAAGTGACAGCATATTTTAGATATATAATTGAAATGACTCTACACTCATACAAACACAGGGAAGTACAGAAATAGTGAGTGGCTGGATAACCCAAAAACATTTTTTTCCACATGCTTGACACACTCTCTTGTGTTTTAAAGGCTTGAATGCAGCCAGGGAGTTCTACATGCACCAGGAGTTTTGTCAATATTCCTCCGGTTAGGTTTCTGGGCTGTTGCCAAGCTATAAAATAGCTTAACATGAGTGAAGTGATGAAGTCACTCACAGGGAATAGCCCCATTATCTTCCTTCCTTGAAATGAGTGGTTGTAAAATCAGTCAAATAATTCAGATGGAGAAGGTTGTTTCTGTCTTCAAGACGTAACCAGGTAGTCTGACTCCTGGGGATGTTAGCCATTTGTATTTGCAATTACACGTAATTAATGGAACTTTCAGTTTCCTAGTACTTGGATGTTTTGAGTTAAGAAAAAGCAGGGGCCATAAAAAAATAGAGTATAAAAATTGTTATCTTAAAAAATTATCTAAAGTTAATGTTTGTTAAATTCTGCTTTTGAAATTTTATCCATGAATATACTAGTAATTACTATACAATTTCTCTTTAAGTTTGATCCATTCATTAAAAAAAATAGTACTTTTTATATCTCCATGCAATTTTTGGAACCGATGCAGAATGTTTTTAAGTAGATCATTTTATTATGAATTAAAGTATTTGTTAGCACAGCTGATATTACGACTACTACAAGTACATTGAAGTGTATTCAATATGGGACATTATTTGAAACAATTAATGGCATTACCCTTATATCTCTATAAGCAAAGAGATTTGAACCATTTCCTCAATGCACAGTCTAATTCCATCATTTACAGAAAGGTACAACCATTTTCATGTGAAAGGTCACCATAGAAAAACTTCTATTAAATATTGTGAATGTCAATGTCATTTAAGTCAGTTAGGATATTGCAGACTTTAAGTGGCCCTTATACTTCTGTGCTAAAATATCTTTCTGACTCATTCAGATTCATAAGTGTGCTATGCTTATCCATGCCAATTCATAAGTTAATCCAACTATTGTTATAGTAATTAGGCTTATAGTTAATATTTATTTTATAGTGTTAGAAATGCAAAGCCTTTAGCCACATAAGGGAAAAATGTCCTAAATGTCATTTAACAATGACACAGTTAGAGTAATTACATAGCAACTTACTGCATAAAACTTAAGAAAAATTATCAAATTTGTTCCGACAGCTAGATTCATATTTCAGTTTTCCAAATAAAAGGTACCATGTTCTTCTCATTCTGTACTTAGTCAACAAATATAATTACATCCTGTACCTTTGAAGGATAATCTCTGTGAATCCACTCACAGCTTACATTTGTCTTTTCTGATGCCCCTGAGCTTTTTTCCCCCATCTCAGATTTCAAAAGGGCATAATGGACATTTACTTTCTAACTCTTGAGGAAGTTCTTCACAGCTCTGTTTGCCTGCCGTCTTCTCAAAATGCTTAAAGAATTTAGGACTGAAAAATCATTCTGTCTTATCATGCCCTCCAAAATCTTTTTACACAAGCTGCAGTTGGTCAAAAAAAGTTGGATGAATTGATATGAAAAGACTTATTAAAATGACTTTTCTGAGAGTCAAGAAAACAATTAGTAAAACAAGGTAATTGTCTAATTTAATTTCATCCTTTAGTAAGAGTCCCTCATTAGAATGTTTTTGAATAATTCCCAAAGAGTGTTGGCAATAAACCACTTCTATTAATTATACAGTGCTTATCAAGAAAGACTGAAAGCCAGTGTGTCCCCAAAGAAGCACATGATTAAACTGAGCCCTGCCATGTCTAATTATGATTATTACAACAACCACGTTGAAAGAATTGATTTCAATATTGTTAGTCCCATTGAACTGAGGGGGATATTTTAAATAAACTGTACTAATTAATACCATTGTGTAGAATTATAGTTAATAAATATTTTGAGATATCATCATGCTAATTATTTTAGCGCTTGAGAGGAATCCCAATAATGTACCAGAGGGCAGATAAATAAGAAGATAATTTTTAAAAAAGAATGAAGGCTTGCATTATAACAAAATACTATGCTTACATGAGAGAACCTAGCTTTTGTCTTTAAAACCTTTTATCCTAAGATGAGGCTACTCAAAAAAATTTTTCATTCATTTATTTCCTCCTTTCCTTCTCTTTCTTTTTCTTCTTGTCTCTGGCTTATTTTATGTTTGTGTATGTGTATGTATAATGTTAGATCACAAATTATAGTATTTATTGATTCATCTTGAAATTGCTAGTTTGTCTACATACAAACACCTAGATGAACAATTCATACAATAGGTAATTCATGACTACAATACAATTCATGAGTAGGTGAGGCTCTAGCCAAAATAGCTAAGAAAAAAAAGAAGACATGAATTGCTAATATCAGCAACAGGAGTGGACATCACTAGAAATCTCACAAATATTATAAAGACAATAAAGAAATATTATGAACAAGTCTTATTCCCACTAATTTGGCAACCTAGGTAAAATGGACCAATACCTTGAAAGAAAAAAACTGCCAAACTCACACAAAAAGAAATATACATTCTGAATAGGCCTATACATATTTAAGAAATTAAATAGACAATTAATAGCCTTCCAAAACAGAATGCAACAGACACAGATGGGTTCACTGGTGAATTCTACCAAAAATTTAAGGAAGATATGGTATCAAGTTTTATCTACAAACTCTTCCAGAAGATAGAAACTGAGGGAATACTTCCTAACTCATTCTATGATGCCTGTATTACCCTTATTCCAAAACTTCACAAAGACATTAAAAGAAAGGTGAACTATGAAGTAATGTTTCTCACAAACATACATGCAAACATACTTAACAAAATATTAGCAAATAAAATATAATAATGTGTAAAAAGAATTATACATTATAAACAAGTAGAATTTATTCAGATATGATTCATCATTCAAAAAGCAGTTGAAATAATTTGTCACATGAATAGGCTAAAGAATAAAATTCACATGATGACATTAATAAATATAGAAAAAGATTTGACATAATTCAAAACCTACTCATGATAAAAACTCTCAGTTAAATAGGAGAAGAGGGGAAGTTCCTCAATATGATAAAAATATCTACCAAAAACCTACAGTGAAGACGAACTAGAAGATTTCCTACTAAGATTAGGAATAAGGCAAGGAAGGCAAGGACATCTCCTTTAACCACTCCTTTTTGACATCATACTGGAAGTCCAAATAATGCAAAGTACAAGTAAAGGGGAAATAGGGTATACTAATTGGAAAGATAGAAATAAAACTCTTTGTTGGCAAATGGCATGATCATCTATGTAGAGAATCTGGAACCAATAATCAGTTAAATCAAGGTTGCAGGATACAGGGTTAATACATAAAAGTCAATCATTTTTTCCTGTATACCAGCAATGAACAGGTGAAATTTGAAGTTAAAAACAAAATACCACTTAAACTCTTATAAAAATGAAATACTTATGTATGAATCTATCAAATATGTACAAGATCTATATGAGAGAAACTACAAAACTAAATAAATGGAGAGATATTCCATGTTCACAGCCAGGAAGATTCAATATTGCCAAAGTGTAAGTTCTTTGCTGCTTGATCTACATATTCAATCCAATCTCAATCAAAATCGCAGCAAGTTATTTTGTAGATAGCCACAAATTGATTGTAAAGCTTATGTAGAGACTAAAAGACTAGAATACCCAATATAACATTGAAGGAGGTGAAAAAGTTGGAGGACACACACTACCTAATTCAAGATTTAATATAAAGCTACAGTAATCCTGAAAGTATGATTTTGGTGAAAGAATAAACAAATAGATCAATGGAACAGAATATCAAGCCCAGAAATCCACTCATGCAAATATCGTCAGCTGACCTTTGACAAAGTAACAGAAGCAATACAATGGGAACAAATACACGTTTTTGTTTGTTTGTTTGTTTGTTTTTTAACAAATGGAATAACTGGACATCCATACAAAAAAAAACTAGACACAGATTTTACAACCTTCACAAAAATTAACTACAAATAAATCACAAACCTAAATTGAAATTAAGAACTATACAACTCTTAGAAAATAACAAAGGAGAAAATCTAGATTACCTTGGATTTGGCAATGACTTTTCAAACATACCAAAGGCACAATCCTTGAAAACAAGAATCGATAAGCTAGACTTAATTAAATATAAAATGTTTTACTTTGCAAAGGACATTGCCAATAGAATAAGAAAACAAGCCACAGACTGGGAAAAATATTTGCAAAAGAGATATCTGATAAATGACTGCTATCTAAAATATACAAAGAACTCTTAAAAATCAAAAGTAAGAAAACAACTCAATTTTGTAAATGGTGAAAAGACCTTAACAGACACCTCACCAATGAAGTTACATAGCACACAAGCGCTTGAATAGATGTCTCATATCATATGTCATCAGGTTAAAACAAATTAAAACAATAGGATACCATTACATACCTATTAGAATTGCTAAAATTCAGAACACTGACAATATCGAATGCCGGTAAGAGTGCGGAGAAACAAGAACTCATCTTAATTGCAAAATGGTGCAGACACCTTGGAAGATAGTTTGGCTATTTCTTAAAAGGTAAACATACTTTTACGATACAATCCAAGAATTATTCTCTCTTGCATTTCATCAACCAACAATTGAAAATTTATCTCTACACAGAAACCTTCACGGTCCTGTTAACAGTAGCTTTATTCATAATTGTCCAAAGTTGGAAACAACCAAGATGTACTTTAGTAGGTAATATGGTTAGGCTTTGTTTCCTCACTCAAATCTCATCTTGAATTGTAATCCCTGTAATTGCCATGTGTCAAGGAAGAGACCAAGTAGAGGTAATTGAATCATGGGGGTGGTTTCCCCCATGCTGTTCTCATGATAGTGAGTGAGTTTTCACAAGATCTGATGTTTTTATAAGGGGCTCTTGCCCCTTCGCTCGGCACTTCTCCTTCCTGCTTCCTTGTGAAGAAGATGGCTTGCTTCCCCTTTGCCTTCTGCCATGACTGTAAGTTTCCTGAGGCCGCTCTAGCCATGCTGAACTGAGTCAATTAAACCTCTTTCCTTTATAAATTACTCAGTCTCAGGCAGTTCTTCATAGCAATATGAAAATGGACTAACACAATAGGTTAATGGATAAACTATACATACAGACAATGGAATATTATTCAGTGCTAAAAAAAATGAACTATCAAGCCATGAAAATACATAGAGGAAAATTAAATTCATATTACTAAGTGAAATAAGCCAACCTGTAAAGGCTACATACTGTAAGATTCCAACTATATGACATCCTGTAAAAGGCAAAAGTGTAAAGACAGTAAAAATATTAGTGATTTCCAAGAGTCAGGGGTGGAAACAATGATAGGTAGTGCCCAGAGGTTTCTAAAGCAGCGAAAATATTCTGTATAAATCTATAATGGTGGATATGTATCATAAATGTCTCCAAAATGATAGAATGTACTACACCAAGAGTAAACACTGATGTAAACTATAAATTTTGAGTGATCATGTGTCAATGTAAGTTTACCAGTTGTAACAATTGTACCACTCTGGTGGGGAATATCAATAATTGAGGTTATGCATGTGTGGGGTAGGGGAAATATGGGATGGGGTATTCTTTGTACCTTTTTCTCAGTTTGCTGTGAACCTAAAATTGCTTTAAAAGATAAAGTCTTAAAAAATCAGTCCAATTCAAAAACAACAACAACAACAACAAAACATAGGCATGTGGGGGTTGAAGCTAGAGGGAAATAAGAGTGCTAGCCTAGGTTGGTAATAACCTTGCTCCAAAATAATGCCAATTAAGAGAAAGCCAATATAAGTGAATAGTTATTATATTTTCCTGAATACTATTGACTATTTAATGTTCTAAACTAAGGTGTATGGTGTTTCCTTTATTTCTTTCAACTGAATTGTCAAATAAATACATGCTAAAAGATGTATTACCCCTCATACATTATTGTGTATTTGATGAATGCATTTTTGAAATGCTAAAGAATATATTACAAACATTTTTACTTTTTTTGCTCACGTTTACCTTGAAAGTAAATTCAGTAGATCTAGGATCTCTGAAAAGCACACATTGCTTTATTAAAACTTTTATTGCCGTTTCCTATTTATGGCACCATAAGAAATAACAGGGCCTAGAGACACGTTTTTAGGCTATAGTTTTCCAAGGTCATGAGATGTAAAATTTTGGCTAAAAATATTTTATAGCATATATACAGATTACTGGTACTTTTTAGAAACAAAATATTTGTATTCTTTTTCTGAGATCATCATTCTATAAAGCCTAAAAAGAGTTGGGAAGCAAGAAGGCAAAACTTACAGAAACTCCTTTTAGAAATAGCTTGGTAACAACTAAGAGAGAGAAATCAGTGGATGACTAAGATGACCACAACAAAATCACTTCTCAGTGAGATTAGACAAGAGCAATTTCTAGAGTTACACCCACATGCTTTTTTTAGATAACTCAACCAAGCTTTTTTTGAAGTAGGTAGGAAGATAATGTTCCCAGCAATTTATCCTAACCCCTCCTGAACTAAATCCTGAAGACACTGATACAACTGGACTTTGAAACGTTCTAAGAGAGAATGCTTCTTTTCCTTCTGTAGACACACATCTCAGTGCTCTTGAGGACTAGAAGTTTGTTTTAAATGCAAACAAAATGATAAAGCCAAATAAAATACAGTAACTAATCAAAGATTTTTGGTACCTTTGCCAATAGACCCAAACCCGCAGCAAATTAACTGAATTGTAATATGAGATGAGAGTTAAAAATTAGCATTGCATATTTGAAGTCAAAAATCTTACAATATTTGTAAATATTTGTCACAAAGTCTCTTTCTCAATCTTTATACGTCAAAGAAATATCTAACTGTAGTTATTCACCTTCCTAATTAGTAACACTTCCTATTTAAATGGCTGTGCCATAAATTCGTATCATACCTGATAAAATCTTTCCACAGCTCTCTCTACACAGTCATAGCTATAAATCTTCTCACTGAATTTTAGTTTTAATCAAACTGAACAAAATCCCCCACATACACATTTGATCTCTCTATTCAGTGTTCGGAGCCTACATAAGACCTTTCCCCCAGTATATTAATCCTCCTTAAATCCATACTTTCCAATAAGATATTATCTACTCACAACAACTAAAATCCCTCTGCCACCATGTAATATTTTCCCTCAGCCAGAATTCATCTAGTCCTCTTCTAAATTCTCATAACACTTTAGACCAATACCTGTATATTGCTGTATATTGTTTTGTATTATTTGTGATAGTCTTGTGTTAAGTCTGCCCATATTTTCAACTTCCCTACTCTTCAAGAGCAGAGGAAGGGCATATTTTTGTGTATATTTATATGTCCTACTTCCAGCCTCAGGCTTCACATACATTAAGTGGATAAAACAACAAAAAAGATGTGTGTACTGCATACAGGAGTTGGTATTTGAGTCACTGCCAAAATGAATTTTCTCTCAAAGTAAGGCTTAAATGATAAAGCCTCAAAAACATTTCCATTTCCTAGAGAGATGGCACTTTCAGTGAAGAAATGTGTTACTTTCTCACAAAAGAACATCCACTGATAATTCTCAAATACAAATGTACTAGACAACATCCTATTTTTTAAAACCTAAGTGTGAGGTTAGATTACTGTTCTTAGTATGTTTGATCCACAAGTATACAAATCTAAATAAATCAACCCTCTACCCTCATTCATCCTAAGTTAACTTTCCCCTCTGGATACCATGATGATCTGAAGGCCTTTTACTATAGGAAGTAACATTTTTATGCCAATTATTGGAAAAGAATACCACGTTTAAAAAGTAGAGAAAGAGAGAAAGAAGAGTGTGGCAGAAATAAAGCTATTTTTTGTTTGTTTGTTTGTTTTGTTTTTTGAGACGGAGTCTCGCTCTGTCGCCAGGCTGGAGTGCAGTGGCGTGATCTTGGCTCACTGCAACCTCCGCCTCCTGAGTTCAAGCGATTCTCCTGCCTCAACCTCTCGAGTAGCTGGGACTACAAGCATGTGCCACCACGTCCAGTTAACTTTTGTATTTTTAGTAGAGACAGGGTTTCACCATGTTGGCCAGGATGGTCTTGATATCTTGACCTCGAGATCCACCTGCCTCGGCCTCCCAAAATGCTGGAGATTACAAGTGTGACCCACCTGCTGAGCCAAAAGCTAGATTTTTAATCAAAGATAATGGCTAACCTATTACACTGGGCTGGGTTAGGTAGGGAGTTCTGTTTTTGTTGTTGTTGTTGTTGTTGGTTTTCTGTTTTTAAAGCAACATTCGGGATCATCCTAACAAAATTAGAAAGATACATATAAAAAGTCATCAATACAGTCTCCTGCTCAAATTCATTCAAGTCTCAATTGATTTAACAATTTCTCATGGGTAAGAACATACGTAGCCTGCTTGTATTTGCCAAAGTATTTGCCTAAAACACAAATGGGACATAGTGCTGTCTGTTATGCTACCAGCACCATTTATTTCTAACGTCCTTTTCATTTCACAGACCATTTTGTATTTTTCCGACATGCTACTGTTTCACTAACTAATTCAAATAATAAATTATAAGTGAGATGAAAAAAGATTTGCAAGTTAAATCAAAGAATTCTACAACAATCTATACAATACTTTGAGAAATTAACATATGATCTGGACAAGTCACAAGACAGATTAAATTGTATGCTCATCCCATATATGGGCAGAAGATAATCAATTTAATTTTCAATACATTAGACAATATTTGTGTACAAGAATATCTCATTGATGTTATACTTATTTTTTGTTTCATACTTCACTAACTTGTATATGTTTTCGTTTATAATCATCATTAGACTCCCTGTTATCTAGGTACTAAAGGAATTGCTCTCTGCTATATATTGAATCTTGCTGTCAGGTGATGATAAAAGACGCTCTTGAAAAGGAAAAGAAAAACCAAAGACAGATAAACAATAGGGATGAGCACAGGAGAAAGATAATGGTTTAAGGCCATCATAACTTACTAATTTAAACCTAAAAGTCAATAAATGCTCAATGCCCTGGAAAGAGTTCTCAATCCAGTGTTTACAAAACCATGATGTGCTATTATTTTTTAGTAGATGACAAAATAGCACATTGCTATTTCTCCTATGAAAGAAGAAAAGTGGTCAAAGAAAAAGGTGGGAGCAGAAAAATAATGTAGAAACAGGAAAGAAAAAAAAAGAATCAAAGCACAATTAAATATGTTTCAGTCCAAATTTATTTTGCATCTGTTCTGTGCCAGATGTTATGTTAATTGCCAAAAATAAATAAATAAAAAGCTATGTTATAATCCTTATCCTAAAAAAAATGTAGTAGAAGAACATGGTAATAATAATGAAAATAATAATATTAATAATAAAAAAAGGTATTTTATGCAGTAGAACCTAGAGTAAAAGACTATAGGGATGTCCTTTAAAAATACAAAAATTAACATGTGACTTTTTCTTTTAATTTGTTTTTAAACATATCATCACACTTACAAGGATAAAGCTCAGGTTTAAGATATCATAAATTGCTAGAATAGACAGGGAAGTCAATAAAAGCTGAATGACCTGGATAAAGTCTCTCACCTGTGAAGAGAAACCCGTAGTGCTATTTTTCAAGAGGTGACAAAATGGCACAATACCCTTTAAAGATGAGAAAAAAATAAATAAAAACATTAAACTTTCAGCTTTAGGAAGACATCAAATTCCTGACAGGAGGTATGCCTGTGTGTAAGTATGAGCTCACGTGACAAAAAAATACAGGAGTGGTTCATAAAGTAGGCTAAGAAGTTGATTCTGTATTTTTTAGTTTTATATCATCCCTTTGTCCAAGAGTTTTGTAAAACAAAAAAAATGTTGAAAATATACATTTAGAACCATGTCATTTTCATGTACATTTTATTGGGAAGGTTTCAGACAGAAGGAATTTAACAATTAAGGGCCATGAATCCAGCACCTACCTTAAGTCTTATTTTATTTATATATCTACTTACTTTTCTTCTCAGATTGTACGTTGTCGAGAGTCAATGTCTTTATTTTACTTCATCCATGATTATTTAGGTACCTTCAGACAATTTTAGATTCCATAATCTAAAAATTAAATTATTATTTACTTTTTAAAGTCACAAAATTGATCCAAGAGATAGAAACTAATTCAGTATGTCATACAGGTAGTTGATGGGAGTTAGAATTTGTACCTGACTAGAGTGCCCTATCTTTATCATTATACACCTAGATTTTAAGAAAGTAAAAGCAGACAGAAGATTCTTATCAGAAATAGAAGATCGAAAAAATGACATGTCAATGAAAGTATGAATATTTCACATTCTATTTTCAACCCTCAGTTCTGAAGGATCACTTCAGTTCCAGAACTCTCCATAAAATAGACTAGAGCCTTTGTTGCAAAGCATCATTGTTCAATATCTTTCCTTGTTCAACCCTGCTTCTCAAACCCTTCAGAGTTCTAGTTTCTAAAAGCATTCTGTAATAACATTTCCACATACAAGTCTCCATCTCAGAATTTACTTCCTGGGGAAAACAACCTGTAACAAAGACGAACTTCAGCAGAAAGATTAAACTTGAGTTTGGGATGATGATGAGACATTAGCTGCCTAGGAAATCACTAAAATCACTGAAATATATCACAATTGTCAATTTCTTAATGGAAGATACTAAGACTTTTTCATACTTAGAAAATGATCAAGATGTGAAGATTTAATTATATGCATGGCAAATAAAAATAAAGCAAATTATAACAGCTTGAAAGTAAAGATTCATATTAAGTTGGGAACTGGAATCATAACCAAAAAATTTCCTTAAAAAATGTTCATGTATTAAAGACAGATCTGGGACATTTTAGAAAGTGTAGCAAAATGTTTTTGTTTTATATGTGATAGAAACAATGACATAAAGTTTCCATGTAAAAATGAGTATGGAAATACTCATACCTATTCTTTCTTTCATTGTCCTTGATTCCACTAAAGAACAAGTCTTTTTTTTTTAATTTAATTTTATTATTATTATACTTTAAGTTTTAAAGTACATGTGCACAACGTGCAGGTTTGTTACATATGTATACATGTGCCATGTTGGTGTGCTGCACCCATTAACTCATCATTTAGCATTAGGCATATCTCCTAATGCTATCCTTCCCCCCTCCCCCCACCCCACAACCATCCCCTGTGTGTGATATTCCCCTTCCTGTGAAGAACAAGTCTTTTCTCAAGATATAAAGTCGTAAGTGTATTTGTAGGGCAAAAAAAAATAGTATCTGACATAAACTGTGAAAGGAAAACACACATCCACAATCTTGCAAACACACACAGAAGTTTCTACAGATGCAGTGTGCATGTGTGTGCATACTCAGGCAAACACACCAAGACTTACGCCCTTTGAGAAATAGCATATCTTCTCTTTCAGCCTTTGTTTGATTGTTTTCTTTAGCTGTGATACTTCCATCCACACCCCCAGCTTCAATACTCCCAAGGGTCACTCCCTTATTTCACTCAAATATCACCTTTAAAAAATAAACATTTTATTTTAGAATAATTTCAGTTGTATGGAAAGTTTTCAAAGATAACATAAAGTGTTCCTCTGTACTCCTCATCCAATTTTAGTTTTTCCAGATGTTATCATCTCAAATAATCTTATACATTTGTCAAATTATGACATCACTATCTGTACATTGTTATTAACTAATTTCCAGGCATTATCTGTACCCACACTAAAGTCCTTTTACTTCCTGGGCATCCAATTCAAAATTCCAGGTTTCATTTAGTTGTCATGCCACCTTATTTTTCTCTTTTATGTGTATTTCTCATATTTTCTTTGTTTCTCATCACCTTAACAATTTGAAGAGTACTCTAGATACTACATAAAATGTTTCTTAATTTGAGATTTTAAAGTATTTTTCTCAAATATAGCTGCCTCATGTGTTTTTGGAAAAAAATACCACAGAGGTAAAGTGCTATTATTATTGCATCATATTAGGGGATAAATTATATCCATATGATATCGTTGAGGCTGTCACCCTTCATTGCATGGTTAAGATAGGGTATGTCAGTTTCCTCTATTATAAAGTTACAGAATTTTCCATTTCATACTCTATCCTTTGGAAACAAATTATTCAATTCAAGCTACCCTCAAGGGAGCCAGAAATTAAGCTCAATGTACTAGAAAAGTTATATCTATATATAAATGTTAGAATTCTTTGTTCATTATCCCTTATCTATTTACCTATTCAATCATTTATTGATATCATTATAGACATGCATATTTATCTGATACTTTGGGTTATAATTCAATGTTACATGTATATTTTATTGCTCAAATTGTTTTAGCTTTGTCTATTGAGGTCTCTTAAACGTTGGCATCTGTGTTTCTTTGACATGCACTTACTATTTTGTTTTTGTTCATTCTTTACTTTCTATTACTACAAGATGCTTCAGGATTATCTTGTATTTTCACTGCATCAGTCCTAGAATTAGGCACTTTTCTAAGGATCCCCTGTTCTTTTATTGAAGAATGGTATTAGAAACTAAGTTTTTGGTCCAGGTGTGCTTATTTCTACCTGGCTAAACCTCTCCAATTTAATGAGACTACCGTGACTGTTCTATTTGTCTCTGAAATCTGCTCCTCTCCTATTCCCCATTCCAAATTTCCATTATCTTTTAGTAGATTCTATTTTTCATAGCACACATCACCTTTTAATATGCTATAGAATTTGCTTGTGTATCCTGCTTAATTGTCTGTTTTCTCCTGTTTCTACAATTTAAGTTTGACGAGGATACAGATTTCTGTTGTGGCCACTATTGTATATCTAGCACACAAATAAATACCTGGTACAGACTTAGTAATTATATTTGATAACAATTTATTGATATTTGTAATAGAGTTTGAATCTAAATGCATATTTGAATTCACCTCATGAAAAGTTAAACATATCAAATTTTGTTTAAAGTGAAAAATGCATATAATTTAGATCAATTCTCGTCATAGGATTAGAAAATTCCAAAGACAAGCAGGAATCTGCACTATGACTACTAAGTAAAGACCCCAAATTTATTGGATTCACATGTTATTGTATAGATAATGGTATGTAAAGGTTCAAATAATTTCTCTTCAATGTAAGTTTATTGCTGTTGTCCTGTAAGACAGTCAATTTAGTATCAAACACAGCAATCAAACATAACCCCCTTTCATTAAATCGTGTGTAAATATGAGATCATAATATGCTCTTTTATTTTTGTTTTGCTATTGTTGTTAATGTTTTTACTTTTTTTCCCTCTTTTTCAACTTTTATTGTAGAATTAGGAGAAACATGTGCAGGTTTGTTACAAACATATATGTGTTATGCTGATGTTTGGGGTCTGACTGGACCTATCACCCTGATAGTGAGCATAGTATACAATAGGTAGTTGTTTAGCTCTTGCCCCCTCCTTCTCCCCTCTTGTATTCCCAAGTGTCCATTGTTCCCATCTTTATGTCCATGTGTACTTAATGTTTAACTCTTGCTTATAATTGAGAACATGTATTATTTCTGTTCCTGCATTAATTTGCTTAAAATAATGGCCTTCTGCTGCATCTGTGTTGCTACAAACAACATGACTTTGTTATTTTTTTAATCACTGCATAGTATTACATGGTATACACGTACTAAATTTTATTGATCTAGTCCACCATTGATGAGCACCTTCATTGATTCTATTTTTTTGTTGCTGTTATGAATAATGCCACGATGAACATACAAGTGCATGTGTCTTTTTGGCAGAGCTATTTATTCTCCTTTCAATATATACCCAATAATGGGATTGCTGAGTTGAATGGTAGTTCAGCTCAGTCCTTTGAGAAATTTCCAAACTTCTTTCCACAGTGGTTAAATTAATTTACGTTTCCATCAATAGTGTATGTGTTCCCTTTCTCTCCAGCCTCACCAACATCTGTTAATTTTTGACTTTTTAAGAAAAGTCATTGTGACAGTTGTGTATCTCATTGTGGTTTTGATTTACATTTCTTTGATGATTAATGATGATAAACATTTTTTCTTATATTTGTTGGCTGCATATGTTCTGTTTTGAGAAGTGTCTGTTCATGTAATGGAGTAATTTTTGGGTTGAATTAAGTTTCTTATAGATTCTGGATACTAGAACCTTGATGGATGCAGTTTGTGAATATTTTTTCCCATTCTGTGAGTTGTTTGTGTATGTCTTTGATAGTTTTACTGTGCAGAAGATCTGTAGTTAATTGGTCATACTTATCAATTTTGGTTTTTGTTGAATTTGCTGTTGGGGACTTAGCCATATATTATTTGCCAAGAACAATATTGAAAAGAGTATTTCCTAGGTTTTTCTTTTTTTATGGGACTTTTATAATTTGAGGTCTTACATTTAATTCATTAATAATTCTTGAGTAAATTTTTGTATATGGTAAAAGGTAGGGGTTCAGTATTATTCTTCTGCTTATGAATAGACAGTTATAAAAGCACCATTTATTGAATAGAGAGTCCTTTCCCCATTGTTTGTTATTGTTGACTTTGTCAAAGATCAAATGACTTTGTAGCTTTATTTCTTGTTCTCTGTTCTCTGTGCATAGCTTTATTTCTCGTTCTATGTTCTTTTCCATTGGTCTGTGTGTGTGTGTGTTGTTGTATCAGTACCATGCTGTTTTGGTTACTGTAGCCTTGTAGTATAGTTTTAAATCAGGTAATATGATGCTTCCAGTTTTGATCTTTTGGCTTAGGGTTACTGTGGCTATTTGGGATCTTTATTGGTTCCATATGAATTTGGGGATTTTTTTCTAGTACTGTGAAAAATGGCATTCATAATTTGCTAGGAATAATGTTCAATTTGAAAACTGCTTTGGGCAGTATGGCCATTTTAACAATATTGATTCTTCCAATTCATAAAGATGAAATATTTTTCTATTTATTTGTGTAATTTTTCATTTCTATCAGCAGTGTTTTGTATTTCTCCTTGTAGAGGTATTTTAATTCCTTGGTTAGATGTATTTCTAGGTATTTCTCTCTTTTAGCAGCTATTGTAAATGGGATTGTGTTCTTTATTTGGCTATCATCTAGAAATTTATTGGTACATAGAAATGCTACTTATTTTTGTACATTGGTTTTGTATCCTCAAACTTTACTGAAGATATTTATCAGCTCTGGGAGCCCTTTGGCAGGGCTGTTAAGGTTTTCTAGTTTTGGAATCATATCATTGGTGAAAAGAGATAGTTTGACATGTGATTTTCCTATTGGATGCATTTTTTTTCCTTACTTGATTTCTCTGACTAGGACATCCAGTATTATGTTGAATCAGAGTGATGAGAGTGGATATCCTTGTCTTGTTCCAGTTCTCAAGAGGAATGTTTCCAGCTTTTGTTGGAATGATTATGATATTGGCTGTGAGTTTGATGTAAATACCTTTTATTATTTTGAAGTGTGTTCCTTCAATTCCTAGTTGCTCAAGGTTTTTTTGTTTTTGTGTTTTTATCATGAAGAGGTGTTGAATTTTATCCAAAACTTTTAATGCATTTATTAACATGATCATATGGTTTTTGTTTGTAATTCTGTTTATGTGGTAAATCACAATTACTGATTTGAAAAATGTAGAACCAACATTGCACTCCAGGAATAAAGCCTGCTTGATCATGGTGAATTAACTTTTTGATGTGCTACTGGATTCAGTTTGCTAGCATTTTGTTGAGAATTTTGGGGTCTATGTTTATCACCAATATTGACCCAAAGTTTTATTTTTTCATAGGGTCTCTGCCACATTTTTGTAGGAAAATAATGCTGGCTTCATAGAACAAGTTAGAGAAGACTCCTTGCTTCTTGATTTTTTGGAATAATTTTAGTAGGTTTGGTACTAGCTCTTCTTTGTATGTCTGGAAGAATTTGGCTGTGAATCCATCTGTTCCATGGCTTTTTATAGCTAGTAGACTTTTTATTACTGATTCTGTTTCATAATTTATTATTGGTCTGTTCCTTTCTTCCTGGTTCAATCTTGGACAGTTATCTGTTTCCAGGAATTTCTCCATTTTCTCTAGATTTTCTAGTTGGTGTGCATAGAGGTGTTCACAATAGTCTCAGGATTTTTTATATTTCTGTGGGATTTGGTTGTAATCTCATCTTTTTCAATTCTAATTGTGTATTTGGATCTTCTTTCTTTAATTCTTTGTTAATCTAGCTAGCCATATATTCATTTTGTTTATTCTTCCAATGAGCCAACTTTTGGTTTCATTGATTTTTTGTATAGACGTTTGCATCTCAATTTTATTCAGTCCTTCTCTGATTTTACTTATTTTTTGTCTTCTGCTATCTTTAAGTACATTTTTTTCTAGTTCCTCTAGGTGCAATTCTATATTGTTAATTGGAGAACTTTCTTACTTTTGATGTAGGCATTTAACATTATAAACTTTCCTTTTAACAATACTTTAGCTGAATCCAAAATATTTTAATATGTTGTATCTTTATTTTCAATAGTTTCAAATATTTTCTTTATATTTCTGCCTTAAATTCATTGTTCACCCAAGTGTCTTTCAGGAGCAAGTTGTTTAATTTCCATGTAATTGCATAGCCTTGAGAGATCATCTTGGTATTGATTTCCATTTTTATTGCACTGTGGTCCAAGTGTGTGAATGCTATGGTTTAGGATATATATATATATATACATTTTTATTTATTGACCATTTACCATTATGTAATGCTCTTCTTTGTCTTTCTTGATTGTTGTTGGTTTAAAGTCTGTTTTATCTGGCATAAGAATAGTGACTCCTGCTCTTTTTTTGTATTCTGTTTGCATAATAAATCTTTCCCTTTCTGTTTACATTGAGCCTGTGAGTGTCATTACATGTGAGATGGGTCTCTTGAAGCCAGCACACAGTTAGGCTTTGTCTTTTTTTCCAAGTTACCACTTCATAACTTTTTAAGTTGGATGTTTAGACCACTTACATTCAAGGTTAATGTTGATATCCTAGATTTTGAGACTTTCCTCATGTTGTTAACTGTATATTTTGTTCACTGGATTATGAGGTTGTCTTATGGTGTCAGTAGGCTGTGTACTTAAATGTGTTTGTGGTGGCAGGTATTGTTCTTTCATTTCCATGCTTATCACTCTCTTAAGGACCTCTTTTAAGGCAGGTTAGAGGAAATAAATTCCCCTAGTGATTGCTTGTCTAAGAAAGATTTTATATCTCCTTTGCTTATGAGGTTTTATTTGGTAGGATATGAAATTCTTGGTTGGAATTTCTTTTCTTTAAGATCACTGAAAATAGGTCCTCCATCTCTTCTGGCTTCTGAGGTTTTTGTTGAGGCATTTACTATTAACCTAATGGTGTTTCCTTTGTAAGTGATCTGACCCTTCTCTCTAGCTGCCTTTGATGTGATTTATTTTGCATTGACCTTAATAAATATGATGACTGTGTGCCTTGGGGATAGTCGCCTTGTATAGCATTTCATGGAGGTTTTCTGTATTTCTTGAATTTGCATATAAATCTCTCTAGCAAGACTGGGGAAATATTTGTGCCCTGTATTCTCAAATTCATTTTCAGAGTTACTTATTCTTTCTCCTTCTGTCTGAGAAATGCCAAGGAGTTGTTTATTAGATCTCTTTTCATAATGCTTTCTTAGAGGTTTTATTTCTTAAAATTACTATTTCTTTATTTTTGTCTGACTGAGTTGATTTGATGAACTGGTCTTCAAGTTGTGAGATCATTTCCCTAGCTTAGTCTAGTTTGCTGTTAATGCTACCAACTCTGTTAAAAAATTATTGTTGTAAATTTTTCAATTCTAGGAATTTGGTTTTGTTTTTTCTTAAAATGACTAATTTGTCTTTTAACTTTTGGATCATTTTATTGGATTCCTGGATCCCTTGGATTGGGTTACAACTTTCTCCAGAATCTCGATGAATTTCCTTGCCATTCCTTCTGAATTCCATGTCTATTATTTCAAGAATCATTCTGGGGAGCTAATATGCTTATTTAGAGGTAAGAGGACACTGAGCTTTTGGATTGCCAGAGTTTTTGCGCTGATTCTTTCTGGTGTTCCTTTGTCCTATTGGCTTTTCTGTCATTTGGATGCAATTTTTTTTGTATTTATATTCTTTATTTACTTTGAGGTTTAAGCTGTGGTGTAAGTTGAGTATAGTCAATTAGCTTAATTTCTGTGTGCTTTCAGAGGGCCAAGGCTCTGTATGTGATCTTTATTTGTGGCTAGGTTCTTGCCCTGGGTTTCACAGGAAATGTATAATGGCAGAATATTTTTGGTGTTGTGATTTTTGCTGTTTAAGACTAATGTAGGAGACACTTAAGAGTAATGGCTGGTAGATAGGCTTTTACTCAGCCAGATATTTTGTATTTCAGTGAAGTCACAGTAGTGCTCCATTTTGGTGGTGGGGAAGAGGGGTAACCTCCTTGCCAGATCTGCTCCCAGGTTTTAGGGAGCCTACTCCCATCATTGGCACTGCCTGCATTTCCTTTCTTAGGTGTTCCAGGCTTCAGGGCTCCCTCAGACAGAAGCTGTGGCTGGCAGACTGGCCACACCTTTCCTAAACCAGCCCTACAGAGTGAGGCATACCCTGCTCCCATGCCAGCCCAGGAACCCAAGTCTCACCCCTCACAGTGTTCTGAGAGTGAAGGCTCCTCCCTAGCTTGAGTGCCGGCTACAGATCTCATTTTGGCACTCCTGAGCTATGTACTGCAGCCCTGGGGCTTTGGGACTGGGCCCAGAGCTCTGTCTTCTGGCTCTTAAGGTCATGCCCTGGCTGTGCTGAGGGACACAAAATGTTTTCAGGCCACCAGGAAAGCACTCAGGCAGGGCTGCCAGCAAAGCAACCAAGGTGGATGGCAGAGGCTGTGCAGTGCTTCTGCTCTTGCAGGAACAACCAGGTAGGACCTTGGGGTGCAGGTATTGGGCAGAAGTGCCTGCAGAAAAGATGCGCCTCAGTCCTGTGGGTAAGACAGCCCTGCTCTCTCTTGGCCTGGCAGTTAGATGGGGTTAGATGGACAGCTTTGAGATATAAGCACCTATGATCATGTTCCACTGCAGCTGTCCCATGCACAACACCCCTGGGCCCCATGCAAGCTGGAGCTCTGTCTCTGTCTACTCTCTGGGCCAATCTCCCTGTCTATTTAATGTCTATGGTGGGAGAAGCGGTTGTGGGATATCTTGTAGTTAGGATTTCAGATGTCCTGAGTGAGAGTGGGCTGATGCACAACTTTATGCTCATAAATAGTAATTATTTATGTATAAAAGTAGATATTTATATATTGTGGTTTATATCTTTAAATGTTAAAGCGAATTAAAATATTTCAATAATGAATAAAATATTCAGAATAAATAAAAATTGAGGTCAATTATGTTTCAAAAAAACTGGCTTTTTTCCCCCAAGAGCTGTATGTAATACAAGATAAACCATATTACTTAAGAATATACTTTTATTATTGGTTTGAGGATAATTTATATTCATAAAAAATTGCTTAGAGATATAACCAATAGTGTTCTGGAGTTAGATTTTAACAGCTTGTGAGAGCTGAATGTTCCTGTCTCTTCCTTTCTCTGCTTCATTTACTGACATATTGGTATCTTAAAATTAGTATTGCTGGGAGTACTTACACAATGAAAATTAACAAATACTACAAATTAAGAGATTTTGTGTGTGTGTGTGTAAAACAAATTGTTAAAAATTCACCAGCACATCACGGAATCTCATCTAAACTTTGCACATTTAGCAATATAGTAATCATTTTCCCCCCTATTTCAGTGAAATCACATTCTTATTTTATATTTTTTGTTTAAATATGTAGTTTTTCTTTTGAAGATATAGTACAGCCATTAATTTAAAAATGTGATTACTGTTAGAAAAGTACCTTTTTTTGACTTTATAGTGTGAAAGAAATAATGAGCCATACTTCAATATCTGTTTTACTGTTGGAATATTCAAGTTTTAATTAATATTTCAGAGAACATTATTTTTTATGAAAGTGAAAGCGCTCTTCAGAAATTCTCCAGGCACTGTCCATCATCTTTCACTGAATTTAGAAAATTTCAAAATTGATCTGCTTGATCAATTTATCCATTTCAGATGACTTTAGGAAGATAGGACAAAATGGGATGAAACTCATTAATGAATTGCATGGTGATTGAGAAGCCCATCTTAGACCGCAAAAGAAAAATTTAAATTTGTAGGCAGAAAAAAGTGTTCAGCAAGTTAATATTTCCTCTCTTGGGAAGTACTCCCTCATCACATAGTCAGAGTACCTTCTGTCTTTATTTTTGAGTTTGGCAACATCTGTGTTATTTTAGTCTATGACTGAAAGGGCTACAAAATGTGGTATCACATGCATCATTATTCCCTGGAATGAAGCTTGAAACTAGATCATGATTTAGTCAAAATTCAAAGATATTTCTAATTATATTTACTTTGAGGACATACATAAACTTTTAGGGTAGTAACTTGCATTTCTGAAACAAGAAAATTAAAAAAGAAAAGCTATTCTTTAGTTGCTGTTGTTCAGAATTGCAGGACATTGTGGTACAAGGAAAACCTTTTTTATGGTAGAGAACAAATTTTCTAAACTAGATGTCTTTTGAGGTACATCAAAATTGGTCTGTATTTATTATTATGCAAATTTGCACCAGTTCCCACAGTGAATGCCAAAAAAAGGTGACAGTTTCTTTTTGTATTTGTGATTTACATTCTTTCTAGGACATGCAGTTTATAGTTTTAATATATAAAGACTTGGAAAATAGAATCAAGTTGCAGTAAATTTTAAAAGACTTATCCATTGAAGAGAGAATTTCATTGTAGTGTAGTCACCCCTCTGTACTCATGTATTTCATATTTGCAAATGCTTCTACTTGCTAAAATTTATTTACAACCCCAATATCTATAATAGCAGTTTAGTGGTCATTCACAGATTTCAGAGGAAAAGCAAAAATTTTGAATTGCCTAATGAGTTTTCAACTGAGGTTGAACAAAGTGACTCTTTGCCTTCCTGTTTCAGCTCTCGTATTGTAAAGTAGCTTTCTTTTCTTGGTCTTCTTAGTGCCACATTTTCACATTTTTCATTTTCCTCTCTTCTCTCTTTCTTTCTTTTTCTTTCTTTCTTCTTTCATTTTTTGTTTGCTTTTTTTGGTGTTTCTGTTTTTTAAAATGGTGCTCGAGTATAGTGCTGAAGGAAATCTCCCATTCTTAAGGCCAAAATACTTTGTGAAAAAATACATGTGTTAGCTAAGCTTCATTTAGGTGTGAGTTACAGTGCTATTAATCATGAGTTCAATGTTAATGAACCAATAATACGAGTTAAATTAGGTATCTTTAAAGAAAAGCACACAGGTTATGTATTGACCAGTTACTTGAAATTTTGTGGAGAACCATTAATTACATAAAAGCTTTTAATATTAAATGCTACTCTATACTTAAATAAAACACAGATATTTCTAGTAAAAATTAACGAATGTTAATGATATGGATTTTACAATCAACTAAATACTATCAATCCAAGAATTACCTTTTGAAAAGGCTTTCCTAAAAGTTGGTCTCATTTTAGGAACAATTGTCTTTGATAATTGTTATTAGTTCTGTAGACCCTAGATGACCTAGTCATTCAATTACTAAGATTATTCAACTAAGTTAAAACTTTAGAAGTGTGTAATAGAATAATAAGAAAATAAAAATGGTTAACAAGTCTAAATCTTCATTATCTGCTTTTAAAATATAATAAACTTCTACATTTTATGTATATCAGAGTGTTTGTTATCTTTATAATATTAATCTATATCATTTAACAAAGAGAGAGGATAAGTGGGAGGAGAAGGAAAAGGAGAAAAATAGATACCATACATTGAATACTTATGAAGCAGGCATTTTTTCTCTCTCTCTTTATATCTATGTTTTATATATATATATACACACACACATACAGGTGTAAATATAAATAGGATTATATATATTTACATATAATCCTATTTTGTCTAATTACCCCCATAATAAGTAAATATTAGTAATCCAGTTACACATATAAAGGTACTGGGGGCTACATGTATTTGATCAGCAAGTTCAAAGTCGCACAACTGGTGAGGAAGAGAGCCCTTCAAAAGTGGATAGGCCTGACTCCACAGCCAGGAAATAGAGACATAAAGGAGTCTCTTTCTGTCTCTATATAGCTTTTATCTTATAATACTCATTCTTCGTAAAAGATCCCCATCTTTAGCCCATCAAAGAAAAGCAAGAGCAAACACAATAATTATTTTATATCCACTCTTATTAATTGTTCTCTTTTCAGGATCATTTTTGTAATTTGAAATGTTTCATTACTCCCATATTCAACACTATGAATAAAGAAACAGCACTCATGAATATAAGGTGAGAACTGGCCTGAGTAGAGGGTAATTCTAAATAAAATTAACCATATATTTTTTTAATTTTTTTTTTTTTTTTTGAGATGAAGTCCCACTCTTGTCCCCCAGGCTGGAGTGCAATGGGGCTATCTCGGCTCACTGCAACCTCTGCCTCCCAGGTTCAGACGATTTTCCTGCCTCAGCCTCCCGAGTAGCTGGGATTACAGGCGCCTGCCACCATGCCTGGCTAATTTTTTTTTTTTTTTAGCAATCACAGGGTTTCACCATGTTGGCCAGGCTGGTCTCGAACTCCTGACCTCAGGTGATCCACCCACCTTGGCCTTCCAAATTGCTGGGATTACAGGCGTGAGTCACCGCACCTGGCCACAAAAGGGTTTATTACTGTTATCTTTATTCCATGCTGAAATTATAATAATTCTGATATATTAAGATAATCAAATTTCTCTGTCAAACTGATTTCCCCTGTTTGTTTTTATTCTTTGTAATGTGACTACCAGAAAATGTAAAATTATAAATGAGGCTTGCATTATATTTATTTCGGTAGCTCTGTTCTAAAGAATAGATTTAAAATAATATAAAGTAAATTAATGAAAAGAAATTGGATTATATAAGTAAAAGTTTATCTCTATTCCATGGGGCATCAGCAGTTTTGCTTGACTGGAGGCTGAAATATCCACTTTGAAGATTCTCATTCATGTGGCTATTAAGTTGGTGCTGGCTGTCAATTGAAAGCTCACAGGGCTTTGGCCAGGAGTATTAGTTCTTCTTCAAATGAACCTCTCCACTGGCTGCTTAGCGGGTGAGCCAGTGGCACAATTAATATAACGGGTTTTTACAAATTTTAATAGGCTCTATACATCATTTTAATTAAGTGAGGTTTATTCCCCTGATTTATTGTTTCTAGTAAACGTGTGATTTCTCCATCATTTTGTTAAAGTTAGGATTTCCACAAACCTCCAACCCCACTGGGAATCTTCCCAATATTTCAAAGAAACAGGTTTTTGACACTATCTTTTATCAATCCAGTGGGATTTTTAGTACAAATATTACTGCAGTGCTTTTATTTCAGTTGAAATTGTTCAGAGAAGACCAAGGCAGATGATCAAATGCAATTCTTTCTAATGGCATCACAGTATAACAAATGTATTTGTTTTCTGGATTTGTGACAAGTAGCAAACTCTGTTTATAAATACAGATTGCACCTCAGGTACTAGTGACACTCTGTCACATCACATCACAGAGTTTCCACTGAGCAATTTTAGGGTGTCTGATTCTCAGTCTTTCTATGCCTGTTTTTATAAGCTGAATGTGATTGGTTTTGTTATACTAAACCAAAACTTACAGCAAAACGTAAGTTCTCCCTGCCACTCATGCTCATCTTTGTTGTCATAGGTATCTGAAGTGGCATAAAGGACAAAGATTTTCCAAAGAGAAATTACTGCATCTACTCCTCTCTTCCCCTTCTCCTCTTTTTTGTTTTTTGTTTGTTTTTTGGTCCTCTACAGTAAGAGGATATCTCAAAACACTAACACTAACGAATTTACTATCTTCTCTAAACTTTTATGGCGAATTAGGCACAGCTGAAATCAATGGAAATTCTCTCCTGCAGGGTTTCTGAAGGTTTGATTCTTCACACAAGGGATTTGCCAGGAAATCTCAGTTATGGTTTGGACTCTGCTGAGGGTGTGATCCCTGCTGGGAGAATCTCTTGCAACAGGGCTGAAGACCACTCCTACAGGACTGGTTTTGGAGTAACTCAGAGGATAAATACACCACATGATCTCAAGAGCCTCTGTCCAGATAGTCAGAGGATGGTCTTTGCAGCCACTGCCATCTCCCAGTTAGAAATAGGTGTGTCCAGACTTTCACCAACGGCTCAGTTACTGCTCTTCTTCACATTTTAGTGGTTTGTCAGTGTTTGACAATTAAACCTCAAATTTAGATATATGATTATAATGGAAGAGATGGTGAAGTGGGAAGAATAATGGTTTCTAGTCTTGGATTTAAAAATTTCACATATGTTGGAGTCCCTTTATGAATTCATGTAAGTTATTAATTTATGCGATAAATAAATTGCCCACAATTATACCAAATAAACAGAATCCCATAAACAATAAATGCATCCAAGCCTAAAACAATCATTGACAAAGCTCATGGAAAGAGCATAAAAAAAGGTTTTTACTCCTTCCCAAACACTGACAAAGAAATAGTCAAATAAAAGAATAGTTAATCATATTGACTTAGAGTTTGTGCAAATCCCGACCCCTCTACTTACTAGTTGTGTGATCTTGAGCATGTCTTTTAGTCTCTAAGGGTCTCAGAGTTCTCATTTGCAAAATGAGAAATAATACTTAACTCATGAAATTGTTGTGAGGATTAAATGAATTTTTAAAGATCTGACATTCTTAGAACACTGCTTGGAATTAAGTAAACGTGGGATATGTTTTCTGTTGTTTTGTTGTTTTTATCTTCACCAATGATTTTAATGATATTAGCCAGCATGTGACATAGCTGATCACTTCCTCTTAGAAATGCATATTTTCATTTAGAATCTAAACTATCACACTTCTTGATTCTCCTACTTTATTTGTTTTTTTCTTTCCAGTATCTTTTACTGGTCCTTTCTCATCTTGTTGTAGTAACTCTAACACCAAATTCTCCAGGGCCTCTAAATTTCTGATGCGCCTCAGGGGTCATTCACTGGACTTTTTTTCTATCTATACTTACTCACTTGGTGATATCATACAGGCTTATGGTGTTAAACTTCCTCTACATGCTGAAAACTCTCAAATATACATCACCCATCCAGACATGTTTTCTAAAAACTCTTGCCAATTACTTACTCTCAATATCCATATTTGAATTTGTAGAAAGGAGAAGCGAAAACAAGTTTTTTATGAGAACTAAAATTTGTATGATTTGAGGGACCTTAAGAAAAGAAAATAGGCCGGGTGCAATGGCTCATGCCTGTAATCCTAGCACTTTGGGAGTCTGAGGCGTGTGGATTGCCAGAGCACAGGAGTTCAAGACCAGCCTGGGCAACATGGTGAAACCCCGTCTCTACTAAAATACAAACAAGTTAGCTGGGTGTGGTGGCGTGCGCCTGTAATCTCAGTTACTTGGGAGGCTGAGGCAGGGGAATTGCTTGAACCTGAGAGGTGGAGGTTGCAGTGAGCCAAGATCGTGCCATTGCACTCCAGCCTGGGCAACAGAGCAAGACTCCATTTGAAAAAAAAAAAAAGAAAATAATATAAAATTATAAATACAAAATTATAAGGTCAGGAGTAGGCTGAAGTGGCCTTCCGGCTCAGCATGACTCAGTGGGTTTGGAGTGCAGGTGTACAGCCCCGCACATTATGTAACCGCACCACACGAGATGCATTAGGTGATCACCCACATGAGCTCATGCTTGGCTCGGAGCCACTATTGTCTGTAAAAGGTATAATTACCCTGCTAACACTGTACATATGGCTCACTTGCACCCAGAGAGAGAGTGAAGCCATGTCAAAACTGTGTGATTCCTTGAGTGTTTTTCCAGCTACCCACTACTCACCCACCGACTCCCCTTGGACCTCAGTTAGAATGTGACAATTGGTGTCACGACCAGGATCTCGAGGTGAATGAGCCTTCAGTCCCTACTGATTCTGGGTCAGCCTTGTTGCCACAACATGGACTGTGGTACCTGGAGACAGCTCTGCTACTTGGATGGGCTCTGGTGGAAACCTGATTGGCAGTAGATGGGTCCCCAGTGAGCATGGAGAAGGCACTGAAGCAGCTGGAAGCACAGAGCACCACCAAGAAGGAGCGAGCTTTTGCTGGAAGCATTGGACGAGCTTTTTTGACTGCACTACAAGAAGTACACACTCAGTTCCTGAGGGATGCAGGTAACCACCCTCTAGGCGCAGGCAGGGCGCCTGGAGCCCAGGCTACACAGCTCAGAAAAAGAGTTAGAAGCTGCTATGAATGAGGACCTCCAAGCACAGGTGGGGCTCCTGGAGGCCCGGCTTCAGAGCTTGGGAAAAGAATTAGAGGCTGCTGTGAATGCAGGCCTGGGTCCATCATCTCAGCCAGAGACCCCCACTTGATCTGATACTGAGGAGGAAGAATCTCATTGCAGGCTCGCCCAGTGGTCCTTCAGAAGGTAGTTTATAAATGGCCATTGGGGCCCCAAGGGCAGGCTCAGGGACCCCCCATCATAAGGCAACACATTTCATATACTGCCTATACCCCAACTGAGTTGCGTGAATTAGACAGCAGTGATGCCAACATCCAGGGGAACCTCTGCCCACCTGGGTGCTTCGTTTGTGGGACAAGGGAGCAGATAGTATACCCGGTTCCACCTCTGAGATAGAAAAACTGGCCCCTATTATGACTCACTCCTCCCTCTGTCAGCAGTTGCAGGTGAGCAGGCAGTTGGTACAAGGTGACCATACCCTGATTGAGTGGCTATGGGCAGCCATATGGACTGTGTGGAATGACGCCTGTGAAATACCTGAAACCTGAAACCCTGGGTAAATGGCAGTCGTATGCTGATTTGGTGCAAGTCTTCCAGGAGATAGGTGTGCGGTCAGCTACGTTTGACCTGAATACCCGGGGGCCAGATGATGAACATTTCGCCTCCCACATGAGGGATCTCATGTTGGGTTCTGTACCCCTGAGTGCCTTTGGCTCCCTAGCTGCTGTCCTTACCCCATACGTAGGGTGTCGCATACATGAAGTGACAACTGCTATGGCTGGTGGCCCTCGGGGAAGCAGAAGGCCATTGATGGGACTGAGGGGTCCACGCTGTAAAGAAAGGGAAGATGCCCCATCTGCTGGGGGCCCTTCCATCGGAGAAAAGGGGGCTGAAACAAGTGACACACTCACGGATGTGGATATATATGATTTTGGCCAGGGTTGACATAGAGAAACTCAATATGTAGCCCAATGAAGTGCTCTTAACTTTGTGGAGACAGTTGTCTTCAGAGCAGCAATTTCAGAAAATGTCCAAGTAGGAGAAGGACATTGCTGCATGACCCAGTCCCACCTGGGTTCTTCAGCTCAAAGACTGTTTGCTGCAGCCAGGTGGAAATGTAGAGCCTTCTCTGTTTGATTAGAGAACTGGCCAAGATGCCCAGCTTGGGGGGATACCAGATGACCGGAGGCCACATGCGGAATTAGTGATCTACTGGTCCCCCACCAATGTACAGCAGGTGTTGGCACTGGTGGATACTGGCACAGATTGCAGCCTTGTTTATGGGAACCTGGGTAAGTTTCCAGGCAAACCTGCTTACATTAACGGTTATGGAGGCCATTCAGTAAAAGTGAAACCTGTATCTCTGCACCTTGGCTTTAGCTGTTTGGCTCCCTGTTTATATAATGTGTATGCCTCTCCCATTCTGGAATACATTCTGGGGGTGGACATTTTACATGGCCTGACATTACAAACCATGGCCAGGGAATTCAGACTCCCACTGCATATGGTGAAGCTGATGCTGCATGGACATACACATCACCAGCCCCAGGTCCTGCCACAACCCTGATAGTTTACTTCCACCTATCAATACCATTTGCCAGGTGGGCATACGGAGATAACTGAAACCATTAAAAAGCTGGAGGAGGTGCAGATAGTGCGTGGCACCCACAGCTCCTACTATTCTCCAGTATGGCTAGTTAGAAAGCCTGATGGAACTTTGCAGATGACGGTGGACTATCAGAAACTGAATAAAGTAACACCCCCTTTGCATGCAGCTGTACCATCAATCATGAATTTGATGGACCGTTTGACAACAAAACTGGGACAGTATCACTATTTAGTGGACTTGGCCAAAACGTTTTTCTCCATAGACATTGCTCCAGAGAGCCAGGAACAGTTCGCCTTCATGTGGGATGGGCAACAATGGACTTTCACAGTGTTACCGCAGGGCTATGTGCATAGCCCCACCATATGTCATGGCCTATTTGCTATGATTTAGCCACCTGGCAATGTCCAGAAGTGGTCTGCCTATTCCATTATATTGATGATATTATGTTAACCTTGTATTATTTTGCAGATTTAGAAGCAGTGGCCCCCCTCTTGAAGCAACACTTGGAATCATATAGTTGGGCTGTTGATGAATCCAAGGTCCAAGGGCCTGGATTATCTTCCAAATTCTTGGGAGTTATCAGGTCGGGTAAGACAAAGGCCATCTTAGAGGCTATCATTGATAAGATTCAGGCATATCCCCAGCCCACCATGGTGAAGCAACTGCAAACTTTTCAGGCCTCCTGGGATATTGGTGGGCATTTGTGCTCCATTTAGCTAATATAATAAAACTGTTGCATCGGTTAACAAAGATGGGAGCTACCTGGGATTGGGAAGATCCTGCTGAGACCTCCTTCCTGTTAACGGATGAGGTTAATCAAATCAGAAAGGTGGTGTTGCAAAACCGAATGGCCTTAGACATTATAACTGCTGCCCAAGGAGGCACCTGTGTCCTTTTAGGAACACAGTGTTGTACCTTTACCCCTGACAATTGGCAGAACATAACAGCAGCCCTGCAAGGGGTCTCATTGAAAATTAAGGCGGTTGAGAGCGTTACTAACAACCTCCTGCAGAGATGGTGGGCATACCTAGGCTCTGGCCTATTCTGGGCCCTAATAATCATAAGTAGCACAGCTGAGATCCTAGTATTGAGCTGTTGCTCTCTGTATTGTTGCTGTAGGTTATGGATTCAGGGCTCCACCCTATCAGCACGTGTTCCTTCCCAGAGGGCAACCTGGGCCTAGTAGGTGGAGCATAAGGGAAAGAGTTAAAGCCATGTCAAAACTGCCTACAATTCCTCGAGTGTTTTTCTAGCTACCCGCCACTCACCCACCAACTGCCCTCAGACCTCAGTTATATTCTGACAAAAATTAACATGAAAGTAAACTTTTTCCACATGTGTTGTAGAGTCACACCACTTTTTTGTGACATAGTTTTAGGTATTCCTATTTAAAATCTGACTTTCCCTTTTCACTTAAAACATTCTACAACCCCTAAATACTTCAACATTAATTGAAATCTGTACAAGTGAGGTTCTGAGGCTTCTCTTTCAATACACAGATGGTAAATTGGGATGGTATCTGGATTGATTCTAACAGAATTCCCTTCTCATCTTTGGAGAAATTGGAAAACTATAAAAATGTATTGAGACTCCCTTCAAGCCAAGACCCTGAAAATATATATTTTTTTCTTTTTTTTTTTTTTCTGACATTAGATGCACTTATGCAAGACACAGAAGAGGAAAGTGGCAGGTAGATAATTTCCCCAAGGCCTTTGGCTGTTGCCTCTGGCAATTAAGGTCACAGTAATGTAAAGCTCTTCTGCATTGCTTTTCAATGCCCATTCTTTAGCTTTAAGGGTGATGATGGCCAGTGCTCACAAATCGGGCTTGTGATCTGTCTCAACTGCTGGACCACAGATTCATACGTTGGTTCTTCAGCTTTCTGGTGAAGAAAGGAAGTCAATGTGGGGGTGAGAGAAGGGCTATCATTGATATCTGAGACGCGGATCCAGAAAAAAAAAAAAAAGAAAGAAAAAAGACAAATCTGAAAATGGATCCGGTGTAATAGAACTTCAGACATATTTTTTTGGATGTGAGTCTAAAGAGTTTGTTTTTCTCTTTTTGTATACAGATCTCAGAGAAATTAAAACAGAACTACCACTGGGCCCAGCAATCCTATTATTGGATATCTACCCCAAAGAAAACAAATTATTCTACCAAAAAGACACGTACATGCACTTGCATGTTCATTGCAGCACTACTCACAATGGCAAAAACATGGAATCAATTTAAGTACCCATCAATGGTCAATTGGATAAAGAAAATGTGGTGCATATATGCAATGGGATACTATACACCCATAAGAAATAATAAAATCATGCCTTTTGCAACCAATTGCATGCATCTGGAGATCATTTGTCTTAAGTAAATTAATACAGGAACAGAAAACAAAATACCACATGTTTTCACTTATAAGTGGGAGCTAAATATTGAGTATTCATGGACATAAAGACGGAAACCATAGTCACTGGAGACTACTAGATGGGGGAGAGAGGGAGGCAGGTAAGAGTTGAAAAACTAACCATTGTGTACAATGATGACTGCTTGGGTGACTGACAGGATCATTTATATTCCAAACCCCAGCATGATGCAATATACCTATGCAACAAACCTGTACTTATATCTCCTGAATCTAAAATAAAGTTGAAATTATGTTAAAAAAAGCATGAAAATAAAAATATCTGTAATACACACAAAAAACACATGTAGATAGAAAGGGCCTAGTGAGCCAAGTAAAGTTTATTATGTCTCAACATTGCAAAGGAGGAACAGGAATATTCTTTTTGCCTGAGTGTGACATGAAGAGATCTGAGAAAACACAGTGAACTTCCCTCCATCAAGTATGGACGAGCTGTAACAAAAAGATCCCATTCATAAGAGAAACTTATAAGCAATTGCAAGAGATATAAATTCAGAGAGGTTCTAAGGTTGAACATAAGAGATAATTTAGCAATGAAGCATATAGACTACATCAGAATGAGGACCATTCAGCACTACCAGTATGGAAAGATGATGTTCCACACAAAGTATTCTGTAAATTCACTAGGCATTATTTAAGATAAATAAAGAACTATATTCACAGGGAGACTTGTGAACAGATGTTCAAAGCAGCTTTACTTGTAATAGCCCCAAATGGAAAAAAAAAAAAAAACTAGAATAATGGGTACATATAATCTTATAATCTTACATATAATCTTAACATGTATCCATTATTGTGTATTAAAAAGTTGTCAACTAGGGCAATACTGTCCCCCATGGGAAATATCAGTAATGTCTGGAGACAATTTTGGCTGTCAAGATTGTGGTGGGTGGTGGTATTAGCATCTATGAGTACAGGGCAGAGATGCTGTTAAACATTCTACAATGAGCAGGACACTCCTTGTGATGGTCAATTTTATGTGTCAACTTGACCAAGTTAAGGGATGCCCAGATAAGTGGTAAAAAATTATTTCTGGATGTTTCTGTGGCTGTTTCTAGAAGAGATTAGCATTTGAATCAGTAGACTGAGCAAAGATCTGCCGTCATCAATGTGAGCCAGCATCATCTATTTTTTGAGTGCCCTGATATAAGCAAAAAGCAGAAGGGTGGGTGATTTCACTCTCTTTCCTTGATCTGGGTCATCCATCTTCTCTCGGCCTCAGATATTGATGGCAGCGGTGGGCCGACTAGAGTGTAACTGCCATCAAGCCACCACTGCGGGGAGGGCCTGGGGAGCAGGCAGACAGCACCCCCACAGCCTGCTGCCCAGGGGACCACCGTGACGGGCTAGACAAGGTCATCTGCCAGTGGGGGAGCAGTGCCATCAGGCAGAAAGCCTTGGCCTGGGGCAAGGTACTGGGGCGGCACTTTGGGGGCCCAGGGCGGGATGTGGGAGCGGTGCCCGCTTTGGGGACCTGGTCAGTGGTGTAGCCACTTCACTCACCCTGCTGAGGGCGCTGGGTTCCTGCACCTTAGAAGGAGGCTTTGCGTGGTGCCGCCCTGCATTGGGGTGACCGCTGAACCTGACACTCCAGATGGCCAGGCTCAGGGCCAGCGGTTTGCAATCTGCTTCCGGGTGCTCCCAGGAGGGCCCGCGAGCCAGGCCAGGGGTAGGCCAGGGCCGCCCCTGAGTACCAGCGCCAAGGGGAGCTCCCAGCAATGTTGCCCCTGCCCTGGATGCCAATTCAGGCACAGCGAGGACCTGGAGCCCTTGCCCCAGGCTGCAAGGGGACGTGGCCAGGGCTGCATGTTCCAAGGAGCCAGCGGGAGACAGGAGCAGACAGCAGCACCAGGTGCGGCTGTAGCTGCCCAAGTGAAGGCTGTGGACCTGGGCCTCCCTGTGCTCTTGGAGGCCAGAGCAGGCAGGAGTCCTGCCACCCGCCCTGCCCTGGGCACAGCTGTAGCCACCCAAGTCAGTACTGTGAACCTGAGCCTCTCAGCACCCTTGGGTGCCTGGGAAGGCCCCCCCGCCCCAACCCCGACCTTGCAGGCCCAGAGGTGTCTGCTTCCACTGCCTGGTCTCTTCCTGCTCCTGGCATCAGCTCCAATCTTGGAACAGGATTGGGGCCAAGTCTGGGCTATGTCACAGCCCGCTGGATGTGCGCATGCTCGGGGCAATGCTGACACGCCAGTGACTTGCCTCCTCAGCCTGCTCTGGACTGGGTGCTAACTACCATGGGGTGAATCCAAGGGGGTGGCTGAGGGAATCTCGGTGCTGGCCTGCAGGTGTCCCTTGGCTCAAGCAGCTTGGGCCCCATGGATGCTGGCAGGAGGCAGAAGGGTTCCTGGGCAGAAGGGGCCGGTCCCGGGTGAGGACCCACCTTCAGGCCAGGGAGGGATTGAAGGCTGGGGGCTGGGCTGCCAGTCCCGCCAACTGGAGTGGGGACTTGTGGTGCCTTTTCCCGGCCTGCCCATGGCCACCCATGGACCCATCAACAGCTACTGTCTCCCGTGTGAAGCCTATAAAAGGTCCGGCTAGGACAGAGCAGAGGAAGGAGCGATGACGGGATGACCAGCTGCAGAGAAGAGCTGCCCTCTCCGCTGATAGCTGAAGATGATGGGGTGACCAGCTGCAGAAAGGAGCTACCCTCTCTGCCAATGGCTGAAGACAACAGATGTCCAGCTACAGAGAAGAGCTAGCCTCTCTGGTGGGAGTGAACACTTGGGACAACCTACCTGTAGAGAAGACCTACTCTCTCTGCTAGGAGCTGAATACTTGATCGGGACACCTTGGCTGTGGAAAGGGGCTACCCCTGTGGGAGACTGAGCTGTTCTATCAACTCAATAAAGCTCCTCTTCATCTTGCTTACCCTCCACTTGTCTGCATACCTCATTCTCCCTGGTCTCAGGACAAGAACTGGGGACCTGCCAAAGGGCGAGGCTAAAAGAGCTGTAACACAAACAGGCCTGAAACATGTCCCTTGCTCACCACATTGTGGGCAAAGAGAAGGAGATAAAAGCTACAGCCCTTCAGGGAGCGGAGATCTGGGAGCTCCCCAAGCCAAGGCTGTAACTCTCTCTTTGGGACCCTGTGTTCCTGGCATCTCTAAGCTTCTGGGCACCAACACATTCCCTGGTGCTAGTAGGGGAAGCTGCTTGCAGTGTACCTGGTCCAGCTGTAGCCTCGCAGAGAGCAGGCACCCATGTTGGCACCTGGAGCTGCCTGCCCTGTGGCAGCAGCTGGTATGTTTGACAGCACAATAACCAGACCCCATGTTCACTCATACACCCCTCACCACTCCATGCCTGACTCGTAGTCTCTCTTGGAGGCGTGGGTTCCAGGTTGGTAGTGCTCCAGCTGAGCACAGTCTTCCAGGCCAAGTGGGCAGAATGAATACAGTGGGCCTTGGCAAAACTCAAGCAAAGGCACCACTGGCCACAGGTTTCCAGTCAGAAAACGACACCCCAGAAATCCTGTAACAATATTACATTATAGCTAATTGTTCTCTAGCTTTCAGATTCGAAACTTACACTAGTGCCTCCATCCTCTCATTCTCAGACCTCAGAGAGGGAGTTACAATGCAGGCTTTCCTGGTTCTCCAGCTTGCAGAGGACAAATTCTAGAACTTAGACTCCATAATTGTGTGAGCCAAGTACCATAATGAATCTCCTCTTTCTCTATCTGTCTCTCTCTCTTTATCATCTATCTACCTATCTGTCTATTCCATTGGTTCTGTTTCTCTGAAAAACCATATTTAAAACACCCCTTTATAACAAAGAATTATTCAGTGCAAAATATTAATAATGCAGAGGCTGAGAAACTCTATACAGTAAGGGCTCTAGGAATCTGAATATCAGACTTTCTCAGAAACACAGATATTTAGTGTATTTAATTCTTAGTTTTTTAAAACAGCTTCGTCTATAAATGATAGATTTCCCTTTCTTGTGAAAATACATTTTCTCCTTAAATTAAAATAAAATACATCTCTAACCCCCAAACACTTTGCTCATCTTATCTCATTATAAAACTAGTCTTATTAAACATAACTGAAATTTCAACAGAAGTACTTTTAATACTTTTATTTCAAATGAGCAAATATGTATTGATAATTATGTGTACCATATTAAATAACGAAGAAAAATCAATGTTCCATCTTGTTAGCTGAGACCTTAATTACATTACTTTCTTTTTTTGTTTGTTCGTTTTTTTTTGTTTTTGAGACGGAGTCTCGCTCGTTGCCCAGGCTGGAGTGCAGTGGCATGATCTCAGCTCACTGCAAGCTCCGCCTCCCGGGTTCATGCCATTCTCCTGCCTCAGCCTCCCGAGTAGCTGGGACTACAGGCGCCCGCCACCACGCCCGGCTATTTTTTTTTTTGTATTTTTTTTTTAGCAGAGACGGGGTTTCACTGTGTTAGCCAGAATGGTCTCGATCTCCTGACCATCCTGATCCACCAGCCTCAGCCTCCCACAGTGCTGGGATTACAGGCAATTACATTACTTTCTATCTTTATGTTTGTCTTTTCAGTTGTAAATAATTTTCCATTATCTACATTTTTTTGTTCTTTACTGGGGTACTATGTTTCTCATGCCAAAATTGGAAAAAAATACATATGTATATAATTGACATCTGTATTAGTCCATTTTCACACTGCTATAAACAATTACCTGAGACTGGGAAATTTATAAACAAAAGAGTTTTAATAGGCTCACAGTTCTGCATGGCTGGGGAGACCCCAGGAAATTTACAATTATGACAATAGGTGAAAGGGAAGCAAGGAACGTCTTCAAGGTGGCAGGAGAGAAAAAGCAAAGGTGGAACTGCCAAACCCTTTTAAATAATCAGATCTTGTGAGAACACATTCACTATCATGAGAACAGTATGGGGAAACCACCCCCATGATCCAATAACCTCCCACCAGGTCCTTCCCTTGACACATGGGGATTACAATTCTAGATGAGATTTGGGTGGGGACACAGAGCAAAACCATATTAACATCTAAAGTACTGAAATTCAAGGACTAGTCAGAATCGTACTGTGGTAATAACCTATATTAATTGCTCTACAGAAGAAAATAATGAGCTTATAGTGTAAAAAAAATACCCTCCAAAATGTTTGAAATGTAAAGTCAATAGACAAAACACCTATTTAAGTGTATAGAAATTTTATAATGATGTTGAAACAAAATGATAGTTGATAATACTTCATGAAAATTATTCATATTTTTAAAATAATTCATTTTGTCATGAACTAGTGAGTTCATAATCTCTAGATCTATTTATTTATTTATTTATTTATTTTTGAGACAGAGTTGCCCAGGTTGGAGTGCAGTGGTGTGATCTTGGCTCACTGCAAGCTCTGCCTCCTGGGTTCACACCATTCTCCTGCCTCAGCCTCCCGAGTAGCTGGGACTACAGGCGCCCTCCACCACGCTCAGCTAATTTTTTGTATTTTTAGTAGAGCGGTGTTTCACCGTGTTAGCCAGGGTGGTCTTGATCTCCTGGCCTTGTGATCTGCCAGCCTCAGTCTCCCAAAGTGCTGGGATTACAGGCATGTGCCACTGCGCCTGGCCCAGTTTTCTTAACTTACGCATATTGAATTTCATTGCATTGGCTTTGTGGCTGTCAAAAATGCAAACATTTCAGAAAGGAAAGTTCTATATAGATCCTGTGCAAGAACTGCTTTTCAGACAAAGCCGATACCTTTTATTTGAACAAGTGTTCAAAGTTTTTCTTGCCACCTTTGCCTCCAGATTTTTGCTTTTACCAACATCATTTCCAACACCTTCAGTGTAATTATAAACATGTTCATTTTAAAAGTGCACTCTTCAAATATGAAAGTTTTTAAATGTTGCAGAGAGAAAATAAGTAATCTTGCTTAGTATTGTAATATTTTAAAAAATATTTTATAACTCTTGATGGAGACATCTTTAATCCCCTGGGAAAGGGTTGCACTGTTTAAGTTTAACATGACTTTAGAAATTTCTTTTGAAATAAAAATACTGTATTGATTGCAACTCTGAACAAAGGTCATTCTTATGCAACTTAATCAAACACTACTATCACATAAATGCATTTCTAAAAATTATGGACAAAAACTACAATAAACTAAGACATTAACATTCTTTTATAAATTCAAATTGCTTTGTTCTGGATATCAGAACAAATATTTAGAAATGGAATCATTAAAAATAATTGTGCAACATCAGAAAACTTTTCACAGTGTTTCTTATCTTTCTTCCTGTTATAAACAGGACCTTCAGAAATTCCTATTTTTCCTCATTAAAATGTAAACATAAATTATGGTATGTATTAATAATCATTATATAAAATTGGAACAAAATTAGACTTCAGTAATTGAATTAAACTAGTAAAAATTGGGAGAGGAAACAGACATATTGATTTGGTACCTAATATGTGCCAGGAGTTTTGCAAGCCATATTAATGCACATCAAAAATGACAGCTTTGTAGCTGTATCATTATCCCCATTCTTAGAAATGAGAAGTGTGGGGTTCAGAGAGATTAGGTTATTTTCCCAATCCGCATAGTTAGTAAAAGCCTAGCAAAGATTTTATCCAAATTTGTCTGACCCTCAAATTTGACTCTTGCTGTTTATTAGAATAAAGTTTTAGGTCTGGTAATAGCAGTTGACCTCAAAGAAGTCATCATTGTAGCAGTGGTAGTAGTTGACAAAGGAGACGAAAAGGATAAGGAAAGAGACATAGCTAAAGCTTATTAAGCATTTGCTGTATGCTAAGGATTTTGAAAGGATTACTTTAATCCTCAAAACAGTGACTTTCTATAGATAATGTTATTTTCCATATCTTAATAGATGAAAAACCATAAATAATGTTAGATTAGTTGCTCAACATAAAATAGCTAGTAAAAGATATAGTTCGGATTCAAATCGCCAAAATCTAATTTCAGAACCTTTGTTGTTAACCACTTAACTGAGAATTTATTATACTTTATGGCATTACAACTAAAAATTTATAACAAATACAAATAACAAAATAATCCCCCTCTGATACAAGATAAGATAAAAAATGAAATGAATAGGAAGAATCTTTAATGAACAAAAGTAGCATAAAAATGGCATATACAGTATTATCTCCACTACATCTAAATTCATTATAAGAGAACAAAGTATGTAACCCCATTACTGATTATTGTTTCTGTGTTGTCAAATTATTATTACTATTACTACTATTATTATTTGCTTTTGAATTTTAGTAGTTTGTAAAGTTTCATCAATTAGTATGTATAACTTTATTATTTTCATTAGAAAATGAACAGTATTTTTAGAAACTTTTTCAAAGCTGGGAAACTAATGGAGGAAAATATTTAATAATTTCTCCACATCAATCTTGTTTTTATCCTGAGAATAAAATTAGAGTAACTATTGTGAAATGATTATAACTTCTATGCTCAGAATAGGTAAATATAAAAAATAAACAGGAAAAAGTTCAGGTAAGCTTTAAAGAATAATTTTCTATGAATGTTTACAATTTAATACATTATTTTGTTGTTTTTGTGTGGGCAACAGCAAAACCATTATATATGTTTTCATCTATAACTTTCAAGATAATGGTTACAATTTGAAAAGTTATCTCATTTTTCTTGCTGTGTACCTATATTGCAGTTTTCCTACATAAATATTCAATCAGCGTACTCCACGAATTTCTTCTTGTGTAACGCAATAGCTTAAGAGTGTTGGTTATGACAGGAACAGAAAACCAAACACCACACATTCTCACTCATAAGTGGGAGTTGAACAATGAGGACACATGGACACAGGGAGGGGAACATCACACACTGGGGCCTGTCGGGGGCTGGGGGCCAAGGGGAGGGAGAGCATTAGGACAAATACCTAATGCATGTGGGGCTTAAAACCTAGATGACGTGTTAGTAGGTGCAGCAAACCACCATGGCACATGTATACCAATGTAAAAAACCTGCATGTTCTGCACATGTATCCCAGAACTTAAAGTAAACAACAACAAAAAAAGAGTGGTGGTTACGGTATCCTTTGAATTGGCAGATCAAACTCTAATAGGGACTTCTTCATCATGGGGTAATTTAAATAAAACACAGAGTGGATAATTATTAATGAATAAAAGAATATGAGGCTTTATTCTACTTACATTTCAATTTCAGATAGTCAGTGACCATATAATACAATAAATAAAATACGGTGATAGAAAAATGAAGGAAGGACTGTACTGTTAAGAAGAACATTTAAAAGATAATATGATATAACTCAAGGGACAAGGTTTATAAAGAAGCAATTGAATTTTAGCCTCATTTTCACTTTAATTTCTGTTTAGAACTATGTTTTTCAAAATTTTAAAAACATTTTTAGACAGGCTAATTTTATGACAGTAGATCTTCATAAAAAAAGATTATATTGGAATATTTCAACAAAAAATTATAAATCAGAATTAAAAACAAGAAGTTAGTTATAACTTTTAAGTAATTCTGTGTTTAAAAACTAGATGGCATCTTAAAAACTCAATTCTGAAACAGTTAATTTTTTTTATTTCCTATTTTCTTTTTTATTTTTTTCTACTTTAAGTTCTAGGATACATGTGCAGAATGTTCAGGTTTGTTATATAGGTATACATGTGCCATGGTGATTTGCTGCACCTATCAACCTGTCATATAGGTTGTAAGCTCCACATGCATTAGGTGTTCATCCTAATGCTTTCCCTACCCTTGCCCCCAAACCCCTGACAGGACCTGGTGTGTGTTGTTCCCTTCACTGTGTCCATGTCTTCTAATTGCTCAACTCCCACTTCTGAGTGAGAACATGTGGTGTTTGGTTTTCCATTCCTGTGTTGGTTTGTTATGGATGATGGCTTTCAGCTTCATCCGTGTCCCTGCAAAGGATATAATCTCATTTTTTATGGCTGCATAGTATTCCACGGTGTACATGTACTACATTTTCTTTATCCATTGTATCATTGATGGGCATTTGGATTGGTTCCATGTCTTTGCTATTGTAAATAGTGCTGCAATAATACCCAAAAGAATATAAATCATTCTACTATAAAAGCAGTTAACTTTTATGGGCATCTAAGTGATGATGAAATTTATCTTTGCTAATATTTAGAAGTGGTGAGACTTCAGATTATTCAGGAAAGCAATATGACAATTAGGATTGAAACAACATGCTGAAATAATAAATGACTTAATAAATAGATTGTTGAATCATCATCAAATTCTATCCATGCATGTTGTTTTATTTTATTTTCAATTAAGCATTAAATAAGAGAAAAATTATATAAAAGGTATTGTCTATTTTAATGATATCATTATTTTCATTAAAGTTAATAATTGTATTAAGCTTTTATAATATAATAACTTATATTCAAGGAGCCATATAAATTTCATCTAGAAGAGGTGCTGTTATTTAAAGAGAAAATAAAACATTTAAATCATCCAAGTGTATTGCATACTTGAAATTTGTAAGGAGAGTAGATCTCAAGTGTGCTCACTAAACAAAAAAAGGTTAGTATTTGTGGTGATGGACATGTTAATTAGCTTGATTGTGGTAGTCATTTCAAAATGTACACATATATCAAAATATCACATTTTGTATGTTCAGTATATATAAATAATCCCACAAATTTAGACTGTATTACATGCATAATACCTGCTATCTAACCTCAAACTCTACATAGTTTTGTAGAAAACTATGAAAATATTAAGCAGTATAATAAAACTATTATTTTATACTTAATGTATTATCCATTTAATATTGATGATGTAGCTTCCCGGCAAATTACTTAATTTGGCTAGCATTTAATGTAAATTTATCTAATACATGAAACTGAGAATTATTCCCTTGACCAATTTTTTAACTGATTCTAAAATAAAATTTCCAACTGAATCTAGAAACATCCTATGTAGACTCTAAAATTAGTAGAATACCAAAGGAGAAAATGTGAGGAAAAAAAATCAACTCTTTTCAAAAAGGAGAAAAATATAAAATGAAAAAGTGACACAGAATTTGCCCTACACTAGTCCATCTACTGACAGAACTTTTCCACTAAAGAAAAGTACGAACAAGAAAGCAGTCAAAGAGGTTCCTTCTCTCACTTGCTACCTCTTGAACTATATCTCCCTTATGTTCATCATTCTCTTCCCCTTAGAAATTTGCAATTTGAAAAATCTAGATCTCACTAAAGTCTTTCCAAACACACATTGTCTTAATAATCTTAAAATTTGCTTACTGGAAGGTAATCTAATTGTTTTTCTTTTTATCTTTTGGACCATTATTTTAGGTCCATTTTGGACTTGACTGTCTGGCCTTTATTTGTGGTATTTTTCTATTTGGATGGATAAGTTTCTGTCAATCTCTTTTATTTTAAGTTGCATTATGAAATTTTAACTCTTGACCCTTTCAAAAGGATCTCTATCAATTTCAATTGCCGGCCTTTTGACATTCAACAGCTTCCACAGACATTCATTTTAAAACTACATCACTGCATTTGAGAACAGGAGTGCCAAAGAAAATCTGCAGGAAACCAACTAAGGATATGGAGTTTAAATTAGTTCATTACAAGAACAGAAATTCACATTTCTATTGCTCTGTGCCAATGACTTTTTTGCACTTGATAAACTCCAAGTTTTTGATAGTTATAGCTGTTATATATCATCTTTTTATTAACGCAATGTGTTTTGTTAAGTGATAATAATCAAATTGTCTGTTCATATCCTTCGCCCACTTGTTGATGGGGTTCTTTATTTTTTTCTTGTAAATTTGTTTGAGTACTTTGTAGATTAGGATAATAGCCCTTTGTCTGATGAGTAGATTGCAAAAATTTTCTCCCATTCTGTAGGTTGCCTGTTCACCCTGATGATAGTTTCTTTTGCTGGGCAGAAGCTCTTTAGTTTAATTAGATCCCATTTGTCAATTTTGGCTTTTGTTGCCATTACTATTGGTGTTTTAGACATGAAGTCCTTGCCCATGCCTATGTCCTGAACGGTATTGCCTAGGTTTTCTTCTAGGGTTTTTATGGTTTTAGGTCTAACATTTAAGTCTTTAATCCATCTTGAATTAATTTTTGTATAAGGTGTAAGGAAGGGATCCAGTTTCAGCTTTCTACATATGGCTAGCCAGTTTTCCCAGCACCATTTAGTAAATAGGGAATCCTTTCCCCATTTCTTGTTTTTGTCAGGTTTGTCAAAGATCGGATGGTTGTAGATGTGTAGTATTATTTCTGAGGGCTCTGTTCTGTTCCATTGGTCTATATCTCTGTTTTGGTACCAGTACCATGCTGTCTTGGTTACTGTAGCCTTGTAGTATAGTTTGAAGTCAGGTAGCGTGATGTCTCCAGCTTTGTTCTTTTGGCTTAGGATTGTCTTGGCAATGTGGGCTCTTTTTTGGTTCCATATGAACTTTAAAGTAGTTTTTTCCAATTCTGTGAAGAAAGTCATTGGTAGCTTGATGAGGATGGCACTGAGTCTATAAATTACCTTGGGCAGTATGGTCATTTTCAAGATATTGATTCTTCCTATCCATGAGCATGGAATGTTCTTCCATTTGTTTGTGTCCTCTTTTATTTTGCTGAGCAGTGGTTTGTAGTTCTCCTTGAAGAGGTCCTTCACATCCCTTGTAAGTTGGATTCCAAGGTATTTTATTCTCTTTGAAGCAATTGTGAATGGGAGTTCACTCATGATTTCGCTCTCTGTTTGTCTGTTATTGGTGTATAAGAATGCTTGTGATTATTGCACATAGATTTTGTATCCTGAGACTTTGCTGAAGTTGCTTATCAGCTTAAGGAGATTTTGGGCTGAGACAATGGGGTTTTCTAAATATACAATCATGTTATCTGCAAACAGGGACAATTTGATTTCCTCTTTTTCTAATCGAATACCCTTTATTTCTTTCTCCTGTCTGATTGCCCTGGCCAGAACTTCCAACACACATAAGCTCAAAACAAAGGGATGGAGGAAGATCTACCAAGCAAATGGAAAGCAAAAAAAGGCAGAAGTTGCAATCCTAGTCTCTGATAAAACAGACTTTAAAACAACAAAGATCAAAAGAGACAAAGAAGGCCATTACATAAACGTAAAGGGATCAATTCAACAAGAAGAGCTAACTATCCTAAATATATATGCACCCAATACAGGAGCACCCAGATTCATAAAGCAAGCCCTTAGAGACCTACAAAGAGACTTAGACTCCCACACAATAATAATGGGAGACTTTAACACCCCACTGTCAACATTAGACAGATCAACGAGACAGAAAGTTAACAAGGATATCCAGGAATGGAACTCAGTTCTGCACCAGGCAGACCTAATAGACATCTACAGAACTCTCCACCCCAAATCAACAGAATACACATTCTTTTCAGCACCGCATCACACTTATTCCAAAATTGACCACATAGTTGGAAGTAAAGCACTCCTCAGCAAATGTAAAATAACAGAAATTATGACAAATTGTCTCTCAGACCACAGTGCAATCAAACTAGAACTCAGGATTAAGAAACTCACTCAAAACCGCTCAACTACATGGAAACTGAACAACCTGCTCCTGAATGACTACTGGGTACATAACGAAATGAAGGCAGAAATAAAGATGTTCTTTCAAACCAATGAGAACAAACACATAACATACCGGAATCTCTGGGACACATTTAAAGCAGTGTGTAGAGGGAAATTTATAGCACTAAGTGCCCACAAGAGAAAGCAGGAAAGATCTAAAATTGACACCCTAACATCACAATTAAAAGAACTAGAGAAGCAAGAGCAAACACATTCAAAAGCTAGCAGAAGGCAAGAAATAACTAAGATCAGAAAAGAACTGAAGGAGATAGAGAAACAAAAAACCTTTCAAAAAAATCAATGAATCCAGGATCTGGTTTTTTGAAAAGATCAACAAAATTGATAGACTGCTAGCAGACTTATAAAGAAGAAAAGAGAGAAGAATCAAATAGACACAATAAAAAATGATAAAGGGAATATCACCACTGATCCCAGAGAAATACAAATTACCATCAGAGAATACTATAAACACCTCTACGCAAATAAACTAGAAAATCTAGAAGAAATGGATAAATTCCTCAACACATACACCCTCCCAAGACTAAACCAAGAAGAAGTTGAATCCCTGAATAGACGAATAACAGGCTCTGAAATTGAGGCAATAATTAATAGCTTACCAACCAAAAAAAGTCCAGGACCAGATGGATTCACAGCTGAATTCTACCAGAAGTGCAAGGAGGAGCTGGTACCATTCCTTCTGAAACTATTCCAATCAATAGAAAAAGAGGGAATCCTCCCTAACTCATTTTATGAGGCCAGCATCATCCTGATACCAAAGCCGGGCAGAGACACAACTAAAAAAGAGAATTTTAGACCAATATCCCTGATGAACATCGATGCAAAAATCCTCAATAAAATACTGGCAAACTGAATCCAGCAGCACATCAAAAATCTTATCCACCATGATCAAGAGGGCTTCATCCCTGGGATGCAAGGCTGGTTCAACATACGCAAATCAATAAATGTAATCCAGCATATAAACAGAACCAAAGACAAAAATCACATGATTATCTCAATAGATACAGAAAAGGCCTTTGACAAAATTCAACAGCGCTTCATGCTAAAAACTCTCAATAAATTAAGTATTAATGGGACGTATCTCAAAATAATAAGAGCTATTTATGACAAACCCACAGCCAATGTCATACTGAATGGGCAAAAACTGGAAGCATTCCCTTTGAAAACTGGCACAAGACAGGGATGCCGTCTCTCACCACTCCTATTTTTCTGAGACACATTTTAAGGTCTATTGCTGAAACAAGTTATCTAAATTTATAATAATTTTATACTCTTGGCATAGGTGGAAATTTTTAAAAGTAAAGTAGATGAATATTTTCAATTTCCTTTAGTTTGTAGTCCTCTGTGACAAATTTTTTGAACATTAGAGAAGTTGAATGGTAGGCAAACTAGTTAATTGTCATAGCATCCCTTTTTCATTCCTTAGTGATATGAGAATTCTTTGTAGTCTCCTTAGGAAAGTGCACAATAATGTGTTCCATCCTCAGTTACACGAACGTAAAATACCTCTCCTGCCCTCAAATGAATTCCTTCTCTCTATATTACGTATAATTCAGTTTTATGCTAAAATTCAATTGAGAAAGAAATATGTAAATATGTAAAAATATTTAAATTAAACTTTTTTTAGAGCATGATAAATATGTCCTTAACATCTAACACATTTATTCAATCTGTCATTAAAAAATGCTATTTTTCATGGTTATAAATTTTATGTAGACCATTCTCAATAACAAATTTATTGTATCACTATTAATGTCTTCCTGACTTTCCACTTTGTAAAATATATACAATTCAAAAAAGCCATTATCCTGACCTTTTCAATGGTCACTCTAATTTTTTTTCCAATTTTATTTCAAAACAGAGAATATCCCTAAATCCTCTTTAACTGCAGCCCACTATATAAGAAGTATGTTGTTTTTAGGATAAAAAATATTATATTTAGCGATTTTGAATGCTACTTCTACCCCTTGCTTTGCTCTTCTACTATTATGCGTGTTAGTCAATTACAGTACACTGTCGAAACCTTTACCTTAAGGTCATTAAAGCGGTCAGACTTGATAAACACTACAGACATCAAAATGGTTATGTCTAATGAGAGTAAAATTATTTATTCATTTTTTACCTCGTTTTGTATATAGTTACTAGAATCAGATGCCTTTGATCAAATACACTAGTTTGGTTTTAACAGTTGTTAAAAAATTTTCAAGTCTCCTAAGGTGCTGTAGGGACACACTTGAATAAATGTGTTTTTGAATAATATAGAAATTTTGACAAAATTCTCAGTTTTTAGGCACTAAAAACCAGGGATGCAAAAATATGAATGAATAGTATTTCCGGACTTGTTTAAATAAATATTCATATAATTAAAAAATAATGCCAAATTTCTCAAGCTTTTGATTTTAAGTAATCAACTAAATTCATTTATTTTCCAAAAAAAAAGATGTTTTCTGTTATTGATGAGTAAAACTTATAAACTTTTTTATTACTATATGAGGTGCTTTCTTTTTTCTTTACTCAATCAGAAAAGAAGCCAAGGTTATCAGCCAATAGTCATGTGTTCATACACACATATTTTTATAATGTTCACATATCATGTAACCTTTGTGGCAAGAAAGTTAAGTCTCATATTCTAGCAAAACCTTCAGTTGAGGGCTCATAACTCACATTGCAGTCCATTAGTCTCAGATAAAGCTTACAATAGCAGACATGATTACTTAAACAGTTCAGGAATATATGATGAGGCATTACTCAGCCATCTAGTGTAAGTAATCATAAAAGATATGCCACAGTTTATTACAGTTAAATCAGCAAATGGGTCCTGAAGCACTAGCAAAATTATTTGCCTTTATATGCACATTCAACTTATCTTTGTAAGTAGAGTCTCATGAAGATAAGAATCATTGAAATTGAAATAGACCAGGAAAAAAATATAGCTTGGCTATCTGATGCTATTATTGATGTAAATTGTAATTTAAGGTCAGGAAAAAAAGAGTTTTACTTTCTCTTTTCCCCTATGAAGATGTAAGATGCCAAAACATCTTAAAAGTTGGCTTTGATTCACTTGCAGGTGTTAAGAGTTGAATATGAGTAGCCATGGTGATTGAACAAACAAAAAAGTAACGTGAATAAAGTATACCTTTGAGATTTGAGATTTTATATCAGCCAAAATATGCTGTAATATTTTTAAGATAATTTTTTAAAAATTGGAATGGATGACACAAAATCATAGATGTTATTTGATTTTAGAAAGTTATGTTTTCTATTTTTTGGTAAATGGTCATACAAACCCTTTTGTTTTTCTAAAGCCATGAGTTTTTATTTGCTTCGAAATTGCATTTTCTGAAAATACTTAAATACATGAGCTACATTTATTTTCTAAGCAATGGCTAAGAAATGATGATATATATTAAAAGCTTTTCTCCAGAATGAGCTTACAGACAGTGATTAAAATGAAATGACTGATTTTATGGGAAATTATTTTTATAATCATTTAATCAATTCAGGCTTATAGAAATCTCTGTTTATTATCAAATATAAACACATCTGCAGTTCAACCACAATGGTAATTCCACTCTCATTTTATTGCACTTCAATTGCCATTATGACTACTGTTTTAATTATATTACTAAAAGGAAACATTATTTAAAGTGACCACAACATAATTTTAAGTTAACCTCCTGAACCTATGTTCATCATGTTAGTGTCATTCTTGGTTGATTTAAAACTTGGTTCATGGAAAAAGACGTGGATTCTCTCAAAATTCCAACATTTTTGGATCCTCTGTCAGGACTTTGAACTAGAGATAAAAGAGTATAGTTTCAGTAACAGACCACATATAGAATGGGCACAACATAGTAAGGAGAGGTCATGATACAGGTCTTTATGATTTGATGCCTCTGTAACAAATGTAGACTCTTCAGCCTCAATTTTTCTGGTTGTGTGGCAGACTTTGAGTGTCATCTACTGAAAAATAAGTAAGTAGCTTTAAGTCTCATTCTCCATAGATATTTGGCCTTGTAGTGTATACTGAAGGTTGAGAGGTCTTATTCCACAAAAAAGAGACAATTTTATATTGACAGGTTAAAACATCTCTGCATAGGTTTCAGCATGAGGACCCTAGCAATTAAAAACCTTGCTACAGAAGGCTTATCAAACAAAAGGATACCAAATGTCAGACTTAAGAACCTCAGCTTAAATAAAAATGTAAATAAAACAGAGTAACAATTATATGATTTAATGTTGTTATTGCCTGTGTTATTCTTCTATAAAAACTGAATGACTATTTCCACAAATAGACATATCTGCAAGCTAAATGCCCCTCTATGACAAACTTGTATTTACATATATCTCCTTTATACTTGAAAACACTTGCTTAATATAGGGTAAGATTATCTCTTACCTGAACTGTTCATGATTGTCAAATTTACAATCTAAATTATTAATTTTAAACAATAATAAAATAAGTTTGTGTCAAATAAGAAATTATTTGATGATAGGAAAACTTTAGAATCAACGTAGATAGCAAAGACATATTTCTATATGAACTGCTCAAAAAATCCATTTTACATTTTCCAGCAATCAAAGGTTGACTGTACTTGAATCTACATTCAAAGAATGTAGATTTAATTTGTAAATGCAACATTCTCTTCTCTCGAAACACAATAGAAACCACTATTAAGAAAGGAAATAAATGCACTATTAAGAGAGGAATAAATAAAAATATATTTGAGATGTTTATTGCGGCACTATTCACAATAGCAAAGACTTGGAACCAACCCAAATGTCCATCAATGATAGACTGGATTAAGAAAATGTGGCACATATACACCATGGAATACTATGCAGCCATAAAAAAGGATGAGTTCATGTCCTTTGTAGGGACATGGATGAAGCTGGAAACCATCATTCTCAGCAAACTATCACAAGGGCAAAAAACCAAACTCCGCATGTTCTCGCTCATAGGTGGGAATTGAACAATGAGAACACTTGGACACAGGAAGGGGAACATCACACACTGGGGCCTGTCATGGGGTGGGGGGATGGGGGAGGGATAGCATTAGGAGAAATACCTAATGTAAATGACGAGTTAATGGGCGCAGCACACCAACATGGTGCATGTATACATATGTAACAAACCAGCACGTTGTGCACATGTACCCTCGAACTTAAAGTATAATTAAAAAAAAGAAAATCTAAACTCAGAAATGTGTAAAAATGAGAAGATAGAATTGATTTTATCCAAAGAATGCAAAGATGTTTGATTTTATAAAATAAATGACTGTAATTCTACATTTAACAATTAAAAGCCATATTGTTAAATGCCATAAAACATTGTATCAAACTTAATACTACTTCACAATATTTTTAAAAAAGCAACAGACAATAAAGATCTAAAAGAAATGCTGGTGTTCTAATCAAATGATCTGCCAAAACTCTACAGCAAAAGCTATTCCTTTTTTAACATCTGAAAAGATAGCAAAATACTCTGCAGCACACTGGAACAGGAAGAGTAAACTTATCTAGGACTAACTGGACCAGATAATTTGTAGCCAATTATCATGCTAGAAGGTAAATCAGTGCTTTCTATGTAGGAAAAACATAAATGTGGCAAAACTTCCTAGCATGCCACTTTATGTATAAGACTTGATCTTACCCCCATTCCCTATTACCAAGTTGAGGGACTGGTGATCCTCCAGCTACAGATACCGAGCTGACAGAACAGGACTGAAGCTAAGGGTGAAACACATCATATTTCTACTTTGTCCTAGTCTCTGATAACATTAGAGAATGAACTCCTGCTTCTCTAAGTATGTATTCTTGAAGACTCACAGTTCAAGGATCACAGTTCCTCTCCTTCTTTTTCAGTCTGACATTATTCTGACAGATTGCCCAGTATTGGTACCAGAGTGAAACAGGCAAATAAACCTTTATATCTGTTACCATGCAATTTCTAACAATACACGCTTTTCTAGCAGGCCCTGTGTGCCTGTCCATATTCCACTGTTCCACAACTCTCTCATTTAAGTATTATAACAGCATAGCCTATAGAGTGAGACAAGAAAAATAAATACATTGTGTAAAGATTGAAAAAAACGAACAAATATCTCATTATTTGCAGGTAATGTGATTGTCTACATAGAAAACCTAAAAGAGTATACAGATTATGGCAGATAAAGTAATGCTCTGCAAGTATTCTATCTGTTCCCCCACAGGCTCTGTTACACGTAGTTAGTCAGGGTCATGTGACTAGCTCTGGTCAGCAATATATGAATGTATATGTAAGTTCTGAGCTGAGGTATTGAAACTCTCATGCAAGATCCCTCAGTGTCTATTATGCCCTGTTACTTTGAGAAAATTTACGTTCCAGCGGGCACAGATACTAGGTAACAGTCTTCCATCCCCTCTCAATGTGTCAAGTAGAACCTTCCGCAAAACACAAAACAACAGAAAAGTAGGTGAAGATAATGATAATCTCTGTTATGCAGTAACAAAATAAGGAGTAAAACTGTCAACTGCAATAGGATAATTTGTAGTTCACAAGTTATAGCTAATGGATGTGTGGCTCAAAGGGAAGAAGCTGGACAAGAAATAGTATCTATTGGTAGATATTGGCTGCTCAGAAAACAATTGACTGTAAGAAAAATAAAATGTTTCTATTAATCATTTCACCATAAAATAAATAAATAATAAAGTCTACTGAAAGTAGAATGGATAAATACACTATTGTCTATTCACACAAAGAATATTATGTGGAAATAAAAAATAGAAGAACATCTATACAGACAGAAGAGGAAAGATCTTAGATCTGTAATATACTGAGAGAAGACCATATGGACATTAACTTCAAATACACACAAAAATTAAAGAATACAGTGGTAAATATATGCAAATGAGATAAAGTGTGCACAAATGATATGATAAAGTTTGGCATAGTTATTTAGTGGAAGAGGCAGGATGAGAATATTAAAAAAGAGCACATCAATAGGTGCTAAATATTGAAAATATTCAAATTTATAAGTTAAAAAGTGAGTTCACAAATGTTAATTTTATTATGTTTATTTAATATTATGCTTTATAACATGTGTATTTAAAGGCTTATTACTTTTATAATAAAATATAAATAAAAATGAGAATCACTTCTAAAAATATCAAATGACATTGATATTGTCATGAAGAACATTGACTATCATGTCCATTTGTTATCAAATGAGAAATGTCCCTATTGTATTCTCACATATATAGAAAGGTGATGCAACACTTCTTTGTGCATTTATACATTTCATTATGCATTTATAAATGTACAAATATAGGCTTGAGCAAGTACTCTAGGATTTGCTCTGTAGGACTAAGGTTTCATCCATACAAAGAGAAGTAAAAAAAAATACACCTCTTGTATGGTTATTGTGAAGATTACGCGATGATGCACAGAAAGCACTTACCACATTTCCTGGAATTAATGTTTTCATTGGTGCTTTCGTATTCATTCATACCATGAAAGATTTAAAACATATATGTCCATGAATGACAAAATGTAAACCAAGAGGAAATAGGCAGAAGACTCTTTCAGGACATTTTTCATGACAACTGAAGATAATGAAAATCTTTGTAGGTATGAAGGGAACAGATTATACATTAATGACAGAATATTTTATTATTTTGTAAAAATAAGATTGGATCTATAAATATATTCAAATTATAGATCCAGTCGTTACTGTTATTATTATTATTATTATTTCAATAGTTTGGGGGTAACGGGGTGTTTTATTGCAGGGATAAGTTCTTTAGTGGTGATTTCTGAGTTTTTGGTGCACCCATCACCTGAGCAGTGTACACTGTACCCAATGTGTCATCTTTTATCCCTCACCCCCGACCCACCCTTTCCCAAGAGTCCCCAGAGTCCATTATATATTCTTATTCTTTTGCATCCTCGTGGCTTAGCTCCCATTTGTAAGTGAGGACCTAGGATGTTTGGTGTTCCATGCCTGAGTTACTTCACTTACTATAATGGTCTCCAACTACATTCAGGTGGCTGCTAATGCCATTATTTCATTCCTTTTTATGGCTTAGTTGAATACAACTATATATAGTCTCATATATATGTGTATATATATATATATAACGTTTTCTTTATTCACTTGATTGATGGGCATTTCGGCTGGTTCCATATTTTTGCAATTATGAATGGTAGTACTATAAGTATGTGTGCACAAGTGCCTTTTTCAAATAATGACTTTTTTTTTTTCCTCTGGGTAGATACCCAGTAGTGGGATTTCTGGATCAAATGGTAATTCTACTTTTAGTTCTTTAAGGAGTCTCCATACTGTTTTTCATAGGGGGTTGTACTAGTTTACATTCCTACCAGCAGTGTAAAAGTATTCCCTTTCCACCACATGCATGCCAACATCTATTATTTTTTGTTATTTTTTTTTAAGTGATGGCCATTCTTGCAGGATTAAGGTGGTATTGCATTTTGGTCTTGGTTTGCATTTCCCTGATAATTAGTGATGCTGAGCATTTTTTCATATGTTTGTTTGCTGTATATATATCTTCTTTTAAGAATTGTCTATTCATGCCCTTAGCCCACTTTTTGAATGAATTATTTGTTTTTTTCTTGCTAACTTGTTTGGGTTCCTTGTAGATTCTGGATATTAGTTTTTTTGTCAGATGCATAGTTTGTGAATATTTTCTCTCACTCCGTGGGTGGTCTTTTTTTTGTTTTGTTTTGCTGTGCAGAAGCTTTTCAGTTTAATTAAGTCCAATATGTTTATCTTTGTTTTCGTTGCATTTGCTTTTGGGTTCTTGGTCATAAACTCTAAGCCTAAGCCAATGTCTATAATAGTTTTTTTATGCTATGTTCTAGAATTTTTCTGGTTTTAGGAATTCAATTTAAGTCTTTGATCCATCTCAAGGTGATTTTTGTATAAGGTGAGATAAGGATCCAGTTTCATTCTTCTACATGTGGCTTATCAATTATCCCAGCACCATTTCTTAAATAGGATGTCCTTTCCCCCCCTTATGTTTTTGTTTGCTTTGTCAAAGATCAGTTGGCTATAACTATTTGCATTTATTTTTGGGTTCCGTATTCTGTTCCATTGGTTTATGTGCCTATTTTTATACCAGTACCATGCTCTTTTGATTATAATAGCCATGTAATATAGTTTTAAGTCAGGTAATGTGATGCCTCCATATATATATATATAATAATACTTTAAGTTCTGGGCTACATGTGCAGAATGTGCAGGTTTGTTACATACGTATACATGTGCCATGGTGTTTTGCTGCACCCATTAACTCATTATCTACATTAGGTATTTCTCCTAATGCTATCCCTCCCCTACCCCAACCCCCCGACATGCCCCAGTGTGTGATGTTCTCCTCCCCATGTCCATGTGTTCTCATTGTTCAATTCCCACCTATGAGTGAGAACACGCAGTGTTTGGTCTTTCTGTTCTTGTGTTAATTTGCTGAGAATGATGGTTTCCAGCTACATCCATGTCCCTGCAAAGGACATGAACTCATTCTTTTTTATAGCTGCATAGTATTCCATGGTGTGTATGTGCCACATTTTCTTTATCCAGTCTATCATTGAAGGGCATTTGGGTTGGTTTCAAGTCTTTGCTATTGTGAACAGTGCTGCAATAAACATACGTGTGCATGTGTCTTTATAGAAGAATGATTTATAATCCTTTGGGTATATACCCAGTAATGTGATTACTCAGTCAAATGGTATTTCTGGCTCTAGATCCTTGATGAATCACCACACTGTCTCCCATATTCATACTTTTTGCTTAGCCTTGCTTTGGCTATGTGAACTCTTTTTTCTTTCCATATGAATTTTAGGATTCTTTTTCTAGTTCTGTGAGAAAGATGATGGTATTTCAATGATAATTGTGTTGATTTTTTTAAACTGATTTTGGCATTATGGTCATCTTCACAATATTAATTCTACCCATCCATTAGCACTGATGTGTTTCAATTTGTTTGTGTCACCTATGATTTCTTTCAGCAGTTTTTTGTAGTTTTCCATGTGGAAATATTTCACTTCCTTTGCATTCCTAAATTGTTTTGTTTTTGTTTTTGTTTTTGCAGCTGTTGTAAAAGGGGTTAAGTTCCCAGCTTGGTCACTGTTGGTTTATAGCAGTGCTACTGATTTGTGTACATTGATTTTGCATCCTGAAACTTTACTGAATTTGTTTATTAGATATAGAAGCTTTTTGGATGTATCTTTAGGGTTTTCTAGGTATACAATCACGTCATTGGCAAACAGCAAGTTTGACTTCCTCTTCACTGATTTGGATGCCCTTGATTTCTTTCTCTTGTCTGATGGCTATGGCTAGGATTTTCAGTACTATGGTGAAGTGGTGAAAGTGTGCATCCTTTTCTTGTTCCAGATCTCAGGGGGAATGCTTTCAACATTCCCGCATTCAGTATAATGTTGGCTGTGAGTTTGTCAAAGGTGGTTTTTATTACCTTAAGGGAGGACCCATCTATGCTGATTTTTCTGAGGGTTTTAATCAGAAAGGGATGCTGGATTTTGTCAGATGCTTTTCTGCATCTATTGAGATGATTATATAATTTTTATTTTTAATTCTGTTTAGGTGGTGTTTCACATTTATTAACTTGTGTATGTTAATCCATCCCTGCATCTCTGATATGAAACCTACTTGATCATGGTGGATTTTCTTTTAGATATGATGTTAGATTCCATTAGCTAGTATTTTCTTGAGGAGTTTAGCATCTATGTTCATTAGTGATATTTATCTGTAGTTATCTTTTTTTGGTTAAGTCTTTTCCTGGTTTTGTTATTAGGGTGATACTGGCTTCATATAATGATTTAGGGAAGATTCCCTCTGTCTATCTTTTGAAACACTTTCAGTAGGATTGGTACCAATTCTTTTTTGAATGTCTGATAGAATTCAGCAGTGAATCCATCTGATTCTGGAATTTTTTTATTGGTATTTTTTTATTACTGTTTCAATCGCACTGCTTGTTATTGGTCTGGTCAGAGTTTCTATTCTTTCTGGTTTAATCTAGGAAAGTTGTATATTTCCAGGAACTTATCCATCTCCTCTAGGTTACCTAATTTGTGTGCATGAAGGTGTTTATAGTAGCCCTGAATAATCTTTTTTATTTCTGTGGTATCGATTGTAATATCTCCAGTTTCATTTCTAATTGAGCTTACTTTGATCTTTTATCTTCCTTTCTTGGTTAAACTTGCAATTTTCTATTGATTTTGTTTATCTTTTCAAAGAACCAGCTTTTATTTCATTTATCTTTTGTATTTTGTTTGCTTGTTTGTTTTAATTTTATTTGGTTCTGCTCTGATCTCTGTTATTTCTTTTATTTTGTTGGGTTTGGGTTTAGTTTGGTCTCATTTCTCTATTTCCTTGAGGTGTGAGCTTAGATTGTCCATTTGTGCTCTTTCAGGCTTTTTGATGTTGGCATTTAATACTATGAACATTCCTCTTAGCACCACATTGGCTGTATCTCAGAGGCTTTGATAGATTTTGTCTCTATTATGGTCTAGTTTATGGTCCACTATTATGGACCTTCTTCAAAATTATATTTTTTACAGACAATGTACCTACACTGAGGCATTATTGTCACCGAAAGTTTGTGGTTTAACTTAGAGTTCACTCTTGGTGTTGTACACTCTCAGGGTTTTGACAAATATATAATAACCTGTACCCACTGAGATGATGCCATAGAGAGTAGTTTCACTGCTTTAAAAATCCTCTGTCCTCCACCCTCTCTCCCTCCTCACAAAACCTTGGCAATCACTGATCTTTTTATTATTACCATAGTATTGCCTTTTCCAGAATGTCATACATTTGGAATCATCCAATAAGTATACACACACATACAGCCTTTTCAGGTTGACATTCACTTAGTAATATGCATTTAAGTTTTCTCCCTGTTTTTCCATTTCTTCTTATTTTGTTTTTGACATTGAGTAGTATTCCATTATGTAGGTATGCAGAGTTTATTTGTCCACTCACCTACGGAAAGACATTTTGGTTACTCTGAAGTTTGAACAATCATGAATGAAGCTGCTATAAATCTCTGTGTGCAGATTGTGTGAACAAAATTTTTCAAATCGTTTTGATAAACAGCAAGAAGAATGAATGCTGCATCATATGGCCAGAGAATATTTAGATGTGTAACAAGCTGCCAAACCATCTCCCAAAGTAGCCCTGCCATTTGCAATTAGAAATGATTGAGAGTTCCTTTGCTCCACGTCCTTTCCAGCATTTAGTTTTGTCAGTGTTTTGGATTTCAGCTATTCTAAAAGATGCATAATAGCATCTCGTTGTTTTAATTTGTAGTTCCCTAGGACTGTCAATACAATGTTGAAAAGACGTGATGAGAATAAATAGAATTGCCTTTTTCCTGATCTTACTTGGAAAGCTTTTTCTTTCTTACCATTAAGTATGATGTTAGCTGCAAGTTTTTTTGTAGACATTCTTTATCAAATTGAGGAAGTTTCCCTATATTCCTAGTTTGCTGAGATTATTTATCATGAAACTTTTTCATAAAGTTTTTTCTGTATTTACTTATATGATTATGTGGTGTCTCTACTTTAGCCTGTTGATGTGATTGACTACATTAATTGACTTCAAATATCAAAGCAGACTTTCATACCTTAGATAAATCCCATTTGGTCATGATGTAAGATTTTTTATATGTTGTTTAATTTGATTTGCTAATATTTTATTAAGGCTTATTAGTCCTATGTTTATGAGAGATATTCATTTATAGTTTTCTTCTCTTATAATACTTTTATCTAATTTGGTGTTACAGTGATGCTGGCAACATAAAATGGGGTTAGAAAATATTTCCTCTGCATCTATCTTCTCAAAGAGATTGTAAAAAGTTAATACAATTTCTTCCTTAAATGTTGAGTAGATTCATTAGTAGACTCAACTGGCTCTTGTACTTTCCATTTTGGAAGACTACTAATTATTGATTCAATTTCTTTAATAGAAATAGCTTATTCAAATTGTTTTTTCTCCTGCGAGTTTTGGCAGATTGTGTCTTTTAAGAAATTTTTCTATTTCATTTAGGTTATCAAGTGTGTGGTCATAGATTAGTTCATAGTATTCTTTTACTGTCTTTTTAATGCCTATGAGATTTGTAATGATGTCCTCTCTTTTATTTTTGATCTATTTGTATCTATTCTAGCAATTTGTATCTATTCTATTTTTCCTTAGCCTGATTTATCTATTTTATTTTTTCAGAAACCTATATTTTAGTTTTTTAAACTATTGATTTATTTTTAATTTTATTGATTTTTGCTCTAATATTTATGATTTTTCCTTCTCCTTACTTTAAATTTAATTTAAAGTTATTTTTTGTTTTCTAAGGTAGAGGCTTAGATTAGTGATTTTAACTCTTTTCTCCTTTCTAATATATGCATTCAATGCTATAGATTTCCCTCTAAGCATTGCTTTTGTTCCATTGTGCACATTTTGATAATTTTTGCTTTATTATTTAGTTCAAAATACCTTTAATTTCTTCTTGGATTTTTGTCTTTATCTCATGTATTATTTAAAAATGTATTGTTTAATTTCCACATACTTTGGGATTTTTCATGTATCTTTCTATTATTAATTTCTAGTTCATTCCACTGTGGTCTGAGAGAGGACATTGTATCATTTCTATTCTTTTAAATTTAGTAAGGTATGCTTTATAAAACATAATGTAGTCTGTCTTCGTGAATGTTCTATATGAGCTTGAGAAAAATGCATATTCTACTGTTCTTGAATAAAGTAGTTTTATCAACTACTGCAAGTACTATATGTACTATAATTTCAGTTATATGCAGTTTATTGATATTGCTTCTGAGGTCAGCTCTGTCCTTATTGATTTTTTGTCTGCTAGGTCTGTCATTTTGTGATAGAGGGATATTGAACTCTTCAAGTATAATAATGATTTTTTCTTCTTGCAGTTCTAATAGATTTTGCCTCACATATTTTAAAGTTTTATTGTTAGGTGCATAAACATTAAGGATTGTTATGTCTTTTGGAGAATTAACTCCTTTATCATTATGTAATGCCACTCTTTATCAATGATAAATTTCCTTGCTTTGAAGGCTATTCTGTCTGAAATTAGTACAGTTACTCTGCTTCCTTTTGATTACTATTAGTGTGGTATCTGTTTCTTCATACATTTACTTTTAATCTGTGTCATTTTATACTTAAAATGCATTTCTTATTTTAAAAACGAAGAGTTTACTCTTGCTTTCTGATTTACTCTCAGTGTCTTTTTTTTAATTGGTATACTTAAACTTTTATGGTAATTATTTATATAATTGGATTAATATCTATAATACTTGTTACTGTTTTCTTTTATTGCCTTTTTTCTTTGTTCCTTTTTTGTCTTCCACTCTTTTTCTACGCTTTGTAGTTTTAATTGAATATTTCATATGGTTTATTTTCTCACATTTCTGGACTTTTTAAAACTTTTTTTGACAGTCGTACTTTCTTTCACCTTTTTATGGTTGCCTTACAATTTGCAATACATATTTGGAATAATCCAAATCCACTTTTCAATAACACTACACCGCTTTGCAGGTTGGGGAAGTACTGCATAATGATAAAATAATAATAATATATTAATCCTATCCTTTGTATAATTGCTGTAATTTTTCCACATATATATAATATGTACATACTTATATAATATATAATCAAATATATTATTGCTATTCTTAATTTTGAACAAATCGTGCTAGATCAATAAAGAAGAAGAAAAATAAAAGCTTTTGTTTTATTTTAACTTATGTTTCTACATCATTTTTTAATGTTTATCAGAGTTTATAAACTATTTTATTTTCCTTCTTTAAGAAGAACTTCTTTTAACATTTCTTGCAATGAAAGTCTGTGGCTAGAAATTTTCTCAATTTTTGTTGAAATAAGAAAGTCTATTTCCTCTTCACTTTTTAAGAATAATTTCACATGGTATGGAATTCCAGATTAGAGGTCATTGTTTATGTTTTCTCACAACCCTTAAATATTACACTTCGATCCCTTGCTGGAATAGTTTCTGATGAGAAGCAATTGTAATGCTTATCTTTACACCTCTATTTGTTGTTTTTTTCTTTTTCTTATGGCTTCTTTCAAGATGTTTTCCTTATTTTTCATTTGCTGCACTGTGAATATAATATACCTACAAATAAAATTTTATTTTTGGTGTTTAATCTGCTTGGTGTTTTTCTGAGTTTCCTGGATCTATTGCTTCATGTCTAACATTAATTTGGGGGAAATTCTTATTCATTATTGCTTCAAATATTGCTTATGATTCTTTCCTCTTCTTCTGATATCCTCTGTATACATAGTCACACTTTTGTAGTTGTTCTACAGTTCTTGGATATTCTGTTCTATTTTTTCAGTCTTTTTGTCTTCTTTTTGTTTGCAGTTTTAGAAATTTCTACAGATGTATCCTCAAATTCAGAGATTCTTTCTTCAGCTGTGTCCAGTTTATTAATGAGCCCATCAAAGACTTTCTTCATTTCTGATACAATGGTTTTGATCCCACCATTTCCTTTTGATTCCTTCATAAAATTTTTCTCTCTGCTTACATAACCCATCTATTTTTTCATGCTATCTTTTCAATTAGACTCTTAGCATACTAGTTATAGTTGCTAAAATTCATGATCTGAGAATTTCAAAATCCTTATCATGCTTGAGTCTGGTTCTAATGCTAACTCTGTCTCTTCAAACCGGGTATTTTTTTTTCTTTTAGTATGCCTTGTAATTTTTAGTTAAAAATTGGTTATGACAAACTGGGTAAAAGGAACTCTGTAATAGATCTATAGTTATATGGTGGTAAGGTATGGGGTAAGGGGAAGCATTTTCTGGCCTTATGATTAGGTCTCTGTTTTAACGAGTTTGTGTCTCTGAGATGTGAATGTTACAACTGCCTCTCAGTCCTCCCCCAATACCTTTGGAGAAACAGGATGGGTGAAAAAAGATGAAATTGAGTATTTCTCCCCCACATCGAAGGTTAGAGGAATCTAAAGTTCGACATTAACTTTCTCTCTGGTTGGTTAGGTACTGATGAAATTCCAAGAGGTTAGGCTAAGGTAAAATGGTTTTTCTTGAGGACGGGTCTTGTTAAGAAGAACAGATGCTATGGAGTATTTCAAAATGGTTATTTTTTCCTCCACCTACTGAAATCCTAAGGGAATTTTTCTTATGTATTTACTGTGAACACTGAAGATATCCAAGAGGTAAATCTCAGAGGTGTCTGCCACTCCCCAGAGTTTTTAACTCTCAGACTCAACTATACTGAGCTTTAAGCCATTTGTCAATTACAGTTCAGGTTTTCCTCCTGTTACTAATTCGTAGGGAAGTGTTTGCTTGTGGGTTTCTGTTTCAGTATGTAGTGATTCTCTGTACCCATCTTTCTGTCTCTTTAATTCTGAGGGCAGTAGTTTGCCATGTGACTTTATTTCTCTAATGGATGTAAGAAGAATTGCTAATTTTTCAGTTTATTCAGCTTATTTCTTGTTCTTAGGGTGGAGTGGTGACTTCCAAGTTTCTTACATGTCAGCCCCAAAACCAGAAATCTTAAGCCAGTTTTAATACATTTAATTTTATGAGAGATTTATCCATTTCCTTTAAGTTTTCAAATTGGTTGTCATAAAGTTGACTATATACTTCAATAATAAATCTTAATATTGCTTGTATTCTGATTACATTCATTTTCTTTATTTATTTTCTGTTTTTTTTTCTTCTGGTAAGTGTTATCAAAAGTTTGTTCATTTTATTAAAATGAGAAGCATAATATTAGGAGATAGGGTCATAGTTATGTGTTTCAGTGTGTGAAGGGAGGAAGATTGAGTAATTTTGAGGCCATTAAAATGACTTTGGTTTTCATTTTGTATGAGACAGGAAGACAGTGGAGTGTTCAGAGGAGGTATTATCAGTTTAAATCAAGCTGCTGTGTTGTGTATTGGGGAGGTGGCAATAGTGAAAACAAGAATATTGTGAGGAGGATAAAACTGTAATCCCCATGAGACATATTGTCCACTGAAATCATGGTGATTGCATCAGAAGTAATAAGATGTTGTGTCCAGAACGTATTCCTTCCAGTGGGTTCTTGGTCTTGCTGCCTTCAAGAATGAAGCTGAGGACCTTCGCAATGAGTGTTACAGCTCTTAAAGATGGTGTGTCCAGAGTTTGTTCCCTCAGATGTTCAGATATGTCAGGAGTTTCTTCCTTCCAGTGGGTTCCTGGTCTCACTGACTTCAAGAATGAAGCTGCAGACCTTTGTGGTGAGTGTTACAGCTCTTAAAGGTGGTATGGACACAAAGAGTGAATAGCAGCAAGATTTATTGTGAGAAGCAAAAGAACAAAGCTTCCACAGCATGGAAGGGGACCCAAGCAGGTTGCCGCTGCTGGCTCGAATGGCCAGCTTTTATTCCCTCCTTGGGCCCTGCCCACATCCTGCTGATTGGTCCATATTACGGAGCGCTGATTGGTGCATTTTTACAGAGTGCTGATTGGTGCTTTTACAATCCTTTAGCTAAATACAAAGTTCTCCAAGTCCCCACCTGACCCAGAAGCTCAGCTGGCTTCACCTCTCAATTCCCCCTCCAAACAGGACACCCCAACTGTGGTTGAGAATTGGGCGATGACTGCTCTAGCTACTTCCTGCTGGATGAGGTGAAGGAGGGGCCCTGCGGTTGTAGAGTCCTCCAGAGGGGAACTCTTTAGGCCAGTGAAAGGGCCAGCAGGCCACTCCAGGGGTCCTTGGTAGAAGTTGTTAGATGAGCTCATTGGGGTTCCATTTGTAAGACCATCTGTAACTTGATGGCCTCAATCCTAGAGGAAACAAATTTGACAAGGAGGTTAAAAATACAGGTCCTGAAGGCAAGTAATAGTAAGATGGCCGTCACAGGACCTAGAAAGGGGAGAAGTCATGTTGCCCAACTCCAGAAGTTGGTATGAGTTTGAAAGGCATTGTCTGATTTCAGAAGCCTTTTCCTGTAAATGCCAGGCAGCATCTCGTACTATCCCTGACTGGTTAGTGTAAAAACAACACTCTTCCCCTAAGAAGGTGCAGAGTCCTCATTTCTCAGCAGTGAGGAGGTCTAGGCCTTGGCGGTTTTGGAGAGTCACTGCTGCCAAAGAGGCTATTTGGGATTGTAGAGTAAGGACAGATTTCATTATTTCTTGCAAACTGTCTGAGAAATCCTTTGAGAGTTTGTGGTGGTAGGATAATACACGTTACACTGTTAACTTTTAGAAAACTTTACTTTTGTTGAAAACCTTGTAAGTTTGGGATTTTAATTTTTCTTTGCTATTAATAAAACTTGCTCAGTCCTTATTAACTTAGAATTGGTATAGATGGCTCCTTCCTGATTCTGTAAGTACTTTAATGTTTGGCTGAGTGCAAACAGCTCACATGTTTGAGCAGGCCAATTATTAGGCAATTTTCCTAACTGCTTCTACAAGAGTTTCCTTATCACTTACTGAATACTCATTGTGTATTTTTCCCTTAATTGCCTAGGAGCAACCATCTATCATCTTGTCCTGAAGGGAGTTCCTCCTATGTCTGATCAGACTTTGTATGGTAATTAATTAAGATTTAGATCCCCTGTTAGGAAACCTGCTGGGTTAAGTGTTTTTGATAGGAAGGCTATGGGTTGTCAGTGGCCTCAGTGCTTTTGGGCTATGCCCTTGTTTACCCTGACAACAAGGTGGTATTGGAGTGTTATAGGGTTATGGAGAAGACCTTCAGTTATCAATTATAGGTTTTAAATTCACCCTGGCTTTTAAAGGAATAGGACACACTGTTTTTTTCTTTACTACCTCTATCTCACTCTTTCTCTCTCTTTGACTCCTTCTTTGTCTGTCTCTTCCTCTCTCTCTCTCTTTCCTTTTGTCTTTCTTTCTCTCTGACTGCCTCTTTGTCTGTCTCTTCCTCTCTTTCCTTCTCTCTTTGACTTTCTGCCTCTCTGTCTCTTCCTTTCTCCATCTTTCTGACTCCTTCTTTGTCTGTGTCTCTTCCTCTCTCTCTCTCTTTGACTTTCTGTCTCTTTCTCTCTTTCCTTTCTGCTGGTCTTTCCCTGACTCTGCCAGCTGCTTATGCTGCTGTTTTCCCCTCTCCTTCCCCTTTTTCATGGCTTTGGCAGTGTAAGACTGCCACCTCCTTGGGTTTTTGCACTGTGTGCAATAACTCCATGGTTTTCTTGTGATATTTAATGGGGGTTCACCCAGAGGTTAGGAAGTCCTTTTTTTCCCCATATTGCAGCATGGACATGTAGGATTAGATAAGCATACTCACTATCTGTAGCAAAGTCTCCAAGTTACAACTTAGGAGGTGGGAGAAATACCTGGTTCCAGACTGTCCCAGGATTCTTCAGATGGTAATGGACCTTGAGGACAGCTGTCTGGGACAGGAGATTAACACTGAGAAAGCCATGCGAGTGTCCAGGAGGAAGTAAATTTCCTCTCCCTCAATGATTATACATACCCGGGGCTCAGTGAGGGTGATGACATGAGCTGGCACTTGCCCCAGGCACCCTCAGTCCTGTTGTTGGGTCATCTGGTTGGGGGCTTCTGGCCCAGAGATCCTTTGTTCTCTAGGGCAGTGTGCCTTCCAGTGATTGCCTTGGCATAGTGGACATGGGCAAGGGGACAGCTTGTTTCTCTTTGGACAATCTTTTTTAAAGTGTCCTTGCAAACCACACTGATAACAAGCCCTACTGGGTGATTGGCCTGCTCCATTTTCTGTCCTCTCTGAACCACCAAGATTTGTTTGTCTGAGGGCCATGACTAAGGCCTTTCTCTGATCTTGCTTTTCCTTTTGTGCCTGTTCCTCTTGGTCCCTATTATAGAACACCAAGGTTGCCAGGTTTAATAGTGCCTCCAGATTTTGTTAAGGGCCCAGGGCTCACTTGTGAAGCTTTCTCCTGATATCAGTGGCTGATTGGGTAGTAAACTTATCTTTTAGAATCAATTGACCCTCAAGTGATTCGGGTGACAGGGGAGTATATTTTCTTAAGGCCTCCTATAGCAGCTGGAGAAAGGCAGAAGGATTTTCTTCCTTTCCCTCAGTTATGGTGGACATCATTGAATAATTCATGGGCTTTTTCCTAATTCTGCACAAGTCAACAGATGTTTGTGACTCCAGTCCCCATGATCTGAGTTGAGGTCCCAATGGGGATCCATACTGGGGACAGCTTGCTGACTGGTAGGGAATTTGTCCCTTTCTTCAGCTGTCATTCTATCATTTTCTTGACTAAGATACCAGGTATCTCCAAACTCTTGGGCTGCAGCTAAAGATGCATTCTTTTTATTAAAGGCCAGGGTTTGATCTAATAGCATGACATCTCTCCAAGTGAGGTCAAAGGTTTGCCCTAGACCCTGTAGAACATCTATGTACCTATCAGGATCATCTGAAAACTTCCCCAGGTCTGCCTTGGTCTGCTTTAAATCAGAGAGGGAGAACAGAACATGTACCTGGGTTGGGCCAAATTCCCTTCCCCCTATAGCTTGAATGGGACATAACCGATAGCCCAGGGGTTTTGGAGGTCCTTTGGAGATTTCTTTGCTTGTTTCCCTCTGGGCAGGGGAGATTAGAGGAGGTTTATCATTAATAGGAAGAGGAGCTATAGGGGGGCTAGGATCTGGAGGTAAGTTGAGACGTCCTCCTGTGGGATGTAAATTACAAGCTTTGCATAGTTGTGGATTCTCCTTCAATGAAAAGAAAGCTTGGACATAAGGTATTTCACTCCATTTGCCTTCCTTCTTACAGAAAAGGTCAAGCTGCAAGATAGTATTGTAATTTATATACTTCCCTCAGGTGGCCATTTTTCCCCATCAGAGAAATATCGGGGCCAAGCCATAGTACAGAAAAAAATGAGCCACCTCTTTTTCAGGGTTTTCAGGTCAAATTGGTCCCAATGGCTTAGGATGCATTTCAAGGGTGATCCTGTTGGTGACCGAGTGTTTCCCATCTTAAAGACAAAACCACCCATGGTTTTGGTTTGTTTGTTCCCCGCCGCCCCCCCCCCCCCCCGGAACACGCATCAGTCCCTGGACCCTGCTGATAGGAATAGTTGCACTCACCAATGCAGCAGCAGAAACTCCTCTTGCCCAGGAACCTGCAACGGTCCTTGGACCCTGCTGACTGGAATAGTTGCACTCACTGACGCAGCAGCAGAAACACTAGTTTTCCTCCTAGACCACAAGGACTGAGGAATGTTGGATTTAGTGGCCCTTACCGATGCATTCTCGAAAACTTGCACCCTTGCCTGTTCCCCTAGACCACAAAGAGGACCCAGAAAAATTGGATTTCGTGGCACTTACTGATGCATTCTCGAAAACCTGTTAGAGTTGTAAACATTCTCCTGTTAGTATTGAGACTTTACCCCTGTCCTATAAAGATGTTATGCCCAAAAAATGAAGCGGAGGTGCCATACCCTGAGGAAGGGAAGGGATCTCCAGGGTTGGAAGAATGGAGCCTTTTGTCCTCACTTGAATAGGAAGGATATCATTCTGAAGCTCCCCATATCCTAGCTTCAGGAATAGCCTTGTTGGGCCTGCTAGTGTGAGGAGGGATCCTAAAATTCCAGTTAAGATATAGCCCCACCAACAGGGCTTTGGGCAAAAATCATGTCTTTCTGATTAGTGAGCCCAGGTGACTAAAGAAGGGAATGGAGTCCTTAAGTTTATAGTAGAAATCACTATTATAAGAGAAACTAGAAAAGCACCAGAGACAGGGAGTGGCTTTTAGAAGTGGTACTAGCCTTGGAGAAGAGAGGCAAGAGGAAGTTTGTCTGACAGGCATTAGGACCCAGGAGGCAAGGGTCAGGATAGATAGGATAGAAGGGCAAATCTCGCTTGGGTTACATGACTTTGAGAGTTCCACTCATGGCCACAGGGTCAACCAACTTGTTGTCGGGACTCCAGAGCTGAGTGGCTTTCCTCTCTGTGGACCCTCAGCTCAGCCCAGAAGTACAGGAAAAGCGGAAGCTGGTTTCAGGCAAACCAACACTCCCAAGTCCAAAGAGTCAGGGGTCGTTAGGGAGCCCTTTCCCAGAAAGCCTGACACCTGTGTCTTTAATCCAGCGACCATGCTAGTCACTTTTAACTGGCTGACAGGTGGCTGCTATTTAGTCCCCTAATTCTTAGGAAAAATAGGACAGAATAGCAAGTGAAAGGGGTCCAATGGTACTCAATGATTGGTGATAGTCCCATCTGGGTCACCAAAATGTGCCCAGAATTTATTCCTTCCAGTGGGTTCTTGGTCTCGCTGACTTCAAGAATGAAGCCGTGGACCATTACGGTGAGTGTTACAGCTCTTAAAGATGGTGTGTCCGGATTTTGTTCCTTCAGATGTTCAGATGTGTCTGGAGTTTCTTCCTTCCAGTGGGTTCCTGGTCTTGCTGACTTCAAGAATGAAGCCACAGACCTTTGTGGTGTTGCAGCTCTTAAAGGTGGTGTGGACCCAAAGAGTGAGTAGCAGCAAGATTTATTGTGAAGAGTGAAAGAACAAAGCTTCCACAGCATGGAAGGGGACCTGAGCAGGTTGCCGCTGCTGGCTCGGGTTGCCAGCTTTTATTCCCTCCTTTGGCCCCACCCACATCCTGCCGATTGACCCATTTTAAAGAGTGCTGATTGGTGTGTTTACAATCCTTTAGCTAGATACAAAAGTTCTCCAAGTCCCCACCTGACCCAGAAGCTTAGCTGGCTTCACCTCTCAATGTGACTGAATTATAAATATAACTTGAAGACGAAATCTAGCATTACAGGCAGAGTAAATGTGTGGTGTGGAAAAAACGTAGTTAAGGAATAAATCAAGTGTTTTGGGCTGAGCATATGAACTGTATCAGTTAGCCAAGACAGAGGCACTGATGGAAGAGCAGATCAGGTGGCTGTGATGGTGTTCATAAAGAAATTTAGTTGCAGAAACTGCTGTGTCTTAAATATATACCTAAAAACCAGATTTATATTCTAGCTAATACATATGGGAAAATGCATTCATTTCTTATTTTGTGATTCTTTTTCTTTTTGAGGGAGTGATTTCTGTCCTTCTGTTCACTTGATAGTGCAATATTTTTCTTTTCTATGTTTAATTTTCTTCAAATTGTCTTTGCAGTTTCATTTTTACCCTCTGTTTCCTTTTGCTCCCTTTCAGCATATTTTCATTAACATTTATATTTTATCTGAATTGAAATGGATTTACTCCATCATTGAGGAACACAAATGCATGGCATTTCCTATTTTATACCATTAAGTAAATCTCCTGAGTATACTACTACTTATTTTTAAACCATGTTTACCCAATTATCATCTCTCTCTTCTATCACATTTCTTAGCAAAACAAATATTATTATCTATTATTCATCCACACATCCCAATACTCTTTTAAAATTTTGCATGTTATGCTTGGGTACAGAAGAGTACTATTAAACTGGGAGTACGTTAATTAATTTTACTCCATGAAGGCATTGCTTTAAACATATGATTAATATCAGCCTTCTACTCTTTTCCTTAATCAATATGTAAAAATTTCCTGACCATATGAAACAAGAAAAAATTAAGTAGCATTCATAAATTACATAGTTTGGTATAACTAAGTAAAACATTTTTGTATATACCTTGTGGCATTTCTAAAACCACTTCCCCAATACACTAGCTGATTTCAATTCAGCTCTTTTTACATGAAATTCTTGCCAGCAAATGTAGCTGGCACTTGATTTGTCCTTCTCTTTTCAATTCCCGCCTCCCTCAGAGATGCAGAAATGAAATTTCAAGTCACAGAAGTGTACTTCCACAGCTTTCATTATTTTTTGAAAGGCCATATTTCACAAATATAGATTCCTACTTTTCTATCCACTTTATATTTAGTCTGTCTTCCAAAGGTTCTCTCCTCTCTTTTTCTAGTAATTTCCAACAAGCTTCACATTCATTACCCACATTGAGAGAGCATTACACAACTAATTTTTCTATGAAAATCCTAAACCAAAATTCAATTATATAAGGAACAAGAAATTATTTCAATTGGATGTCTGATTAAAATGACTCCTCAGGTGACTCAAAAGTTTAATATTATGGTTTTTAGCAGACAGAGTCTGAATGTCTAACAATTTTAAGTAGAAATGAGAAAAAAAATTCCTGGATCAGATTAGCCTCAAGTTAAACATGCCAAATTTCATTAATAAATGTTCTCAACATTTTGCTATCTAAGCTATTTTCATTGTTTTTTTTTTCCTTTTTCAGATAATATTCATTAAAAACAGGTGGGATTTTGAAATATAAAGCCTATGAGAATTTAAATGTATCTCGGGAGAATAAGGATATAACATTATAAGAATGTTCCCTAAACTGCGTTCTTCAGTATTGTATACATATTCCAGCAAATTTATAGATTTTCAATAAAAGTTTTGATAAGTCCTAATTTTAACAAAAGCCTTCAATTATTGCTATCTAACATAAAGGTAGAAAATGTAGTTGAGATTATTTGAAAGAAATTATGAACAGGTGCTTTATAACACAATTTTATTAAGTGTTTAATCAATGCATTATTAAAACATTATAGTTTATAATGCCACCTAGTGGATTTCTGAATAAAAAATGCCCCTTGAGTATAACTAACATATAATATGAAACATATGCATAAAGAATGGTAATCCAATTTTCCTATATATTTACATATCTTTCTCTCTCTTTTTCTTTCTCTAATATTCACCCTGAAATATTAAGTATTTACCTTGAGCTATAAAGCATTAAACATTTAAAAGTATTAAATCAAAACAGAAAGAAAATAAAATGTATTTCTTAGAAGTTTCTTTTTTAAGTTTATCATAAGTATAAAATGTTTGAATTGGATTTCAGAAGCAACATGTAAATACTTGGGACACTTAATTATAAATAATTCATGTAAAAAGATTAAAATAATGAAATGGCAGTATATATATTTATAGTACAATATAAGTCATTATAAGTTAAAGCTGTAATTTTTAACTCCATGTGAAATTGCCTTGGTAAGTATAAAATTGTGATTTGCAAACCTGGCTGTGTATCAAAAATCTTCTGATTAAAAGTTTCCAGAGATGAGGTCCAAGAATGTGTATCTCTTCAAAGCTCTGTAAGTTATTATGATACACAATAATGGCTGATAATGCTGCTGTAAATCATTATCTAGACACAGAGACTAGTTTCCAGATTGTCCAAAACTGGACAAACAAAACCTACTACAGAATATTGTCTTAGTGTGGTTTATTTTGTGGTTAGATATATATTTAGCATGACAATATTCACTAGTTCTGCTTTTATGACCATTTTAAATACTATTGTACTCTAACATGTTTTTGTCCATTCTCCTTCCCTTTCTTTGCAATTTTGCTGGATCACCTAATTAATTTCAGTCGTTTCTGGTACTCTCTCAATATAAATATCTTCAAAATGTATATAACAACTCATTTCTCCGTCTTACCTCCCAAACTGGTATATGAAATTGCCTTCTAACCATCCTCAGATATTCAGAGTCCTCAAATGTAAAGTACTCCTATTCCATCTCTAACCCCAATAAAAAGTATCAAAATTTCTGCCTTCCCTATTTTAGGGAACATAACCAGCATCCACAAAAATTAAACAAGAAACAAAGTCCAAATCTCACACTTTCATTTTCTGACCTCTCGTAACTTAACAGTCCTTAAGTCACCTTAATTATGCTTCTTAAATTTTAAAGCATGTAAGTCTTTCTCACCACATAACTACCTTAGCTCAGACCTTCCACATGTCTCTCTCTGAACTTGGAGTCAATTGTTTCCCTCCAATCTGTCTATTCCCTTTACTTCATAGAGTGATATCAAAGTGATCATACTAAAATATAATATTTTTATTTCAGTAAAGTTTCAGAATACAAAGTCAATGCACAAAAATCAGTACCATTTCTATACACCAATAACATTCAAGCTGAGAACCAAATCCAGAATATAATCCCGTTTACACTGGCCACCAAAAAACAAACAAACAAACAAACGAACAAACAAATGAAAAAACCTAAGCATACAGCATAAATCATATATGACAAACCAATGGAAAAACATTCCACGTTTATGGCTCAGAAGAATTGATATCATTAACATGGCCATATTGTCCAAAGCATCCTACAGATTCAGTGCGATTCCTATCAAACTAACAATGTAATTTTTTGCAGAATTGAAAAAAAAAAGTTCACATGGAACTAAAATTCCAACTAAAATTCACATGGAACAGAAAAACAACTGGAAAGCCAAAGCAATATTAAGCAAAAAGAACAAAGCCAAACCCAAAGGCCAAATTCAAACTACACTATAAGGCTATAGTAACCAAAACAGCATGGTAGTGATACAAAAACTAACACATAGACGAATGGAACACAATACAGAACCCAGAAAAAAAGCTTCAAACCTACAGCCATTCTGATATTCAGCAATGTCAACAAAAATAAGCAATGGAGAAAGGATTCCCTATTAAATAAATGGTGCTTGGATAGCTGGCCAGTGATATATAGAAGAAGGAAACTGGACTCCTACCTTCCACCATATACAAAAAATTAACTCACCATGGATTAAAGATTTAAATGCAAGGCCTCAAACTATTAGAATTCTTGAAGAAAACCTAGGAAACACTATTCTGGACATCGGCCTTGGGAAAGGGTTTATGACTAAGTCCTCAAACGCAATTGAATCAAAAACAAAAATTAACAAGTAAGATCTAATTAAACTAAACAGCTTCTGCACAGCAAAAATAACCATCAATAGAGTAAAGATACAACCTAAAGGATCAGAGAAAATATTCACAATCTATGCATCACACAGAGGTCTAATATTCAGAACCTATAAAGAACTTAGAGTATCCAACAAATAACGAACAAATAATCTCATTAAAAACTGTGCCAGGCCAGGCGCAGTGATGCATACCTGTAATCCCAGCCCTTTGGGAGGCCAAGACAGGTGGATCACGAGGTCAGGAGTTCAAGACCAGCCTAGCCAAGATGCTGAAACCCTGTCTCTACTAAAAATACAAAAATCAGCCCAGCGTGGTGGCTCGTGCCTGTAATCCCAGCTACTCAGGAGGCTGAAGCAGGAGAATCTCTTGAACCCGGGCAGCAGAGGTTGCTGTGAGCTGAGATTGCACCATTGCACTCCAGCCTAGGTGACAGAGCAACACTCTGTAAAAAAAAACAAAAAACAAAAAACCTGGCCCAAACACATCAAACATATGAACAGATACTTCTCAAAAGAACACATAAAAGGAGGCAACAAACCTGAAAAAATGTTCTACATCACTAATCATCAGAAAAATACAAATCAAAAGAGCAATAAGATACCACCTGACACCAGTCTAAATTGCTATTATTAAAAGGTGAAAAAAACACAGATGCTGGTGAGGCTGCAGAGAAAAGGGAATGCTAATACTGTGTTGGTGGGAATGTAAATTTGTTCAGCCACTTTGGAAAACAATGTGGAGATTTCTCAAAGAAACTAAAACAAAACTACCATTCAACCCAGAAATCTCATCCCTAGGTATATAGTCAAAAGAAAATAAATCATTCTACCAAAAAGATGCAGTTGTATGTTCATCATGGCACTTTTCAAAATAGCAAGGACATGGAATTAGCCTAGGTACCCATCAACAGTTTATTGGATAAAGAAACAGTGGTACATATATACCATGGAATACTATGTAGTCATAAAAATATCATGTCCTTTATAGCAACATAAATGGAGCTGGAGGCCATTATTCTAAGCATATTAACAGAGGAACAGAAAACCACATACCACATATTCTCACTTAGAAGTGGGAGCTAAACAATGAGTAATCATGGATCTAAGGATGGCAACAATAAACACTGAGAAGTATTAGAGAGGGGAGGAAGAGACCAAGGGAAGATTGAAAAACTAACTGTTGGTAGTGTGCTCAGGGCCTGGGTGATGGGATCATTCATACCCCAAACCTCAGCATCATGCAATATACCAGGAACAACCCTGCACATGTACCCCTGAATCTAAAATAAAACCTGGAAAAAAACCCAAGAAACCAATACAAAATAAAATGAACAAATATATATATACAATATATATATAGTATATATATATATATAAATATATATATACACATATATATATACAAATATATAGACATATATAATTTTAACTTGTTATTGATCACCCCAACTCCCTTTAGATAGCTATCAAAATAAATTTCTTACATTTTAACAGCAGTATTTCTCAAAGGTTCTTCAAAGATCCACCTACTTCTCGAATCATTAAGGGATAAGCTTGTGAAAATACAGAATCTAGGGTCTGTAGATGGTGAGGGAATGCTTTAAGAAATCATCCACTGAAGACCAACTAGATGCTGAAAAGATGCAATTTTTGAGGCTTTGGTGGTATTGTAAGAATTGGAAGAGTTTTTCAAGAACACTCCTGAAGTAAATATAATACTTTTTTGAAAGCTGGCACCAGATCTACAAGCCCAGATATAAGTTGATGGGAGAAATTTTCCAGAGATTGGCTACTCAGACTATTATTGATATTGGATTAGTAAATTTGAGCCAATTTCTGAACCTGGTATTCTTATATGATGACAAGAAATTTGAGGAGAGCTAAAATGCAACCAATTCAGGCATGTCACCTGTTGTCTAATTGAAACAAATGCAAATCTTCTTTGTACAAAGATTATGCCAGTTTAGTCTCATATGCATCTTCCAGATGAAGATATAACACTGTTCTTATAGTAAAATATTAGCAAACACACATGAAGGCAACTACCTTATTTAAATAAAGAAATAACAATAATAATAAATTTATATATATATATCTTATAGGACTGTGGTTATTGAAAATGAAAAAAACACAATATATAGTGTGATGGTTAATACTGAGTGTCAACTTGATTGGATTGAAGGATGCAAAGAATTGATCTTGGGTGTGTCTGTGAGGATGTTGCCAAAGAGATTAACATTTGAGACAATGGGATGGGAAAGGCAGAAATACCCTTAATCTTGGTGGACACAATCTAATCAGCTGTCAGTATGGCTAGAACATAAAGCAGGAAGAAAAACATAAAAGGACAAGACTGGCCTACCCTCCCAGCCTACATCGTTCTCTCGTGCTGGACCCTTCCTGCCCTTGAACTTCTGACTCCAAGTTCTTCAGTTTGGGGACTCAGGCTGTCTCTGCTTACTCCTCACATACATATCCCATTAATTCTGTCCCTCTAGAGAACCCTGACTAATAAAGATTTGGTACCAGGTGTGGTTATAAAGGAACAGAATATTAAGGATAACATTCTTTCATTTGTTTTGGGGTTTCTGGAGTTGGCTGTTTAATATGATTAGACCCAAAAATGCTAAGGACTTTACTTCTAATAGTATGGAGGACACTGATAGTCTTTGGCATGAACAGTTTAGAGAGTTATGCAAAATAAATACATTTGAGACTCCTGATTCACCACTCATGAGAGGCAAGGAGTTTAGTGACTCTATACATAATACATTTGATCATATATGGAGAACCAAGGAACCTAATGAAACTGGTTGGTTGCTCCTAGTTCAGTGGACAAAGTGATGAAAGAAAATGATGAACTCAGGATTGTAACTCCCAGCTTCAGAAACAGATACTGAGCTACAAATCTGCTAAGGTTGCCCTGAATAAGAGCCTTATCTCCTGTAGAGAAAGAGCTGAAATTGTGGAAAAACAGACACAAGATCTTATCATGCAAGTGGCTGATGTGCAATGAAAGGTGCATGCACAGCTTTGCCAGGTGTCTACTGTTAAAGTGAGGGTATTGACTGGAAAAGAATGAGACCCTGCAACTTGGAATGGGGATGTGTGGGGGGACCATGATGAAGCTGGGGACATTGAGTTTGTAAACTCTGATGAACCGTTTTGCCAGAAGAAACAGCTTCCCCATCCCCAGTAGTGGCAACATCTCCTCCCCAACCCAGGCTGCCATCAGCCTTTCCACCTTTGTCTGAGGAGATAAGCCCTGCACTGCCTAAGGCAACAGTGATGGTCCCGCCTGAGGAAGTTGCCAGGCAAGATAATGTTGATTCTCCTCAGGATCCACCCCAACACCCCATTTGCTTCTAAACCTATAATTAGACTAAAGTCCAGGCAGGCCACTAGAGGTGAGGTTAAGAGTGTTACCCATGAGGCGGTGCACTACACTTGAAAAGAACTGCTTGAGTTTTCTAATTTATATAAGCAGAAATTTGGAAAACAGTCATGGGAATATATACTAAGGGTGTAATATAATGGTGGAAGGAACATATAGTTGGATCAGGCTGAATTTAATGATTTGGGCCCACTAAGTAGGGACTCTGCATTTAATGTTGCAGCTTGGGGAGTTAAAAAGGGTTCTAATAGTTTATTTGCTTGGTAAGCTGAAATAGGAATTGCAAGATGGCCCACTGTGAGTGAGCTGGAAATGCCTGATCTCCCTTGGTTTAATGTAGAGGAAGGGACCCAAAGGATTAGGGAGATTGGAATGGTGGAGTGGATTAGTCACTTTAGACCTACTCACCCCAGCTGAAAGTGTCCAGAAGATGTACAGTTTAACAATGCATTGCAAAATAGATTTGCGAGGTCAGCACCTGCATCTTTGGGGGGCCCTGTAATTGCTCTTCTCTGTGTGTCTGATCTAACTGTGGGAATCACAGTCACCCAACTACAAAACTTAAATCCAATGGGAATAATTGGATCCCGAGATGGCAGGGGCCAAGGGCTGGTAATCAACCATCAAAGGCAAGGTGGACGAGCTTCCGTAATGGACAGCAGGGGCAAAGCAGCAATCAGAATAGTTTGACTCTTGTAGCACTCCGGCATTGGCTAAGTAATCACCGTGATCCCATAAGTGAAATTGATAGAAAGCCTACTGCATTCCTACTTAATTTGTATAAGCAGAAAACTTTTAGGTCAAATGGACTAAAGACTAATTTGAATTATAAAAACAGAGAAGGAAATCACAGCCTCTCAATTACTTTCCAGACTTGAGCCAGTTTACAGACCCAGAATCCCCTGAATAAAGGGGATGCTGGGTCCCCTTGAGGAAGGACCCCACTACACTACTGACACTTTATGCTATTAATCTTTGTCCCATTCGTCTCCAAGGAGAACTCTAGCTTTTAACAGGGCAACTGTGCACTGGGGAAAGGGAAATGATCAGATACCTCAGGGACTACTGAACACTGGCTCTGAGTTGACACTGATTCTTGGGGACCCAAAATGTCATTGTGGATCTCCAGTTAAAGTAGAGTTTTATGGATGTCATGTAATTAATGGAGTTGTAGTTGAGGTCTGACTTGAAGTGGGACCAATGGGTCCCCAGATTCATCTTGTGGTCATTTCCCCAGTACCGGAATATGTAATTGGCATAGATATTCTTAGCAGCTGGCACAACCCTCACATTGGCTCCCTGACTGGTAGGGTGAGGGCTATTATGGGAGGAAAGGCCAAATGGAAGCCATTAGAGCTGCCTCTACCTAGAAAAATTTTAAATCAAAAACAATATGCATCCCAGCAGGGATTGTGGAGACTAGTGTCATCATCAAGGACTTGAAAGATGCAGGAGTGCTAATCCCTACAAAATCCCTATTCAACTCTCCCATTTGGCCTGTACAGAAGACAAATGGATCTTGGAGAATGACAGTGGATTATTGTAAGCTTAACCAAGTGGTGACTCCAATTGCAGTTGCTGTACCAGATATGGTTTCATTGCTTGAGCAAATTAACACATCTTCTTGTACCTCATATGCAGCCATTGACTTGGCAAATGCCTTTTTTTCTCCATTCCTGTTCATAAGGCCCACCAGAAGCAATTTGCCTTCAGCTGGCAAGGCCAGCAATATACATTTACTGTCCTAATTCAGGGGTGTATCAACTCTCCAGCTTTGTGTCATAATCTTATTCAGAGATACCTTGATTGCATTTCACTTCTACAAAATATCACACTGGTGCATTACATTGATGACGTTATGCTGATAGAATCCGGTGAGGAAGAAGTAAAAAACAGACTGGACTTATTGGTGAGGTATTTGCATGCCAGAGGATGAACTATAAATCCTACTAAAATTCAGAGACCTTCTACCTCAGTAAAATTTCTAGGGATCCAGTGGTAAGGAGCCTTTTGAGATATTCCTTCTAAGGTGAAGGATAAGTGGCTACATTTGGCCCCTCCTATAACCAGGAAAGAGGCACAAGAAAGAGGCCTAGTGGACCTATTTGAATTTTGGAGGCTACACATTCCTCATTTGGGGGTGTTACTCCAGCCCATTTATCGAGTGACCTGAAAGACTGCCAGTTTTGAGTGGAGTCCAGAACAGGAGAAGGCTCTGTAAGAAGGTCAGGCAGCTGTGCAAGCCACTCTGCCACTTGGGTCATATGACTCAGCAGATCTAATGGAGCCTCTAGAATTTTGGAGCAAGTCCCTGCCATCTTCTGTATATGCCTCTCCTTTTGAGAGGCAGCTTTTGGCCTGTTACTGGGCTTTTGTGGAAGCTGAACATTTGAGTATGGGTTGTCTAGTCACCATGAGACCTGAAATGCCTAACATGAACTGGGTGCTTTCTAACCCATGTAGCCATAAAGTGGATCATGCACAGCAGCATTCCATCATCTAATGGAAGTGATATATATGTGATCAGGCTCAAGCAGTTCCTGAAGGCACAATTAAATTGCATGAGGAAGTGGCTCCAATGCCCATGGTCTCCATTTCTGGTACCCTACCTTCTCTTCCCCAGCCTGCACCAGTGGCCTCATGGGAAGTTTCCTATGATCAGTTGACAGAAGAAGAGAAGACTAGGGCCTGGTTCACAGATGACTCTGCACGATATGAAGGCATCACCCAAAAGTGGACAGCTGCAACACTAGAGACCATTTCTAGGACATCCATGAAGGACAGCAGTGAAGGAAAATCTTCCCATTGGGCAGAACTTCAAGCAGTACACCTGTTTGTGTACTTTGCATGGAAAAAGGAATGATCAGATGTGTGATTATATATTGATTCATGGGCTGTAGCCAATAATTTGGCTGGATGGTCATGGACTTGGAAGAGGCATGATTGGAAATTTAGTGACAAAGGAATATGGTGAAGAGATATGTGGATGGACCTCTTTGATTGGTCAATAACTGTGAAGATATTTGTATCCCATGTGAGTGTCTACCAATGGGTTACCACATAAAAAGAGAAGTTTAATAATCAATTGGATAGAATGACCCATTCCCCGTTCTGTGGACACTACTCAACCTCTTTCTCTGGCCACCCCTGTCATTGCCCAGTGGGCCCATGAACAAAGTGATCATGGTGGCAGGGATGGAGGCTATGCATGGCTCAGCAACATGGATTTCCACTCACTAAGGCTGTCCTGGCTACTGCCATTACTGAGTGCCCAATTTTCCAGCAGCAGAAGCCAACACTGAGCCCTTCATATGGCACTATTACTCAGGGTGATCAACCAGCTACCTGGTGGGAGGCTGATTATACAGGACCTCTTCCATCATAAAAAAGGCAGACGGTTGTCCTCACTGGTATAGACACTTACTCTGGATATAGGACTGCCTATTCTGCATGCAATGCTTCTTCCAAGACTACCATTCATGGGTTCACGGAACACCTTATCCACCATCATGGTATTCCAAACAGCATTGCCTCTGACCAAAGCACTCACTTTTCTGCTAAAGAAGTGTGGCAGAGGGCTCATGCTCATGGAATTCACTTGTCTTACCATGTTTCCCATTAATCTGAAGAAGATAAATTGATAGATCTGTGGACTAGCCTTTTGAAGTCACAATTACAATGCCAACTAGGTGACAATACATTGCAGGGCTGGGGCAAAGTTCTCCAGAAGGTCATGTATGCTCTGAATCAGCATCCAATATATAGTACTGTTTCTCCCATAGCCAGGATTTACAGGTTCAGGAATCAGGGGGTGGAAGTAGAAGTGGCACCACTCACCATCACCCATAATGATTCATCAGCAAAATTTTTGCTTCTTGTTTTCACGACATTACATTCTGCTGGTTTAGAGGTCTTAGTTCCAGATGGAGGAATGAGGCCACCAGGAGAAACAACAATTCCATTAAACTGGAAGTTAAGTTTGCCACCTGGACACTTTGGGTTCCTCCTACCCTTAAGTCAACAGGCTAAGAAGGGAGTTAGTGTTGGCTGTGGTGATTGACCTAGACTATCAAGATGAAATCAATCTGTACTCTACAAGAGAGTCAGGGAAGAGTATACATGGAATATAGGAGATCCATGAGGGCATCTCTTAGTATTACCATGATGTGATTAAGGTCAATGGGAAACTACAACAGATCAATCTATATAGGACTACAAATGGCCCAGACACTTCAGGAATCAACATTTGGATCACTCCACCAGGAAAATAACCACAACCTGCTGAGGTGTTTGCTGCAGGCAAAGGGAGTACAGAATGGGAAGTAGAAGAAGGTAGTTATCAATACCAGCTAAGACCACATGTCAAACTGCAGAAATGAGGATTGTAATTGTTATGGGTATTTTCTCCTTATTTTATTAAAAACATGTTTGTGCTTGTACTAAGAAAATATCTTCATTTTATTTCCCTTATCCTTTATCATGTGACATAGGATTTGTTGACTTCACATGAGGATGTAAGTATTGTTAACTTTATGTAACAGTAATTGGGTTGGTGATTGGTGTATTTCCAGTTGAATGAAAAATAGTAGTATTATGTTAGGCATAATTATGATTTTATTATTGTTTTTATTTGAAGATTATGTATGATCTCAGGAGATGTATATGGGTTCAAGTTGACAAGGAGTGGACTTATGATGGTTAATACTGAGTGTCAACTTGATTGGATTGAAGAATGCAAAGTATTGATCCCCTGGGTGTGTCTATGAGGGTGTTGCCAAAGAGATAACATTTGAATCAGTGGACTGGGGAAGGCAGACCTACTCTTAAACTGACTAGGCACTATCTAATCAGCTGCAAGAGTGACTAGTATATAAAGCAGGCAGAAAAACCTGAAAAGACTAGACTGGCCTAGCCTCCCAGCCTACATCTTTCTCCCATGCTGGACCCTTCCTGCTCTCGAACATTGGACTCCAAGTTCTTCAAGTTTTGGGGCTGGAACTGGCTTTCCTTGCTCCTCAGGTTGCAGTTGGCCTATTGTGGGACCTTGTGCCTTAATACTTACTAAACTCCTGTTTATATATTCTATTAGTTCTTTCCCTCTAGAGAACCCTAACTAATATATATAGCAATCAAAATATGTGCATAGAAATTTCAAACAAATTTGAAAAAAAAATGGTTCTAGAAATAAAATGTCACTTTGAACATGAAAGGTCAGCAAACAGATGAAATGCAAACAGATACAGCGAAATATAGAAATAAAAATCTAGAAGAGTGTTGGGCATGGTGGCTCATGACTGTAATTCCCAGCACTTTGGGAGTCAAGGTGGGAGAATCACTTGAAGCCATGTGTTTGAAACCAGCCTGTGCCACATGGTGAGATCTTGTCTCTACAAAAATAATTATTTTTTTAAAAAGAACTAGAAAATACATTTAAAGAGTAAAATCAGTAGAGATTAATAAACAGCTAGAAACTACAATGAAGTAAAAAGATTAAAAAATGGTGAAAACTGATAAGATTCCAAGAAAAATAAAAAGATAAGAAAGCTAAAATTTTAAGTGGTAATTGCTGAAAGACTTAGCTGAAGAAATTTTGAATACAGTGATACAGAAAGAAAAAATATATTAAAAGTTAAACAAAACAACAAAGAGATCATGATTCCGTGTGTCAAGGAAACATGGCCTTTGCTCTGCTTTACTCTAAATTACTCCCTATCAGGAAAAAGTGATTGATTTTTAGTAAATATTGTATCATAAATTAAAAATTACAAGATGACAGAGTTATAAAACCATATTGGCTAGTGTTAGTATGTTAATTATAAGTACAGCCATTTCATATTAAATAATAGAGATAATTTAATTTCATTCAAGTTTAGACAGTTATATCCCACAGGGAAGTCTGGCTTCTTTTGAAGTAATAAACAACTCCCAAATATCAGTGACTGCAAGAATTATGAAGAAGTATGATTTTCTTTGATTGTCTGTGCTCAGTGTTTCTTTGTGTTAATTGTGGGTTCTTCCTGTTGTTATTATCATCCTCACTATGGGAACCAGGCTGGTATGGCCATTATCTGGGCCATTGCCAGTAACCACAATGGAGGGAAAAGAGTGTGAGATATTCACTCACTCTTAGAGCTCCCACTTAGAAGGGACACACTTCCCTTCCACACATATTTCTTTAACCAAAACAAGGTTACTGCTAAATTCAAGTGTAGGAGAAATTCAATATAATCAAGGTTTTTTGGAAGGAGAAATAGCAGAACTATTTGTGACCTGTTTACGGTATACCCTAATATACTAATTTGGCTTATGGAAGAACTGGAAATTTGAAGCAATTTAATTATAACCATAAAAACAATAAAACAAATTTTAAAAACTTTCTATTTATTTCTCTCTCCTTTGTCACCCCCTGTCTTTCTATGTCACTCCTACTTTTTGTAATTATGTGTTGGGAATTGATTTACCAGCCAATCTGTATCTAGACGTCAAGCCCCCATTACAACAGGGGAGTTGAAGAAAGCACTTACATAAATACCACCCACTTGCTATGTCCCTAGATAGATGTAGTTTATTTAATTATTAAAGTGGAATAAAATAAAACTATATAATCAGTATTAAATAAATTGCAAAGGAAAAAGAAAGTTATAGAACAGACTTTGTACAAAGCTAAGTAAATGAAGAAATGATAATTTAGACCCATAAGTTAGGCTGGAAAAACTCAATTCTTAAAATGTTGAGAGTGACTTTGAATCCATCCCAACATAAATACAGCTTCAGGGGAATTGTCTAAAGAGGATGAGAGTGATGTATTCTTGTTTTCCTGTCCTAATCAGGGGAGAAATGCACAGCCAGAAAAAATATTGTTAACCCAAACATTAAATGTCAGTACTAAATATAGCATGCCTGATATAAAATGCAAAAAATAGAAGAAATTGTCAGTATTTGTGCACCGTGAGCTTAACTCTAATCTGTCAATTTGTGTTCTCAATTTATAATTTCTGCATATATTTAATCATTGTCAGTCTTTTTTAATATAATAAGAATATATTAGAAGTAATTACAATGCAGAGTAATTGTCTGAGAAAAATAGCCATATGTAACTGGAATTTTGGCTTTTTAAAACAATATTTTACGGTTAAATAATAGTTATTTTCTATGAAAGACTTTAGTCAGGACAGAAAACAAATTAATCACTGAATTTTTAAAAATTCATGTAAAGCTATTGTTTGTTTTGTTTTCTAAAATAGGCTCAATTTTATGAAATAATACACATACACATTTATTTAAATGCACCCTTCAATTCAATGAATGACACAGAATAAGTCATACTTTTTTCTGCTTGTTTGGCATTAGTAAAGGTTATAAACATAAATTAATATTTAGGTGTATCTAGTGATAATAAGGAGGTGTTATAATCGTCAGAGCATCAAATCTCTAAAAATAAGACATCTGATACAACCAATCTAAATTTGAAATTCCTAAAAATCAAGTGTGTTTCCTCTTTGCTTTCCCCACTGAATTTATAATAATAGCAGTTTCACTTGGCATGGAGTATGCTTCAAGATTAGTGATCAGAGTTAACTGCCCTTAGATTATTTTAGGCATCAGGATATGTATGACTATAAATATTTTCTGATTCTCATTCTCGAAGGATTTTAATAAATATTTATGGAATGAATGAAGTAGTTATTTCAAGAAAGTAAATAAATTCCCCAGACATTGGGAATTTGCTATTGTTTATTAGTCAGGACACATTTACTATCAAATCAGTCCAAGTCATATTGCGATAGCTGAGTAAAGGTGAGAATTATTGGGAAGTATTGGAATATTTCATGAAAGCTGGGAAGGAAATGAAACACTGCCATGCATCATTCCTCCATCTCATCCTTTTTATTCTTTACCTCTGAACTGCTTATTTTCTTCTTTCTTTCCACCAATGGTCATCAATAGCTTCTATAACTCATGTTTCAAATTAACTACCAACAGAAAAGGACTCCTCTGCTCTTTGTTATAGATTGGAAAATCAAAGAAAGGTTTATGATTGACTTAATTTGATTAGAGTTACGAGCTCTGAATCATAATCACAGTCATGGATGCGTGGCTAATGTGATTAGCTCAGTTTGGGTCACATAAGGATGCATGTTTAAGAAGCAACGGTGCTCTTAGCACTGAAATAGCCACTTGGTGTCCAATAACATTTAATGGAACCTGATATAGTCTGGCTCTGTGTCCACACCCAAATCTTATGCTGAATTGTGATACTGAGTGTTGGAGGTAAGGCCTGTTGAGAGGTAATTGGATTATGGGGGCAGTTTCTAATGGTTTAGCACTAGTGCTGTCTCATCATAGAGTTCTCAAGAGATCTGGTACTTTGAAAATGTGTAGCACTTCCCCCTGTATTTTCTCTCTCTCTATCTCTCTCTCTCTCTTTCCTGCTGCCATGTGAAGATGTGCTTGTTTCCCCTTCACCCTTCTGATGCCATGATTGTAAGTTTCCTGAGGCCTTCCAAGCCATGCTTCTTGTACAGCCTGTTGAAATGTGAGTCAATTAAACCCTTTTTCTTTATAAATTACCCAGTCTCAGGTAGCTTTGTATATCAGTGTGAAAATGGACTAACACAGAACCAATCTCAGAGAAAGAGAAATCACTCTGAATAAGGTTCTAGTAAAAGTTTCTCATCCTTTGATTAGGCAATTCCACATTTGCTCCATCTTCAAACATTTCTTGATACTGGGAATAAAAAATGGTGAACTATTGTTTTGAGAAAAATGAATACATCTCTTCAACACACATTTTAGAGCATAAATTGTAAATTAGTTTCTGTTTTTTACCCATCTGATATAGATGAGTTAGCAAAATCTCAACAAGATCTTACACTAAGGTTCTCTCATTCATGGTTTGTACTCAAGTAAGCCACTTGAGTTAGGATAAAGTGTCATTTTATATAATAAATGTGCCCAATTTCAAGCAAAAGTAATACAAAAATTGCTTACCTCTTTCAGAAATTTTTTCTAATTTTCTAAGACAAAATATAAACAAGAAATGTGATGAAAGATATTAGAAAAAAAGGCCTAGAGAAAATAAGAGAATAATGGTGGGGTTTTCTTCTTTGTAAAAATTCATTACTGAGAGGAAGAGTTATGGAATCCTGAAAAAATATTTTTGGTTTTTTTCCCACTTATGTGATGCATGCCATGAAATCCTCAGTGAATAATGTGTACCGGAAGATCTAAATATTTTAACTGTGTAAAATTAAGTGTGAAATAATAAATGTGAAAGAACCTCCAATTTGAATGTATTCCCTATGTGCTTGTCCAAAAATCTGCTTTGGTTTGTAGTGGTTATCACAAGAATTAGGAAACATGAAACTTGCCATTTAAGAAAAAAAAAACAAAGGAAACTATTCTTTCAATAGAGAAGTAAGCCTAGGTCTGCAAATAATTATTGTAAGAAATATATCTGCTAGTGATACACATATTTCAAGATATCATTCAACTTTTTTTCCTTGAGGTATGCTTAAAATTACACAATGTAGTTGTTGTTTCTAGAGTTAGAAAAAAGAGGTTGGTCTAGCTTTCTTTATCCCAACTGTTGCAGTTCTGAAAGAAAATGCCTAATCCATTAGCCAATGAACACAAGTACAAATTTCTGTAACACCAACACAATATCAAAGTATTTTAAAGGTTTAGTTACCAGTTAACTGCATAATCGTGTTGGTGCTTCAAAGATGGAGTGTAGGCTAATGTAAACTGGATTTTAAAAAAATACTCCTTTATTTTGTATCACTAAATAAATTCAGACATAGAAGTATCTGCTGATATTAATCATAGAACATAAAATAAAACTATTTATTTCTGCATTTTATAATCACAGGATTTGGTGGAGACCATTGATTTCTTTGGAAATGGCATTTTCATTTTAATTTGGAATTTTTAACACAATGTTTCTTAATGTTATGTTGTTTCATGTCCCAAAACTGACTAGTATTTGAAAAGCTTTAATTTATAGAACTTATGCTATAAAATATATTTTAATTTATTAGATATAAATTAATTTTATAATGTTTGGTGTCAGTTTTCAAAGACGAATGCCTCACCTTTCCACTCTTAGAAAATTTTATTTATTCTTAGAAGAGGTCATGACTCATGGGAAAAAGAACATGGACTTAGATATCTAGGTAAATAAGCGTCTACTTTTAGCTTTACAGTTTACCAATGCTATGATAGTTTACTTGCCATAACCCTGATAACATTTTTTCCTGTTAAATGAGAATGGCAACTATCCTCCAAATTTGCTGTGAAAATCACCTGATCACAGTAGTGTACTTGAAAGTACCAAAGACAGTAACTGGCATATAAGTCACTCAATAATAACCACTCAATATTTTTGAATATTGTTAAAATGATATCCCATAGTTATTCAATAAATATTACTATATACATTGTCAGCAATTATTTTGACAAGAAAAATCAAGTATTAAAATTGAATTATTCATTCAGTGTAAATTTGCAAGTTTTTAAGAATGTTTGCTTTTTCAGACATTCACTATACTTGAGTAAGCTATTATAAAATATAATATACCCTCAACACTGGATATGTAGACATAGTAAAAGAAACCATCCAAAATGAAACATAGACAGAAAGGATTAAAAAAATGAATAAAAGCAGAGCACCAGAAAGTGATGACAATTTCAAATAACAAACAGCCTAATATATGCAACATATGTAATTGTAGTACTCAAAAGAAATGAGTGAGCATAAAGAATATTTGAAGAAATGCTGGCCAAAAGTTCTCAAAATTTGATGAAAATATAAACTGACAAGTTCAAGAATCTCAATGACTCACAACTTAAAAATAGTGTAAAGTTAGAAGGAAGAATAAATCCTAAACAAATTTGCTTATCTTAGTATTTTTTTAAATGAAGAGGTGCATTTGAGGCAACGTCTCACATGGAGTTAACAGTTGTCAGTGTGTCAACAATACTTTAAGTAATTAGTTCGTATTTTCTAATTTTGAAGAAAATGAAGATAATCATTTTGCTGACCAATTATTTGGTTTTGAGATTGCAAACTTTAGCACATAACCCATATTAACAATTTAATGTTTCTATAATGCCATATTGATCTTTGATATTGCTTTATCGGAAGATGAAATTTAAACTTTCTCTCTCTCTCTCTGGTAACCAACAACTAAAGAACAACAAATTTCCCTGCTATTAATTTAAATGTTCCAGGAGAGTTTTTTTCAAGGCATGAAAGACTGTTGCTTCCCAAACTGGAGATGCAACGACAGAAGTGAGGTTAATCAGCAAAACTAGGTCTGTAATTCTTAAAAAACAAGACGACATCCACTTAGCTGAAAAGAACTGTCTCTCTATAGCTGTGACCCTCTGCCTCTGCCAGAGGAAGATTCTTCTGAGATTTTCCTAGATAAAACCATTAAGGCTATGTAAGTTTATGAAATTGTAAACCAAGTTCTATTTACATGTACTCTAAAAGTAGAAATGCAGGATATCTGTAGAGTTAACTAAATTAAGAGACAACAGGGTTGAATTTTTTCCCCATTTGCTCATTAATGTAGAGTAACACTTACGATGCCTCATTCAAAATTCTGTCTTAGTTGTAATTCTATGAAGGTGAAAGAGATGGGAAGACAAAAATAGAGAATATTTATTAGGTTCAAATATGCTTTTATAAACCTCAAGAGGACATCACTAAATATATAGTTAAATCACTTTATTTAGGAGTGTGAGCGAAATAAAGCATTTCCTTCATCAAGCAAACTATATAAGAAGAATTACTTTCCAGTTCATTACTTTTATTCTTAAGTTACATAGCAGATCCTCAATTATTATACAAAGCTCTGTGTGGCCAGTATTTTTTTAATATGTGTCAAAAGTCCCAGAATATTGAGCATTATAAGGATTATAAATTCTACATAAACCTGTGCTGTATTTGGGAAGTGATCTGGTGAGGGTAAGGTATCAGAGTCCAGGATTCCCTAGATTTTGCTTTGTTCTTAGAGTAATGAGACTTGTGGAAGGGAGGTAAGGCTCGAGCATCCCCATAGAGGGTCTACCTTACAGTCATTTAATTCTTAGAGTCAAACCGCTTCGTAAACTGCTGTTTATTATAGCTCTTCAAGTTTCCGTGTGGAATAATTTACTAGAATAACAGTTCAAAGCTCCTTTCCCACCAGGTATCCATTTCTCTCTGTGGGCAGAGGAGTGAGTGATATTTCTGATTTCAGATTTAACAAAAAGGAGCTGGACATGCTTAGCCTAGCCCTTTGCTTTTTTAGATTCAGGGGTCTCTTCATGATATAAATTTTGCAGGGGTAACCTCAACAGAGGGAGTTTGTAGTTTTCCAGCTATGTGTGTACCTGGGTGGGTAAGTGTAATTCTTTGATGCAGTGTTAGCAAGCTATGTCTTCCAACCTAGTGGTTGTCATAAAGATGATATATTTATCTCCATCTGTCTGACTCCTGCATCTAGGCCACACTTTCTCCTGTTACACTCTTTGTATATATTCATGATGGCTCTTGTTTCATTCTATTGCATTTTTAATTTATCCGTCTCTTTCACTTAAGTTATCAGTTCCATTGTAGGTAGGGGATGTCAATTCTATCGCCCCATTTTTATTGCTTAAAAGGTTTACATATAAGAAACAGGGAATAAATATTTGTGGAGTCAATGGATGAAAAGTGCCCCAAGAATTCCATATGACAAATTTTATCTTGAATATATATTACAAGTTTTGAAATAAAGGTCCAGTGACCTTATTCAATAGGCTTGCTGCTGTTTACCGGAATACAAAACATAAAGGTGATAGATTAGTTTTAACAGGTACCATAACAGGGAGCCAACCTCAGTCCTTAACCTGCTGAACTTAGGAGAATCAGGGAGACTGTTCTAGGCAATTAAACACCCCCTGAAACACACACGGATACATTTTTTGTCTCTTCTATTGGATAATTCATCTTATGACCTGTGGTTCTCTGTGCGACTTTTTTCTACCTAGATCAAGTGAGAGAAATAGAAGTCTTATTGAGGGTTAAAGAAGTTCCATTGGCACAATGACAGGAGACAGCCTTTGCAAACACATGTATTTCTCATTCTTCTAGCAGAGCAGTCCTTCCAAGTCAAAACAGCTGTTTGATGTGATCCCTCAGAACTTATTACATATATTATCTTACCTTTAAAAATGATATATTTATATATACACATATATAAACACACACACTCATATATATACACTAATAAATATATATATACATATATGTGTCTATTTCAATAATGGTTTTGAAGTATTCTTTAAGATTAAAATAAAGTCCAGGAAGCAGAAATTTAGAATCATCAATATAGGTTAAAAAAATGCATTATCAAGAATGGGGAATGTTAAAAAAAGCAGGTATTCATATTTATTTGCTGAAATATTAGCTTATGAAATAAAGACTAAGCTGGAATTTTATAAGTATTAAATAAAAATAAAACTTTTCCAGGCCCTTTTATAATGCCTCAAATATCAGGCAAAAATGTTTTCATTTCCTTTCTTTTCTAAGAAGAAAATAATAGTAATAACTATGATATTGAACTGCCTCTGGGATTTGGTAAAACATTATACAAAGTCCAACCTGCACATTTTTAGTTTTCATGACCTGAACTGAACATGACCTTATCCCATATTTCCAACTTCCTTTTCAAAATTGAGAAATTAGTGATTTATAACATCATGTCATTTTTGGCTAAGGTAACATATCATAAATGATGTTGCACGTTGTTACAACATGCAGAGTGTTGAACAAATATTTCTGTTCTCTTACCTCTTTCTGTGTTGTTTATTCACTTGTATTCCTAGGAGATGCCAACTCAACACAAAACTTTCTGGCATAGAGATCTTTAAATGGGTGGAAATACCCAACTACATTTTTGGTTTAGTACTTGTGCTAGCTATAGAATCCCTCAAGCCTACAGGAAGAAGCTATTAAAATGGATTCCCTACATGTTCATTTCAAATGGGTCAGAAGGTTACACAACAATATAAAACAGCACACTAGAGCTTTAAAAATGATTTCTACTTTGTTACATTTATTAATGCTAATAACTCTGAACATTTTATAGAGGGAAAAAACACTTTACTGTTGAACAATATCATGTCCATCTGTGGACATATGGTATTTGTAAAATATCCTTATTCACAGCATTATGTCCTCATTTCTAATTTTAAAATGAAGTTTAGTTTTGTCTCAAATTTAAATGTTTCTTTATTCTCCTAAAAAAGTTATTCTTGGCATTAGCATAAAATTAAAAAGTAGATTTCATACAAAGGCATGATATATTATCCAGAAAATATGTGGAATTATAGTGTAGAAATATTTTAATAGGAAACAAGAGTAGGAATGTTTTTTAATTTCTATTTATTAACTTTTAAGTTCAGGGGTAGATGCACAGGTTTCTTATATAGGTAAATTCGTGTCATGGGGGTTTGTTTTACAAATTATTTTGTCACCCAAATATTAAGCCTAGTACCCATTAGTTATTTTTCCTGTTCCTCTCCCTCCTCCCAACCTTCACCCTCTAGCGGGCCCCAGTGTCTGTTGTTTCCCTCTGTGTCCACGTGTTCTCACAATTTAGCTCCCACTTACAAGTGAGAAAATGCACTATTTGGTTTTCTGTTCCTGCATTAATTTGCTAACAAAAATGATCTCCAGCTCCATCCACGTCCCTGCAAAGGACACGATCTCATTCCTTTTTATGGTTGCTTAGTATTTCATGGTGTGTATGTGCCACGTTTTCTTTATTCAGTCTACCATTGATGGGAATTTAGGTTGATTCCATGTCTTTGCTATTGTGAATAATGCTGCAGTGAACATTTGCTTGCAAGTGTCTTTATGATAAAAGGATTTATATTCCTTTGAGTATATACCTAGTAATGGAACTGCTGGGTCAAACGCTGTTTCTCTCTTCAGGTCATTGAGGAATCATCACACTGTTTTCCACAATGATTGAACTAATTTACACTACCACCAACAGCGTATAAGTTCTCCTTTTTCTTTGTAACCTCACCAGCACGTGTTTTGGTTTTTGTTTGTTTGTTTGTTTGTTTGTTTTTAACTTGTCAATAATAGCCATTCTGACTGGTGTGAGATGGTATCTTATTGTAATTTGATTTACATTTCTCTAATGATCAGTGATATTGACCTTTCTTTCATATGCTTTTTGGCTTTTGAAAAGTGTCTAGTTATATCGTTTGCCCACTTTTTGATGTGGTTTGTTGTTTTTTCTTGTAAATTTGTTTAAGTTCCTTAAAGATACTGGATATAAGAACTTTGTTAGATGCATAGTTAGCAAAAAATTTCTCCCATTTTATAGGTTGTCTGTTTTCACTGTTGACAGTTTGTTTCGCTGTACAGAAACTCTTTACTTTAATTAGATCCCATTTGTCAATTTTTGCTTTTGTTGCAATTAGTTGTGGTGTCTTCATCAGGAAATCTTTGCCAAGTCCTATGTACAGAATGGTATCACCTAGATTTTTTTCTAGGGTTTTTATAGTTTTGGATTTTAAATTTAAATATTTAATTCATCTTGAATTAATTTTTGTATATGATGTAAGGAAGAGGTTCAGTTTGAATTTTCTGCACCAGGCTAGACAGTTATCCCAGCACCATTTATTGAATAGGGCATCATTTCCCCATTGCTTTTTTCAAGAGCTTTGTTGAAGATCAGATGGTCGTAGGCATGAAGCCTTATTCCTGGGCTCTCTATTCTGCTCCCTTGGTCTATGTACCTGTTTTTATACCAGTACCATGTTGTTTTGGTTACCGTAGCACTGTAGCACAGTTTGAAGTCGAGTAGAGTGATGCCTCCAGCTTTGGTCTTTTTGCTTAGAATTGCCTTGGCAATTCGGGCTCTTTTTTGGTTCCTTATGAATTTTAAAATATTTTTTCTAGTTCTATTTATTTCTACAAAGTGCTTTACTTGTCTATTTTATTTAAGAAAACATGCATGCTCTTTAATAAAAGCTAAGCATTTTTCTTTCATTTATTAACTCAGGTAATTCCCATAATACCCCTATAAAGTCGCTACTATTAGTATCACCATTTTGTGGATGAGAAAATTAAGCTACGCAGTGCTTAAGGAACATACCCAAGGTCACTCAGCTAGTGTGATGGAGCCAGTTTCAGAGCCTATACTCTCACTCCTTATACAGTCACTGAAACTATAGAATTTCAAGGAAGAAAAAAAAAGGCACTCCAAAATGCTATGAAATATTATTACTTACTTTTTGTTCAGATAGTATGGAAGTACATTTACAGTTACATTTATATTTACAGTTAAACTCATGATTTCTATACAAAATTTTTCTTCAGGTTTAACACAAATATTATCATAAATTTTAGTCTGTTATGAAAAGTACATTTAAATTTCAGCTTAAAATGCATATAATACTATTATCTTTATGTACCTATCCTTTTGTTATTTGTGAAGGGTTAGATTGTATAATATCAGGTATAAATAGGAATACTATCAATTATGGTCAATGCAGATGATCCTTGACCTGCAATGGGATTATGTTCCAACAAACCAGTCAGGGGTTTAAAACTATCAGGGCGGGCCGGGCGTGGTGGCTCACGCCTGTAATGTCAGCACTTTGGGAGGCTGAGGCGGGCGGATCACGAGGTCAGGACATCGAGACCATCCTGGCTAACACGGTGAAACCCCGTCTCTACTAAAAATACAAAAAATTAGCCGGGTGTAGTGGCGGGCGCCTGTAGTCCCAGCTACTCGGGAGGCTGAGGCAGGAGAATGGCGTGAACCCGGGAGGCAGAGCTTGCAGTGAGCCGAGATTGCACCACTGCACTCCAGCCTGGGCGACAGAGCGAGACTCCGTCTAAAAAAAAAAAAAAAAAAAAACTATCGGGTTGAAAATGAGATTGATGCATCTGACATATGGAACATCATTGTATAACCTGGCCTACCTTAAATGTGCTTAAAACCCTTACATTAGCCTGTAGTTGGGTAAAATCATATAACACAAACCTTTTTTATAATAAATTGTTCAGTATCTCATGTAACTTATTAAATGCTATACTGAAAATGAAAAACATAATGGCTGGTTGCCACCACCAAACATCACAAGAGAGTATCTTATTGCATATCACTAGCCAGGAAAAATATCAAAATTTAGAATTTAAAGTATGGTTTCTACTGCATGTGTATCACTTAAGAACCATCGAAGTCAAAATATCATAAGTCAAACCATCATACACTAGAGACCTTCTGTACTTGGAGGATGTGGTTGATCTTTTCCATTTATTATCTTACAATAATCAAAATAGTCTTAGGAGCAGGTATATTTATTTCTATTTTAATTAGGAGGAAAGTAGACACAGGACAGTTAAATAAATAATTGAATGTCACATAGACATTATTAATATTACATAAATAATGTCATATAGACATTATTTATAGACTAATATAGGATGTGAATCTGTAGTCTCACTGGAATTCCTATTCTTATATATTTGCCACATTATCTCCCATTGAATAAGCCATTGTGCAAAAAGAGTTCTCCAGAGTCAGCAAGTAAGAGAACTTTCAGTAGTATAGATATATTTAGCCAATTTGATACATTAAGGGATTGTATCATTTCCTTATTTAACTGGACTGCAGATGTTAAGCAAGCTCTATTGGCATTGGGAGCACTTTCTGAACCCATCTATCTTTATATCTCTATACATATGTAAACATACTTCTAATAATATATTTAATCATTTTAAAGGGAAAGTTAACATATACTTATTTAAATATATACTTTATATTTAATAATTAATTGAAATTAAATTTTACTTATATATTTCTAAGTTTAATTTCCTCTATCATATATTTTTTCAATAATTATGGCGTTTTAGGTTATTTTGTAATGCATGAGGTGTATTAGTATAATAAATTACACACTTCTTCTGCTTTACTTGCTGTTTCTTTTGTCTGTGTTGTCTCCATTTTTAGAAAGATGGTTTGTAGCTATATTAACACAATGGCTGAATAAGTTTCTGTGCCATATTTTCATAATTTTAATCCAGCAGAAGAGGAGTTATGCTTAACCATTTGCTTCCATAAAGTGACAACACTGAAACTAAATACTTCTAGTCAGCCCAGTTTAAGCCAGGAGTCTATCTTTGGAAGTAATCTCATGGCCAAGTCAATGAGATACATTCATTTGCCTAGTTTTAGCTCTCAAAACAGTATCTTTGAATCAGGAACTGAAACCCTTCCTGATTAAAGCATGAACTACAAGTCAGTGAGATGTGACTTTCCAAATGAATATTATAAGCAGCTAATTTAAGTATGAAAAAGGTATTTTGATTGGCTGAAATTTATAAATGTAGCCTGTATCAGTGAACAAATTAGATAATCACTAGTCTCTTGGAGTTTATACTCTTGTGGGTGAAGATAAGAAGTAAGTATGATAATGAAGTAGGTGAAAATAAGAGTTGATATATTGTAAATGAATTTATAGTGTAATGTTTATAATGTTTGGCAACTTTGATGTCATATTGTGCTTACTTTATGAAATATCTACATTTTCTATGAGCTGGAATATTTGTAAAATTTAGAACTGTTAGTCAATCAAAAAATATTGATATTAAGAAAAAATTACTCATATTGATCATCAGGGTATATACAGTCCAATAGGAAGGATGAGATGTGTGAATACATTTAATTTTTAATTACACATTTGTAAAGCAGAAATGATAAATCATAATGCAATTAAGGAACAAAATATTTAGGTCTCTAATAGTTCAGAAAGATTCCCAGTGATATAATATATGTGAATAATACAGATTTTTAATAAGAGTATGGTAGACCTCCCCAGCAGAGACTAAACAACCCAAGTGAAGAACGTCGGTTAGTTTGGCACAAACAGAAGAGAATGATGACAACTTAATCCTGTGCTCAAATAAGCAATGTGTATTTGGAGAAGGTATTTGACAATGTGCAGTATATGAGTTGTAACATTTCAATAATTGTTCATGTAGATCTTATGTTAAACAAACTTAATAGAAATTTTCCAATAATTTTAATTTGTGTTTATAGTTGAACAGAAATTCTTGGCTTACATAAACGATTTCTTTGTAGAGTGTCTTCTAAACAAAGGTGTAATGAGATGTATTGTTTTTCTTTATATTACTTTATGATGAAACTCTTATTTACATAGTGGAAATATAGTGATTATAAAGATTTCAAAGGTTAAAAATAGCACCACATTTAAAAATAAAAATTATGTTTATTGACTATAGAAATCCATATCTTACATAAATGACAAGTATTTTTTTCCATCAGTGAGATATTTTTATTTATCTCTTTGTTGATTTATGAGATTTGTGGCCAATGTAAAGAATATTTGTGTTATCAAGGTTTTTGACTTTTGTAGTCTTTTATCCTTTCAGAGCCATATGTTCTCTCTCAGGAAGTTAAAAGCTCAGCATTTTTTGTTTATTATATTGGCAAAAAGCAGAGGACTACCTGGACTTACTTTTCTATTAATATGCCAAAGTAGATACTCTGAGGAAATTTCTGATACAAAACACCTAAAAATTCTGGAAAACATGTAGCAGACATTTGTTTATGCAACGACATCCTTATAGGAGAATAAGAAAAATCCCCGGAGGCTAAAATAAGAAAGAAAATTGCACAAAAACATTGCAAGCTATAGTCACACTTGCGGCATTTATTAGTTGTGATAACTAAAAGTACTGGGTTATAATGCTAGACCCTAGACTATCTAATTCCTCCATTTAAAAATGTTTCCAAAAATCTTCTTGGCCAACAAAGGCACCTGAAAAGGGAAATTATTTACCTGGTCATGGATAATATGATTAAAGGATTTCATGCTGAGGGAATGACATTATACAGTTTCTAATTTGGTAGCACCCAGGAATAACTGACAAAAGTAAATGCAAAGGACACTCATAGACAGAGAAAATCTCAGAAAGAAAATTTAAAAACCTAGTAAAAATGATTCAAAATCCAAAATTACAAAGCACCTGAGGAGAGAAAAAATAAGTGTGGTATTTCCTAGGGGTGGGTTTCAGAAACTGGACCTCAGGCAGTGGTTGTCTCTTCCAGGAGGAGATGATATGTTTGAGAAAGTGACCTGTGAAACAGACGACTGGTGAACATCGGGAAACGTTTGGGAGTTGGTTTGTACTGAGCTCTTGCACCAGTTGAATTGTTTAACACATCATCAGTATCTAAGAACATTCAGAGAGGATAAGGGACAAGGCAAAACAGAACAGAGTCATCCTTGTGAACTCTACTGTTAAATTTATCGATTACATTTTAAAGGCTATAAAGTATTGTTAATGGCATATACTTAATAGGTGTTACAAGATCCCTCCAGCAAAAATAGTAAGAATCAATTATTGTCTTGACAACTGGATTGTTTTTACTAACATGGCTTGAAATTCTGTTTGACAGTTGGCCTCACCCCTATCTACTTGCGGGCAAGGTCCAGCCAGCCCTCTCTTTTCAGGGTTTCACAGTCTAAATAATTCTTCAGACTGCCCACCTCTCATCTCTTGGGTCTAAGAAAGCATAGCCATTGTTTCCAAGTTCAATTACTTTTAATAAACTTTCAAAAGATTTTTTAAAAATTCATATCAACTTTTATTGATACTCCAAAATATCAGAGTGGAAGTGAACAGCCTTCTTCTTCTTGGCTTAGAAACAGAGTTTTAGCTAAGTTCTACAGCCCCTAAAATGGGGACATTGACTCTTCATTTATTTTCTAAGACTTACAGAAATATATGAATAAAGAATGAGTGTTAAAAGAAAGAGAAAACAAAAGTAAACAAAAAAATAAAATAAAAATGAATAAAATAGAAAAGAATGAGTGTTAATTTCTGCCACTTTATTTCAGTTAGTGCCAGTGCAGGGAGGCAAATTTATCTGTACAAATTTATCTGTCAAATGTAAAGCTGGTTCTTTGACACTGCAATTTTCTTGATCCTTGTTCAATTCAATCTAGTATTTGTAGGGACCATGGCTCATCTGAAAATTATGAAACTGAAGTTTCAACTTCCCAGCCTCTTAGAATATTTTAATTGACCAAATACCATGCACACAATCATTCAACTTTTAGGCAGAATTATGAAAAGGGAAATCTTTCATACACCTTCACCAATGACAGATCTATGGCTTGATAATTAACCTTTGTTTTTTACTTAAGGGGCAAATTATCTAAAGAGAAATTGTACTGTAGGCCTAGTTCTCTGAAGAATATGTTTGATAGCTCTGTGAATATCATTACAAAATATCTTTAAACTCAATTAATTTTCAGAAATCACAGAGTTCATAAATCACCATCTTCTTTTTATTTGTTTGTTGTTTGGCTTTTCATTATCAACAAAAGATAGGACTTTCCAAACAGCAGTTGGCTCTTTAATGTAATACAACACAGTATTATTAAAACTAAATCTAAGAATTTTTTGTCATATATATATATATATATATATATATATATATTTCTTTTCCCTTTTCACAGGATATCCTGATCCAAATAATTTCTTATTATGATTTTATACCTTAACACTTGACCAATATCTGCCTGTAAAGTAGGTGGCTCCAAATTGGGAGAAGATTCTGAGTACATTTTTCAATTCCAGTGTTATCATTTTACTACTCATTTCATGATTTCAGTTTTGAAGATAAATGAAAATTGTCAAGATACATAGCTAAATACAATAATTTATTTAAGGTTGTAGTAAATGCAAGCATGTATTATGGAGGAAGCACAGAAGTATCCTTCCCATTGTACAGGGTTTTATAGCTTCTCTGTCTTATCATAAAGACAAAATAGGAGAAGTGTCACCACCTACACAAAGTGAGAAACTACCAGACTGGAAACACCTGCATTTGTCATTCTGTGGGTTGTTAGACACTTATATCTCTATACCAGACTATTTAAAAAGGTTCAACTTGCATAGCTGCCTGCTGATTAGCTGGAATTATCCTATTTAAGTTTTAAATTCTCAATGTAGCCTCTATGAGGAATTTGATATGTGGTAGTATAGAGAGGAATTAAGGAGTGTGTTGTGATTAATCCCTATGTACACATGTATGTTGAAGGTAACATGACGAGTCAAGAAAAAGAAATATTCGGTGGTTAGTGGTTAGAAACTCTCTGACACTACAGCAGAATTGCCTAGGTTCAAATGTTGGTTACATTCTTTATTAGCTATGTGATGGTGAGTACCATGTATAAACTCTCTGGGCATTATTTTCATCAACTCTAAATAGGAAAAATAAAGCCACTTTATTTGGTTACAGTGATTATTAAATATATATGAATAGGTGTGTATATATACACACATACAAATGCACTTGCATGCACGTGCACATGCGCACCCACACATATACATGATGGTTGGTCTAGGAAGCACTCTACATTTGTAGTTATTTCCATGTGTATGTGTATGAGTGTATGTGTGTGTGCTGTGTAGTAGTATAGTAGCCACAATAGAATTATGTTAATGGATTTAGAGTTAAATTTAGAGTTAAATTTTGCCAGAAATTCTTGAACAAATAGATAAACAACATAAGGTAAATGGAGGACCGAAGAATGACCCATAGATATCTAGCTTGTATGATTGATGGTGTTATTATTTAAGATGGGAAAGGGTAGAGTGATGGGATTAAAAAAGAAAAAGAAACTGAAATTGTGTTTGCCTGTCTCCAAAGTCTACACTTTAAGCAATTCCTACTACTTGTCTTTTCTATATGCTATGGCAAGTGGCCTCCTTTCATAGTTAAGCTGTGACGGCCAAGGAGAAAGGGAGTTACTTTTTACAATGCACCCCTTTCCCAAGGACACATTGAAAAAACATGAAATATACATGAAATAAGTGTGTTAATTATGCAAACAGAGCTTCAAAATAAATTTCCTACCTCCTTTTCAAAATACACAGCTGTTCCTTAGTGTTTTCTCAGACATAAATTTTGCATCCACTATTCCCGCAAAGATCACAGATTCACAGAGAAAATTATCTGGAATAAGGACGACAGGCTATCCAAAGAAGATAATGTATGTAGGGTCCATCAGAAATTCTGTTAATTGGACCAAATGACATTGCTAATATTTGGGTTTTTTTTTTGGAACAGCAAAAAAATAAAGTCTCATATAGTTCAACCAACAGGTGTTGCTGGTCAGGTGATTTTTCTGATCAGTCTAATAGCTATCATCTTACAAACAAGTCTCTTCTACATTCTGCCATCATTATTATTTTTTTAAAAACTATTTGACTCTATTTTTTTCTGCGTATATTTCTTCTGCTCTTTCCTTTATCAATAAATGAAATCTCAACATATATTTTTGTGTGATTTCCCAAAGAAGAGAATCAAACCAATCCAACTATTTTCCTTCTTGGAGCAGACATTTCTTTCCAGATACAGAATTTTTGCTTAATTTCAAAATGTATTAACATTTAGTGTTTGTAATTATTAATATTTGGTATTTTCATTCAATATTCTAATGATATCAAAGACAACTTTAGAACATTTTTAAGTAAACTTGGAAAATATAAATTAATTTTTTAGCCACTAGGTGACTTTTGACAGCAGCAAATTGCTTGGTAAAAATTTTTTCTGAATTTGTTATATATATATAAATTCAATATATATACACACATATATGTATGAATTTGTTATATATATAAAACATACATATATAGATACATAAATATATAACAAATTTATACATATATGTATATATGTATGTATTTTATACATGAATAGTGTACATTTTCCAAGCTTTAAACTAATTAATCACCTTAAATTGTTTCTTTTTCTATTTTTAGTCTAATTACATGGATAATAAACTTTACCCTTATGTAAAACATTTTCCCTATAAACAATTTCACATTTTCAATTTTTTCTACCATCAACATTAGTAACTGTGATTTAATTAATAAACTCTTTCCTAGTGCAATAGAAGCAAGACCCTGACTGTTAAATCAAAATTTACTAAACTATTTTACAAAATAAAACTATCAGATGATTTCTTGAAAAAGTTAAGCTTTATTAAGCAAAACAACACATAAGTATTTTGCACTGAATTTTTTGAAGAGATTAAATCAGTCCTTGGGTCAGTAACTTCTATTTTATTCACCATTAATATGATACAATGTGATGTGAACTTTCTATTTTCTATATATTAATATCAACTTCAAGTAATGTTTTGTTACTCTGTACATCTGAATTTTGTGGTTTTGAGATGATGTAGCAGAGATCAGGAAAATGCCAGGAGAGACTTACTGATTTATATTGCTCTCCAAGGCACTGGCCAATGTGCAAAAATAAAATTAAAATAAAAAATAAAATTGGAAGTTGAATAATCCAAATCCAATTTTGCATGATGTAGTAGGATTTCAAGTGCTTCAAGAATCCCAGGAGCTAGGCTGACACTCCTGAGCATCCCGGGAAGTTGGAGCATCTGTCTTCTAACCTGCAAAAGAGATATGGATTTTTGCCACATCTAATTAATAGATTTTATTGTAATTCAAATGAGTTAATGATTATGAAATAGCAGCAAAAACTTGGAATCATAACAAAAATATACTTTAATATTGATTATTCATGAGGAAACATAGAAAGACAAAATGACTAATTATTATAGACTATCATCTTTAAAAGTTTCATGCTGTGATCTGAATGACTGTGTCTCCACAAACTTCATAGGTTGAAAAGTTAATTTTCAAAGTAATGATATTAGGAGGTGAGGTATTCTGGGAGATGACCTTGAGTGTCATCCATGTCTGATTTAGATGATATTCAGATGAAAGTCTGGACTTTAGACTTTTGAATTGATGATGGAATGAATTAAGACTTTTGGAGCTATTGAGGTGACACAAATGTATTTTGCATGTGAGGAGGACATAAATTTGGTGGGTTAAGGCCTTGAATGCCATGGTGTGAATGTCTATATCTTCCAAAATTCATATATTGACATCTTAATCCCTAAGGTGATGGTATTAGGTATTAGGAAGTGGGACATTTTGGGAATTGTGTCATGAGGGTGAAACCTTCAGGAATGGTTGCTTACTACCCATATAAAATAGGCCCAAGGGAGGTTCTTTGCCTCTTTCCTTGTGTAAGAACACAGTGAGAAAATGCCCTCTGTAAACCAGGAAATGGGCCCTCACCAAACACTGACTTGGTTGTACCTTGATCTTGGAATTCTCAGCCTCCCGAATTCTGAAAAATACATTTCTGTTTTTTATGAGTTACACCGTTTAGGGTATTTTGTTAAGAGTAGCCCAAATGGACCAAAATGGTCCATATACCTCTTTCTTTGAAATTCTATGGAGAATATTTTATAAACTTGAATACAGTGGTTAAACTAATCACTTACAGGTTCTAATTGATAGTCTGACTCATTCCTATTGCAATTTATTTCAGTTGTGTGGTTCTCCACTCATGCAAATGCAAAACAGTTGGTCACCTTTACCAAATTATGCACACCACTTCATTTCATACTATTATTAGATCTCTTTAGCTGTCTTTTGTCTAAGTCAAGGGAATCTAATTTCTTTAGTTTGTACTCACTAACCTGATTTTCCAGCTGTTTAATCATCTCCTTTTTCTTTCCACTAAACCCTGCTCATTTTTTTCTTATTTTTACTTATTTCCACTGAGTTTGAGGCACTGAATTTAGAAACACTATTCAAATAATGACATAATTATTGTGACTTCTCCAAATTTCTGGGTAATATAATTTTTAATGTTGGAGACTCATACTTGATTGATCACTTTAATTGGTAGCCATTTATTTTTAAAAATAAATATTAGTCATTTGCTATAATCTATTCCCACAAAGTAAGAAAGTGTATATAAGCCTCATAGAGATGAAAGGATATGGTATCAATTTCTTACATTACTTCACATGTAAATACCTTGTAATTTTGCCCCCCAGCTTAGCTCCCTCAGGGTGGAAATAAATGGGTGGTCAGTAATATTACAAAAGGCCTCACATTTATTGTTCACTTATGGTATAGTAAATATATAAAATACATGCTGAAATAAAATCACATTTTTAATGACAATAAGGAAGCTTTTTATGAAAAATAATTAATACCATGATTATTCGTTTAGCAAAACACAGATTCTTTAGTTCAATTCTAAGGGAGGTACATGGTCAGTGGGGGCTTCATAATGTCCTTACAAAGTTATTATAATTATTTTTGAGTCCTTCTTGGACTTTTCTTGTCTGAATAGAAGTTCATTCACACAGTTGGCAGCTTATAGATAATGAATTAAGTGTTCAAGTTGTGAATTCTGATAAATAACACATTCCATAAAGAAGCCAAACCAAAAATGTTGCTTTTTTTGAAATAATAAAAAATAATGGAAAAACATGTATTTAATATGTTTGTAATATATTACACAACAATAATCAAATGAACAATCCCAACCAATTCATATAGGTCTGTATTTCACTTCATAGCTTATAATTATATTTACTCAAATTACATTGTGAATTTGTAAAACATAAATTAAATACCAAATATTTTTGGTAATAGTTTAAAGAAAATACACTCCAGTAATAAATTTTTCATATAACTAACTGAAATTTTAAATTTTGTTTTGATTCTGTAAGGCTTAACAGAATAGTAAGGGTATCTTCATGAATGAATTTTTATAGACAATAAAACACAATTCTTACAACTAACATGATTATAAAATTTCTACATGAGCCATTATGAGAACAAGTTTCCAGGAAATTTTTAAAAAGTGCCAAAAAAAGAAACCAGTATATAAAAGAACAGAAATAAGTAACATATGTATTATGGAAATACTTTCACTGCTTTTTAAAATGTTTCTTTGGTGTTAGACACAATATTTATTTTTAGACATTCCAGTTTTAAGTGGCACAATCAAGAAAAAATTTTCACCGTCTCTTTCAGAATGTTTGAATAATATTAGGAGATATCTGTAATCCCAAACTATAATACAAAAAGAAAACTGGACAAATGCAATGAAGGTTAAGTGGAGGTATGGAAAGTCCATAAAGTTGACAGTGTTGAACTTCACATGAGCCCTGAAAACAGCAGTGGTTAAGAAATCCCCCCAACCTTTCCTATTATGGAAATGGCTTACCACAAAGAACTATCCTTCCTCATGTGACTACTTAGACTTACTCCCCATTCTTTTTCATGGTTGTCATAACACATATAGATATCTCCCTGCTTTCCTGTGACAAGGCTGAACAGATATCTTTCTCATTTTTTCTGAACCTAACAAAGACAGGCAAAGACCCTTTAACTTCCCATTCTTTGTCTGATGAATGTTTAGCTGAACTGTTTTTTCCCTCTAAACGAGCTAGACACATAAATATTTCTTGTTTAGTTGACTCACAGGGACGTTCCTTGGTTGCAAAATCAATCCCAAATTTAAGTCATCTCAACTATACCTTGTCTACCGCTCCTTATAAAAGTGTAAGGCAAAACATCCTGCTAAGATACTCTGTTCTTCAGATCTGAGGTGCTATGCCTATTACCATAGCCTGGGTAAAATAAAATTCTTTACTTGTTCGGTTTCTGTCCTTAAAAGAGGGAATATTCAAAGATGTGCATCTTATAAAATGAGACAGATGGGATTTCTGTGCATGACATTCAAGAGCACAGAGACATTAAATTATAAATCTCATCTATAACACTTAGAATATTTTTAAACTTAAACAAATTTACCTAAAATGTTTGCCTTAATTGTCTCAATATAAAATCTATCCTAGTGTATAACTTATTTCATAGTGTAATTGTGAAAATTAAATGAGTTACTATGTATCTATATATCTACACATATCACTTAGAACTATGCAAAGCACATAGTAAGCATTTTTGGAATGTTAGCTCTTATTATTATTGCTTCTAAATGTTAGTTAATATTGTTATTATTATTATTTATTTTATTTTTTCTCTTAAGTGAGTCACACAACATGACAGGAAAAAAAAATCCAATTCAGAAAAACGGGATAAAATTGAGTTAGCTGGAAGTGAGAACATCCTTGAATGCCCTTTGAAGTGAGTGTGGAGGACTAAATTATGAATCACATAGAAAGTCAATTTATGTAAGATGGAGCAAGAAATAGAATACAGGACAATCCCCCTAAATTATGAGCTTATATTTTAGTTACAAAAACTAGAAATTAACTTACATATATACACATTGTTATAAAAAGAATTCTTGTTTCCTTCGAAGGAGACCTTGACGTTACCTCTGTACAAACCTCATGGACATAGCTGGTCCAAGAAGAATTAATCTCCTAAAAACATGAGTAATACTCAAATACAGACAAATAAACTACTCATTTATTTATTTGTTTATTCATTCAACCAACATTTTATGAGAATTCACTACTACCAGACTGTATTTTAATATATTAGTAAACAAAGACATCAAGTTGCCTTTTGGCAACATTATTAACAACATAAACATCTTTGTTAGTGCATTGAAATGTATTCGCATAGAATTTTCATCATACTGGAAGACACAGATAATAAACAGCTATAAACAGATAATATTCAGAGAATAAACAATAAATATTAAAAGTGAGTAAATTTTATATTATGTTAGGTAATGATAAGGACTGAAAAAAAGGTGAAAAAAGATGAAGAGAATGAGGAATGCTGATTAGTAGAAAGTGGAGATACTTGAGGTATAATATTAAATTGGATGGTCAGGGTAATCTTCTTTGAATAGATGAGATTTGCATGAAGATTTGCAGAATATAAGGCAATTAGCCAAGTGAACGTGTTGAAGAATATGCAAGGTTCAGACAAAAGCTGAAGTGCAAACCCTAAGACAAAAATACACTTTGTTTGAGGAAGAATAAGGAGAACTGGAAGAAATGAGAAGACTTTACAGCGTTTAATAGAGAAGTAAGAATTGAATTTGTGATTTCACAGGAATACTATGGCTAGTCTTCTAATGATAGAAAAAGGAAGACCTATTAGAAGGATAAATTTAAGAGAGAGAGAGAGAGATTAATGTGGCCGATACCAGTGTGCATTGGTGAGAAGTGTTCAACTTCTTTCTTTCTTGTTCTTATCTTTCATGTTTACAACTGTTTCACACAGAAGTAATCAGGTATTGAGAGATTGAGAACTGATATTTTTATAAATTTTCTTAAAGTAGATTTGTTTTACTTCAAAATTAGTTCTTATTTTGTTGCATACAACTGTCTTCAAAAGGAATGTGGGTGATTCTAATTTTGTGAAAATATAATTATGTAAACTATGAAGTATGTAGAAGACCAACAGACTTATTCATTGGTCAAAGAAAAACAAATTAAAAATGAGAAGGAATAATTTTCTTTTTAATCTTCCCTTCATTAATAAACGCTTTTCAACTATTACAATAAGTAAAACAAGTGTATCTGAACTTCTGCAAAATTCCTGCTTTTGAGAATGGAATAATTGGTATAAAAATCTACAACAAAATCATCCAACTGGCTATTTGATATTTTTTATGACAAAAAGGTAGTTTTATTGAAAGTTTTGCCTTTTTGCTAGTAACATTTTATTAGCCAAATAGAATAAAATATATTATGTCAGTGTAAGAATGAGATGCTTATAAAGACCAGAACAGCAGAAACTAAACATGTAGGAAACATTCCATTTGCTCCAGAAACGCTGTTTGTCGTGGTTGTTGTAATATATCAGTATTTATAAAATTTATCTTTTTTTCTAATAGCGACACTAAATTCCCTCTAGTTACAGTAATAGCCTGGTTGATTCTGCCTTTCATCCACAATGGTTATTTTTATGTATATTTGATGGAAAATATTAAATAAGCCAACCCCTGCTCCCACCTGAACATTTAATGTTGCTTGTGAGAGCTATGCATATATCTAGGTGATCCTGACAACTCCTAGCTTTCATGTGTCTGAATGAAAAGTCACAGGGCACTTGGAGTCTTGAGGTTGAGGCAAGTTCAATCAAAACATGTTGGAGCAATCCTGAATGTGAAGGTGAAAAACAGAAGACCATATACATTACAGTGCAGACAAATTTAACCAAGTGATTCCCTTCTCTCCCCCTTTCTTTCTTAAATAAGCAGATGTCAACTATATTCAAACTCTAGAAAGAATCAATTAATATCCATACAATATCAGTTTTGTTAGTGCATGTGTGTCTGCATCAGAACGTACAAACACACACACACACACACAAATACAGAATGGTAAACTTTTGGAAGAGAAATAGAATAAAATCTTTATTTTCAAGCTTGTCAGAAAATCTACCTTATTAAGCAATGGCCTGTTTACAGTGTTTATATTCTAAATGTTTTCTGTTAAACACTCGCACATGATGCTCAAAAGTTATAAATTAAAAATAAAATCCAGAACAGTCTAACTGATACTCAAATTTCATTTATAGTTTAGAAAATGGTCCTTTTAAAGAACTGATCATTCAATGCTTAACTAATAGGGAAATACTAATTTTTGACTTTTTACTGTTAAGGAAAAATGTTTAGAAGCATTAAGGCTACATGATTAAGTGGCTGTTAACAAATTCTGGAATTTATAACATCAAAATGTATTGGTAATTGCAGAGTAATGTTTGAAAATAAATCTTCTTGACTATTTTCAAAATATTTCTAAAAATCATACTTTATTATTTGTTCCCTAACACTATAATTTTCTATAGTTAGGGACTAGTACTTTGAAAAGAAGACCATGAAAAGCCACATATTTTAAAAACATGAACGTTATTGTGAAAAATTACTTTGAATATTAGTGATAAAGTAAATAAAATGGTCAAAATATATTCCTGTGGCAAAAATTGGTAGAGGCCACAGAATTTCCAGGCTTACAGCATGGAGGCAAGTATTGTGTATTTCTTAAAGCAGAATTTTCAATATTTTTCAAATTAAAATAATTTTTCATTAGAGTCATAAAAAGATGAATGGCAATCCAGAATTATTAAGTAAGGGTCTTCTGAAAAAAAAGAAATGGGAATCTGTATTTTTAATAAATAAGTCAAGCTATTCCTATAATTATAAAAGCTTGGGAGAAACAGTCTCAAGTGATATATTTTACAAACTTCTTAGATGTAGAATATTAACATCACCCCAGAAGATTTTTTTATTACTCAGGGTTCTCTAAAGAAACAGAACCAATGGGAGCTGTTATAAATTAAAGAGAGAGAGCAAGAAAGAGAGAGAAACTGATATTTATTATGAGCATTGGCTCATGTGGTTATAGAAGCGAAGAAATCTCAAGACCTGCCATCTCGTCTCTCTATGCTGGAGAACCAGGAAAGCCAATGGTGTAATTAAATCTGAATCCAAAGGCCTGAGAAGTAGGGATCTTTCGTTGTAAGTCCTAAACTCTAAAGGCCCAAGAACCTTCAGCAGGGGTTATGATGTTGGAGAGCAGAAAAAGCTGGATGTCTCAGAAAAAAAAAATAAATGAATAAATTAGTCTTTCCTCTGCCTTTTTGTTATATTTGGAACCTCTGTGGTTTGGAGGATGTCTGCCCACATTGGTGAAGGCAATCTTCTTTACTCAATGTACCAATTCAAATGCTAATCTCTTCCAGAAATACCCTCACAGACACACCCAGAAACAATGTTTTGCCAGCTATCCCTATTCTATCCCGGCATCTTTTAGCCTAGTCAAGTTGACACATAAAACTAACCATCACCATTTCCTAATGCCTTTACAATTAACCCATGACCCATATGCATGGAAGTAATGGCAATTCTTAATTTTTTCCACTAAAGATAAGATTTATCTGTTTTATAAGGTCACAAAAATTGAATCAAACAATATTATCCTTTTGATTAAGGATTCTTTCATTCAGCATAAGTTTATAGAGATTAACCCATGGTGTTGCATGTATCAGTAGTTTGTTATTTCTATGTGGTGGTTCCATTTTATTAATGTACCACCATATATTTATTCATTCTTCTACTGATAGACATGAAATGTTTCCAATCTGAAACTATTATGAGTAAAGCTGCTATGAACATTCTTGACAATTATTTTGTGAACACATGTTTTCATTTTTCTTGGGTAAATACTTGAGATTGAAATGGTAGGATCATAGGGTAGTATTGCTTTAATTTTATAAGAAACTTACAGAGATTTTTCTAAAGTGGTTGTAACATTTTATACTGCCAATAATATGAGTTCCATTTACTACACAATCTCCCCATCATTTTTTCTTTTCTGACTTTGTCATAGATTTGTTTTGTATTATTATTATTATTATTATTATTATTATTATTATTATTATTTTGAGATGGAGTTTCATTCCTGTTGCCCAGGCTCAAATTCAACAGTGCGATCTCGGCTTACTGCAACCTCTGCCTCACGGGTTCAAGTGATTCTCCTGCCTCAGCCTCCCAAGTAGCTGGGATTACAGGCACCTGCCACCACACCCGGCTAATTTTTGTATTTTTAATAGACATGAGGTTTCACCACATAGGCCAGGCTGGTTTCAAACTTCTGACCTCAGGTGATCCACCTGCCTCGGCCTCCCAAAGTGGATTTGTATTTTTTGGGTGAATAATAATGGTGAAAACTTTTTCACGTACTTTATCATTCAGAGATCATTTCTAGTGAATTGTCCATTTAAAATTGTGCCATTTTTATTGTTGAATTTCATTTTATTATTGAGAGTTAATGTCTAGGCATTCTTTATTTTCTGGCAGCAGCCCTTGGCCCTCTCCCTGTGATAATCCTCATTATCAGCCCTTTGCCCAGTTTCTAATCACATCCATGCTCAGTGACAGCGCAGCTGTGAAATGACAGCCAGTTTTCCCTAATCCTGTTTACTTCATTATTTCCCCATTGCCTTTAAAGTTGTCTATCTGTTTGGGGATTATTTGGTTTCTTTTGTCTTTTTTTGTTTCTAAATCTGGCCTTCTTTTTCACCTCTCAGTGGGAGCCTTGGCTAAGTAAGCTATTCCATCCGAATCAGAGGCAAAAGTCCCACCAAACAAATTTAATAAATTAAAGAGGTTTATGCTATCCCTCCTCTCATCAGGGTTCTTCAGATAAACAAACCAAAAGGATATAGATATAGGCATAGACTTTGACACAGACATAGACATGGACATAGACATAGACATATGAGAATAGATTTATCTCAGGGGTAGACTCACACAGTTGTGGAGGCTGATAAGTCTTAGGCCTTCTGCAAGCTGGAGAACCAGGGAAGCCAATATCATAGTCCAGTGCAAGTCTAAGTCCTCAGAGCCAGAGAAGCTGATGGTATTATTCTCAATCTGAGTCTGATAGCCTGAGAAACTGGGCGCCTGCTTGTGCAGGTCTTGAAGTCCAAAGGCCAGAGAACTTCTACTTCTGATGTCCAAGAGCAAGTGAAGAAGGATGTCCCAACTCCAGAAGAGAGAGGGAAACAGAGAGAGTTAATTCACCTTTTCTCTGCCTTTTTGTTCTATGTGCAACTTCAGATGGTGCCAGTCCTCACTGAGTGAGCGCAGATCTTCCTTATTCAGTCCACTGTTTCAAATGCTAATCTCTTCTAGAAACACCCTCCCAGGCACACCAAAAAATAATGCTTTCTCAGGAAACTGGTCATTCTTTAATCCAGTCAGCTGACACCTAAAATTAACAATTTCACTACCCTACAAAGCACTAGATGATTTGGCTATTGCTTTCTTCTCAACTTCTTCTTCTTCTGTTGTCCTCCCTATGCCCTATGCTCAAACCCAATTTGCCTTCTTTTTTAATTCTGTGACCATTCCCCAGATTTAATCACGTATAGTGACATTTGCATTTGCTTTATGCTTCTTCTGTTTGAAAAACTTTCACAGATGTTTTAATCCTGCCACATTTTCATCATTCCTATCTAAACTCAGATACCATAAATAGAGACACTGCAAGTAACTGGTCCTAATAAGGTAACTGATCCATTGTAAGAAGTAAACTAGAAGGCACTGAATATCTTCCAGGCTAGAAATAGATGAACCTTAATAAACATTTGCAAAATATTTTGATAAACACTGGCCATAGCACTTTGGGGCATAGACCATGTACTTATGAAAACCATATTATTATGAATAACATGTAATTTATATAGAAAAATTCCAGATATCCATATAGTCTACTTCTTCAAGTGTTCAATAATGTTCTAAACACAGAGATACAATTGGTATAATTGCAACCTCTCCAAAAGCATAAAGATAAGGTAATAACTTTGCTAAAAAAAGGCTCTCAGCCTGTGGCCAGCAGTCCAAGTTGACTGTGAAAACATGACAAGATTCCCCTTGTCCAAGTTAGTAAAGCTGAAGCCCCACCCTAAAGTTAGTATACCTGAAAGTAAAAAGTAAGACATTATCATTCACATGGTAGAACGTGAAGTTTTAAAGGACAACAGACAGAAGTCGCTCCAGAAACTATTTTTTCAAATATTTATTTGTAACCCTCCTTCTGGGTCTCCAAATACATTTCTTAGAGTACTTGATATTGCTCCACAGCTCATTGAATCTCCCATATAATATTTTTCAGCATTTTCTTTCTCTGTGCTTCAGTTTTGATAGTTTATATTGCCATATCATCAAAGTCACTGGTCATTCCTGTACCATTTCTAAATTGCTGTTAACTTCATCCTAAGTCATAGATTACATTTTCTATTTTGTTCAATTTTAGTAAATTTTCGTTTATATTGGATCTTGTATGATTTTTCTTATGACTGAGAGGTAAATTATCTGTGAATAAGCTTGACTTCTTTGAGGCTTGTGTTTAAGCTTTGTTGCAGGAGATCTGTTACAGTCTTTATTGCTACTTTTTTATTCCACTGAAGACTGACTTTTCTTGAAATTATTTTTCAAGTGTTTTCCTCAGGTGTAGTGCCTGCTTGATGTCTCTAAAATTTTGTTTATTTGCATAGATTTTTCTTTCCCCTTCAGTATAGATACCTTGGAAGGATATTGCATAATTTGGTTATGGCCATATCCTCTCCATCATCTGTGAATATTAGTTAATAATCATCAAGTTTGTAATGCCAGACTAATATTTTATACTTTATAAGTACTAATAGTTATTTGTTGTGCCTGAAAACACATAAGATTTTTTTTTTTTCTCTTTATGGTTATGCTTCACTGATTTGACCAGGATATGCTAGAGTTCTTGTTTTGTTTTGTTTGGGGGGAGTTTATTTGTTTTGTTTCTTTATTATTTATTCATGCTGAATTTTCCAAGCTCTTTTGGTCTTAGATTTAGTCTCTTGAACTCAGAGAAACTTTACTCAATTATTTTTAAGTGCTGATCTTCTTTCATTTTTCTATCTTCTCCTTAAATCCTAGAGGCACTAGCTACTCTAGATACGTGTTCTTTTCTGCAACATTTTCTTTTTATTGAATGAAATTGCCTAGAAACTTGTACCATTGCATGTGATGCTAACACAAAATAAAATATGCAATGCGAGTACATTTATAAAAAGGTCAAAGATACATTAATAGCTGGGAGCACTGGCTCATACTTGTAATCCCAGCTACTCAGGAGGCTGAGGTGGGAATATGCCTTGAGCACAGGATTTTGAGGCTGCAGAGAACTATGATAGCACCACTGCACTCCAGCCTGAGTGATAGAGTGAGACCGTGTCTCTGATTAAAGAAATAAACAACACTGTTACAGAAACATACAAATAGGCAGGAAAACTAGAATAAAAACAAAAAAGTAATTACCATCAAAGCCATCATATGTGTTATTTGCACATCTTTCAGACATACATATTGGTGGTAAAAATACAAAGAAAAGTAAAAGCCAATTGCCATTAAACTTAGAAGGGTGGTTATTCCTGAGAGAGGATATGTGTTTAGACAAGAAATTATGAGGGACTTCTGGAGAGGTGACAATTTTCTTTCCAACCTAGACGGTGATTACATGGCATTGATTTCAGTTATATGATATGCTGCATTATACAATTTTATGCACTGTTGTGTGTATATATATATTATTTTTCACACTCTTAAAAAGGAAAATAGGCAGACATATTTATTTTCTTTAAGAAACCCAGAGTTCAAAAAGCAGACTTGAAAATCTATAATACTTCAAAAGTAACATTTGTATAATTAATAAATGGAAGACAACTTGGTTAAACAGAAGAAAACAAAGTGTTTACTAACAGTGTCATTTGGCTATGAACTTGAAAATTAGGCATGGAATAGTCTATATTAATGTGAATCACATTTTCCCTTATGTATGTAGCATCTAAAATTTCTGTGAAACAGGGAATAGTCGCATGGCTTACCATCCAGTCTAAATACTCAACATTACTGCCAACCTGAGAAGCTATATATTCAGACCAAGTTGATGCACTAAAAACGTGAATTATAACCAATTATAAGGACCCAGTAAAATCATAGGAGAAGTAGAGGAGGAAGTAACACAATATTATATATTTTACTTTTGCACCTCTTTCAATAGTTTATTATTCAGACAAATCATAATCCCAGAAAGATTATACTCTCTGGGTGGTTAACTTCAACAGTGCAAGTGAAATATTTTAGTTCTTCATAGACTAAGTTATACAGCTCAAAAGATGCTAGTCACTAACTAGATCTCTCTAATTCCCTAGGCGTTCTTAACTCTTCCACTTACCTATTATGGAACTTTTAAAATTTAAATTTTCTTTTGTATATCTGCTGCCATTCTTGCTTGCTCAATTGCTCACTCACTGTAGAGTTTAAGTAAACCCAGACCAGGAGAAATTATCCTGAATCCTTCTTTTGGTGGTGTTGTAAGATTTTCTCACAGTCTTTTTTGCTGCTATAATTTCCATTTTATATATATTTTTTTCTCGCTGAACTCTTCTGTCACAACCAATCCTTTTTCACAGTTTATACATTTCCAATTATGGCAAAAAGGTATCCCAATACTTCCCAAGACTTCCCAAGAGTCCCAAGACAAAAAAAGACTTCCTAATATTTCCTAAGAGTTGTCTGACAACTCTTTCTACAACATTTATAGTATTTAAAAATCCCTTTCCCTTCTGGATTTTGAGCTCACTTTGATGGATTTGTGCTAAGCAACTTCTCTTTCCACTGGACATTTTCTTTCATTTGAAGCCTGATTTAGGGGGATATATAGTCACTCCAACTTTACGTAGAAAAACTCTTAAGTGATATCTCCCTTTTAATATGAGGACATTATATATTTCCACTGTATTATACAGAACGAACTTCAAGGACAGGAGGAATTTCTCTTTTCATAGATTCAGTCCATCGTTCCGGAATTCCAATTGTGTAATGCAGATTACCTGAGGCTATTTTTTCACTATCTTTCCATTCCTTGGGTGATAGCAGTCATATCAGTTTGGGTCATATTGGTTTGGTTTCACCCAAGGGCTAGAAGGCCAATTTGCATTATGCGAATGTGCTAGCTGCTTAATTGTCTAGTCTAGACATAAACCTTGTCCAGGGACAGCTAGACACAGTTGAATGGAGATGGTAGCACACAGACATGTGACTTTGGAATTGAGGAATGACAGAGACCCTGGCTTTTCTGAAAAACATGGGGATAGGGTTCTTATGGACATATAAGTAAACATTTGCTATTAAAAAAATGAAGTTTTAAGAAATCATTCTAAACATTTCTACTGTATACATTTTTGGTTTCCTTATTTCAAACTTTGAGTACCCTTACTCTTTCTCAGCTATTAATTGCTAAATGTTATATCTTGAAATTGATAATATAAATTGGGCAAGTAATATGTAGGGCACAAGACATGGGAGCTTAAATGGCTAAATATAATTTGTTTTTCAGCTTTGTGTTTTTAGGTTTGGGTTCCTATAAAATTTAATTTTGATCTTAAAACCAAAGTTTTGCATTAAAGAATACCCAGTTTTCACAGCAATCATTTTTTAAGATTTTCTATTTTGCTTCTTCCACACTGAAAATAAAATTTTGTGTGATATTCTGAAAGTGATAAATCAAACATTATGCAATATGTGGTAGTCTGTGGCTTCTGAGGGAAATTAATAACATCTGTAATTGGGAACTTTGTTGAAACCAAATCTCAAATAAATGGCACCATGAATGCTATTATTGACTGGGAAAATTACTGTCTAAATAAAAATGAAAATCCATGTTTCAGGCTGTTATTATTTCCTTGCCTCAAGTTAATTTCCTCTATACCACCTTTCCCACTGGTGACAGCCACTACAATTTTCTCTAACCACAAGCATATTACTGTTCAGATGCTACAAATAGCACAAAGCATATCCGTACTGGAGAAACCCGGAATGTAGCTCTATTTTCATTCTAGGTTCAAAGTATTTTTTTTGGAAAATGATAAGCAGATATGGAAGTTAGCCCCAGTAGCATTCCAGCACCCATAAATATAGTGTTTTAGTATAAATATCTATAATAGTTTTGTCCTATTTAGTAATTAGGTCTCATTTGCATGTCCAAATAATACTGTGAGAAGAATATATTGTAAAATAATAATTATGTGAAATATCAGCTATAAAATTACTGAAGGACACATTTTGAAATCATTCAGAGTGTGCTGACATAGGATAGTTCTTAGTTATTACACCAAGAATCAGACTAGTTTCTGGGTTCTCAGGTAGTCATGAAAAAACATTCCATCTTGTCAGGTTTCTTGTCCTATTCTTGAATGATTCTATTTTACGTTCTATTTTAACTGCAAAAATCCACAAATTTTTCAGATAAAGAATCTAAACTTCTTAAAGTTAAGGAAATTTCATAGTGACAAATAATTCATGAAAGAGCCATGATTGCAAATCTGGTCTACCTGATTCCAAAGTCCATGATTTTTCATTCTTCCTTACTATTCTCCATTATTCTCATCAATATCCTACACAGGCAGATAGTCCTTAATCATAAAAGTTACAAAAATCACACTCATGGTGTCCTGGAAAATGCAATGAAATCAGTTAAAAGTTGTGGCAATGGCATCAGGTAGAAGGCACCGTAATAGTTGAGCTAGAGGCAATGGGGTTCTAAAATAGGGAAACACCCATAATCATGACAAGAGAGGAACAGATATAATTGATGTATATTTAAAATATATAGGACATAACTCTTTTGATGTTAAGTATGAAGAAGATGTAGGCTGCATCATTTCCTATGACTTTTGAAGCTCTAATCAAAATATGAGTTAGGGCAATTAGATTTACCTTTTAGAAATTTAGAATTTGGAAGCCATGAGACTAAGTCTGTTTCCACTGACACTTGAGGTAAAAAACATAAAATTTTCAGATTCGGCTGTAAATTAAAAAAACAAAATAATTTAGGCACACAGAAAGGAACAGAGATCTAATGACTGAAAGAACTTCTGGCCCATGATAAATAGAAATATCCATTCCTAATGGCTTTCAAATTCCCACTTGCACTCTATGGGAGGCCTGGATATATCTTGATCCGTCTATGGGTGGGGACCAGAGTGACATATTACAAAAACACTAGCTTGAGCTTATTTGAGTAAGTTTTTGTTCCTTGTAACAACAACAAAAATCCAAACCAAACAAATATCTCCCTTTAACTGAGAAGAAACATAAATTGTTGTGGAATGTCTGCCTTAACTGTGATAGACATATACAGGGGTTAAAGGCATAAAGAATTAAAAGCCAGTAAGAGAAACTGTAGACAGTAGGGTAATTTAGGCATATATGCATAACTATTTTCCAGAAATCTACTGTGATGATCCTAACTCATTGATGAAATAAGAGATTTTGTATCCATACGACAGAAATTTTAAGGAAATTTATCTATAAATCAACTTCAAATTAAACCAAACAGAAGGAAAGGCTGGTTCCAAATAACAGAGTAAAGAAAAGTAATTTGTTTTAAATAGGATAATTTCACTGATGTTATCTTAGATTTCAGTTGTTATCTTATTAATATAATCAAAGGTAAAAATCCATCTATGAAAAAGAAATGAAAATTTTATAAATCATTGATTATATACAGTTATGCTAAGTACTATGAAAAATCTAGTTGAAATAAGCAGCATTCTTATTAAAAGTAAATTATCTTCTTGGCTTTAGATTCAGAATAAAAAAATCACAGTCAGGAAAAAAATTGAGAAGCATTTTTAGGTGAAAATGACTCCAGTCTTGCCTAATTTTTTTTTAGAAGCTGCTTTCAAACAGATAAGGATTAAAAATTCCACTGTTTGGTACTAATCTAGAGATAATTATCTATCTATGTACCTACCTACATATCTATCAAAACATAGTGCATGTATATATATAAGCCTATATATCTGCTTAACTGTAATAAAATTTAAAAAAATATTTGAAATGTAAAATAAATATGACATAATTAGGGTCAATCTCTAAAATGTAAAATAAATATATTGACATAATCAGGTTTAACCTTTTGGGTTAATCCTTTGTTGTGCTTACAAAGCAAATTTTATGTTAACTTAACCATAAGCAAAAGCCTGTAGTATCACATTATTCCTTAGTTTAAGGAAGAGCTAAGGATTCTGCAGGTTAAAAAAAATAATGTTTTTCTTCATTTTATACCATGTGATATTATTTGTGCGTATTGGTTTTCTTCCATGGTTTCAGTCTCATAGCTCCCATAGCCCTTGATATTTACTAAGTGACTAAAGTGATATCTTTTGTGAAAGCATCTTTTGTCTTTGATTCCTGAAACAACTTTGAAACAGATTCTTAGTGATAAAGGTGGAAGTCTCTGGTTATAATGTTGGGGTACTTTAGGCCTTAGAAGCAAGACTCAGAAAATAGAATCTCTCTGACCTTCTCCTACCGTCCTTTCACCTGCTCCTTTTTCTACCCAAGGCCTTCCATAGAAACTTAAAATATATTCTTCCCTTGCCTTTATGTCTTGGAGCTGGCCATCAAGATATTCTCTGACCCACCTTGCCTGATTGTAAGTCAGACTGATTTCAGAAGAGGTTCTGCCCCATACTCAGGAGGAAAGAATGTTGTACAGAGATGCCAAGAAGAATCTGAACAGGCAGACCTCGCTGGGTTTTCCCACTCAGTCTACTAGTATTAGATCACACCCTTTTTGACCAATCACATTTCTACATCATTATCCATGCTTCAATCATGCCTATACAATGAAGTCTCAAAAAAAGGCCCAAGAGGAGAGGTTACAGTGAGCTTCTGGACAGCTGAACTGATGGAGGCTTACAGGAAGGTGAAGAGGAATTCATGTACTTGTTGGGAGGGTGCACCCCAACTCCATGGGAACTGAAGCTCCTGCACTCAGGATCCTTCCAGATCTCACCCTACGTTATTTCTTTGCTTCCCTTTTTGTGAGCTACTATAGCAAATTAATGGAACCTGATGAAGAGGTTGTGGAAACCAAACTTGAAGCTGAGCCAGTTGGTCTGAAGTTCTGGAGGCCTGGATTTGTGACTGGTGTCTGACATGTGGGCTGTCTTGTGGTTCTGAGTCCTCAACCTGTGGGATGTGATGCTATCTCAGGTTAGAGAGTCTCAGAATTGCACTGGAGTAGAAGACACCTGGTTGGTCTCCGCTACAAAATTGATTGCTCGCTTGCTGGTGGAAAAAATCCCCACACATATGGTGTCGGAAGCGTGTTGTGAGAGTATAATGGGAGAAGCTGAGTTTGTTTTTTCTACTTATACCATTCATGTTTTTAATTCTCTCTTAACGTGAGTCATATTCATTCAACAATGTATAACTCCTATGTCAGGTATTCCCTGGTCATAATGTTCTCTAGCTCTTTGATTTGAAATTCTGACTTATATAGTATACACACCTTTCTCAGAACACTTAACATCTATAGAGACATTAGGCAGGAGGAATAAATTGTTACCAGGAAGGAAGGCAGGAAGAAGAGACAGGAAATAAAGTGTTGTGTTCTATTGCGAACAAAGCACTGTGATGGTTACTTTATCTTTAATTCCTAATAACACCAAGCAGTAATTGTCCTGATCTGGCAAATTGGAAAACAGGATCAGGCATGGTGGTTCTGACTTTACCCCACAAGTTCTCCTCCAGCAAACTAGGGCATGCTGTGTTAGCACTGTCAATATTACAGCAGTGAATTCAAAGCCAAGTGAAAAATCTCAGCTACAATAATAAAGGGTGTTAGAAGATAGTGGTTAAGAACACAAGGTCCAACATTAGGTGTCCTAGGTTCAAATCCAGGTCTGAGATATATTAAGTTTATGACCTTGGGCAATTTATGTAACTTCTCCATGCTACAGATAGTTCATCTGTAACAACGGGATAATACATTCTGCTACTCAAGTTATTGTAATTATTCAATCAGTTAATATGTGTAAAATATCTAGGTGAGTGTTTGGTTCACAGTAAGAGCTTTATAGGTTTGCTAATAATGTTGCTGCTTAAAATTAAACCTGGTGGATAAAATGAGGATAATTTTCTGTCCTAGAACCTAAAGCATCTTTCTTGTTCACTGCTGTGCATCTTCTACAAACAAGACATTGTGCATTCCTAGCAATCTCTTTTCATCTTAATCCTTCAGTCTAAGGATTTACTATTCTAAGTAAAGTAGAATTTTCTGCAGTTTTCCTTCCCGTTTTTAGCTTTTATTTTAAGTTCATAAGCAGGATGTGCAGGTTTGTTACATAGGTAAATGTGGGGGTTTGTTATACAGATTGTTTCATCACCAGGTATTAAGCCTAGTATCCATTAGTTATTTTTTCTGATCCTCTCCCTTCTCCCACCTTCCACCCTCTGATAGACTCGTGTGTTTTTCCCTCTATGTGCCCATGTGTTCTCATTATTTAGCTCTTTTCTCTAACCTAAAGTAATTTCTCTGTGTGATGCTTAATTTTATGTGTCAACTTGGCTGGGCCACATTACAGATATTTGGTCCAACTTTATTCTCGATATTTAAGTGAGGGTGCTTTTGGATGGGATTTACATTTAAATTATTGGACTTTGAGTAAACCAGAGTGCCTTACATAATGTGAGTTAGTTTCATCTAATTAGTTGAAAGCTTAATAGAAAAAAAGGCTTGATAAATCCTATTCCATCACCACCCCAAACCCCAGCAGGAGGAAATTTTCCAGCAGACTGTCGTCAGACTTCATCTGCTCTTCCTGATTTCTGCAATAAACTGTCTTAAGACTTGAACTGCAACCTCAGCTCTTTCCTGTGTCTTTGCCTGCTGGCCACCTTTATCGGGGAAACCAGCCCCCAATATCTCAAAGTAGGTTCTTTCTATTTTCCCTAAGTGCCGGCCAGTCTGAGAAATAAAGAGAAAGAGTACAAAGAGAGAAATTTTACAGCTGAGCCTCTGGGGGTGTCATCACATATTGGTAGGACTGTGATGGCAATCCCGAGCCACAAAACCAGCAAGTTTTTATTAGGGATTTTAAAAGGGGAGGGGGTGTACAAACAGGGAGTAGGTCTCAAGGATCATATGCTTCAAAGGGCAATAAAGATCATAAGGCAAGGCAAAATTAGAATTACTGATGAGGGTCTATGTCCTGCTGTGCATGCATTGTCTTGATAAACATTGTAACAGCAAACAGGGTTCAAGAGCAGAGAACCAGTCTGACTAAAATTTACCAGGCTGGAATTTCCCAATCCTGATAAGCCTGAGGGTACTGCAGGAGACCAGGGTGTATTTCAGTCCTTATCTCAACCGCATAAGACAGACACTCCAGAGCGGCCGTCAGTAGACCTACCTCCAGGAATGCATTCCTTCCCCAGGGTTATTCCTTGCTGGGAAAAGAATTCAGTGATATTTTTTCTACTCACACATACATCTATAGGCTTTCTATGAGAAGAAAAATATGACTCTACTCTGCCCAACCCCACAGGCAGTCAGACCTCATGGTTATCTTCCCTTCTCCCCTGAAAATCGCTGTTATTCTGTTCTTTTTCAGGGTGCACTGATTTCATAGTGGTCAAACACATATGTTTTACAATCCATTTGTACAATAGTGGTCCTGAGGTGACATATAGTCTCAGCTTATGAAGATAACAGGATTAAGAGATTAAAGTAAAGACAGGCATAAGAAATTATAAGAGTATTGATGGGGAAGTGATAAATGTCCATGAAATCTTCACAATTTATGTTCAGAGGTTGCAGTAAAGACAGGCATAAGAAATTATAAAAGTATTAACTTGGGGAACTGATAAATATCCATGACATCTTCCAGTTTATGTTCTTCTGTCTTGGCTCCAGTCGGTCCCTCTCTTTGGGGTCCCTGACTTCCCACAACACACCTTGTAGATTTTGGACTTGCCTGCCTCTAGAATTGGGTAAGCCAATTATTTAGAATGAATAAATATATTTCTATATGAACATACATTTTATTGGTTCTGTTTCTCTGGATAATCCTAATACATCCTGGTTTTGCATTTTCTGACTCTAATTTTTCTCAAACTTTCCCCTCATCTCTTTGGTAATTTGAGAGTTTCCCCTGCCCAGTAAAATCAACGAAGGCGAAAAAGGCCATCTGCTCCTTCCTGCCATCTGGGATGGGCACATTACAAAATTCACAAAATAAAGGACATATTACCCAACCAATTCTCTTGATTTGGGAAAGGAAAGAATCCATATGTTTCTTTCTAACTTCCCATTCTTTTCAAATGAAACTAGTAAAATTTATCATGGATTTTTTTTTAATGCTGAGAATATTTTTGACAAATTGAGTTAGAAGGCCAAGCAATCTTCCAGAGTATTTTCCCTTTTGGAAGTAGCATTGGCATGAATGAGTCTGAAGAAAGAGGGCCATCATAAACAGTCTCACATGGGCTCACACAGGAGCTACTTCCTTATCTTTTCCCTATTTAAAATCCATAAACTCTTTGGAATGAAACCCTTTTGTCCGCAACATTCCCAGAGCACATAGACATTAAATCATGAAGTTTTATGTAGTTGTCTGGTACTGGAATTAACTTCAAGGGACATCTAGAAAAAAACAAATGCTAGATGATATCAGCATAGTATCAGATAATAAAAAAACAAAGCAAAACAAAATACTATGTTAAAAAAAAAAAACTGTTGGAAACAGCCAGGACAAAACATTGCAGACAGCTATAGTGCTGTCTAGAAAAAAACAAATGCTAGGCAATATCAGCATAGTATCAGATAATAAAAAACAAAGCAAAACAAAATACTATGTTTAAAAAAAAATTGTTGAAAACAGCCAGGACAAAACATTGCAGACAGCTATGTAGTGCAATGTTAAGAATGTGGGACCTGGAGACAGGTGCTACAACTTTACCACTACACTTTCTTTAAAAATTAAGGTTTATGTTTTTATTTTTGTATTTGTAATGTACTCTTTTATAGAACTTCAAAAGAAAATCTTAATACAAATTAACACTTTTAAAAAGAAATTAAAAACTCCAAGTTTATCTTCAAGAATTTATATAGGGTAGTAAATGCAGGCCACATTTTATATTTTCTAAACACCAACTATTCCATTATAAAATAAAAAAGTGGTATGTTAACTATTATAAAGGATGAAACTATTATATAAACTTTAATCTAAAAGGCTGCTTTCTGCATCTGCATCAATGTAATTTCACGATTCTTTACCAATATTTATAGAAAGAATCTATAATGAAATTATCGTTCACTTTCATGCCCCACATGGGAAGTGGTAGGTGAATATATGTAGGAATATAATTCATTGTCTGATCTTCCATTGAGAAGTATCCCTGTGTTTGTCCAGTCTACACTCAGAATTTTGTCTTCATGAGCAGCTAGATCACAGAATGGAGCCTTAAAACTTCTTGTATTCTGCAGCTTGACAGTGTCACCTAAATATAATGAAATCAGCTGCTGTTCATGAATAGAAGACCATTTTACTGATGTCACCCGGCCTGTATGTGAAGTTGGGAAAAAGACAGCAAAAAACTATCTTTGGTTTGGGGATCCCAGTCTTATATGCATGTCTGTGCTTCCAGATGCTAAACATTTACAGAGTAGAAAATAGAAAATACAATACTTTATTTCCTGACAAAGCTGAGTTAAGACTGCTGAACTCAACATGCCACACTCTAATTGTGTGGTCCCAAGATGCACTGCAGGTTCCTTCAACATTTGACCACAGAACCAAGGAAATTGCTTCCTTGTGGTCAGAGAGGGTCAGCATGGGAGTCCTCGTTAGTTCCAATTGCTCTGTTTTCTGTTTCTTTCTCAATTTGTGGATTCCCCCATTTCATCTTCTTTATCTATAGAGACTGTAGAGTAGATATTTAACATTTTATCTCATCAGCCACTGCAAAATATAGTTTCTGAGCTATCAACAGCTATATAATCTACACTTCCAGTATGATCTCTGCAGCAGTGTAGGGCTTTCCCTGTTTCTCATTAAATTCTACTCCGGTAAGACAGTACTCTGATCAATGGAAGAATTCAGTAAAAACAAGACAAACTGTCTTTTTTCACCCAGGCCACATTTTTCACAGCATCTGTATATTTCACAATCATCATTACGAACTTTTCTTCCAAGCATCAGAACCCAGAAGTCTCATCATAAGAACCAGTCAAGGTACATTCCTCTGCCCCTTTAATTGAACTGATGCAGTCATCATAGAATATGCATTGCTCTGGCTGGTGGACAGTGTACTTCTCCACATTCTAGTTCCACAACCTCTTATGATGAGATGATCTCAAGGTCCATGTGTTTGACCAAGGAAATTAGCAGAAACTGGCCCTCCAGTTTGAAATCAAACTCCACATGTTTGTGGAACTCATTTTTGTCCTTCAGCAATTTATTCATGATGTTACTAAGGTCAGCTATTTCAGAGGCAGCAGAGATTGAGAAGAGAACATCATCTATTATATATTTCATGTTATCACTGTAGAAGTGTGTTTGGAACGGAGACATGGCAGGGAGTACACACAAGACTTGCCCACAGAAACATATGGGTTGGTATTCAGAGAACAAGAGCTCTGGTCTCTTAGGATTAAAAAATCGCAGCTCAAAATTAGACTGAATATGTAAGTGAGAAGCTGCATTTGAAGGCTGGCTTCCATTTTGTGTCCTTGGATCTCTTCCTATATTTTCAATTGATTGTAGAATCCCATATATCTGATTTTACAGAAGTAATATAGACAGATTTAATGTACTTTAGTTTTCCCCATATTCACTTTCCTCTCACACTCCCAACTCTACTCTCACTATTCCTAATACCTGACAACTACGAATCTGTTTTCCATTTCTATAGTTTTGTCATTTCAAGATTGTTATATAAATGAAATTATACAGTCTGCTCCTTTTGGAATTGGCTTTCCTTACTCTGCAAAATTATCCAAAGATTCCTCCAGTATACTATGTGTATTATTAGAGGTTTTTTTCTTACTATTGCTGAGTAGTATTCCATGTATGGGTGCACTAGTTCATTTAGTCAATCACTCCTTGGAGGTCACTCCAATTATTTCCAGTTTTTGATTATTGTGAATAAAGCTGCTGTAAACATTTGTTACAGATTTTTGTGTGAATATAAATTTTAATTTTTCTGGGGAAAATTCCCAGAAAACTTCTGGGTTGTATGATAGTTAATATGTGTAGTTTTTTTAAGAAACTGCCATTTTGGTTTTCTGAGTGACTGTACTATTTTACATTCCCACTGGTAATGCATAAGTGATCCAGTTTTTCCACATTCTTGCCAACATTCGGTGACATCACTATTTTCTTTATTCCATTCTTATAGGTGTGTACTGACATATCGTTGTGGATTTAATTTGTATTTAACTAATGGCTAATAAGGGTGAACAACTTTTCATGTGTTTCTTTCTTCTTATTTCTTCTCCTGTATTAGTCCAGGTTCTCCAGAGGGACAGAACTCATAGGATGTATGTATATATGACAGATAGTTTGTTAGGGAGAAATGGCTCACAGGTTCACAAGACCAAGTCCCATGACAGACCATCTGCAAGCTGGGGAAGAGAGAAGCCAGTAGTGGCTCATCTAAGTCCAAAAAGCCTCAAAAGTAGGGGAGCTAACAGTGCAGCCTTCAGTCTGTGACTGAAGGCCTGAGAGCCCCTGGCAAACCACTGGTATAAGTCCAACAATCCAAAGGCTGAAGAATCTGGAGTCTGATGGAATGGAAGGAAACATCCAGCACAGGAAAAATATGAAAACCGGAAGACTCAGCAAGAATGGTTATCCCATCTTCTTCCACCTGGTTTGTCCTAGTGGTGCTGGCAGCTGATTGGATGGTGCCCACCCCTTGCATCAGCATGCCCTGGACATGAGACATTAAGTCAAAGGAAATTATTTTAGAACTTTAAGATTTCATGACTCTCCCGATAGGTTTTGAACTTGCATGGGACCTGTAGCCCCTTCATTATGGCCAATTTCTTCCTTTTGCAACAGGAGCATTTACCCAATACTCATACTCCCATTGTACCTTGGAAGTAACTAACTAACGTTTTTTTCCACAAGTTATTGGGGTACATGTGGTATTTGGTAACATAAGTTATTTAGTGGTGACTTGTGAGATTTCGTGCGCCCATCAACCATGCAGTATACCCTGCACCATTTTTGTAGTCTTTTATCCCTCGTCCCCTTCCCACTCTTCCCCCAAGATATATATACATATCTTTCTGGAGGAGTCTTTAGGGTTTTCAAGTAAATGATCATATCATCGGCAAATAGGGACAGTTTGACTTCTTCTTTACTAATCCCTGTTCACCACATCCAAGGCAACATCTGCTGTTTTTTGATTTTTTGATTATATCCATTCTTGCAGGAGTAAGGCGGTATTGCATTCTGGTTTTGATTTGCATCTCCCTGATCATTAGTGATGTTGAGCATTTTTCATATGTTTGTTGGCCATTTGTATATCTTCTTTTGAGAATTGTCTATTCATGTCTTTAGCCCACTTTTTGATGGGTTTTTTTTTTTTTTTTACTTACTGATTTGTTTGAGTTTGTTGTAGATTCTGGATATTAGTCCTTTGTCAGATTTACAGATTGTGAAGATTTTCTCCCACTCTGTGGGTTGTCTGTTTACTCTGCTGACTCTTCCTTTTGCTGTGCAAAAACTGTTTAGTTTAATTAGGTTCCAGCTATTTATCTTTGTTTTTATTTCATTTGCTTTTGGGTTCTTGGGTATGACCCCTGAAACATAATAAATGTAAATAAGTAGAGAAATAAATGTAAAAGGATGTATTTACTTACCAGCTTTGTCCACTGAAAGGGCTGAAAGTTAGTAAGCACACCTCAGAACTTGGCCTTATATACCAATTTTTACTGAAAATGAAATTGGAGCTCCTTTGGAGAAATGGTTGATGCCAAGGCTAGGGGAAAAGAAAAAAAACAAATTAGTATTGAACATCTTGTTATTCCAGAATATAAGAAAGTGACTAAAGAAAGATACAGCCACATCAAAAGAACCCAAAAATTAGTTCAAAGAATCTCCCACTGATCAAAACAGGAATACCCTGAGCATCAAAAGGAATCATTATATTAGTGGCTTATAAACCATTGATTAAAATAAAGACCAATGAATCTACACTGACATAAATAAATAATTAAATTCATCATATGATGAGGAATGTGATAATTATGTAGCTTCAAAGTACCCCTCCATGAAATGCTTATTTACATAGAGAAAAAACTGAGTGTCTTTGTAGTGCAGAAGCCTGGAGACCCCATCTTCATTAGATGATTACTGTTAGTTTCACCTGAAATGGGACAAATTGGCATCGTGTGTCCATTCATAGAATGCAGTAAGAAGGCATAACATCCCTACTCTTGTCAAAAATGCATAACATGAATCTCATCCTGAAGAAATAGCAGACAAACTCAAATAGAGGAAAATTTTGTGAAATAACTGGCCTTATAATCTTCAAAAACTTCAACATCATGCAAATTAAGAAAAGAGTAAGTAAATGTTCTTGACTGAAAGAGACAAAAGGGACACAAAGCCTATGTGCAATTGGAATCCTTCAACTGGATCACTTTGCTATAAATGGTATATTTGGAGCAATTGATGTGATTTAAATCTGTTTGATGATGAGATTATAGTAACATATCACCTTAGTAGGAAATATTAGGTGCTATATCAGCATTATTTCTATAAAATGTGTTTCTCTCTACAATAGCACTCACCTCACTACATTCTAATTCAAAGTAAAGTGTTCTAATTCAAAGTAAAGTTATTGGATTTTATCATTTATAGTGCCTAGTGTGGTGTTTTATGGATCAAATGAATAAAACAATTACCAATCTAATTCAAAGGTAAAATAAATTCTAGAATGTCTATATTGTTAAAAAGTATACTCAGCAAAAAATAAAATTCAAAGGCTATTCAGGGAAACCAGGCATTTCTTAGTCTGAAGTGAGAAAAGAAATCTAAACCATTCCCTAATAAAACCTTTTCAATGGAAATTTTAAAGTTTTTGAAAATATTCTTTCAAATATTTATACAGGTTAATCCTCTTGCTTCCTAAACTAATGTTGAATTATAGAAATTAATTTTGTGCTTATTTTACATTCTAGTATATATATGTAATATCTGTATTAAGTTTTCAAGCTGATTTTTAAAATCTTTATTTTTGTGTTGTAATTGTATAATTGCCCAATTTTTTTTTCCTGACTGAATTTTGCTTATATTCTCTGGAATTTCCATAGCCCCTTTTAACCTTTTGATCCAATAATGTTCCTACTCCCCAAATGTTTGTTGGTATCACAAGAGTAGCTCTTTCAATTCCCTTGTATAAGGACACTTGTTTGGAACCTTTGATTTACAGTAGTAACACAAATGACAGAAGGAGGGAATTGAAAGTATCCCTTTACAAAATTATGAAGCAATATATGAAGTGGTATAATATTATTTGAAGATTAATGATAACAATGTTTATTGTAAACTCTAAGGTAACTAAATAAAAGTAGGAAAATAGACATAATTAATAACTAATTAGCCAATAGTGAAGCTAAAAGGGTTTTATAAAAACACAACAAAAAGCTGATAGAAAAAAAAAATAAAGAGGAACAAAGACACAAAAAAGATCGACGATATAGAACAAAACTACCAAAGGATTGCAGATTTCAACCCAGCAATGTGAATAATTACATTAAATGTAAATAGGCTGAACACACCAATTAAAAGACAACTATTGTCCGGTTTGATACAAAATCAACACCCTCATATGCAACACCTTTTATGTACAAAGACATAGATAAAAGTAAAAGAATATAAAAATATGTGGCACAAGCTCCAGCTGAAAGAAAATTGGAGTGGTTATATTAATATCACACAAAGTGGGATTCCAATTATCTTAGTAGTTACCTTAGAGGTTTTTTTTAGGTAATTTCATGGTTTCAGCCTCAGATCGTCTTTAATCCATTTTTATTTGATTTTTGTGTATGATGAGAGATAGGAGTCAGACCTACTCTTGATCTACCTCCCCAAAAAAGAGCCTAAAACCAAGCCTCAACGAGATTCACAGGAGAAAAGAAAAATGATTTACTCGAGAACAAAGAAAACAGATTCTGTTTACTCTTCATCAGAAATAGTCAAAACCAGAAGTCACTTATTTTTAAGTGACATTTTAAGTGCTAAAACTAAACAACAACAACAACAAAAAAAGAACAAACCAAAAAATAGATAAAATTGTTGACAGAAAGTTTATATGCAACAAAATTACTTTGTAAAGCAATGTTTAAATGACATTTTTTATAAAAGATGAAAACTGAAAGAACTTGTCACTACAAGTAATGATAAAATATCTTTTAATCTGAGAAGAAATGATAGTAGATGGAAATTCAAATGTAGAGAGAATAAAGACCATAGGAAGTCTGTGAGTAGATTTGTTTCCAAGGTTAGCTAATTAGTTGATCAACATGGTCATAAATATCTCATGTTTTGTTCTACTCTCCAATTTGACATCCTTAATAAATATCATATGGATGGTAGCAATATGTCTGTCAACGTTCTAAGCATCACTTTTTGACACAACTACTAGAACAAGTGGAGGGGATAATTTCCTTGAGTTTTTAAGGAGTGAAGAAACTTTTCCCAGAGACTTTAGAGCATGTTACTTCTTTGGCCAAAATCAAGTCATGTGTCTATTATCTAGCCAATCACAGTCACGGTGCTTGAAAGGTTACGATTAGTGTAGAACGGTCACCTGAAATGAAGTAAATTCCAAGGTTTCACATTTAGAGTTCTCACTTCCATGAGAATGAAAGCTCCAATGTTCACTCCAAGGTCTAAATAATTTCGTCTGTTTACCTTCCACTAAATAACACTATTTAGCTCTAACTGGCAGTCCAATATTTACATATTTAAAATGGGAAATATTCCAATGACCTGTCTTTGAGTGGTTAGCTGTGAGGTTTTAGGAATAGGTAATAATATGCCCCACATTTTATAAAAGGTCACAGATCCTTTATGAAAACTATGAACTATAAACCTTTAGTTCTCAGGATGAATTGAAGATTAGGGGAAGAGAGAATATAGAAGCAAACATCTGAAATACATTATTTATGTAGCAAAACTAATTTTGAGAAACAAGATCAGAAAATGTTTCACCATGGCACATGGGTTCATCTTTGGGAGTATTCAATCTGCCTTCAGATTTAGCTCTGTCCACAGTAAATATTTCTGGGACTCTGGGTTGATTCTCAAAATTTTCTTAATCTTTTATTCTTTCCACATACTGTAGGCATTATCTTTTGGATCTCGAAGTTTTTACGATCAGTTTCTAGCTTCTCTACATTCCATCTGGACACAATTAGGGTTATCTTTACTAAGGGCAACACTTTGAGCAACAACAGACTCTCTCAGTATGCACCTCCCTCTGTTTCTCCTCTCTGCTTTCTGTAAGACCTGTCCCTTCTTGCTCCTCTCATTCCAGATGTCCTTCTTCCATCTCCAGCTCCTCAAAGCCTATCATCCTTGCAGACCTACTCAATGTCATATTCTTCAGCAACACATCCTTGATCCAACAGTCAAGATCAATTGTTCCTAGATCTTGAACTGTAGTTACCCATCTCAGAAAAGCTTTTATACATGCACAAGGTCAAAGGTTTGAGAATGTTTATGGCAGCATTGAAGACAACAGTGAAACCTTGGAAACAAACTAAATGCCCAATAAAAGTACAATGATAATTTTATTTTGCTGAGTGTCTGCAATAGAATATACTAAAATGAATAATTCAGCATATATGGCTTATACATAAAATAAATAAAATGGAATAATATAACAATTAAAATGTATAAATTAAAGCACATTTACCAACTTAAACAAATCTCAAATCAAATATTAAGGGAAAAAAAGAACATTTTAGAAAGACTTTTGTAGTAGAATAATATTAATGAGACACTTGCAAACAGATTAAATATTGTTTAGAGATGTATGCATGTGTGCAGATATATAATTTTCACAAGGGAATACAATCATGAGGCCATGGAATACAAATGTTGAAGTGGAGAATAGAAGAGAATGATCTTGGAGACAAACCTAAGATGTGATTAGTTCACACCTGCTTAGAGGAAGAAAGGTGCATCTTTCAGATTGCACCATAAAAAAGAGCTGTTCAAAGAAATGAACTTAAATTCTGTCAAATTAAAACATAATTCTTTACTGTTGGGACATCTATCTTGTCTCTAATGTCATATTTTCCCAAGAACACCTCTCTTAAACTCACTCATATTTGAATTCCATATGCCTTGTTGCTAACCCAGTTTCTGACTGAACTCTCAGGATCTGGTATACACTTAAACTAAGCTTTTCCATCACCTCAACGTTCTTTCCAGAAGTTGACCTTCTCCTCCTGCATGCTAGATTATTCTATCGTTGATTTGGTTTTGCCAAAAACTATGTTGGCTATAATTGCTCTTCTTTTAAAGTGTCAGCATAGAGTTGGCCAAAAGTAAATGCACACAAAATTGGAGACTCAAAAATTAATGACCTTCACTCTGTGAAAGTCATTCTCAGAGATGGTAAGAGGCAGGTGTAGGTTTAAGAATGAGTTCCAATTTGTCTTCCACCTTTCCCACTTATGCAACTCTCCTCTCCTACTGCTATCTTTCCTGACACAAGCCCCTACCAGGAACTTTGCTGTAATCTTATAGTGGCAGAAACCATGAAGAATCTAAATTTCCACATCAATCCCTTTCTTTAGTTTTAATCAAGCAGCTGGATATAGATATTTCTAATTTTCAGGTTTCCCAGAAAGCTACACCCTTTTCTTCTGTGTCAGGGCTAATGAGTATCTTTTCTCTGATCTTTCAGTTACCATTCATACCTTGTGTCCCCATCTCCTCCCACAATTAGGCAAACTCTAATTCTTGCAATAAATATCTATCCCATAATCCTCATAGTGATTGTACTTTCTTAATTGAACATCAGCTGAAACAATGGTCATCCCCAAACCTGAGTATATTCTTTCCTACCCCTCCTCATAATAGCAAGATCTGTGCAGGAAGTAGTATAATCACATTAATTATCACACAAGTACAAAGTAATAAGACTACTAAAATGACTTTTCACTTCTCCACTTTCACCAATAACTTTTGTCTTTTTTTTCAGTAAATTTATGAGACTGTAATGACATTCCTGTGTTCTAAGTTGACGGAAAGGACCACACTGCATGCATGGCAGATGTCCTTGCAAAGCAGGAGAGAATGCCAATAAGCCTTAATGGTGTTAACTTGCTGATGGTATTCTGCAATAAAATTGCCTTTTCTTGCAAGAATTGGGTCCAATACTCATAAACACATATGATTGTGTTAATCAGCCTTGCTGATTAACTATAAAGATTACATTTAGAAAGCATTGCTGATTAAATTTCAGTAACTGTTGCCTGAACCTTCCAGATATGAAGTAGCCACCCTGGTAACCAAAACTAATATAACCATTGTCAAGTCCTGGACTCTCTTCTGAGCTCCCAATAAACAATAATCAGCATTTGAAACTTTGACCCAGAACAAACTCACAGAACTTGCTTGCGGTACTTTGCAAATAAATTATTATGTAAATGTATATGCAGTTAACCTGTACAACTGGTAAGTTGGCCATATGAAAATAGTTGCTTTAACAAGAAACTAGAATTCTTGAACAACAGAAACAAGAAAAGCATTACTTGGCATACTGGTAAAAAAAAAACATATATTTCTGTCAATTCAGAACACTCTATACTTTCACCTACCCCATAGCTCCATCTGCGTTCTTATGTGTCAATTAACCTACTGTTAAACAATCAATATAATTCCATTCCCAGTCATCATCAGATTTATCATATATATTAGAATAAGTTGAATCTTTGAAAGGAAAGTTATCCACTAATATAAAATCCAAATGTATCCACTAATATAGCCTTCTAGAGAAAGGCTACATAGGATATTTGTCTCTACATTTATACAAATATAATATTCAACACTGATTTCTTATATATTAATCATCAGAACTTAATCATACTACTTAAGATATATGAGTCTCAGTTTCCTAATCTGGAAGATGGGAATAAATATCATATTCACCATATAGGGTAATTGTGAAGATTAAAATATATTATTATGTTATTATTAATACAATGTTCAGCATATACATACTTGTGTATAAATGGATTTTATTAACTTATTTTATTCTGTATTTTTTTTTCTTTCAAACAGAGAAACACTCAGATCCTAAGGGTACTCTTCAATCTGTCTTGAAAACTGTAAATAAAGACCCCAAACATTTTCATCACCCAAATGTATTTGTGTCTCTTCTCAGTTACTCCCCCACTCCAGAGGCAACCACTGGTCTGATATTTATCACCCTATGTTAGTGCAGTAGGTAGAATTTTAAGATGAACCCTAGGAAATAATGCTTTTCATGGTCTCCTCCTCAATCAATGTGGGAGCAATCTATGACTCATATGCATTTTCATATAAATATAGTTTTAGAGTATGTTCTCTTCAGTATTTGACTTCTGTCACTCAGCTCAGTATTTCTTAGAACTATCCATGTTGTTACATGTGTCAATAGTTTGTTCCTTTTAATTGCTGTGTTGTATTAGATTTCATGACTATATGTATATAGCACTTAATATTCCTGTTGATGGTACTCTGGTTTGTTTCTGAGTTTTGAATATTATGAGTAATGCTATTATGAAAATTAACATACAAAGTGTTTGTAAACATATTTGTTCATTTGTCTTAGTTACATACATGAGATTGTAATTACTGCACTGTTGTGTAAATGGATGTTCAACTTCTATGACAAAATGGCCAAATTGTTTTTCACATGGTTGCATCGGTTCATACCACAAGCAAAAATGTATGAGACTCCTAGTTTTCTCCAGCATTTGGTGTTGCCAGTCTTTTACATTTTAATCCTTCTAATGGTAATTTAGTCTTTTAATTTGCATGTCTAATGCTATTAAATATTTTTTGTGCTCCTTGGTCACTTGCATATATTATTTGGGAAAATGTTTTAGTCCTCTTCAATTAAAAAAAAACAGCATTTTAAAATTATTGCTTCACAACTGTTATTTACATATTTTTTATAAAAGCCCTTTGCTGCTGTAAATACAATAAAAATAAATAAGAAAATTACTTATAATTGAAAATAAATTATTTTTAATTACTTACTTATTTTGGGTCCTCTAAAAAATCTTTGCCTAACCCAAAATCACAAATATTTCCTTTTATGTTTGTATTCTAGCTTTATTTTTCTAGCTTTTATGTTTAGCTTTATATTTCACCACACATTTCAAAACTAAGGTATATGAAGAGCTAATAAGCATATGAATAGGTTATCAACATCATAATTTATTCTACTTATCACATAAATTCAATATAACACTAATTCATATATAGTAGAGTAGCTAATTGAAAATAAGTGACAGAACAAAATGTTGGAGAAGATGTGGAGAAAATGGACCTCTAATACCTTGTTAATGGAAGAGTAAAATGACACAGCCACTCTGGAAACCATTTCAGCATATTGATATAAAGTTAAATACACACCTAACCTATAAAATGTATTCAATTTCCAGGTTATTACTTGAGCAAAATTAAAACATATGCTCGTAAAATGACTTGCACGGTAATATTTCTAGCAGTTCTATTCATAGAAGCCGGTATTTTGTTGTAACCCAAATAAAATGGACAGCAACAAGTGAAGGGATAAAACATTTATGGTGCATTCATGTGATTCAATACTACTGTGCAATAGCATAAACGAATTTTTTAAAATATTATAATAACCAAACATACCAGAAGCAACAAGGCTCATACAGGATTATTCTATATATAGGAATTTCAAAAAAAGAAAAATCTAATTTATGATGACAGAAAAAGGAACAGTGATTTCCTTTTGGAAAGAGTGAGTATTGACTCCAAACCACTTTTTTTTTTTTGAGACCAAATCTCGCTCTGTCGTCCAGGCTGGAGTGCAGTGGCGCTATCTCGGCTCACTGCAAGCTCCGCCTCCCGGGTTCACGTCATTCTCCTGCCTCAGCCTCCTGAGTAGCTGGGACTAAAGGCGCCCGCCACCACGCCCGGCTAATTTTTTTTTTTTTTTTTTAGTAGAGACGGAGTTTCACCGTGTTAGTCAGGATGGTCTCCATCTCTTGACATCGTGATCTGCCCGCCTCAGCCTCCCAAAGTGCTAGGATTACAGGAGTGAGACACCACGCCCGGCCCTTATATCACATAGTATTAGAAGAGTGCATGGGTAATTCTTTAAACAACAAAAAAATTGCCTATAATTATTACCAATTACCTTCTAAAAAAGTAATTTATCTAAAATTTCATCTCAATATTTTTGTAAGAAATAGTAGGTAAGTGTATTTCCTTTGTGGCGAAACAATATTCTAGATGTGTTTATTATATTAATATTCTAAGTTACTCATTCTAAGATTTTTAAAGAGATATTATTTATTAGTAACATTATTTGTTAATTATTTAAATTATTTTAATATGTAATAATTAGACAATTTATATTCATTATGCATTAGCACATATGATATATGCACATTGTTAAGTAAAAAGGGAAATTTTTATAATACAGTATATAGTATAGTCACATACCCCGTAGCAACTTTTTACTCAATGACTGACCTTATATACAACTGTGGTCTCAGAAGATTATAATATTGTATTTTTACTGTACGTTTTCTATGTTTAGACTCACAAATACTTAACGTTATATTACAATTGCCTACAGTGTCCAATAGAGTAACGTGCTGAATAGGTTTGTAGCCTAGGAGCAACAGGCTATGCCGCACAGCCTAGGCATGTAATAGGCTCTACCATCTAGATTTGTGTAAGCACACTCTGTGATATTCTCACAACATGAAATCACCCAATGGCACATTTCTGAGAATATATACTTGTCATTAAGTGATCCATGACTGTGTTTAGTGTTCTATTACAAAGATATAGAATTGCCAGCAGTACAACTCTAGATCTTACTGTAACTCTTTTCTTAAGAGCTTTATTGAGGTATAATTGATATGCAATAAACTGAACATATTTAATGCTTACAATTTGATGAGTTTGGGCATATGCATACATTCATGAAACCATTGCCACAACCAAGGTAATAGACTATCCATCACCTCCCAATTTCCTTGTTTCTGCGTGTGTGTGTGTGTGTGTGTGTGTGTGTGTGTCTGTGTTAAGAATGCTTAACATGAGATCGCTCCTCTTAACAAAACTTTAAGTGCATAGTCCAGTATTGTTGACAGTAGGCATTATGCTGTACAGCAGATTTCTAGAATTAATACATCTTGCATAACTCAAACTTCATACTAATTGAACGACAACTCCGCATTTCCTTTTCCTCCAACCGCTGCTAACCACTATTCTCTCCTCCTACGAGTTGGAGGACTTTAGGTACCTTGTATAAGTGGAATCATGCAGTATTTGTTCATTTATTATTGATTTATTTCATTTAGCATAGTGACCTCTGGTTTCATCTGTGTTGTTTCAAGTGTCAGGATTTCCTTATTTTTAAAAGCCGAACAATATATTATTGTGTGTATATACCACATTTTATTTATCCATTCATCTGTCTATGGACATTTGGTTTGTTTCTGTAATGTGGCTATTGTGAATAATGCTACACAAAACATTGAAGTACAGATAGCTCATCCAGATCCAGATTTCAAGTCTTTGGGTATATACTCAGAAGTAGGACTTCTGGACTGTATTACAGTTCTACTTTTGATTATTTTTGAGAAATCTCCATACTATTTTTCATAGCAGCTGAATGATTTTACATTCTCAAAAATAGTGTAGAAGGTTATAATTTCTCCACATCCTAACATTTGTTATATTTTTGTGTTTGTTTGTCTTGTTTATAACAGCTATCCTAACTGGTGTAAGGTGAAAACCTCATTGGTTGATTTGTGTTTCCTGATAAATAGTAATGTTAAGAATTTATAATGTACCTGTTGAACATTTAAAATGTCTCTTCAAGTCCTTTGCTCATTTTTAAATTGGGTCATTTGTTTTTGTGCTATTGAGATGTAATATTTCTGGATGTTTTTTAACTTGTATTTTAAGTTCAGGGGTACATGACCAGGTTTATTACATAGGTAAACTGGTGTCATGGGGGTTTGTTGTACAGAATGTTTCTCACCCAGGTATGTAGCCTAGTACCCATTAGTTATTTTTCCTGATCCTCTCCCTCTTCCACCCTCCATCCTCCAAAAGTTCCACGTGTGTGTTTTTCCCCTTTCTGTGTCCATGTGTTCTCATCATTTAGCTCTCACTTATAAGTGAGAACATGCAGTATTTGGCTTTCTGTTGCTGTGTTAGTTTGCTAGGCACTGTGGCCTGCAGTTCCATCCATGTCCCCGCAAAGGACATGATCTCATTCTTTTTTTATGGCTGCATAGTATTCCATTGTGTATATGTACCACCTTGTTTTTATCCAGTTTATCATTGATAGGCATTTAGGTTGATTCCATGTCTTTGCTATTGTGAATAATGCTGCAATGAACACATGTGTGCATGTGTCTTTATAATAGAATGTTTTATATTCCTTTGGTTATATACCCAGTAATGGGATGGCTGGGTTGACTGGTATTTCTGTCTTTAGGTAGCACTTTTCAAAAGAAGACATAGATGCAGCAGTTCTTTATTGTAACTCTTGAGTCATTCAAAAATAATTTCGTTTCAGAGCACCAACAATGTCTATTTAGTATAAGTAAAGTTACATTAAAACTTTCAGCTAACATCAAAGGACCCAAAGTGCTTCTGTATATTACAGAAGTGAAGAATTATACGTGTACTCAAATATACAGAGCTCCAGTTCATATATGAAAAAAAAACTATTTTACCTTCTTTAATACACATTTGAAAAATATATTTTAAAACTGAAAGGACTGTATGTTAACAATTAACTATGTGCATGGAAATATGGGCAAACCTATATTCTTAACTGTGAATTTTTTAAAACCACGTTTTGTAAATACTTTGTAGACATTATTTTATATATAACTCTTTGCCTCCTTCCAAAGTAGATAACATATGCATCAGAAATGACTTGATTTTATCTTATTTTTCTTAATATGAAAATTTTAGGTTTAAAATATGAACTACATAATCAAAAGATGACTTTTAAATCCATGAGATACATATATATATATATATATATATATATATATATATATATAGTGTGTGTGTGTGTGTGTATACACACACCATAGAATTGATTGATTGCATTTATATATCACATTAATATTTTCCATTATTTTACCTTAGTTCTGTGGGTCTTACTGTCATGGAAACATTTATTCCCCATTGTAATCACTGCTGGTGTAAAATACAGCTGCCTAACAAATGTACAGTGGAATAGGTTCTTTTTAGCATCTGTTAAATCTCAACAGTGTATAACTGTTCTTTTTAGAGTGCATTAATCATGGAAGAGTGAGACAGAACTAAAGAGTTTAGCCCTTTTGGACTCCCTTTGTATCTAATTTAAGCATGTATGACCCATTGCTTTCATTGTTGTGCTTACAACAGCTGTTTCTTATTATTAAGAAAAGCAGCTTTGCGTGCAGAACATAAAACAATAAACGCTAGCCATGTGGATACAGTACATTTGCTTCTAAAGTTTATAAATATACACTTAATAAAAAAGTAAGGTGATGGTAACCATATTTCACAGAGAACAAATGGTACCACTTCAGGCAATAAAGTCTAACACCTCCTGATCAAAAGAAAACAAAATACTAAGTTTAACAATCCCCAACATTGCAAAAATTTGTGCAATTAATAAAATAAAATTACTTGGAAGGAGGTTAAAGGATGAGGTAGGTTCCTAAGGATTGTGGTATAGAGAGAGCATGTTTAGAGTTTTTCCTCTTAGAAAACCACATAATGTAACTTCTAGATACCATTGGGAAGTGTAGAAATTACAGAAATGTTGTTGAGTGAATACAAGTGCTTATGCTGGAGACCACAAACCTTACTTGTATGTGTGTCAATTTATAAAAATATTTTGGAAACACTTTTTTTCTCATTCAATTTGTAAGTGAAATTCTATTACCTTAATAATCATAAGTATTAATAAATATGTTGATGATTTATTCTGTACTTTAAAATTCCCCTGCATGTTGAAAGTTCTTAAAGCACAAATCACTGAGGCAACTTTAGAATTTTTTTGGATAGAAAACTAACCAATCAGATGGAAGTCAAAATAATAAAATAGGTGTTATCAAAACCATAACACATTTTTTAAATAATGCATGTTTTCAGCATTGTGCTATTTTCTTTAATCTCTTTTCAAACTAAAAGTCGGGAAGTTTCTAAGTGTTCTTTGCTGATCTTCACTGGTGAAGTGCTTATATAAGAAAATGTTTCTTTTTACTTCCTAGTAAAAATTCTGGCAGCTACGAGGACTTCAGTAAGCCAATAGTCTATTTTTTTTTTTTTTTGGAGAAATGATAATATTCTACAACGTCTCTTATTTGAGTCCTTTTCAAAATTTTTCTTCTCCAAAGTACATCTCCACTCGCTTGTTAGAGACGGTTTATCTTTTAACTTTTCTGGTTATACCTTATTTGTCATGCTTTCTATTCAAATTTAGTTTCTATAAACACTCAGTTAAAGAAAGTTGTAAGGCTAATACCTATTGTATGAATGTTTGAGAGCTCTTCAAAAACATATACATTTTTGGCCTCAAAATATTATACAATACACTAGTAGATGAATTTGTCTGTGAATTCCGTGAAACAAGAAGCTATGCGCACCCTTGGGTCATAATGACCTGGAAGTAAAAATTGAGTCACATGGTGATAAACAAATTTTTTCTTTTTCCACCCACAATTACAAATACTAGTTCCTCAGGAAGTCTTCCTTCTCACCTTTTAGAGCTCAGGGAGTTATCTAATAAGTGCTGTAAGAGGACAGCTTGAAGCTCTCATCTTCCTCTGAGGGTCAGGATAACTGTTACCCAGACAGACATTTGGTTTGGGGCCATCCACCTGCCAATCCCTTCTCTAACTTAGGCAGCATTGGGCTGAAGCAAGGAGACTATGTCTATTAATAACTTACTTAATCTTGATACCATTCTTTTCTGTGTTATTCCCAAGATAATGCTACATTCTGATCCCAACATCTCACAGAAGTTTGTCTAAAAACAGTTGCATCATTTTTAACTTATTGCACCTGTCTTTCTCTTCCCAGAATTCAGATATGAGTTCATTGGACTGAGCTAAGGGCAACTTTTAATGAGAAACAACAAACTTTTTCCTTCTTAAGAAAGGAAGCTGACCATTGAGGGAGTTTATTCAGAATTCCTTCCTTCTGTCTACTAAGGCAATATTTTACTAGGCATGTGCAGTTGGTTTCTTATTTAATGCCAATTTCACTATCCCATCTCTTCCCATAAGATGTTTCTACATTCTTCATACAAACAAAGTTTTGGTAGCTCACCGTGATCTTCCAGACGTGCAATATAGATTCAAGATGTAACTGTCTGCTGCACATTAATCCTTGTAATTACTGTAGCACCAACCATATTCCTAAACTTAATATACAGATAATTAAATCAAGCTTTGTTTATTAAATAAAATGTCTTTAAAGAATAAAGCAATTATTTATTCTGAATTATGAGTCATTAATAATAGTAACTAACATTGAGTCATTATTGTATGTTATTTATTTATTTATTAGGTGAAGTCTCTCTCCCTCATCCAGGTTGGAGTGCAGTGGCACGATCTCAGCTCACTGAAACCTCCACCTTCTGGGTTCAAGCGATTCTCCTGCCTCAGCCTCCCGAGTATCTGGGATTAGAATCGCCCACCACCACGTCTGCTAATTTTTGTACTTTTAGTAGAGACAGGGTTTCACCAGGTTGGTCAGGCTGGTCTTGAACTCCTAACGTCAGGTAATCCAACCACCTCGGCCTCCCACAGTGCTGGGATTAGAGGTATGAGCCACTGCGCCCAGCCTATTGTATGTTAAAATTCTATATCTGATACTCTCAATATGTGCTACACACCATACTAAGGCCCTTGGGGGAATAATGGTGACCAGAACATTCTCTAAGTAGAATAGAGATCACAGTTTAGTGGAATAAATAATGCTAAACAAAGGAACAAAACAAAAGTAAATATTGGCAGATTTTAAAAATGTATCTGAAGGAATAATAGTTTAATGAGAGAGAATAAAAAAACTGAGCATGAGTGGTCAGGAAAATATAATTTGTGAACCAAAACTAACGGGAATAAAAATGGTCATGAGAAGATCTAGAGGAAAAACATCACAAGTGGGGTCAAAAGGCAAGTAGATTTTGATGAAGGTAAGAGCATGATAGGTTTTTTAATATGACAGAGGGCTGACGTGAACAGAGCAAAGTAAGAAAGTAGAAGTGGGAAGGGCCAGTTAGGCAGGGTCTCATAGGATCTGCCAAGAGGTTTGAATTTTATTATAATGGTAGTAGAAAGACAATATTTTTTTTTAAGGAGGCATAGGTTAGTATTTTAATCTTTGCATTTTCTAAAGTATATTTGACAATCCATCATTCATGATGTTATGCATATTTAAAATAATTAGCTTTGCTCATAAAATTTAAAGTAGGTACACATCGTCCTACTTACATTTGCAAAAGCTTTTGTGACTTGCAATTATACCAATTTCCAAATGAGCCTATGCCACTATTCTTTATGAACATTTCAAATAATAGCTCATTATGAATGCTCATCAACAAATAGGAAGTTTCAAATAAGAATATTCCATCATACTTATTTTTAAATTTATTTGTGTGAAGTCTATGGATGTCTTCTATAAAATAGGCCCTGAATTTTTAGAGAAATGAAGTCCACAGCTTTCTGAGCAGCATTCTTTTATAAGGAAAGCTTTTCTTTTGTTCTTCTCTTACTTTTTAGTTGTTATTTTAATTTAGCAAAAGTATGGACTTGCATATTTTTTCTATTTTGAAATCAATATATTAGATTTAGATTTCATTTTAGTCATTATTCATTTTGATAATCATATTTGTCCAGTTGAGCTGTTTAATCTGACTCCAATGTTGTCTTTTTGACAGATCTCCACTAGTAGGGAGAATTTTCTCACTTTCTTGGACAATAAAATATTCCAGTTAACTTTCAAATTTCACTGTCCCAGACCTGAAACCAGTCATTTCTACTACAAGCACTATTAGTTTAAGTAGGTAGTAGTATCTAGATTTGCCTCAAATATTGCTCATTGCTGATAAGGTGTCTGTTTTCATGCCTTTTTATAATGACTTCACTTCAATGCCTTTAAGTCCAAATCAAATCATAATTCAATATCACTCTTCCTCTCTTTTTCCCACTCCACATTTTTATCTTTTCACCAGAATATGAGCAATTGTTCACAAGAATGTTAATGTTTATTTACTTCTTACTGTAATAAACAAATTTAGCTTAATGTTTTGATGTATAAGATAATAAAATGGTTCTAAATTCAAAATCATTGGAAAAATATATTCAAAAAAAGTGTATCCACATATTTAACACTTCCAATTCACCTCTTGTATTTTTATTAGTTTCCAAAGCCTATTGTTTTTGTATAAACAACTACTTTAAAATATAGTTTCATTTTCATTTTTAATAAAAAGCATATCATATAAGCTGTCTTACCCTATTTTTTAACTTAATAGTATAGCCTGAAAAGCTCTTTATATCAGTTCACAAATATTTTTCTTAATTCTTTATAGCTGCATAATGTTCCAATGCATAAATGTAACTATTTTTCCAGTCAATAACCTATGTATCTTTCCAGATGATTTTCAGGATATTTATAGGAAAATTGCTCCTATAAATAAATGTGTGCCTATGTTTTTATTGTGGTTATTTTCCTTAGTGTATGTTTATTTTTAGGATAAAATTCCTAGAAGCAAAATTGCTAGACCAATGACTAAAAGCAAATGTAGTTTCATAAAATTTTTCCAAAATTCCTCCATAAGGATTGTACCATTGTTCACGCTCACCAGAAATCTATGAAAGTTTGTCTTTTACTTTTCCAGTCTTGTTAGCAAAATGTGTGGTCAGGCTTTTGAAACTTGACTATCTAAAAGGTGAAAAACACATACTGTAATTTTAATTTACATTTATCTTACTATAAGTGAGGTTGAGCAACTTTACATTTATTTTAGGATCAACCGTGGCCATCTATGTTTTTGGCTTATTTTTCTAATACATTTTGGGTCTTCAATCCTCAATTACTTTAATGGTGTTTATTTTGATAGAGAGCTATAGTTTATATGTAAAGAAATGTTAAGATCTTACTTGTACAGTTTCAAGAGACTTGAGGAATATATACTCAGTTATTGCCACCACAGTCAAAGTAAAGAACACTTTCAGCATCCCAGAAAGTTCCCTCCTGACTCTTTCTAGTTAATGGCAATGTCTGCTCCCCAAGGCAAACTATATTTTGACTTTAAATAGCATATGTAACATATGTATTTTTTTGAATTTTATATAAATAGAATCATACTCTGTAACTCTTTTGGTTGGGCTCAGCATTATACCTGTGAGATTAATCAGTGTTCCTCCCTAAAACTTCAATCCCTGACCCTCATGCCTTGGGGCAACAAGTGTGTCAGTAGCTTATTCCTTATATGGCTGAGTGGTATTCCATGAGCAGTTTATCCCTTCTGCTGTTACTTGTTTCCAAATTTGGGGTACTCTAAATTAAGCTACTATTTAACATTCTCATACAGGTCTTTATTGAACATATGCTTTTATTTCTCTTTGATAAATATTTAGGAAAGCCATATAAGAAATTTTTATGTTGGCATGATGTGGAAAAAAGGAAATTCATACACTGTTGATGGGAAAGTAAGTTAGTAAAACCTCTGTGGAAAAGAGTATGGAGATTTCTCAAAGAGCTAAAAATGGAACTATTGTTCAATCTAGCAATCTCACTACTGGGAATCTGCCCAAAAGAAAATAAAATGTATTGTTAAAAATACGCCTGGATTCATATGTTTATTACAGCACTATTCAAAATGCAAATATATGGAAACAAGTGACCATCAATGGATGATTGAATAAATAAAATATAAAATACACCATGGAATAATATACACAATGGCATACAATTCAACCATGAAAAAGAGTAAAATCATGTATTTTGCAGCAACAGGGATGGAACGGGAAAAAATTCAGACACAGAAAGACCAATATCTGATGTTCTCACTTATAAATGGGAGCTAAATAATGTGTACTAATGGAAGTAGAGTGTAAAATGATAGACAATGGAGATTCAAAAGGGTGAAGGAGTGGGAGGGATGGATGATGACAAATTGCTATGAATATAATGTATGTTATTCAGGTGAGGGATACCCTAAAAGCCTTTACTATATTACTATGCGATCTATGCATGCAACACAATTATACTTTTACTCCATAAATATATTCAAATTTATAAAGAAATTTGTATGAAATTTTGAAATGTTTTTCAGAGTTGTTTCACTGTTTTACATCCCAACAAGCTAGATATGAATATTCTAATTATCCCAAATCTTTAGCAACATTTTGTGTTGTCAGTTGTTTAATTTCAGCTATTCTAATGAATAATTATCATATTTCATTGCAGTTTCATGTTGCATTTCCTTGATGGCTAATGACCTTAACAGATTTTTTATGGACTAATAGGCTATTTGACTATCATTTTTTATAAAATATGTATTCAGATTTTTCACCAATATTTTATTACATTGTCTTTTAATTATTTATCTGTAGTGGGGTTTTTTTATATTCAATATGTTAATTTTTTTATACATACACTGTAAATATTTTCTCTAAGTCTATGTTTTCTCTTTTCATTTGTAAAAATTATTTTTTTGATGTGAAGAAATATTTTACATTGTTAAAATCCAGCATGTCACTTTTATTCCTTTATAATTAGTGCTTTTTTATTCTGTCTAAAAAAAATTGTTTTCTACCACAGTGATATTGTTTGGAATTTGTCTCCACCAAATCTTATGTTGAAATGAGATTCCAATGTTTGAAGTAGAGCCTGGTAGTAAGTGATTGGATCCTGGTGGCAGATCCCTCATGAATGGCTTGGCACTATCCCCTTCATGATAAGTGAGTCTTCTCTCAGTTAGTTCACAAGAAATCTGGCTGTTTAACAGTCTGGAACCTTTCCTTTCTCCCTCTCTTCCTTCTGTTCTCCTGTGACATGATGGTTCCCTGCTGCTGTTTTGGTTATACATTCAATTATACATTGATTATACATATGATTTACATTTCCTGAGGTATCACCAGAAGCAGATACCAGCACCATGTTTCCTTTAAAGCCTACAGAACCATGAGCCAATTAAACTTCTTTTCTTTGTAAATTTTCCAGCCTCAGGTATTTATTTAGAGTAATGCAAAACACCCTAATATAACTAGGATAGCAAAATATTTTTCTAAGATTATCTTGTAAGTATAATTTTAGCTTTTTAAATTAAGTCTAGGATCAATCTTTTTCTATATTTGTATAGTTACCAGAAAACAATTTTTTCAAGATATTTCTTTCCCTCAGTTAAACTTCTTTGGAGCCTTTGAAGAAAATAATGTGACCATATATGTATGAGTCTTCCGGCATCTATTCTGTTCCATCACTTTACCTGTCTATCTTTATACCAATATTATGCTTTCTTGATTTTTATAGATTTTTACTGTTTTAAAATCAGAAAATGCATATTTACAAACTCTTCTTTTTAAATAATATTTAGACTATTTTAACACTTTTCAATTCCAAATAAATTTTAAAATCAGTCCATCAGTTTCTGCAAGAAAAAAAAAGTGTGCAATAATTTTGATTTGGACAGCATAAGTTTACATAACAACAAGTCTTCCAATTCATGACTGCAGTATCTTTCCTCATTAATATACATCTTCTTTAATGTAATTATTGTAGTTTTTGATGTAGAAGGTTTAAATATGACATGTCAAACTCATTCCTAAGAATTATGCATTTAATATGTTTAACATTTTTTAAAATTTGTCTTTCAATTGTTTATTGTTCATATAGAAATGCAATTAGCATATTGACCTTGTGTCATACAACCCTGCTCAATCTATGTGTTAGTTTTAGTACACATGTATACATTGCAAAAATTTTCCCATTATCCAATTAGTTCTTCAAGAGTGTCCTTGAGCAAAAAACACCTACATGATGTATATATTCTACATGATCTATATATTCTACTCATGGAATATCCTCATACCCTAGTATGACATTTTTTATTGTTCCATAAAGTTACTTCTGGTTATAGGTTTTCTTTTTATTTAACTGAACTAACTACAATCTCCAGTTTAATACTGAATAGTAAGACAGCTTTGTCAAATCCTTCTGTTACTTGTGATGCTTTTAATATTTAATCATAAAATATACTGTTACTGTGTGTATCCCATATCTGTCTTTTAAATTTTGTTGTTTGTTTATTCCTAATTATGTAAGACTTTAATATGAATGTGTGTTAAATTCTATTAAATTATAACTGTAAATTTGTCACATTACAGCGTCTTCTCTGTTCTACTACTAATAGTGGTCTTGAGTTCAGAATAATAATATAATTCATCAGAAATAGTAGATTTCACACACACTAAGTATACTTACTTTTAAGAAAAAAATATAAGAAATAGCACAGTACGGTTAGTGACGTATGATGATTTAATTAAAATTTTATTGCATTATTACATCAAAATTTTAAGAGGATATTCATGCCAGACACAAGATAAATGGTAATATAGGTGAAGAATATATCCTAGACCAACTACGTAAATGTCATTGTCAAGATTGTTTATTGTATGATAAGTAACAGGTTTGAGATTAAGCAGCTGCATCAGAAAATGACTTACTGTCACATATCCCTGAGGTGGTTATGTGACTGTTAGTTATATATGCCTGATTAGTTAAATAAAAAAGGTGAATGGACAGAATTATTTGGATTCCTTAAGCTATATACATAAACTCACTTCATCTCTCATAACCTTGAATATCCCATATATGATGAGTGGGACATGAACAGCTGTGCTGGGAATCGTGATACCTTTGCTCTCCTATTGCAAGTTTCACTATTTCCTTTTAAAGCTAAGTAAGTTTAGCGCTGCCTGATTCCTATCCTCTTTTAAGAGTCTGATCATCAACTTGAACTTAGGACACTGCTGGTAGAATTAACTAAATTGACAAAGATTACATTTTGATATTTATTATTGTTACATTACCCTTATCATCCTGAAATAAATTCTACATGATCATGATATATTTTATTAATATATTATTACTCTATTTTAATAATATTTAATTACTTTTGCAAACATTCATTTCTTCATGCAATTGTTAATTATTCATGCAAACATTTGCATTTCTGATCATGAATGAGACTGGCCAGTAGATTTATTTGTTTGCTGGCTTATCAGTTTGCTCGTTGATACTCTTTTTTAAAAATATAAATTTAAACCAAGACTGTAAGTTTTGTAAACTGTTTGGATAAGTCTCCATTTCCCCACCTTCAAAATGTTTTATGAAGATGAGAATGATCTCTTTCTTGAATGATTGCTAAAATTTTTTCTAAAACTGCCTTGGCACTATCTTTCTCTTTATAGGTAGAAAATGCACTACCTTCATATATCTCCTGCGTTTATTGATCTCTTGAGGGCCTATGCTTGCTTCTGAGCCAGTTTTAGAAAAGTACTTTCTTTTTCTCAGAAGAGTGACTATTTTGCCTATGTTGTCAAATTTATTGCTATTAAGCTGAACACAATATTGACTTGTTATTTTATCTCTCTTCCTTAAAGCTTCACTTATACACTCTTTTGTCCCAAGACTTACTAGTGTATGCTTTCTCCTTTCTTTTGTAATCACAATTGCAATAAATTTGTTGATTAAATTGTGTTTGTAAAGAATATGAATTTTTATTAATAATTTATACAATTGTTTTTCTAGTTAATTAATTCGGGTTTCTCTATAGCAAATTACTTTCTGGTAATGTCTTTTTATCATTCTTATTTAAAACAAAGCAATCCAAACATTTTTCTATGAGCATTCTTTTGCCTTTGTGCCAGTGGTTTGATAGGTGTTTAGTTCTTGTCTCTTAAAATGTTGCTTGCCTTTAAATATTTGGTTATTCTTGATTCCATTCTTATTGTTGTGTTGCTCATTTTCTGTATGTTAACTGAATCCTATATATATTTACCACAGCTTTTTTGTGTGTATAGAGGACTATGATGCTGTCAAATTTTACTTCAGAATGAATTCATTGATGGAATTAGGAGGGGAAGTTCAACTGCTGCTGGACTGAGCCAGCGTCGCATTCTCTGGAACAGGAATCTCCTGCCTGCTTAGCACTAGCCAACTTTGCCACTGGTCTTTCTCTCTAGTGCATTATCCCACACTATTTTTTGTTTTTGACTACTGTTTCTCTCTTAGTAGCCCTTAAATAAAGTGTCTAATTTTTTAAATTTCATTTTATAATTCTAAATTGTTGGCCGGGCACAGTGGCTCATGCCTGTAATACCAGCACTTTGAGAGGCTAGGTAAGTGGATAACTTGAGGCCAGGAGTTTGAGACCAGCTTGGCCAACATAGTGAAACCCCATCTCTACTAAAAATACAAAAATTAGCCTGGTGTAGCGAATCACACCTGTAATCCCAGGTACTCAGCAGGTTGAGGCATGAGAACCGCTTAAACCTGGGAGGCAGAGGTTGCAGTCAGCCGAGATCACACCACTGCACTCCAGCCTGGGTGACAGAGCAGAACTCTGTCTTAAAATATGTATATGTGTGTATATACATAAACACCCACCATACATACATATATATATATATAGTAGATAGATTAATAGATAAATGTACGTATGTGTATGTCTGTGTGCACATATATGTGTATGTGTGTATGTCCATGTGTATGTATGTCCTATGCATTTTATGAACTCAGAGTGGATGAGGGAATGTATGTTTACAGTCTCATTTGAATCAATATTTTACTTATCTTCAGATTACACTTTTTAAATCAGATTTTAAAATGGCTGTGTTATAGAGTTTAGTAAGTGTTGAGGATTGAGAGCTCAGTATATGCAACATATTTAGTTTCTTTCCTATATTCTAAATCAGTTGAGAGAGAGATACATGAGTAGAGATCAAGTACCAAAGTATAGAACTTATGGATTATGTACACTAGATGTGCAAACACTATGACTGTATTCTTGAATTAAACAGTAGTATTCAACCACCCAAATCCAGGTAGTACCAAAAAAAAAAACCACTGTCCTCTCAAAAAGAGGATACTGGGGGAAGCAAAATAGTTAATGTGCTCTCTGTAGGCAGGCATACATAAAGAGAGGGGAAAGGGAAGAATTTGCAGTACACATTACTAATTTCTGTTCACCATTTACCATTCAGATAATTCACTCCTACTTTGGGACTGGGTGGGTGAATAAGCAGAAAAAAGGGGCAGGATAACTTTACTTTTGGATATTCTTCCATCTGGAAATAGAAGTTGAGAAAAAATGTCTCCCTGTCTTCTTTCATTGAATTACAGATTGTAAGTAGTTTCAAGTTTTAAAAAGCTGGTAAAATGTCTAATCCATTGGTTAGCAGTTCATAAGCAGTATTATAAGTATTCTATAATTACAAGTTCTTCTCATCAGAACGTGGAACTACACGTTCTTCTCATTAAAATGTGGACTATTCTCCAGGACAGACCATTCATTAAGTCACAAAGCAAGACTTAACATATGAAAAAAAAATCACATCAAGTGTTTTCTTAGACTACAGTGGAAGAAAACTAGAAATAAATAATAACAAGAACTTTTGAAACCATATGAATAGTGGGAATTAAACAACGTTCTCCTGAATAATAATTGAGTCAATGAAGAAATTAAGAAAAATATTTTAAAATTTACAGGAACAAATGAAAATTGAAACATAACATACCAAAACCTATCAGAGCAAACAACAGCAGTGTTAAGAGGAAAGTTTGTAGTAATAAATGGCTATGTCAAAAAGGTAGAAAGATTTCAAATAAAAAAACTAATGATGCACATCAAAAATTAGAAAAGCAAGAACAGGGCACTGCATACACAAACCTATGTAGCACATCAAAAGCAGTGCTAAGAAGGAAACAAAGGCTGGGCATGGGGGCTCACACCTGTAATCCCCACAATTTGGGAGGCCAAGTAGGGTGGATCGCTTGAGTCCAGAAGGTCGAGGCCAGCCTGGACAACATGGCAAAACACAATCTCTACAAAAAAACTTACAAAGAATAGTTGGGCATAGTGGTGTGTGTCTGTGGTCTGCATCAGTGAGCTGTGATTGTGCCACTGCACTTCAGCCTGGGCAACAGAATGAGGCTTTGTCTCAAAAAGAAAATAATCATAAATAAAAAGGAGGAAATGTATAGCAAAGAAAGATTCCCTACATCACAAAAAGGTAAAAAAAAAAAAATCAAATAACTTAATGAAGTACCTCAAGGTAGAAAGGAAAATGAAGCCAAATGCAAAATTAGTAAAAGAAAATAAATAATAAATATCAGAGTTACTAAATGAAATAGATACTTAAAAATACAAAGAATCACTAAAACAAAATGTGTTTTTTCAATAAACAAAACTGATAGATTTGTAGCTACACTAAAGTAAAAAAGAGAGAAAGCTCAAATAAATAAAATCAGAAAAAAAATAGTAACATTACAACTGATTCACAGTAATAGGATTATTAGAGACTATCCTGAAGAACTATATACTGATGAATTGAAAAATAATACTATTATGAAGAACTATACACATACATATTGGAAGACCTACAGGAAATGGAAAAATTTCTGGACATATATAACTTACTAAGATTGAACCAAGAAGAAAAAGAAAATGTGAACATGTTAATAAGTAACATGATTTAATCAGTAATGAGAAGTCTCCCCAGACAAAAGGCCAGGACTGAATGGCTTAATTTCTGATCCTCCTAAACTATTGAAGGAGAAGAAACACAAACTATTCTCAAACTATTTTGAAAAATTGAAGAGGTGGAAATTCTTTTCTGATTTATTTTATGAGGCCAGGATTACCTTCGTATCAAAATCAGACAAGAACAGAATAAAGATATAAAACTATAGCACAGTATACCTGATGAAAATAGATGCAAAAAAAGTTTAACAAAACATTAGCAAATGAAATCCAAGTAGATATCAAAATGATAATAGACTATAATCAAATGGGATTTATCCCAGTGATACAAGCATAGATCAATATATGCAAATTGATATGTTATACATCTCATCAACAGAATGAAGGGAAAAGTATGATTATCTCAATATATGCAGAAAAACCATTTAATGAAATTCAACATCCCTTTATTTTAAGAACTCTTAAAAAATGAGGCATAGAAGGACTATATCTCAGCATAATAAAGGCCATATAAGACAAATCCACAGCTAACATCATATTGAATGGAGAAAAGCTAAAGCCTTTCCTCTAGGAAGTAGAACAAGATAAGACTATCCACTTCCAAATGCCCATCAATGATATACTGGATAAAGAAAATAAGGCACATAGACACCATAGAATACTATGCAGCCATAAAAAAAGAATTAGTTCATGTCCTTTGCAGGGACATAGATGAAGCTGGAAACCATCATTCTCAGCAAACTAACACAGGAACAGAAAAACAAACACTGCATGTTCTCACTCATAAGTGGGAGTTGAACAATGAGAACACATGGACACAGGGAACAGAACATCACACACAGGGGCTGGTAGTGGGGAGGGGGCCAGGGGAAGGATAACATTAAGACAAATACCTAATGCATGCAGGGCTAAAAACCTGGTTGACGGGTTGATGGGTGCAAAAAGCCACCATGGCACATGTATACCTATGTAACATACCTGCATGTTCTGCACATGTATCCCAGAATTTAAAATATTATATATATATATATATACACTCAGATTTGATGATTACATATTTTATAGACTTATCAAAATATCATTCTGCACCCCACAAATATACTCAATTATTATATGTAATCTAAAAATTATATATATATTCACTTTCACCAGTCTTATTTAACATAGTCCTGGAGGTCCTAGCCACAGCAATTAGGCAATAGAAAGAAGTAGAGGACACCAAAATTGAAGAAGGTAAAGTAAAATTATTCCTCTTTGCAAATGATATGTTCTTATGCATACAAGAACCCAAACACTTCTATCAAATCTCAGATGTTAGAAAATTCAATGAAGTTACAGGTTAAGAAAAAATCACCATACTAAAAACAGTAGCATTTGTATACATGAATAACAAAGTATCTGAAAAAGAAATCAAGAAGATAATTTCATTGACAATAGCTACTAGAAAAAAATACTTGAAAGAAATTTAATCAAGGAGCTGAAATACCTCTATAATAAAATCTGTAAAACAGTGATGAAATAAATTACGGGGGACACAAACAAATGGAAAGGCAGCCCATATACATGGATTAGGAGAATTTTGTTAAAATGACCATATACTTCACAAAGCATTCTACAGATTCAATGCAATCACTATCAAAATAGCAATAACATTCTTCACAGAAATATAAAAAACAAATCCCAAAATTTGTATGCTTAAGTGTTCCTTTTTCTTCACAACCTCACCAGCATCTGATAATTTTTGAATTTTTAGTAATAGCCATTTTTACTGGTGTGAGGTGGTTCCTCATTGTGGTTTTGATTTGCATTTCTCTAATGATCAGCGATGCTGAACTTTTTTTCATATGATTGTTGGCTGCATGTATGTCTTCTTTTGAAAAGTGTCTGTTCATGTCTTTGCCCACTTTCTTATGGGGTTCTTTGCTGGGACCTTTTGCAGGAGGGAGAGAATCAGCAAAAATAACTAATGGGTATTAGGCTGAATACCGAGATGATGAAATAATCCATACAGCAAACCCCCATGACACTAGTTTACCTAAATAGCAAACCTGCACTTGTACCTCCAAACTTAAAAGTTTTTTAAAAAGTGTAAAATCAAAAAAGTTTCCAAGCAGCCAAACCAATACTGAGCAAAAAGAACAAAGCTGGAGGCATCACACTTCATAATTTCAAAATATACTTTAAAACAATAGTAAACAAAACAGCATGTTATTAGTATAAAAACAGATGCATAGAGCAATGGAGCCCAAAAATAAATTCATGTAATTACAGCCAATGGATTTTAACAGCTGTGCCCAGAACATACATTGGGGAAATATCACACTCTTCAATAAATTGTGCTGGGAAAACTAGATATCATATGCAGAAGAAAGAAACTAGACCACTATTTATCATCATATACAAAAATTAATTCAAAATTTATTAAAGACTTACATTTAAGACCCCAAACTATAAAACTACCACAAGAAAACAAACAAACAAAAAACAATTCAGAAAGTTGGTCTAGGCAAAGATTTCATGACTAAAACATCAAAAGCACAGTCAAGAAAGGCAAAAATATAAAAGTGGGACTATAGTAAACTGAAGAATTTTGCACTGTGAGGGAAACAATCAACAGAGTAAAGAGACAAGCTATAGAATGGGAGAAAATATTTGCAAATTATTTATCCAACAAGGGACTAATATCCCGGATATACAAGGAACTCAAACAACTCAACACCAAAAAAAAAAAATAGTGTGATTAAAATGTGGACAATGGATCTGAATAGACACTTCTCAACAGAACACATGAAAATGGTGAACAAATACATGAAAAAATGCTCAACATCACTAATCACCATGGAAATGCAAATGAAAATCACAATGAGATTTCATTCATCCCAGTTAGAATGTCTATTATCAAAAAAAAAGTGAAGATGAGGAGAAAATGAAATGTATACACTCTTGTTCAGAATGTAAATTAGTATAGTCATAGAAAACGACGTGGTGATTTCTCAAAGTACTAAAAAACTAAAAATAGAACTGCCATATGATATAGAAATCTCACAATAAATCTCAATGTATTGCTGTATTTATACATTGTAAATATATAAATGTATACAATGTATAAATACAGCAATAAATACTACTTTTGCATACTTTTTCAAAGGGAAGTTAATTAATATAACAAAGGGATACCTGCAGCCCCATGTATATTGCAGCACTATTCACAATACTAAAGATATGGAATCAACTAAAATGTCCATTGATGGATTAATTAATAAAGAAAATGTGGTATATATACACAATTGAATGTAATTCACCATAAAAAGAAAATCTGTCATTTGTAGCAACATGGGTCAGCTTAGAGGACATTATGTTAAGCAAAAGAAGTCAGGCACAGATAGATAAATGCAGTATGTTCTCACTTACATATGGGAACTAAAAACAAATATGAGGTTATCAAAGTAGAGAGTATAATTGTTGGTATTACACGCTGGGAAGGGTAGCAGGTAGGGAAGGATGGGGAGAGATGGGTTAGCAGATACAAAATTACAGCAATAAAGGATGAATGATTCTTGGTCTTCTGTAGCACTGTAGGGTTAATATAGATAATATAGATAATAGATAACTGTAGGGTTAATATAGATAATCCTATAATTTATTGTTTATTTTCAAAAAGCTGGAAGAGGGCATTTTGAATATTCCTAGCACAAATGATAAATATTTGAGTGATATATATGCTAATAACTCAGATTTGATGATTACATATTGTATAGACATATCAAAATATCATTCTGTACTCCACAAATATACTCAATTATTATACGTAATCTAAAAATTAAAGAAAAATATTGAAAGGAGGACACTGGTAACGTTTTCTAGAACAGGTGATACATCAAAGGTTGCAAGGAATTAAGAAAAAGCTATGTATAAAATAAATGGAAAGCACCTCTCTGCATCTCTTAAAAATAAGTCATATACTCACAACCATCAGGACATGTATTTAGAGCTATTTTTCTTTCAGTGGTAATATATTTTGTTGAGTCATTCATGCTTTATTCATGGTGATACTTTATCTTAATTATAGCATACTAACAACATGATTAGCATCAATCAACAATTTAGCTTGTCCTGGAATTGGTTTTACAACAACTCCCTGTAAATGTAACCAACAGAGCTAGCCCCTTTTTCCCTCTTTCTTTATGTCATTCCTTCTCTCCTTCCTTCCTTCCTGTATTTTATGTATTAAGAGTATTTGTTGCTAAAGAAAGAAAAAAACCTTCTCATAAATAATTTCCTTCATACTCTTTGATTGTCCCTTACAAGATAGATTTGTTACAGTGAATATAACAGTGAATTTTCACAAAGAAAATTTGGGGTAAAATAAATGAGACATGAAATAGTAAATTTCATAAATACTCCAAAATATGATGACAGGATTTAATGGAAAAAATATTTTGATACCTGTGTCCTATCAAAAGACATCTGTATTGCAAGTCTGGAACTTCATCCAGTATCCTCCGAATATTTTGGAATACTTTCTAACATTTTGTGTGTTTCAGAAGAGGGTACTTCAAACTGCTAGATTCCACTTTTGACATCGTTTGAGAGCCAGACAGTGCTCGAGAATTCTTTTTCACTCTAAGACTGTCCTTACCTAATGATTCACAGGCATGTGACAGAAAGTTAGAAAACCCAGCCTCTTTGCATTAGGTTAGTTTAACTTAGAAGTGAAACTTGAATTCTAGGGTTCTTCTATGGGATCAGGTTTAAGGTACCTTCTGAATGATTTCACTTGAGGTCTTATTCTTGCTTGACTTCCTCCTGTTTTCTGTTCTATTTCCTACATTTCCTTATTGGCCACCCACTTTTTATGACTCCAAAAGGCATCATTCCCACTAAATAAAATGTGAATACTGTCTCAAAATGTGTGCAACATAGCAATCCCAAATAGCAGAAAAAAAAAAAAACAAAAACTGGTGGGTGGGACAAGAGAAAAGTGAACCATTTATCTTTCCCAATAGATTTGAAGCAGGAAAGAGAGAGAGAGATCATTTACAAATTGAGATGATCAAACAATTTTTGGTACCTAAGTACCATAAAAAAATTTATATTTATAGTAGACAACTTCGAAGATAGCCTACCATGATATTGACTATCAATATTTATCCCCTTGTGTAATCCTTTCCATTTACATGTGAACTAGATCCGGTGATTTGTTTTTAAATGGATAAAATATGGCAAAGGTGATGGGACATCACAACTGAGATTAGGTTCCCAAAGACTGCAAGTTCTGTGTTGCTGGCATTCTTTCTCTGACCTCTTGCATGCTCATTTCAATGAAGCCAGATACCATGTTAAGAGCTGACATATGGAGAGGCCTACATGGCATGGTCAGAAAATTATGAAAGCCTAATTTTCAGCAGTTTTTAAGAAATGAAGGCCTCAGTTCAACAGAATGCAAGGAAAGAAATTCTGATAACGAGGAGTAGAATGAGCTTGGAAATGTGTCTACCCCCAGTCAAGCCTGCAAATGAGACTACAGCACTGGCCAACATCATAGCTGCAGTGTTGTGAAAGATCCAGAATCTGAAGATCTACCTGAGCCATGTCTCAATTCCTGACTTACAGAAATGGTGAGATAATAAACATTGTTATTTTAAGACACTAAGTTTTGGCACAATTTGTTACACAAAAACAGCAATAGATAATTAAATGTTAACTCTGCCTTAGATTTCATCTACAGGGAAAGGACGATATCACCCCAGAACTAAATGTGAGGAACAGTGTAAGACAAAGATAACAAATATTGTTTTCTGTTTTACTCCAGGAAATCTACTCTGTCAAAGTAACCATTGCAAAATCTGAATAAGACACTCTGATTTTAAGCATCTTACAATCTCACAAGGAAGTTTTACACCAAAGTTCTGATAAATAACCAAACAATTAGTACTACAGAATTCCCAAACCCTATTTTTATAATGTATAAAAGCATAGAGGGCATTAAGTTTTTATTGTAGTCTGTAGTTCAGAGCACCCACTGCAGATAAATTGTCTCTATTTAAAGATCATCTGAGTATCCCACAGTTGTTTCTGTTTCCATCATGTTGACACTCATATAAAATTCACACATGTGCGCACATGCACACAGACTTGCACGCGCCCTCCTGGAACCATTTAAATTTAGAAGACTATATTGAAGATTGGAATGGTGGTGGGAAGAATAGAATATTTATTTATATCCAAACAACATACATTGATTTAAGTAGAAACATAGAGAGCCAGTAATTACAGTTCAGATTTCCCTCCAGTAAGACATATTCAAAAACTGTTTTATGTTATCTGATCTCCAGTTCCATGTCATCTCAACATTTAATTATCTAGTCAACGGCCTTTGTTCCTTCTTTCTTAAAAACAAAAATTAATGTTTTATATTTTCTTACAAAGCATATTTAGTCTCTCCCTTTAGTTTCTGAGGCCCTTAGCTAAATACCTATATGGTAAAGGTCAATCTCTCCACTCTAGATGCTGATTAGAGTATTTTCCTATAAAAACATAAAGATATGTATTTAAATTGTTTCAAGGTGCTACTTTTCACCTTGAATTGGACCTTGTTTATTCTCTAGTTGAGGTAGGAATTATGAACACTGAATTGTGCTGTCCATATACCCTCCCCTTTTTTTAGGATGGAAGCATTAGTTCCTCCAACTCTGCTTAGAGTGTCACAACTGAACCTGACAGCTGAAAGCAACTTCTTTATTGTCATGGATGATAATGGTATACATAAGAGAGTCGCCTTATCCAAATTTGGGACATCTCTTCCAAGTCATTGGTGCAGCCTGCACACAAATCTTTGCCTCAGAGTTTTATTCCTGGCAAGCTTAACTTGCAAATATTGGCAAAATACAATTGAGGATTTGATGATGTTAATGAGGTGGATTTTGGATATGATGGACTGTGTACTGTTAGACATTTAGTGTAAATTGTGCACTAGGCAGCTGAGAAAATAAATACAAGAGAAGACAAAGTTGAAGATAGAGATTTTGTAGTAATCAATGCACTGGATATATTTTCAATCACAGTAGTTAAGTATTTCCTTCACATTGAAAAACACTTGTTTTTTTGGTTTCCAGGACCACCAAAATTGGTTTTCTCAGAACTTTCTTTTTAAGTTCATTACTTATTCTATCTCTGCTTATTTAGCAGTCTAATTAATTCATATACTCAATAATTTATTCAAATAATATTTGTTGAATTTCTATATGTGCCAGAGAGGATCTAAGATATTGTTGACAATAACACAAGGCATTTTTAAGCTGATCGTTAGAAGAAGGCAGCCATCATTGGTGTAACAGAATAGTAATCCCAGTGTGATGGTTAATATTGAGTGTCAACTTGATTGGATTGAAGGATGCAGAGTATTGTTATTGGGTGTGTCTGTGAGGGTGCTAGCAAAGGAGATTAACATTTGAGTTAGTGGAATGGGAGAAGCAGACCCCACCTCAATCTGGGTAGGCACTATCTAATCAGCTGCCAGTGTGACTAGAATAAAGCAGGCAAGGAGTTGGAAAGACGAGACTTACTGAGTCTTCCAGCCTTCATATATCTCCCATGCTGGATGCTTCCTGCCCTTGAACATCAGACTCCAAGTTCTTCAGCTTTTGGACTCTTGGACTTACACCAGCGATTTGCTAGGGGATTTCAGGCCTTTGGCCACAGACAGAAGGCTGGACTGTCAGCTTCTCTATTTTTGAGGTTTTGGGACTCAGACTGGCTTCCTTGCTCCTCAGCTTGCAGACTGCCTATTGTGGGACTTCACTTTGTGATCATGTGAGTCAGTACTCCTTAATAAACTCCGCTTCATATATACAGCTATGCTATTAGTCCTGTCCTTCTAGAGAACCCTGACTAACACACCCAGCAAATATTCTAATGTGTAAATTCATTTGGTGTGTTCGGCATCACAAATGAGGCCAGTGGGAAGTACTCAATGGGGTACAATATATGGAGATGAGCTAAAGAGACTGGCATGTGTTATACAATATAGGGCTTTAGATCATGCTATGAAATTTGTTCTTTCTTTTAATATCACTGGGAAGAAATTGGAAATGTTATGCAATACATAATTTTTTTTAATTTTTAGAAAAATGTACTGAATACCTGCTCTGTGCTAGTTCATATCTTTTAGTGCTGGGATGCGATGGAGAATAAAAAATATTTTCTACTTGTCTTTTATAATACATTCTCAGAAAAAAATAGGCAATAAATAAATAACCAAGCAATTTTGAAATAAAATATTAGGTAATAATAAATCTCATGCAAAGAAATGACAAATGATTATAAGCAAATAAATGACTTTTAGAACAGTGATCTTGGATAAGTCCACCTTAGTTGAGAGTGTAGCAAGAAAAGAAAAGAGATGAGAATAGAAGAAAGGAAATCTCAACAAGATCCTCTCAATTGAGAGGAAAGAAGAAAGCCCAATTTGAATAGTTTGAGAACAGTATAAAGTGGTGAAAAGCGTAGGTCTAAGTTTATGGATAACGTTGTGAAAACTTTTCCTGGGGATGGAAAAAATATGTGGTAGCTTGAGTTGGACAGGCATGTGGAATCCAAGGCATTTTTCTTATGGTTCTATTATGTACTTTGTTCACTGATGAAAGATGTTCTTAATGGTGGAAAATATGGTGACATGGCAAAGAACAGAAATAATTTTAGAGGCCAAATTCTAAATTATGGTTAAGAGAGTGTGTGCCAAGGTAGAAATTGAGGAACTAGCAATCAACAGAAAGAGGGTAACTTCACTGTAACAGAAGAGACACCTCCAATTAAGTAAGAATAGCTTCACAAAATTAACAGATACAAAGTGAGCTCACTTGGTTTCCTTCAATCTCATTCTATTTCCTACCTCAATAAGTTGCTAGAATTAACTAATTGTCCAAGACAGAAAAACAAATGACAATCTTGAAATCCCTTTCCCTAATCACTAAAACCTAACAAAACCATCTATATTTTCCCTAAACCCCCCACATTCAGTGAGCCATACTGGTGAGGTGGGGATAGGTTTTTAACAAGGTCTGAGTATCAGCACTTGGGGATGCTTCCTTGTGACAGTGGCTGCTCTTTACACCTGCAGTTTTTATATTCATTAGTGTTCTCTTTACTTCTTACTGGTCAATTGCTCATTACTCCAGTTCCCTCTTTTAGTTAATAATTCTATAAAATAAAATTTCCTCTTCAAACTTCTATGTAAATTCTCTTTCCCAATTTTAATCTGACTATAAATCCATAAACATGAAATTCTAAACCAGAGTTACTAAAGACAGATTCATTTTTCTTTCCACTAGATGTAATATTTATTCTATATTGACCAACATTCTATATTTTCATTGAACTGTGAACTTCTGATTCATATTAATGTGTTGCTTAGTGATCAGAACTTTTAAAATGATAATGCTTATTACCTATGTGGATCTAAGTTTTGTCATGCAGTTTACTTAGTGATTAGAAAAGTCATTCACTTAATAAATGTTGAATGCGCACTTGTCATATTATTGTATTGTTTTAGGTCCTAGAAATAGAGAAGTGAATTAAACAGATAAAGTCTCCAATCTCAATAATTACCTCTGATTTAAAAACATAGAGCCATAAGTTCTACTACTGACGTTTCGGGTGCCACAGCAATTTTGGGGATGTGTATAGGCTGTGAGTTCTTAGGATCATAAACACTCATGTGAAAAATTCATACATTTCTATAAACTGTATTATTTAACATGTCATATTTTCTACACCTACGAAACCTGCACCAGCTAAGTTTATACATACTACCAGTAGAAATAAAAAGCTAACAAATATGGAATTATATGTTACAGTTTCTTTGGGATTTTTAAAATCATATACTAAAGAACATAAAAAAGGGGTTTGGCTCCTTTTCTTTAAGAAGAGAAAGATTACGGTACCTACAGTGATGTTTTTTATTCACGCAAAGTCACATTCAAAATGTGTATTATACTATGATGCAAGTTTGTAAGTTTCACCTATGGCAGATGAGAAATCCTTATGGGCTATATTGCCCATAGCTACTTCTATCCCATTCTGTTTCTTTTTGAAAATTATTATAAAAGAAGGATTATTTCTGCTCAGAACTAATGATCAACTTAAAAATGTTTTCATAAAAGTTCCCTATTTTTGTGGAAGTTACTAAAACCTTGATCTTTACACCACTATATTATAAAGATAATTGCTTGTGATTAATCTGCCTGATAGGATTGAAGAGATAACAGTTATATGATTAAAATATGTTTAATTAAAAATATATAAATTATAATCAAATAACATGCAAATTTTTGCACTTTATGTTCATGTTTTATTATGTTATTTTATATTATTCTTTTTAAATGTGAATGAATATTGGCATTCAGTTTTGCAATCGCAAATGTGACATTTTAAAGAAATATATGGTCAGTCAGGCTCAAAGATCAGCTTCCAGTCCTTTACACCAAGTTTCTCCTTCTTAAATTTTTTGTTAAAATCAACATTTTCTCTTACTATGATATTTTGCATCTTACTCTTAGAGGCCATCTTCTTATATTATTTAGAAGATGCTAAACCACTGTCTAACAATTTTTTCCCTGTAATAAAGTATTGTCAAAATTTTCATACAAAACTATCCAACAAGCCACTATTTGTTCCTCTTTCTAAATCAGATAACATAATTTTATCAACATCTAAGCAAAGAAATAGTATCTACTACTACATATTTATATTATAAAACTCATTTCCCTTCACATCTTATTTTGTTAGCCACATTTGAATTTTTGGTAGCATCATTGTCTCAAACATCCAGGATTGAATCATTTCATCTACAATTTCTCTCTTTTTCTTATTTTCCACATGTGCTAAATTTTATATTCCACTTTAATCACACACTTTCCATCACCACACCATCATTACAAATCCTTACATAATTTATGCACAGTCATTATGTCCTGGGTACCCAGCACTGTTGGAGCTGGGGATGCCTTTTGAACCTATAGCCTAGTAAAGCAGTCTTTTTGAGTCTCTGGATATTTTTCTGCTTATTTTCTATGATGTTTTATTATAAGTCTGTTAAGTTTCCTTTACTTATTATTACTAGTTTTTATCCAGGAGAAACCTCATCTGTTCATTTGCTGAAGAGAAGAGTTAATTAAGCTTTTTTAGCTTGCTAGTTTGATTTTGGGTAATTCATTGTGCACTTAGGTGGGGGTGAAGTCCATCTCCAAACTACATGTGAAAAGCAGTGTAATATGCAGCTTCTCAGTTCAACTGCCAACTATGATTATTCTCCTGTCCCCATTGCCTGGGTCTCAAGCACTGAAAGGTAGCAAATGAGAGTTCATATAATTTTGACCACACACTGTCCAGACTTTTCGGCCTCTTACTTGTCTAAAGAACTTTATTGTTAAATTTTACACCTTTCAGGAAGCAATATGGTATCACCAAACACTTGATATTTCCTGCCACATTAATTGGTAGAAGTTGCATTTTTTGAAAAGATGTCAAGTAATGTTGGAGAGACAAGATTAAGTAACAGTCACCTAGAACAGATGTTTACTTTAAAAAGGTAGCAGCAGGAGAGAGAAGAAAGATGATTCCCAAGTTTTCTGTTTGGCACAAACTCTGATTTTTCTGAATCAAGAGGAGAGAGTGGAAAACAAACAAACAACAACAAAAACCACTCATGGCACCATGTCTCATGAGGTGATGAGACAGTCTGTCACTGATGGTGTTTATAACTGTAATTTATATTAATTGATACTTAACACAATTTCTATTAGTTTTCTGTTGATCTTAGATATTGCACTTTAAATAAATTTCAGGTGTTCATGTTCTGGGAATATTTAGATGAAAGTAGAAAGAAATTGACTCCATTTTAATCCAGGAAGTTACCCCCTTCCTTTTTTTATTTTTAACAGTGTAAATATTGAAAAGTTTTATACTTTTTTTCCTTTGAAGATTCCAGTCTTTAGTTAATTTATTCATAGTGCCATCTGTTTTTCCCCCTTTACTTTTTTAGAATACCATGAAAGGAACACGTTTTAAAACTTTAGTTTAATAAAGAGAAAAAGAAAAACAGAAAGAGAGAGAAAGCAGATGAACTCACCCATGAACATGTACGGAACACAGCTGTGTTTGCTTTCTTTTGTATCTTGAAACACCAGCCTGATATTACCTTTCTCTTTGTTTCTTTTACAAGAATGTTGCCATAGATTGCCAATAAGACATTTTTGGACCACTTTTAAAGCATAAGGGAAAAATATACCCATATTGTCAAACAACTTTATTTTCTCTTTATCCTGTAGTTCAATTTGTGATCATATGCATTACAGTAGGAATGTATACTTTGAATAAAATATGATTTGTGTTCTTATGTAAATATGCTCACAATTGATCTATAACATGGGAAGCACTACTTGTTTCATAACACTACATTTAAAAGCCTAGAGATAATTGTCGATAATGTCAATATCATTTTAATATATTGTTAGGAATATATTACTTTAGCATAATGCATCCTATCCATATTTTAAGGCAACTTTATTAAAAATAAAAATAGATATTTCTCTCTGTTGAAGTTCTACCACAGACGTAAAATGAATTTTAAAAAAACAAAACAAACAAAGACACATCTCAAGATGGCTTAGTAGAATAATGGGATGAAATGAGGTGTGTGATAAACACAGCATGTCCTTGGGGAAGGAGTGAACAGACCACATCTCTAACACAGCTTGTGTTTGGGAATTAACAAAACAAAATTTCCAAGTAGGCCTGATTCAGAAAAACAGGAAATCCTATATCTTAAAAAATTACAGAATATTATCACTTTTCATATTTCCTAAAGTTTTCCATGTTACTTGTAAATGTAACATGTAACCAATTAGATTATTCCTGGCCTAAATATGTGGTGGCAAAAACAACCTAAGAATTAAATAACCATTTCGATGCATTTTCATGTAGTTGACTATACATTTGTCTAAAATATAATCAGAATATTTTAATGTTGTACTACATGTATAATATATGTTCACTGTAGAAAATTTAGAACATACTAATAAGCAAAAAAAAGCAACAAAAACACTCAATATTTTTGCAGAATAACCAAGAAAATAAGTAGTAGAAAGTAATTATTTTTTCTAATTTAGTTCTTGGTTTAATACATTTGTTATATATTAAACATTGAATAAGTAATCTTTATTAAATAAATGAATAGAAACATATAACATAAATTATAGAAGTTATTACATTTTATTTTATCTACATAGTCTTTATACTTTAATTTCATGATCTTTTATAAAAATATACTTGAACAACAACTGCTGAATAACAATAATCATGTATCAATTAATTTGTATAAAGTACCATTTTAAGGGTTTAAGGAAACCCAATTAGATAGGTATTCTTTTTAGATGTGATTTTAGTTCTTCGAACATATGTATTCATTTATTTATTTTTATTATACTTTAAGTTCTAGGGTACATGTGCACAACGTGCAGGTTTCTTACATATGTATACATGTGCCATGTTGGTGTGCTGCACCCATTAACTCATCATTTAGCATTAGGTATATCTCCTAATGCTATCCCTCCCCCCTCCCCCCACCATATGACAGGCCCCAGTGTGTGATGTTCCCCTTCCTGTGTCCAAGTGTTCTCATTGTTCAATTCCCACCTATGAGTGAGAACATGCGGTGTTTGGTTTTTTGTCCTTGCGATAGTTTGCTGAGAATGATGGTTTCCAGCTTCATCCATGTCCCTACAAAGGACATGAACTCATCCTTTTTATGGCTGCATAGTATTCCATGGTGTATATGTGCCACATTTTCTTAATCCAGTCTATCACTGATGGACGTTTGGGTTGGTTCCAAGTCTTTGCTATTGTGAACCAAAACACAAATAGGCAAAATGTCTTGCCCAAGTTTACACAGCTATTATTAAGTGTTAAAAGCAAGATTTGATTATAAGCACCTGGATCAAGAATCTGTCTCTATAAATATTTATTCTTATACAGATAATTGAGAAATTTATAAAAAATGAAGAAGGAGATCTGAAAAGAAAATATAGTGGTTTCAATTTACTACTATTTTTAGGGAGGAAAAATTAGTTCAGAGCTTGTATTGAGGCTAAATTCCACAAAATCTTCCATGACATAACTTTCTATTATTTTGTTCCACCCTGCAGAGTTTATATTCTCCAAGTCTCCTCAAGATTTATTTGGATGCTCCAGACTTGACATCTACATTTTAGTCAATCAGAAAAAGAAAAGGGGGAAAAAGGAGACACAAGCTGTGTCTTAAAAGAACCGTCCTGAATTTTATACACTTCCCTTTTCCTGTATCTCAAAAGCCATATTATACTCAGCCATAGGTAGTCACAAAGGAAACTGGAGTTATTTCAAATGTTATCTTATTCTAAATCAGGAGGAAAACAAATCTTAGGTTTGAGTTAGCAGTCTTTTTCATAGGTATATACCTAAATATTATCAAAACTGATACAAAAAAAAAAAACGTTCCCAAGTTTACTTAACTATTAAGTGTTAGAGCTCAATTTGATATAGCAACATGCTCATTTCAATAAAGTAGCAAGAAGTACAAAGGAAAAATAGTGTTGGCCGGGCACGGTGGCTCATGCCTGTAATCCCAGCACTTTGGGAGAGCAAGGCAGGTGGATCTCCTGAGGTCAGGAGTTCATGATCAGCCTGGTCAACATGGTGAAACCTCGACTCTACTAAAAATAGAAAAAAATAGTCAGGAGTGGTGGCAGGCACTTGTAAACCCAGTTACTTGAGAGTCTGAGGCAGGAGAATCACTTGAACCCAGGAGTTGGAGGTTGCAGTGAGCAGAGATTGTGCTATTGCACTCTAGCCTGGGTGACAGCGAGACTACGTCTCAAAAAAAAGAAAAAAAAAAAAAGAAAGAAAAATCATGTTGATTGAAATAGGTTTTAACGTGAACAACCTGGAACAAGACCATAATGAAATTCATCTGAAATAATGAAAAGAATCAGAAAAAATAAGAGTAGTATAAAGTCAATATTTTCTTTTATTTTTAGGTAAAATACTTCCTGAGATGAAGATATCTAATTTTCACTGGATACAAATTATGCATATCCAGCCCAAGGCAGAATTTGTTGAGAATTCATTAAATGAATTGCTTTAATAAATGAGGGGTGCCCCCACTGATAGTTAGAAATCATCCTATGAATAAATTACACTCATCCAAGTTTTGTATATTGGATACATAAATCTAATTTTGAAGAGCTATATTAAAATTTTCTAGTTTAAAATGTTATAGAGATTAATTCTAACCCATTTTTGATATGTCATAAAATAATCATATTATAATTAAAATAACAAAACTGGAAGTGATGTATTACTATTAAATTCAGTGATCTTTAAATATCTATATGACTAAAACATTTATGTTATAATAAATATTATTCATCTGAGAGAATTTATAGTTTTCAAACACAATCAGAAGAAAAAACGTTATTTATAATTCATTTCTACAACCACTTTTTAATATTTTCATCCTAGTTTTGATGTAAAAGTCTTCTATAATGTTTTAAAACAAGAAGAGTAGAAGACATCTGATGTTCAGCATTACGGTAACATTTTATGCCCAAGTAATCTACTCATATACTTTAAAATAAAATTTAAAAAAAAATCTGGAGCTAAGGCAGGATGATAGAAATAAAAGATTCCCCAATAGAGGAAGAAAACGGCTGACCCAAAGGTTTAAATAAACAATAAAGATAAATCTTAGGTATCCAGAAATTTTTTGAAGTATTCTCTGGAATTTTGGTAGTTTGATATTTTACAAGTTAAAATAAAGTCAATTTATGAAATAAAGAAGCAATAAAGCATCATCAAAGTCTACATCAAAAGAAAGATGTTAAAATGTCATTTCAGAAGACTCAACAAGATTCTCCTCTTTGGTTAAAAAAAATACTGGCTGGGCACAGTGTCTAATGCCTGTAATCCAAGCACTTTGAGGGGAGGCCAAAGCAGGAGAATTTCTTGAGCCCAGGACTTCGAGAGCAGTCTGGACAATATAGTGAGACCTCTGACCCTACGAAATTAAAAAAATAAAGATTAGCTCTGTGTGGTGGTATGAGCCTTTGGTCCTAAATACTTGTGAGGCCGTGGTGGATTGCTTAAGCCTCTGTACTACTTATTGAGTAGTGGCCATGGAAATAAGCCACTCAAATCTCCTGCTTTAGGGAGAATAGTTGACTGACAATCCCAGCTGAGGCTTCTGTAGACTCACATCTATATCAAAGCTCTCCTTCTCCTATGCTGCTCCCAGCCAATTACTGAGAGAACTCTGTAAGATGCTGAGTCATTCCTTTGGAAAGTAGGACTCCTCTGACAGGTGACTTTGACTGGAGGATGCTTTACCCTGGCCATATTTTTCTCAGAACTTCACTGTAGTCTGATGCTTTTTCTGCTCAAACCTCCTTCTTTCCACTCTTCTTCACACAGGTCAAATCTGCATTGTGGTCTGAAGTTTTTCTTCTATTCTTCACAGTCATTTTCTCCAATAAATCTCTTGCAGATCTAATGCTGTCTGGATGTCTGCTTCTTGGAGAAGCAGAAAGAATGCATTTAGTATAGCAAGTTACTTCAGTGAGCGAACATTGGCAACCAAGGTGTAGGAAATTTACTGGTAATATATCCATTCTCAGGATTACTTTTATTGTTAATTTTTGTAAATCTTATCAGCAAATAGCTGACTTTTCCTAGGAACTTTCAAGATAAACTTTAAAGGTAGGAAGAACATTAACGTAGCATGATTTTCAATTTTTGTTTAATGTTATTTTAATTAACTTCAGTCAGAAATATTGTTTAACATGGTACAGAACTACCTATATTAAAACACATGTCCTCAGGTAATGATATATAGCTTGGAGATATTTCTTTTCTCTTAAAAATTTATCTGACAGACCAATCGCAGTGGCTCACACCTGGAATCCCAGCACTTTGGGAGGCCAAGGTGGGTGGATCATGAGGTCAGGAGTTAGAGACCAGCCTGACCAACATGGTGAAACCCCGTCTCTACTAAAAATAGAAAAATTAGCCAGGCATGGTGGCTCATGCCTATAATCCCAGCTACTCAGGAGGCTGAGGCAGGAGAATCACTTGAACCCAGGAGGCAGAGATTGCAATGAGCCAAGATTGCACCACTGCACTCCAGCCTGGGCGACAGAGCAAGACTCCATCTCAAAAAAATAAAAATTTATCTGACAACTGTAAATCTGAGTTATTGAAAGAAGTCAGTGAAAATAAACAACAAAGAATACTATGGAATAAATTTACAAGTATGATATTCATGAGACCCTTTATATATTTATATAGTGAACACATTATCCATAAGCAGATTATGCTTTTTTTATCATTATATGATCCAATAAATTAAATCAATCTATGTTAAAATCTTAGCTTTTCATATGTCATTGTATCTTTATTTTTTGTACTTAAAGTGATAATTTTATTGGATTGACATACAAACATGGAAATATTGATAAGCCCTCTGGCACAGAAAATAAAGTTAAATTGCATTAAAATATCCAAATGCAGGCTAAGTTGAGATCATTAAACAGTTTAAGAAATTTGGAATGAATTATAAGGTAAACACTCTTGTATAAAATAGTCTTTTACATTATCTTCAATTATTATAACCTACTTGATATAAAATTATTTTTCATTGCTAAACACAATTAAGTTTCAGTTAGGGATAAAAGGCAAATTAAGACCCAATTAAAAGTCACCCTTTTATCACTGTATAAAAGTGTCTATCCTGTAGTCTCTCATTAGAATTAATTATAAAGCATACATTAGAAAAAAAGGTATATCATTCAAACTCATGGGAAGACAATACTAAATAAGCAAGCTACACAGATATGATTAGCAGAAGGGTACTATATGGGGTTGAAAAATGCCCCCACATTCCAATTTTTTTCTACTTAAAATTTCAGAATATAAACTTATTTGAAAATGCAATCTTTACAGATGTAATAATTAACTAAGTTTGGATAAGATCATAGGTGATAAGAGTGGTCCCTAAATCCAGTGACTGAAGTCTTTATGAAAAAAGGAGAAAGATTCAGAGACAGACATGGGGAAAACAGCTATTTGTCAACAGTGGCAGGGCTTGGATTGATGCAGCTAAAAGCCAAGGAACACCATGGGTTATGGGTACAACCAGAAGCTTGGAAGAAGCAAAGAAGATATTCTTCTCTAGCTTCTTCAGAAGAGTAGTGGTCCTGCCAAAATCCCGATTTTAGACTTCTGGCTTCCAAAATTGAGAGAGAATAAAATTATGTAGTTTTAAGCCATCTAGTTTGGGGTAAGTTGTTATGACAGTATTAGGGAACTAATATAGATACCTTTCTACAATTAAGAAATTATCTCAGTCATATACAGATGTCTTGCCCTGAGATTGTTCATACATTATTTTATCTTATTTACAAAGGGATGGATGATTTAAAAATATAGAACATTTATAATCTTTCACTAATATGCAAAAGGGAATATTTTAAGTATATCATATTTATGATGATAGTTCAACAGCATTATCTTTAAAATACATATCCATAAAACATTCTTTGTAACCTGGCAGCATTACTCAGAATTAAATTTTTACTTATGATGGAGTACTGGCAATATCTATGTACTAGATATACACATATTAATATTTTCCACATTAAATGTAACTGAAACAAAAAGTAAATAAAGGAGAATGCATTATCTAAACATCTAATAACACATAGTACAGTATAGTAACCAGCTTGTTATATTCTAGTAGCAGAAAATACATGGTTTTTAAAGAGAAAATTAATATATTTATGTTTCAGAGCAACATTTACGGTTACAGAAAAATTGAGAAGAACTTAAAGAGTTTCCACAGAGCTTCTCTTCTCCCACACACCATTTACCTTACTATTAGTACCTTTTATTAATGTGATATATTTGTTAGAATTGATGAACCACTATTAACACGTAATTATCCACTAAAATCCATGTTTTACATTAGGATTCACAATTTGTGTTATATAGTTCTATGGGTTTTGACAAATGCACAATATCATATATTCACTATTACAATATCTAACAGAATGGTTAAGTGCCCTAAAACTCCCCTTCTTTCTACCCATCCCTACCTCCCTCCTTCTCTTCAAACCTCTGGCAACCAATGACTGTTTAACTATTTCTATAGTTTTTCTTTTCCAGAATATCATATCATTGGAAAAAATACAACATATAGCCTTTTCAGACTGGATTCTTTCACTGAGTCATGCGTATTTAAGGTCCTTCTATGTCTTTATGTAGTTTGATAGCTAATTCCTTATTATCACTGAACGATATTTCATTTTTCATTATGTGTATGTAACAGAGTTTATCCATCCATCTCCTAAAGGATATTGTGGTTGCTTCCAAGCTAAAGCAATTATGAATAAAGCTGCTATAAACATCCATGTGCAAGTTTTTGTGTGGACATAAGTTGTCAACTAATTTGTATCAGTACTTAGGAGCACATAATTGCTGGATCATATTGTAAGCCTATGTTTAGCTTATAAGAAACTGCCAAACTGTGTTCCAAAGCAACTGTGCCGTATTGAATTTTCAACAAAATTGAATTAAAGTTCCTGTTGTTCCACATTCTTGTCAGCATTTGGTCTTGCCTGTGTTTTGGTTTTTAGCCATTCTAATAGGTGTAAAGTGGTATTTCATCGTTGTTTTAATTTGCATTTTTTAAATGACATATGATGTTGAGTATCTTTTCATTTGCCTATCTGCCCTCTATATATCTTCCTTAGCAAAGTATTCATATGTTCATGTTGTTTTGCTCTTATTTTATTTAGATTGTTTTTTATGCTGAGTTTTAAGAGCTCTTTGTATATTTCTGATGTACAAATACATGTGATAAAGGATGTATCAGATAGATGTTTTCCTGTTATGTGTTTTGCCAATACTTTCCCCAGTCTGTGGTGTGTATTTATATTCCTTTAATTTTAACAGAGTAGAAGTTTTCAATTTTAATAAAATCCACTGTAACAACTTGTTTTCTGTTTTGTTATAAATTGTTATACCTAGAAACTCATCACCAAACCCAAGATTATCTTCTAGAAGTTGTATAATTTTGCATTTACATTTATGTCTATCAAATACATATCCACATTTAGTTTTGGTGTTTGTTTTTTGCATGTGGATATCCAGTTGGCCCATTACCATTTGTTGAAAATATAATCTTTTCTCCAATCAATTGCCTTTGCTTCTTTACCAAAAGTTAGTTTACTATATTGGTGTGAGTCTATTCCTAGGCTCTTTATTGAATTCTATGCATTATTTTGTTTATTAGTTTATCAATACCACACTCTCTTGATTACTTTAGTTTTTATGATAAGGCTTAAAGTTGGGTAATGTCAATCTTTGTTCTTCGTTAATGTTATATTGGCTACTCTGGGTCTTTTGCCTGTTTATATAACCTTTGCAATCTATCTGTAAATGTCCACAAAATAACGTGGTTGGATGGATTAGACTTTTTTTTTTTTTTAGAGAAAAAGGCACTAAAAATGGAAATCTGGGTAAATGTAAACATTTGGCAAATGCTGAATTTTTCTTCACTTAGTTAAAAAAATTAAAAAGTGTAAAATAATTTGTTATCTTTAAACTAGTACTTAAGCATAAATGCATAGCAAGAACTGCAAATACTTTACTTGAGAAGAACAAATTTTCACTAACAGAATTTACTATTATATTCCTTTCCTAATTAGCACTGATTTTAAAAATTAAGTCTATCTTCTATAGGTTATTTGAATGTCTAATAGCTTAGGATAACAAGGGAACAAAGGAAAAGTCAAACATTGTGAAACATGTAAAATATCTCACTATAAAATAATCATAACAATCTCAAGAAAAAGAAAGCAACTTGTTTAAAAATGTGTACATATGATTTTTAAAAGGCAGAACTTGTTCAGAGATTTCACAATATAATATGAAGCTCACCCACTGAAAAAGCACTGATTTGGGTGCAAATGAAATAGGTTAAGAAATGAATCTTTGAGAATCAAAAAAATTAATCCAATAATGAAAGCTAACAGGACCATAGGCCCACAGGGCCACAGGTGATCATAGCATCACTTATTTACCTCACAAAGGTAAATGAATTTTGTTCTCACAAAACCTTAGGAAGTATCACCTATGGTCTTATTAGGAAGCAGAACTTCACTAGGTTTTAAGACTAAAATAGTTTGATATAAATAAGCAGTTATAAATGTTTTGGAGAATCAAAAGAGTAAAAAAGAAACAGAAAATATGAGATAGCAAACACTGTAAACTACCACTGATCACTATTCTTCCCTCAGGATGGGCAGTTGAAGTTGTCAAAATATAAGCCTGGAACAGGGGTACCAGAGAGCTAAAATTCAGACCTCTGAGGAGAGGTAACACCTGGTTGGTAGTGTTGGTATCTCAGAAATTTGAAAGAACAGCATAGTAAGCCTAGTTCTGGGAGTCGTGTAAAAATAAATATAATATACAAAATTTGAAAACTGGAAGCAACTGCCTTTGTCAATGGAAAGGCTGTTGCTGAAGCTTCCTGCCAGAAACAGCAAGGAAATGGACATGTATTTTCTCCTGTCTTCTAATTGCCCACTAGAGCCCCCTGTTGGCAGAGTCCAACAGGAATTAGCTGATAATGGAGAAATGAAATTTGCAGAATCTCAGAATCACTAAGCTGTATATAGGAGAAATAATTTAAAATTATTTTTTAAACAATGTACTAATGATAATCAAACATTCATTAGTGAAGGCAGAAGACACAGAGGCTTAGAAAGATAGTCTCTGACTCAGAACATTTAGTACAACATGCAATCAGGATTCAATACCGGGTTTCCCAGTCACAGAGATTGCATTACTCTAAGAAGGCTACACGCAACAATATGTCTCTTTCATACATTTTATTATGCTGTATAGAATGGAAAAAAGACTAATTTAGTCAATATTTGGACCCCTATCTGGTAACTTAAGTAGTGACTAATAAGTAATACCTTAATGTTTCAAATATGGAGCAAATTCTAGATACAAATAGAATACCTACCTCAAGGTGAGATGGTGGCCTCTTTGTTAAACACAGGTGGGGTAAACTAAAAAAAATGTGTAAAACAGTATCAATGATGTGGCAAGGATCTGTAATGTTTCAGCAATTTTGTGAACTTTTAGTTACTATGTTAGCATGTGTTTTAAGAAAGTACTATAGTAAACTAATTTTATAGTATTACATACTTTTATACTCAATCTTTAAATTTTAATTTAGCCAAACTGCACATGGAACCACATAATTTACAAAAAGCGTCTATGTTTTGAAGGTTTACTTTTTCCAATGTTTATAAAAGGCAAATTCTTCTATTGGGATATACCCAGTGATGTTTAGTTATTTACAAGTGCTCTGTGCTCTACACTATTCAAACTTTGAAACCCATTTGTTTCAAAGAATAACTGTAAAAATATGTGTATGACATTTATATTCCCATAGGTTCCATATAATTATTCTTAGATTACAATTAGCTTTTTGTCATGCTGAATACAAAGAACCTATACAAATGTAAAAGACGGCATTCATAAACTTCATTCAAGCATTTCATATTTCCCTGTATATGTCTGAATAGAGTGTGGCTTAAAATCTTTAATGTATATCCTGATTTATATCATAAAACCAGTGGATATTTCTAGAGCAATAATAAAAATATCATACAGACTAAAAAAATTGTTTACTGATGACACAATTCTGGAAAATGCTGCATAATAGTATCATGATGTTTTTGTTGCAAGAAAGATCTGATATAAATCCACACATAAAGTGTGTGTGTGTATGTGTGCATGTGTGTGTGTTCTTTCATTTTTAGTCAATTAATAATAGAAAATACCAAATGAACTTATGGTGAAATGATTTCTAGGCAAAATGTTGAAAGTTTGAACTTCCTGCTACATAACATAACTACCCACAATAAATTGATAAGCTCAAAAAGATTTGAACAGATTGCAAGCAGAATTAGAGGTAATGGAGAGAACCCAGAACATTATGGATGGGAAAATAAAAGTCTCTTATTTCCTATCTCTTCAGTCATAAAATATTCTCAAACTAAGATACAGCCTTAAAACACAGAAATAATCAATGTCAAAGGAATCATTTTAATAACATTTGTGAAATAATTAAGATGACATCTAGTTAATCTTTTCATTTGGGCCAAGTGACTTACAAAAGGAATAAGTACATGGTTTTGCTGAAGGTCATGGTGCCTACATTACTTGTACTTATATCTAGAAGGAAAGAAATGTATCTAAAAATATGAGTATAGATTGTGGTAAATAAAGTTGACTGAAATCAAATACGTAGAAAGCCCACGAAAATTTTAAAAGAAATGTAAAAAATGTTTACAAGATTTACGTTTCTTTTAAAAAACGAAATGTAAATCATGCTTTGACTGAGATGGTTCAAGATGAGAAAAGTTATCTTGGTCTTCAACTTTCTATAGGCACGAAGAAGAATAGAAAAAAGTGGTTCATCCACCAAAAGGCATATTTTACAATTCTCTAGGAATGGCCAAAGAAAACTATGAAAAGAGAAATACGTTCCTGAGGGCAGATCAAAGAACCTCGGAGAATAATGGAATGGTGAATTAGACCCAGGAAGCAGAATCAGCATGTAAAATGCATTTTATACCTCACAGATACCAAGACATAGCATCGTTTGTCCAACAGGATTTCACAAAGTTTATGAATAATGGATAAGCGACTAATACATATCTCAAATGTACTAAATTTGAGTTGTTATTGAGAATATACTTACCCTTTCCTACCATTGCATGTTGGGAGAATGTTTCCTCTTAAATTCATAAATCATTGAATCATGAAGAACTCATCTAAACTTGTTATAGATTGTAGGATCTTAAACTTCAGGCCTGCTGATGTGATTAGATTAGGTGTCCTGAGATGACTGTGTTTTACTAAGTTTTTAAATATTATGATTATGACCAGGAGAATACACTGCTTTCAAAGGAATTATTGGTGAACATTCTCTATTCCTCCTTGTGTCTGTGTGCTTTGATAGATAATTTTGTAGTTTTTCTCATTAAAAAAAAAAGGGTTAAGTGCACTTCTGTTGGCTTTGGTCAATGATGAGGATGGAAGTGACAGTGTGCTAGTTCTGCACATAACCTTATGTGGCCTCAAATGATTACTGCTTGGTCATCTGTGCTTTGCTAACACTCTTTTAAAAGCATGGTTAAGCTGACCCACAGATCCATGAGAATAAATAAGTTTTGCTTTGAACCATTCAGTTTTGGGGTGTTTTTTATATAGCATTGTCATGGTACTAGCTAACCGATACAAATATAACCTTACAAATGAATCAAAGGATGAGACATTTACATTATAATTTTTATAACATACACTTAAGTTGTTTTTCAAGATGACTTTATCAATTTATTCTCCTCTTAGCATTACTGAGAAAATCATGTATCTCACATTCTTACATGCTGACAGTGTCGTATTTTTATTTTCATGTCAATCAAATGAATGATTAGTTAGCTCCTGTTCAAATTGAGTATTCAGATTTCTAGTGATTTTCAGCACCTTCTGTGAATTCAGTTCTCATATTTCCACATTTTAAAATAATTTGCCTTTTTGTTAACGTGTGGGAGTTTTGCTGTAATTATTTTTACATAATCAAATTGCTATTACTTTATTGAGCAGTGCAAATTCTATATGCTTTTCTGAGAATGCAGATTTTGTCATCAAGTGGTAAAATAATTGCTTTATGCAGAAGTATATAACTTTAGTGTAGGCAAGTTTATAGTTTATTATTTTAGATTTTGGGTCTTTTAAGAAAATTTTCGTGTACCATAATGTCTAAAAGTATTTTTATATTTTCTTTCAAGCTATTTTTTTTTTTTGTAATTTTGCCTTAGAAATGCACATATTTACTATGGGTTGAATTTCATCCCTCCAAAATTATATGTTGGGATTCTAACGCCTATTCTCTCAGAATTTGACCTAATTTGAAAAGTGTTATAAATGAAATTAGTTAAGTTAAAATGAGGTCATTCTGGAGTAGGGTAAGGTCTTAGTCCAATATCACTAGTATCCTTAATAAAAAAAAAAAAAGGGGGGGGCGGAATTTGAAAACAGAGACAGAGATGGACAGGGAGAATGCCATGTATGATACAGCTGGGAGTCCAGGACAGCTAAGGATTAATGGTCACCCAGTGGACCCAGAAGACAAAGCATGGGGCCACAGAGGATGAGTCTCAGGCCTTGAAATCTGACAGAATTTGCTCTGTTGGTGTTTGAACTTGTTCAGGGACTGTAATGTCTTTATTTCTTCTAATTTCTTCCTTTTGGAATGTGGATATTTATTATATGCTTGTCTCCCTATTTAACGTAGAAGGTGATAACTTGTCTGGTGTTACAGGTTTACAGGTAAAGGGAGATTTTTGCTCCAGGATGAATCATACATCAAGTCTCACCCACACTGGTTTAAATGATTTAGATGATGAGACTTTGGACTTTGAACTGATGATATTTAGATAAGACTTTAGACTTAGAGTTAATGCAGGATCTTGGAGATACTGGGATTGATGGATATATTTTGCACAGGGGAAGGACACAAATTTTGGAGAGTCGGGAGGTAGACTTATTATTGGTGGGTGAGTCGGCAACTATCCAGAGAACTCCAGAGTGACACCTCTGCAGGAATCTCAGTCCCTTGTCTTGGACCTCAGCTTCACTTCACTTAAGTATAGTGTATCTGGATGGCAACCTCTGGTACTTTAATAGCTATGGGAGTAGATAATAGAACAGTGAAGGGGACCTTCCAGACCTTCCAGTTAGTTGGGATTTCAGGGTTCCATCCTTCCAACCTTTCATGAGAACTAGTGAGCCTGGAGGGTATAAAGTCTGAGCTTTTTCCTCTTTCAATTTTGGGTTTATTTGTAACCAGTATTCCCGGAGGCCTGTTGGAAGCCTGCCATAGAACAGACATACTGGGTGACTTTGGTAGTTTCTTCATCTAGCAATAAGTCAGAATATAGGAATGGTCTATCATATAAGGCCTACTAGGGGCTTAATTGTAAAGAAGCCTTAGGGGCAACATGGATTCAAAGGAGGGCTAGAGGTCAGAGGTCCACCCATGACTTGCTGTTTCCTGACACAGTTTATTGAGGATGTGTTTGAGGGCTTGGTTATTTCCTTCCACCTTTCCTGAAGATTGTGGTCTCCAGGCAGACTAAAGGTATCATTTCATGCCAAGGGCATTACTAACCTGTTGAGTCATTTGGGGAATTAAGGATGGGCCATTGTCATTTTGCAATGACCTAGGAAGCCAAATCGGGGAATAAGTTCCTTGAGGAGGAATTCAGCTACTTAACTGTGCCTTCTCAGTCTTTGTGCAACAGGTCTCTACCCATCATGTGAAATTATCTACACAGTTTAAGAGGTAATTATATCTATGGCATGTGGGGATCTGAGTGAAATCCATCTTCCCATCTCCAGGGTATTTACCTCTTCTTTGGATCGGACTTATTAATGGAGGAGGCTTCCCTCTCTGGGGATTATTTATGGCACACAAGGAGCAAGCCTGACAAGCCTTCTCAATAGCCTTGTTCAGTCCCCTCCTGCTAAACACCCACTTACAAATTTTCCCTAGACTGTCCTTTCCAAAGTAGCAGGAGTCATGCAGACTCTGGATGACCTTCCACTGGGAGGCCTTTGGCAGATGGAAAAGTGCCCCCAGGCTGTACCATCCATTGGTTTCTTTTTGATATCCCTGTTGGGTGGTCCAAATCTATTTCTTCCTGGGTGTACTGGAGTGGGGGTAGTTCAGTGGGGAGAGAAGGGAGCAAGGCTCCCAGAAATGTAAACTTTGGAACAGTTGCTTCTTTAGTTTTCTGGTCAGCCAAACTATTTTCTTGTGCGGTTTCATCGTGGCCCTCTGGTGTCCCTTGTAGTGCACTACTGCCACCTTCTGGGGCAAATGAACAGACTCTAGCAGCTCTAAGATTTGAGGCCTGTACTTAATAGGAATATTCCCTTTCCTTCCAGATAGCTGCCTGGGTGGGAAGGATCAAAGAAGCATGTTTGGAGTCTGTATAAATGGTTATTCTTTTTCATTCCCCTAGTTTTAGGGCTCTGGTTAGCATAGTGAGTTAAGCTCTAGTTAACTGAGGTCCCTGGGGATAAAGCTCTAGCTTCGGTCACTTGGTAGAGGTACACCAAAGCATTATCCTGCATGTCTAGTTCCATTCCAGACAAAACTGCTTCCATCTGAAAATCATATTTTGATGGGATTTCCCAAGGGTTGGTCCTTTAAGTCAGCCCTGCTGGCATAAATTTGGCTGAGTACTTCACAGCATGAATGTGCCAGGTTATTGTCTCTTGGTAGGGGCAAGAGGGTGGCTGGGTTGAGGGTCTAGCACCACTCAACTGTTACCTGCAGGTTTTTTAATAACAAAACCTGGTACTTCAACAATCTGCTGTCAGTGAGCCACTGTGGCCCTTTTTTGTCCAGTAAGGGGCCAACTTGGTGGAACATTAGGAGCTGGGTTGACTGCCCCATGGTGATTTCAAAGGCCTCCCCAAGTAGGAGGACTGCTGCAGCCACTTCCTTGAGACTGTGTGACCACCCCTGTGCAAACACCCCTGTGCAACTTGGTCTAGGTACTTTGAAAAATTACCTTATGGACATTTGATTGGCCCAATGGTTTGAGTTAGACCTCCTAGGGCTACACCTTGCCTTTCAGTGATAAACAGTTGAAATGGTTTGCTTAGTATAGGTAGCCCAAAGGTTAGGGCTTGTAAGACGGCAGTTTTTAGCTGCCTAAAGGTTTGCTCTTGATTCTTCTCCCAGAGAAGTGGGTCCCTATCCGTCCCTTTTGTTAGAGCCTGATATAAGGACTTAATTCCACCATAACCCAGTATTCAGTTTCTAATATTCCGTGATTCCCAGAAAGGCCTGCAGCTGCTTTTGGGTGCTCCAGGTAGCTGTCTTAAGAATAACCTGTATCCATTCTCGGGAGAGCTTACATTCTCCAAGGGTCATAATTATTCCCAGGTATTTGACCCCCTGTCTTAGTAGCTGTGCCTTGGCCTCCAACACTTTGTATCCCTGGTCTGCAAGAAAATCCCTGTCTGGACTAAATGTTGGATTCCCAACTCTCTTGTCAGGAAGCAGATTAACAGTCATCCATGTACTGTAGGAGATGTGCCCCCTCCCCCCATAAGAGTTAGATCCTGCAAATCTTTAGCCAAGGCTTGCCCAAACAAATGGAACTATCTCTCAAACCTCATGGAAGCACTGTCCAAGTAAGATTCCAGGTAAGATGTTGACACCTACATTTTTCATTATCCCTTTCAAATGCAAAGAGAAATTGAGACAGCAACAGCAGGTCTAGGGGGACACAAAAGAAGGCATCCTTGAGGTCTGGGACTGAAAACCACTGAGCATCTGGAGGTAATTTCCCTAGAATTACATATGGGTTGGAGACCATAGGATGTATTGGGACTACTACCTCATTTATTATTTGTAAGTCCTGAACTAGTCTGTATTCACCATTGGTCTTTTTAATGGGAAGACTGGAATGGTTACAGGGTGAGCTGTATCACCACAGTCCATGTTTTAGAAACTTCTCAATCAAGAGCCAAAGTCTTTCTTTGGCCTCTGGTAGAAGAGGAAAGTGCTTTCTACAAGGACAGCTAGAAGGGCTTTTGAGCTGAATTACTACTGGAATTGACGTTATAGCCCTTCCTTTGTAGTCTTGTGTCCCAAACTTCCAGGTTATTGGGAAGATCTGTGGGCAGTTCATCCCTGTGTGTGGTCTCTTTGAGGCATAAGATTGCATTTGGAAAAGTAGGAGTTGGCCCTGCAAAAAAAGTAATTGACCTTCTAGTCTGAACAATATATCTCTGCACAAAAGAGATGTAGGGCATTCTGGCATCACTAAAAATGAATGAGAAAAGAGTTTCCCCCAACAGGCAGCACAGAGAAGTAAACCTCCAGGTTATGAACACCCCATTTATCCCCATTACCTGGCAGGACTTGGGATAATTGTCAGGAAAAGAGGTAAGAATTGAGTAGGTAGCATGCGATCCAAAAGGAAGGTTATTGTCCTACCTGCCACATCCAAAGAAGGCCTTGGCTCCATCCCTTCAATAATGATGTTTGATCTGGGAGCCAGCTGGAAAAGAGGGTCCCTTCAACTCAAGGCCATCAGGAGTTGGGATTCTGTCCCAAGGGCCCTTCAGCCCTCAGGGCAGTCTTGTCTCAAGTGGTCAAGCTTGTGGCAGAGGGGACAAGCCATACAGGGTTTGTTCCCATTTACCCCATTGGGGCAGCTTGCCCTCCAGTGGCCTGGCTTCCCACACCAATGGCAGTTACCTGGGGGAGTATTCCCAGGGCAACCTACTGGGGCAAGTGAACTTGTAAGGCAGCCAATAGTTGAAGCTGCCACCTTTCCTTTTGCATCTTTTTTTTCCTGAGCCCTTCCCTCTTCCTTCCAGCCCCAGTTGTAAAAGACTGAGGAAGCTATTTTGAGGATGTCAGGCATAACGATGTTGGGGCCCAGTGATAGTTTTCAGAATTTCTTCTGAATATCTGGGGCTGCTTGCATTAGCAAATAGCCCTTTAGGACAAGTTGCCCTTCTGGTGTTTCTGGGTTTAGGTTTCATGAGGGCATCTTGTAGCCTCTCAATGAATATTGTGGGGTTTTCAAGAGGACCTTGATTTATTAAGGACAATTTATTATAGTTTACTGGATTTTTTCTGCTAGCTCTGTCTCTCAATTAAACCAATGGACACATGGATTCTTGCCCAAATACCCGCCCTGGGTATTGCAATCCCTGTTGGGGTCAACCTGGGAACTGTGGTGGCCCCTACAGAGTAGCCACCAGGGTTAATCATTTGCATTGCATTTGCAAATCGCTGGGCTGCCTCCATAATGGAGTCACATTCTCCCTTGGAAAGTGGCCCAGTATAACTGTGAGGTTCTTCCAAGTGAGCTCAAATGTTAGGCCCAGTTTACGGAACCCTTCAATGTATTTGTCAGAGTCATCCATACACTTTCCTAGTTTGCTGTAATCTGTCTCAGATCTTGCATAGTGAATCGAGCCTGAACCCTAGTGGGCCAGCTGGGACTGCTAACGTCCTGAAGGGAACATAAGCCAAAGGGGAGGTGTTCTGAGAATAGCTCTGATTAGGGAGGGAAAGGCTCCAGGATTTTGAAAGACTTGGATATAATGAGTTAGAAGGGGCCGTGGGGTTTAACTGATACTATAGCTGGATCAGTGTATAAGCCCAACGAAGGTCAGGGTTGTTTCCTAGGTCCACAAAAGCCTGCACACGGGATTTCTGTCCATTTCCTCTGCTAACAGCAAAACAATTCCAATTGATACATCATATTAAAATTTATGCTTCCTTTTACAGCCAAGATTTCTGGCCCCAGAGCTTGTATCGAACCCATGCTATGTTACAGAAAAATATTAGCCTTTTTTTCTTTAGAGTTTGAGGGTCAAACTTTTTCCAGTTCTTGAGGATATATCTGAGAGGCATGTTCTGTGGTATGGAGATGCAATTACCCATTTGTAAAGAAAGAACAGAGGAGAGAAGGGGAAAAAAGGCACCCCCTTTTATTTCCCTATTATCCTTGAATAGGGCATTTGTCTTTCACCCCTGGGATTTCAGAATGAGCCAGTCTCACCGGGTACCCTTAATTTTCGTTCCATCTTGTTTTAAGGAGGCACGATTATCCACTTGAGAACAGAGGGCATATGGGAATGAACAAAGGCCCTCTAATCATCCCTGGGGTTCCAGAATGAACTGGTATCACCGGGTACCCTGAACCTTACCTTTACCTCTGTTCTAATGGTAATCTGTTCTGTGCCTGTAGCCTCGCACCAGCCTTCATCTCTGTCCTATGGATAATTTGGTTTCCTGTGTTTTTGGCCTCAGGTAGGCCTATATGCTTGACTCTAGGACCTTGCATTGACCCTTGTCCGGAGAATCCTAGCAATGAAATAATTTCCCATCCTTTTGTGTTCCCATTCCCCAGGTCCTTTCAGGCAGATGAGGACCCTGTTTCCAGCCAAGAGCCGTAATGAGGCTGGGCTCCCTTTTTCTCTGAATAGCCTTGCCTTGGCAATCTTTGTTGATGTTGAGAATGAGTTGGAGAACGTCAGAAGAAAATAAGAAAATGTTACCCTTGATAGGCAATGTGCAAAAGAAGTGTTTAAAATAAGCAGGGCAATCCCTCTGTAATAGGCAGATAGGGAAGGAAGCATTGGGGATGCTCATGGAAAGCTCTTGTGCTTTCACAGAAACACCAGCTTCTGGTCCCTAGAGAGAGTGCTTGTCAGCATTCTTGACATAAAGGAGAAAGCCCTGGAGAACCAGAGAGTTTGGAATAAGAGCTCTCATCAGGCACAGAAAAAAAAATGCTTATTCCCCCCCAAAAAAAACTAGCCCCAGTATTGAGGTAGGGAATGTCCTTAGTGGACCACAAATGGAGGTTCTGTGAAAGTTGATAAAGCTCTTTAAGAACCAGCAGAAAACTAAGTCCTGGAACATGATGGGGATAAAGAGTGAATAGTAAGCAACCAGGAGTTGACAAAACCAGGGCTCCCACCAGTGCTCGTTTTGACAGTGAGCCAAGAGGCAGGAGATGGGCTGGAGATCATCTGGACTGGGGGAGTAAAATCAAGTGCAGATCTCCGGGGACACCAATAAAGGTTTCCGCCTCTTGGTTGCCAGGCAGACACAACAAGGGCTGCCAGCACACAAATGACAAACAGAGAGTGTATGTTTCAAGCAGGAAAAGAACTTGCAAGCACACAGTGAGAGCAGATAGGAGGATGATTTGCCCTTGAGGCCAATATTCCTGCCAGTGTGCAAGGCCATTTCAGAGTACAGAGAAAAGAGCAGGAAAATAGATGGTGCAGGTGCAGGTTTAGGGAAAGAGCTGACTTTAGCTGAAGGAGAAGCAGGGAAGTTCCCCAGAAATTTCACAGTGCAGGCTTAGCTCCACCACCCTTGCACACTCCCTGTTGGGAGGGGCATAGTAGTTTAGGACCCTAAACTCCTCCCACCTCTGTGAGTCACCCATCAGGATGACCTGAGAAACCAGAGGGAACAGAATCACTGTGGCCAAGGGGAGTGCTTCTGGGGAACAGTTTGTAGGTAGGAGAAAGGCAAAGGGAAGTGAAAAAGGAAAAGAAAGAAACAGGCAGGAAGAAGAAAAAGGGGAGAGGAAGGGAAAGCAAAAGGTAGGAGACAAAAAGGAAAAAAGAGAAAGGAGAAGAAACCACATACAAGGGTTTGAATGCCTCTAGTGGAAGAACGTGAGGCATTGCAGGGCCTTACCACTAGATGATGGATCTGAGTCATGGCACCGAAGTACATTACCAGCTGGTGAGCTGTCCGAAGAAACTCCAGAGTGGCAACTCTGCAGCAAACTTGGTAGTTTGACTTCTCAACGCAGAGAATTCAAATGAGAGACACAGGCAAGGTTTAAAGAAGGAGAGAGAATTTCTTTTAAGCAAAGTGAGAATTTATTAGAGAAAGTAGGATACTCTGGGAAGAAGGCCAAGTGGATGACTTGAAAAATTGACTTCCCTGTTCTCTTTTTTGTTTAGACTCTAGAGATTTTATACCCCATAATGTTTCCCAGGCTCTCTATCTCCTCCCTTTCTTCCCCTGGGCGGGCTGTTGCTTAACTGTTGCATATAAGGTGGCCTGCCAGCACTTGTCAGGGGCCACATGTGCAGTGTGTTTACTCAGGCCCTGTACATACTTGTTAGTGGCAATTCACCCTTACTGGTCAAGTACACCCAGAGGAAGGTCATATCATATACTGGTCAAATTCTGCCATCTTCTACCCTTTTACTGGGCATGCTTGAAACCTTATCAGGAATTATGGCTTACTAACTCCAGGTTTTCTGTCTGTTGCAACACTCCTGTCATTCCCAGTACCAGTCATGGCCAGTTATTATCTCAGAGGGATAGTTTTATGCCCACCTGTCTTTCACTCAATGAGATACCAAGGAAAAAAGAGAAAGGAGTCCCTCCCTGGGGTACCTCCCTTTTTCCTGCTCATTATTTCAGAGGGACAATTTATAATCGTCTGACTGTGACTTGATAAATGCCCAGCATTCCCAGGCACTGTCTTTCCTGCCCTGCTCATGTCTAGCTACCTGCTCTAACAGACTGTTAGAGGTTGAATTGTGTATTCAAAAATATGTGTTGAAGTTCTAATCCCTACTCCTTAAGAATCTGATCTAATTTAGAAATAAGTCTCCTGTAGGTCTAATTAGTTAAGTTAAAATCAGGTCATACTAGAGTAGTGTAGAGCCTTAATCCCATATTACTGGTATCCTTATAAGAGGAAGGAAATTTGGTCACAGAGACAGAGACCAATATAAGTATAATGCCATATGATGAAAGAGGCATAGATTGCTGTGAGGTGCCTTTCTGCCAAGGGGTGCCAAGGATTAATGGTTATTAGAAGCCACAAACAGGAAGGTAGTATTCTACCCAGAGTCTTCAAAGGAGCATGAGCCTGCCGACATCTTGAATTTGGACTTCTAGCCTCCAGAACTGTGAAATAATAAATTTCTGTTTTTTACCACCCAGTTTGTGACACTTTGTTGGAGTAGCCCTAGAAGACTAATAATATTTAAAATATCAGACTATACTTTTAGTTATGGTGGGAAGTATAAATCCAAGTTTATTACTCTTATGTGGCTAGCTATTTTCCCAGCAATATTATTTAATAGTACATTTTTCACACATGCATACACATAAATTCTTCTAACTCTGAAATTGAGTCCTACAAGTTACATATCATTTTATTTTGTCTACTTTTAACTCTGAAATTGAGTCCTACAAAAGTTACATATTATTTTATTTTGTCTACTTTTAATAATAATTTTATGGTAACTGTAATTTTATAATATGTCTTAATATTCTATCCCTCTTCTTTCTCCTATTTCAAATTTTCTATTTTGGGCTTTTTGCTTCTCTATATGAATATTTGGCTTAATTTATCAAATTATGTATTATAAGTTTATAATATTTATAAGAATCTATAAAATTGAAAACATTAAAGAATTTGATTTAATTGTAAGTTATATTGAAGAAATAAACATCTTTGCTATATTAAGTCTTACCATTTACAAATCAGATATATCTCCATTTTATATTTATTTCTTATTTTGACTATTATTCATTAGAGTTTAATGTTTCTTCATTGAATATTTTGTATCTTTTGAAATGTTTATTCTCAATTACTTTACAGTTTCTCTTGCCACCATAAGTTGTATATCCTTAAATTATAGTTTTGAACTCTTAATTGCCATTGGAGAAGTAGTACACTTGAAGTAATATGTATAGGTACGTACTATGTGAACTTTCTTGTTAGTATAGTTGCGCTTTTCAGATTATTTTCAATTTCTTTGTAGAAAATGTTATGTTCATATAATAGTCTTCTTGAAGTGCTTTCCAATTATTATGCTATGAATATATGGTAAATCATATGGGTCTAGTTCTTTGTCTTAATTTTATTTTCTGCATAGATTTGCAATTACTAATTTAATTTATCTTAGAGTCATATATCTATAACTACTTTCAAATTATGATTCAGATTTTATCATTATATATGTCCAAGGAAAGTTTTCATTTTATACAAATTATCAAATGTGAGAATTATCTACTGTATCAAACATCATATCCCATTTTCTTACTATACCCTTTCCTAATAGACCTTCATATGTATATACATATTATATATATGAGGGTGTATTAGACACATACAAGTCAAGCATGTTTACTTTTCTTGGTGAATATTCCTTTTATCATTATTATAGGGATCTTTATTAATCCTATTATTTTCTGTTTACTTCAAGTATGTGCGATTATTCTCATTTTCTAGCTATCTTTGGGAGACTAAGGGTCTGGTAAAACTTTTTATTTTTTTAATGGTCATATAATAATATTTCATTTATACCTTTTATACTAAGTATAGCTGGATATTGTTTAACATTCAATTTCGGAGTTTGTGCCCACTGCAAGTCTATAACTTTATACATACTGTGAAGAGATTTAGGTTCTATTATCCTCTGTTGCCTCTAATTGAATTTTAAAATTTCTCTCCTTTCTCCTTAATTTTTTTCTATTGATAAAACTTACAAATTACATCTTGGGTTTTTAGTGGTTATTTAAAACCTTTAAAATGAATAATTGACTACCAACATATGAAGTTATTTATTATTTCTATTATCTGAAGCCATAAAAATAACTCAAATATCTTAAACAAAATAATTTCCCTCACATATCTTTCATATTACCTTTTTTAGGACAACAACTTTTAAAATAACAACAACAACAAATTAGCAATTATTATTATTGTTTTATGAACAATGTCTTCTTGGACTTACATGTATGTATATTGAGTTATTTACTCACCTTACTTTATTGTTTCTCTATATCTTCTGTATTTAATATTTTGTTTTCTTATGTACGTTATTCTCAATTCATTCAACATGGATGTGAATGTGCTCATCTATCTTCTTATAGAAGATTTAGTTACAACCTGAACCCAAGGAAAGAGAATGACAAATTTTCTGTGGTCTTTCCAAAAGTATAGATGCATTTTATTAGTCTATTTTTATTAAAATTGCAGCCCAATGAGGACCCATGTTTTCTAGTCATTTCTCCATTCTAATTCTTACTTTATGGAAATATAAGATCCCATATTATTTCTTCACAGGATATTGGATTTGATCACCACAGTCCATTAAATCACCTGGACTCGTACTCAGGTTTCCATCTAACTTTATGCAAGAGTCCAAATGCCCATTTTTATGCTTCCTTCAGTTTTTAATTTAATCTATTCTTCTTATGACAACACACTCACTTTTTATCTAAAACTAAAGTTGGTAATAAATAGCCGAATTTGTATGTAAGCAAGAAAATAGCTACAATTATTCTCAAATGTAGCCTTGTCTCCTTTACGTTGCTCTATTTTTCTTTTTATCCATGTCACTTATCACATACAAACATACTAGACCATTGACTCATTTATCTTATAAGACTATTTTCTTCATTTGGTATTCCATCTCATATTAAAAGGTGAGCTCCATGAGTATAGCGAACTTATCTGAATTGTTCATGATGCAACAAAAACCTTTGGATGCTATTCAAATGTACTTGAAGAAAAACAAATATTTTAATAAATGGATTTCAAGTAGTTGCTCAAGCATATAATAAGCCTTGGAAATACTTTTGAGGTTGTTGGCTTAGTTAAAACAAAATATGAATCATATTAATAACTTCAAACTGCTCAGTTATTAATTTAGGTTATATGTTTAAGTAGGTTTTTAAGATAAACTTTTTAGTTTACAATGTTTTTAGATTTACAGTAAAAAATGAAAAAAAGTTCCCATATCCTCCACACTCTGTTTCTTCTATTATGAATATCTGACATTCGCAGTCAACATTCATCACAATTAATGACTCAATACTGACACATTACTATTTAATAAAGTCCATACTGTATTCAGATTTCATTAGTTTTTCCCAAATGCTCTTTGTTTTCTCTAGGAAACCACAACATATTTTAGGCTTCATGTCTCTTTAGACTTCTCTTGGCTATCACAGTTTCTCACATTCTGTGTTTTCGATGGCCTTGATAGTTTTGAGTATTGGGAAATTATTTTGGAAGATGTACTGTAATTCAAATTTGTCTGTTGTTTTTCTCATTAGACTAGATTTATGGGTTTTTAGGTGAAATAACTCAGAAACAAAGTGTTACTTTCATTATAACATATCAAATGTTTATTCTATCTAGATGCTTTGTGACTGTGAATGTTTACTTTGATCACCTGGATGAAGTAGTGTTTGGGACATCTCTTCACTTTAGAGTAACCCTTTTCCCCCTTTCCATACTGTACTCCTGGAAAGAAAGTAAAAATGTGCAACCCACACTTAAGGAGTGGGGCAATGTGTGAATTATTTATTTTTTAATTTAAATTTTATTTTTATTTTTTTCAGAGAAGGCATTTTGTTCTGTCACTCAGATGGTGTTAAGTGTTGTTATCATAGCTCACTGCAGCCTTGAGCTCCTGAACTCCTGCCAAGTACACCACCGTGCCACGCTATTTTTTTCTATTATTTTTAGAGACAGGGTCCCACTGTATTGCCCAGGCTGTTCTTGTACTCGTGGCCTCCAGCAATCCTACGGCCTCTAGGGATCCTCCTACCTCAAGCAATCCTCCTGCCTCAGCCTTCCTAGTAGCCATAAAGTATTTCTAATTCTTCTGCAAAGGCATTTGATTGTTCTTCCTCACTCATTTGTTTATCTAACCCTTTATTTATATCGGTATGGTCTCAGGGGTGTTTATGGTTTGCATTATAATCCAATACTACTACATTTGTTTCACTGCTCATATCAAATCAGCTTTGGCCATTAGGAGTTCCTTTAATTGGTCATGTCCTTATAACGCAATATCAGTGTGGAGTGTTTGTTTATTTATTTAGCACTTCCTTACTTTCTATCTCTAAGTAGTGATCCAGGATCACCTTGTATATGTCCTTCCCCAGTCCTAGAATCAGCCATTTCCCCAAGAAGCACTGGTTTCAGTATTTGTAGAATGCTATTAGAAATCAAGTGTTAGGTACCAGTTCTGCTCACACATACAGTAGTCAACAACAAGCAATGCTCCATATCCTGGAAGAATTAAGGTAAATTGCTAAAATATATATATTTTTTTCTTATAAATATTTTAAATATATGTTAATATTCAAATATTTAAGTTTGTGTTAAATATTTAAATTTGTATTTAATAGTGTATACATAAATATATAATATGTTATTAATAACTTGTATATATGTATACATATATACACATACATACAAAAACACACATAGATTGCTGAATTCTCAACCTATATTTGAATTGACACACTGATTAATGGTAATACTTTAAAAATTAACAATAAAATATAGTAATTTGGTATGTATGAGATATAGATTTGAGGGGAAAGGAGCAGATTTACATTGTCAAATAATTGAGGAAAAGTTAGTGAGTAGTATTCATAAGGAGAATAAATGTGAGAATTTTCCCACAATGAGTACTTAGCTAAAAAGAAAAAAGTATGTTTATCTTCCTAGCTTTATACTTAGACTTAACATTGAAACTATCTTCTAGGCAAGAGTCCCCACAATAGTTTTAATAATCTTTGAATGCATTAACTGTCCTCTATACTTACAAGTTTTAATTTCATCTACAATATTATATGACAAAAATGGACATATATTTCAAGTTTTTTGAATGGTTAAATAGTAAACCATAATATTAATGATCTTTGCCAGCATATACATAGTTTCCTACAAGTTAGGTTGTTCATAAAATATTTTATTTTAACTGTGACAATCATACTTTCTCAATTAGACAAGAATAACTCAAGTTCATTGCAAGTTTCTGATTATATTTGAACTATGACAAAAATAATGTTTTCTATTAGCATATATTATCCAATTGGGATAATACATATAATTTTTAAAATATGGTTAGATTAATAAATACAGACCATATATAGAGAGATAAATAAATTCATTAGAACCTTTTTCTGGCTGGCCACGGTGGCTCACGCCTGTAATCCCAGAATTTTGGGAGGCCGAGGTGGGTGGATCACCTGAGGTCATGGGTTCGAGACCAACCTGGCCAACATGGTGAAACCCGTCTCTACTAAAAATACAGAAATTAGCCAGGCATGGTGGTGCATGCCTGTAATCCCAGCTACTGGGGGGCAGAGGCAGAGACTTTCTTGAACCCAGGAGACAGAGGTTGCAGTGAGCCGAGATCTTCAACTGCACTCCAGCCTGGGTGACAGAGTAAGACTGTCTGAAAAAAACAAACAAAAAACCTTTTTCTAATTTATAGTTGGTCAGCAAGTATTTCCAAAAGCAAAAGCTATATAAATATTGAAGAATATTTTCCATTTGAAATATTATTATCTGTCTGAAGCAAAACTTCTAAACATTGGAAATGAAAAGCATTATTTTTCTTTTCTATTTTCCTTTGAGCAATAAACGTGGCTCCACAAAGGCTTGAAATATAATCTTATTAAGATCTTCCTGCTTTATCATAATATATATCAAAATGGTAACCAATTAATGAGCAAACTATTATATGTACAATAGTTATATATACTGTTTATTATATATAACAATTTATTACTGTTTTTTGTCTTTTCAAAATACAAAAGATTAAGTGGAAAATTTATACTTCTTGTAATGAGTGATTACCTTTTATCAGACTTAAAATTTTGTGAAAAATTGTAAATGCTGAACAATTTTTAAAAGAAATCTGTTGAATGCATTTGTTTTTAAAAATAGCAAGCAGAAACTGGTGAGATTTCAATCTTAGAAAGAAAGTAAATGTACAGAGTGATGTTCATATTTGTACAACTTTTCACATGAGGCTACTCTCTAGTATGCACTGAACCAAGCAAACAAACTTAGAGAAATCCGTTTCTTCTGATTTCTGAAATTAGAAGTCAGAATACTGTGGCTACTGGAACTGCTAAAATTTGAGAGGAGGTGCTTGCCGAAAATTCCCCAAAAGGGGTTCCCAGAAACATGCTTATAAACTCAACCCAATATTTTGTTGGCACCTGAATATAAATAAATAAATAAATAAATAAATAAATAAAATAAAAACTGGATAAACTAAAGAACAAATGAGAGGCTTCCCATCAGCTAATCATAACCAGAGATAGGGTTTGCCATTTTAAAATATCTAAATTAACTCTGCTAAAATAAAACAAACTACTCTTAAAAGGAGTCCTGAGTTCTATCACCCATGAATGTCTAGTATACAATACAAAATTAATGTATAGGAAAGAAATGTGAAAGTTTGACCCATAGTAAAAAACAAACAAAAATAGTCAAGAAATAGCCACCCTAGATGTTGGAATTAGCAATCTGGGACTTCAAATAATGTATTATAAATGTAATTTTTAAAACTTAAAGAAAAAAAAATGACCACAATTATTGACCAGGTAGGCACTCTTGATAGGAAAATGTAAGTAGATATTATAGAATTTGAAAGTACAATATCAGAAATTAATGTGTCAAGAGATAGAATTAAGAACAGATTTCTTATGGCAAATAAAGCATACATGAACTTGAATATAGATTATTTGAATTATTCCAAATGAAAAACAGGGAGAAATAAAACATGAAAATTATTAACAACACTGCAGTGAGTTTTACTGCCATATTAAATGACCATATACATGTATAATGAGTCAAAGATAAAGAGAAAAGAGACAAATTAATGGTGCACAAAATACTTAATAAAAATTAATGTATGTTGCACACCTTTACAAAAACATGGACTTGCAGATAACTAAATTCTGCAAACTATACATGTAATAAATATGAGCAAACTACAATTAAGAACAACGTTGTCAAATAGATTAAAACTAAAAGTAAAGAGGCAATCTTGGAAGCAAGTCATGGAAAAAAATAACACATTAAGTAAAAGCATGAATTTATATACATTATATTTGATATTTAATTTAAAAATAGAGGTCAGCAGACAAGAAAATGCATTAAAGTGATAATTATTCTGTATTCTATAATTAATTTATTAAACAAATAGAAACAAAGACATTTTCATATAAAGGAAAATTGAGAAAAATGTATCAACAGCATACCTGCACTCTTAGAAATGATGTTATTAAATGAAACAAAAATGACACCAAATATAAGAAAAGATATGAAAGAAAGGTCAATTAAATGAAAAATTGTGAATATGTGGTTAAAATTTTTAGATGTGTTTTTTCTTTCTTAAAAAAATGTGTGGTATGATACATATTAAAACATTGTCATCTGAGCTATTTAATGTGTATGATATAGTTTGGCTCTGTGTCCCCATACAAATCTCATCTCAAATTGTAATCCCCACATGTCGAGGGAGGGATCTGTAATCACCATGTATCCATGGAGTGAGGTGATTGGATCACAGAGTTGGTTTCCCCCATTCTGTTCTTATGATAGTGAGTGAGTTCTCACAAGATCTGAAGGTTTTATGTGTTTCACAGTTCCTCCTTCACATGCTCATACTGTCTCCTGCCACCTTGTGAAGAAGGTGCTTACTTCCCCTTCTGCCATGATTGTAAGTTTCCTGAGGCCTCCCCAGCCATGCAAAACTGTGAGTCAATTAAACTTCCCTTGTTTATAAATACCTAATCTTGGGTAATATCTTTATAACAGTGTGAGAATAGACTAAATACAGTGTGTAAGTGTAATATATGTTACAAAAATAATACAAAATATCATGGTGGAATATAGAATTATACTATTTATATGAAGTTATAAGAAAAATCTATACAGAGACTCTGATATACTAAGGATCCATACATCAAATCCTAAAACAAAAGAGAAAAAGTTTAAAATTTAATAGAGGACTTTAATTGTTATACAAAACATGTTGATTAACTAAACATAACACAAAGAGGAAAAAAAAGACAGAAAAGAGGAATAGGAATAGAAATATGGAGTGACTAATTAGTACCTTAAGTATAAAATTTATAAAGAGTAATTACAAGATATAAAGTAGGATATTTCATAATGATAAACAGTCAACTAATTAGTAAGACATAATAACCATAAATGTTTAGGCACTTGAATACACAGCTTTAGAATAGGTGCAGTAAAAGTTGACAGAACTCAAAGAAGAAACAGACAAATGCATAAGTACAAATGGAGATGTTAATAGCCGTCTTACAGTAATTGTTGGAACAAAGAAATATTTAGAATGTAGAATATTAATAAATACTCTCAATAACCTTGACCTATTTGACAATCATTGAACCCTATAGACAACTTTAAAATATAATTTATTTTCACTTGTACTTGAGTGATAGACTGGATTTATAAAGTATTTTAAAATACATTTTAAAGGATTTATATTTCACCAAATATATATCTTGACCACATTGAAATACAACTTGAAATATATATATATATATATATCTTTGGAGAGGAAGACAAAAGTACAGAAAAATTAGAAATATGTCAAACTTAAGTATATGAGAATTTCTAATTAAAAGTGGTAGGAAGCAGCTAAAGCAAGGTTTAGATGAATATTTCTAACTTTCAATGTTTATATTGCAAGAAAAAATATTAAAATTATCTAAATTTCCACTTCAAAGAGCTAATTATATATGAAGAAACTAAATCCAAATTAAGAAGAAAATAATTTGAAAAATATCAACTTCCATTTGTATAACAGCTTTATTGAGATATAATTTACATACCATACCAGGGAGTTGGGGCCAGTATCCTCTGGTCTTACTGACTTACCTCACTCAGTGCGGAACCTCTGCCCTAAGACAGGACTGAAGGAAAAGTTAATCAGGCCCCAGTATCCTCTACTTGCTATATCTGGAGTCTCCATCCTATTAATTGGGGTTAGATGGCAGAAGAAGCCTCCAAAATCTCAGTCTAAAGCTATTATAAATATAAATATGTATAAATATTATCATTTATTTAGATTTTTTTATTTCTTTCATCAAAATTTTGTGTTTTTTTCACATATAGATCCTGTACATATTTTGTCAGATTTATACCTAAATAGTTTTTCTTTTAAATAAATTTTATTGTGGTTATTTAAGGTTTACATCATGAGGTTCTGGGATACAAGTGATAGTAAAATGGTTACTATTTTATAGTGAAGCAAATTAACATATCCTTCCTCTCACATAGTTATTTTCTTGTGTGACAAGAGCAACTAAAAGGTACTTATTTAACACAAATTCCTAATACAATACAATTTTAGTAGCCATAGTCTTCATTTTATACATTATATCTCTAGACTTGTTCATCCTACATATTTGTTACTTTAATCCTAATTATTTATTTTATTTTTGAAGCTATGTTAAATTATGTTATTTGCATTCTTTTTTAAATTTCAAGTTCCAATTGTTTATTGTTGATGTATTAAAAAAGCAATTAACTTTTGCATATTAACTTTGTATTCTACAACCTTACTATACTCACTTATTTCATATGATTTTGTCAATTCTTTGAGATTTTCTGCATAGACAATTATGCCATGTGCTGCTAAAGACAGTTTTATGTTCTCCTTTCCAATCAGTCTACCTTTTATTTTTATTTCTTGTCTTATTGTACTTGCTGAGACTTCCAATACAACATTAAATAGGTTCAACGAGAAAGGACATCTTTGCCTTGTTCTAATGTCTCATTAGTAAGTACAAAGTTACATGTCAAGTTTTTCGGTACATGTTTCTTTTCAAGTTGAGAAAGTTTATGTGTTAAGTTTGCTGAGAGTTTTATCATGTATGGGTGCTGAGTATTGTTGAATTTTTTCTGAATCATTATGATATATGATTTTTATTTTTTAGCCTCTTGATGTATTATATTAAACAGATTCATATTTGGATATTGAATAAATAATCCTTTCTTACTTAAGCAAGGCCTGAATGTATAACTTTTGTTAAAACATTGTTAGATTTGATTTGCTAATATTTTGTTGAGGACTTTTGCATCTATGTTCGTGAGAGATGTATGAGTTTCTTTCTCGCAATGACTTTCTTTTGTTTAAGGGTAATTCTGACCTCATTGAATAAGTTAACAATGATCATTGCTTCTATTTTCTGAAATAATTTGTGGAGAATTGATACTATTTCTTCATTAAATGTTTGATAGAATTTAAAAACTATCTGGACCTGGTGTTTCCTTTTTATGAAGATGATTAATAATTGATTCAGTTTACTTTATATATATATAGGCCCACTTATAGTATCTATTTTTCCTTGAATGAGTTTGGTACTACGTGTCTTTCAAGGAGTTTGTAAGTTTAATCTGTTAGCAAATTTGTAGGTATAGACTTGTTTATATTGAGTATCCTCTTAATATCCTTATATTTAGTAGTGATTACCTGCCCTTCTTTCATTGTTTATATTGGTAATTTGCATCTTTTCTCTTTTTTTCTCTGTTAGCCTGTTTCGAGATTTGTAAATTTTATTGATCTTTCTAAAGAACCAGCTTTTATTTTTATTTTCTATATTGTTTTTCTGTTTTCACTTTCACATATATTTATTGAAATATTTATTAGGTTTTTGGTTCTGCTTGCTTTAGACTTACATTGCTCTTCTTCCAAAATATATTTCTAAATGTTCTTAACTTAATTTGAAATAACACTATATGACTTTACACATAGTGTAAATACTTTATGAGAAATTATTTCCTGTCCTTCCCATCTGTTAACGATATTCCTGCCATTCATATCCTTTATCCATATCCTATGATATCCTACTACATTGTTCTGTGTTTATTTTAATATTGCACAGTTACATTACTACCATTTATTTAAACAGTTATTCCTTTATACTAATTAAGATTAAGAAAAATAAATGATTTTATTTTACTTCTATTTATTACATCTCTTTTCTTTTTGTTGTCTTGAACTTCTGTCCGGTGTTATTTGTCTTCTGCCTAAGAACTTCTTTTAACAGTTTCTGCAAGGAAGGCCTCACAGTGATGAATTCCTGTGGTTTACGTCTTTCACAGAATGTCTATTTCTCTCTTATTTTTGAAGGATAATTTCTCCTCATATAGAATTTTAGGTTACTGGCTGTTATTGTTCTTTGAATACTTAAATTTCTTACTCTATTGTCTTGATGTCCATGTTCTTTAATATGATGGCCATTGTGGTTGTTTTTCTTGCACTTGTACAGGTAAGGTGCTTATACTTCTATGACTGCTTTTATGTTTCTTTTTTGTTTATCTTAGGTTTTCTACGTTTTAAATATGATATACTTAGGCTTACTTTTTTGGTCTTGTTGTTGTTTTTTTTTAATTTATGTAATACTTATCCAGCATGATGTTTTCTGAGCTTTTTATAACTCTGGTTTGGTGTCTGCAGTTAATCTGGAAACTTCTCAGACATTAATATTTCAAGTGCTTCTACTTTCTTCTATCTCTCTTTCTGGTACTCCAATTATGTATATTTTGAAACTTTGAAATTATCTCACATTTAGAACATTCTATTATCTTTTATTAAATTTCTTTTCTCTTTGCATTTTATTTGGAAAGTTGCTGTTGACCTAATTTCAATATCACTGGCTCTTTGTTCCATTGTGTACTATTTATTGTTGAGCATAGCACAAAGATTCTTCATTCCTCTTACAGTATTTTTGATTTCTAGATTCCCCTTTCAAATGGTTTTGATAATTATTTTTCTTCTTATAATATATATCTGTTTTATGTCGTCTATTTTTCCTTTATAGCCCTTCACATAGTAGTCATAGTTATTTTAAATTTCCCATCTTATAATTCTAGTGTTTGTCTCATGTATGAATCTGGTTGTGATGTTTGCTTTGTGTATTCACACCATGTTTTTTCTTGCCTTTGACATGCCTTGCGATGTTTTTTCGAACACCTGATATGATGTAATTGATAATGGGAACTGAGATAAAAAAGGCTTTAGTGTGAAGTTTTGTGTTTATTTGGCTAGGAGTTGGGCTAAGTTTAATACTTGCTGTAGCTATAAGTTCCAGAATCATCAAATGCCTGTGGTTTCCTTTTTTATATCCTCTCTTTATTTTGGACTTCCCTGTCTACTTTTCCTCAGACAGAATCTGCGTCTTTACAGCACTATTAGGTATAATCCACTGTTTTATTGTAGCTCTGTTGGTGTAGTGTAAGGTGTAGAAAAGAAGCATTCTACAATCTCATGATTACATCTCAAACATTTTGTAGGCCTGTATCTCTAGACTATGATCTTCACAGCAGCTTCTTCATTGATATAGCTTGTTTTCTCCTTATGTGAGACAAAAAGGCTGAGGGTTAAGGGAAATTGTTGTTAGAGAGGGAGGAATACCCTTTCCTAATGGGAAAAAATTCTAGTAAATTATCTTCAGCTAGGAAGTAGTCCTTTGTTCGGAATGATGCTCTGGATGTATTTCACAACAAATACTGTTACTCTCTCTTCGCTAGAGTTAAGAGGAGATCTCCCTGAGAAGACCATGGTGGGGTCCTGGGAACTAAGATCCACAAAAGCTTGTTCCCTTCTAAGACTGCAGACCCCAAGAGTTTCTCACTCTTGAGCTTGGCCACACTCATCTTTGATAATTAACCAAAATCAACATTTATATTCTATGCAGGGCTCAAGAAAAGTTGGTGTTCAGTTTGTTCAAATTTTTCTTGTAAAGATGAGAGCAAGCATTTCTCCTTTCTTCACTTTGTGTCAGAACTGAAATCAGATACGCACTAATGTTATTTTAAGAAAAAAATGACCAATTTCAAATAATATACACTGATTTAACATGGACTTGTTTATCTAGCCCCACTCAAACTTCGATCACTCTATTACACACTCAAGTGTATTAGTCTATTCTTGCATTGCTATAAAGAAAGACCTGAGACTGGGTAACTTATAAAGAAAAGAGGTTTAATTGGTTCATGGTTTTGCAGGCAATACAGGAAGCAGTGATGCTGGCATCTGCTCAGCTTTTTGAGAGGCCTCAGAAAACTTACAATTATGGTGAAAGGCAAAACAGGTGTGAGGTGTCTCACATGGCAAGGGTAGGAGCCAGAGAGAGGATAGAGGAGGAGCTACATACTTTTAAATGACCAGATCTCATGAGAACTCACTCACCGATGTGAAGACAGTACCAAGGGGTCTGGGGTATGCTGCTAAGCCATTCATGAAAAATCCAGCCCCGTGATCCAATCACCTCCCACTAAGCCCCTCCTCCAACATTGGGAATTGCAAGTTGACCTGAGATTTGAGCAGGGACACACCTCCAAACCATATCATCAAATATCTTGTGAGAGTTTGATGTGTTATTTTGTTTTGTTCTAGTTAAATAATTAGAATTTTGTGTTTTTGTCAATGTATCTCTGAAGAGATGGCACATAGGGCACACACTCTATAGGAGCTATAGGATGATATTCTATGGAATGAGAACACCAGAATAGAAATGACACAAGTCTACTCCCATCCCCCAACATCACAGAAATTATACAGAATACTCAGATCTCTGAATTAATATAATGGAAGTTTGAGCTGATTTTTTCTAGGTCTCAAGAGATAGCTAGTTAATTCAGTTGACATAAGACATAAGGTATTATTCATTTATTCTGGTTCTGCTACTCCAAAAATGTTATGAATTTTTACAAGAATAAATTGAACCTACAGCTCTGGAGATTTAAAGAAAATAATTTGTTATTATCAGATATCAAAGATTTTATAATTTTGAGAAGGAGAATCTTGGAAACAAACATGAACCAATCAGCAATATAATTTTGAGTTTTAGTTTCTTTTCAAATAAACTTTTTATGAAAGTAACATATTTATCTGGAAAGGTATTCAAATTTTAAGTATACAGATTGACAGATTTTAACAGTGAATATACCTCTGTAATTAGCATTGATGAATTTTCACCAGTTATGCACCCATGTGTAAATAAAAACTAGGTCATAAAACATACTGTTACTAACACCCCAGAAACCCCCTTCACATCATCTCTCATCCACAGCAAAATAAATTTCTAGAAAAGCAGTCATAGGGTATATTATAGGATGCCAGTGGAAAGGTTTAATTTACCTTTAAGAGCAACTACTGGAGAAACCACTGTAATTGTTATTTATGTTTGGAAATGTAGAACAAATCACTTTTTTAGAGTGAACTTTTCTTGGCTGCAGTATGCAAGGATATGCTGTAGTAAAAACAAACAAAACTCATCAATCTTAGTGGCTCAAAAAATGAAACTTTTGGTTTTCATACAAAGTATACTACAAGCCTGGTGACTCTCCAAGTAAACTATTTTCCATGTTGTTACTCAGTGGTCCAGATTATGCCAATCTTATTATTCCAACTCAGTAAATGCTAAAGTGGTTGTTCTGGCTAGGGAAGAGACCACTTCAGACTATCACATTGGTTCCATTTCTTCCCATGACACATTGGCCTTAACCAGTCATATGGCCCTTCTTAAGTAAAGGAAAGCGAAACTGTGATGTACCTGTGTGTCCACAAGGAAAGAAAAGCTAAGAGTGAGTAGAAGCTTCTTTCTTGAGATATTTGAGTTTTTATCTCCAATATGCCACATTATTATTTTTAGCAACAAAAATATTTTTCCTTGCTTATAGTAGTCAGAGTTGAGATGAATATATTTGCTTTTGAGAATTATTTGTTTTTCTAAATCTTCACTTAGGGTGCTTTACATCATACCTTATTAATTCTTATTGCATCTTTGTTTCTCTGTTATCTGTCAAGGAATGGCTTGCAGATAAACTGGACATGTAGATTTAGACTTCATCATAACCTTAAGGAGTATATATGAAAAGTAACTGTACTAAACTGTTTGACTTACTTTAAATAGCTTAGATGCTGGATGGTTGTGCTCTGGTTTGGGGGAGAAGAGAGCAAAGGGAACCAGCACGTTTGAAGACATGGGTGTTATGATTTGCCATAAACACAAAGAATAAACTTATTATAAATCTCCTTCTTAAAAAGTCAGTCTTCTGACAGACGGTACCGTTCATCTTGGATTGGAGAAAATATCTTTTTACGAAGCTAGACCTGAATCGGTGGGGTGTTTTTTTTTTTTTTTTTGGTGGGGCGCGGGCATTAAGATTCCTAAAGTATTCCTATTGGGATGTCTTAAGACCCTTTTCTTCCTTAAACTTGAAAAGGATGCAACTGAAAATTGGCTCATCTACATCAAAATCACTGCAAAGGAGGAGGCCTAGAGAAACTAACATCCCAATAAAGACTAGCCAACGTTGATCTATATTTAAAAAAAAAAAAAAAAACTTTTTCTGATCCCTTAACTAGGTATACACACATACAACACGCACACACGCACACACACACACACGGAGTCAAAATCTTCAAAAATTTGTGTCCGTCTTTGAAAAATCCATAATTTCATAACATTTAACATTTTGTCACATTAGCCATAAAGACCGGTGACAGTACTCAGTATATTAAACCTTCACTATTCTACATGCAGTGTCAAAATATAAATGATGTAGGGAAATTGTCTAGGTCTATAATTTCCAAAAATAAGAGTTTTGGATTGGGCGTCTCATTAATCAGATGCAATGCCTCAAAAATGACATTGAACCAGTCTGGATACATGTTGTCATTTCCTCATTGATTTCTTTACTGATTCCCAGACTCAGTGGATCAGAATCACTTATGAAAATTTCTTTTTAAATAATAAACAAATTTCCAGGTCCCTCTTTGTAATTCTGTTTTAAAGAGGCCATGTGTACAGAGGCTCTAGATAATGAGAGGCCATTTGAACAGTCCAGCTCCAGCCACGCTTCTACTTCATTATTGTCAATGAGAAACCAACTGCCAATACGACTAGTAGGGGACCAAAAAAAAAAACACCACCACCACCAACAACAACAACAACAAAAAACAAACAACAACAAAAAAAACCTTTCTTAGTCCCAGCCAACCAATAAGATTTTGCAAATTAAAAATTTGAAGTTATTTTAAGCCTCTGAATTTGGAATTTTTTTTGCAACAACACCAAATAAGAGAAATACAAAAATAGTTTATCTGCAGCATACCCCCAGGATCTCTAAACATTTCTCTAAGCTCTTTGGATACTCAGTCAAACTTGGAAATAGAGAAATTAGATTATCTTTGATGTACTTTTAGTTTCCAGTAGTCTAGGATAATAGTGTGTTCCAGAATCTTACTGTAACTCAAAACTCTCCACATCACCTTTTTTCCAATGATCCAGTACTTAAAGATGGTCCTAATGGTACTGGCACAAATTCAAACTCATTACCTGACATGACAATGCTAAATGACAGAAATGCCATAAATACCAAGCCTTCTGCCACACCCATTATATGTTCCATTTGGCAGTTATGTGTTCTTAGATATCATGGGAAATTTTGAATATTAGACTGCAATTCAGAAAATGTATCCTACCATTATATGATTCCCATTTAACACTAATCCATGCTTGAATATTGACTTCATCACTCAAACGTAAACAAAATATTATTGCAAAGTTATTTTATCTGTCTATGGTGAATCTAAACTAATGTGGCCAGTGTATGCATGTGCATCAGTCTCAATGTTTCTAGAGACTTACAGCTAGTCCAGGGTTAGGGAACTGGGCCAGAACACATCAGCTTATGATCTGGGGAGGAAACACTGGGAAGGAGATGTCCCAATGTGTGTCATGGTTAGACTACTGGCAACAATCAGTGCTATGAACAATATTATTTAGGCCAAAGAGAAATCAGTTATTTATTTATTTATTTATTTATTTATTTATGCACTCCCTTATAGAACTTGACAATATTTTCATCCTTACTTTTCCACTAAAAATATTTCCATATATTTAGCCAAAGCCTAAAAAGAGGGGAGCTTTCCATGTTTTAAAAGTTTGTACAATAAACTTTGCATCCAGACCCATTTTCACTATTTAAGCTGCTGGCCAGACTTTTGGCTTCTTGAATGAAGAAACTTATCTTTATACAACAATTCAAGGTGCAGTACTATGTGAGGTACTTTTTTTTAATGTGAAAAAAATGTGATAAACTATCTTATAAATTATTTCAGCTATTTGTTGAGTCTTTATGAAAACTGTAAGTAGACCACATGCCCTGAACTCAGATGCTGTGAAATTGTGAACTATGGGTCTGTTTTCCACCATTCTACAACATGTTCTGCTCTAACTTCTGTTTATAATTAGTTGCTTTGCAAAGAACTAAGCAGATGTGTTATAGTTTCTTTGAATTATCAGCATATATTTAAGACAAATTGCATCTTCTGAAGAAATTGTGCCCTCGGGGGAATTATTTGTCTTGTGCTAACTGACTTTTACTTCAGATGTGGAGTTAATTTTAGGTTTCAAGTGTACAGGCCTGAAATTAATATCTCATAAATTTTTAAACATAAAAGATCATCACACTTGGTTCCAACCCTTTGGTTTCTAAGGTAGAATAGATTCTCAGGAATTAATAGCTGAGAGACATATCTATATAAGGATCTGCAGCAATAAGGATTGATGCAATAAAGTAGAAGAGTTAAGGATAACTGAAATAAAATTTTAAGGTAAATATAAACGGTTCTCTATAATGCATTATAGGCAAATCCTGTAGATTTTGGTCTTTATATTGAAGAAAAATGTTAAGGACAGACATATATATTACATAAAGAAAACAATTTTCAAGACATAACTTTCAAAGTAATAGTACTTTTTATTTTTTAGAGGAAGAAAATGTAATTACAGGAAATAAAGAAGTCGTTTGAACTTATCAATTATATTTTGATACATGAGATTGTTTTGTGGATTTCTATGTTTGTAAATGAGAATATATAAGGTGATCAAATTTTATATTTCTATATTTCAATCATTATAATAAATACATATTACTTAACTCACCAAAAAGGATAAAGAAAGACTAGTATTTTGAATTTTTACCAAGTATTTATCTATTTTTTATCTGAGGCTAATATAAAATTACTGTGTTTTTCATAGCACAGATTATGGGCAAAGAAAGGATAGCCATTTTAAGGTTTGATTAATATACAGTCTGCAATCTAGAAAATTCTGTTCTCAGAATTGGTTCATTATTTCTTGAGCCTGAATCTATAAATTATTATTTGTTTACATTTTTTTCATTTTGTAGATCTACCTTCTGAGCACAAGTTAACCTCTAAATCTATTCAAAGATTACTGGGTTTGTTCATTCATTTTTTTATATCTATACATTCTTCAATTATTATACAGCCTTTTTGCTGAATTATTTGTGCCCTAAGTGTTAGAGAATGTTAGGAATTTTCATTCAAATTGAGATATTTCCAACATCGAATGATACTAGAAGACATTGAACGTTAAAATTAGCCAAGTAAATTAAATTTTCAAAGATTAGAGAGTTATTTTGCTCCTGCCAAATGGGCATGGTGGATAAACATTTGTAATCTTCCTCCAAAAATAGTTTTTAAAATGTTTATACATTTTATCATAGTTTATACTACTATGTAGGCATGGATAGTTATTAAAAATATTGTTGTTGGCTTAATCATTAAAAAAGTAAAATATACATGTTAATTTATCTTTAATACTTTAAAATAAATACAAAAATGTTTTCTAAGAAACAGATTAATATATGTGAAAAAATGGTGTAAAATTTTGTATTTTGTTTTTCTGATAAAATTGGTTTTAACAACTTTATCAAGTTCAAAAGTACATTTAGCAATGAAAACTACTTATTTTATTATAAAATTAATGCATCTAGAAATTGAAACAAAGTCATAATAAAGCAAAAAACCATAATCCCACAGGCTTAACTCAATGTTGTTATAAATTTGTCAGTCATAAACATAATAACTTAATATGAAAAAATTCAGGGGAATGTAGCACTTTTTATTTTTTATTTGAATATATCTCCAATCTATCTAAGAAATTAATGTTACTCTTTCAGTTATGTTGTTAATTTTTAATCACTTCTCTACTTTTTCTTTGTTTAATTGCTTTTAAATCATATAAACTTCTCAATAATGCCTTTATTTCTTTCAGTTATCCTAGTCCCCAGAATTGATGTTTTTCCATTTTCATCTTATAAATATCTTATAAATGACTCCTCACCATCAAATAAATAAAACATCTTTTATTTTACAAATGTACTTAAGAGTTGCTTACTAATAAAGTTGCATACTAGTTTGCTGTAACAGTATTTCATGTTTTGCTTTTTCTAAACAAATTTTCTTCATATATATTATTCACATATAACCATCTATTTTAAAGTAACAGACTAAGCCAAATATTATTGAAGTTGAAGAAAAAATTAATATTCATCATTTTAATAAATGAAGATATCATAATAGTGTCATTATACCATGGCTTAAATTTTCTTAGAGCCTTTGCTTTTAAAAACTATTAATAATAAGATTTTCACTTTTAAAATTTTGCTGCAGATTTTTTTATATATATATTTGGCCTCCTGACTTATGACAAAGATGTTGACCTCCCTTCAAAAAAAATAAGCCATGTTTTATTAAATCTCAAAAAGAACACTTGGAATTGTTAGCTCAAGCTTCAAATATTTAAACATTAACAGAATACATTTAAAATATAATCCAATACTAATTTATATTAAAAATGTTAATTTAATTAAGTGTTGTATATCATGGTATAAAATAGGTTTTATGTGATGTCCTTTTAAATAAAATGCTGGATTCAACAAGGCCACTAATTTCACTTACAATAGCCTCAGAAAATAAAAACGAGAAAATTTTTCACCTAAGGAATATATCTTACCCGGGTATTCCTCTAAGAAAACTAGGATCAATCTTCACATGTTGTATGCTGTTTCCTCATGACATATTGAAAACACATGGGTTAAAGCTATGAGGACACAAAGCAAGCCCCTCTGCTCACTGCTAACCTGCATAGAGTAGAATTTTGTTTTAAAAAATAATTTTTTATTAAATAATTTTTAAAATAATTTTAAATAATTTTTTTGTTTTAAAAAATTTCTCTTATTTTGTTTTAAAAAATAAGACTAGGGTTCTAATTTGGGAGACCATCAAAACTGTGAAAATGAGTAATGACTCTGCTTTGCCTCCAATCTTCAATCTGTGCATTCGCATAACTCCCACTGAAACTAATTATTTTGTTCTTCAATTATGTTAGTAGGAGTTGGGTATTCAGAAGTTTCAATTAAATTGACCATATTGAAGTCAATGGGAGTTCACTGATGGTGGTGGGGGTTACATACATGAAGTAGATATAATATAGAATGGTAGAACTTGTTCAGGCTAGCCCCTTTATCAAAGAAATATGTTTCCTAAAATTAAAAGCGATTTATTTGTCTTCTAAGTTGGAGTTCCAGTTTTGTGTGTACTAAATGATCAAATTTTTTAAATGATTAAGAATATTTAAATGAAGCTTATACAAATATCTTAATTCTCTGTATTTATCATGTAAAATATATCTTATTCACATTTGTGATAATTCCATTTTTTTCCTTTTGGGTTCCTATTAATGAGTACTGCATCCTTGTTTGACTAAAACTTAACTAAGAACTTTTTTGCAAAACTGATTAAAAGGGAGAGGAGGTGATCGTTGAATATACATACATCCTGTCCATTTATATATAAGGATTTGGCTGGGTATGGATGCCATGCCTATTAGGAAAGAGAACTATCAATGGAACAAGCTCTGAAAATCCTAGTAAAAGAAATGAGAAATGACAGATGGATGAATAGAGAGATAGGTAGGTAGGTAGATAGATAGAGACATAGAGATGTAGAGACATAGAATTAATAAAAAAAAAGACTTCTGGAGTGTTATATTAAATTTTAACACGCAAAAGTTCCAGAGTTATGCTGTTTCATTCAAAGAGAACTTCAAATATGCTTGCCACATATAAGACATTATTTACGCATTTCTATTTATTTTACTAAATTAATGTTAATTAATGTTTAGAACAATCCCGTAGACCACAAAGCAATATCACTATTATATAGATGAGAAAACTGAAGTTTAGAATGTTAGAAGTCATGGTTCAAACCTTACTTTTGACTCTTGTTTCACTCTTCTTTATACTGTGCCACACTTGCTCATGAATCATCTCCAGAAGTATTGTACAGATGCAAATCCACTGATAAATTATTTGATGAACATGTCATTCTCCATCTTATTGGACTTCAGTTGACTCTAAGTAGCTTAAGTGCTCTCATATATATATATATATATATTTTGAATCCCAAATCCTAGTTAAAATTTTATAAAAACTTAGGAAAGGAATGTGAGTCACAAGTGTCCACATAATTCAGAATGTTTATACCAATATTTTGCTAAGATGTGTGTAATCATTATTATATGTTTTAAATTTTATTTAACAAGATAAAGCAATGAGAAATGCTGCTGGAAAAAATATTTTGCCTAGACCAAGCCACTCAAAATAACTTGATGCCTTGTCAAATCAAACCCTCAAAGTCCATTCTTCCATAGATTTTTTTCCCATGTTTTATTATTGTCACATTTTTTTTCCTTAGCTAAAAGTGGTAATAAGAATTGGATACATGACAATCTCTGACATTGAACCTTAATGCTATTCCCAACACAATAGTGATTAATTAAACAAAAACCTAGAGTCTGTGTAATAAATCTCTTTAGAAGATTGAGGTACTCACATTATATTGCATAATATAAATCCACAAAAAATAAAGCATAAATCATATAATTTTAATAAATGAATATGACATCAATTTCAGTTTAAATAAAAATACTATAATATTTAGTCTTTCATTTCCAAATGAAATGAATACTTTTCTACAAAATAAGCAAAGACAATTGTCAAGACCTTCCCTTTTCTAGCTTTTGATGAGATTCCATATATGGCCTATATTTGTGGAGATTTAATAGTTAAGCTACTATCATAGATGATAACCACAACCTTTATGCATCACATGATGTGGTTTGAATTTGTGTCTCCACCCAAATCTCATTTCAAATTATAATCCCCAATGTTAGAGAAGGGGCCTGGAGGGGGGTGATTGGATCATGGGGGAGATTCTCTTCTTACTGTTCTTGTGACAGTGAGTGAGTTCTCAGGAGATCTGGTTGTTTAAAAGTGTGTAACACCTCCCCCTTCTCTCTGTTCCTCCTGCTCTGGCCATGTAAGCTATGTCTGCTTCCCCTTTCACCATGACTGAAAGATTCCTGAGGCCTCCCCAGCCATGCTACCTGTACAGCCTTCAGAAACATATGCCAACTGAACCTCTTTTTTTTATAAATTACCCAGTCTCAGGTATTTCTTTACAGACTTACGCAGAAAATTGGTACCAAGGAGTGGAACATTGCTATAAAGATAACTGAAAACATGGAAGCAACTTTGGAACTGGGTAATAGGCAGAGGTTGGAACAGTTTGGAGGGCTCAAAAGAGAGAAAGATGAGAGAAAGTTTAGAACTTCCTAGAGACTTGTTAAATTGTTGTGACCAAAATGCTGATAGGTAAATGAAAAATGGACAATGAAGTCCAGGCTGAGGGGGTCTCAGATGGAAATGAAGAGCTTGTTGGGAACTGTAGTAAAGTTCACCCTTGCTATGCTTTAGCAAAGAAACTAGTGGCATTGTACCCCTGCTCTAGAGATCTGTGGAACTTTGAACTTGAGAGAGACAATTTAGGGTATCTGGAAGAAGAAACTTCTAAGCAGCAAAGAATTCTGGATGTGGTGTGGATGCTATAAATGGTGTATGCTCATATGCATGGGCAAATAGATGACTTGAAACTGGAACTTTTATTTAAAAGGGAAGCAGAGCATAAAATTTTGGAAAATTTGCAGCATGATCATGTGTTAGAAAAGAAAAAACTGTTTTCTGGGGAGGAACTCAAGCCTATACAGAAACTTGCATAAGTAAAAAGGAGACAAATGGTAATAGCCAAGACAATGGGGGAAAATGCCTCAAGCATTTTAGAGACCATCATACCAGCCTTTCCCATCACAGGCCTCAAGGCCTAGGCGGGAAGGATTGTTTCACGGGCCAGACCCAGGGCCCCACTTCCATGCATTTTCCTTCCCCTCAGGACACTGCTCCCTGCATCTCAGCTGCTCCAGCTCCAGTTGTGGCTAAACAGACCCTGGATATGTTTCAGGTTGCTGCTCTAGAGGTTGAAAACCATAAGCATTTGTGGCCTCCACATGGTGTTAAGCCTGTGGGTGTGCAGAGGGCAAGAAGAAATTCTTGGGAGGCTCCACCTAGATTTCAGAGGACATATGGAAGCACCAGGATTTCCAGGCAGAAGCCTGCTGCAGGGGCAGAGCCCTCATGGAGAACCTCTACTAGGGCAGTGTGGAGGGGAAATATGAGGTTAGAGGTCCCACACAGAGTCCCCACTCGGATACTGCCTAGTGGAGCTATGAGAATAGGGCTACGGTTCTCCAAGCCCCAGAATGGTAGATCCACCGACAGCTTGCACAGTGCACCTGAAAAAGCTGCAGGCACTCATTGCAAGCCCTTGAGAGCAGTCATGGGAGGTGAGCCCTGCAGAGCCACAGGGGTGGAGCTACCTGTCTTAGGAGCCCACCCTTTGCAACAGTGTGGCCTCGATGTGAGACATGGAGTCAAAGAGATCATTTTGGAGCTTTGAAATTGAATGACTACCTCTGGGTTTCGGACTTGCACAGGATCTGTACACCCTCTTTATTGGCTGATTTTTCCTTTTAGAGTGGGAATATTTACCCAATGCCTGTTTCCCCATTTTATCTTGGAAGTAGTTAACGTGTTTTTTTTATTTTACAAGCACATAAGGCATAAAGGACTTGCCTTGTCTCAGATGAGACTTTGGACTGTAGAATTTTGAGTTAATGCAGGGATGAGTTAAGACTTGGGGCACTCTCAAGAAGGGACTATTGTATTTTCCAATGTGAGAAGGACATGAGATTTGGGAAGGGCCAGGAGTGTAATCATATGGTTTATAATTGTGTCCTCACCCCATCCCCCGCCAAAAAAAAAAACACTGGAGGAGGGGCCTGATGGGAGGTGATTGGAACATGGGGCAGATTTCCCCCTTGCTGTTCTTGTGATAGTGAGTGAGCTCTCATGAGATCTGTTTAAAAGTGTGTAGCTCCTCCAACTTTTCTCTTTCTTCTGCTCCAGCCATGTCAGACATACTTGCTTCCCCTTTACCTTCAGCCATGATTGAAAGTTTCCTGAGGCCTCCCAGCCATGCTACCTGTAAAGCCTTAAGAACCACCAGCCAGTTAAACCCTGTTTTCTTTATAAATTACCCAGTCCCAGGTATTTCTTTATTGCGGGGTGAGAATGGACTAATATGTCACACTATCTGCAAATCTGAAGAAAAAGAATTATACACACACACACACACACACACACAAATAACCACAGATACATCCATCTGTCCATGATCTTCTGCCTAATGTTTTGCTGTAAGTTTTTCTCAGTTTATAAATCCTCTAATGATGTAGCCAGGTTGGATACTTCACCATCATGCTCTTATTTTACCTTTTACATAAGTCATCAGCATAACACTTGACCATGTTGCATCAAAATTATACTTGAGATTATGAATAGCTCCAAATTTTGCTTATCTTTGTATTCTCTTTCTCTAACACAATGTACTCCACATAAGAAGAGCTAAAAAATAATTGATTGAATTAAATTGCCCAATTTATGTGCTGCAGCCCTGAATAATTCTACCTATGAACTAACTCTAAATTCACTACATATTCCTTGGTGAATTTCTGATGAATTTCGTGAATTATTATAATAATGGTAACTAAATAACAATAATTGTCATTTTAGCACTTGCTATATATTAGCATTACGTTACAACCCATAAATTACTATGTTTTATGTGTTTTTCATAGATCATCATATTTAACTTTTATAATCATTCTATGAGACAATGAATTACTAGCATATTTTTCAGAGATGGAAACTGAGTTTTAGAGATGTTGAATAAATTTCTCAAAGACTCACAAAGTTAAAAGACATAAGTATTTATACTTTTTTATTGTTGCTTTTGATTGTCCAGATTTTTCAACATTTTGCTAAAGTGTAATTTAAAAACACTGTGCTAACTCTAAATTCCTTATTTTTTTCTGAGAAATCACTTTGTTTTCTTTACAAATATATACATAGAAGACACCGATGATTGTCTTTTGTTATTTATATTGTCTTATGTCATATAATTATGATATTGTCTTATGTCATATGATTATGATGATTGCCTTCTGTCATATGATTATGCATACCTGTCCTTTTGAATTCAGTCTTGGCTAAAGTATTTTCTTTGGCTGAAAAACATCAATGATGTGATGTGTCACGTGTACACACAATCCCCTCTCTGATACAACATATGGCAATGACCTAGATAGTGGAGCACTGGATTTTGAAGAAGGAGTGGGGGGCAAACTTCTACTGCCCTCAAGTGAAAATCTTTTCTTTTTAAGCCACTGATATTTGGGGGATTATTTCTTACTGCTGCAAAACCTACCGAGTTCAAAGAGTTCACACGTCGTAAATACTTGGCTTTAGACATATTTTAGCCTTAGTTAATTATAATTCCAATGGCATAGTGAGATGTTAACCAAGAAAATGTGAAGGATAAAGACATAATTCTTTTACTAACAGCTACATTTAGGTATAATTTATGTAAAAAGAACCGCCCATATTTACTGTATACAATTTGATGGGTTTGGAGAGAAATACCTATGATGACATAACCATAGTCAAGATAATAGGCATGATGAACTCTTTCCAAAGTTTCTCTGTGTCCCTTTGTTTTTGTATTGTTTTTATAGTAAGAACACTTAACATGGGATCTACCCTCTTAACAAATTTTGAAGTACACAATATCATATTGTTAACTACAGGCATTATATTATGTTGCAGATCTCTATAACTTATTTTTCCATCATAACTGAATTTTGTACTCATTGAACAACAGAAAAATAATACATTATTAATTCAAGTGCAAAGCAATTATTTACTAATAAAAGTTTATCATTGACATTAAAGAGTAATGAAAAGTAGACAGAAAGCTAGAAATAAAAAATGGAAATTTAATGAGTAAAGTTCTAAAAACAACTATTTTCAAAATGTGATGGAAAGTCTTATGTTAATCTACAGAGAAATAAGGCTTCTTTCTATCATGATATAAATAAAAATTTGCTATATTTTCAAGTGTGTGTATGTATGTGTGTGATTTGTATTACAGCCTTGGGGGCCATTCCTGTAGGAGTCTTCTGAAATTATAACAGTGTAATGAAATAAACACACTGCAGACAGACTCATTTGCTGATGAGAGATTTGGGGCTCCATTTGATATTGTACTCATATTTCATGTGACAAAATATTACTTTGAAAAATATTTGTCCACCAATCCTTTAGTGTTTCATTTTAAATAGATTTAGAAATTGTAAAATATGCAACAAGGTAATTTAGTTTAAAACTTTAAGACGGAAATCTGAGAACGTCAATCTGACAAAGAATCAAAGCTTAAATCAATGTAGAATTATACAAATGCATTTACATAAATATTCATGAAAGTCAAATTCTTGAATATTTCAAGACCCAAGTGCTATTCTAACCACTTTGACTTAATAAGTAACTTCAAATGTTTATTCACATATGTAAAAATAAATCAAACCATGATGTTACATCTATAAATGGTAAAATATTGTCTGAAAATCTAGTCATTTGACCATGTCTTTTGACCATGTGACACAAATTAATGTTTACTTTTTATAATTAATTATATATTGTGTTATTGTCCTGACTAAAAAAGTCTTCACTAATATTATACGTAATATTGTTTTGAGATATGAATTGCTAATATGTCTCATGAAACAAATCAGAAAATAAGCATCCTTATCTTTACAGATTTTTCAAATAAGACTCTACTTAACTGTGGTTGCTATTCTAGCATATTTTTCTTCTTCCCGTTCAGTGTCTTCTTTTACATAAAATTATATAGAGTTCCCTTTAATCAATTAAGAACCTGAAAGAAGATATAATACTACTGCAAACAATTAAAATGTCTTGCAACACAGTTATTAAAATAAAGTTACATTTCAGCCTTGCATAAGACAAGATACACAAACAAAAACAATAACAAGTTCATTGTCTAAAATGATAGTGACTAGTCTTCCTTTTCTGTTTTTATGTCTTCCATATTTAAAAGATATTGAATACGCAAACTCAGAAACATGTAAGCAAAGGAAAAATATTTAAGTTAAACAAGAGATAAATTACTCTTGTGAAATAAAATGAAAGTCAATACCTAAGCATTCCATTCCATTCAATGAACTTCAAAATAAGGTGAGATTGTGTCAAAATTTAATCTTTTCCTATAACAAGGATACACACAGGTAGAATAATAAGACAATTACATTATGAATATTATTAAGATTTTTGCCATTGGTTTTTGGTTGCTTTTTTTTTGGTTTCTAATAAATGGGAAAAAATAAGTTCCAATAAAATATTAAAATATTACCAAACTTTATAATTGTAGTATATTACAAAGATTATTAGACCAGGACATACAAAGTTTTTTGACAAATCACTAAGAATACTTGTTTCAATGTCTTTACTTGTAAAATAGAATTTGAGATTGGATGAGCTCTAAAGATTTGTTTCAGTTCAAAATTTGCCTATGAAATGTTAAGATTACAGGCTATTAGTTAGAGATTGAATTTTAGAGGCATTTGTATGTGTTCTGGAATGATATCTTTAGTAAATAAAATAGTATTAGCCATTCTAAAGATTAACTATGTCAAAAAAGCAGTTTTGAAACTCTAAACAATATGCTCTCTTTATAGTCTTTCATTCCCTTGCCTGAATAAGAGAACTCAGAGACTGTCAGCAGACACTAAAATTATTTAGTGTTTGACACTTCAAATATCTGCTGGCAACATCCCCAAGATGATGTCAACTTCTTGTAGAGTATAGAACATTTAATACTCCCCCAGAGCATCTCACTTTCAGAGTTGGTGCACTTTTAAATATCAAGTGCACTAATGCCTTTCCCCCAAATGGTGACTAAAATCTTAAAAAGTTACGCTCTGATCTAAACAATGAATAATACTGTGCTATGGAAACATAAACTACATATTAAATATCTATAAAAATATTTATAAAATAACAGATGTTGTTTAAAAAATTATAGAAACAGCTAAACTCAGTTATAATATTTTAAAGTAAAATTATAATTTTTATAAGGCTGAATAATATTTATTTAGAGTATGTCTATTCATCCTACTTCTTAACTCCATGTTTCCCAGAGGCTTTATTGTAAAATAACAACATCATTTATTTAATAACCATAGACAAAATAAGTTGTCCATATGCATCAATATTTCTATTAATAAATATTTTAAATAACAACTTGGCCTAATAGTTTTATAAAGAACACATTTTTTTCTGTCGTCTTAAAAAAAAGTTCCGAACATGATTGATATTTTTCTTACCAACTGCAGTACACTATTACAATTATCAAGTAATATAATTTATTGAAATATCTTAGAAATTCCCACTTGTATATGGAAAGACAAATGCTTCAACAATAAAGAACACCAATAGCAATGACCTTTGCTCTATTTTTTGATTATAGAATATAACATAAACTCATCAAGAAAATACTGTGAGTTATGAGAATGAAAGAAGCTGAGAAAAAGTAATCCATAAGTCACTACCTATCGCCATATTTCCTTTCTGACTTTTTTCTGTTTTTCAAATGCTTAGAGTATTATTTCCATAAAATTAAACATCCTGTATTTTTTCACTTAACACACAACTATGAGCACATTTGTATTATTTCAAAAACATGATTTTAATGAAATAGTATTCAATTTTATTGTGTTAAAGCATATATTGCTGGATAATTAGGTGGTCCCTAGGTTTTTCCTTCAGCTCATAATGTATGTTTTATTCTTAAGACAATAAATGTATACATATTTTATAATCTTACATAAAAAGTCATCTAAAGGAAGGCAGCCTAGTGACTTAGTAAAGTTAGGCCTGTGTTATGTTCTCAATAATTCTCTTTTCATGTCCCTTCCTATCTCACATTTATTTTATTTTTTAAATTGTCAAAAAGCATTTGTATTTATCATGTGCAACATAATGTTTTAAAATCTGTATGCATTGTGGAATGGCTAAATCTAGTTAACATATGCATTATTTCATGTGCATTTTTGGGGCGGACGACAACACTTAGAAGTCTCTTAGCAATTTCTTATTTTTTATTGATATATAATTTTAGTACACATTTATAGGTTACATGTGATACTTGGTTACATACATAGACTATAAAATTATCAAATCAGGGTATTTTAGGAGTCCATCATCTCAAGTACTTATCATTTTTTATGTATTAGGAACATTTCAAGTCTTCTCTTCCTGATATTTAAAAATATACAACATGTTATTTGTAACTTTAGTCATGCTACTCTGCATTCAGACATTGAAACTTATTTCTTCTATCTAACATGTACCTATTAGCCAACCTCTTTCTTCATTTGCTACTCCCACCCACACATCCTTCCCAGCCTCTGGTATCTATCATTCTACTCTACCTCCTTGAGATTAAAGCTTTTAGCTCCCACATATGAGTGAGAATGTGAAATGTTTATCTTTCCATGATTGGCTTATTTTACTTAGTATAATGACCTCCAGTTTCATCCATGTTGTTGCGAATTCCATGATTTCATTTTTTGTTATGATTAAATAGTATTTCATACTGTGTACATATACCATATTTTCTTCACCTATTTGTCTGTTGAGAGACACTTCAATTGATTCCATATCTTTGCTATTGTGACTAGTGCTGTAATAAACATGGGAGTACAGTTATATCTTTGACATACTGATTTCTTTTCCTTTGGTAAAACACCCAGTATGAGATGTTGGATCATATTCTATTTCTGACTTACTGAAAAATCTCCATACCGCTTTCCATAGTGGCTTTAACAATTAAGATTCCCATCAATAGTGTATAAAACTTCCCTTTTCTCTGCATTCTTGCAAGCATCTGTTATTTTTTGTCTTTTTAATAACAGCCATTCTAACTGAGGTAAGATGATATTTCGTTATGGTTTCAATTTGCATTTCCCTGATGATTAGTGATATTGAGCATTTTTCATATACCCATTGGCCATGTGTGTGTCTTCTTTTGAGAATTTTCTATTCATTTATTTGTTTCTTTTACTGTTGAGTCATTTGAGTTCCTTTTATATTCTGGATATCAGTTCCTTGTTGGATGAATAGTTTAAAAATATTTTCTGTTATTCATCATGTTGTCTTTTCACTTTTGATTGTTTCCTTTGCTGTGCAGAAGCTATTTAGGTTAAGTTCCACTTGTCTATTTTTGTTTTTGTTGCCTGTACTTTTGAGGTCTTAGCTATAAAATATTTGCCTAGACCAATGTCCTTGAGTGTTTTCTCTCTTTTCTTCTAGTAGTTTTATAGTTTCAGATCTTATACTTAAGCCTGTAATCAATATTGTGTGAATTTTTGCATATGGTGAGAGATAAAGATCAGTTTTATTCTTCTGCATATTTATATCTAATTTTCCCAGAACCATTTATTGCAAAAGGTATCCTATCCCCAATGTATGTTCTTGGAACCTTTGTCTAAAACCAGTTGGCTATAAATATGTGAATTTATTTCTGGGTTCTCTATTACGTTCCATCAGTCTGTGTGTCTGTTTTGTACCAATATTACGTTATTTTGTTACTAAGGCCTTGTAATATAGTTTGAAGTTAGGTAGTATAATGCCTACAGCCTGATTACGTTTGCTGAGGATTGTTTTGGCTATTTGGGCTCTTTTGTGGTTCCATCTGAATTTTAGAATAGGTTTTTCTAAATATGTTGAGAATGTCTTTGGTAGTTTGACAGGAATAGCATTGAACCTATAAATTGCCTTGGGCAGCATGGACATTTTAACAATATTGATTCTTCCAATACATGAGCATGGAGTGTTTTTCATTTGTTTGTGTCATTTTTAATTTCTTTCACCAGTGTTTTGTAATTCTCATTGTAGAGATCTTTAACCTCTCTTGATTAGCTATATTCCTAGATATTTTATTATTTTGGGGGGCTATTGTGAAGGAGATTGCATTCTTGATTTGGCTCTTGACTTGGGCATTATTGGTGGTATTAGAAATGCTACTGACTTTTGCATATTAATTTTGTGCCCTAAAACTTTGCTGAAGTTGTTTATGAGTTCTAGAAGCCTTTGAGCAGAGACTATTGGGTTTTTAGGTATATATAGAACTTTCGGGCTGTTTCTTCTATTTCAATGAAAAATTACATTGGTATTTTGATAGGGATTGCATTAAATCTGTGGAATGCTTTGGGCAGTATGGACATTTTAATGATGTTTATTCTTCCAATTCATGAACATGGGATGTCTTCCCATTTGTGTCCTCAATAATTTCTTTCATTAGTGTTTTGTAGTTTTCATTGTAGAAGCCTTTTACCTCTTTGGTTACATTTATTTCTAAGTATTTAAATTTTTCATAACTATTGTAACTGGGATTGTCTTTAAGATTCCTTTCTCAGATCCTCTATTACTTCTGTATATAAATGCTACAGCTATTTTATGTTGATTTTGCATCCTGTTACTTTATTGAATTTATTTATGTGACCTAAGCATTTTTTGGTGGAGGCTATAGGTTTTTCTAGATTTCAGATCATATCATTTGCAGGAAGGGACAGTTAGACTTGCTTTTTTCCAATCTAGATGAATTTTACTGTTTTCCTATTAACTGATTGCTTGGACTAGGACTGCCAGTACCATGAATACAAGTAGCGAAAATAGGCATTCTTGTCTTGTTCTAGTTCTTAGAAGAAAGACTTTCAGCTTTTCCCCATTCAGTATAATATTATCTGTTTATTTGTCATATGTGGTCTTTATTATGTTGAGATATGTTCTCTTTATGCCTCATTTTTGAGAGGTTTTTTTTTTTATCATGAAGGGGTGTAGAATTTTATTGAATGCTTTTTCTGCATCTAGTGAGATCATCATATACATTTTGTCCTTCATTCTGTTGAGGTGATGCATCACATCTATTTATTTGCTTATGTTCAGCCGTCGTTGCATCCCTGAAATAAATTCTAGTTGATTGTGGTGTATTATCTTTTTTATGTGTTGTTGGATTAGTTTTACTATTATTTTGTTGAGGGTTTTTGTGTCTATTTTTTTCAAGGATATTAACCTGTAGTTTTGTTGTTGTTGTTGTTATTGTTGTTGTTGTTGCATCCTTGCTGATTTTGGTATCAGAGTAACCCTGGTCTCACATAATGAGTTAGGGAGTATTTTTTCTTCTTCAACTTTTCAGAATATTCTTAGAAAAGTTGACATTAGGTCTTCTTTGAAAGTTTGGTAGAATCCAGGAGTGGAGATATCTGATCCTGAACTTTTTTTATTGAAAAACCTTTTATTACTGATTCACTGCTATTATTCATTATTGGTCTCTCCAGGTTTTCTGTTTGTTCCTGATTAAATCTTCATAGGTTTTATGTGTCCAGGAATTTATCCATTTCCTCTAGGGTTTCCTGTTTGTTAGCATAGAGTTGTTCATAATAGTTTCTGATAGTTGTTGACATTCCTGTGGCATCAGTTGTAATTTCTCCTTTTTTCATTTCAAATTTAGTTTCTTTGAATCTTCTCTCTTTTTTCCTTGGTTAGTCTATCTAACAGTTTCTTGATTTTCTTTATCTCTGAAAAACCAACTTTTTGTTTCATTGATCCCTTATGTTACTTTTTAGTCTCTATTTCATTTAGGTCTGCTCTGATCTTTGTTTCTTTCACTCCACTAATTTTATATTTGTTTTTTTTTCCCCTGCTATTCTAGTTTTTTGATGTGCATCATTAGATTGTTTATTTGAAATCTTTCTACTTTTTTAGTAAAGAAAATCAGGATTCAATAATTTTATTCCAACAAAACTATTTGTAATATGTGGAGGGAGGATAAAGGTATTCTTATATATGGGCAAGAAAAACACAACTTTTATGGAAAAAAAATACATGAGCATATGTTATATTCAACCAAGCAATAATAAATTTAAAATACAAAACTCATGAAATCGTATCTAAGGCATTTGTGGGTCCTTTCTTGGTGGATTTGGGTCCCAGTCATAGTTCTTTGATGTAGTCATTTACTGCTGTGAACTACCTCTTTAGCGCTGCTTTCATTGTATTCCCTATGTTTTGATATATTGTGTTGCAATTTTCATTTTTCAAGAAATTGTTTTATTTTTTCCTTAATTTATTTTTTGATCCAATGGTTGTTAAGGAGCATGTGGTTTGATTTCCACATATTTGTACAGTTTCCAAAGTTTCCTTTGTTTTTGATTTCTAGTTTTATTCTATTGTGGTCTGAGAAAATATTTTATATGATTTTGATTTTTTTAAATTTGTTGAGACTTGTTTTGTTTCCTAAAATATGGTCTATTCTGGAGAATGTTTCATATGCTTATGAGAAGAATGTGTGCTCTGTAGCTCTTGGTTGAAATGTTCTGTAAATATCTGTTAGGTCCTTTTGATCCAATGTAAAGTTTAAATTCACTATTTCTTTGTGAATTTTCTATCAAGATAATCTGTCTAATGCTGACAGTGAGGTGTTGAAATCCCAACTGTTATTGTACTAGAATCTATCTCTCCTTTTAGATGTAAATATATATACATCTAAACATATATATATTATATATATATGTGGGTGCTTTGGTGTTGGGTGAATATATGTTAGAATTGTTATATCCTCTTGCTGAATTGATCCCTTTGTCAATATATAATGGCTTTTTTTCTTTATACTGTTTTTGAGTTAAATTATGTTTTACATGATATACATATAGTTACTCCTGTTTGTATTTGGTTTGTGTTTGTATGGAATACCTTTTTCCATCCCTTTACTTTCAGTCCATGTGTATTTTACTGGTGAGATAAGTTTACTGTAGGAAGCTTATAGTTGGGCCATTTTAAAAAATCAATTCAGCCCAGTCTATAGAGTCTATATATTTTGAAAGTTTAATTCGTTTGCATTCAAGATTACTATTGATATGTGAGGGCTTATTTCTATCATTATACGAATTAATTTCTGGGGTATTTTTTGGTATATCCTTTCTTTGATTTATTCTCCCTTATTGTTTATCATTGTGGTTTGGTGGTTTTCTGTAGTCATAACATTTGAGTTATTTCTCTTCCTCAATTGTGTGTATGTACTCTACCAAAGGGTTCTGCACTTTTGTGCTTTTACGATGATAGATGTGTTTTTTCGCTTCCAGGTATAAAAGTTGCTGAGGTATTTCTTGTAGTGCCAGTCTAGTGATGATGAATTCCCTCAGCTTTCTCCTTCATTAATGAAGGATAACTTTGCTGGTATTAGTACCCATGACTGGCAGGTTTTTTTTTTTTTCTTTCAGCACTTTGAATATATCATTCCATTCTCTCTTGGCCTATAAGATTTCTGCTGACCCATCTACTGTTAGTCTGATGTAGGTTTCCTTATAAGTGACTAGAGTCTTTCTCTTGCCGTTTTTAGAATTCTCTGTTTGTCTTTGACTTTGGACAGTTTTCTTGTTTTTGTTTGTTTGTTTGTTTGTTTGTTTTGAGACGGAGTCTCACTCTGTCGCCCAGGCTGGAGTACAGTGGTGCGATCTCGGCTCACTGCAAGCTCCGCCTCCCGGGTTCACGCCATTCTGCCTCAGCCTCTCCAGTAGCTGGGACTACAGGCGCCCTCCACCACGCCCGACTAATTTTTTGTATTTTGTTTAGTAGAGACGGGGTTTCACCGTGTTAAGCCAGGATGGTCTCGATCTCCTGACCTTGTGATCCGCCCGCCTCAGCCTCACAAAGTGCTGGGATTACAGGCGTGAGCCACCACGACCGGCTGACTTTGGACAGTTTGACTATAATGTGGCATGGAGAAGGCATTTTTGCATTGGAACTGTTTGGGGATCTCCCATACAGTTTGGGATCTCCCATACAGAGCTTCCCGTATCTGGATGTCTACACCTCTTGCTAGATTTGAGATATTTTTAGTTATTATTTTGTTAATAGGTTTTCTATTCCTTTTCTTTTCCCTTTACCTTCTGGGATGCCAAAAATTTGAATATTTTGTCACTTCGTGGTGTCCCATATGTAATATAGGTTTATTATTTTTTGTTCTATATTAAAATTGTTATCTGACTGTGTTTATTTCAAGAGACCTGTCTTCTAGTTCTGAATATTTTTTTCTGCTTGATCTTATCTATTGTTAAAACTTTAGAATTTTAGTTAATTGTATTAAATTGATTAATAATAAGTAAATAATATTATTGATTAATTTATAATGTTAACTAATTATTTTGAATTTTAGTTAATGAATTCTCCAGCTCCAGAATTTCTGCTTGATTAAGTTTTGTATTTATCTCTTTTGGTAAATATCCTCAGTAGTTTTTCTGATGTAACAGTCTGGTGCAACAGTCACTTCTTCTAATTTTTTGAATTTATTTTATATAAGAAGACTTTTTCTGAAGAGGTATGTTGTTTGGATAGAGTACTTTGGTTTTGATTCTTGGTGCATGCAACAGTATAGTCTCTGTATGATTTCTTTGTCTGTGAACAGTGTCATTTGTGGCTGTCATTTCCTAAGTGTTTTATGGTGCAGTTGTTAGTGGAGGCTACAGTGAAATTTTGCTTGGAATGAGGGCACAAGGTGTGTTTGTTCTAAGGCCCAAGTGACAGCAACAGTGAGCTGCATGTGCCTAACCTTGGGTTTCAGGGTGGCGTATGCTGTCACGGGTGTTAGCAGGTCCAGATGGACCTATTCTTAAGCCTCATGGAGCTTGTTCAGTGCTGGTAGTATCAGTGGTAGCTGGGCAGATAGGCAGTTTTTCAGGCTTCTGGGCAGGAAGCATTGCATGGTTGATGGCAATAGCAGCAGTGAGACAAACCTCTGACTCTCAAGAAGTTCATGCTGGTGTTCACAATGGCTGTGACAGACTGAATGGGCTAGTTTGCAGGCCCATGGTTGGCATGTGCAGGTGGGTGCCAGCTGTGACAGTAGCAGCAGATTGCATGGGTCTAACCTCAAGCCATGGGAGGAGTGTCTAGGTACCAACAGTGGTGGACTGGATTGGGTGGTCCCAACACACTCTCATGGCTGTTTAGGCACTATAGGAGATGGTGAAGCTGGGTTGGGCAGACTCATACTCATTCTTTGACTGTGGTAGGCAAGTGTGGAATAATCCCAAAGCTCACAGTAGAATGCTTGGATAGTGTTACCAGCAGATATGCTGCAAGCCTGGTACTGCAGAGGGTGGGGTTGTGTTTAGTGAGAGCAGCCCTATGTAGGCAGCTGGGGATTGTGCACCTTGCTAATGGTTTGGCCCCTCGGCCAGTGGTGGCTTCCGCAGGAAAGGCTTATCTTTGGAACAAGTGAAACTGTGTGGCAGCTTTGATGATCAGGGTAGTGGAATCTTTGAAAATAGATCATGGTTCAGCTCTAGTGGCAGCAGCCACCAGTGGCAAGTGTCTGAGGGCAGCAAATTTCCAATGGGGTCCAGAGATGTGGAGATGCAGTGCTATTGGGCCCCCAGGCAAGATGCAGTCTGGCGGGGATTGGGCTTTCAATATGACATCATTGCTGTGACTGCTTAAGGCTTGCAGGGGATATGTGGGATGGAGTATGAGCTCCTTCTCTGGAACAAGGCCTTTGCACATTCTCCAGACAGATTTCCATGTTAGTTTTTGGGCCTGCCAAGGGTCTAAGGGCTTTTCTGTAGCCAAGATGCAGGAGTCTGTAGTGGGAATATGGGCCACTGGCAGTCACTCTCTTAACCTTTTCTCACTTTGGGGAGTTTCTCTAGGCCCTTAAGCTGCTTTACTTCTCTCTCTTTCCATGTTTAAGAGGTTGAATTCCACTTCTCTGTTGAATTCCAGTGTTCTCTCTTAAACAATCTATTCTAAGTGTGATTATCTTCTTGCTACTTTGATTCTCTTTTCAGAGGAGGCAATGTCTCTAGTTAACCATTTTGTAGCCCCTGTCTCTTGGTAATTTTCAATAACAACATTGTTGTTCATTATAGTAACTGTGTTGTATAATATATCTCTTGAATGTATTTCTCCTAGCTGACATCTTGCATCTTTTGACCAATATCTTCCCCAACCCCACCCTAAGCCCCTGATAACCATCATCATACTCTCTACTTCTACTCTCTTCTTCTATGATTCAACACAATGAGCTATCACCTCACATTTCTTAGAATGACTATTATTAAAAAGGTGAATGATAACAAGTGCTGATGAGGGTGAGGAGAGAATTCTTGCATGTTGTGGAGATATAGTATAGTCATATGGAAAACAGTATGGAGATTCTTCAAAAAATCAAAAGTAGAACTAGCATAAGGTCTGGAAGCCCCAGTATTGGATATATATTCAAAAAAAGTTAAATTAGTATTTTAAAAAGCTATTTTTCACTCTCATGTTTATTGCTGCATTATTTACAATAGCCAAGATATGGAATCCACTTGTTGTTCATCAATTAATGACTGGATAAAGAAAATATTATATATAATATATATGTATACACACACACAAATAATGAAATACTATTCAGCCTTAAAATGAAATTCTTTTATTTGCAGCAACATGGATGAACCCAGAGGATATTACATTAAGTGAAATAAACCCAACACAGAAAGATAATTCTCTACCAATTCTCTTAAACATTCCCTGATAGCTTACAGGTGGCTGCAAAATCCCTAGGTTTTATTTCTTTACACAACTGCTATTCAAAGACAGAAGGTACAAAGCATAACCAGGTGAAAGTGACTTCTTAATATGCCTTTTTCCTTTGGCCAGGGAGGAAATATCCTTCCAGAAGACCACTAGTACATTCTTCTTCCTTATTTGCCAGAACTGAATCATATGACCACTGGACTAGAAAATCTAGTCCAATCAGAATTGGGCTAGACCACCTGTGCTTTATACCTTTTGTCTGGCACATTGATGTGCAAATAAAACCATATTTTTAGTAGCAAAGTAGAAAAGTGCATCCCTGCTCATTGGGCAAATAGTTATAGATGAAGATAATGTCTGAGTGATAGGTTAATTTCAAAAATATGTTAATTCTTTTGTGGCTGAGTAGTACTCAAAGAAATTTTCAATGTTGTAAATTAATTGTGATACTGTGTACTTTTAATGTTCAAATGCCTTATTTTCTCTTTTGAGATTTGCTTTGTTATAGACATTTAAATTATTTTTTGGTGACCCAATGCTTCTTACAAATTTGAGCATGGTATATTTTTAGAATATTAATAATTAGACTATGATACATTCGGTAAAAATGTGACAATTATTTCTAGTTTTCTATTAGCTGAGATTTCAGTTGCTTTGGTAAAACTCTCTCTAGTGGAATTTCCTTTGTTCATTATTAGTTATGGATTCTAAAACTTTAAATACTGGAAATCAACACAATTAACTTGTTAAATTGTGTCTATTAATTACACTATAATCACTTTATGATTTTATAGTCTTTGTACTTTTAGTTTCTGAATTTTTAATGCTTTTCAGATTTTTAAATTTTGTTTTTTTCCTGCATACTTGCATATTTTCTATAGTTTTAAGTTTGTTGGGTAGATAGTATTTACTTACGTAAGATGTTATCTAAACATTCCGTTATCTAGAAGCAGAAGAGAATAAATAAGGAAAACCCATAGTGTGCAGTTTATAGTCCAGGGCCAGGAAATTTTAAAATGTTAATAAAATGGGGCCAAAAGTGATTAATGTATTAGATCCCATGAACTCATGAAAACTATCTGGAGTTACTTTCATTTAAGAAGAAGTAATTCATCAAAAGAGTCAGAGAACAAATGCTTATAAAACTTTGAGATTTAATGCATAACCTTAATGGAATAAATTTTGCCATGATTGGAGAAAAATTCCTCTCTTCAATAAACATAGAGCCCAGAGGATAGATAAAGTAAGCCAAGCAGGTCTAAAATGTTCATGATATGGCATGTAAGGGTATAATATAAACTTGAACAAATATATTGGTCCTATCAACTTATCTTAAATATTCAGTTAACCAGAGGCCTACATTTCTGTTTGTGCTGTTGGCCTTTTCTTCCCAACTCTAATGACACTTAATCATAGCCAATAACCATGTTATCCGAACCATTTATGACCTATCTTCCTTTGACTAACTTGTGGTTATGTTTATACTCACATTGATCTTATAAATTTACATTTATTAAGGCAAAATATAAAGATTATTTCTGACACAATAAAAGTACCTTTTAAGAATTCCTAGTATTTTTTTGAATAATCCTGAAATATACTGTCAGTAGGTAAGTACAAATCAATAATAATAAAGACCATAATAAAGATTTTGGCCACAAACCAAATGACGAATAATATTAAAAGAGACATATGGACATAATGTTAATCTATAATTGGAGCAAACCAATGATGACATTATTAATTAATAATAACAGTGTTATTGGTGATATGTTGATGATGACAATGTTCATATGCATACTACAGGCCTTGTTCTTTTAGTGAGATTTTTATCTATCATCTCATTTGAATAAATGAGCAAATAGGCTATGGGATTTTAAGCAATTTTGCTGAGACCCCTGATTGTATTCAAACACAGTACTTTGACTCCAAAATCTACTGGTTATACGCTGGAGTGAGAAAGGAAGTATCAAGTCAAAAATTACCAAATCCAAAAGTAATAAATAAAAAGGAGGAAAAAACTACCTAGAATATAGAGTTTTAAAATTTTACAGCAAGCTTGCTTTTACTGAGAATATCCTCACCTTTAAATAAATGCAAAATGCCAGCTTAAAACTACACTAACTATAGAAACAATTCCCTTTATAAGTATTCAACAACATATGTAGCTAATGAATTTGTTAGTAACACTACAATAATAAATACATTCAAAATAACTAATTTTGTCATTCAAATATGATACCAGACTACAGTCTAATTAGTTTAATTAGACCAAAATATTCTAGTGCCTTTGTATTAAATTGAAGACAAATAATAATATTATCAGCTTTATAAAGACATTTTGTTTATGATTAACTATATTCCCCAAATTTTATCAGAAAGTATATATTTAAGCATATGCACATAAAGTATATATACATACATACATACACAGGCACGCGCACGCACACGCACACACACACACACACACACACACATAGAGAGAAGAGTGATAAGAGATTCTTTAAAAAAAAAATTCCGCCTATCAGTACCTAGTGATAATCATTGACTTCAGTATCAACATTGAGTCATGAGTAGTTAATGGGCTTTGGAAACACTCCCAAGGGATCCAACTTTTGTTGGTTTTATTTACTAATTCTGAGGCCCTATTAGTAAACCTGACATTGGACTCTAAAAAATAATGTCTTCATTTTCGTTCCTTTGGCTTAAGATTTTAATTATATTAAAAATTGGACTTTTGCTGGAAAAGGCTTAAGAACCCTGCAAAGAGGAAAACTAAGCATGGCATGTACTGAAAAATGAAACCATGAGCTGAAAACAAATGTACTTAGCCTTCATCTTGATTTGGAATAAGAAAGAAATTCAAGCTTCACAATAGATGTGTATCTAGTCACTTTAAAACAAAAATGTAATATAGTAGTTTAATTGCTCTCATCTCATTAATATAAATATTAAATTAAATAATACTTTTGAAGGATATCTCCTCTTTTCCAAACTGCTTTCCAGTTTTCAATTAACTAATTGCTTTTGCTGACAAAATTAATTTCAGATGTGCACAAGCTGGCGATTACATTTTTCAGTTTAAGGAAGTCAAAACCATAACAGCAAATGAAATGAAATCACAAATTAAATTATTAGATATAGGAATGTAATTTAGTTTACAGTGGTCACTTTAGGTAGCTCTAAAAAAAGATCCACAGGGTATAAATTTGGCCTAACCCTCAATTCCAATTTCTTATGTTTTGAGCCATTCCCTCAATTTCTACACATTGCTTATTCTATCTGCCCTTGCCTTCCTTGTCTTGATCTCTCTGCCTTTGTTCTCTGGTCTGCATTTGCTCTCCTTTTTCTGGTCCAGATGCTTCCTCAGATCACAAAATTTAGTTCTTTCACAGGCTTCCACATGAACACATTCACGAAATATTTCTTGAACTTAATAATTTTACTGAAGAACTGCACATTCAGAAAGAGTAACAAAACAGGCAATTGTACTCTGCCGTCTTTTTATTCAACCTCCATTTTTTCTCTCCACACACAACCCTCTCAATATTTTTATTATTTTATCCCACAGACAGAAATTACTTAACCTTCAGACCTACGGGAATCTGAGGTCTTCCTCAATGCAATATATCAAGGAGTTCCTCCTCATAAATCCAGTGCTATTTTTCAAGGATACATTGGTTTATATATAATATTGCTCATTTTGTCATAGAAACACAGTATAGAAATTCATGAGCTTGTAATAGTTTTCTCTGGGTTTGAATCCAAGGTGTACTCACACAGAAGATGACACTAGTGCTTTTGGGCTTGACTGTGCCTCTCCTGGTGGTTGTGTTCATTTGTTACATGATTCTTGTACAAAGCAATAGAAGCTGTCAGTCATTAAAATGGAAGGCATACAGCTTTGTGTCTGTCTGAGGATAAAATTGGATTTCTCTGTCTGGGTTCTGCTGATTCCTTTTTATTCCACAAAGCAAATTGCTTTTCAAAGGTGTCAGTATTAACCGGAAAAGCTTCTGCTATGACAGGTAGTACTAAAAGCTTATTAGGAGCAATACTTTGTATTCTCTACTGAATATCCTAGCATTGGAGAATAGATTTTTGTAATACAAAATTCATTTCCAAAGTTTTGTGCAATTTCACGTGCCTTACATTTTTTCGTTTCATTTCCATTCCCTTCTCATTTTCTTTGTGTCTAACACATCACATTTTTCACATTTATTTACAGTGCAATATGTCATTTTGGAAGCAATAGACAGCTTTAGCAAATGGCTATATTTGTGATGAAAAACTAGATAAAACTTTTGACATCAAGTATAAGATGTAATTTTATAACCTTAATTGAGAAACTTCAAACACTGCTTTAAGCATTCACATTTTTTTGTTTAACATGTTTTATATAATTGATTGCTTTGAGTGTAAACCAGCAGTAATTCCCTGTGGAACTTCTCTAAATTTCTATCATAACATTTGTTCAAACAAGCAAAATTATAACATAGTACATATTATTTTAGCACATATAATTAAATAGAATTTTATTTAAACAAAAGTTTTGATTATACATTATGTAACTTGATATCTTTTATTATTCATAAGCACCACAGTAATTTGAAAGGTTTGATGTAAATACAGCAGTCAAGTGAGGTTATTTGGACTTTTAAAAATATTTTAATTAATTCTTAATACCACTCAAAGATAAATAATGATTTGCCACTAAGGTGAATGGGAATGAAAGTGTACGATGATATTAATGAATACTACCAAGACATAACTTAATAAAAGTATTTCATTGTCCATCTATTTCTCTGGTTTGTCTGATTGAAGAAAATTATAAAATTATACTATCAGAAGCCTAAACTGGATAGCCACTTGAATTTTAAGTTTTGTAATCATTTAAATTTCATTTGCAATGTCATTTAAAGATAAAATATTACATGCCCTGTTAAGATGAATGGAAGCACAATTGCATTTATAGTCATAAAAATTTCATTGCATAAAGTAATATTTAAAGCGATTTAAAGATTAGTATTGGTTTAGTAAATATTAGAAAATGTTTTTCAAGTATTTCTTTGTAACATTAGAATATTTTAGCAATTTATTAAAAATACAAAATAAATGAAAACAAAAGTTGTTACTAGTTCATCTTTTGTTGCTGACACAATTGAAAAAAATAATGACAATATCTTAAATAGTATTGAATATTTCAAAGGAGTGTTCACATAATCATTAATGACATGCCAAAACAATAAGTAGTTTGTTTAAAAATGTACAAAAAAATTGTGTGATGAAATGGCATTTTCAGTTGTCATTGCAATATTTTTTACTTATTTCTTCATAACCTCCGTATGGTTATAATACTAAATTTGAGTTAATTCACACATTCACTTCTTCCTGGTGTCTGCAACACTCATCACTTATCAAGACCTTCCTCCCTGTTATTTCATTCTAACAAATTTCAACATAATGATCGATTCCTGATTATCTCCATTATATAAAACATCTGGAAAAACCTGGAAAGGTCAGTTATGGAACACTCTCTAACACTTCCAAATTCTGTTTACACAGCATTTAGAGAGGTGTTTTGGTATACTGAATGTTGTGTCTCTATTCAGATAATCATAATCAATTGCACTAGATATTTGCATGCTTATGATTTTTGTTTTATATTAGTTTATTTTGTATTTTACAGCTTTATTGAAATTTAATTGAAACATTAAAAACTGCATATTTAATATGTGCACCTTGAAAGTTTTGACATACATGAAACAATAGAACCATGATCACAATCAAGATAATGAACACATTTATTGTCCTCCCCCAAATTTATTCATATCCCTTTTTGTTCCCTCCCTCCTTTTCCTCCTTGCGCAACACCCAACCCAGTCCCTACACTGCCACAAAACTGAGTTCTTCCATTTGAGTTTCTAGAATATTTATAAATAGAATCATATGATATGTATCTTTTATCTGACTTATTTCACTCATTATAGTTATTTCGATATCTATCCATGTTTCTGTGGGTTTTCGTAGTTAAATTGTTTTTATTGCTGAGTATACTTCCTTTGTATGGATATAGCACAATTTGTTTATTCCTTCATTCTTTGATGGACATGTAGATTGTTTACAGTTTCAGACTACTGTAAACAAAGTTGCTATGAACACTCAAATACAAGTATTTGCATGGACATATGTTTTTCTGGACTAAATGCTTAAGAGTGGAATAGCTGGTTTATGTGGTATTTTATTTTATTTTATTTTTTATTTTTTATTTTATTTTATATTTTATTTTATTTTATTTCATTTCATTTTATTTTATTTTATTTTATTTTATTTTATTTTATTTTATTTTATTTTATTTTATTTTATTTTATTTTATTTATTTTATTTTATTTTATTTTATTTAGACAGAGTCTCGCTCTGTCGCCCAAGCTGGAGTGCAGTAGTCCCATCTCTGCTCACTGCAAGCTCCGTCTCCCGGGTTCACGCCATTCTCCTGCCTCAGCCTCCGGAGTAGCTGGGACTACGGGCGCCCTACAGACGCCCGCCACCACGCTCGACTAATTTATTTTTTTGTATTTTTAGTAGAGTCTGGGTTTCACGGTATTAGCCAGGATGGTTTCGATCTCCTGACCTCGTGACCGCCAGCCTAAGCCTCCCAAAGTGCTAGGATTACAGGCGTGGGCCACCGCGCGCGGCCTTTATTTTATTTTGTTTTATTTTATTTTATTTTATTTTATTTATTTTATTTTATTTTATTTTATTTATTTTATTTTATTTTATTTTATTATTTTATTTTAAGAAAAGGTCTCACTATTGCCCAGGCTGGGCTTGACCTGGCAAGATTCTCGCACCTCAGCCTGCCAAGTAGCTGGAACTACAGATAATTGAGAAAACTTTTCAGAAATTTCCCAACTGATTTCTGAAATGATTGCACCATTTCACATTCCCACTATGAGAATTTCAGTTGCTCTAGATCATTGCAAAAATGGATGTTATTAGTTTTGTTTTATTGGTTTTTGGCTTTTGTTTTTCTAACGGATGTAGAATAGTAGTATCTCACTGCAGTTTTAATTTGTCTTGGACCTAATACCTACTGATGTTGAGCATCAACAGCAACAAAAAGATTTTTTCTGTGCTTATTTGCAATCTTTTTGTCTTCTTTGAGGAAGTGAGTGTAGAAATCTTTCAGCCATTTTCATTCTTCCTTATTATTAGGTAGTGAGACTTGTTTACATATTATGGATATAAGCCGTTTATTAGATTTACGATTGGCTAGTATTTTATTTTTCTTACCTGAAAGTACTGTATAACACCTCTACAATTATACTGAATAGAAGTGGTGAAAATGAACATTCCTGTATTTTTCCTGTATTTTAGTGGTAGAGGCATTCAACCTTTCACGCTTAAGTATGATGTTAGCCATAGTTTTTTTGTTTGTTTATTTTTCTTTTTTTTTTCTCCCCCCAGGCACATATAATTAGAGAAAGTTATCCTCCTTTTGCTCTTCTTAAAGTTTTTCTGATGAATGGATGCTGAATTCAGTCATTTGCTTTTTCTGCATCTACTGAAATTATTATATGGTTTTCATCCTTTAGTTTATTAACATAGAGGACTAGATTTTGAATGTTAAATCAGCCTTACATTTGTGAGATAAATTGTGGGATAAACCCCACTTGATCATGAAGCATTACTCTTTGCTATGTATTGTTGAATTTAATTTGCTAAAATTTTATACCTATATTTTTACTTATATATATGAGGAGGATATTAATCTGTAGTTTTCTTTTTTTTGAATTATGTGTGTGTCTGGTTTTGGAATCAGGATCATGGTATCTTCGTAGAGTGATTTGGGATATATTTCCTTCTTTTAAATATTTGTAAAGATTTGAGTAAATATTTTTGCAATATTTAATAGGATTCATTAGAGGACACCAAGGACTACAGTTTTCTCTGTGGCACTAAATGTAAGTAAAGCAAATTAACTAAAGTTAAATTGCTTTAATAAATACAGAGTGTATTAATCTGTTCTTACATTGCCATAAAGAAATACCTGAGAGTTGGTAATTTATGAGGAAAATAGTTTGTTTGTTTGTTTTTTTTTTTTTTGAGACGGAGTCTCGCTCTGTTGCCCAGGCCGGACTGCGGACTGCAGTGGCGCAATCTCGGCTCACTGCAAGCTCCGCTTCCCGGGTTCACGCCATTCTCCTGCCTCAGCCTCCCGAGTAGCTGGGACTACAGGCGCCCGCCACCGCGCCCGGCTAATTTTTTGTATTTTTAGTAGAGACGGGGTTTCACCTTGTTAGCCAGGATGGTCTCGATCTCCTGACCTCATGATCCACCCGCCTCGGCCTCCCAAAGTGCTGGGATTACAGGCGTGAGCCACCGCGCCCGGCCGAAAATAGTTTTAATTAGTTCATGATTCTGCACGCTGTACAGGAATCATGGCAGCATCTGCTTCCATGAGGGAGATTTCAGGGATCTACTCATGGTGGAAGGCAAATTGGAGCAGGCATCTTATGTGGCAGAACCTGAGCCAAGAGGTAGTGGGGAGTTGCAAGACACATTTTAATAACTCTTTTGTTGGACAGCATCAAGTGGATGGTGTTAAACCATTCATAAAGGATCTACCCCCATGATCAAATCACCTCCCACCAGACCCCACCTCCAACAATGGGGATTAAAATTCAACCTGAGATTTGTGGCGTCAGGGGGGCACCCAGATCCAGATCATATCACAAGATTATTCAAACTATCTATTTCTTATTGAATAAGACTTATTTTTGGTCAAAATATAGTATATCTAAACAAATATTCCATGTGTACTTGAAAATAATATATATTTTGCTATTGTTCCACAGAATGTTTAAAAATCTAAATTTCATCTTATGGTTTATAGTTTTGTTCAAATCTCCCATGTACTTATTGGCTTTTATTTTCCTTGTTCTAATCTATTTTTGGAAGAGAAATATAGAAATATCTGCCTAAAATTTTAGATATGCTTGTTTCTTTTTACAGTTGTATCAGGTTGTTTGTCATATATTTGAGAGCTTTGTTGTTAGGTATATAACATTTTAGAACTGTTAAGTCCTCTTAATGAATTGACCCTTTTGTCATTATGAAATTCCATTTTTTATATCTAATAATATTCTTTATTCTGAAATATACTTTGTCTGACATTAATAGCCATTCATAATTTGTTTTATTAGTACTATCATGGTATATATACTACTACTAATTTAATTTTAATTCATGTGTGACTTTATTGTTGAAGTGCCTTTCTTGTAAGCAGCATATATTAATTTCTTCATCTTAAGTAAATCATTAGTAAGTTTTTCTTCATCTTAAATGAATCATTAGTAAGTAGGTTATTTAGGCCATTTCAGTCGTTTACATTTAAGGTGTTTATTTATATGGTTATGATTAAATATATCAATTTGCTGCATGTTTTCTATTTGTTCCCTGTTTTCTTTATTCCTTTTTAATCTTTTTTGCATGTTTTATTATTTGATAATTTTATTATTTCATTTTATCTCCTTTGAAGTGTTATTTAGCATAATCATATGTTTTGTTATTTTAGTGGTTGTTTTAGGAATATAGTACATACTTTTAACTTGGAATCTAGCCCATGTATAGTATAGGAAGTTTGAATCTGGTTATATATTTTTATAATAAAGTAATTACTTTATTTTTATAATAAAGTAATAAAATATCTAGTGCTGTCTTTTCTCTCTGATTTTTTGTCTTTTATGTGTGTCATTATTATTGTGTGAAAAAGTGAAACACCCTTTTACTTCTATTAGCTCTCAGAGTTTATACTTGAAGTGTGTCTCTTATACGGTATATGGTTAAGCATTGCTGTCTCATCCAGTCTGAAAATCTCTACATTTTAATTGGGATGTTTACATTTATATGTGATAAAAGTATTTATATGGCAGGTTTAAGTGTACTATCTTTCTATTTATTTTCAATTTGTCTTATATGTTCTTTTTTGTTTCTTCTTTTTCTACCTTTATTTATTTCAATATATATTTCTTAATATGTCATTTTATTTCCTCTATTGCTATGGCTTCATATGTTTTACTAGTTGCTCTAGGATTTAGAGTATATACTTTATCATACCTTATCTGGGATTAATTATATACCACCTAACATTTAATGTGAGAATCACAGAGTAACATGTTTATTTAGCCCTTCCCATGCTAATGACATTTTGTCATGTATTACACTTCTACATATGATGTAACTTTCTCCTAATAAAATATAATTTTGTATGAGTAGCCAATCTTGTTTTAAGTAAATTAAGGAAAGTAAAAATAACTTTATATTGATCCACATATTCACCACTTCCAGTGCTCTTTATTCATCAATGTAGATCCAAATTTCTATAAGAATTTTCCTTCAGCCTAAAAACTTCCTTTAATATTTTTTGAAAGTTTGGATCTGTTGGTAACACATTTTCTAAGCTTTGTTTTATACATATGCATGTGTGTGTGTGTGTGTGTGTAACTTTGTGTATACAGGTGTATAAATACATATATACTTATTTATATTTATATCATATATAATAATAATAACTTCAGCTCTATTTTTGAAGGAGATTTTAAATGAATATAGAATTTTGGTTGACATTTTCCTTTTTTTCCTGCCAGTGTACTGATTCATTGACTTCTGGAACACACATTTAATGAGAAGTATGCTGCCATTTTTGAATTTTTTAAAATAATTTGTCCTTTTATTTGCTTGTAATTATTTTTCTTAACTTTGAGGTTTACCATTTTAGCTATGATGTGCCTAAATGTGGTTTAATTAACATGATTCTTCTTAAATTTAATTTTATGTTGAGCTTATGTTTTTAACTTTAGAAAAATTTAGTTATTGATTTATGAATATTTCTTTCCGTTTAATCTTATTACTCCTCTCCTTCTGTATCTCCAGGTATAAAAATGGCAAAGCATTTGATATTGCCATACATGTCTTTGAGGCTCTTTTAAATTTAAATCTTTCTTTTCTTTGAGTTTCAGCTTGGAAAAGTTTTACTTGATCTCATATTTACTGTCTCTCTCATCAGTAATATTTAATTTTGCTATATAGTACCATCTGGTGGTACTAAAAATTTTAATTTCAAATGTTGCATTTTTCATCCTATAATTTCTACTTTTTTCTATTAGAATTGTCATGCTTCTACCACATATGCCAAGTCTTCACTTATCATATCCATCTTTTTCTATAAATTCTAAACACGTCAAAAGACGTATTTAAGAGTCTTTATTCGGTAATTTCAATGTCTAAGTTATATATAGGTCTGATTCTATCGATCATTTTTATCTCTATGTGTTTGCATGGCTAGAAGTTTCTTTTTATAAACTAGTTACGGTGGATAACACATTAAAAAGACTCACTTCTCTATCTTCCTTTAAAGAATGTTAAGTATAGAACTAGAAGATAGTTAATTATGGAGTCTACCTTAACGAGCTTTTACTCCTAGGGAATCTGTTTTAGTAGTCTCGACTGATTTTTTTGTTGGACCCTTGGCTCCCTTTCTAGTCAACAAAGTTTCATCATCTGTTAAAAGCTCTGCTTTTTAGCTCCTCAGCATCTCCATTCCATTTTAAGAGTCAGAGTTCCTGTAATCCCAGCACTTTGGGAGGCTGAGGCGGGGGGATCACGAGGTCAGGAAATCGAGACCATCCTGGCTAACACGGTGAAACCCCGTCTCTATTAAAAACACAAAAAATTTAGCCGGGCTTGGTGGCGGGCGCCTGTAGTCCCAGCTACTGGGGAGGCTGAGGCAGGAGAATGGCGTGAACCCGGGAGGCGGAGCTTGCAGTGAGCCGAGCACTCCAGCCTGGGCGACAGAGGAAGATTCCGTCTCAAGTTGGCAAATTGCTCAGAATTTTGACCATTATTTCAGACTCTTTCTGCATTGTTAGCCGTAAAATTCCATTTTCCTCTCAAAACCGACTAGGAGTACCACAAAGTCTGCAGTTTCTTATGTCTCATGCAAGCAATCATAAAATTTCCTGAAGTGGAGAACAGTGGCTAACGTTTGTATCATCTTGATGGATTTTCTTGTCTTGTGGCTTTTGCCTCCTCAGATCTAATCTCCCCTGGTTGCTCTCCAACGCATCAAATTGCTAAATTTGTATATTTCTTTTTTCAGAGTTTTTCTATAGTCTCAGTGGGAGGCAAGTCTATCAGCTATTCCATCATTTCAGAAATAGGAAGTCTTCCCTTCTTTTTATTTTATGTTTATTAGTGTATTGCTATGTAGTAGAAAATAGTTTTTTAATTTTCAGTAATTCACTTATATAGTTATCTATTCATTCAGAAAATATGCATTGTATAGCAGGTATTGTGTTAATTATTGAGAGAACTGTTTTAGCTAGACATTATTATATAACTCTTTATTGAACTCAAATTTGTGTGTTTATGTTATCTATTATTTATCAATGTATTTATTATGTATATTATATAGACACACATACACATCACTTTATCGAACTTTTAAAATATTATTATTACATTTTGAATTATAAGTAAACTGAGACTTGATGTTCATATATTTAATAATATATCTGGATTTTTCACCCAGCTGTAGGTAACTTTTTATAGCATAGGTCTTTGTAAGACATTAAGCAAAATAACAATAGTAAAAACAGTGACTGTCTTGTTTTAAGAGATTATCATAATACCTGGTTCAAAATAGGCGTGCTGGAAATTATTGCTTCATTTATAAATGATTGAATCCCTAAAACAAAACATTCTGCCTTTACAGAGACTGAATCCCAAATCTTGACATTATTTATATCAGCATTCTCACAAGTTAAACAATTGGCTATGTCATGCTCATCTGTTTGCCTAAAAAGCTCCTACTTTCATCTTCTATGTGCACGCACCATATTTAAATAGGCTATATCATAACTATTGGGACTAAATTTAAACTGCTCAAAAACATCCTTCAAGATTTATAGACAGAGCTTCTTGTTTGCATTTTATTTGTGCTCTGTGATTCATTTATACTAAAATTTATGACCCAGGTTGTAGGTATCCTTATGTGCCTTTTACATAGATTAAATAGAGAATTATGTAAACCAACCACATGTTAAATAATTAGCTACAAATTTTCAACCAAAACTGGAGTTGGTAGGCTGTAAGAATATATATATGAATAAGAACTATGCTTTACCTAAAGAGGAGTCTAGGAAGAGTCCAGTTACAATTTTGGAATACATTTTGTTTAATTAGAAGCAAATATTTTTTGTAATATTTGGTTTTCCTAAGTTTCATGGGACACTGACACCTGTACAAATCTATGGCATTAAAATTATTGCCTTAAATTTCACATTCTCAAACATTATATTGAACACATCAGCATGTCTGTAATTTTTATTCGGTCATATAACTCATGATACTTTACTATTAAAGCCTTCTGCTAGGAGTTTTATGATTATGTAAATTATTTGCCTTTTGAGGCTGTTGAATTACTCATCTGAATTTTTAACAAAGAGGAACCTCCATTAACTAAAGCATTAGTTTCTGAATTTGTGCTTCTTTATGATGTATGATTATATATTTGTGCTTATACATTTTAATAAAGAGTGTGTTTTGATGTAAACAGTGCTGATGTATTTGGTTATCTACATTGAAGGAATGACACTAGTACCCAAACAGGCAAATGTGGTATCATCTCCATATGTTAACAGAGAACTGAATTCTTGGCAGAGCCTCAAAGAGAAGCTAATGAACTTCCAAATAGAATGAAACTTTTTTGCCTTTTAACTAATATAAAGTATGAAAGACCTGATCTGAAGATTTACAAAGTTCATCAAAACTTTCAAGGATGCATCTGTTTTATTTGGTTGTAGTAAGATTTCACAACAGTCAAAGAGCATGGGACACAGCTGTTTTCCAGCTGGTACTTTGTAAGATTTCACTGGAGTGGAATGTTTGTTACACTAGGCTTCATTAAAATTAAATTCTACCTTCATTCTACTTACCATGGAAATTAATAATTTTATAAGCTATAGCTCATGCTTCTACAAGGTTTAGCGAAAGAATAAATAAAGTGGAATATGTTAGAACATCTGTAATTTCACAAAATAAAGGAAAGGTATTTTGAAGACATTTTGAAAGAAATATTTAACGGAAAGTCAACATTTAAACAGATCAATAATATCCAAAGTTTGAGGAAATTAATATTCTTGATGCTGAGCATCTCTTAATCATTCAGTCTGTTTAAATATTAGCCTCGAGATCAAACTGAAGAAGTAACTGATCTTAATCACAATTAATGTTTTTAAAGAACAGAAAAATATCTGAAAAAGAGAAAGTTTATATAATAATAATGAAGTAAATTGATATAAGCAATGCAAATATTATCTTAAGATCTGAAATCTAGGAAAAGAGAAAATGTAACAGACAAACAGTAAGCAGGGATGAAAAGTATGAAATGGTTTAAAATTTGCTCCCAGAATAACTGGCTTTAAATCTGTAGCCATTATAATGCTTCACTATAAGTTAAATAATACCACTGTAATAATGACTTAAACAATTCAGACATTTATTACATAAATTAACAAGAATGCTGGAGGTGGGCCATTTCATAGTTCAGTGACTTAATGATGTTATTAAGAATACAGGTTTTTCTCATCATTTTGCTCTGTCATCTTCAGAATAAGAGTACTATTCACATGATAATGCAGCAGACCTAGGCATCAATTACCGTGCAACACTGCACAATGAAAAGAGAAGATGGGGAAAAAACAAAACAAAACAAAACTAAGCCAGCTGTATCCTTTCTCTACCCTTCTTTCCATAAGGGAATAAAATTTTCTTCTAAAAACAAATAGCAAACATCCCTTTGAGGATCAACGGTCAGGACAGGGCCCTATGTGCATCAAAAGGGAAACCAATAACAATGAGGACAGGGTTTCTATGGTTGGATTATGTCAGCGGATTTTGTAGCTTTTGATTGTGTCTCCTGGTAAGAAGTCATTTTATACAAAAAAAAGGCATAATTTTGCATTAAGCAAAATATGAAATGATGCAATTTCAATACTAAAAGATGTATGCACTTTTTAATGGCATTTTTACAAATATGTAAAATGCAATTATTCTTATAACATAGCAAGATATTTTAATATGGCATAACATAAAACTTTATTTATGTTCTTCCTAAATAGGAGATAAAAGAAAGTAGTACTTGATAATTTTGCTTACTTGAATCATCAGATTTTTCCAGTTCCACAATGTGTAAGTGGATCAATATACTTTTAAATAGTAGAGGGGAAATGAAGACAGGCAGACTAGGAGCAGGATGATCATATAATTTATTTCCTAAACTAAAAAACTTCTTAAAGCCTTATTTATTAACTACTACTAATTATGTAACAATAAGTGGTATAAACCATACACAGCAGTGGCCATAAAGGATATTACCAAAGTAATTCTAAGATTCTCTTGACTGGGAAAAATTATTGTATTCATTAAACACAAAGTTCTTTATTATTATTCTGCCATTATTGCCTGCTTATTATGTGCTTGTCCTTTCCTGTGCATTTTACAAGTATCACTTCATTATTCTTTTAAAGAGCATGTGAGATAGATATTATTTTATTTTTCTTATGGAAAAAAATAACAAGATGAAATCCAAACTCTTTATTACGATGCTTTAGTATCTTACACTGCTTTGAGCTATACTGTATGCTTTCCTAACAAGGCCACTAAAGTAGCAGAATAAATGAAAAACAGCTATAAATCTTCTTTCCATGGGGACTTTATAGAGCACTTGAATCTCAACATCTGTGGGAACATTGTATCAAAGAAACTACAAACCTGTTTTCAAACAGAGATGATAAGGAATTAAGACACTTTAGATGATGTGGACAAAAATCACTCATGCGTATAGCAAACGGTTTTTGAACAACAACCAATTATGAGACACTGCAGTAAACAAGATGAAAGAAATCAAGTTCTTAGCTTCAAGAAATGAACACATAGCCTCAAGATGAAATAGGTAAAACTGGCTCCACCACATGGCATTATTAGATCAGGATCCCAGCTGCCATGGGTTTCCATGGGTGGAGAATGATAGAGAAGAGTTTTCCAAGTACAGGAAATGAACTGACTGAAGGAAGAAATGTTTACTTCATCTTTAGAAAAGAGCAAGTTGATTTTATCAGAGAGGAAATACACATACACACACATACTTACATACACATGGATGAGCTCATGTCCTTACATATTCTCCTACATACATGCTTATGCAATAAGTACACACACATTCACATACAGCTCTGCAGAAAAAAGAAAACAGGACAACGAGGACTCTGTGACTTTCTTTTAATTCTGAAAAAGCATATAAATCTAACATATATATATAGCATTTGTAATTGTAAAACTCACTTTAAATCTCAGATACAAAAATTCTTTTCACCCAGTAAAACTAATCATCAAAATCATTTTTTTGGAAATCATATGTATGTTATTTGTGTAAAATAAACATGAGATTTCCTTGACATGCTCCTAAATATTTATTGGGAAAATGTTATATCTGTCATCACATTTTTAGGGTATTTTACAAAGAAGAATAAAGCTGTAAATTATAGGACTTAGTCAAAATATAATAGACTAAGTCCTATAATACATGCTTTTTTCTGAAATAATGAAAGACCCATTCAGGAAGCTTCATCTGTAAAGAATGTTTTTCACAAAGTGATATTAAAGCTGAAAATCAAAAAGGGGAAAAGAGAACAAAGCGGGTAAATATGTGTGTTATTCTATTTAAAACGACATTTAAAAGCAGAATAGAAAAGAAGAAAGAGATCTGGTTTCAGATACAGTCCTCAGTACTGGAAAATAAAACAAACAGTGTGAGTCTGTTTTGCTTAAATTTGACATTTCTTGTTAGAACTTTTAAGATCTAACCTCGGTGGAGTGAAAAAGACTACAAAGTCTACTATTACACAACTTAATTTATGTTTCTCTAGCCTTTTACATTCTATAGACACCTCTGTTATTATCCTTTATGATTTTTGAGCAGTCCTTAGTACATTGGAGAAAATTTCTACTTATTGAATATTTTATGCTTGTTTACCTTAAACACTCCTGGGTACAAACTTTATTCATAACACACAAAGCTAAATACTATGTTTCTTCTTTTCCTTTTATTTTATGTTACCGTTGTAAGCATTAAGAACTTCCTTTCATAACCAGTTCCTTTTCTTTAGATTTAGAGGATTATATACTTGAGTACATTTTTTTTCAAAGAAATACTGCAACATGTATAAATTGTGAGAAGCCAGGAAATTAAAATCACAAACAAATTGTAAGAAATTGTAAGTCCAATGCATAAAATAATCAACATATACATTTCTTTGTGTTTCTTCTCTTTCCTCTGTTTCCGAATTGGTATAATTGTTACTTTTGATAATTTATAAGAAGGAATTATACTAAGAACAAGAAGTTTCTGTAAGGCATTATTTTCTGTCCCACACTAATAACATTACACCCTGTATTTTGCATAGACTGCTCTTGTCTGCAAAATAGAAGATAGATAGATAGATAGATGATAGATGATAGATAGATAGATGATAGATGATAGATAGATAGATAGATGATAGATAGATGATAGATAGATAGATAGATAGATAGATAGATAGATAGATTCCAACAAAAGGGATAGATGGAATTTCAAAAAAAGGTAGAAATGAGAATAAAGATTTTAAAAATAGAATATATAAAAAGTAAATCACAGAATGACAGACTTCTCTATCAACAATCATAATCCATGTATAATGTTCATAGCTGCATCATAGAAGTAGGCTGCTATAACAGCTGCCCCAGATCCACACCACCACCACCACCACCATTGCCAGTATTAGGCAACCACAAACATCTGAAAGCCACCATGATCAATAAGCTACTTATACTGCTGCTTAATTCTGTGTCATGTGTGTGTTGTTGTGATCTTCATGGGAAACATACATACCCTGAGCCCTGTTTCTCAGCAACCGCTGATGAACTATCCTCTGTGCTCATGGTGTCTCAGAGGAAAAATAAAAATTTAAATTCCTTATTTAAGGAGGAATTGCAAAAGCAACATAGAAAGTACAGTTTCTATCTACCCTCTGCCCTTAAATCTGCATAATCTATAATATCTCAGCTGTAATGTTGTCTAGGAAATGAAACATTTAAATTGCTATTATTCATAGCATAGAAACACAAAATATACTAAGGATGAAAAGGATTATTCCAGTCAATCTATCACAAAAATCACTAGCTAGTACTGGTCTACTTGTAATCTATTCTTTTGATTTTAAAACTTCAAACCAATTAAAATAGTAATAAAAATTTCCTCCTATCTGCTGTAAAGAAATGTATAAATGTCACAATATTATTTTATAAGCCTAGAAGATTCAGGATTGTGGAATACAGAGTAAGAGAACAGTGAATCTCATAAGAAATAGTCAATTGCCTTACATCATTTTCTTTAAAATTTATTTATAGTTCATCATTATTGTGTAGAATACTATGATAAGAATAAGGCATGTGGTATGGCAAGTAAGGAAGAAATATTATTTCCTAGCATAAATATATATTCTGGTGTATGAGTTCCGTATAGATGCTGTAACAAATGGTTGCAAACTTAAAACAACGGAAATGTATTCTCATACAGTCTGGAGGTCAGAAGTCCTAAATCAGTATTATTGGCCAAAAGTCAACGTGTCAGCAAGGCAGTACTTCCTGTTGAGTTCCTAGTGAACAGTCCCTTTCATGCCTCTTTCACCTCTGATGGCTGCTAAGATTCCTTGGCTTGTGGCCACATCACTCCAATTTTCAAGGCCAGAATATTTAAATATATCTCTTAACATTGCCTTTCCTGTGTATATGAAATCTCCCTTTGTCTCTCTCTTACAAGGATACATGTTATTGAATTGAAGACCCACTTGGATAATCTATGATAATCTTTTCATTTCAAGATCTTTAATTTAATCACATCCACAAAGTACATTTTTTGCCACATAAGATAACACTCACAGGTTATGTAGACTATGAGGTGGACATTCTTAAAGAATATATAACCAGCCTATCACATCTAATGATTACTTTTTTTGTCTTCCACAATCAAATTGAAGATAACTTGTTACCAGGTGATTAGTCATCCCACAGCAAGATACTTGTAGTTTAGCATTGGTCTCTACTATCAGAAGATGCAGTTACCATCAACCTTTTTTAACAATGTGGAATTTCCATTTCTACCACTATGATTATTTGGTTCTTGAGTCCATTCAGCAAATGCTGAAAAAACTAGGAAAAGGTTATGGCTGAAATCTATTGACTAGGTCGTCTTTTCCACCAAATTATTAAAAGTTATCATTCCTCTGGATGTCTTTTTGTGAATATCCAGATGAGTCTCAGATATTTTCACATCATGGAAAATATCCCATCCTGAAGCCCAACCTCCTATATTTTCTCCATTCCCCTAGTCACCATTTCTTATAATCTTTTTCCTTTCAAATTCCTAACTGGGAAAATGATAGACACTGTTCATAAATCAGCACAGATTCATAACCCTGAACATCTCACCTTTCAAGCAAAGTGGGCATCCATATGTAACACCTGAAGTTCTTCCTACTGAAGAGATTTTCTTTTTCCATTATACTTCAGGGCCAGTATTGAGTAGAGCCCTAATGTTAACAGCAGTCCTCTTCTGACTGGTATTTATTTGTAGAAAAAAAAACTATAAAGGAGGCTGGATTTGTTTATTTACTTAACAATCTTTTCACCAAGAATTCTCCATGAAACCATTGTTTTGGATTGAAACACTGCTGCTGGCATAGTTTTCCTACAAATGTGAAACTTCTGCTCATAAAATGTATGTAATGCCCTCATCTATTTGATTATGCAGTGCTACTGAATAGGCCAACCCTACGGCTTAATAGATGAAATAACACCCAGTGAATGATAGTCAACTCAGGATGCATGTTGGATGTTTATATGATGTGTGATGGTTAGTAGTTTAATCAATGCTGATGTAGTTAGGCTTTGTGTCCCCACCCAAATCTCATCTTGAATTGTAAACCCCATAAACCCCAGGTGTTAAGGGAAATACCAGATGGAGGTAAGTGAATCATGGGGGCGGTTTACACCATGCTGTTTTCTTGATGGTGAGGGAGTTCTCACAGGATCTGATGGTTTTATAAGGGGCTCTTACCCCTTCACTCAGCACTTCTCCTTTCTGCTGACTTGTGAAGAAGGTGCCTTGCTTCCACTTCATTTTCCACCATGATTGTAAGTTTCCTGAGGACTCCCCAGCACGCTGAACTGTGAGTCAATTAAACCTCTTTCCTTTATAAATTACCTAGTCTTGGTAAGTTCTTTATAGCAGTATGAAAACAGACTAATAAAAAGGACAAAGATGATTAGTAATAATAATTATAGTAATAGCTAACAGTTTTATTATATTTACAGGCATTGCATTAAGCACTTAATATATCTTCATTGGTTTGATGACTTTTTCATTGAATTATCATTTAGAGTGGCTATTTTATATACCAGACACTATTTAGAAACTGGAATTTTATCAATGTAGACAAAATAGCTTTCCATATAGGGCACACATCCTAGTGGGATTTGAAAAATGCAATAATTTAGTTAGCAAGAATATTATGCATTAGGTTAAAAGGTGTTAAGTGATTGAAAAAAAATGAGCAGAGAAAAATGTCTAAAGAGTGTCAATTGTAGGGGAAAAGAGCAGCTCCTATTTTAAATATGATGGCTTACGCTATTCTCGCATTGTAAAGATGATAACTGAGCAAAGAGAATTAAGTTCCAGGAAGTAACACAGGAACAGAATGTGTGGAGCCTTGTAGATACTTGTTATACATTGATTTTAATTGTGCACAGAGTGGGTACAACCAGATGATTTTAGCAGAGGCTTGACATGATCTAATTTAAATTTTAACAGGATTATTCTGATTATTGTGATCAGAATATGCTGTAGATCATCAAAGATACAACAGAAACTCCTTCTCAGGAATTATTATTATTATTATTTGACAGAAGGTCTCATTCTGTTCCACAGGCTGGCTGGAGTGCAGTGGTGTGAACACGGCTTACTACAGCCTTGACGTCCTGAGCTCAAGCAGTCTTCCCACATTAACCTCCCAAGTGGCTGGGATTATGAACACACCCCCAAACCCAGCTAAAGTTTTCTTTTTTTTAAAATGTATTTTGTAAACACAGGGTCTTGCCATATTTCCCAGGCTGGTCTCAAACTCCTGATCTCAAATGATCCTCCTGCTTCAGGCTCCCAAAGTTCTGGGATTACAGATGTGAGCCACCACAACTGGCCCCTTATAGGCTAAAATAGCAATGCAAGCTGGAGATGATAATTGTAGAAATGATATCAATAGAAATAGTAAGAAGTTAGTTACAGATATAAAGAGAGATAAAAACATAAATTTTATATGGATTTACCATACAGTAGAAAAGAGAGAGTAACATGAAGAACAAACCTAAGGAAAAAAACAAAAAAGAACAAACCTATGCTTTTGCCCCTTATCTGAGATTAGGAAAAGCACAGCAGAAAAGATTGTAGGGAAATCTGAAGTTTTATATTAATTTATCCAGTCCTCACAAAAACTTTACTGGATAGGTACTATTATTACTCTCAGTTTAGCGATGCTCAGTTGGGGTGCAAAAATGTTAAATAACCTGCTTACAGTTATAAACTAATGAGAGAATGAGCCATTTTTTGAAAACAGTAAATTTGGCTTCAGAATCAATGCTTTTAATAACAATGTTTACTGCTGCTAGGAAGCCAGGAGCTATCTCTCAAAATTAAAATAGATAACCGAAGAAAGCATGCTTCGCTTCTTTCCTAAACACTAGGGAACTTTGCAATGGTTCTCCTATCAGTGTTTATCACAAATTTCATGTAGATATTTGAGTAACATTGGATCTGTGGGCCATAAAGATCAAGTGGCAGAGTTGCTTCGCCATGGCTTAGATCAAGGGAATCCACTCTCTTGATCTGAAGCACATGCAAAGAGAATAGCATTGTTTCTGGCATATCAACCTCATTTAGGGTGGGGATTTTTTGAGTCCACATTTCAGTCAACCAGGTAAGAAAATGGTAAGAAAATTTCCAGGTACTCAACTGAAATACCTATTTGAAACTACTCATAGGCCGGGCGCGGTGGCTCACGCCTGTAATCCCAGCACTTTGAGAGGCCTAGGCGGGCGGATCACGAGGTCAGGAGATCGAGACCATCCTGGCTAACACGGTGAAACCCCGTCTCTACTAAAAATACAAAAACAATTAGCCGGGCGTGATGGCGGTTGCCTGTAGTCCCAGCTACTCGGGAGGCTGAGGCAGGAGAATGGCGTGAACCCAGGAGGCGGAGCTTGCAGTGAGCCGAGATGGCGCCACTGCACTCCATCCTGGGGACAGAGCGAGACTCCGTCTCAAAGAAAAAAAAGAAACTACTCATAATAAAGCTACCCATGTCAATCACTTTCTCTAACATTGAATTTCTTACAATTCTATCTCATTTTGAGAACCATTTTTTACATATATTCTTCAGATTTGAGTTGCTGTAAGTTAGCAAAGTTTACAATTCTTTGATGTATAAGCCTTCTCTTCATGTATTACATTCTCTTCTCTTCATTCTCTTCCTATTTATCTATTGGATACACAGCCCATATGCCCTTCTGGTGCAGGGTGTGATGTGATTCAATTATGTGTCTTCTGACATTGAGAAATTGTCAGGGTAGATAATGAAGATGATTGACAGCTTCCTAATAGGTAACTATCTCAGATGTGGTCATTACAGTATTTCCAAACAAGGCAGAATCCATCCAACTGACAAAGGATGAGGACTACTGCTTCAATTCTGTAACGTTCAGGAGAAACTGGGGCTTTGGGGTATTTGGAGTTATCCAAATATACCCTAATGCCATCATGCAAATTCTCTCTTTCTCAAACAAAGCCCTACTTCTTACATAAAAGACAAGGCATATCTGTGTTAGTTGGGCCGCTCACGTGATCAAAGGTAAGAATAAGGGCAGTCCACGGAGTTCCCACAGACCTTGGACTTGTTCTTTTGACAAGTCCTGGACTTGGCTATTCCCTGGACTTGTTCTTTTTATGTTTAAGTTCTCCCTCACAGTTGTCAGCTTATTGTAGTATCTGTATATATTTTTATTTTTGCCATGGTAAGCTATTGTAGAACAACTTCAGTCTACCAAACCTTACATTTGATAAGTATTTTATTTCAGCACTTCAGACTAAAATAATTGTTATGCCATAATTTTCTATAGAAATATCAGCCTCAATTTTCTAATGTTCATGTACACACCAGTGACTTCAAACTCAGCCAGAAAGAACCAATCTCAGGCTACTATATCTCTGAGTGCCTGTGTTCTGCAACTACTTCTAGCATCAAATATTACACCAGTTATGATTCCATTCTATGTAAGTGTCCATGCCAGCGATTTTAAGATAAAATAACTAGTTAGAAAATGTTAAGGTTTTATTGTTATCTAGGAAATGAGGGGAGCAGACGCAGTTGACTCTTAAAAGTGGCTTTCAGAAACGTCTCCCAACGTTATAAATTACAGAAGCAGTACTCCAAAAAGGTGCTGATTTGTCTAATCCAGAGAATATTGTCATTGCCATAGCTTCAGTCAAAAATCAGGTATCGGAAACGTATTACATTCAGAAAATTTCAGGCTCCTGAAAGTGGGTGACTTCAGCAAACAGTTGCCACATTTCTTCCCCCTTGACATCTGTAAGTTAGTGACTGATAATTTCCGGATACTAACACAGAAAAACAAGGACTTCTACAATTGTGCATGTCAGTAGAAACCACAGAACCAGCAGAAGTTTCAACCCACCCTACTTCCACCTTCACTATCCCACAAAAATACACCTAGTTGGCTAAATCTAAATTTTATCTACAAGCAAGCTGCAGATAATCTGGAAAATATAAGCGAATGTAATGTAGCTTTTCATCCTCTGCTGTACAAGGAGACACACTAAAAGGAAGATGGAATGGATGCTGAGGGCCGATCCACCATCTCCATTACAGGGGCTGTTGCAAGGCCCTCAGAGATTCATCTCTTATCATTTTCTACCGCAGTTTGCTTAATGCGAAATGTGAGCTTTGCCTCATCCTGCCAGTAACTGTTTGTCTTCTTTATTCTCTGACTTCTGCTATGTCTCCTTTTTTGTGGAAGTTATAATGCCTCTTCTGGGAGTCCTTTTAGACAGTATTTTGTTAGACTGGATGCAGTGGCTCATGCCTGTAATCCCAGCACTTTGGGAGGCCCAGGCAAGCAGATCATGAGGTCAAGAGATAGAGACCATCCTGGCCAACATGGTGAAACCACGTCTACTAAAATACAAAGATTAGCTGGGCGTGGTGGAGCGTGCCTATAGTCCCAGCTACTCGGGAGGCTGAGGCTGAGGCAGGAGAATCACTTGAACCCTGGAGGCAGAGGGTGCGGTAAGCCGAGATGGGGCCATCGCACTCCGGCCTGGCGACAGAGCGAGACTCCATCTAAAAAAAAAAGTGTTTTGTTAATGGATGCCTTTAAGCTTATTCTCTTTTCTGGCATCATGTATATGCAAAGGAATCTGATAGTGTTCCACTTAAGGGAGAGATACAGCCAACTTCCAATGTAGCCTTCAGTCTGGTTGCTCTGCAACCAGGAAGAAATTTCTCTCTACATATTTTCTCACCTTTAGACTCCTTAGTTGTGAGTCAACTTCCTGTGGGTCCATATCAGAATCTTTAATGTTTCTCTTGAAATCTCCCTCACTTGGTTTGAGGTGACCCTAGAGTACTGAAGACTTTCTAACTCCTGGTTTTAAAACACTCCTTTTAAAACTCTCCAAGTAGAGGACCTGAATTTAAAAATATTTTACTGGAATAAAAAACTAGATTAGAATATGTTTTGGCTTGCTCTTCAAAAGCTGCTCTGTTGTTAATGTATGTTTCTTAGCGTTGCAGCCTCAGGCAAAACTACAAAAGAGGAGATGTATTTTTAGACTGATATATGGAGAGAGAAAAAGGTGTTTATTTTAACATGAATATAAACAAATTTAACTTTGTTTGAAAAAACGATAAGTAGGGTGATTCCTACCTATAGTTTCTAGTGAGAGGTACTGTTAGTATAAGCATCAAAAATACCTGTTTCCCATTCTTGTTATACTCAATTAAGTTGGAATCTAAGCATTACTGGCAGGTTTGCCAATACTTTACAGAACTTTCAGTAAAAACAGTTTATTTACTTTTCACTCAAAGCCTTTTTGTCTCAAGAAATTATAGATTGTTTTATTAGGTTAGTGCAAAAGTAATTGTAGTCTAATGGCAAAAACAGAATTACTTTTGCACCAACCTAATATAAAGCAGTGGTTCTCAAATTTTAGCTCAAATAGAAACTACATGGAAAGATTTTAAAAAATAAGATTATGATTCAGAATGTCTTCTTAAGAAGAGGTCCAGGAATACGCACTTTTAATAAGTCTAGGTGACGTTAATGAAGTTGTCTCATTATCTATAATACAGACCAAGGCTTGGAGATGTAATTATTTTTAAGTGAGATTCTAAATGAGTGTTCCTTTGTATCACTGACTTAGGCATTATTAATAGATCAAACCTACATGCCTTTCTCTACCTACAGGATATGTAGCCTCTGAAGATCCTTGTGCAACTGCCCTTCTGGTGGGCTCTACCTACTGGCCTCAGATGAGCATCTTGGTTGTATTCATAAATATAGGTCAAGGTGGGGTTTGCAATATGCATCATCTCATTTAATATTAAAAAATAAAAATTAAATTAAGCAATTAATCTTAAAATGCTTAGATATAGATATTTTCTTCATTTGCACTAAAATAAAAAGTGAGTGATCAAGAGAATAAGCCATTCAACATAAGTCATAGAGCTGCCCAAGCATAGGTTCTGAATCTTTTTGTTATACTCCACTCTGCAGAGCATCCAGAAATAATTATAAAGTTTCAACAAATGCTCAATCAATTGCCTAATATTAATGCACAAAATCTTTAATTTGGCATTTTAATTTTCATATTTTCAATTTATTTTTTATTTTTTCTATGATTCAAAACCGTAAGTAAACACTAGCATAATTTGTTCGGGAAATGTGAATTTTCTCAAATGTGGATAACCTAAATATTATTTTGCTAAAAGTATTTAACATATTTTGGCAGCCCGAATGGAGGAAAATACTGTTGTGAGTGCTTTGAAAAATGAAAATTGTCTACTACCTGTCCTTTATATATTCAAAATAATATCTGTAAATGGAATGCTAGTTTCCTCCAAATTGTTTTGAAAACTCCAATGTATTTATGTTCTGCAGCTGTTATTATTGTTTTGTTTTCCATTACTAATCTGAAGACAATCCTTAGATTATTTTGCATTTAAATTTAAGGCATTTCTTTTCACAGGCCAACTCTCTGGGCTAAGTATCCAAATTCCTGCACCACGTTTATAATACAAAGGGTCATATAAACCCTGGCAGGATTGGTAGTTTCTCACAAACCAAAGAAAGATGTTATTAACATTCAGATATTTCTTCTTCAGCCTTTGCCTTTTCTTTACCTGCCCAACCATGTGTACCAAAAGCTTTCATAATTTGCTTCAGTTCACATTACCTCTGTCAGAGACACAGAGCTCTGCTTACATTAGAGATTACTTTCACACTCATGTAAAATAGAATTTGGAGCTAGTCTTCACATTCCACTCCCAGGTATCTGGTGGCATTCAATAGTAAATGTGTTAAATTTACTTTCCCCAGCTCCACAGGGACACTGGATTGCAGCTTCCCTACCTGTCTCATAGATGCACCCAATTTGTTGAATAAATTACTGGCATATAATCCCTTTCCAGGTCCCTACTAGAAAGTCATTCTGCTCTGTGTGCTGGCATGGTTAGCTGAGGGTTCTGAAATCCTCACATAGTCCCTGCTAATCTTCTCCAGTGTCAAATTGGGATTCTAATATTCTCTGTATAAAACATAATTTGTCCCATGTAATATCTCATGAACAATATAGGCCTTCCACTACATTTTGTATATAATTTGATTATTTATTTTAGATTTCAAGTTCAAAATTGTCTCAGTCCATATCAACTTATTTACTTTTCCTTCTACTGACTATTTTCCTTTGGGTTCCCTGCTAAAGAGTATAGCGGGTAGGCAAGATGGCCAAGTATGGGAGGTGCAGTCAGAGGCTCCCACCAAGAAGAATGAAAATGGTGAGTAAATCCTGTATTGGCAACGGAGGTATCTGACAGAGCAGGATCACCGTCATCTGGGACAAACACCAACACTTTACCCAGGGGAGGCATGTCCACCATCATTGTGGCTGCCTTCTGCCTAAGACAACTGAACTCCCAGGGGGAAGAGCAGCAGCCATCACTTCAGCTCCAGTCTGTTGTTTTCTCCTGCTGGTGCCAGGGAGACTGGGTGGTTTGAACCCAGGAGGAATTTCCCACAGTGCACCACAGCAGCTGTGGCAGATCATGGCCTGACTGCCTCTTTAGGCCATATCCAGACCATCCTTCCTCACCAGGTGGGGGCTCCCTGTGGGAATTTCAGCAACTCCAGTAGGGGGTTTATGGACGGAACTCTGATTTCCCTGGGATGGTGCCCCTGTGGGGAGGGGGTGGCTGTGGTTTCTGCACATCAGCATAAATAAAACAGGCAGACAAGATTAGAGAAATAAGAATAAAAAGGATTGAACAAAACCTCCAAGAACTACGGGATTATGTAAAAAGACTGAACCTACAATTGATTGGGGTACCTAAAAGAGACAGGGATAATGGAACCAAGTTGGAAAACATGCTTTAGGATATCATCCAGGAGAACTTCCTCAACACAGCAAGACAGGCCAACATTCACATTCAGAAAATCCAGAGAACCACAGGAAGATACTCCATGAGAAGATCATCCCCAAGACACATAATCATCAGATTCTCCAAAGTCAACATGAAGGAAAAAATGTTAAGGGCAGCCAGAGAGAAAGGCCAGGTCACCTACAAAGGGAAGCCCATCAGACTAACAGCAGATCTCTCAGCCTAAACTCTACAAGCCAGAAGAGATTGGGGCCAATATTCAACATTCCTAAAGAGCAGAGTTTCCAACCGGAATTCCGTATCCGGCCACACTAAACTTCCTAAGCAAAGAAGAAATAAAATTCTTTGCAGGCAAGCAAATGCTGAGGGAATTTGTCACCACCTGGCCTGCCTTGCAAGTGCTCCTAAAGGAAGCACTAAATGTGGAAAAGAAAAGCCATTATGAGCCACTATAAAAATACGCTGAAGTACAAAGACCAATGACATATGAAGCAACTACATCAACAGGTCTGCAAAATAACCAGCTAGCATCATGATGACAGGATCAAATTCATACATAACAATATTAACCTTAAATGTAATATCGGTTACCTTTATAATATTATTATATAAATATAAATATTAAACTTACTATTAATACATATTAAACTTAATATTAACACATATTAAGTTTAATGTGTAATAGGTATTAAATGTAACAGGTAACCAATATTATAAAATGCCCCAATTAAAAGATACAGGATGGCAAGCTGATAAACAGTTAAGACCCATCTACTTGTGTGCTATATTCAAGAGACCCATCTCACATGCAAAGACACACATAGCCTCAAAATAAAGGAATGGAGTAAAATTTACCAAGCAAATAGAAAACAGAAAAAAGCAGGAATTGCCATCCTAGTTTCTAACAAAACAGACTTTAAACCTACAAAAATCAAAAAAGACAAAAAAGGCATTACACAATGGTAAAGTGTTCAATTCAACAAGAAGAGCTAACTATCCTAAATATATATGCACCCAATACAAAAGTGCCCAGATTCATAAAATAAGTGCTTAGATACCTATGAAGAGACATAGACTCCCACACAATAATAGTGAGAGACGTTAGCACCCCACTCTCAATATTAGATCATCGAGACAGAAAATTAACAAAGATATTCAGGACTTGAACTCAGCTCTGGATCAAGTGGACCTGACAGATATCTACAGGACTGTCCACCCAAAAACAACAGAAGATACATTCTTCTTGGTGCTACATGGCATTCACTCTAAAATTGATCACATAATTGAAAGTAAAATACTTCTCAGCAAATGCAGAAAAACTGAAATCATAATAAACAGTCTCTCAGAACAGAGCACAGTTAAATTAGAACTCAAGATTAAGAAACTCACTCAAAACCACACAACTACATGGACATTGAACAGCCTGCTCCTTAATGACTACTGGATAAATAATAAAATTAAGACAGAAATTAAGAAGTTCTTTGAAACCAATGAGAGCAAAAAGACAATATACCAGAATCTCTGGGATGCAGCTAAAGCAGTGTTAAGAGGGAAATGTATAGCACTAAATGCCAACATCAAAAAGCTAGAAAGATCTCAAATTGACATCCTAACATCACAACTAAAAGAGCTAGAGAATCAAGAGCAAAAAACCCCAAAGAGAGCAGAAGACAAGAAACAACCAAGATCAGAGCAGAGCAGAACTGAAGGAGAAGGAGATGGAGACACAAAAAATCTTTCAAAAAATCAATGAATCCAGGTGCTGGTTTTGGGAAAAATTAAGAAAATAGACAGACTGCTGTCTAGTCTAACCTAGACTAATAAAGGAGAAAAGAGAGAAAAATCAAATAGACACAATAAAGAATGATAAATGGATATCACCCCTGACCCCACAGAAATACAACCAACCACCAGAGAATACTATTAAATACTTCTATGCAAATAAACTAGAAAATCTAGAAGAAATAGGCAAATTCCTGAACACATACAACCTCCCAAGAGAGAATCAGGAAAATGTTGAATCCCTAAATAGGCCTACTACAAGTTCTGAAATTGTGGCGGTAATAAATAGTGTATCAAACAAAAAAAGACTAGGCCAACACAGATTTACAGCTGAATTCTACCAGAGGTACAAAGATAAGCTGGTACCATTTCTTCTGAAACTATTTCAAACAATTGAAAAGAAGGGACTTCTCCTTAACTCATTTCATGAAACTGGTATAATCGTGATACCAAAATCTGGCAGAGACACAATAAAAAAAGAAAACTTCATGCCAATATCCCTGATGAACATCAATGCAAAAATCCTCAATAAAATACTGACAAAGGAAATCCAGCAGCACATCAAAGAGCTTATCCACAACAATCATGTGGGCTTCATCCTTGGGATGCAAGTCTGGTTCAACATATGCAAATCAATAAATGTAATTAATCACATAAACAAAACTAAAGACAAAACCCAAATGATTATCTCAATAGATACAGAAATTGCCTTTGAAAAAATTCAACATTCTTTCATGTTAAAATCTCTCAATAAACTAGGTATTGATGGGACATACCTCAAAATAATAAGAGCCATTCATGACAAATACACAGCTGATATCATACTGAATGGGCAAAAGCTAGAAGCATTTCCTTTGAAAACCAGCACAAGACAAAGATGCCCTCTCTCACCACTGCTATTGAACATAGTATTGGAAGTTCTGGCCAGATCAATTAGGCAAGAGAAAGAAATAAAAGGCATTCAAATAGGAGGGGAGGAAGTTAAACTGTCTCTGTTTGGAGATGACATGATCCTATGTCTAGAAAACCCCATTGTCTCAGCCCATATGCTTTTTTTTTTTTTTTTTTTTTTGACAAAGTCTCACTCTGTTGCCTAGGCTGGAGTGCAATGGTGCGATCTCTGCTCACTGCAACCTCTGCCTCCCAGGTTCAAGCAATACTCCTGCCTCAGCCTCCTGAGTAGCTGGCATTACAAGTGCCTGCCACCACTCCTAGCTAATTTTTGTATTTTTAGTAGAGGTGAGGTTTCACCATGTGTGCCAGGCTCATCTTAAACTCCTGACTTTAGGTGATCCACCTGTTTCAGCCTCCCAATGTGCTAGGATTACAGGAGTGAGGCACCACACTCAGCCTGTCAATTCATATGCTTCTTAAGCTGATAAGCAACTTCAGCAGAGTCTCAGGATACAAAATTAATGTGCAAAGATCACAAGTATTCTTACACACCAACAATAGACAAGCAAAGAGCCAAATCATGAATAAACTCCCATTCACAATTGTTACAAAGAGAGTAAAATACCTAGGAATGCAGCTAACAAAGGAAGTGAAGGTGAAGGACCTCTTCAAGGAAAACTACAAACCACTATTCAACAAAAAATCAGAGAGGACACAAACAAATGGAGAAATATTCCATGCTCATGAAAGAGTCAATATCATGAAAATGGCCATACTACCCAAAGTAACTGATAGATACAACGGTATTCCCATTAAACTACCATTGACATTCTTCACAGTATTAGAAAAACTACTTTAAAATTTATATGAAACTAAAAAAGAGCCCATATAGCTAATTCAATTCTAATCAAAAAGAACAAAGATGGAGGTATTACAGATACCTGACTTCAAACTATACTACAAGGCTACAGTAGCCAAAACAGCCTGGTACTTGTACAAAAACAGACATATAGACCAATGGAACAGAATAGAAAACTTAGAAGTAAGTCCACACATCTACAACCATCTGATCTTTGACAAATCTGACAAAAACAAGCAACGGAGAAAGGATTCTCTATTTAATAAATAGTGTGGGGAGAACTGGCTAGCGATATGCAGAATATTGAAACTAGACCCCTTCCTTACACCATATTTTAAAAAACCATCTCAAAATGGATTAAAGACTTAAATGTAAAACCCAAAACTATTAAAACCCTAAAAGAAAACCTAGGCAATACCATTCAGGACATAGGCACGGGCAATGATTTCATGACAAGGCACTAAGAGCAGTTGCAACAAAGGCAAAAAATGATAAATGGGATCTAGTTAACCTAAAGAGCTTCTGTGCAGCGAAATAAACTATCATCAGAGTAAAAGACAACCTACAGGATGGGAGAACATGTTTGCAATCTATTCGTCTGACAAAGGTCTCATATCTAGCATCTACAAGGAACTTAAACAAATTTATCAGAAAAAAGCAAACATTAAATAGCGGGCAAAGGATATGAACAGAGACTTCTCAAAAGATGACATTTATGTGGTAAACATGAAAAAAGCTCAACATCACTAATCATTAGAGAAATGCAAATCAAAACCACAATGATATGCCATCTCACGTCAGTCAGAATGGTGATTATTAAAAAGTCAAGAAACAACAGATGCTGGTGAGGCTGTGGAGCAATAAGATCGCTTTTACACTGTTGATGGGAATGTATTAGTTCAACCATTGTGGAAGACAGTGTGGGAATTCCTCAGACACCTAGAGGGGGAAATATCATTTGACCCAGCAATCCCATTACTGAGTATATACCCAAAGGGATATAAATATTTCTATTATAAAGATACACGCAGGCCAGGCGTGGTCCAGCAGAAACCAAGTCTCAAAGATTTCTTAAGAACTTTGCAAACAAAATAATCAATAACATGCTTACTGACATGCAATGGAATCTAGCGAGTCAGTCATCCTTAGTTTTCTCATTTTTCCATATTACAAAAAAACTTTAAACTCAGAATGAGATAAAACACTTGGAAAACAAATATCTGAAAGAAAAAACTTGTATTCAAATATATAAAGAGCTCTTAACATTTAAGAATAAATACACAAACAAGCTTTTTTTTTATATGGGCAAATAATCTGGGCAGTCTTTTCACCAAAAAATATAAGCATAAAAAATAAAACTACAAAACATGCTCAATACCATTTGTCACTAGGAAATTACAAATAAATATTACTTTGATTTCATATACCTATTAGAACAGCTGAAATGAGAAAAAAATCTGAAAATATCAATTGTTATCTAGGATGCAGAGCAACATGAACACTTATTAATTACTTTTGGAAATGCAAAATAATACAAGCACTTTGGAACACAGTTCAGCATTTTTTCAAAGCTAAACATCGTCTTACCATATGATATGGCAGTCATGTTCCTATTTGTCTCCCAATTAATTTGAAAATGTATGTTCACACAAAAAAAATGCTCACATATGTTTATATAAATTTTATTATAATTTCCCAAAACTGGAACTAACCAAAATATCTTTCAATAGGCAAATTATAAACAAACCTGGTATATCCATCAATACAATATAATAATTTTATTATGAAAAATAAGCTATCAAGCCATTAAAATAAAAATGAATCAAACTTAAATACATTCATTTAAAGAACCCAGTCTGAAAAGACTACATACTGTTTGAGGGTTTACAGAAGGCAAGAGGGTTAAATGGAGGGAAATATTTTAGAGTAGTGAACCTGTTCTATATGATACTATAATGGTGCATACTTGACGCTACACATTTGTCAATACTTGCATTACTTTAAATTGCAAAGAGTGAACCTTAATATTTAGGAGGTCAGAGGATATCAATATGCATGCAGAAGATGAGAAAACCATCAACTGTATCAAGAATGCCTAAAACAATGACACTGAATGGTGGCGGAGGAATAAGCACTTACGTAAGTAATTTGGAAAAAGGGTCAAGTCAATAAGACTAAAGGCAAAAGAAACTATGCATTAGTACCACATTCTAGTTTATACAATTTGTTTCTAAAAGGCACAGGTTAACAATTCTGACATCACTCTATGTGCATACTGAAATTGAAAAATTGTTTAAATGGATGGCAGTTGCTGGTACTCTAGTTTCTCATGGTTGAAGTGGGGATTTATAGATAAATAGGCTAGAGTAATTCATTTGGTAATGGATTGCGGTCAGAGACATCAGAATGAAATCATATTTGCTTTAACATAGATACAGATGGTTAAACATAGACATATTCCTATGTCTTTGTATATGCACAGATTAGCATACACATATATATTTTCATGTTGTGCCAACAGAGAGGACCTAGAAGCAATGACACCTCAGTAGCAAGCAGTACACCTATCCACCTATATCCTAAATCTAATAAGAGGGATCATAGCTATTTGGAGCTCAATAACTGATGAATGAAGTATACAAGATGAGCTTAGAGAATCTTGTAGTGCGAGAAAGTAAGGAAATGCTCAAATTAAAAAATCTCACTATGATGGGGATGTCAACACAATATTGAGCCAACTGAGAGAGCTCTCAATGGCCAAAACTAACACAATTTGAGCAACAAAATAAAGTAATATTGAATTATAACCCGAAGTATAAAATAAATGTTAATTACTCAATGATGACATAAATAAATGAATGAATAAATAAACGGGAGAGAAGAGATAAATCTCCTCTGCAAAATAATTCCAAATAATTTATGTAGGTATTCCACTCTCAAGTAAGTTTTGCATAACTCTCCACTTAAGTGTGAGTTGCACACTGACGTCCTTCTAATGTGCACAATATCAAGCTATAACATGAAGTATTACTGTTGATGTTGAAGTCATCAACAATAGTAAGTCATGTTAATTGTACATACCCTTGATATGATGTGATAGAAATGTCACCTTATTTCTGTGGTCTTTTTCCCCAAATCCCATAACCACAGTATAATCGTTAAAAAAATCAGACATATACCAGTTGAGGGAAATTAAGCAAAATACCTGACCATTCCTTCTTAAAAATATCAAGAGAGTTCTTCAAAAACAAAGAAAGTTTGAGAAACTGTCATAGTCAAAAGGACTCTAAGGAAACATAATGAGTACATGTAATGTGATAATCTGGATAGGATTCTCAAACAGAGAGAGAATATTAGTTCAATACCAAGGACATCTGAATAAAGTAAGGATTTTAGTTAATAATAATCTATTAATATAAGTTCATTAATTATATCAAATATGTCATATTAATGTTAGACATTAACAACAGGGAAAACTGGGTACTCTGTGCCATCTTCATAATTTTTCTCTAAATCTAAAACTACTCTTAAAATAAAAATAATAGTTTAAAACAATGTTATATAACTTGTCATAGATAGAGCATTTAGCATGTAGCAGAGCCAGGATTTGAACCTAAGCATTCTGACCGTAAGTGCCTTTTTACTGTCAACTAATACTAACTGTGAAGAGAGTAATATGTAAGAATAGTATAAAGAGAAATAAGTTTGCCACTGGGGTAACAAAGCTTAATAAGCTTCTTTATCATACCAAAAGATTTCTAGGCATTTTCAGTGAGGTAATTAACTGTGACTACTCAAGAAAAGAATATCATTCAACTATGGAAGCATTTCCTTGTGGAACTTATGATCGTGAGGCACATCCTGGAACACATGTTGAATAAAATATATACTGTAAGAACAATGTCATGCCACTCTTACAAATCTGGGGGGTGAATAAAACATTTCTCTGAACTAAACTCTACTCTTTGTCAATAAAATGCTTAGTTTTTTATATTCGTTTGTTTGTTTTGGCCATTTTAAACAGAGGATGAAGACACACTAAGACTATTTTGTTTATTTCATCAGTATCCATTTTAAAAGAATACTAAGGAAAGGAAAAACACAAAATGAAAAAGTATCCATTTCCATAGTTGGCATATTTCTCTGTCTATTAAGTGAACCAATTTTAGAATAATTTGTGTTTTTCTGTAATTCATCTTGGCGTGTCATTCTATTTTCCTTGGTACCACTTTGTTCTTTTTCTTCTGATTGCTGTTGCAATGACACTTGTAAATTAAGGAAGAGGAAAAACTACGTTTGTAATTAACATATATCTCTTGCATTTCCATATTTTAAAAGCAGAGTGATTAAGCCAGCTTATTAGCTTATGAAACATTTGATTGAGCATTCATTCTTACTACCTTCAGGATTTTTCTTCTTTTCTGCTTCCTACTGCTTCGTACTGGGCAAGATGGAAAACCATCCACCTTGATTTCTCCTCTTCTGAAAATTTGAGATGAAATGTCTTATAAAAATGTAAAAATCCTATGAACAAATGCCAGGGTACAAGATTAACACGGAAGATGGAGCTATGGTCTTCCTTGAATGAATACATATCTCAAGACCTAAAATGGCCTTAGTTCATGTAATTAAAAATCTCTGTGCTTATTCCTATGAATGTTATATAGAACTTAATCAAATATGGACTTTTTGATATTCTAGCTCACAAAATACAAGAAATATGAACCTCATTCAGCATGCCATACTAAAGTGGAAAGCTGAAATAATTACTGCTGTCCTCTCTAAATCCAAAATGCGTGCAATTACAATTACTCAGGTTATTTTTTTCAATGTGAAAGTCAAAGAGAAATTGTATTACTAAATACTACAGATATATTTTTCAGACATTTTGTGTGATTCAACTATATTCTTATTTTTTATCTATTTATTCAACTAAACTAGTCATTGTAAGTTCCAAACATTTAAGGTTATATTACTTAGCTCAATTTGTTAAAGCATTAAAAATGATATTAAAGTGATTAATAGGTACCATATCAATTTAAAAGGTTATGTAGTCTTACAACTAAATACAATATAATAAGACTCATTATGATATTTCATACACACAAAATGTGTTATTGGTCACCAGGTTAATTAGTACAGAAATCAACAGTTTACAAATAAAATGCATTGACCTTAAATAAAAACTCTATTCTTCAACTCTCAACAGACATGGGACTAATTCCACTATGCTTCATATTTCATGTTACCCAAGTGTGTATTCCTTTTATTCATCCTTTATCTTATCAGCATCCCTATACTGTTTAGTAAATGCTCCTCTTCCTCACTCTGCATGCTATTTTCTAATATATGGAACTCTAAACTTCTGCTCTAAAACTTCTGCTGGGGTCAGTATATTTTGTCTTCCCCACTGCCACTTTTTCTACTCTATTGACATCATGAAATTTACCTTTAACTTGAAATATAGGTTTTAAGAGTGCATGTGTTCTGAACTCAAAATACACAAGTTCAAATTCTGACTTTGGGCAAGTGACCTAATTACTCCACTTTATAGTTTGATTCCCCATCTATAAATCAAAAGTATCAAGTAATTACCTGATAGGGATAAAAGTGTTTATATATGGAAACAGATACAAATGGAAAATAGTTTAGAGACTATTATGACATAATTAAAATAATGTTTATAAATAAAATACATAGCATTTGCCTATTACTTCATTTTTTTTAATAATAGGTAACTCTATTTTATTTGCCCCTTGCTATATGTCATATACAGACGTTGCTAATTTTCTGAAGACTTGACAATCAGTTTATTTCTTTCTGTGACACTCCAATTTCTACTGTTATACTGGGTGATATGAATAACATTATAGGTTACTCATCTAACACTTCTGAGATCTGGACTTCATTATTTCCAAACAACTTCTAATCTATCTCATTAATTAATCTCAGTCACACTATGAACTCTTTCATTCCTACATACTTTCCTTATCTGGAATCACAATTTCATACCTTCCACTTTTAACAATATTTCTCCATTACTACATCCCCTGTTCTCCAGCTTCACTGGGATCTCCTAGTCTTGATTCTTTCCCTTTGTGTGTATCCACCAACAGCTTTTTGTCTTTTCTTACCTCTGTGTATAGCCTATTTGGCTTAGCAGGCTGATTTCTTCTTTGCATCTAACTTCCATCTCCTTTTTCCCACTACACCTCTGCTTCACTGGACTATTAAATCCTTTAAAGTTGGTATTTATTTTTTCCTGGCACAGAGTTTTCCCCATACTTATTGGGGTCAGCCTCCAATCCACATAAACCCCTAAGCCCATTCACCTAAGTTGACTCCTCAAATCCTCTGATGGCAGTTTGAACACTCTGTATTTGGGTAAGTCTTCTGTGTGTTCTGTATAATTTAACTCTTTTAGAAGTCATCAAATCTATGCTTAACTAAATTATCATTACATTTATTTATCCAATCACTTGTTTTTTGCAATCACTTGTTTTTTGCTCTAATAAGACCCTTGAATTTCAAGACCTTATCTGATTTCTCATTTAAATAGTAATATGCTTTACAAATGTTATTGTTAATGTAGGTAACAATAACAATGTTAGCATAGATATGAATACTCTTTTTGACTCCCTTTCTTCTCATATGCCCCCATCTCTAAACTATTTTCCATTTGTGTCTGTTTCCATATATAAAACACAACTTCTTTTCCTAGAAATTCTGAGTTTTAAAACTAGTAATATAAACTGGGGTGTGCTAGGTCACTACATCCAAGTCATCTGTTTTGGATCGGCTAATATTATTTCTTGCAGATGACAGGAAATGCAATTCAAACTGGATTAAACAACAGTACAAAAACATTTTTATTGCCTTATGTAACTGAAACATCCAGCTGTACGTTTTCAGGTGCAGCTTGATCTACAGCCTCCAATGCTGTCAACAGGAATTATTTTCCTCTACATGTTGTGCCTCTACATATACGATGTTGGCTTTGTTTTTAGTCTCTAGTTTTCCAGATTTAAGTTTAACAAAGAAGAGTTTGTCCCTTTCTTACAGTTGCCAAAGAAAGCATCACAATGTATCTCAAAGTTTTATTTGGACACTCATCACTTAGTCATCATGGAGTGCAAGAGAATGTTCTATCTCATTCGGTCAGATTTGGGTCTCCTTCCTACTTGCTCTAATCCTGATATTACGAGCAGAATCCCACAAGAAGCATCTGGCTAAAGATTTCCTCTAGATGAAGATTTATAGACCCATATTGGCTACCAGATGAAAATTATGTGGCACACACAAACACATTTGCATGTACATATGCTCACTGGAAATTACAGAAGTAGAAGGGCATCAATGAATTATATATGATCATATCTATACCCCTGACTTTATGGTTTTGGTTATATAAACAAGAAAGAGTGTTATACAATGAAAACTAACAAGAGTTATTTCTCTAATTGAGGGGTATTTAATCAATCTTGTTATATATGTTATTTATTTCCAAAGATTTGAAGATTAAAACCAAGCCATGGAATTTTTGATATATGTGCTTATCTTGAAAATCCACAAAGGTATGTTCAAAGCTCACTGGATATGTTTTAGGCTATCTTTTGATCAAAATATATTTCATATTAATACTCTTATAATTAGCAAATAATTAATATCATGTTTCATAAAATATCAAATATGATGAACCACGTGAGCTAAAAACTATATGAGAGAATGTGGTTATCCAGTCTACAAGATAAAGATAAGGCATGAGAGAAAGTTGGGGAGAGAACACTGTAAGCATTGATGGTAATGGGATAAGAATTCAACCCCCCAAAGGTTAAATTATTATACTAATTGAAATACTAAGGTAACTGGTAGAAAAAGAATTAGCCCATAGTTGGCAAAGAATTCCTAGGCATATGGATAGAGAGAATTTGAGTTGCTCCTTGTTCTGCCACTTTCTATTTGACTTTGGTAAGTTATGTATTGTCTTCAGGAATCTGTTTTCTTTCCTATGAAACAGGCATAGTAAGAGCTACCTCTCAAATAGTGATAACAAATATATATATAACACAATAATATTAAATCAATTATTACTCTGCTTTGAAGATGCAGCACTAATTTATAAGAAAGTGGAGAAAAACTGATGACCACAAAAGGAAAAACAGCTAAAAGCCACCTAGGACTAAAAATAAGTGCACTATAAAGCTACAAAATTTAGGTTTTAAAATTCCATAAGTGAAATCTTGACTCATTTTCATGAATGACATTCTCTATATTTTACTTGATTCTGCCAAGACTTATTTTTTTAAGTAGAAGTTTCAAGTGTACCTGCCAATAGGGCCTATTCCTAGAGTCTAAGAACATCAATAACCTTCAAAACTGCAAGAAAGAATACCCAAATTACTCACTTAACTATTTACCTAATGACTTTCAGTGGTTCAGTTTTCAAATAACCTCTGAGCTGGCTATACTTGAAAAGTCAAAATGTTAAATGAAAGCATCAATAAACTGATCTGGTCACTCCTGGTATCATAGAAGAGAATATAAGACTTGATTTATCTATATTTACTAATTTATTTTATGAATTATTAATATTTTTACCTCACCTATCTTGAGACAATTTTGATTATGTTCACTTTATTAATTATAAATTAGTTTACATATCAACAGAGATTTATTGAGGGTACATTTTTCAAAGCTGTTTAAAAATCTGTTAGAACGAAAATTGATAATATAAAATGAAAGAGGGTACATTAACACTGATATGACAGAAATATAAAGACTATCAGAGATTATTATGAACAATTCTACATTAACAAACTGGAAAGCCTTAAAAAATGGATACATTTCTGAATAAATATAACCTGCCAAGATTTCATTGGAAAGGCACAGAAAACCTGAATAGACCAATAATGAATAAAGAGATTGAAACAGTAATGAAAAATCTTCCAACAAAGAAAATCCCAGGACCTGATAGCTTCACCACTAAATTCTACCAAACACTTAAAATATAACCAATATAATCCTTCTCGAACTCCTCCAAAAAAACTGAAGAGGACAGAATACCTCCAAACTTAGTTTATGCGGCCAGGAGTATCCTGATACAAAAACCAGACAAGGACCCTACAAGAAAAAAAAAATACATGCCAATAATATTGATAAACATAGATCCAAACATCCTCAACACAGTGCTAGCAAACCAATTAAACAGTATATTAAAAGGATCATTCATCATAATCAAGTGAGATTTATCCCTGGGATGCAATGATGGTTCAACATATCACAAATCAACTAAAGTGATACAACACAGAATGAAGGACAAAAATGAAATGATCATCTCAATACACGCAGCAAAGGCATTTGACAACCTTCAACACTGTTTTATGATTAAAAAAGCAAAAACTTTCAACAAATTAAGTATAGAAGGAGTGTACCTCAACGCAATAAAGGCTGTCTATGACAAACCTACAACTAACACTATACTTAACAGTGAAAAGTTGAAAGATTTTCCTCTAAGATCAAGATCAAGATAAGAATGCCCATTTTTACCACTTCTGCTCAACATAGTACCGGCAGTCCTTAGTCAGAGAAATTAGGCAAGACAAAGAAATAAAAGCCATCCAAAATGGGAAAAAAAAAAGAAGTTAAATTGTCTCTCTTTGCAGACATCATGATCTTATAGCTAGAATACCCTAAAGACTCTACAAAAACTCATAGAACCAACAAATAATTTCATTAGGTTTCAGGATACAAAATCAACATGCAAAATCAGTAGCATTTCTATACACTAACAACCATCTATCCAAAAAAGAAATTAAAAAAATACCATTTGAAATATCTTAAAAAACTTTAGGAATAAATTTAATCAAGGAAGTGAAAAAAACTGTACACTAAAAATCAAAACACTGATGAAAGAAATTGGAAAAAAAGCACATATAAATGTAAAGATATCTCCTGTTTGTGGTTTGGAATATGTAACATTGTCAAAGTGTCCATACTACCCAAAGCTATCTAGAAATTCAATACAATTCGTATTTAAGTTTCAGTGACATTTTTTATAGAAATAGGAAAAAAAAACTAAAACTTTTATAAAACCACAAAAGCCATGAATAGACAAAGCAAGCCTGAGAAAACAAAAACAAAAACAAAGCCATAGGCATCACAATACCTGATTCCAAAATCTGCCACAAGTCTATAGTAATCAAGACAGCATGGTACTGGCATAAAAATAGACACGTAGACAAATGCAACAGAACAGAGAGTCCAGAAATAAATTCACACTTTCACAGTCTATTGATTTTTGACAAAGATGCCAAGATTACACAATGGGGAAAGGACAGTCTCTTCAACAAATTATGTTGGGAGAACTGGATATATACATGCAGAAGAATGAAATTAAACCCTCATGTCACACTATATTCAAAAATAAACTCAAAATTGTTAAAGACTTACATGTAAGACCTGCAAATGTAAAAACTTTTCAAAGAAACATAGGAGGAGATCTCCATGGCATTGATGAGGGCAATGATTTTTGGATATGACCCCAAAAGCACAGGAAACACAGGTAAAAATAGACAAATGGAATTACATCAAACTAAAAATCTTCTGCACAGCCAAGGATACCATCAACAGAGTGAAGAGACAACCTACGGAATGCAAGAAAGTTTTGCAAACCATACATTTGACAAGGAATTAATATCCAAAATATATAAGGAACTCCAACAACTCAATAGTAAGAAACACATAACCTGATTAAAAATGAGCAAAGGACCTGAATAAACATTTCTCAAAACAAGAAATACAAGTGGCCAACAGATATATGAAGAAGTGTTCAACATCACTAATCATCAGGGAAATACAAATGAAATACAAATGAAAACCACAATAAGATATCACCTCGCATGTGATAGAATGGCTGTTATAAAAAAGATGAAAGATAACAAATGTTAGTGAGCATGTGGACTTAAAAGGAATTCATACACTGTTGGTGGGAATTAGCACAGCCATTATGTAAATCAGTATAGAGGTTCTTCAATAAATTAGAAATAGAATTACCATATGATCCAGGAATCCTACTACTGGATATATATTCAAAAGAACTGAAATCAATATATTGAAGAGATATCTGAGTTCCTATGTTTATTGCAGCATTAAATACAATACCCAAACCTTTTTATCAATCTAAGTGTCTATCCATGAATGAATGGATAAAGAAAATGTGGTATATATACAAAATAGAATACTGTTCCAGCCTTTTAGAAGAAGAAAATCTGGTTATTTTTACAACGTGAATAAACCTAAAGGACATTATGTTAATATGAAATAAATCAGGTATAGAAAGACAAATAACACATCCCTCACTTATATGAGGAATTTTTAAAAGTTGAACTCATAGAAGCAGAGAGTAGAATGGTGATTACAAGGCTTGAAAGTGGGAGGATTGGGAAAACGTTGGTCAAAGTATACATGATTTCAGTTAAGAGGAATAAGTTAAAGAGATCTGTTGTAGAACATGGTGACTATATTTGAAAACATTATATTTTACACTTGAAAATTGCCACTAAATGAGTAGATTTAAGGTATTATCACCACAAAAAAAAAAACCAGAAAAATGTGAGACAATGCCTATGTCAATCAGCTTCATTTAGGCATTCCACATTGGATACATATATCAAAATATCATATCATATGCTCTAAATATATATATAACTTTTGTCAATTATTATAACTTAAAAGAATAGTGGATGGTGGACCTCTCCTGTTATTTACACGGATGAATTACTAGGTCAGAAAGGTTTTGCTAATGAATATTTTGATTATTAAAGCATTGGAAAAATCATTTGCCAAATCATACTTTTTCATAATAATATCTAATTTTCTCTCTGAGAATGGAGTCTGTTTGCTTCATGACCACAGATTCTGAGAAGGAATTCTGTTTTCTATTCCTGACTCTCTCAAACCAGGATGTGTTTTTATTAGTGTGGTTTTTAAAACTGCACATGTGTTCAATTTGGCTTTTGATGTCTCAATCCAATAATTTAGGCAATGACTGATAAATACATAGAATAATGTAACATGACACCATCCTAGGTTTCATATACAGAAAAAATACAAATATTTTCTGGAGTTCACAGAGACAATATATCCTCACATTTACGTCAATCCTCTATACACTTATGCATGTTCTAGGTTTTCCAAACATTCCTAGAAGCTTTTCCTCTTCATAAGTATGGGAATGAGGCTCAAATACATCTGTGTTGTCTCTGTTTCCTTTTATCCAAATATTCTACCCTGCCCCATGAGACAATATCTCTTTTTTCCATTTTTAATTATACCCTATTGCTTTATGTTGAATTTTGTCAAATTCAATGATGTTTATAATGATACCATTTATGAAAATTATGCTCAAACTCAGAGTTAAATCATTTAGAAATATTCAACATAAAGCAATAGAGTATATTTAAAAATGGAAAAAACAGATGTTGTCTCATGGGGCAGGGTAGAATATTTGGATAAAAGGAAACAGAGACTACACAGATGTGTTTGAGCCTCATTCCCTTACTTATGAAGAGGAAAAGCTTCTAGGAATGTTTGGAAAACCTAGAACATGCATAAGTGTATAGAGGATTGATGTAAATGTGAGGATATATTGTTTCTGTGGACTCCAGAAAATATTTGTATTTTTTCTGTATATGAAACCTAGGATGGTGTCATGTTACATTATTCTATGTATTTATCAGTCATTGCCTAAATTATTGGATTGAGACATCAAAAGCCAAATGGAAAAAACTACTTTAAAGTTCATATGGAACCAAAAAAGAGCCCGCATTGCCAAGTCAATCCTAAGCCAAAAGAACAAAGCTGGAGGCATCAGGCTACCTGATTTCAAACTATACTACAAGGCTACAGTAACCAAAACAGCATGGTACTGGTACCAAAACGGAGATATAGATCAATGGAACAGAACAGAGCCCTCAGAAATAACGCTGCATATCTACAACTATCTGATCTTTGACAAACCTAAGAAAAACAAGCAATGGGGAAAGGATTCCCTATTTAATAAATGGTGCTGGAAAAACTGGCTAGCCACATGTAGAAAGCTGAAACTGGATCCCTTCCTTACACCTTATACAAAAACTAATTCAAGATGGATTAAAGACTTAAACGTTAGACCTAAAATCATAAAAACCCTAGAAGAAAACCTAGGCATTACCATTCAGGACATAGGCATGGGCAAGGACTTCATGTCTAAAACACCAAAAGCAATGGCAACAAAAGCCACAATTGACAAATGGGATCTAATTAAACTAAAGAGCTTCTGCACAGCAAAAGAAACTACCATCAGAGTGAACAGGCAACCTACAAAATGGGAGAAAATTGTCACAACCTACTCATCTGACAAAGGGCTAATATCCAGAATCTACAGTGAACTCAAACAAATTTACAAGAAAAAAACAAACAAACCCATCAAAAAGTGGGTGAAGGACATGAACAGACACTTCTCAAAAGAAGACATTTATGCAGCCAAAAAACACATGAAAAAATGCTCACCATCACTGGCCATCAGAGAAATGCAAATCAAAACCACAGTGAGATACCATCTCACACCAGTTAGAATGGCGATCATTAAAAAGTCAGGAAACAACAGGTGCTGGAGAGGATGTGGAGAAATAGGAACACTTTTACACTGTTGGTGGGACGGTAAACTAGTTAAACCCTTGTGGAAGTCAGTGTGGCGATTCCTCAGGGATCTAGAACTAGAAATGCCATTTGACCCAGCCATCCCATTACTGGGTATATACCCAAAGGACTATAAATCATGCTGCTATAAAGACACATGTACACGTATGTTTATTGCGGCATTATTCACAATAGCAAAGACTTGGAACCAAGCCAAATGTCCAACAATGATAGACTGGATTAAGAAAATGTGGCACATATACACCATGGAATACTATGCCGCCATAAAAAATGATGAGTTCATGTCCTTTGTAGGGACATGGATGAAATTGGAAATCATCATTCTCAGTAAACTATTGCAAGAACAAAAAACCAAACACTGCATATTCTCACTCATAGGTGGGAATTGAACAATGAGAACACTTGGACACAGGAAGGGGAACATCACACTCTGGGAACTGTTTTGGGGTGGGGGGAGGGGGGAGGGATAGCTTTAGGAGATATACCTAATGCTAAATGACCAGTTAATGGGCGCAGCACACCAGCATGGCACATGTATACATATGTAACTAACCTGCACATTGTGCACATGTACCCTAAAACTTAAAGTACAATAATAATAAAATTAAATCAAATTTAAAAAAAAAAGAACATCATTGGTTTTACAGGTTTGATACTTGACCGTTGCAAACTTAGTTTGATAACATAAGTGAATTAATATTTAGAAAAAAAACACAGCTAATGATTTTGTGAGAAATTCCAAAAAGCATGACTGCAGTGAGTCAAGAGATATTGAATACTGAGGTTGTTTTTTGAGTTTCTAGTAGGAAAATACCATCTTATGCCCACATACAAATTTGAGCCTCTTTAATAACACTCTGAAAACTGATTTTTTTTATTAATGCCTACTTTTCTGACTATCTATGAACTTTTCAAGGGCTGGAATTATAATTACCTTTTTCAGTAGTGCATAGAATTACCTGACATATACCAGGTACTTATTAAATATTGTTTAATTAATAAATACAATTTGTAAATTTTGGAAACAAAGATAACTTATGATTTTAACATTCCATCTCTCTATAAGATTAATCCCTTAATATTAAAAGTCCTACCTAATAAAAAGATTGGGCTATTTCACACTTCTACTTATAAGTAATAAATTATTCCTTTATCCTAACTTTCCAAATAATTCCTAGATAATTGTAAATCTTTTTCCTAGTCTTCATCTTCCACAATATTTGTCCCCTCACTTTTTTGATTCTGTGTTTCTAATGTTATTATTTGGCATAGAGTATTATTCTTTGCCTTGTATAACTACCCAAAGCTTAACTAACACTATGACAATACAATTTATATCATTGCCAGCCTAAATCTTCAGACTTGGAGTATGAATAAAACACAATTTTGAGACGTTGCAACCATGTTATAATCAGAGATTTCCTGAAGAAGATATGAGCTTGAAGAACACCCCTTCATTCCAGTCGTCTAAATTCTAAAGAAGACATTTACAGTAACGTTTATTCATACATAGATGGTCAGAAAACACCATATTACATCCAAATGGCCTGCACAGATAAGGGGGAGCTAAAATCATGGTTGTTAATGTTGAGTTTTCAAGTCAATGTATACATTACCTAAATAAATATTTGGATTCTGACACATGCAAGTAACGGATACAATTTTCCAACTTAATCACACTTCAATGTTTAATGATGCCAAGGCTCTTGAATTGTAAATCCAATAACTAACTTACACGGTTTTACCTTCTGTAAGTTGTTCGTTTCTGTGAGCTTTACTGTTCTACTTTTCACGTGTTTACTTTACTTATGGTTCCCTCTCATTTTTTATTCTTTCCATCATGTTTAAATCTTATGCTTTCTCCTTGAAGAAAATTTTTCTATTTCATTATTCTATTACATTAACTTATATTGAGTCCTCCATCATTGAAGTCCTACCACATTTATGTTTAGTACATTATAAAAGTAACTACTTGACAAAATAACTCGAGAGTCACAAAATTAAAGCATTACGAGAATGGGTTTCGTAGTTCTGCAGACTTTGCCATAAAAATCAGTATTGCCACTTTCTTGATGTGTGATTGCAGATGAATTGCTTAACTTCTCTCTGTCCCAATTTCTTCAACAGAAAATTGGGGTAGTAATTGTACATGCTTTGTGGCTTTTTGACAAGACCTAGGCATACTTCCTGTCACATAATGGGAGCTTATTAACCATTCACCACCAGAATATTACTAAGGGACCTTGGACGTCGGCATGTCTATGTTACTATCAGCATGACCTTGAAAAAGTTACTTATTTTTGAGAATCAACATCGTTAATTCTAAATTGAAGATAAAATTATATATTTTTTTATTTGGCTCATAAAAGTTTTGTTAGAATTAGTTCATTGAACCCCACCATTATTATCATTGCCCTGTATATTATTTTTAATTATAATAATTTGTTAAATCTGTTGCGTTAAAGTAGGGCACAAGATGGAAAAAGATGAAGTCTTTATATATAAATTTTCACATGCCATTCTCTCAAACACAGGTTTGAAAAATAAGTAACAGGTGCTTAGTAAAGTATTAGTGATCAGGAAATAATAGACCAAAATCTGGGGATGTTGCTACCTTCTTGGATAACAGGTGTATGAGATAAGACAGGAGCAGCATGGTAGGAACAGCATTATCTTGGGATGATTAGTTCATGTTGGGTAGTCTGTCCTCAAGCGTGATTAATTAATCTACTTCATAGCTTACATATATTTTACATACATTCTCTTTTAAGTTTCAGATATTACATAAAATTCTAAAAAAAAAAAAAAAAAGCAGAAGTTGGCCAGGCACGGAGGCTTACACCTGTAATCCTAGCACTTTGGGAGGCCGAGGCGGGTGGATTGCCTGAGTGCAGGCATTCAAGACCAGCCTGGGCAACACAGTGAAACCTCATCTCTACTAAAAAACAAAAAACAAACAAACAAAAATAGCCAGGCATGGCGATGTGCGCCTGTAATCCTAGCTACTCGGGAGGCTGAGACAGGAGAATCACTTTAACCCGGGAGGCAGAGGTTGCAGTGAGCCGAGATCATGCCACTGCACTCCAGCCTGGGCAACAGAGCATGACTGTCTCAAAAAAAAAAAAAAAAAAAAGAAGTTACTGACTAAATATTTTCCAACTAGTGTGTATATATAAAATATATGAGATATTTTACATTTGAGATTAAAAAAACACAAATCTTGAGCTCAAGAAGTATTTTTTTCTGGAAAGACTTTACAAATCCATGCTTACAGAAGATTCTAAAAATTATGTGACAACCAAGTAAGATGAAAATGTATGACACCACCCTCTTCCTTTCAGTTTACATCTGAAATTGAATTTTGTAATCGTCCTCCACTATGTACTTATTCCTATTGCTTGGTTTTACCCAGATTTTATTTCCTTGTTTATTCCCAAGGATATAATTATACTTTTAAAAAAATTTTAACACTCACTAACATAGTGAAAAATTACCTGAGAAGTAAGGTAACTTAATAAAAGTCAAGCTTTCTTTTTTGCAGCCACAACATATTAAAAATTGCTTTGAGTTTAAATGTAAAACTTGGCATGCAGAGGTAAACAAAGAACAAAGAAGCATGCTGTTGGAAACAGTTGTGCATTGGCCTCTGAGGATAGAGTGTGAGGTGTAAGCTTATAGAAATTCTTTCTAGCTGGAAGTTGTATGCATTCCCTCCTGCTGTTTTATCCCCATATTTGCTTATACACTAGACTCATTGTAAGTCTCTATTCACAGAAATTCAGTTGGGCTATAGGCTCAAACCATGACTCTTTCATATGTAGAATGTATTTTTTTTTCTCTGACGAGCTACTTACGTCAAAATCTATAAAATAAATGAGTATTTTAAAAGTATAAAATGGCTCAGTGTAATAGGAATATAACTTCCTGAACCACATTAAACTGTGACAAGTTGTTCAAATTTACATGTTCCTCTTCATCTCAATGACGTGCGTCTGCATAAAGTGTCTCTGAAAAACAGAAATACATCAAATAAACAGATGTGAGAAACTGTGAGTTTGGCCAGAATGAGGAGATATCATAAGAAATATGGGCCAGATACTTAGCATTCTTCAGACACCTGAATTATGTTTTCTTTGCATTGTGTAAAGTTTCCATGTCCAGTTGATTCCTTTATGATTTAAACTTAATTAAGTAGAACATAAGAAATGTTTCAGTAGGTTTGATGCCTTTCCTTTTGTGTCTGTAAACTACATGAGGTCAGGAACTGTTAGCTTTCCCTCAGTCATGTTGTTGAAATACATAACCCCATAGTTTCACTGGCTTAAAAACACAAAGGTTTATGTTTGTTAACATTATAGGTCGACTGTGGGTCGACTAAGGCTCTGCTGTACGAATCTTCATTCTGGAATCTAGACTGAAGAATCAGCCACTATTTGAGACATTTTATTCTCATGGTGGAGAGAAAAGAGTAATGGTAAAAATCTACATGGCCTCTTGAAATTTCTTGTTGACAATGGCATGCACAACTTATGCTTACAGGCCACGGGCCCTGGTCAATAGCATGGCCAATATTGATGTCAACTGAACAGAAAATGATATATTTCTACTTGGATGTACATTGCAAGGCATATGGCAATGTGTGAGGACCATATTCCTCTTAGAGAGAGGGCGGCAAATAATTGGGAAAAATAAAACCATCTGCCACAAGAACTCATTCTGATATTCACTGCCGTGTGCCTCGTATCGAGGACAGTTTCCATTATTTAGTAGGTTTTTCATTTATTCTATGATTATGCCAACATTCACTTACTAAGTGTCTACTATGTATCAGATAATTACAATAAGATAAATTAGAGGATAATTTTCACTTATATGGAAAGGAAGATTAGCATACATGAAAACAAAGGAAAAGGAATAAATGAAAAATTGCAAGAGACTATAAGACTAGAAGAAACAATCTAGAAGAGAGTAGAAACCATGAATTGAAGAAGTTAAATAAAATCCCTGGAAAATGTTAAGTAGCATTTTTCCTGATAGAGAAGGGGAAAAGTGGAAAAGTACATTTACAGAGCCATAGAAAAAAAAAACAAAGAAATAATTAAATAATTAAATTATAAACTGGAGCAAGTTCATAATTCAATTAACATTGATAATTAGCCTTTGGCAATTTTCACCAATCACAGAATCTCAAGGTTAGTAGTATACTGGTAAACACTTAACAACTGGCTTTGCCAAGAGTAGGATGGCTCATCATCTGTAACATTTGCTCTTTTCCATGGTGTAAATTCTGCCACCATCACTGATTTCAAGCTACCGACGTGCATCAACCAGCCTTAAAAATTCCTGAAAATTAAACAGCCTTGTCTGCCAAGCTAGTAAATGCAATGTTCAGCATGTCACTGCTAAACATTCTTACAACTAAAACAAGTATCTTTATCACTTTGAGAATATCAGCCCTGGGATATTAATTCCTCTAGATTGCCTGGAAAATAATTAGTTTTCATTTAATCCAGGAACATTTCTAAAAAGCTAAAATTACTCAGGTACTCAGTTAAATGTGCTTGATATTATTTTACTCATTGTTATGATACAGAACTCATAATATTTAGTTCTGTCCTCTGTCGTGCAGCAACTCACTAAGCTCTCCTTGTGAGTGGATTCTTGGTTAGCCCCCGATGCTGTACCTAAAGGGGCTCACAGTTCCACAGGCCAAATTTGATGTTGACCCCTAGTGGTCTCTAAAACTGTGGAATTCAGTGTCTGGGGAAGCAGTTCATATGGAGAGAAAGAAAGAGATTTTGGGGTCAAATTGGAGTTTGCTAATGAAATCCTCATGTACCATCTCTGTGACCTTGGAACAATAATTATATCTCTGAGTTTTCTGTATTTGTATTCAAATCAGTGCTGTCTCTCTGTCCGATTCTGTTCCCAGGTGACCTCAGGTAAGTTAATTAATGCTTATGGATTTTATTTACACTTAAGTATTTAATGAGAACTTTGGTACAAATGATCCTTCAGGCCTCTTACATCCTATGATTTTGTGAAAATTTAATCCAAGTCTTGGGGTCCATTTGTTGCTGTAGCATGTTATAAAAGCAGCACTCATACAGAAGCTGTGGCTTCTTTTATATAGAAAGTGATATTTCATGCTGTATGTTTAACTTATTTTGCATATTGTCTCTCTCCTATCATTAGAATATGAGTATTATGATTTCAGGAGTTGTTGTTTTTTTGGTCACTATGTTTCATTTTAGGTTAGAAGGCTTCCACATTTTCCACTGTCTTTCCTAGTACGACCAGTATTTTCTATCCACGTAGAAGCTCTTCAAAGTTGAGGTGTCCAGTGAAGTCCCCATGTACCATCTCTGTGACCTTGGAACTTACCTCTCTGAGTTTTCTGTAAGACAGGCCAATAACATTGTTGCTTCACCTATTAGGTAGCATAATTATCAGCTGGCATTTAGTTGTTTTCATTGTTTAACTTTAATCAAATCAGTGATGTCCCTCTGTCCAATGTGATAGTCACTAGCCATGGATGGCTACTTAAATTTCCATTAATATGATTAAATCAAATAAAAACTATTCAGTTTGTCAAGTTGCACTACTGCATTTTCAGTGCTCAATAGCCACATCTGAGAACACAGATTTCCATCATTGTAGACAGTTCTATTTGACAGTGCTCCACAAGTATCCATGAAATACCATAATTCATGTAAGGCTAGCACATCAAGTCAGAAGTCTGATCTGATGTGGGGGATGGAACTTTTGACCAAAATCACAGTCTCTTTTCAGTTTTTTCTTCTAAATTCAGTATCTATGAGCTCAGGTTACATTGTGAGAAAAATCTCATCTTGCCTTCTATACTGTCCCTAGCCTCAGACATCCGTAACAATAAAATAGCTATTATCATTAAGAAGAACATGTGACATAATGGCTTTAAGTGCTTCTTGCAATCATTCATCATTTGCAGATGACAAAACTATGAGTCACACAAGTCACAATGCTTTTTAGTGAAATTGTCAGGCATGTGAACCAGACCGATTGGATATGCAATCCTTTGCTTTTATCCTAGATGTCACACTGCCTCACATTCCTAGGATATGCATGCTTTCTAGGAGTAACTTTCCTATGAAAATTTTGTAATGATGAATAGTTTGTAAAGGAAGACCACAAAAAAAATCCTAATCTATACTTGTAATGGATCATAAACCTAGTATATAAAAGGTTAATGAGTATCAATTTCTAATGAAATGTAAATAGTTTTTCTTTGGGATAAAATTAAATTTCTTATTTTTGTTTTATAATCTTAAATCTAGTATCTAATATGTTTGTATATTCTATAATACAATAGATCTTAAGGTTATAGCTATTCGAGCTTATTAAGTAATGTATATTTGTGCTATATGTTCCTTCTTTGGTAATAGAAATATATCAAAGATTATTTTCCTTGAAAAACAATTTTCTCAAAAATTTCCACTTTCCTAACAAGCTAAAGTCACTCTTTGAAGAAATTTCATGTAAACTGTTCCATTAATTTCAAAATAAATTTTATACTAGATTCATAGGCACAACTTGTAAAAAGAGATCCATCTCAGTTGGTGGTATTTATTTCCTTCTGCAATAGAACAATGTAGGTGTAATAGAAAACCAGAAAGAAAAATATCTGTTACTTAAAGAATAATGGTAAGTTAAAACAAAAGTATTTGTTTACTTCTTATGGAAGATGAATGACATTATTTTGTTGTGTACATTCTTGCTTACTTGAAGTACCATTCTGTAAAATGATGAGTGTTTTTGGTTCATGTTTTTGCTCATGTCCAGATATAGACCATTAATCATAGTGTCCACTTGGGTAAGGAGCAGCATTGCAGTAGTTTAGAGCATGCATTAGATATCCAGGCTGCTTAGGTTTGGCTACTAGCTCTGACAATCTATGTGACCTTAAGCAAGTAATGTAACTTCTCTGTGCACCATTTCCTCTGTTGTAGCATGAAAATAATAATTCTACCTTGGCTGAGTAATGAAATTAATTCATAAGAAAAAGGTTTATAATTTTATCTGGAGTAGTAGGCCCTCTGTGTTAGCAATTAACCCCTTAGAGAGGCTTATGAGAAAAAGGTAAAATATATCTATATGAATATATAAGACAAACAATTTTTAATAGAGAACACTAATGATCGTACACTATCTTCAACAGCCTCAATGTCACAAAGCTCAGAATAAAGACTTGTTTAATTTTCTATTTTTGTTTCTTTTATGTTTATACAGTAAATAGTAAATAAGCTACACAACCTAAATGTGCTCTAGAAATAAATTATTCCTCTTTACAATTAAATAGCATAAAAACGAGTGGGTATTTTCTAATATTTTATTAAAAATAAGCCAAATACATTTATATTAGTCAGCTAAAAGGATAAAGTTACTTCAATTCCTTATGCAAATATCTGATGAGATATTGAAGTTTACAACTAGACTTTCCTACACTAGGATCTCATAGTTATTAATTAGGAAATTATAATCATATTTGGGAGAAACCTGATACAATAAACAATCGTAGCTAAAAGTCAGTTGCTTTGTAACTATTAAATATTTTATTGATATTTTAGGTATGAAATCTTTTAATAACATTTCTTATAAAAGTTTTTATTTTAATTTTAAATAACTGCTTGCATCAGTCAAGGTTTGGGCAGTGAAATAGAAACTACGCTACATACTTCAGAAGAGAATTTAATATAGTGATTAGTTTCACGTGTGGAGGACTCATAAGGCAAAAAGGAACACTGAGGTAATGCAAAGACAGAAACTATAGGAAGCAGCTACTAGCTGTAGAAAGCAGAATGATCAGAATCTAGAAGCTTATGGGAGGGGCCAGAAAGAGCTTGCACTCAAACCTCTGAGGAAGGGTTGCTGCACTGCTTGATGCTAGTAAGTTAAGAGCTCCAAGGAAGGGCCCTAGAGGGTTGGGGCTAAAATTGATGAGATAGATAGTGTTGTCCAGCATGTGTGGATACACGTGAGAGAACACAATGAAGTTCGTTTTAAAAGTATCAAAACCTGGAACCAGCTATTGTTACCCAGGTGAAAGATCATTGCTTGGGCTATATTGACAATAGCACTAATAAATAGAAGGGAGTATATCTCTTCTCTCTACCTGTTTCAATATCCTTTCTTCTGTAGTTCCCCGCTAGTGACAAAGGGAATTGGGTGACAAAGAAAAAATGCAGTCTTCGGAGTCCCAGCCTCAGTGTCACAAAGCTCAGATTACAAGGGTAAACAAAGGCTTTATGACTGAAATACACTTAAAAATGAGATTATTGTAAATGTAGACATTCTCAATGCTCTCAATGTATCACATTGCTCTCCTTCTCCCCGCCCTAGAATAGAGTGAACAATTCCTCACCTTTTCCCTGGAACTTGCCTGGTTTTAGCACTGAAAGCTCTGACTGCACCGAAATCCCTTTGTCCTGGGTAAATTAGGATGACTGGCCACCTTATCTTAGAAATTTCTAAATATGGAGAGGGAAATTGACAGATTGGGAGGAAAACAGAAAACAAATTTTGCTGTAAATAGTTCTATATACTTTCCTAGCTTTAATTTGTCATTTTTTAAAAAAAGAAGTGATAATTTGGGATTCTCTATACATCCACTTATCGGTAGGTTCACTCCCCCTTGTTTTTTCCACTATTCTTGTTTGTAGAGGACCACAAAGAAAACAGTGTAGGAGAATGTGCAAGAAGTAAAGTTTTAACTCTGCCCTCACTTGAGTGAAACTGCAAATTATCACTACCTGACTAATACCTGGAGTTGATTTCTTCACATACCAAAAAGCCAGACAATGACAGTCCACTGTATGGTAAAAGCCAGAACTTTAGGAACTGAACATCCCAGTCTCTAAGTTGGATTACTGTTGGAATTATTAGATTAGGCAAAATTATACTAGTTACCACATTATCCATGGATGGCTTCTCCCTTTCACTGTGCTAAAAGTTAGTTTTCCAAGAATTAGAAGTTCAGCTAGAGCATGTCAACATAAGATATTGGTATTTTCTGTGGGAACTGGCAAGATGTAATGTTCTTGCCCGCCTGGTTCATGGTGAATACTTCAGGGTGCCATCCTGTATCTGAGCTATCATTTGACCTCTCTACCAGGCATCTTATGCCATTTGAAGCAAATTACAACCGAAAAAAAAACGTTTTTTTCATAGTTAAAACTGTTTTTCACTTTTGATTTTATTTGCCTTCAGAATATTTTTAATGACATTTGAGCCTCTTAAAAGTCTGGATTTCTTACTATATTGTCAACCTCAGTTCCTACTTCTCTGCTTCTACATTCTTGGTCATCTGGTAGTACTAATTCAAATATTGTATTAATTAAGGTGAAAGCTAATTTAGGATAGTTATAACAAAAAGACACAAGTAAGTGCATTTCTCTCATGAAACAGTTCAGTTAGTTTTGGATAATTAGGCAGTTGTGCTTTGTGAGATCATTCAGGGAGAGATCCCTTCCATCATTTGCTCTGCCATTGGACGTCATACGCCATCATTGGCCATTGGACTCTGGCGTGGTCCACACTGAGCCGCGAATCATCTGCATTTTGGTCTGTACAAAAAGAAAAATGAGATGAAATCCCAGACAGTACTTTCTCTTAGAGCCAGTGAGGAAGCTGCACAAATCACTCTTCATAACATGGGAGGTCGGGATCTGTAACAGGGAGCTGGGAGGCAATTGCACTTACATATTTCAATGTCTATTCAAATAAGAGACCATGAAATTCTTAAGATGAGTGTAGAGTTTTATTCATTTATGTAGTTTCTAAATTTTGCCCATGGTAGGTGATCACTTCCTGTTACTGAATTGATTTGAATAGACTACATGCTTGTGACAGATAATTAAGTACAGAGATTATAACAACCCCAATTTTACAGATGAGGCCCTGAGGCTCTAACAAAATCAAATGACTTTCTTTAAATCTAGTTCATGATGAAACTAGGAATAGAGCAACCTTTTTGATTTCTGGTACAGTTTTATTAAAGTTAGTCAAGCAATGCCGTGGGTCTGCTCTGGTATGAAAATCATTAATTGAAAAACTAAACATTGTCTATTTGAATGACATTATGTTTATTGTGTATGGTGGGATTTTTTAAATATCAACATTTAAAGATATTCTTCTGCATCATTTTGCAGCTTGAAAATATGGAGAAACTTATTCTTTCCTAATTTAGCATAATCTTACAACTGCCAATTGGCCTTTTTCTAGTGAATATTGCCAGCCAGAAATAGCACACTGACACTCGAGAGTCTTGAAATTGAGGCTGTTGCTCCAATACACTATGAAAAATGCTACAAAAATAAAGACTAATTGGCTTATAATTCATAAAATGAATATACTAGAAAAACCTAAATACAACATTTGTTGGGAAGGCTATAGAGATGATGCTGAAATTTAACAGAAAAAAATTATGGAAATTCAGTGGTGATTGACTATAATAGGTATAAATAGTTTCTAGAATCAGTCACCCTAGCTCTACTACTTAACAGCACCATAAATTTTGTAAAGTCACTCTTCCTTTCTAAGCCTCAGCTGCCACATTTCTAAAATAAGAATAACTCTATAAGATCAACTTTCTAAAATAATTGATTTAACACTTTTCCTAGAATGGATTAAACAAATAATAAATGATGACTATTATTACTATTATTATAGATTTAGAGCCCTATGAGACATGACTGTAACTATAATAAGATATTGAAGAAGCTTTGTTTAAATTAGCTAATAATTTTGAAGTTATCAATAAAAATGATTTCTAAATTTCAAGCTTTAGCATTTCTAATATGTTTCTATTTTTTTGCCAACATACAAATAAAAATGACATAGTTTTTGAATTAGTCTACATTATGCTTAAGATAGCTAAGCAAAGCATACAAATCCAGCACACTCCAAGGGGAAAACAAGGAATTGTCAGAAGGGGTAATCACATAGCAATGTAGAAATTGGCAAACACTTCAAAAGTGCTGAAAACCAAATACATATGAGATGGCTATTTTTAAAAAGAAGAAATATGAAAACATTTTTATAGCCAAAATTTTAAGAATAAGATAAATGAAAAAGAGAAGAGATTGAAAAACAGAGAGAAAACAGTTTTCACTGGTATATATCTGAAAATAAAGCATTTTTATTATCTACTACTTTTACCACCAAACTAATGTCAACCCTCGAGCAGTAGGTTCCTTAACAAAATAACAGCCTGAAAGAAATTTTGACTTAGAGAGAGGACAAGTTTCTTCAGATAGCTTTGAAACTTACTATTGGTTGAGTTTTTGAATGGAATAATGTTATTTCTGCAATCAGTTGAGCTAAATGAAAATTATATATCTATTTGAACCACCATAGAATTACGGGAGTTAACACTGATAAACTCTGTCACATGTAGTTTAGGGTTTAAAGGAAAGATCTCCAATGGGTTAATTATGAATACTTTATGGAAATATTTTACAAATGTAGTTTGTAATTACAGATTTGAGATGACACTCAGAAAGCTGGATCCAAAGTTAAAGAGAAGTGTAGACATGAAGCCCCCATAATTATTTCTTCTTAAAACTCGAATTGCATTTTATGCCATTTCAGTCTGTCATGTGAATGTCTCTGTGATTACATTTTCATCTTTTTAATATATGAATGAAATAACATGAATTTAATTAATTTTCATATTAGTTGCATTTGTGATTTTTGAATAAAATCTAAAAACAGACATATCAGAACCAGGTTTTCTTTAAATGTAAATATTCTAATTAAAACATATTTGAACCTATTATCGTTTACTTCTGTCTAGAATAGGAAAATAATCTAGTAAAAAAAGGGAAATGTAAATTAAGAATAAATTGTTCTGTGTTTCAGTGAAACTTCATTTCATTCCAAAAGAGGGATTGTGTTCATATGCAATCTTTCATAGGCTTATATACATTTTTATTAATTTTTTTCTTATATCACTAATTCATTTCACCCTTTACTGATAAGTTATTGCCTAGTTGTTCAAGAAAAATCTTGAAACATATTATGCAAAGGAAACAAACAATATGATTCTATCACATAGAATACAAAATCTGAAAGATGGATTATATGAGCATTCTTCAGTTAATTAATTAGTTTGCACTTTGACCCTTAAAAATTTAAAGTAGGTGTTGAAAATATTAAATAGTTTTAAATCAATTCCTAAGGCCACAGTAATCATGCATAACAAATGGCCACAAAACCCCAGATAACTATTACAATGTGTATATTGCTCCTCCATCTGCAGTAATCAGCTACGCAGTACTGCTGTTCTCAATTGGATCAACTCACATTTTTGCATGTTAGATGGCTGTTAACATACACTGGGGTGACTGGGCTGAGTCAGCTCAGCTCCTCATCTTTCATCCTGCACCAGGCTAGCCTGGCCACACTTTCATGACTGCAAGGGCAGAGGCACAAGAGAAACATACATTGTCTTTGAGGCATAGAGCAAGGATAGTACACAATCATATCAACATCTTATTGGCTAAACAAGTTAAAAGGCTAGGTTAATTTCACAGTTCCGGAAAACTTCTGACTTTTTAGTTACAAGGACCACAGAGTCACATGGCAAAGGGTATGGAACCAGAGGAAAGGAAAGGATTGCCTCCATTTTTAGAATCTATAATTATTTTCATGTTTTTAAATCAATTTCTTTTACACTAAGCCAATCAAATTACCTACGTGCAGAAATTATTCTATAAACAGTTAACTAATGTGTATATCTGCTTTGTATTTCTGAAGTACGAGGCAATTATACTTATTTCCCAAACAAAAAATTTCTACTTAGATTACTTTGATGATCATATTTTACCACTTCTGAAACAAGTTGAACATTAACAAATTAAATTTTAATAAGCTATTGAATCTTTTGTGGTTCTTATATCACATAATGCAGAAAAGCTTTCCAGTAACATAATAAGAATCTTTCCACTTAGCCACTTTTCCAAGGGAAATAGAGTCACAGACATAATTAGGTAAGAACATGTATATGCCTCTATGGGAATTCATAAAAATTATAAAACCAGGAATGTGAAGTGCAAGTAAGCATTAAAATCTACTTCTCTTCAACGCAGTTCTTCAGAATATAATTATGAATTCTTTAAAGATGTGTAACAAATAAAATTATCCTTAATGTCAAGTCTAGAAAGTATAATCTCCCACATAGACCAGAAAATTAAGTTATAGTACTAATATTTTAATTGATTCTTATTACTTCCTATTTACTCTCTCAAATTAGCTTAATAAAGATCTGCATTTTTAGAATCATACCTATACTAATTCAATCATTTTGCATGGGACAGTTTTTACATATTTGTTGAATATCATTAACACCATTGATTTCTTCGAATGCATTCACAATAAATGACATAATGTTTCCAAAAGTAATTGTTGGCCTAACATAGAGGTAATTTAGACTTTACAAAACAAGAATAATTCAGATAAAATTTTAAAAGAAAAATAATATTTTCTATTTGGAAGTTATATTACTGTTTTAATACAGAATTTAAAAAAAGGTTGGATAGATTTGCTGATACTAGCAAATTTAAGAGTATACATGCTCCAAAGGGGAGCATATTTGTCTTGTTCACCACTGGATTGCCAGAGCCTGGAATAGAGCCTGATACAGGGTATGGGCTTAGTAAATAAGGTTTTAATAAAATATCTATTGACTGAATGAATGATGTTATTATGTAATTGAGTAACATTGTTCCTTGATGACATGGGAATAATTGGCAGAGAATTTTCCACAATGCACATAATTAGAAAATAATAAAGACATACTGTAAGAAAGCCATCAGATCCTTCATAAATTTCTTAAAGATGACATGAATAATCCCAAGATATAGATCAGAGCTAAAAAGAATCCATTTAATTTTCAAGTTTTATACATTTTGCAGATTTCTTTTTAGATTCCTGACTGTTTGAACACTTCATTGTCAAATCAAAATGTTTCCTTCAAGTTACTTTGGCAGGTAAAACAGAACATATTCTTAGATTAAAAATCTAAGACTGTGTTTAACTTCAAGCACTTTATACACTAAGGAATTTGTAAAATTGAAGGGAAAATATATTATTTGCTCTAAACCAGGAACTGCATGCCTGTTAAATTTTCCAAAGAACATCCATATACAATATAACTTAGAAAAGTAATGTATTTTCCAACATTTCAAAATTTGCTATTCACAAGCTATCCTAAAGTCAAGAGAAAGTTATTGTTTTGTTATTATGTTACTATAAATTCCATAGTGTGATTCAATATGTACAGAAATGAAAACACTGAATTTCCTATCATTTAAAAACGGTGTATTCTCTTAAAAAATAAAAAAAAATAAAATTTAAATTTACTACAATATGCCTTTTCTATCCACCATATAATAGTTGTTCTAAGAAACACTAAATTAGAAGTTATATAATTACCTAAATTATACAATTTTACTGTTTTCTTGGGCATATTTAATTTAGAAAATTTTAGAGTATCTGATGGGGGAAGTAGAGGAAGTATTAGGGAAGGGACTAACGGATAGACTCAATTACTATAAATTTTCTACTTCTTAGATTGAGTAGATAGTTCATAATAATCTAACTTCATAACAGTATTGTGCTTTATAATTTATATATATTTTCCATATATATTATGCAAGTATCCAATACTGTTAGTAAATGAAGTTCATTTTCAGAGACAAAAAAAATAGTTAAAATTATTTATAAATGCCAATTATGCCGAAGTACTATCAACTCTAAAAATATCTTGCTAAAAGCACATCAGGAGAAACATTTTTCATATTTCCTTCCTAATGAGAAACAAAATCTTATTTTTTGTACATGAAAAGTCTAAATATTATCTAATCAAGGCTTGAATAACATTGTTTCCTGATTACTTGGGTGAAGTCAGTAGATTATATTCTACAATCCACAGAAGTGAAAAATAATAAAGATATGTGATACATTTATTTCATTGAAAGAAAATGTCCACTTACGTTTTTTTGGTTAAAAATTAAAGGAATTTAAAATTTGGAAAAACGCATTTATTTGAGAAAAATATCTATTATATGACAATCCTTGTTTCTAAATATGAGTTTAACGAAAATATGTGTGTATATATTTTTTAATGTGTATAGCATCATATCAAAAGCAAAACCAAAAGTAATTAATAGCATTTAGTGTAAGTGTTAGATAAACTCAACAATTCACACAGTTATCAATAACTTACAACTGTAAACTACAATATATAACTTAATTCAGTTGTTAAAATGTAATAAGGTGATGTATACACAAAGTATAGAATTAGCGCTGAGACAGAAATAATGTGGAATGGATAAAAATGTAACTGGGTGAAACAATGATAGAAAAAGAATCCATTTCAGATATCTAGAAAATTTATATGCAAAACTCATGTGAAATTAACATCCAATATATTTTTAAAATAAAATTAATTTTGAAAAATTGTAATACTATATTAAAATTATATTGTTAATTTCAATGTCATTCTGGAAAAAACATTGCAACAAAAAATGAAGCATGAATCCTGAAAATTGTTTCATAATGTCCTTTATGTCTTTCTTCTTTCTTCTTATTTCAGAGAATTGGCATTTCTCCATTCTTACCCACTCGTTAACTTACCTTAGACAGATTTTTACTGGTTGTAAGTAAGAAGAAATCAACTCACATTATTTTAAGCAAAAAACAAAAAGGCATTACTAACACCTGTAATGAGTAAGCCAAGAAAAGACATATGATCTTTGATATTTACGGGTCCAGGAATTATACAATATCAGAAGGGGCATCAAATCTCTCTGTCCCTTGATTCTACTTTGTACTGTTTGTGGAAATACCATCAGGCCAGCTCTACTTACAGAGTAAGAATGATGACTACTGGCAGATAGGTAGATGCAGGCTTACATTCCCTCAGCTTGGTTAATCTGACAAAAAAGGGTAGGTATTTTAAGCAGTAATGTAGAAAAGTCCCCAGGGCTAATGTTCATGGCCTTTAGTTTTATGTATATTTCTGAAACAATCGCTGTGCTAGAAACTCTTACTGGCTCAAGACCTAGTTATGGTTTAAAATTGAAAAATATGTTTCTTAAAAGAAAAATCAAATGCAATAACCAAAATAAAGATAAGCATATTCTGGGCTCAAAAGCAACAAATAAAAATGCCTTTAAAGCTTTAGCACCTAATAATAAAACATATACTTTTCCACCACATGTATAAATTTTGAAATGTCCCAGCATTCACCTCCTTCTTTGTATTTCTATCTAGTCTTTCTCTTTTTTCACACCAAAAAAATGTTATTTTTCCAAAATACAGATCTGTACATATCACTGATCATCTCAAAAAACAATTTTATTATTACATACAGAAAACCAAAATCCCCCAAAATATTTATCCAGGTCTTATTTTAACTGTATTAATACAGAGTCACCATAATGGATAAACTGGACCAGATCTCCGTGCTCAGGAATGTTTAAGTCTAGGGAAAGACACAATTTAGCATGCAATTGCACCAAATAGTCTCCACGAAAGGAGAATTGAGAGTGCTATGTTGGCTCAGGGCCAAGAGACAGAATTCAGCACAGGCCAGAAAGCCACTGGGAATGTCAAGAGTAGCATCCTAGGCCGGGCGCGGTGGCTCACGCTTGTAATCCCAGCACTTTGGGAGGCCAAGACGGGAAGATCACGAGGTCAGGAGATCGAAACCATCCTGGCTAACACGGTGAAACCCCGTCTCTACTAAAAATACAAAAAAATTAGCCGGGCGTAGTGGCGGTCGCCTGTAGTCCCAGCTACTTGGGAGGCTGAGGCAGGAGAATGGCGTGAACCCGGGAGGCGGAGCTTGCAGTGAGCCGAGATCTCGCCACTGCACTCCAGCCTGGGCAACAAAGTGAGACTCCGTCTCAAAAAAAAAAAAAAAAAAAAAAAGAGTAGCATCCTAAAAAAAAGTAACACCTAAATTGTCCAGAATGATGAGAAGAAACTACGTTGGTGCTTGTGGGAAGAAAGTGTTCCAGGTTAAAGAAATAGCGGTTCCAGACACCTAGAATTAAGAGTAAAAAAGGTTTATTGGAGGAATTGAAAGGCATTCAACATAGCGGGATTATGGTGTAAAATATAAAGGGATTCGTGGGAGTTGAGAGAAGAGAAATAAAGATAGGTTACAAAAGGATATTTAAATGCTCTGTAATATGGCTTTTGCATGTAAGTCTTTTCAAAACTTATCCTTCATTTATTTCTCATATCATTCTCTTTCTTCCCTTTAGAATTATAAGCATCTGATAAACTGATACAATGAAAAAGATTCTAAATACCTCAATTTTCTTAAATATAATACTTTAGAAAATGAGAGTGTCTACCTCTTAAAGTCAATATGGATTAACTGAGTTAACACAGACAATCTATTTAGGACAGTGCCTGATATATACAGGCATGCCTTTTTTTAATTGTGCTTTGACTTATTTTGCTTGTCAGATATTATGCTTTTCAAACATTGAAAGTTTGTGGCAAACCTGCATCCAGCAAGACTATCAGTGCCATTCCTCTAACAGCAGGTGCCCACTTCATGTCTCTGTTTCACATTTTAGTAATTTTTCCAATATTTCGCACTTTGTCATTATTATCATATATGTTATGTTGATCTATGATCAGTGATCTCTGGTGTTACTACTGTAATAGTTTTGGGGTGCCCCAAACTTTACTCACCAATATAATTCAGCAAAGTTAATTCACACACATTGTGTGTTCTTACTGTTCCATCAACAGCTCATTTTCCATCTCTGCCTCTCCTCAGACCTTTCTATTCCTTGAGACACAATAATATTGAAATTAGGTCAATTAAAAACCCTACAGTGGCCACTGAAGATTCAAATAAATGCAAGAGTCACATTCTCAATTCAAAAACTAGAAATGATTAAACTTAGTGAGAAATATATGGTGAAAGCCAAGATAGATCCAAAGTTAAGCCTGTTGCACCAGTTAGTGAAGTTGTTAATGTAAAGGAAAACTTTTTGAAGGAAATTTAAAGTGCTACTCCAATGAAAACACAAAAGATAAGAAAGCGGAAGAGGCTTATTGCTGATATGGAGAAAGTTTAAGTGATCTGGGTAGAAAATCAAGCCAGCCACAACATTATCTTAAGTCAAAGTTCATTCCAGAGAAAGATTCTAACTTCCTTCAATTCTATGAAGCCTGAGAGGGCAGGAAGCTACAAGAGAAAAGTTTGAAGTTAGCAGAGCTTGGTTCATGAGGTTTAAAGAAAGAACATACAAGCGCAATAACATACAAGCGCAATATGAAGCAGCAAGTGCTTATGGAGAAGTTGCAGCAAGATATCTAGATCTAGCTAAAATCATTGATGAAGGTAGCTAAACTAAACAACAGATTTTCGGCGTACATGAAACAGCCTTCTGGCTGGGCGTGGTGGCTCATGCTTGTAATCCCAGCACTTTGGGAGGCTGAGGCGGGTTGATCACCTGAGGTCAAGAGTTTGAGACCAGCCTGGCCAACATGGTGAAACCTCATCTCTACTAAAAATACAAAAATTATCCAGGTGTGTTGGTGGGTGCCTATAATCCCAGCTACTCTGGAGGCTAAGGTAGGAGAACCACTTGAACCCAGGAGGCAGAGGTTGCAGTGAACTGAGATGATTGGGCCATTGCACTCCAGCCTGGGCAACAGAGCAAAAACTCCATCTAAAAGGAAAAAAAAAATAGAGAGACAGCCTTCCATTGGAAGGAGATGTAATCTAGGACTTTCATAGCCAGAGAAGAGAAGTCAATGTCTGGCTTCAAAGCTTCAAAGAAACAGGCTGACTCTTTCTTTTTTTTTTTTTTTTTACTTTAAGTTTTAGGGTACATGTGCACAACATGCAGGTTTGTTACATATGTATACATGTGCCATGTTGGTGTGCTGCACCCATTAACTCGTCATTTAACATTAGGTATATCTCCTAATGCTATCCTTCCCCTTCCCCCCACCCCACAACAGGCCCCGATGTGTGATATTCCCCTTCCTGTGTCCATGTGTTCTCATTGTTCAATTCCCACCTATGAGTGAGAACATGTGGTGTTTGGTTTTTTGTCCTTGCGATAGTTTGCTGAGAATGATGGTTTCTAGCTTCATCCATGTCCCTACAGAGGACATGAACTCATCACTTTTTATGTCTGCATAGTATTCCATGGTGTATATATGTCACATTTTCTTAATCATGTCTATCATTGTTGGACATTTGGGTTGGTTCCAAGTCTTTGCTATTGTGAGTAGTGCCGCAATAAACATATGTGTCCATGTGTCTTTATAGCAGCATAATTTATAATCCTTTGGGTATATACCCAGTAATGGGATGGCGGGTCAAATGGTATTTCTAGTTCTAGATCCCTGAGGAATCGCCACACTGACTTCCACAATGGTTGAACTAGTTTACAGTCCCACCAATAGTGTAAAAGTGTTCCTATTTCTCCACATCCTCTCCAGCACCTGTTGTTTCCTGAGTTTTTAATGATCGCCATTCTAACTGGTGTGAACAAGGGCCAAAATTGACAAATGGGATCTAATTAAACTAAAGAGCTTCTGCACAGCTAAAGAAACTACCATCAGAGTGAGCAGGCAACCTGCAGAATGGGAGAAAACTTTGCAATCTACTCATCTGACAAAGGGCTAATATCCAGAATCTACAATGAACTCAAACAAATTTATAAGAAAAAAACAACCCCATCAACAAGTGGGCGAAGGATATGAACAGACACTTCTCAAAAGAAGACATTTATGCAGCCAAAAGACACTTGAAAAAATGTTCATCATCACTGGCCATCAGAGAAATGCAAATCAAAACCGCAATGAAATACCATCTCACACCAGTTAGAACAGGCTGACTCTTGACGGGGCTAAGGCAGCTAATGACTTCAAGTGGAAGCCAATGCTCATTAACCATTTCAAAAATCCTAGGGCACTTTAGAATTATGCAAAATTTACTCTGCCAGTGCTCTATAAATAGAAGAAAGAAGCCTGGATGACAGCACATATGTTTGTAACATGGCTTACTGAATATGTTAAGCCTACCGTTGAGATCTACTGCTCAGGAAAAAAGATTCCTTTTGAAATACTATTGTCCATTGACAATGCACCTAAGTGACTCAAGAGCTCTGATGGAAATGTACAAAGATATTAATGTTGCTGAGCCTGCTAGCACAACCGGCATTCTGAAGCCCAAAGTATCAAGGTATAATTTTGACTTTCCAGTCCTATTCTTTAAGAAATACATTTTGTAAGGCTATACTTGCCATAGATAATGGTTCCTCTGATGAATCTGGGCAAAATAAATTGAAAACCTGCAGGAAAGGATTCACTATTCCAGGTGTCATTAAGAACATATGTAATTCATGGGAAGAGGTCAAATATCAACATTAACATGAGTTGGGAATAAAGTTTTTGCAACTCTCATGGGTGACTGAGAGTTTCAAGATGTCAGTGGAGGCAACAACTACAGCTGTGTTTAAAATAGGAAGAGAACTAGAATTCAAAATGGAGCCTGAAGATGTGACTGAATTGCAACAATCTCATAATGTAACTTTAAGATGAGGAGTAACTTTTTATGGATAAGCAAAGCAATTGTTTTCATAAGATGGAATCTAATTCTGGTGAAGAATCTGTGAACAGTATTGAAGTGACACCAAAGGATTTGGAATATTACATAAACTTAGTTGCTACAGCAGTGCAGGATTTGAGTGGATTGAATCCAATTTTGAAGAAAGTTTGATTGTGAGTAGAATTAAACAGCATCATATACTGCAGGGGCATCTTTTGTGAAAGGAAAAGTTAATCAGTATGGCAAACTTCATTGTTGTCTTATTTGTAGAAATTGCTATAGCTAGCCTCTCCTTCAACAACCCAATTCTGATCAGGCAGCAGCTACCAACACTGAGGCAAGACCTTCCTCCTGCAAAATGATTATGACTTACTGAAGACTCAAAATACCATTAGAAGTTTTAGCATATTTTTAAATTAGGATATATACATTGCTTTTCTAGACATAATATTCTTGTACAATTTATAAACTATGGTGTAAACATAACTTTTACATGTACTAGGAAACTAAAATATTGTGTGACTTACTTTATTGTGATATTTGCTTTAATGTGATGGTCTTGAACCAAACCTGCAATATCTCCAACTTATATCTTTAATTGGTTATGTATAACTGACGTTGTTATAACTGAAATCTGTCTTACATTTTTCCATTTCTTTATCTTTGATCAAGTTGCTTGTCTTGGCATGAATTATTTTTCTCCCCATATCTACATGCCATCTCAACATCATCATCTTTAAAAATACCTTTCACATCTTCCAATTTCCATAGCTCATGCTGGCCTCTATTATGTGTAATACTGAATACACACTGCCTTGAGTTGAAATTATTTACATTTAGGTCTTTCTACCTATGACCTACTGTAGATATTCTTCATCTGTGTCCTCCATAGCATGTAGCCTAGCTATGCTAATATGAATGCACATTTTTTATTTCTACTGAACCCAGACATTAGAGGAATATAAGATTCAAAATCATCAGTCACACACAAATATACACAAATACTGAAAATTGATGTAAAAATCTCACTTTTTTCAACCTCTAGTTATAAATGTCTGAAGGTCATAGGGTACATAGGCAGATATATATATATTCATATATATATTCACATATATATTCATATATGTGTTCACATATATATGTGTTCACATATATATTCATATATGTGTTCACATATATTCATATATGTGTTCACATATATATTCATATATGTGTTCACATATATATTCATATATGTGTTCACATATATTCATATATGTGTTCACATATATATTCACATATGTGTTCACATATATATTCACATATATATATTCACATATATATTCACATATATATTCATATGTATATTCACATATATATTCACATGTATATTCACATATATATTCACATATATACATAAATATTCATATATATTCATATATATTCATATATATTCATATGTAATTCATATATATTCATATATATTCATATGTAATTCATATATATTCATATATATTCATATGTAATTCATATATATATTCATATATATTCATATATATTCATATATATATTCATATATATATTCATATATATTCATATATACATCTATTCATATATATTCATATATATTCATATATATTCATATATATATTCATATCATATATATTCATATATATTCATATATATTCATATATATATTCATATATATATTCATATATATTCATATATATTCATATATATATTCATATATATATTCATATATATATTCATATATATATTCATATATATATTCATATATATATTCATATATATATTCATATATATATTCATATATATTCATATATATTCATATATATATTCATATATATATTCATATATATTCATATATATATATATTCCTTTGTGAAAGGAAAAGTCAATCAATATGACAAACTTCACTGTTGTTGTCTTATTTGTTGAAATTGCTATAGTGAGCCCCTCCTTCAGCAACCACAATCCTAATCAGGCAGGGGCTACCATCTTTGAGGTAAGACTTTCCTCCTGCAAAAAGATTATGACTTACTGAAGGCTCTCTCTCTCTGTGTATGTATGTGTGTGTGTATATATATATGTACAAATAATTTTAACTCAATATGTATATATATATGCAAATAAATTTAACTCAAGGCAACCTGTGTTAAGTGCCATATGCAAGAGAGGCCAACAATGAGCTATATGAGGAATGGAAGATTTCAGAATTATTGTTAGATTCTGGAAGATGGGCTGAAATTTATATTTGTATGATCTGTAGTCAAATGATTAAATATTTAAGTCCAGAGTGTAAACTAAATGTAAAGACAGAAAATTACCAGTGATTAAAGAATAAGGTGTTTTTCAGTGCTTTTGGAATGCATTTAAAAATCAAGTAGATAAGAAAATCTATGTGGTAGTTAGGATCTTACTTTGCTACGTTTACTTCCATTAACTGCCATCTAATTAGGAAAACAAGATTTAGTCTAAGGATATATATATATTTTTAACATATAAATTGCCATTTTTCTAAATATAGAAAATAACTCAATTTCATTAATTCAGATTAATTTACTCCTTAAATATTAAATAAACACTTACGTACTACTGTTTAAGTACTGATCTAAACTCTTTCTAAGAATAATTTTATTTCATTCTCAAAAAACCACTCCTACTATTATTACCATTTTACAGGTGAGGAATTTGTCCATATGGATGCTAATCAACTTGCTGAAGCTTATGCCACCAGTAAAAGGCAGAGCCAATATTCCAACCCAGACAGATTGGCTCCAGAATACAAAGTGTGAAAAACACCATGGTATGCTGCTTATGATGTTTAACAATATAACTAAGCATAGAAAATAGGGGTTATAAGTTACTTTTGTAATGTTTATTAATACTTAGTATCTTTATAATGCTACCTACCATAGCCTTTTAGAACTAGACATGTGATATGGTTTGGCTGTGTCCCCACCCAAATCTCATCTTGAATTGTAGCTCCCACAATTGCCACATGTCTTGGGAGGGACCCAGTGGGAATGACCCACATGTCATTTAATTATGGGGACAGGTATTTCCAATGTTATTCTCATGATAGTGAATAAGTCTCAAGAGATCTGATGGTTTTATAAAGGGCAGGTCCCCTGCACACGATCTCTTGCCTGCTGCCATGTAAGATGTGACTTTGCTCCTCCTTCACCTTCCATCATGATTCTGAGGTCTCCCCAGGCATGTGGAACTGTGAGTCCATTAAACATCTTTGTTTATTAATTACCCAATCTCAGGTATGTCTTAATTAGCAGTGTGAGAACAGACTAGTATAACATGATTATTTTATGTGGTGTTAATGACCTACTAGAATGTATTCGATGGATATGGCAATACATAGAAAAAGCTTTTTCATGGCACATAATAGTTTATATCAACTGGTGTATTCACAGGTTTGTTTTCTGTGTAACTAAAAACAATGGATGCTGATATGGTTTGGGTGTGTTCCCACCCAAATCTCATGTTGAATTCTAGTTTCCATAATCCCCACGTGTCATGGGAGAGACCCAATGGGAGGTAATTGAATCATGAAGGTGGTTACCCTCATTCTGTTTTCATGATAGTGAATGAGTTATCATGATATCTGATGGTTTTATAAGGGGATTTTTCCTCTTCTCTTGGCACTTCTCTCTCCTGCGCCACATGAAGGACGTGTTTGCTTCCACTTCCACCATGATTTAAGTTTCCTGAGGCCTCCCCAGCCATGCAAAACTATGAGTCAATTAAAATTCCTTCCTTTATAAATTACCAGTCTCGGGCAGTTCTTTATAGCAGTGTGAGAATGGACTAATACAGATGCATTTTTGAATGTGTGAACTATTGTGAGCATGTTTCAAGCCAAACTTCCTGAACATTATTTTCCAGATAAAAGAAATTATTTCTACTCACAATTTTCAAAACCAAACATTTTTACCTCAAACCTATAAATATAAAATTAATGCTTTCACGTCTTTGTTTTTCTATCATTTTTGTCATCTTTCTGATTGCTGATTTTTCATTTATTATTAAGTTCTCCTCCTTTAACACTTTCATATGCATACTTCAAAGAACATTGTTCCTTAATCAAGACAGATTTGAAATAGTTCCTATTCTGTAGCACACAATGTTCTAGTTGCCTTTTCTTATTGGTAGTTGATGCACAAAACTAGAAGGTAAAGGGGAAAAAAAGTCTGTTTCTTCTGAGAAGCTGTTTAAGAATGAATAAGTACTGAGAAGAAAAAGAACAATGGATAAAGAAAAAACACACAAAAAAGATGAGGAAAAACTGTTGAAAATATGTTATTGGCTATTTGAAAAATCCTTATGCTTTTAAGTACCTTTCCAATCTATAAAATAAAAACTTGAATATGGTGGCTCTGAACCTTAACCTTCTATCCGATAGATAGCTAATGCCTCTCAGAACTAGTAATGGTAGATCAATGACCATTTAATGACATTATAAACATTGATGTGATTATACCAAGAAGGTTAGAAAAGTTACTATTATGGATCAAATGGAAAACCAGTTAAAATCAGTTTGGTAACTATAACTTCAGGAAAGAGAAGTTTAGACACAGGAAAGTGTTTGAGAGTTTCCTATAAAATATCCTGAGACACTGATGTTCAGTGATGCGTTCCTTACTAGGGAAATCCAATGTAATTTTCATTTAAAAAATAATGGTACACTGATTTTTTCAAAGCTAATATTTACAATGATGTTCAATCCTATTATTATTCCTGTGGTTTTTAAAGGATTTTAAAATTATGATAATTATTTCCTCGAAAGTCATCTAAGGTTAAATATTAGGTGCATTTCATCTTAGGATATTTTAGTGCCCTCTAGTGTGCAGATATTTACAATAGCATTTTATCTTCTAACTTATGTGATTGCTTTAAAAATGCAAGATTTAATAAATGGCGATTTTGGATCGATATGAAGTGAGTGAAAGAAATTCAGCTTGGAAAGCAAATTAGAGCCAGATGTCAAATCAACCTAAATATAAAACACAACAAAATGTAACTTTTTTTTGCTTCTTTTCTTCCATTCAGATTGAACGGCCCCATTTCCACTTCTTGAATGCCAGACAGGACTTCTCATTTGCATTAATCCATCTTTAGATTTCAAAGGTTCAGCCAAGGTAGACTGTGGCTTTTACCCTTTTAAATACTGGGAGTTTCATGTTTTCTGCTGTGTGCATATATGAAATAGGGTAAACATTTCACTAAAATGGGTGCCTCCTCCAAATCTACTAGCCTCCAACACACTAAAACATTTAATCTGTGATTAGAGCAGTTTGTTTGTGCCAAGTAAAAGGAGCCTAACCTAAAGCCTCCTTCCATTCCTACAAAGGAATTGTTTTTAAAACAATGATGAGATTTTAAGAGATGCCACTATTCAAAAACAAATCAGGGTCTGTGGGGCACCAACAGAATGGATTTGAGTCAAAATCAAAGTTTAAGCTAAGTTTGGGAAATCATTTTAATGAAGATCTTTTGAACTTTACTTTAAATCCAGTGATAGACCCATCAAGAGCATTAAGAGGGTAATTATTCTTTATCTATCAATGGCCAATATCAACAAACAAATCTTCTACATTGAAAAGATATAATGGAGCCTATCTACCAGCATTCTTTTAATTTCCTATGTGAATCTATGACTTTTAAATTAGATACAGTCATATAGAAAACATGGACAAATTTATACTATTAATACTAGATAATCTGTGAATGCCTCTCAAAACTGACTTGCTTCACCTTTCTTGTATTTACTGAAAAGGGAACAACAGCAAAATGGAGTAACTCCAAATTGTTTGGTGGTTTTCCATATCAGAAAATGTCCACTAATATGAAGAACTATTGCTGAATATTCAAGAGACATTCAAATGTCAGGTAACGATATTTTATTTGGCAATGCTATATTCTTATTGTGATCCAAATTGCATGAACAATGATATCTGTTAAAATTAAAAAGAATTATTTTGTCTGTGTTTTGGCAAATCTACATGTTTCCTGTGTGTAGCTATGAGATGAAGCCATAAAATTTAGGGGATTGCAGCATTAGAAGAAAATAACATTGCCACACAATTTTGAGTCTAAATGAAAATTCAGTTGATATTTTCAATATTTTAAGATAAAATATTAATAAGTATGTCATTCAGTCAATCTTCTACTTATCAATAATAAATATAACACGTTAGTATATATTTCATAATACATTACTCAAACAAACTGAGTTTTCCTAACTTGCTACACTGAGGAAACATTACATATGGCTTTATCTCTAAAATGTACCAAGGAGCTAGAGAGCCATGGAACCTGATGTGAAGTAACTTGTTTCACAACATAGTAAAGCCTCCAGACAAGCCAGATAGTACTAAAGCTCAAGAGTTCATTGGAACATTCTGTTAGGTGAATCTACTCCATTCCTACCTCACAGGTTGGGAGTAATTTTTACCATTTGCCATGGATTAATTATTTGTTTGTACAGAAAAGTAGTTACAACCTTGATAAACTGTCAGTAGAAAAACAGTGTTTGGAGCATTGCTTTCTCAACATCTTTTTTTTTTTTTTTTTTAAGAGACAGGATGGCAGAGACATGGATGGAGCTGGAAGCTATTATCCTCAGCAAACTAATGCAAGAACAGAAAACCAAACACCACATGTTCTCGCTTATAACTGGGAGCCGAACAATGAGAACACATGGAAACACTGTAGGGAACAACACACACTGGGGCCTGTTGGAAGGTGGGAGGCGGGAGGCGGGAGGAGGGAAAACAACAGGAAGAATAGCTAATGGGTGCTGGGCTTAATACCTAGGTGATGGATTGATCTGTGTAGCAAACCACCATGGCACACGTTTACCTATGTAACAAACCTGCACATCCTACACATGTACCTCATACTTAAAAGTTGAAAAAATAAATAAATAAATAAAATACAGGGTCTCACTCTGTCACCCAGGCTGGGGTACAGTAGTGTGATCATAACTCATTGCAGCCTTGAATTCCTGGGGTCAAGCAATCCTCCTGCCTCGGCATCCTGAGTAGCATGACCACAGGTGCAGGCCACTACACCCAGCTATTTTTTTTTTTTAAATTTAGTTGTAGAGATGTGGGGTCTTGCTATGTTGTTTGGGCTGGTCTCCAACTCCTGACCTCTGGCGATACTCCCAGTTCAGCCTCCCAAAGCACTGGGATTACAGGTGTAAGCCATTGCACCCAGCCCTCAAAATATAAGTTTTATCTTACATAAGAGAGAAGGATCAATAGCAGGCAGTGCTTCAAGCCATTATATATTTTTATCTTGCTACTTACTAGTTTATGGCATTTCTATCTGAAAATAAGTGTCCCCATTAAAGAAGGAAATGTTATAAATAAATAAGCTTAGTATTGTCAATCTTCTCTGGTATGAAAGAGCAAACCAAATCATCTTACTAGGGGAGTATGGACAGAGTCATGTTCACAGACCATGCCTGTGGATAAAACCTTTTGTTTTTCTGCCCTCCTTAAACAAAAGAGAATAAACTGCAGTTCTGCACAGGTTTTGAAGCAATTCAAGCAAAGTACCTCATTAGTTAAGGGCTGAGACATGTGAGTAATATCTGAATTACTATGTAATGTTATTTAAGAATAATATTAATAAATTAAAGGAATAAAATCAATGAACTACTCTCATTTTTTTCAATAAAATCTCTGCTCTCCAACAAATGCTAGTCTTTTGCTATTTCAAATATTTTATTCTTTTGCTTTATAAAAATTATTAATAAATTAATGATGATGAAAGCAGAGAGAGAGCTCTCATTCTTCAACCAAGAATTTTACCCAAATAAATATGCAAAAATTCTGTATATAAAAAACAGAGTTAGAAGCAATAATGTTTCTTGAATGGCAACACAGCTCTCCAGTACAAATAAGTAAATAACATAATAATGAGGGAACAATTGATCTCTTTATTTATACCACCAAAAATATGCCATGTTAAAAGCCAAAAGCACACAAAAAAACTGATATCACACACCTCTTGGCAAATTTGCTGTCTATATTATTAGCTAGGGCTTTAATTTAAACCCAGGAAAAATGTTTTCATTCTAAGCTAGAGGCAGTCCTCATTTTCTGTTCTTTTGGGCCCCTGGCCTTAGTTGTCTACAGCTTATGGCTCAATTATGAGAGAATAATGAAGTAAACATATGTAAGCATGGGTCAATTTTTAAAAAACTCAACCTTCAATTCCAGACTCTGCAAAACTAGAGGAATTTTGAAACTGGGGAGGAATTTTTGACCCGTATAGTGCTCTAGGAAGTGAAAGAAAGAGAAAATACCTCACACAAGATGCAAAATACAATGGGAATATTCATGAGGATAATGGTCTCTGAATTGTCTGTGCTAATTATAATTGCTTCACTCTTACAATTTTTGTCTTATTCTGTCTCTGAGGAGCACATCCAATTTGCACATGGAAGCCCCACACAGTAAAGAGTTGCAGTCGTATAAGGATATTTTTATTCTTTATTTTTTCAAGCTCCAGAGCACAGTCTGATACTCCCCCCCATCACCCCTCTATATTGGAATCACCATGTGTGGGATCCTTATTGTATGCCTGGAAGGAACCATTTTGCCCCAGACCTCTATAATAGTTTCTCTTTTTTTTTTTTTTTTTAACTTTTATTTTAAGTTCAGTGTTCCAAGTGCAGGTTTGTTACATAGATAAACTTATGTCATGGGTGTTTGTTGTACAAATTATTTCATCACCCAGGTATTAAGCCTAGTACCTGTTAGTTATTTTTCCTGATCCTCTCCCTCTTCCCACCCTCCGCCTTCTGAAAGGCCCTAGTGTGTGTTGTTCCCTGCTATGTGTCCATGTGTTCTCATCATTTAGCTCCCACTTTTAAGTGAGAGCATGTGATATTTGGTTTTCTGTTCTCTTCTAAAGAAGTGAGGCAGCCAGCTTTTAGAAAATGCCTTTAATTCTTCTTGGACATAGTACAGTGTGCTCAATGGGTGCAGCACACCAGCATGGCACATGTATACATATGTAACTAACCTGCACATTGTGCACATGTACCCTAAAACTTAAAGTATAATAATAATAAAATAAAATAAAATAATAATAAAGCCTTAATAATAGGAACAATAATAATAATTCATAAAAACCCCCAATTCACAATTGTCTCCCTCTTCTCACAACTATTCTTACACTTCAAATACTATGTGTAAAACAAACTTTGCATAGAATACACTAATCAAAATGGTTCCTTTATTCCTTGCTTCTTACTGGGGACATAATTAGAGTGACTTGCTACCTCTTTTTCATTTTTCAGCCTTTATATAAAAATATATTACACAACACACATTCAGCACACATTGTCTGCTCACAAAATTTCAAAACTGCACACTGAACCTTTTATTATCAAAGGTGTCATGTTTCCATTAAAAGCAACCACAATAATAAAATACTGCTAGTGTTATAGTCTGAAAGTTTGTGTCCCCCCAAAATTTATATGTTGGAATTCTAACACCCAAGGTGATGCTATTAGGAGGTGGGGCCTTTGGGAGGTAATTAGGTCATGGGAGTAGAGACCTCATGAATAGAATTAGTGCCTTTATATAAGAGACTCTAGAGAACTTGTTATTCCCTTCAGCCATGTGAGGACATGGCAAAATGATGGCTATCCATGAAGCAGGAAACAGGGCCTCACCAGACACAGTCTTTGCCAGTGCATTGATCTTGAACTTCCCAGCCTCCAGAACTATGATAAATACATTTCTGTTGTTTATAAACTACTCAGGCTATAGTATTTTGTTGCAGCAGTCTGAATGGACTAAGACAACTAGTACACCATGCAGGATTTGCTCAGTGCTGGCAATGCAAAGAAGATTAAGACATTTATAAAATTTTGAACTAAATCCAGGTTTATCTCTTTCAAAATATTATCTGCATCATAAACTGAGATAGAGGTGAATTTTAACCTTTTAACAGGGCACTCACAGTCTTTTAACATCTGGACCTGTGGCAGCTTCTCTCCTGTTGCCCCCTTCACTCCTGATCTCTGACTGTCATCTGACCTGTGTGGCCCAGGACTCCCTAAGCATGCGTTCCCATTGCAACTCTTGTGCCAGAATATCCTCCTTTCCCTGTTTGAAAATGATCAACTTATATTTTTACATCTCTGCTCAAATATTACATACTTTGAGGGGAAAATGCCTGATTCCAACAGGAAAAGTTAATGGCACTGTTTAAGGTACCCACATAAAACTCTGATAATAGCATTCATTGTATTGTATGCTGTAATGTAATATCTATTTACAGGTCTGTCTTTTTCAACACACTGTAAATGACTTGGGGCTATGTTCTTTTCACCTTTTTAAACATATTGTCTGCTTAAAGGGTTTTATCTATGTGAATGAATCAATCAATCAACAGGGTCTGCTATATTGTCACATTGCTAAAGCACCTCTGGTTTCCATGAGGCAAAGCTATATCTCTTTTGTTCATCAGTATTTATCCTATCCGAGAGCACTTACTCCATGAGAAAATATTGACACACTAATATATGAACAAATTACTTCTAACTGTTTTTAATATTTATATGATTTTTAGAATATGCTTCAATTATAATTTTTATTTTTCTCACTTCAAAAATATACTTAAATTTTCATATCTTTTTACAATGTAATTTGTATCTATTTCTCATATGTTTGAATCATAACTGCCTTATAGAAAAATCTTAACACTTTGTATTAGCCTGTACAAGCAGAGTTCTAATAAAAGTTAATAGAATGAGACATAAAAACAATATACAAGTGAGGTAGTAACAAATATTGTCAGTTTAAAATAAATATTTCATATTCTGCTTTGAATAGTTTGAAACTTTCATATCTCCAGAAGGGAAGAATGTATTTCCTCAAAGCTAGCAATTCCCAAAAGTAAGGATCTTAAATGTTTCAACAAATAACCGGCACAGAGTTCTTGCTTAAAATCTCTCACTTCAAGTATACCCTGGCCAGACTTCATCCCAAGCAAAACAGAAATTAGTCCTTAAACTGAATGCCTGAAGACAGTGAAAAAAGAACAATCAGACAGCCACAAACAGGTTCTGGTTATCCTTTGCTATCAAGAAGGCAAGCTAAAGTTTTTCAAACACTTGAAGCTATTTTATTTAGTGGTATCTTTGGCTAAGCTTATTGTTTTTTACATTCATGTTTACAAATTGCAAATCTTCTTAGTGAGAAAACTACCCACACCCCTCATAATTTGTGACTTAAGGAAAATAGACTACTGGGACATAATGTGCTGCAGTGTTACTTAACATTTTTCCTTCATGTCAGAACATTCTAAACTTTAAAGTAATTATCAAACACAATGAAAGAAAGAAAGAAACAAACAATAATCTTTAATCTTTTTTTTTTCCTTTGAGACGGAGTTTCTCTCTTGTTGCCCAGGCTAGAGCGCAATGGCATATGGCATGGTCTCGGCTCACTGCAACCTCTGGCTCCAGGGTTCAAGCGATTCTCCTGCCTCAGCCTCCTGAGTAGCTGGGATTACAGGCACATGCCGCCACGCCCAGCTATTTTTTTGTATTTTTCGTAGAGACAGGGTTTCTCCATGTTGGTCAGGCTGGTCTTGAACTCCCGACCTCAGATGATTTGCCCGCCTTGGCCTCCCAAAGTGCTAGGATTACAGGTGTGAGCCACCGCACCCAACCAATAATTTCAAATAGTTGATTTTGTGTATCAACTATGGGTCTGGCTAATGTCCTTCTACAACAGCTAAATAAAATTATAATGTTTCTGATAATAGTTCAGGAAATTGTGACCTAATTATAAATGACCTTTTCTTCTAGAATTTTGCTTTCACTTAACAGAATGCAAGTTGTAGACATTCTGGTTACTTCTATTTATATGTGTTATGGTAAAAAGGTGATAGATGCCTTTAACTCAATTATTGCGCAAATTAATCTGTATGGGCTAATACTGCAGAATCTGGCAATTTAAGTAGTGTAGAGAGAACCTACTGTTTTATTTGTTAAAGGTATCAAAAGCTCCTGGAAATATAGTCAAATAAAATAGACCTGTATGGAAGTATTAATTACTTAGTGCTTCAACAAAATAATGTGATTTTGAGTAATTAAAGGTCTGGAGAAGGAAAAAAAAAATGTATGCAAACGGCTGCCTGCTTCTATCAGTAGGTAAGCCAACATGATAATAGCCCTCAGAATTTTAAGTAATACAATTTGTCTTACTATGGGAATGCTCAAAATATAGTCTAAAAACTTTGCTAATGGTTCCCATGAGCAAGAATATAACTAAAAAAATTTAAGATGTTTTCTCTGTGCTTTATATAAAAGCATGACTACTAAAGCTGAATTGGATTTAACTAAACAAATGGTATACCAGGCACTCTTCTTATTTTCTATTTGTTTCTATTTGTTTTCATCTTCCTTCTTTTTTCCACCATTTTCTAAATACTAGTTTCTTCCATTTTCTTAATACTAGTCTTCAAAATTTTTCTATTCTTTTTCCCCAGAGACAGCCCATTGAAAATCATTGCAAAGGAAAGCAGTTATCAAACTGCTGACATGTTCTGCCTTCCACTTTATCACCTAGCAGTCTTCAACTACTTGGAGAAGTTTTATTATATCCATTATTTCTATTGTACCTTTGTTTTCTATTCAGAACACAGATCCCTCCTTCACTTATATTGATTGCTCAGCATGTGCTAGGCTGTTTAGTTCTTATGAAGGCAAAAATTAGAATAAATAGGAAGAATCGCTGTCTTTATTTTTCATTTCTTTAAAATTATCTTTTAGGTTTTTGTGGTTGGCTTCTTACAGGTTGTTTTACATACCAGTATTTCAGGGACCAAAGTGAGGGTGGATTACCTGGAAATGTATAACCTTATATATATGTATTTAGGATTTAAAGGAGAGAGAGGGAGAGAGAATCTGCAAAGTCAGGAGATAAGCCCTTATGAGGCTGCTGTATTGGGCAGTTAAGGCACAAACACACAAACTATGTCAGCCAGAACAGAGTAGACATATTATAGAGGACTCTAGGAAAGCGATTCTTCTCCATAATGCTCTACATTTTTTGTAAGGAGATAAGACAGGCCTCATCTAGGCTACTATATTGCAATAAGAACTTCCTGATCTAGGAATTGGCTTTTTAGGAAATATATCTCTAGAGTTAAGTGGTAGGTATCATTTTATTCCCACGCTGAGTTAACTCAGTCTTTTAAGGCCAGCTCTTTCTAAGCAAGAGCCAATTTACCCCAACCTCATCCTATGGAAGAGTCACCTGTGTGCAGGTTGCCTCATACTCTCTCCTCACAGGAAAAGGCAGATTGAGGCTGCTGGGTCAGCCCTGTTCGCACAGACAGAGCCTGTGCCGTATCTGGCCCTGTCAAGGGGACTGGTGCCTTGTTTTCATCACTCCTTCCTAGTCCTACTGTTCATGCTTCTAAAATAAACAGGACTTGATCACACACACACACACACACACACACACACACACAAATAGTTTGAGGGAATTTGAATGATTCTCCAGGGACATCTAAATTATGAGATTAATTTTAGCTGTAGTAATCACAACAAATCAAAATAGTTTGAAAGCAATCTTGATATACCTAGGGGGTTATACCAAGTGATATATCAAAAGGGAAAAAAATAAGGCTTATTTCTAATACTAAATTTTACAAAGCTGAAGACAGAGTAAAATATAAGGACTCTAGAGGTTTCCTCTGATGGGTTTCCTCATATAAAACTGAATTATATCTAAAGAATACAAAGCTATCTCACTTAAATAAACTCAAGCATCATTCCTCGACATTGCTGCAAGTTCATTGCCACAAAGGAGTGTGTATGTGGGGAGAGTATCAGGATTACTCAGGAAAATTATGTTATATTTAATGATTATTGTTTTTAAAAATGAAATAGAGACAATGCAAAACCATCTAGAATTTTAAGAAAAATAAGTATTTTTTCACTAGCAAGTTTGAAATTTCACTTCAAATATAATACATATAAATTGCTTAATAACTGAAACTTTTCTTCTACATTTCAATTTTTTACAGGTTCAGGATTTTAATTACGTATTTAACTTCAACTGAATATGTTATAACCAAAAAATAGAAAAAAGTTTAAAGAGGGATAAAAATAGGCTTCATTAAGGATTTAATATGGTGTTCATAATTAGATAAAATATATTCAGTTTTAGATTTAGATCAGTATTATTTATGCTCCTTTAAGGTCTACGACTAAAAGCAAATCAATTTATCCATTTCCTATATTCAAAAGTGATCCAATACTTATTATTCACCAAATACTTAAGGAGTCAGGACTATTCTGGGCACTCAGCCTATAGCACCAAACAAAACAGACCAAAAAGTCCCTGCCTTCATGAAGCTTTTAGCTTGTTTGTTTGTTTTGAGGAGAGAGAAAATAAAAATAAACAAACCTATAGCATATTAGCCAAAGATAATTCATAATGGGGTAAAAAAGCTGGAAAGAATATATAAAGAATGAGTGAATTTATAATTGTAGATAGAAAAGCCAAGGAAGACTTTTAAGCAAGAACCTGAATGAAGCACGAATGTCCACATGTATGTGGGAGAAGAATAAGCTTCCCAAGCAGAGGGGACAGCACGTGTAAAGTTCTTGTTCATAATATCCAATAACAGCAATCAGGCCAAGATGGCAGGCTAAGATGACCTGTTGGGAAGAAAAGCATACAGTGAGTTCAGAGAAAGAGCAAGGTTTACTATCTTATGGGGCTTTTGATGCCTTTTAAAGGCTGTGACTTTACTTGGAGCCAGCTGAAAAGACCTTGAGGGTTTTGAGCAGAAGAGTGAAAAGATCTGACTTATATTTTGAAATTATCAGTTTGGTTTATCACAGGGCGAGAGTGGCAGAAGAAGGGAGTCAAGTTAGAGGCTATTAAAATAGAGATAATTCCAGTGAAATAAAATCATAGCTTGAACCATGGTGAAGGGTGGTAAGATGCGGTTAGAAGATAGAACTAAAAGAATTTGCTGATTGACCAGGGTGTTAAATAAAGAGAGGAGAAAAGGACAACACCAAGTATTGGGGCTTGAGCAAATGAGTTCAAGAATTTAAGTATCATTGACAAAGGTAAAATTTTCAGCACGGCACAAAATAAGCAATCAATATAAATGGAGGAGGGATGAGTGTTCTAAACAAGAAACAGAGGTACAATAGAAGTAGTGGATATAATAAGACTCCTCCAAGTAGTTAAAGACTACTAGGTGATAAAGTGGAAGGCAGAACATGTGAGCAGATGAAGCACACAGAAGTCAGTTTACAGGTTCTTGTAGGACATCCTAAGCTACGACTGTCTTGTGTCAGTTAGGAAAGAGAGGCAGAGCTAACAATTTGTAATATATCACATACATACATAATACATATTATTATAAATTATTGAATCTGCCCCTCTTTCCCGAATAACAAAAAAAAATCAAGTATTCAAAGAGAGAAAGAGAATAAAGAACAAAACACTGAGAGAGAGAGAGAGAGAGAGAGACAGAGAGAGAGAGAGAAAATACATATAGAGAGACTTCATTATGTTTGAGTTTCCCATTCAAGAACCCCTAATGTCAGTGTCACCACTTTATTCCCACATATTAATCACAGAAGTCAAACATTCCCCCTTTTGTGTAAATTTGGACTGGATTCCTGTCTTTTGCTACAAAAAGTTGTAACTGATTTTATCAACTTATATGCTAATGAATAATATTCATCCATTGATAGGGAGTTTTCAGTAGTAAACCAAACTCTTCTTCAATATATAATTAGTATTAAGCTCACATTTCTGCTCTAATTCCAGTTTAAGTGTTTTTCTATCATTCAGCTGGCCCTATTTCATGTTATGATTTTATTTGTCACATGCTGATCTGTATTTTATACTCTCCCATATTACTCTGTATATTACTTGATATAACTCCTAACTAGCTTATTCTTTCTCTGCAATTGTTCACATTTAGCCTTTAAATTGCAGTCCTTGTTATCTCAGTAACTGCAGCTATTTTTATTCTTCATACCTACCAAAACATTTCTAAGGAAGTTCACTCTTCTCCATTAGATACTCAGAAAATTCTCCTTTTACGGCTCAGGAATGCCATATTGCGGCTGTGTGGTCATGTGTGTGTGTGTGTGTGTGCGTGTGCATGTGTGTACATCTGTTTGCATGCTCCCATGCATGTTTTTAGACTAAAGATGTATATAAATGTGTATGAACAGAATGAAGAATAATTACAAACACCTATGTAACTGCTATGCAGATTAAGAAAAGGAGCATTGCCATTATCTTAGAAGTCCTTCTGTTCTCTGCCATGTGTGCCTGCAATAAGGTACATCTCACTTTCTCTTGCCCCCACAGATGACTATTATTCTGACTTTTAGGATAATCAGTTCACTTTTTAATATCTATTATCTATTTATGTCCTTAAATAATATAATTACTAGTTTCACACTTATATCTAGCTTACTTTTGCCTGTAAGTTATATTCATATTGATGTATATGGCAAAAATTTATTTTCACAGATGTATAACATGCAATTTTAAGACTACTGCACTTATTTATGCACTCTCCTGCAATAAGGTTCATAATTAGCATAAATATTATAACCCTAGGGCTGAAGATTTTCTTGGAGAACAACTTCATTATTCAAATAATATTCTATAGCATGGTGTCCCAAAATACATTCTGTAATGTTAGGGAAATGAAGTGTTAAACAGATTTCTTTACACTCTAACTTCTAGAATGGTTACATATTCTAAAGATAATTTGAATCAACATAAGGGACATATTATGCAATGTGTTTACTGAACAAATTTAACTAGGGTAAACCTTGTTCAAAGAATGTTTCTTAAGAAATATGTTTCAAAGAAAATACTTTGACAAATAGCACTCAGGGTTTACTTCCTGTATCAAATGCTCCTTCTCTTCTAGTCTCTCCTTCACTCTCATCAGCCTACAGTTTTGCCCTTTATAATTTCATTCCCATGTATGTGTGTGCCATAAAGTGCCATGGATTTTTTTTTTCCTTTGGAGGAGGTGGTTTTCTCTGGATGTCCATATGCCCTTTTGAACCCTATTCATACCCTCTTACTGTTTCTGAGAAAACAATCAGCTTGATGCCTCTCTTAATTATGCCCTTCTGCCAATTCCATCTTTGTGTTTTCATTTATTCCTATACTCACAGCTGAGATTGGGACTACAGTAGTAATATAGTCAGTCAATAATATGAATCGCATACATAATAACCAAACTCAAGATTTTTCAAGACCTATTATAAAACTCAGCATCTTCCACTGTCAGAGGCTATTATAATTTGAATAAAGGATTTGAAAATTACATTTCAATCCAAGTCTGTTTTTCCTATAGTGACTATCTTATCATTTTTACACTGAATTATCAATTGAATGCAATATATTTTACAGAAGGTCCCTGCTTGAAACCCAGTAAAATTGAATTAAGTTAAGAATAAGTTAGCTTTTAGCAGCTCAATTTAATTTTTTATGCCACTTGAAGGGCTGAAGATGTAAAGACATGTATCCTTATTTTTAGGAACAGACCTGAATTTCTTCAGAACATATCAGAACACTTCTGCATCTTTAAACTTTGATGCGTGCTCACTTTCATCCATTTTTCTGAGCTGGCAGTGCAACATTTTCTCATTCTGTTTGTGGTTGCCACCTTTACAGGGTAAACAGTGTCTCTTACGATAAAGTGACTGTGTCACGCTAAGCTCCCTTGACATACATTAGGACACACGCTCTCCCACTCCTAGAGTGGCATTGAGAACTCTGATAACTGTAAACAAAAATTATATTTTACTTGCTGGCTAACAAGAACTTTGGCTTTTTCGATGAGTTTTTCAGCCTGAGGCACAAACACACACAAATGATTTTGTGAGAGCTTATAGATTAAAATCACTGCTTTAAGCTTAAAACTAATTTTTCCACATTTTCCCAACATGTCTTAAAAATCAATACAGGAGAGTAATTTAGGAGAAATTATAGAAAGGCACGTCATGAGACATTCTTAAACAACCTAACTTACTTTAATTTTAAGTTAACATTATATGCAAACAAGTGTTTTTTACCAAATGGTTTCCTAGACCCGGACAAAAAACTTGTTGCTTTATGCAGGGGAATTCAATCATATTCAAAGATGGCATAAGGATTTAAACCAGAACATCTATTTTTATGATGATTAACTCTAAGGAATTTCTTCTTAATCTCACGATCACTGCATAGGAAGTAGTCATAACAAGGACCTTCTCGCATGAAAGAAGATGAGGTAAACTTTCACTAATTTGAACTATTCTCATTGAATGTAAAACTAGTATGAAAGTACTAAAGAATGCACAAATAAGGGTGTTGCACAGTCTCTGGCATAGTGTGATGACGGCATTAGCTATGATAGTGGTGTTAGTGGTGGTTGTGACAGTAATTGTTAAATTCAACAATCTGAGAGGAAATGAGAAAATAAATTGTTGCCTAATTTGGAGATTTAGGATTTGTAGAGAAGAAGATATAATGCCATATTTAAGTAAGCTAAATTAAAAAATACAAAAATAATTGTTTGCAGTTTTCACTGTACATGGGTAAATATCATGCTACCCTGATTTTTGGGCTCCCTAGAATTTGTCATATTCATGTTAATAGAAATCTTACTGCATACAGCAGACAAAAAATATAAACACAAATAAGGAGGGTTTAAATGGAGGACATCAGACTTAGCTATAAACTCTGTTGTGGAGAATAAAGACAATTTATTAACATCGAAAAATAAAATCCTGATGATCTTGACACTAAAAAATAATTATAATTAAAAAGTGGCACAAAAATGTGGAAAGTATGTAAAAATAGTAACACAAATGTTTTAAATAAATGAAGTGCAAAGAAGTAAACAATTCATAGGAAATATATATGTTATTTTTGAAACTGCTTTATTTGAACTTTACTGAGGTACGATTTACATACAATAAAATATACACATGTTAAGTGTACAGTATGATCATGTTTAACATTTGTATTCACCAGCGTATCCACCATAATCAAGATAAAGATCATTAGCGTCACACCAAAAAGGTCCCTTGTGACTCCCTTGCTGTCAACTGAACGCACTACTCTCCTCGAGAAGCCAGTGATCTGCTTTATGTGGTTAGATATTAATTTTGCCTTTCCTAGAATTTCATATAATTAGAGCCATAGTAAGTAGTCTTTGTGTCTGGCTTCTTTTGTTCAGCATAGTATTTTTCAGATTCAGTTGGCTATTGCATGAGTCAGTCGTTTGTTCCTTTTTATTGCTGATTAGTATTCCAGTATATGGCTACATCATAAGTTGTTTATTCATTCACTGGTGATGGACATTTGTATTGTTTCCAGTCTTTGGCTAATATGAATAAAGCTGTTATGAATGTTGATATACAATTACAGGACATGTGTTGGCATTTTTAAGTAAATGAGGCAATGCAATTCTATTTCTGGACTCAGTATTGTATTCAATTGGTCCATTCATCTGTCTTTTATACTACACCATATTGTTTTGATTCCTGTAGCTTTATAGTAAGTCCCAATATCAAGTAATGTAAGTCCTTCAACTTTGTTCTTTTGCAAAGTTGTTTTGACTGCTATAGGCCTCTGCATATTCTTCTACATCTATGAAGCAGATTCTTAAACCTCTCCCAAACCTGACAGAAAAAAACAAAAACAAAAACAAAAAAAAACCTGATTGGATTTTGAGTGGAAATGTATTGGATCTACAGATTAATTTGAAATAAATCATTTCAGCAATAATGAGTCTTTTAATACGTAAACATGATATATCATTCCATCCGTTTGGTTCTTTAACTTCTTTAACTTTTGTGATTTTCTGTATAATCTTTAGCTAAATTTATCTCTAAGTGTTTTATGCTTTGAATGTTATCATAAATAGTCCATATGAATTTATCTTCCATTTTTAAATTGCTGTGTACACATAAAATTACATTTTATATATCGACCTTTTATCCTGTCATCAGTACCTAGTAGCTATTTGAGACATTCTTTAGAATTCTCTACATTTTATAATTGTATTAGTCCATTTTCACACTGCTGATAAAGACATACCCAGGACTGCTGATAAAGACATACCCTTTCTTTAAGATGAAGACATAAAGAAAGAGGTTTAATGGACTCACAGTTCCACGTGGCTGGGGAGGCCTCACAATCATGGCGGAAGTTGAAAGTCATGCCTCACATAGCGGCAGACAAGAGAGGAGAGCTTGTGCAGGGAAACTCCTATTTTTAAAACCATTAGATCTCAGGAGACTCATTCACTGTCAAGAGCACAGTGCAAGAAAGACCTGCCTTCATAATCCAATCACCTCCCACCAGGTTCCTCCCATGACACGTGGGAATCCTGGGAGTTAAAATTCAAGATGAGATTTGGGTGGAGATACAGCCAAACCATATCAATAATCATCTTGTCTGCTGATTTATCTGCTTTTTGTGTATTTTTATTGCCTTATTATACTTAGTAGGCTTGCAGATAAAATATTAAATAGAATGAGACAAATCCATGTCTGTTTTCCTGAGCTTTCTTAGGTGGATATCATTATCTGATGATACTTGGAAGTTTCTCATAATGTTTTTTCAAAGTCTGAGAAAAATTCTCTTCTATTACTCTTTTACTAAAAGTTTTCACCATAATGGTGTTGTATTTTATAAATTCCTTTTTGGGCTTCTGTTTCCTACTTTGTGACGTTATTATAATAAATTGTATTAGCTGTTTTAATACATTTTAAAGCAACTTTGCATTTCTGGCATAAATTCTATTGGCATAATGTTCTATTTGCATTTATAGGTGGGTCTTTTTATAGTATATTTGGATAATTTTTGCTTGTACTTACCTGAAAGATATTGATATGTAGGCTTCTTAAAAATTTGCAAGAACTTTATAAAGTGTAAATGTAAAGTAATACTAGTATCATGAAATGAATTGGGAAATATTTCTAATATTCTTTATTTTATGAACAATATTCTGTAATATTAAATGTTTGAGAGAATTCATCAATAAAGGCAACTGGGCCTTAAATTTTTCTTTGCAAGATGCATTGTCAAATAAAATTTAAATTTCTTTAGGCCTTTGTACTTTCTACATAGTTTCGTGTTCATTTTGATAGTGTGTCTTTCATGGAATTTATCTATCTGACAAAAGTTGTATAACTTATTGTTGTATAAGTTGTAAAATTTACACATTTATTAGTGTTCTGATCTAACCCCACTCAAGATTTGCAATTTTAAAACTCAAGTACTCAAGGGAAATTTTTAAAACATTGCCTGAGTTTGTATGCTATTTTAGAACAGCAACAAATATACATCTTGTGCCTCTCTGAACAATTTGTCCTAGGAATTTTCACAATAGTTTTGATAAATGGTTAATAATTTTCCTTGTAGAGAATTTACATCTAAATAATACGATCATTTTATACTAATTTTAGCAATAATATAAGTAATCTTTTAAGTAAATTATTATTTAGAACATATTTTTGTAAAGTGTATTAAGAAACATTATTTGGAAGATCCTGAAGGAAGAGAAAACTATTTCACAATATCCATAAGTAAAAGAATAAGTTGCACTGCTTTGAAAGTACATTATAGGCAGGAGTCATTTTTGTAAGCATCAAAAAAGAGTTGATTAATATCTTTCAAAGAAAAGGTGGTCAGCAGAATAGAAGGAAAATACCCAGTTATTAGACAAATATTCAGTCTATGGAATCCTATATTTTCTCACTGTTGAAACTGGAAATTTTTCTTTTTTTCCTTTTTTTTTTTGAGACAGACTGTAGCTCTGCCATCCATGCTTGAGTGCAGTAGCACAATCTCAGTTCACTGCAACCTCTATCTCCCCGGTTCAAACAATTCTTCTACCTCAGCCTCCTGAGTAACTGGGATTACAGGTGCGTGCCACCACGCCCAGCTAATTTTTGTATTTTTAGTAGAGACAGGGTTTTGCTTTGTTGGTCACGTTGGTCTCCAACTCCTGACCTCAGGTGATCTGCCCACCTCTGCCTCCCAAAGTGCTGGGATTACAGGCATAAGCCACAGCACCCAGTTAAAGCAGGACATTCTTTTTGTCTCATAGCAATGCAATTACCTCAGAAAGGAAAACTTCAATAATCAAAAGTCTTAAGAATTTTAATAATTCATCTTCAGGGTTCACAAAAATCACATATTTTTTGAAATTACGTATAACTTATCTTGTTGTTTAAAGAATAATGTTTCTTTCCAAGTAGGCTATAATTTCAGTTACAGAATAGGGATTAAAATTATAGTTTATTGTCAAATACTGGCAACACTATTCAGTAGAGTTTTGTGTCCTTAGACAATTCAGTCTCTTTAAGCTTAACTTTCCTCATCTGCAATTTGTGTATAAAAATTAGTCCTTCTTCCTGGCATAATACATGTAACCCAGAATCTGGCACATAATAAACACTAAATCTACTTTAAATAATAATAATGAGAATGACAGTAAGATTATCTGTTGATTCTTCACTTTGTTTCTTTTTTTTCTTCTTCTTCTTGTTCTTTAGAGAGATTGGGAACTACTGTTCTCTTAGGCCAAATTATGTCTATGGCCTCATTTGGTATGGCTCATGACACAAGAATGTTTTTGCATTTTTAGAGGGCCATAGGAAAATAAACAGAGAACAAAGAAGAAAATGCAGCAGAGACCTCATGGCCTGCAAAGCCTAAAATGTTTATTACCTGGCCATTGAGAGAAATGTAAATGACTCTTTGCTGAGTTATGTGCAATTAATATATATATTTAATTTTGTATTTAATAAACTCTTAGTTTCTCTTAGTCTACCTGAGGAAAAAAAGTGAAAAGAATTCAGTAATCATATAATACCCTCACATTTGCTTAATTGACTATCTTGCTCAGGATAGATAAATAAAAATAATAAAAGAAACTCAATTTAAGGACCATGTTTTGAACAATATGGGTAAAATTTCGTTGACATATAGTAGGCCTTCCTTTAAAACGGTTTTGTAATACTTTAAGCCAGATCATGTAAAGCATAATAAATGATGGAATATTTCAGAAATGGACAAAAAAATGGTCAATTCAAATGAAGAAAAGTTGAATAAAACCGGGAGAAAATTACCGGAATCTATTTTGGCAATTAATTGAAGTTACAGATTTTATAATTAATTGCTGATGGCTAAAATAGCACCTCTCCATTTCTGCTACTTTATATGCTTTTTAAAGGAAATAATGAATTTTATGAAACTAAATATGGTTAATTAAGTATATTATTTAAACTTAGGCAAAATTCTATTATGGCCCCCAAGATTCCCAGTAGGTGGTGCACCTTCTCCCAGTTACTCAAACACTCATATAGGTATTGCTGTGAAAAGATTTTGCAAATATAACTAAGGTCCCAAATCAATTGAAAATTGGATAGGAGAGTAATGGATGTGACCTAATCACCTAAGATCAACATCAGGAGAGAGATTCTATACAATAGCAATTCATTATTGGCTTTGAAGCTGGTGGGGTCATGTGACAAGGAATGTGTGTGTTAATTGGGAGCTACAAGATGGCTCTGGAGGAAACAAAAGCCTCAGTCCTTCAACCACAAGAAACTAAATTATGCCTAAATTCTGAATGATGTTAGAAGCAGATTCTTCCCCAGAGCCTCTTGCCTTGAACTCAGCTCATCTAACAGTTTGATTTTAGCCAGGAAATTCCTGAGCAGAAAACCCAGCCATGCTATGTTTGGACTTCTGTCTCACAGAACTATGAGCTAATGAATATCATGTCAAGCTGCTGAAGTTGAGGTCATTCTTCTTAAGCAATAGAAAACAAATACAAACTGACATTCTTTAATGTTAAATTTCTCACATTTGGGCATTTTTAATTATTTTGAAGATTTTAAGTTTGTCAATTTTATTCTTTTTATACTGGTCAACAGATAAAGTATAATTGTCTGAATAGTGAACATATTACACTTAAAGTACATCATTCTTAACAGATGTCAAAGTTTCTCAAGCAGGGAAATAGTAGACACACCTATGATTTCATAACCCTTCTTTTAATATATTACCTGTCCTTCAGTTTCACAGTAATGACAGACAAATGTAAAAATTTTTAGCTTGTTTTGAACCTCTACTACTTTCAGTTTTGAGCCTTTCACCAAGAAACAGAGGACTCTGAGCCCCACGTAGCTATCATGGTGTTTGTTTCAGACACAAGAAAGAAAAAAAAGCAAACAATAATAATTTATGAGTTATTATTACCAGGTGGATTATGTTCAAAATTGTGGTATTTAAATTTTATCCTGGATTTATAAATATAACTTTTCCTGAAGGCAATCGTGTTAGATGGGAGATTAAAGAATTGCTAGTGTTGTGAAAAATATTTGCCTCAAGGCCTGTCTCCTGATCTCCAGAAATATCTTGTCTAATACATCCTGTGGAATTGAAGCAAGTAAATGACAGGAAAATACTGTGTGTGGGATGCAAGCCACTACTTTTTCTGAAATTTTTTTTTTCTGCTTTGTACAAACCACTTCATCAGCATTACCTTTTTTATCTTCATGGCCAGGCTATTGCAGTAAGTACCATCATTATCTCCATATTACAGATGAGTTAGCTAGAGTTTAGTGGGGCTAAGTAACACGTCTAAGATTGCATGGCCAGCAAGAGGCCATGACAGGATCTCAACCAGGCTTACTGATCTTTGCTTAGTCACTGCCCAATGTTTCCTTCATGACTGAACATGAGAAACTGAATACCTTCAAATTAAATCAAGTTACTTCATAAATGTTGATGTTTTAAAGCATGTTTAAAATACTTCTAAAATATTTTAGAAAATGCTACATATAGCGGGTTTTCCATTTTAAATTTAATTTGAAGTCTTAGAAAATTTTTTAAAAATTGACTTCTTTTAATTACATATGATAGAATCAATATCTTATATATGATAGAATCAATTGCACAATAAGTTGCAATTGTGCAACTTATTTTTTCTAGTTGTTATTTAGTTATAATTAACTTCATTTAACTGTGGTCAGAGAACAGATGCTGAGTGATTGCAATCATGTGAAATTTGGTGAAGCTTAATCCTAATGTCAAGAAATGCTACATTTGCAATATTCCATGGTGCACTATGAAATGCTCCATGGAAAGAATCTGTATTCTGTCATTATTGGCTACAGATATGAATGGAAAATAATGTCAAATAGGTCAAGCTTGTTAATTGTGATGTCATACCCTCTGAATCATGAGTGAGTGTTTTCTGCTTATTTCATCAACTATGGAAAGTGTTCTATTATGATTGTGGATTTACTTGTTTCTCCTAGTTGTGTTAGGTTTTTCTATCCTACAGGTAAAGCTATGAAATTGGATGCATATAGATTTAAAATTGTTATGTCTTCCTGGAGGACCATTTTATCATTGTGAAAAGTCATCTTCTTCTCTTAAAATGTCTTATCTTAAGGTCTACTTTCTGATATTATTATACCTATCTCAACCTTCATTGATTAGATTGATGCTATTTATATTCTCCCATCCTTTCAGTTCAACCTTTCCATATCTTTAGATTTAAAGTTTACCTCTGGTAAGCAACATGCACTTGGGTTTTATATTTTATCAAGTCTTACAATTCTGTAGTTCTAGAATAGTTAACTTAGATTTATAATTACTGAACCATATGGACTATAACAACATTTTTCTTATTTGTTTTCTATTTGGTCTATATGATATTAATTACTTTCTGTTGAATGAAGAAATAATCTACTTATTATCTGCTTTCTTGCCTTTTTAAAATTAATAAAAAATATTTTCTTATCCTGTTTTCTCTTTATGGAAATATTAGTTATCTAAACATTAAAATGACTCCTTGATTAATTAAAATGTAATAAAAATTTTTATCTTTGGCCTCAATAATATAATAAAAGAACTCTTTAGTTACATTTATTTCATACGCACCTTAATTTTATTGTTTGATGCATTTTGATTATATTTATATTTTAATGAACACAAGATGTTTTTAACTAACTTCTAGAGGAAATATTTATTTATATTTATCTACATATTTGCCATTTCCGTTTTCCCTCACTTTTTCTTGCATTTCTGTGTTTCTCATTGAGATTTCGATATTTCTACCTGAAGAACTCCAGTTAATGATATCTTTTATTAAAATTCTGTTGTCCCATTAACCCTTAAGTTTTTATTTGCTGAAAATGTCTTTACTCTGACTTGATTTTTGAAAGTTATTTTTATTTCTTAGAGAATTGTGTGTGGGCAGTTATTTTTCTTCTAGATTTTAAAGTAGTATCCCATTGCCTTCTGAGTCCCATTGTTTCTTTTAAATATTGAGCAGTAGGTTATAGTATTGCTCCTTTGAATCTATTGTGCCCCTTTACTCCTCTGGTTGCTATGTAAGGAATGCTTTTTTAAAAAAATTTTATGATAATCAATGCCATTAACATTGTTTAAAAACCTACTGTTTATCAAATTGTAAATTGTACCTTTTACTTATGCTGTACATGTATGGAAACATCTAGAATGTACATAGAATGTTCAATTCTTGTCAGTTAATTCGTGCTTTTGCCTAATATATTATTATAATTTTTAAAATTTAGATATATTAAAACAAACAATTTTAGCATAAATATGTTTACAAGTTATATTAAAATATTTTTAGTTGTATCTAATCTGACTGAGTTTCAATTTCTTTAAATATTCCATAAACAGTTATAATTAAAAAATTACTCATAGAATATTAATCACTGCCTCTGTTTGTATTAACTTTGCTTTTAGATAGATGAATAGACAGATAGGTAGATAGGTAGATAGAGAGAGAGAGAGAGAGAGAGAGATAGATAGATAGTTTTTGGCTTATGTTTTTAGATCTTCCAAAGAGAATAAATACTGACAAATTCATATTTCCCAAGATATTATTATTCAGCAGCAGGATAAAAGATCTTTTTACAAAGTCATCTTATATAGTGGTTTTTCTATTCTGTTCCATCTTTTATACTAAGTTTATACTGAGATACTAAGATAACATTGTACATTTCTGAATCCATTATTTGTTGATGAAAGAGCTATGTGTTGTAATTGCCATGCTCCCATCACAGCTCCTTGAATAGAGTAGGAGCTTGAAAAACATTTGTTGAATAAATGATGATATGTTTGAATTAATCAATGAATGCCTTTGAATCTAGGTTTTCTGACTTAATGCTCTGTTTTTTAAATTACTTCCAAATGTATTATCTTTCTTCGGCTGCCATTTTAGTTTTACACTTATTAAAAACCATTTCCCTTCACTATAAATTTCCCCAAGTATAATGATTTTACAAGGTACAGCCTGTATGAGGTATTGATTGACATACGGTCTGGTCTTCAGAGCTTTCCAGAGAATGCAGGTTATGGTGGAGACAGTGAGCACCCTGTTGAGATCAAAGTTACTAAATTCTTCAAGGCCAAGCTTCTTAAATGCCTGTTTCTTGGCATAATATACCTTGTCTGCTTCTGAATATAAGACAGGATGAAATGTTTTATAAATTTACCGTGAAAAATAGAAGAAAAGCAAAATAAGTAAGTTGCCATTCTCTTATACCCAATGGCTGAAGAAGCATTGGCAGCAGGAACAGGCTAGAACAGACAGAGGAAGTAAGTGAGGCCATGCTCTCTCTTACTCCCCACCTAAGAAGTCTTTAACATCTGACATTATTATAACCAAATGTGAATACAAATTATGGGATCATACAGAGATGTCATTAAGGGAGTTCACCAGCTGGTAGGAAGAGGGAGAGACAACAAAGAAAAATCAATAGCAGTTGCTGAAATATTAAACCTTTTCATGTTACAGTTGTTCCCAGGAGATTCATTTTGCATACAGATTTTATTTCTCTTATTAAACTTGCTGATTTGCATAATCTTTTCCAGCATTGTATTGAGCAACCGATCAATTCCAGTGCCTTAAACATTTCCTCTTTCTGCATCTTTTCAGTCCAACTATTGCAGTGAATAAGCAATTCTCTAAACATAAGTTTGGCTATACTACAAGAGATGCTGACATGGAAAAAGAATGTAGTAACCTTAATAGAAACCTTAGTGAAAATGTGAACACATTTTCTCTCATATAAAGAGACGTTCAATACTGGTAAAAAAAAATGTAAATATTAAGTGTTGAGCTACAAGGACTTTTCAAAATGTGTAGATTACCAAAACAATAAATAAATCTGACTATTGTTTTTTTTTTCTGGCTTATTTTTATTTTTTTGTTTTTTCTTTTTGAACAAAAATATCAAAATATTTTTGTAGAGTTACAGGTTTACTTAATGGAACAAATCCTTCTAGTATTAATTTGTATATAGTTTGCACTAATTTAGTCAGACCTTTTTTTGTTGCTTATACCCTCAGATATACTCAGTCTTATTTTTTTTTAAGTCTTTGGCATGGATTTGTACTGAAAATAATCTTTAGGAACATTTTCAGCTAAGATGCTTTATGCTTTGGAGGAAAAATGCCAGCATACGAAGAACAGTATTGAGGAACCCCATAACCAGCATAATCCCCACCCTCCAAGCAATTTCAAAGAGATTAGGAGTTTCAGATAATAATCCCTAAGGGATTTATGTGATAAAACCATGCTGAAGAAAATTCATTAATACATCAAATTGTGAACATAAGCCATGTTGAGGAAAATTCATTAATACATCAATTTGTGAGCATAACCAGTATATTTGAGATGTCTGTTTATGTCCCATGAAAATTTTAACAATTTAGCATTATATTTGAATGAACTAAAATTTGATCCCATTCAAGATCAATTATTTTCACAAAATAGATTTCTATATTCTGTACATTAGCAACATGTCAGCATAGAAACAGAAGAATTGGCATGTTACTGAAGTCTTTCTTACATGAAAGTATTTAACAAAAGTAAGAAGCTGTTTTAAACTGCAGAATTAATTAAATATTTAAATTTTCACTCAAGTATACTTTTTGAAATAGGGTCACTGGGATTTGGGGAATCAGGAATTACACATTATTGAAAGACTAAGGCTTGATTTTAAGATAACCATTGAAAGAAATGTAAACAAAGGCAGCAACCAAACGGATAATAATTACAGTAAATTTAGTTTACTGAAGTCAAATTTTTCTAGTTCCCCAGGGACAGTGTTTTCTTTATGCATCCTATAGCAGCCAATCTTTCTTACTCTCTAGGCATTAGAAATTATTTATTTTCTATGGATGGTTTCCTGTACATTATTTAATAGAGTACAATAAAATTACCTGAGACCAAATCTGAAATATTGTTATACCATTGGGAGAAGACAGTGTTAGTAATATGCACACAATTCTCTGAAATATTGGAAAACAGAAGAAATGCAACTTTTTACAATACAACTAGCTAAGTTATAACCCCTCCTACCACCGAATTTTATATGGCATGAATTTATACTTTTCAGTCGTCAGGAACAATAGGGACAGGTATACATGGACTCATCCTGGCAGAATGTCCTCTTGGTGTATTCATGTGGAATTTATTTCTATACAAACACACCCATCTACCCTAGCTTTCCCTCTCAAGCCAGGGAAAGATGGTGAGAGTAGGGGTATATAAACATAATTAAAAGATAGCTATCTTGGGTGCTAGGAGAAATGCAAATGACGGGGACTAAGAGCAAAACTTGTAACAGAATATCTTATTTTTCTTCCTTTCATGAATCCCCCCACCCCCACTTCTCCCTTTCTGTCTCCATTTGACTGATACCATCACTCACTCTCCCTCCCCACCCCCACTGTACAAACTTAAAATTATATAAATGCCATCTGTTTCATTGCCAATTCAGTGCCAACCATTGCTGATAGATAAGCTTCACAGAAATAGTAAAAGCTTTTAAGATAAATCAATTAAAAAAAAACACTTCCAGAAGAACAACTCAGGTAGCCATGAACAATTATCTACTACTTTCAAATCCACAGATTTAACACAAAACAATTCCCAATAAAGTTAATTTTATATTTTATATGATTATATTTGATGATTTTCAGAGGGAAGGCAAAATCCTCTAATTATATGTGAGTTCACACTAGACAGAACATTGGACTAGTGAGTGGAACATAAAGGATAAACAATGCAAGTAATAAAACAGGCAGTAATTCATTAGTAAGTTATTCACATTGAGATAAACCACCCTACATATCATCAAGTAAGTTAGAAGTTCTATTCTTAATAGATATTTATTATCTCATTTTTCATAGAAGGTATGTGTACTCATAAACAATTAGAATTATATTGCTAACCCACGACGATGTTTTGAAGGTCAAAGCTCCCTCTTTGCCTAAACATTCATTTTCTACTCAGATAAAATGAATCCTAAAAACGTCTCTCCTTGTCTGGGATACAAACAGATATCAAATATCTTCTCAAATTGTTTATGTTCTACAAACGTGTAAGAAGTACTTTCCTCCACTTCCGTCTCAGAGTCATTTCTCATGAACCTCTGGATAACAAGGCACCTTTTTTATTTACTTAGGGAAATGCATTGAGCATCTTACTACACTTTGGTCTCATTAGAAGACAGTCTTTATTTATGTATTTGCCTTATTGCCTGTCCCAGACCTATTCATTCAGACTGCAAGTAAATTTCAATGTACCTGATTCAGCTGGTTTCCTGACGTTGATGACTACTCACATTTCATGTTGGATATCTAATCTACAGAGTGACCCTGATGTGAACTAAATAATCTAATAACACACCATATAATACAAACATATTAAGATGAGGAGAACCATTGCCTATGGAAAAGATCCCTATAAAGTAGCTAAGGGCACAGTAAGGCTGAGGCCTATGTGGAAAGGGAGGTTGCATAAAATAATGCCCTTTAGGGAGCAAATAGAGACATTTTGCAACTCCTGATCCTGAGATGCATAATAAAAACTATATTCACCTTAATCTGAATAAACATCTTTCATTATACAATTAATTTATTTTACTTAGACTCTGTTCATACCCCTCTTGCCTAAAGAAAATGACCAAAAGAGGAATATGTTCAATTATTTTCTTCTTTCAGATACTTATAATTAGAAAATATTTCTATATTCTAAAATGTCTTTAGATGAGCTATAACTTAGTTAGCAAACAGATATCTTGGTCTTTTCTAGTGGTCTTAGTAGAAAAAAAAGTGACAGAAAAAGAAAGAAAAGGAGAGCATAAATCTAGTTACATCAGAAAACACTGCAAATACTACACCTAAATGTAATTAGTGAATTATTATGGCTAAAATATGCATTTTGTGAGAGTTTTCCATATCCACAAACAGAAGTAAACACAGGAATTTTTAAATGTCTTTTTGGACTAACACTTTAATTTTGGAGGATGTGAGCTTTACAAATTTTTCCCAAATATATCATAAGAAAATTAACGATTTGATGCATTTTAGCTATTTTTGTAATTGGTGATTTCACATTAACAACAAAAACAAGCATTAACACTTAATGAATAGTAACAATGCATCAGGCATGGTATTAAGTGCTTTACATTTTGCATTCATTATGTAATTTAATCTCATAATAACCTTATGATACTGTTACTAATGCCCTCATTTCACAAATGAGAACAACTATTTTCAGTCACAAAAAGATAGACATTATTTATATTAAAAATTTTTTCTAAGGGAGTATTTAAAAATCTAATTTTTATTTATTTGTGAGATTACTAAAATATCTAATTATTATATCATATGCCATATACAGTTTGAGGATTATATATTAATAGAAATGGTTTTTCATTACACAATGCTAAAACGTTTAGCAGTTCAAAAAAATTTAACTATAAAATGTATACCTCAAAGTTTTTCATATTTTCCAGTGCTGCTTCTTATGTTCCATGATGATTACCAGGGTTTTTGTTTATCACTCACAGATACTAATTTTTAGCTTTCTAAAATTCTACAGTTTTCTATAATCCTGAGCACAAAAATTGTATATAGTTTGATATAGTGGGAAAATGGAATGTCCTTGATACACAAATACCTTGTTTATTCACATATTTTGAGGAAATTATATTCTATTTTTAGTGTAGTTTTTAATGCAAAAATATGCAAAAAACACATACACAAACACATACACACCCTAAATCCCTATAACGGGAAAGTCAATAAAATATAGATATTTCTGTTTATTACCAAAAAGGAGCTGTACAAACAAGTTAGTTTTTAAAAAGGAGAATAGCATATTTTTTTCTTTTAGTTAAACAATTCTAGTCAGAGGCAAAAAAAAAAAAATTGATGTTTTCAGAATTAATTATAAAGGATGAATGCATAGTATTCAAGATATAATCTGTGATGCACCACTCAGAACACCCTTCAGAAATTAAGGACTTATTCTCCAGGTGTCGAAAGTGTTGTTACCTTTGAGGCTTGCCTCAACTCAGCGCTGCCTTACAGAAGGTCACATTCCCATACTAGGGCAGACTGCAAGCAATGCCTGATCAACGCGGAGGTATCAAAGACAGCCCCCTTCCTTAGTGGGGAAAACTCTGAATGAATATCCTAGCCTCAACTTCCACTGAGATCTCATCAGACTTTAACTTCCCCCTCAAACCAGTCTTGCTTCTGTCACTTCCCTTCCATAGGTGTTGCTCTGTAAAGCTTCCTAGATAACCTCTTGCACACTAATCTCAGTCTCGGAGTCAGCTTTGTGGGGAACTCAGCCTGGGAAAATATTCCTTGTTTTGTTTTGTTTTACTTGAGCAGCTCCACCACCAAAAGCATTCAAGGGACAGCAATGATAATAACCAACGGAACGGAACAGTTCAACCAATAAGAAACCTCAGAATTAAGTGGCCAGCTTTGTATGTCAGTCTGATAGGGCAAGCTGCAAAGAAGGTGCAGCCCATCTGGTGCTGCTCCGAAGAAAGTGATATGGTGAAACAGGCCAGGACACCAGGAGAATTTTAAGGATCTATCTCTTATAAAAAGGCTTGACCAGTTTTGAAAATAATTATATTTCATTTTTATGATGAATATTCGAATAGTGAAAATAATCTGATAAATTTGTCATCTGTTAAAGTGGGCATCAAATTATTCCTTACTAATACATGATTTTTTTGTTAAAATAGTCCAATGTATTTTTTTAATTTCTAATTTTGAAGAAAAATGGCCAAAATGTTACAAATTTAATTGCCATTGTAAATGGCACTATAAGAATAATGGTTTTGACTAAAATTAATCTTAGATTCGAACGTCAAAGTAAAACTTCTTACTAATCTGAAGATGTCAGTTTCCTTTTATTTTTTTTTTTTTTTTGAGATGAAGTCTCACTCTGTCGCCAGGCTGGAGTGCAGTGTCGTGATCTCGGCTCACTGCAACCTCCGCCGCCCGGGTTCAAGCAATTCTCCTGCCTCAGCCTCCTGAGTAGCTGGGACTACAGGCACACGCCACCACGCCCGGCTAAATTTTGTATTTTTTTTTTTTTTTTTTTTTTTTTTTTTTTTTTTTTTTTAGTAGAGATGGGGTTTCACCATTTGGCCAGGATGGTCTCTATCTCTTGACCTTGTGATCCTCCACCTTGGCCTCTAGTTTTCTTTTTATAATGTAAATCTACAGATTTGAAAAGACGTATTGTCTCTGTCAAGTTGAAATAGGGAGATTTGGGTGTAATTCCTTTTAATTTAGCGCAGACTTACGTGGCATCTTAGCAATTCAAATAATAAATCTTTCTTATATAACTAAAATTGCAACTCTAGTTTCAAATTTTGAAAAAGAAAAAAAAAAGGAATGTAAAACTTATTTCTCTATTGAAAATGGCCAGACACACTTGCCTTATAGAACCAACGTTTCTAAAACATTGCTTTTAAGTGAAAGCACACATAAAATATATTTCAGGGTATTAAATTGAATTACTTTGGCTTCATGTTTTGCTTGTAAAGCAAAATTTCTTACCCTGCCTTCTCCTAACATGTATTGAAGGAACAAAACCCTTCACAGCTTTTCTCTATATTGTGAAATCAAAGATGACTTGTTTTTAAAATTCATTTAATATTTCTTAGGGTTTTCCTAATGGCTCACAACAGAACAGAGTTGATAATAATTCTCCCAAGGAATGTGCTCAAGAACTGACCCTTTTGCTCTTATTTAATTCCAATCAATCTTTACTTTTTTCATGCTTTGTTTCATGCAGCTATAAATCCTCTGCATGCAGGGCAATACACCAACAAATCTGTTAAGGAGTTTGGCCCAATTTCTTCATGAGTCTTTAGGGTATTTTCTCTAGGTCCTTATGAAATCATATAAGATACTGAAGAATTCTTGAAATACAATTTTAAAGTAACCACACAGTTAATAAAAGACAACAAAAATTTGTTTTTTTAATTTTGAGTGAAGAAAATGTATAATTGGCTTTAAGAATATATTTTGCTTAACATTTTAGCTAATGACACATGTACTAACTATAAATTTTTCTCAAAAACATGCAATGCTACCAAATATCACACTGTTCCCCTTAAAAGGTTTTGTTAAAAGAAACAAAAATACACCATCTTCTTTCTTTTAAGCTACTTGCTGCTAAACATTGTGAAAAAGAAAGGGGAAAAAACCAGCCCTGTACTGGGAAATAAATTTGATACTCACAAGTAAGCATCAATGTTATTACATATTTATCTGGTACTTGCAGCTAAGTGATATTGCACTCCCTTTAGACTTAAACAATCTCACAAAACATCTACTTCATACAACGTCACTGAGCAACCCACAAAATAGCAAACATTTCTCTGACACATTTACCCATTACATCTTTATCTTTAGTCTATCCTTTTATAGATGAAATTGATCCACACATCCAATAACAAAATTGCCCAGATTTCTAATAATATCCAATGTAAAGCAAATCTCTTGTTCAAATTACTCAACCAATGTCCAAATTGTATAAGAAGTTCTTTCTAACACTCTCTTACCGAGTCACACCATTCTTCACTTTGTGAACGTTTTGCCTCCCTGCAACCAGGATAAACTCAACTCATTAAACCAAAAGTGTGTTCCTGGCAGTTTTTGGCTGAAAGGAACTGGCAGTGGCAAGATGTTTGGGATATTCATAGAACATTAGTGTTTGTTCTAAAAGAAGGGTCTTACAAGCAACCTACAGATGACCAGATCTTCAAATTAACTTTTAAATATTTCTGTCCAATAAGTGTAAAGTGCTTTTCTAATTTTCAAAATTAGGAAACGATTTTGTCAAAGCTAATGAAGCTGTGCTCTAATCTATATACTTTCTTGCTTAAAGAGAAGGAATGATTTATTAATTGTCATGCATCACATCTTGTTTGATGACATTTATTAAAGCTTTCCGGTCTTCTTTTCTGTAGTCTCGATAAAAGTAATTATTAAAGTTTTTCATTGATAATCACTGCTAATCACTAATCAATACTTTTTACATTTTAATGGAGCTTTTTGGCAATTTATAGTTACCTCACAGGTATTAATTATATCAAGACTCTTTGAACTGACCACAAATAATGAAGGGATTATCTCACTTAACATAATGTTCTCCAGTTCCACCCATTATGTTACAAATGACAGGATTTCATTTTTCTAATGACAATAATATTTCATCGTGTATTTTACCACATAAGTCAGACACAGAAAGACAAATAATACATGTTCTAACTTATATATGGTAGCTGAAAAGGTCAATCCCTTCGAGATAGAGAGTGGAATGATGGTCACCAGGGGATGGGAAGAGTAGTAGGAAGAGGGCTAAAGAAGGGTTGGTTAATGGGTACAAAAATACAGTTAGATAGAAGGAATAACGTCTAGTGTTCAATAACACAATAAGATGATTGTAGTTAACAATAATTTTTGTATATTTTAAAACCACTAGAAAAGTGGAATTGGAATGTTCCTTACACAAAAAATAAACATTTAAGGGGATGAATATTGTAGTAATTCTAATTTGATCATTACATATCATACACTTGTATGGAAATGTAACCCACATGTACCCACAAGTACCCTATAAATACGTATAAGTATTATGTATCCATAAAAATTAAAAATAAAAAGTTGGAAAAATTAACCTATAAAAAGAAAAATTCAATTAAATTTAGCTTGTCTATGAATTTTTAATATACTTAATTTATGATTAGATACTGTATATTAATACAATACTGTAAATAATAAGGGACAATATTCTGTTTTTAAATATATGAATTTATCAAATGTACAAACGGATTTAGTTACTTGGATACAGAGAAATCAAACTTTTTCATTTTTTCTTATATATAAAATGAATTCTCAATCCCTGCTCCCTCTGCTTATGTTGGTTTGAATATTGGTTCAAATTTCCTGAAGAAGTTTTGTTGATTACATACTGATAGTCTTAAGCCATAATCAAACTCTTTGTATTTAAGAATCTCCTTGGGAGCAGGAGATAATTACTTATGATCTATATTAAAGTGACCTTGGAGTTTCCAACAAAAAAATCTCCAAGTCAACTTTTAAGAGCAGACATAAGTGACTATCTTTATTTATTTTCTTCCTGCCATATGTTGCAGTCCTATCACAAGACCCACCACTAAGAGACTTCACGAAGCTACAAAGGCTTATATACTTTTACATACGATTTTCTCTTTTGATAATCTATCATAAATGAAAAATCTAAAATTATAACATCATTTATAATAGTATACAAAAAATTGAGGACAAAAATGTAAATAATTACTATAGAGTAACAGTTATGGAAAGATTAAGTGTTATACAATTGTTAGGCATGAAGAGTTAACAAGATTTTATATAATCATAAATACATTAAACCAAAAAATATGCATAGAAAAAATAGAAGAAAATGCAGAAACATATTTTCAGGTATATTTTTCTGGTGTGCTAAGTGTTTATCATATTTTCTTAATAGTTTTCTATTTTTTCTAAAATACCTGTATTCATTTTACTTTTATAAGTTATGTGATTTTATAATAAAGCATTTATTTTCATTTTAAAATATGACTATAAATGTTTCTGTGCATTCAGAATGCAAATTAGTCAAAATTAATCATCTTTTTCTGTTTTCAAACAACTTTAAAGTACACAAATATGGATATATAACCTAGAAATATAACTTCCTCTATTAAAAATGCAGTTCCAAATATGATTAATTTACAACAGAACAACAGCTCAGATACAAGAGAAATTGAAATAAAACAAGAAACATGTATGTGCAATTAGATCTTACTATGTCTGGCTTTGGTCATATTTCTATGTATGTTATTCTAAAGTATATGTTATTTGTAAATTATTTTCATTTTTCTTAACAAGGCATTGCTAAAGTTTTAAAAAGAAGGTTATATCACATAGGTATGCTATATGGAAGAACAGTAACTGACTGGCTTAATTTAGAAAAAAAATATTTTTTTCAAAGGATTTTGGATATGTGAGAATAAATAGGAAGCTTCAAGAAAAGACTTGGGCAGCGTTCAGAACCTATTTTGACTAGGCAGCAGGAAATAATACCAGAAGCACATCATAGGAGCTATCCAATGAGAACATCGCCGCTGCTATTACCACTGAGGTTATGATGTCACTACTAGGACTTTGATCCCTCCTTTCTGGAAGTTCCAAGACTAGTTCAGGCCCTTTAACCTTGCAAAGGCCAGCCACAGGAGACTTACACCTTACTTGGTTTATCTTCAAACAATCTGACTGTTCAGGTGCTTTCTAGCTACAAAAGTGAAACGTGCATTGCAATATTATATTTTTTTGTATTATCAAAACTGCTATAGCATCTACATCTTAGTTGAGTGAATTAGCATCTTCCTAGTCACTCAAAGTAAAAACCTGGAATTCAGCCTTAAATATTTACTCCTTGTCCTGCTTATTCACTGTATTATCAAGCTTTACCATTTTAAAATATTTCAACATCAATGTCCTATTTGTATTCTAAACATCTCTGCTTTAATAAATATCTTTCTTAGTATTTCCAGAACTGCTGCAATAAGATTCTTATTTATCTCTTTTTATGGAAGATATTAAAAATATATATCATCCTCAAACTGTTACTCAACAAACAATATATCTTTGAAATATATATACATAAATTGGAAAATTTTAGAAATAGAAGGAAAAATGTGATAAACGATTCATTGACTCAGCTTTAGAAATTGACAGATTGGGGTGAAAACAATAATAATATAGAAGAGGTAAATAACTGAATCAACAAGCTTGATTTAAAAGATATTCTATCCATTTTCTATTGCTACTCTAATAAGTTATCACAAACCTAGTGGCTGAATCAATATAAATTTATTATTTCAAACAGTTTTATTGGTCAGGAGTTTGACACATGTCTCACCAAGCTAAAATCAAGATGTCAGTGAGGCTCCCTTCCTTTCTGTAGGCTCTAAAGATGATTCTTTTTTTCTTGCCTTTTCCACCTGCTAGAGGAAACTCACAATCCTAGGCTCATCGGTCCTTTTGTCAATCTTAAAGGCTAACAAAATAGGATCTCTCTCAAACTCTTCTCATTTGTCACATTTCTCTCACTGAACAAAACTGGGACCATTTCATGGTCCTTAACCTTAATCATTTCTGCATAATCCCTTTTATCATGTAAAGTAACATATTCACAGGTTCTGGAAATTAGGGCATGGACATCATTTAGAGACTATTATTCTATGTACAACAAAAATAATTAAACTGTAAACCTCCAAAAGAAAGGATATACATTGTTCTCAAACCCATGCTTGAAACTCCCCAAAAATGACCATAAAGGCGATATTGACAAAAAAACAAAAATTCAGAAATATTGCAGGTCATTTTGCCTGACTACAATTAAAAAAAAAGACATAATAAAATATCTAAAATATTTAAAGATCAGTAAATTTATAAGCCCTATAATAAAATGAAATTCTTGTGGAATAAAAAAAAATTAAAATGACAACCTACCATAAATACATAACATTAAGAATATAGTGCATCAAAAGCTTGGAGGTAGAGCTAAAGTGATCCTCAAAGGAACAGATAACCCTTATGCTCGTTGTCATCAAATGAGAAAATGGAAACTAAATGAGATTATTATTTGAAAGATCTTCAAAGAGGACAACAAAGCCGCCACAAATAAAAAATTAATACAAATACAAGTCTAAGAGAAAAACTAAAGAATTAATGAAGACAATGATTCACAGAAAGATTCAAGTAGACAATACTTTCATATTTATGACTCAGAAAGAGAAAGAGAGTGAAACAGAGAGAGAGGGAATCTGCCTATTTTCTTTCTGACCTAATTTCTCAGTAACTCTCCCTAACTTAATACCACTCTGCCCCCAAAACACTGTTTCTTTGTTGCTCCTGAAAAAGGACAGACATGTTCGGTCTCAGACATTATACCTGCTTTTACACTATGCCTGGAATTCTTTCACCATATAGATATTTTCAATATAATCATTTGTTATTTCTTTCCTTTAAGCTCTCTACTGATGGCACTATTTAACATTGAAACCAGCTCTCCTTACCTTATTTATTTCCTTTTCTTTTTGAAAGTTTTCTTCTATAATTATTATCATCATCAGAGATACCATATTCTGTAGTCTACAAACTCAGTAAGGCTCGGAATTTAGTTTGTTCATTGTACCTCAATGACAGAAAAGTGAATGTTTAATACAAGATATGTGGCTGTAAATAAACATAGGAATGAATAAAAGTAAAAGGGATAAACAAGAAAAACAGCTATAGACATATAGAAAACAACAAAAATACAACTTTATTGAAATAGGAGTCCAAATCTACATGAAATTTGATTATTATTTGGGAAAATTTAGCCATTGGATTTTCAACATGTATGGCATAACATCAAATAACCTTTATACTCAGTAGATACAAGAAAAAGGATTCATCTGAATATTTTAAATACAGGCATAAACTTTAATTTTTGAAATAAAAATATCTCATTAATTGTATACTATTATTTTTGAATGTCCTTTGCTTGAGGAAGTTGCATGGAACTTGTTTTGGGCAATAAGGACTAAAAAGGTAAGAGTGAAGACAAAGTAACTTAATGCCTTGTATAAGGCATTAAGTTTGAGTTTATAATAATCCAGTGAATAACAATTATATATGGAAACAAAATAATTTTATCATGTAGAGTCCTATTTTCTAGTCTTTCTTGTATCTGGAGTTACTGTCTATACCCATGATATTTATTATAATATTGAGTAGTCATTGCTTTTATATTAACCAGATGTACTAGCCCATTCTCACACTGCTATGAAGAAACACCCAAGAATGGGTAATTTATAAAGAAAAGAGGTTTATGCAGGATGTGCGTAGTGGCTCACACCTCTAAATCCCAGCACTTTGGGGAGGTTGAGGCTGGTGGATCACCTGAGGTCAGGAGTTCGAGACCAGTCTGACCGACATGGTGAAACCCCGTCTCTAATACAAAAAAATTAGCCAGGTGTGGTGGCACATGCCTGTAATCCCAGCTACTTAGAAGGCTGAGGCTGGAGAATTGTTTGAACCTGGGAGGCAGAGGTTGCAGTGAGCCAAGATCTCACCATTGTACTCCAGCCTTGGTGACAAGAGCAAAAATCTGTCTCAAAAGGAAAAAAAAAAGAAAAGAAAAGAAAAAAAAGAAAAGAAAGAAAGAGGAAGGAAGGAAAGAAGAGGTTTGACTCACATTTCCACATGGCTAGGGAGGCCTCAGGAAATTTACAATCATGCCTGAAGGCACCTTTTCACAGTGTGGCAGTAGAGAAAATGAGTGCCAGAAAGGAAAACGCCAGACACTTATAAAACCATCAGGTCTCCTGAGACTCATTCATTATCAGGAGAACAGTAAGGGGGAAACCACCTTCATGATTCAGTTACCACCACCTGGTCCCACCCTTGACACATGGGGATTACTACAATTCCAGGTGAGATTTGAGTGGGGACACAGAGCCAAACCATATCACCAGCTATCCCACTTTTTCTAACAACTTCCAGCTTTTCCTTTTGGTAACCAGCCTTCCTCCAATCTTATCATATATTTTTATGGTTTTCAGCCCATACCAAGTTCCAATGATAGGACTTCAGTGACATCACCTAATTAACATAATCCTGTCACATTGCTGAAGATTAGTTGTGGCATGAGGAGCAGCCTCAATAAATAAGACCAAACTCATGGATTTATTTGATTGTGGTCAGAGTTCATGTTCTCTACCTTTAATGTGAATTAGAGCACTTGTAGACCTGGTTGCTAGTGGCAGCCATTTGGTACACTAAGTAGAAAAACCCTGAGACCTAAACCAGATAAGAAAGAGAGCATTGCTGAGAGAGTCACAGAAAAATTGAGCTAGAGTCCTGATTGGCCATGCCTGCCACCAGAATTATCTCTAGGCTTTTTAGCTCCATAAATCAGGGAATCTTTTCCATTGTTGAAGTGGTTTTTACTTTATAAGGACAAAATGTGTGTGTGTGTATGTGTGTGTGTGTGTGTGTGTGTGTGTTGTATTGTGTAAGATTTGGATTTTTAAAAAAGTTTGTTTTTCGTTTTTTGTCATTTTTTAAATTGAGATTCTTGCTATATATAAAGTTCTTCCCACTAGCACAGCCTAAAACTCTTGTTCTTCGTATCAAATTAAATTTCTCAGCAGTTTTGCTTCCCTAGCCTGTAGTTTTGTTCCCTGAACCTTAAAATAAATTTTAATATGAACATGTAGACACTTCTTCAGTGCATTATTACAGATTGAGATAATTGGCTCTGTAATTATATTGTTTCTCTTTAGAAAAATAGAATCAGAGCACTAATACTGCAATTTGTATGTTGATCCCTTTATATCATTCTGTCAGACTTCTGGTCTTCAAAGGTTTCCTGAGTCTATTATAATATAGCATAATTCATTCATTTTGCCATCCACACCATTTGTGAGAATGTTCTCATTAATTACCTTCAATATCAACCATTACATCCTCATCTGAAACTATGTCCTTTTCTTCAACATTTTTGTCGTGATGTTTTAAACTCTTTCTTCAGGAAAAAATAATAATCTCAGCTCTTTGTGAAGACATGATGAATTATTTCCATGAAGGCTCATTTACGAAAAACAACAAAGAGTTCTTACAAGAAACAAGGGAACAATCAATTCAGATGAAAAAGAAGTGACCTATGCCTACCCAAACCCAAATGAAACTTTTCTATGGTTCAAAAATTTGGTTAGCTTATTTCTGTTTGTTTTCTTTTTCATTTTCATGCTTCTATGCATTTCCAGCTGGACTGACTCTGGAAGGAGCAATATATTACAAGAAAGCTTGTTCTTGTATTTCCAATCTGATTTCAACCTTTCATGAGAAAGGTTACGATAATCACAAGAAGGCTGAGTTTCTTATCTGAACCTCATCTCTCAACCTTAAAAGGCTTACCCATCACTAGTTCTTAATTTCCAGTGTTCCCTTCTGGGCTAGAATATTTGTTATGATTAATGTATCTCTGATCTTTCCCTCTGTCTCTGCCTCATTCTCTTTCTTCCCCTGTCTTCCGAAGATAACATCTTTCCGGTGTTCCTCTCACATTTATTTGTTTATTTCCAGCTCTTTCATCTCTTGAAAGGTTAACTTTGGAATCATGGCTAGATATTCCTTGTGGACTGGAAAGTCCACAAGGAAAATATATTAGAGATTGTGAGTTAACTTTATGATTTTTTCTCTTTTATTAAAAACAATAGTTTCAACACTCAGTTATTTGTCTGGATTGTACAATTAAGGTAGTATTGAATACAAAATATTTGTCACTATCAAACAATTATAGATAATGATTGTATAATGGATATAATTAAGAAGGTTTAAATTCATTGTCTTGTATAAATAATTTTCTTTAAAATGAAATAATTAAAAGCATCATTTTCAAAATACAATATTTTATTAGAGCAAGAAATTGAAGCCATTATTGGCTTTACTTCAGTATCTCTAATCTGTAAACATGCTAACAAGAGAGAATAAAGCCAGGAACACTGAAGTACTACGAACTTAATTTACCATTTTACCAAAGAGGCTGAGATTTTGGGGAAAGGCCTGCATGGAAGTTAGATTAAATTGAGAGCCAGCACAAATTATATTGGAGAAATAAAAATAATAGCCTTGCTACCTAAGAAAAAGTGTAAACAAGAGTGGACAAAGAACACAAAGGAATAGAAATAAGGAATAGATAAATACATAATATTTTAAGGCACAATCTGTAATTCTTTGGCTAAAAAAAGTTTCACAAGCTAGTCAATATGAACAAATCCCTTCTTAGTAATAATAGTAATTTTTTTAACATTTCCTAATTATTTTTAAAAACTAAACTACATATTTGAAATGAATAAGCAAATGAAGTAATTTTAAAAAACACATTTCAGTATAGTTTTGATGCATAAAATAATGGCAAGCTATTTTTGTCATAAAATCTTTGATTATAGGAAAAGTGGGAAAATCAATGAAACAAAAAAGAACTTCTGATTATTCTCCATAATACTTTTATTCTCCATAGCTTTGCTTTTCTCATGACATGATGGCATGTAACAATTAAATGAGTTTTATTCTAGATCATTTGTTATTAGAGATATTTTATAATACTAACGAAACCTGCAAAACTATTATATAGGCTTTTTATTTAATCCAATCTCAAGTGTTGTTTCTGCTACAGATGCTCTATCTAGAGCATTTCTGAAAGGCCAGCTACAGGAGTGACTCAATTTATGGAATAAGAAATCAGACATTAATAGAGATTCAAATCTCTAGTTCTCATTAACCTTCTAGCTCTGAGCAAGCAAATGAAGTCCTAAGCTTTAGGAGTTAGTTAGTTATTATTTTTCTTTTTATTATGATCTTCTGATAAGGATAAAAAGAAAATCTATCTATATAATCATTATAAAAAGTAAATCTAATACGAGTGGAAAACTATTGAAGAAAAATATTATAAAGTTAGGAATTATAAGAGAACAATAATGGGATTCTAGTAGATTGGACTTGGGGTCGGACACACTTGAGTCCATATCATAAGTTTTCTGCTTTCAAGCTGATGATTTTATGCAAATTCCAACTTCTTGTAGCCCCAGTTTCCTTACGTGTAAAAATTATGATACCTATCTTATTGAGCAGTTTTGAGAATTAAAAAGGTAAGATGATACTTAGCAGAGCTCTGCAAAGAAAGTAACTAATAATCAATGAAGCTAAAAATAATAATAAGATGGTGCTTTCTGAGTGTTTTGAAGTCATTAAATTGACCAGGTAAGATATAACCTGCTGAAAGTGAGATTAACCTTTTTGAAATTTATGCTAAAGGATGGTGAGCTGAAATTATGTTCCCATCACATTGGATAACTTAAATGACATTTTCATATATATTAAATGATGGGAATAACTAATTTTAAACACATGAACCAATGATAAAAACTTTCTTTTTTTCAAAATTCCTCAAGGACTTTTTAAACTCCCTTAAGGTTATTGTCAATATGATGCTGTTTATTTCAACCTATGGAGCTGCTCTGTCTCCTTGTTTTTTTCCTCAACACATCTACCAGGTTTAACTGGTGTCAACTCTTTGTGACCTCTAGCGAGGCAAATGGCTGAAGCGTCTGGCAGGTTCATTTGCACAGTAATGAGTTCTGTCTACTAGTCTGCTAGAGACTGATGGGGAGAAGGAGATTACTTTCCACCACTGCCTATTAAATGTGATTGACATTCCTGTATGATATCTGTCTTCTTTAACAGCCTTCTCTCCTCCCCTAGAAACATTTCATGAGCACAAAGAGTTGTACTTAAATGAGGTTTGAAGCATTGCTCTTCTTCCACATGTTTTCATTTCAATTCTTAAGGTATAAAAAGAATTTTTAGCGAAAAGAAAAAAATGATATGATACTGTGCATAACTGGTAAGAGGAAAAAAACTTTTGAGTGTTGAAAACATTAAAATAAAATACTTTATCAAGTCTCCTTCAGCAAAAGAAACAGAGAAAAAGTAGAAAATATATTCTAACTCTTCTAACTCATTATATTTTCTTTAGCATCGTTAATTGTGCCTTTTCGCTTAATATTTTAAAACATTGACATTGATCATAGCTTTTATGTCTACATTTATGTTCTAGTCTTCTGTTTTATTTTTTCTTTTAGTTCCATATTATCTATTTTAATATAATTTTTGTTTTATGATTCAATTCCTATAAACTTCTTTTTAAAAAGGTCTCTTAATAGCTCAGTAACTCGAAAAATTACAACAAACACAGTAACTTTTTTATTTTATACCCTCTAAAGCATGCATTTAGCAGAAAACATTCCAAAAAACCTCAACATAACACATATATTTTAATTCTTGTAAAATTTATTTTTTTCTATTACACTTTACTTTCAACATAGAAGGCCATAATATCATGTACATTTTATTTTAAGGTCTCATTGCCGGAGTCCATTTTAAAACAAAATGGAAGGCTAAATTCTATTTAATTGCAACAAATCATGGGTAAATCATATTGAAATTCTTTCCATGTAGTAAAATGTGACTATCTTTTTCCATTGTTATATGTTTACATTAATTCCTGTGTATGCTTATGATCTATGTTTCATGTCAAACTTCCACTCGGTTGAATTTTTAAATGTACCTAATCATAATATCATTTATGCTAAGATCTGATGACTTAATAGCTTAAATAGTTGCCCACCAACTTTGAACTACATTTATTAGATTCCTTCATAAGCATCTTTCTATATAAGGTAACCATGAAGGTCTGTCTGTTGGTTTAAGTTTTGGGTATAGCTCCAATTGGAGCTATTTGAGGCATGAAATACACCTCAGCATAATTTAGAATTTCTGTATGCCCTGGTGTAAATCAACTGTTTGACAAGAGCAATGTAGCTATGAAAGTGAGAGTAGAGCAGAAATGTGTTTACATTCACTCTACATTCATTTTCATTGAAAGAGAAAGCAAGAGGCAGCCAGCTGCAGAAGAAAAAGTCAAATGCTGCTGTTAGGAGTCACTAAACAATTTTACCCACATCAATTGTTAATAAGATATTTCTCACAGTTTTGCTGTTACAGAACGGGAAGCACTAAAGAATAGTAGATGTCATCTGTCAGCTCTAGCAAAACAGTGTTCTTAAATTCTCTTTGTAATAAAAAATGCTTCTATATTAACGATTGCTTTATTAAAGTATGGAGAAGGAGCTGTTGGGGACTTTTCTGGTATTAGTATTATAATTTAATTTAACTTAGAGCAGAGGAGGAAATTTAATCATAGTAACGTGCTCATGTGATTCAGAAGCATGAAAAGTAATTACGTCAACCTTTATAGAGTCCAAAAGAGTTATGATTGATATAGCACAAGAAATGTATTAGAGTTGAAAAGACAGATCTGGAAAAAAATAACAGGAAGACATATAATATCTTGATTTTACTTTTAAATACACAGACACTGTTTAAAATAATGAATTAAAAGCAAAATAAGCAAGATGCATAAGTATTTACTGGCAAAACTTGAAGATATTGCAGGTTTGATTCCATACCACTGCAAAAAAGCAAGTGACACAATTTTTTTTTTTGTTTCCCAGTGAACATAAAGGTTATATTTACACTACATTTTAATCTATTACGTGTGCAATAACATTATATCCACAGAAGCAATGTATTAGTTTCGTTCAAAGGTAATTGTGGTTTTTGCAATTACTTTCAATGGTGAAAACCACGATCACTTTTGCACCAATTGAATATACCTCTTAATTAAAAATACTGTATGTCAAAAAATGCTAATGATCATCAGGACCTTCAGTGTGTCATAATTATTTTGCCGGTAGAAGAGGGCAACATCTTCATACTGATGTTGCTGACTGATCAAAGTGGTGGTTGCTGAAGTTTGGGGTAGCTGTGGCAATTTCTAAACATAAGACAACAATGAAGCTTGTCACATCAATTGACTCTTCCTTTCCCAGAAGACTTCTCTGTAGCATGAAATGCTGTTTGGCAGCATTCTAGCCACACTAGAACTGCCTTCAAAATTGGAGTCAAACCTCTCAAATCTTGCTGTTGTTCTGTCGGTTAAATTTATGTAGCATTCCAAATCCTTTGTTGTCATTCCAACAGTGTTCACAGCATCTTCACCTGGTGTAGATTTCACCTCAAGGAACCACTTTCTTGGCTCATCCATAAAAAGCAACTCCTCACTCATTCAAATTTTTTCATAAGATTGCAGCAATTCAGTCACATCATCAAGATCCACTTCTAATTATCTTGCTCTTTTAATATATCTGCAGTTGCTTCCTCTACTGAAGACATGAATCCCTCAAAGTCATCCTTGAGCGTTGGATTCAGCTTCTTTCAAACTTCTGCTAATATTGCTATTTTTATTTTTTCCCATGAATCACAAGTGTTTTTAATGGTATCTAAAATGGTGACTCCCTTCCAGGTTTCAATTTACTTTCCCCAGATTCATGAGATGAATCACTATCTGTGGCAGCTACAGCCAGCCTTATGAAATGTATTTCTTAAATACTGAGGCTTGAAAATTGAACTTCCTACTTGATCCATGGGCTGCAAAATGGATGTTGTGTTAGCAGACATGAAAACATTAATCTCTTTGTACATCTTTATCAGAGTTCTTGGGTGACTAATTGCATTGTCAATGAGCAGTAGTATTTTGAAAGGAATCTTTTTTTTCAAAGCAGTAGTTTTCAACAGTGAGCTTAAAATACTCAGTAAACCATGCTGTAAGCAGATGTGCTATCATCCAGGCTTTTCAATTCCATTTGTAGAGCACTGGTAGAGCAGATTCAGCATAAATCTTAAGGGCCCTAAGATTTTGAGGATGGTAAATGAGCATTGGCTTCAACTTAAAGTCACTAGCTCCATTAGCCCCAACAAGAGGGTCAGCTTGTCCTTTGAAGGTAGATTTCGGCTTTTCCTCTGTCATTATGAAAATTCTAGTTAGCATCTTCTTTCAATAGAAAGCTGTTCTGTCTACATTAAAAATCTATTTGTTTAGTATAGCGACTTTCATTAATAATCTTAGCTAGATCTTCTAGATATCTTGCTGCGGCTTCTATATCAGCACTTGCTGCTTCTCCTTGCACTCTTATATTATAAAGATGACTTCAGTTCTAAAATGTTAAGTTTTCTAGCTTCAAATTCTATTTCTGCAGCTTTCTTACCTCTCAGTCTTCATAGAGTTGAAGAAAGGTAGGACCTAGTTCTGGATTAGGCTTTGGCATACTTAAGGGAATGCTGTGGCTGCTCTGATATTCTATTGAGACCACTAAAACTTTCTTTGTATTAATAATAAGGCTGTCTCACTTTCTTATTCATGTGTTCACCGGTTAAGTTCTTTCAATTTTTTTCAAGAACTTTTCCTTTGTATCCACAACTTGGCTAATTGTTGGCTTAAGAGACCTAGGTTTGGTATATCTCAACTTTCAACATGTTTTCCACAGTAAGTTTAATCACTTGTAGCATTTGATTTAGTGAGAGTAGTGTTGCTTTTCTTTTCACCTAAACACTTAGAGGCCATCGTAGGGTTATTAATTGGCCTAACTTCAATATTGTGTCTTAAGGAAAAGTAGGAAGAGAGACCAAGGAACAGCCAATCGGTGGAGCAATCAGATAACACACAATATTTATCAATTAAGTTTGCCTTATGTGGGCAGAGCTCTGGATAAACTCAATAGTAAAATCAAAGATCACTGATCACATCACCATTACAGGTATAATAATAAGGAAAGTCTGAAATGCTATGGGACTTAGCAAAAATGTGACACAGAGACACGAAGTGAGCACATGCTGTTGGAAAAATGGCACCAATAGACTTGTTCAATGTAGGGTTGCCACAAACCTTCAACTTGTTAAAAAAAAAAAAAACGTATCTGTGAACTGCAATAGAACAAAGTATATTAAATGAGGTATGCTTGTATAATCCTTAAATTATATTTGTAATAATCTGGTGATCTGAGTTACCAATATGAGCAACATCTAAAAATTATTCTAATAAGAAATATTAAATGTAACAGAACAACAAATCTAACAGAATGGACGATGATGAAGTGTTAAAGAAAATCCAGAATTTTTCTTCACTATCAGGAATGAAGAAAACATAATTCACTTTTAGTTTTAAATTTCCAAAAAGATTCAGGTACTATTTAATTTGAGAAATGAAAATATAACTGGTGGAATTTTAAAATACAACATGCAATCTTATATAAATTTCATACTACTGTAAAGGTTGTTTTTCTAGAAGAATTCCTTTTATTATAAAGGCTGAATATTTTATTTTAGATGCCTAAGAGTAAAAACAAAACATTCTTCAACCTTAAAAAGCAAATCTTTTTACCTATCTTTTCTAAGCATCCTTTGTTCTGACAGACATCCTTTTCTAATAGCTCAAAAAGGCAATGCATGAGACCATTTTTTTTCACATTGTTATATTTTCATTCAGTACATTTTTTGAGGGCCATAGGCTTATCCCTGAGTATTGCATATAGTTATACAGGGTGCTGAACAAGTGTATGTTAAAAAATTGAATGCTGAATATCAACATTGTCTTGGAGACAGTATTAATTATTGAATTTTGAATATTTCCAATCTGCATAGAAAATTATTTGAAACAGAAAAAATTATTAACATATGAGGCTTTGTAGTAAATTATTTCAGCTATTTTATCTCCTAATACATTTAGAAATGCAGACGTAAATGCTTTTCAAATAATGAGCTTTTGCTATCTATACCAAAACCATGCTCAGAAAAAGCAACTGATAAAAATAAATAAACTTTTAATTGCTCTATGTGTCTACCCATCTGGAAACATTCTTTATATTTACTGACTTCTGTGATTTCTCATCCGTGAGACAATGACTTCTGATTTTGGGTTAGCTTCCCATGAGCTATTATTATATTCAATAATATTAATAAATTGTATTTATTGAATATATATTCTGAGTGTTATTTAAATATTTTACATGTATTAATTCATTTAATCCTCAGAACAACTCCCTAAGGTAGGATTTATTATTTTACAAGCATTTTAAAGCTGAGGTAGGAAGGAATGGTGACATTAAGTATCTTTCCCTAGGTCACATACCTATTAAGTGGTAGGATAAGAATTTGAACAAAAGAAACTGGCTTCACAGCCAGCCCTCCTAGCCACTTTGATATACTATTTCTGGCTCCAACCACCAATACCATTGTTAGTTTGTCTTCTGAAAAAACTCATGAATTGTCCTACAGGATATTCATCTTATTAACAGAGTACCCTTTCAGAATCCACATATAACACATTACCAAACCATACACAAAAATAATCTCTTTCCCTAAGGATAATGTACTTAGTATATTAATAAAGGAAAAAGAAAATATTAATCTCTGTGCCTTACTATTGCAAAAGTGATTGTCTGTTTTGATCACTCCAGATATCATAAATTCACAGAGACTCAACAAAAACACCCAAGATGCACACATGACACTACTACAACAAATTCAACCATGGAAGAAAGTTTTTGATTTTAATCAAAGCACCTAAAGTTAAATTAAAGTTGGGTTGGCTATTTATAGGAACACTCTAACCCAACATGAATCAGAACAGTATCTACAGTGTTTGAAGTTATTTTTTTAACTCTGACTTCCTAATGATCACATTTAAGTGTTGCTGTAAGAATTTGTCCTAAATCTCTAATAATCATTCAATAAGTTAGTACCTGAATCAAAGATAACCAAACCAAATAATTGAAACACATACTATTCATTTTAAAACAAGAAAGATATAGCATATAGGCAACTAATATTAAAATAAAAGTTTATTTCCAAAGAATAAATAGGCCAAAACTGAAATCAAATTCCTAAAACAGGCATTTGTAGAGAAGGTCTTGATTCTTAGATTGTGTTCATTTCTGCCTTTAGAAATGAAGACACATATTTCGTATACATATACATATATACACATCATATATATACATATAAATATATATACATATGTGTAAATATAGAATATTTTGAAGCAGCACTTACATTTCATGTTAATATAAAATTTACCTAGTTTATTTCAAAGCCATTTATAACAAATTGCTTATGCTTTATTCACTCTGTCTCTCTTAATGAAAAATTTATTTTTCCTTTTCTGATTTCCTGAATATTTAGGATTCACTTTGTCCTCTTCTTATTCATTCCAATTCTCCTTCTTTTCTGAGGGTAAAGATATATATTTATGAATCATTCAGCAGGTCAGCCACATGTAGATTCTACATTGCTACAAGCATATGTTACTTGTATCCTGCTTTCTGATTTTGTGATTGACAGCATGAGTTTAAGGGTGACTGTGTTTATTTTCTGCAGTTTAAGATCGATAGAAGTTCAGCAAAGCATATTCACTGATATCTAATATTGCTTCCCTGATGACAGTAGGAATGAAAATTGACACATGAGCTCTTTGAACTTCAGGAAAAGAAAAACCTTACCAGACTGTGGGCTAATGCAAATAGTGACACAAATTAACTTTGAAAATGTTGAGAATACAATAGCAAGAAAGAAATTTGACAGTGAGCCAATAATAATGTCAAGAAATTATGGAATTTTTTCAACAACTTTTCACTTTCTAAATTGAAAACATGAGCATTATTCTTTTTATAAGGCAGGTATTATATATTTTATTAATTTGCCTTCAAAAATGAATTCAATTATATGATGCAAAATTAAGTAAAGAATACATTATACCTTGGGCTCTGTGCTGACAAGCAGTTAGAAAGCAAATTGTTGCTATAAAACCAGAGCAGAAACTACTAAGAACATGTCATCATTGCTGAAGCCATTATTGTCATATAAGTTTTAGAAGAGAAAGTAATACAACGTCTGATTTCTTTTAAAATCAGCTATTATGGCTCAAATTTACATAGCAAAGACAAATAATGTAAGTTAATAACATTAATAGGCCGGGCGCGGTGGCTCACGCCTGTAATCACAGCACTTGGGAGGCTGAGGCTGGCGGATCACGAGATCAGGAGATCGAGACCATCCTGGCTAACATGGTGAAACCCCGTCTCTACTAAAAAACACAAAAAAATTAGCTGGGCATGGTAGCGGGCGCCTGTAGTCCCAGCTACTCCGGAGGCTGAGGCAGGAGAATGGCGTGAATCCGGGAGACTGAGCTTGCAGTGAGCCGAGATCGCGCCACTGCACTCCAGCCTGGGCGACAGGGCGAGACTCCATCTCAAAAAAAAAAAAAAGAAAAGTTAATAACATTAATATAAAACATTTATAACATTAATATAAATTATAACAATTATGTAATTTATATTATATTATATAAATTATAACATTAATATAAAATTTATAGCAATATGAAAAATATTTTCCCATAGTTTCTAGTTAGTCAAGATTTTGAAATTGGTAGATGAAGGTTCAATTTTTTTAATCCGGCTAGTCTCTTTTTAGTCCTTAAATAAACCATGCTTTTGCATAGGTCCTTAATGTTCCTGATGCCTGTAACTCTACAAGTACTTTCAGTGGAATTTCTACCTACACTTTGGCTCTCGGTGTAGGAAAAGACCCTCAGTATGTGTTATATATTCCCTTCAAATGTTCCACAGGGTTTTCATTTTCTCAGTCTGAGATTTTATCATACATAGTGTATTTGCTGCTTGTCTTTATTCTTCATAAAATGTAAAAATTATGAGGACAGGAACCAAATCTACTACCAGTGTCTAATATCAATTATATTAGCAATAAATAGTTGCAGTATGAAACAAATAAGTTAAATAGCATATCCTAGAAAAATTATGAGTATGTCTGTCTCCACATGCAACTGTCTTTTCTGTTGTTTTGAGACGGTGTCACTCTGTCACCCAGGCTGGAGTGCAGTGGCAGGATCTCAGCTCACTGCAGCCTCTTCTCCTGGGTTCAAGCAATTATCCTGCCTCAGCCTTCTGAGTAGCTGGGATTACAGGTGCCCGCCACCATGCCTGGCTAATTTTTGCATTTTTAGTAAAGATGGGGTTTCGCCATGTTGGCCAGGCTGGCCTCACGTGATCCGCCTGCCTCAGCCTCCCAAATTGCTGGAATTACAGGCATGAGCTACCACGCCCAGCTTACAACTATCATTTTTTAATAAGAAAAAAGTAGTGTCTCATTAAGCTTTTTACCACCAATGCCTAACATTAGGCCAAGAATATGATATATATTTAATACATATTTTATTAAATAAAGGCATGTTCAAACAGATATTAGGGAGACACATCTGAATGAAGAGAAAAATCCTGAAACGTACTAACTCCAAAACTTGTTTCTACCAAAGGGAAAAAAAAGAAAAATAATTCCTCCCCATGTCAAAAGACAGCATTGTTTACTGATGGGCAGACTTAGCAAAGTCTTTTATTTACAGTAAGCCCTGATATCATAAGCTAATGTGAGACCTCTCTTCTGCTTCACACCCCAGTTATTACCTAAAGTGGATCCCCCATTTCCTCTTCAAATAGGCAAAATGTTTTTGCTTAAAAAAATAAAAATAAAAAGATACAGTTCATATTGGAGGTGAAAACAGGCATATGCTTAGAGTACAGCATCTAAAATTAAAATATTGTGAGCCTGGGAAACATAGAGAGCTTCATCTCTATGAAACATTAAAAAAAAATAGCAGGGCATGGTGACACATGTCTTAGGTCCCAGCTAATAAAGAGGCAGAGGTGGGAGGATCCTTTGCATCTGGGAGGTCGAGGCTGCAGGGAGCTGAAGTTGTGCCACCACACTCCAGCCTGGGCAACAGAGTGAGACTCTGTCTTAAAAAAATAAAAATAAAATAAAAAATATATTTTTTTCCTCTGTGGACACCAATGTGGGTGGCATTTACTGTTTGCCATGTGTGGAATTAAGTTTCACCCACTAAGCTGTGGCAAAACTCATATTTCAGGGTGACAAAAACATAGTCTGGGAAATCAGAAAAGCCTAGGGTAGCTGATTCCTCGCTCTGCTACAGACTAAGTGTAGAATGTTGGGAAAATCACTTACACACTTTAAGTATCGATGCCTTCAATTGGAGGAAGAAAATAATACCTAATTCATGGGGATTGAAAAGATTAAATTTGCAATCCTGTCAGATTCTCTTTTCTTTCGTTCCTCACAAACTAGCTCTATAATGCTCCTTTGAAAGGCTGGAGTTCTACAATACCAAAACTATCATTTTCTCAGATGCTCTGATTTCCCGACCACTTCATAATTACCAATGATGGTGTCTGTGATGCTTGGCGGTAACCATCAATAACTGAATTGTTCTTTTCCTAATCCAGGTACTATCTGTGGGTAATTTTGCTTAAAGCAAACCCATGTTCAAGTCCGCAAGAATGTTTAAAACATTTTCATCGCTCTGGTTTAAAATTCAAACCATAAAATCAAAGGATGGACAAATTATCACATTTTTCTCTAGCCAAGGTTTTTTTTCTTTTTTTAATTTTTCGCTATCTGATTTGTGGTGCTAACTAAATTCATTTCCCTGGGTTTTCTAACATTTTTAGTCTCTTGACACTCAGCATATATTTCTGTTTCAAAAAAGTCCCAACTCTACAATTTTTGTTTTTAGGATTATTACTTTTCCTATGGCTTTAAAAGGGGTTTAATTTGAAATACTAAGCTGAGCAATAATGTCTTTGTTATTGGCTGTATTTCTTTATGCCAAAGCAAATGAAGAACTTTCAAAGCTATTCAAGTATTGCCAAAAAGTCAATGGTTGCCCCAAGTCTCTGAAAGACGAATTATCAACAGGTATCTAAAAGTATTATTTGCCACAAAGATTTGCACAAAAAACTAAACCAGAGAATTTTAAGGGGCCCTTTTTATCAAATTTGACAACAAATGGTGCCATACTCCATCACCTTCTCAAACTTCTGGATTTCTTCTCAGCTCACAGTATAGTTTACCACTAGCAATAATATATATATAAAACATTTCACATTTATAACAACACCTGATGTGTAGTAAGTCAATAAATGGCGTGTAGTACCTCAATAAATGGTAGGTAACATTTTAACCAAGTATGATGACTTCTTACAGAAAAAAATTGCAGATTTTTATTTGTTCTATTATATTGGGACCATTAGGATCCCATCTAATTTTGTAAAGAGCCCTTTGTTAAATTATGATTGGGGAAGGCACAATAATATTTATCACCAACTGCCTTAATCTTTTTTTAATTTCAGGCTATGTATCCTAATATGAGTTAGTCATTTCACAGTTGACATGATCTTCTATTTAGTTTATCTATAAAAATTATAGCAAATTCATGAATTTATTTTGAATGTTCCTCTCTGACCTTCATCTATTAGCTTTATACCTTCATGTTTTTATTTGCCTGTTTCTAATTTTCATGGAATTCTGCCCATGGGCAGAGATTAAGCATTAACTAAGAAGCTCTCTAATCTGTTATACTATTAATTTGAATTCACTTTTGATCAGTTATTAAAACATCATTTTAAGACCATTTGATTGCTAATACTTTTTATTTTGTAGTGTTTAACAATGAAAACACATTTATAGTAAAATATTAAGCATTTGTGACTAATCAGAGCTACAAATTATCTTAACAGTAAAGTAACACAAAATTAATAATTATCATAATCTCCATAGACATGGAACTTTCAGCACTATAGAGGCCACTGTGGGGGAAAAAAAGTCAGTAAAATATATTTCCATTCTCTGTTTCACAGGTGTGTTGGAGGAAGATTTCGGACAGTTTCCAAGTTTTCAAACCTGGCTTTAGGGATCATGTAATGCCCCTTACCGTGTCCTGTTACCTATAAGTAACAAAATCAAAGTTCTATGGCTATTGTTTACAAATGGCTAGGACAAACTCATGCTCTTTCCCTTTGCTAAAACAATTTCGATCCCTACAATCTTTCTTTTAATTTTACACTGTCATTATGTCTAAGGAACATATCTTTTTAAAAACATTTTATTTTAAAGGAACATTTGAAGGTGCTTGGCTGGTGGTAGGTAGCTAAGAACTCAGAAGAATTTGAAATAAGAGTCTATGCCCACTTCTGACATGGTTCAATTAGGTAGTAAAGCAGTTGTAAGATTTACAAGGATCTCAGCACAAGAAACAGCGGAGGGAGAGTGGCTAAGATCAACAAGCTACCTGCATTTTCACAAGAGCTTTTCATTTGTGCCTCTCTCTCTGCCAGAGGAAACAAGCAGAATTTGATAACCAGTTGCCCTGGACATTGTTGGAGCAAGAGACCTTGAATCATTGTTGTTCCTATATTTTTGTTTTTTCCCCTGAGTTTTAGCTTCCCTTGGGGGCTTTGGGGCAGGAGTGTTAAAGACTGAAAGAGGATTTGAATTACTGACTATGAGAGCCTCTGGTACAACTGTGTTAGTTCTAGCTAGTAAACTCAGAGTTTATACTAGAACGACTATGCCAGCCATGTTTTCTAAACACTGTAAAGAAGCAATACATAGAAACTATCTGTGTTGTCAGTTTATCAAGATTTTGTAATTTTAATAAGCCCAGTCATTTGATAATATATGAGGAAAACACCATTGATTAAAACAAATATTTCTTGGAAGACAGCTTCAGATAAACACATGTCTAGAAGCAGAGGGGAGGAGTGGTCACACAGAGGAAGTGTTGGGATCTGCTAGCAAAAAAAAAAAAAAAATTCACTACATTTTTTCCACAAGAAAAATGTGTAGTCTATTAAATTCCAAGCACTATATATCAAATCCTATAGAAAAAAAAATTATGTGTGTCTGTGTGTGTGCGCTCATTTCCCTTAAAATAATTGAGTGTCATGAGATTGAAATGCATAGGAAAGACCGTTGAACTATTGTCCCATATCCCAAAGTATTTAAAAATCTGAAAAGCTCAATCGAATTATACAAAGCCACATTTAGGGATATTATAGCTTGTTTTTAAAGGCATCATGTATTTTGAGACAACACTAATGGAACTGAAGGTCATTATCTTAAAAAGAAATAATTTGGAACAGAAAGTCAAGTACTACATGTTCTCACTTAAAAGTAGGAACTAAAAAATGGGTACACATGGACATGCAGAGTGGAATACAGAGACTACAGAAGGTAGGAGGAGTTGAGAGTTGAAAAATCATCCTCGGGTAAAATATTCACTATTTGGGTGATGCGTACTGATTATATGCATATAAGAAACAGGCACGTGGCACGAGCACACACCAGGCTTCTCTCTGGCCTCAGCTCTCCCCTACTGTACCATAGAATCAGCCACCCAGGTAGGCCCTCCAGGCCTCCTGCACCCCACTCTAGTCCCTGGCCCACTTCAGTTCACTGCAATTCCCATGGGTTTCACGAAATAAATGAGAAGTTCGATGCTCGCTCCGTGACATACTGCAACAAGCCAGATATAGAGGCCTGGGAATTGCATAAAGAAATGAACACATTTATTATCTACTATCTGGTTCCAGAGCCCAAAATTATTGATGCTGCTTGTAGATGGTTAAATGATTTTCCTAGTGCAGTTCTCATCCTAGAGATTGTTAAAGACAAAGCAGGACCTGATAAAGAAATCTACCCCCATGTCATCTGAAACTTAGACAAATCTTAAATGTATTGGGCATATCCACTCTAGAGGAACATGGCCTTGAGAAAGTGTAAACCCCACGGATGTGCTTCCCAAGGATTTGTTGGAATTGCTACTTGATTGTAGTCACGTGGAAATACTGATGATAACATATTACCTTATTTGAACAAGTTTTCCTTTATTGAGTACCAAGCCATGTAATGGTAACTTGGACTTTGAAAAACGGGAAATGAATTTTAACTGAAAATAAAAAAAAAAGCTCTACCTGTACCTCCTAAATACATAAATACTAAAAAAATAAAAAAATAAAAAACAATAACCTCTTTTATTGATTGGTTGATTGATTCTCTTATTCAATACTAGTTATAAATTTTAACACTATACATAGAATTGGAAAGGAAGGAACAACTTATAGAACTCTGAAGTTAGGAACCAAGTAAAAAGCCAGAACAAGAAGCACAAGCAGGGTGTCCTAAGAGCACAGCAACAGTAGGCAGACATCGGCAGCCATATGTGAAATCAAGGCAAGCAAAGAATTTTTCCATATGTAACATGAGGTAGGGTTCCCAGAGAGGGCCTCCCGTTTTCAAAAGGAGAGAATCACTACCAAAAGCAAGATAGGAAGCACAATTAGCCAGTTTGAATCAAATTATTACTCACTTTTTCATTAAGTTATTCATTTTTTAAATGTATTAGGTGGTTTATTTGTGACTACAATTGTTTCCTTAGGTCCAAGAGATAACAAGGTTAATGAAACAGAATATTTACCTTCAAAAACTCATTTCTGCAATATGCAAAAACTCTTTGACAGGTTGCACTCATAGGACATTTAGAATACAGCAAGTAGGCCGGGCGCGGTGGCTCACGCCTGTAATCCCGACACTTTGGGAGGCCGAGGTGGTTGGATCACGGGGTCAGGAGATCGAGACCATCCTGGCAAACACAGTGAAACCCCGTCTCTAATAAAAATACAAAAAAATTAGCTGAGCAAGGTGGCAGGCCCCTGTGGTCCCAGCTACTCAGGAGGCTGAGGCAGGAGAATGGCGTGAACCCAGGAGGTGGAGTTTGCAGTGAGCCGAGATCATGCGACTGCACTCCAGCCTGGGCGATAGAGCGAGACTCCGTCTCAAGAAAAAAAAAAAAAAAAAAAGGATACAGCAAGTAACATACATATTTCACAAAATAAATGAGAAGTATTTGCAATGACAGTTTGTAGAATAAAGTAAATCAGGCATAGCGTACAAAAACAAGTCTTCATGTATTTGAATTGGACCCCTTCTATTTTCTCTGCCCAGCATCCTTTCTTACCGGGAATTAATGAAGAAAGATCTTTCTCTTTTCAGATAGGTGAATCTAAGAATAGGTAAATTCAAAAACTTTTCTTGGCCATATTTTGCCTGTAGGCCAACAAGCAGGAAAAGGTAGATGAAAATGAGAGAAAAGAATAATGCAGCTATGTAGAGATAAGTAAAAGAAAGCATGAGGTGGGGAGTGGGGATATGGAGTGGGGGGAGGGGACATGGCCTGAGGTGGGGAGTGGGGATATGGAGTGGGGGGAGGGGATATGGAGTAGGGAAAGCAATGAGTTGGAGGTAGACAGAGAAAGTGTCCTATACGTCCTGTGTTTTCCAGTACATCTTTTGCTTGTTTCTGTCTCTTTTGACACTTCCTAGACCTTGAATTCCCAGAGATATTGCAGCACTTTTCCAATGAATGCATTTTTTTTTCACTCTAGCCAAACAATGGAAAAACCCAAATCCTGGAAGAAAATGTCAAGTCTAGTACCAGACTAGGAGAAAGGATAATAGCATAAAGTGGCATCTCTTTTAAACAAGAAACCCGACGCAAAATTGTATACATAGGTGAACTTTTTAACTAGATGTATTTTTCTTTCTTTCATAAACTTCTCTTTGAAAGTCTAGTGCTTTTTTCCAAATTAAAATGGTAATCAGTCCAGGCACAGTAGCTCACTCCTCTAAACTCAACACTTGGGGAGGCCAAGGTGAGAGGCTCTCTTGAGCCTAGGGGTTTGAAGCTACAATGAGCTATGATGGTGCCACTATATTCCAGCCTGAATGACAGACCAAGACCTTGTCCTCCCAAAAAAGAAAAAAAAAAATAAGTATTTGCCATCTGAATCTGTCCCTTACATGTTCTAGTCAAAGTTCTTTTGGTCATAAGTAATATAATTTGATCAGTCTAGCTCACATAAAAATGGCAAGAATCATGAACGGAAATAAAACAGTTAATTTTCAGAATCCAGAATAAAGAATTAGGGAAGTGCCAGTTTCTAAAGAAGCCACTGTCTGTATATTTCCTTTCTTCTAGGATTTCTGTGGTCTCTTCTCTGTGTGCATCCATAAAATTTCTCTCTCTGAAGACTGTCACTCTCAGCTTCGTCAAAGTTTCTACACATTCTGTTAACTTGGGCTTGAACTTGGCTTGAGCTGGCCATTGTATTAACTTTGCTCTACATTTTATCTTAGTCTCCTCCTGGAAACTTACTAATCCAAGTGTCTCAGAATTTAAGAAAAGGAAGGAGAGAGAATCTGTTTTATGACTGCTCATAAATTGGACTTGATTCTTTTAAACAATCAAGGCAAAAACTTTGGATTGCAGTGAAAAATTTATTGATAATAATTAATAAGATGATCTAATAGATTTCCTCTGCTTCAGATTTATTTTAGCTCTGGTATATTAAAATTGAATATATATTACAGAAATTAAAACAATCTTACGATAAGGTATCAATAATATATTTTTTGAACTTGAATTAATTGAGATGACAATTCATTAAAATGATTCTTACTAACCTTTATTGTTTACAAGCAAATCCTCAGTTATGTCTTTCCAACTACTCTTTGCTAAGGGAAACCTTTTTATTTGTTTTTTTAATTACTGGAACCTTTTATTATTGTTGTTATTATTATTACTTCTTAAGATTTTTATTTTTTAAGTGAAAAACACGAAACATATTAGCAGATACTGGGCTGAGGACTGTCTATTGCTGGGGAGAAATAGTAGTAAACAGATGTAAAACAAAATAACCAAGAAATAAACTACGTTAATAATTAATACAAATATAGTTGTCAAAAAATCACAAAAAAAATAAGGTTATTTCATTTATTAGCATTCAAAAAAAAAGGTAATATTGACTATAGGGCCATTGGGAATTACATTTTCTTTTATTTTAGATTGTATACTGTATTTTTTATTAGTTTGTATTTTTATTGATTTATTTTTATTTTTTAATTTATTTTTTATTTCAAGTAGGTTTTTGGAGAACAGGTGGTGTTTGGTTATATGAATAAGTTCTTTAGTGGTGACTTCTGAGATTTTGTTGCATCCATCACCCAAGCAGTGCACACTCTACCCAATGTGTAGTCTTTTTTCCCTCAACCCCCTCCCACCTTTTCCCCTAAGTCCCCAAAGTCCATTGTTAAACTCATCTTTTAAATATCATTTACAACAGTATCTTCTTGACTCTCTGGGTGATTTTCTTTGTTCGTCAATTCTAAGGTTTTTGTCAACTACTTTGGCATAAATTTTCCTTTTTTTATTTCCAACTTTCATTTTAAATTCAGAGGTACATGTGCAGGATTTGCAGGTTTGTTACATAGGTAAATATGTGCCATGGTGGTTTGCTGCACAGATCATCCCATCCCCTAAGTACTAAGCCCAGCATCCATTAGCTATTCTTCCTGATGCTCTCCCAACCCCCACTTTCCAACAGGCCTCAGTGTGTGTTGTTTCCCCATTGTGTCCATGTGTTCTCATCATTCGGCTCCCACTTGTAAGTTAGAACATGCAGTATTTGGTTTTCTATTCCTGCATTAGTTTGCTGAGGATAATGGCTTTCAGCTCCATCTATATCCCTGTAAAGGAGATCATCTTGTTCCTTTTAAGTCTGCAGAGTATTCCATGGTGTATATGTACTACATTTTCTTTCTGCATTCTATCATTGATGGGTATTTAGGTAGATTCCATGTCTTTGCTATTGTGAATAGTGCTGCAACAGCACTAATTTTCAATACTATTAAGTTGTTTCTTAGGATACAATATCTTTTACAGAGAACTATTTGTTTTATATGTTAATATTATGTTCTAGGCAAACATCATTTCATGCATTTTTGGATCCCTCAAATACATGCAAGCAGTATCCATTCAAAGCAACGTTAAAGATTTTAAACAGGTAGAAATTTCCTAGTGACTGTTTTTCTAAATCAAATTAAATATGGTTCTGTCCACTTCTCAACCCAGATGTCTCTTACCAGATGGTAAATAAATAAATAGATAGCTTCTGTCATTGACTCATCTTCTGAGAAGGCCCAGAAGCTCTTTCTCATGTTAATACATGTGACACTAGGTCCCCTAGTTTGATCAATTCATAATTTAAGTTCAGATGGTTCCTGGATGGTGGGCATCTCCATTGCCTTAATGTTGAGAATTCTTGCCATAACAAGAAGCCTATGTTATACACCCCAGACTTCCCATGTGCTCCATCATCTCTGAATCCATTCCCTTCTGAGGTCCTGCTACCACCCCACAGTGACACTGTTCTGCTGAACTCAGCTCCTACTGTAAGAAATTAACTAACATACCCTTCTCAGCTTCAGAATGTTTTCATTTTCCTCTTCTCAGGTTAGTAGTTTCCACTTCTCCCCTATAAGTCCTTTCCTCTATACCTTCTCTCTTTTGTAATGAAGTTCTGGATGTCTCGTAAGTTTCCTTCAAATAACCTGTATGAATTTAATGTTGGTCTCTTTTTCCTATTATTTGACACGGCAGACTAAAAATGCTGAAATATGTTTTTTTTTTTACTAGCTCCCCTTGTTTTATTACAACATACACAGTTCATCACTAGAAAAAAGTTTGTAAATAATTGGTTTGATTTGTAAATATTTCAGTTCACAGAAATGTAAATGAAAAGAGGCAGTCTCAGAACTTAGAAATTTCAAGAAGGGAGTAAACCAAGCCTATTAACCTGAGACTTCATTCTTACTGACAGATGACAGTATAACTTTGACCTCACTTACAGCAGACAATATTAATAGTATGCACTGCACATTACTGAACATGAGCAAAGTTAAAAGAAATCTAATAAGTTATCTTACTTCCTTTCTCATTAAATTTCAAATTGGCCAATTTCCATATGAATAACATTTGTGCTAGATGAAAGGAAGTATTGTTCATTATTTATAATAAGTGTCTGACATCACAGATCAAATAATTAAATCATAAAATTGGCAATGCTGACCTGACATTTAGGAATAATAGAGAACATAGAAAACTGATATTTAAAAATAATAGCCCTTTCCTGAAGTACTTACATGAAAAATTCTTACAACAATGAATTATGAAATAGAACTGAGTTATTTTCAAAGCTAAAAATTGTGTGCATGAAATGATAGAAATAATATTTAGAGCACTCACACAGCAGCTTGAATTAAGATAGGAAAATAGTAAAACAAAAAACACCCTCAAATCCTGTATGCTTACAACATCAATAAACTGAAAATATCACAATTATAAGATGTCATGTTAAGGTAGATAAAAGATCTGGAATTTTATCCTCTGGAAACCCTTATCTAGAAAAACAAAGAAAGTTAGAAAAAAGCCATTTTAAAACATTTGTTGCTACTGCCACAGATGAGTTACATTCATTTTAAGCATCCCCTGAAATGGGTAGACAAAATATTAAATTTTATGCTTGACAATTTACAGAGTTCCATGAACCTGATTAAAATATATCCAGATCAATTTCAAACAATGTGCAGGAAGTTTTGTAAAGTAAGACACTTGGCAAATAAATGTGATGCTGAGTGTCTCCACTGTTAAAAAGAATATAGGACATCATGCCTTAAGAGTAGTCAAAATCAGATGTTTCTTAAAAGAACTAATGTGAAATGTTTTAAGAAAGTTATAACGATGTATGCTTTTACATTTATAGTCCCTAGCAGTTATCTTGGCACTCCCCTCTGTAGTTCCTGCCTAGTCTCACTCATTATAAATACTTGTAATTAGAGGAAACATTTTACCAAATTTTTTATTATTTCCATTCAACTTGCATGTTCTGCATAGAACATATATTTTCTTGTCCTGCTACATATTAGCTTCCAATACCTGTGTAAATTTATTCTTAAGAAGAACTAATTTTAAGTAAAACATTTATTTTAGACTGTACCTCTAAATGCCAGTGCATTCACATTATGTTTATTTTATTTAAACTTCATGCTTGACATAATATTTATAATATGGTAGATAGAATTATATGATGACACCAAAAAAATCCCACCTCCTGGCATCATTCATAGCATTGTGTAATCCCCTATCTTGAGTAACTTGTTCTAACCAAGGGACAATCACAACACTGAGAGGAAGTTACCTCCATGATTAGGTACCTATGTGATTTCTGTCTTGCTAGCAGAGTCTCTCTCTTGCTAGCTGTGGGGAAGCAAGATATTATGTGGAAAGGCCCATGAGTTAAGGAACTCAGGGAAAACTCCACCCGAGTGAGGAACTGGGGGCCTCAGTTCAACAGCCCAGCCCACAGAAACTGAATCCTGTCAATAACCCCTGAGAGCTGGAAGTAGATCCTCCTGAAGTTGGGCCTTCAAATAAGACCCAGCCCTGGTTGATACTTGGATTGTAGCTTCATGAATGGTCCCGAATTACAGGATCTGCTAAGCCACGCCCAGACTCCTGACCAACTGTGAAAATATACATATATATATATATATATATATATATATATATATATATATAGTTTTAAGTTGCTAAATTTGTGATAATTTGTCAGGCAGTAACAGATACCGAATACATAAGATAATATAGGAATAAAATAAATTAAGAGCAAAAATTCAAATGTCAGGAATTGTCAATATTAAGAGTTTCTCTGCAGCCCAAAGTACATTTATATTTTCTGAGATATTCCCTGTATTACTCTGAGTATGTGGACCTAGCATTAAAAATAACAAAATACCAGCATCCACTCTGTTGCTTATATCATGATTCTTTTATTCTTAGCCCCTAGCATCCATTGAATCACTAAGCCCAGTTGATTCACACATATAAAAATTTATCACATCCAGTCACTTCTCTACTTCTTCACAGTTTTCACCCATCACCTGGCATCTGAAACTTATATCCAGCCCTCTCTATTCACTTTACAGGCCCTCCTTCCCCCTCTGATCTCTCTTATTAAGATAATTCAGAGTGAATTTTCTGAATCCATGTCTGATCATATTTCTCTTTTTTATGTCTTTTGTAGAATAAAGTCACAAATCTTTAATGGAGTGCACCTGCATAAACATGATCTGGCACCTGCTGGCCTCTCCAGGTTTCATATGATGAATTGTCCTCTATACTGCAGATAGACTGACATTTTGTTTTCATATCCTCACACGGGCCACACTCTGTTCCTCCACATGCTGCTTCCTCTGTCTGGACTGTTCTTTTCTTCCATACCAGTACCCATACACAATCTTCCTTAATTAGCCTATTCATTTAAAAAACTAATCTCAGCTTACAATAACTTCTTCAAGGGAAACATTTTTCCGATCCTTTATTTAGGTTAAATTTCCCTTTCACATATTTTAATGGTTATCATGACTGGGCAGTGAGGGAAGAAGAAAACAATGCTGATGTGTAGCAGGTAAAGACCAAGGATGCTGCCATGCATCCTATACTTCACAGGATAGCCCCCCAAAAAGAAGCATTCAGCTCAAGATGTCAATACTGCTGATATTGAGAAATTCTACTCTACGTGTTAATACTTATAGAATGAATAATTTAACTAATGAACACAGTAAGTTTTACTAGGAAGAAATGCAGATGAGAGAACATGAATAAACAAAACTTTGTTTCTATTAGAATATTATTTTCCTTTACAGTTATTTATTAGAGATGGATTCATTCATTCACTTATTTATTACATATCCATTGACCCTTAGACATTATGCTTGGTGGTCTTGGGGATTCTTTGGTAAATTCGGACCCTGTATTCAAGGATCTTTCATACCAGTGGAAGAGAGAAGATAATAAACTAATGAACAAATAATTACGTTGTGATAAATGTTAACAAAGAATTAAACAGAGGGATATCACAGAAACTAGCATTGGGGACGAAAGTTGGCAGCACATTAGCAAGGATATAGAAGGTGACAGACATGCAAAGAACTGGAGAAAGAATATTCCAGGTGTAGAAATAGTGGATGAAAATTCCACTAGACAGGAAAGACCTTCATGTAATCAGAAAACTGAAAGGATTCCAGTAGGATTGGATCATACACATTTGAAATTAATTCAAACTGTGATGGAAATTTATGGTTAAGATATCCATGAGTAATTCAATGAGCTGTAATAGACCAAGGTCTGTTGACTATAGCTCATGGAGCAAATATGGTCCACTGCTTGTTTTTATAAATAAAGTTTTATTCACACACAAAAATTCCCATTTATTTACATTTTATATCTTGCTGTTTTCATGCTTAAAAGAAGAGTTGCAATGAGGAGCATATAGTCTGCAAAGCCTAGAATACACACTGCTGGGCCCTTTACCAAGTTTGCTGACTCTATTGTAGATATTTTATTCAATGATGCATCCTAAACACCAAAAAGATGTCTGGCACTTTATAAGTGCTTAATAAATATGGATTGGAGGAATTAATGTCAAATAGGCAGTTAGGCTTATACATTTGGAGATCAGAGGATAGGTCTTAAATTGAGATATACATTTTGAGAGTACTAACTTAGTCATCATTTGAAGTCATAGGATTATATAAAATTGCATTAAGACACCATTGTAATTAAAGGAAAGAGAGAAATTGGAATAGTAAAAGAAGTAAAGGGAAGGAGATCCAGAATGGAATCTCAGAAGTGTGTTAAAATGTAGACAGCTGGTAACAAAACACAGAATTAAGGAGCCTGTAAGGTAAGAGAAAGAACAAACATTATACTGAAATTGGAATATTAAAAGAAGTAAAGGGAAGGAGATCCAGAATGGAATCTCAGAAGTGTGTTAAAATGTAGACAGCTGGTAACAAAACACAGAATTAAGGAGCCTGTAAGGTAAGAGAAAGAACAAACATTATACTGAAATGGGAATGAACAAAGAAAGGAGGATAACTTGTGGTGATTTGGAAAGTGGAGTTCTAAGTAAGGTGATAATGATGAGAACCAGATTAGTGTTCTGAAAAAAGGAGTAAGTAATTAATAAGAGTATAGACGATGCCTCTATTTTTCACTATGACACCGGCAGAAGAATGTAATAGTATTTGAGAGGATGATGTGAGGACAAAGAAAGGTTTTGTTTTAGGTGATTAGTCTTTCAGCTAGGAGACACTTTAAGCTGAGAGATACTTTAAGCTGGGAGATTTTAGTAACAGGAATTCTAGAGAAGAAAAAAATGTAGCTCAGTGAAGAACTAACTGAAGAACTTGAAGAGTTGAGAAAGTGAATCAAAGAACAAATGAAGGACATGTTTTACGGAAGGGACATCAATTGCATTATAAGAGACGTTATGATGGAGAAGATAGAAGCAGAAAAACGATTTTAAGATTTGGTAATGGGAATATCATATCTCCAGTTACAAGTAACAGAAAACACAATTCAGTGGTTGTGGGAGTTAGTTTTATGTGTCAACTTGACTGAAACAGGGGATTTCCAAATATCCGGTTAAATGTTATTTCTGGGCATATCTGAAAGGGTGGTTCTGGATGAGATTGGGATTGAATGAGAATAGCATTTGAATCCAGTGGCGTCTGTAAAGTAGATTGCCTTCCTGGGGTGGGCGTCATATAAACCACGGAGGCAGAAGGAACTCACACATTTTCTTCCTGTCTGCCTGAGCTAGAACATGGGTCTTCTACTACCCTAAGAAGAGGTTTTACACAATTGTTCTCCCCTGGTTCTCAGGCCTTTGGTCTCAGAAAGGAATTATACCATCTGCATTCCTGGGTCTCCAAATTGTAGATGGCAGACCATGGGACTTCTGAGTTTCCATAATTCTGTGAGCCAATTATCATTACACACACACACAGAGAACATGTCCTGTTGGTTCTGTTTCTTTAAAGAACCGCAGCTAACACAATATGTTTAAGTAAAAGACGAGGATTTGTTATCTTACATAAGTTAAAAGTCCAGGAGAAGAACTAGTTTCAGGAGTCTTTGAATTGCTTACTCAAATGTTGTAATTATACCTGGTTGCTTTCTATTGACTCTGCCTCCAGTCTGTGCATTAATTCTCTGTGCATTGCATTAACGGGAGCAGCTTCAAATCACATCTTTGTACCAACATATAGGAAAGAAAGTGCAAGCTTCTCTTTCCCAGTACTATCAGAAAGACCTCCTTTCATTTCTTCACTAGAATGTCTTTATTTAAGTGTAGAGTATAAACTAGTTGATTTAAGTCAATTATGTTTTTCCCCTAGAATTAAATATGGGTCAACCTCATCCACTTACGTTGCTAAGTGTTGAGATGGTAATTAGGAAAGCCAGTGAAACTCTGGAGCACGGTAAGGAAAAGAATGGTGAATAATTGCTGATGAGTAAAAACAATATAAAGTGTAATCCTAGCACTTTGGGAGGCTAAGGCAGGTAGATCACTTGAAGTCAGGAGGTCAAGACCAGCCTGGCCAACATGGTGAAACCCCGTCTCTACTAAACATACAAAAAAAAAAAAATAGCCAGACGTGGTAGCATGCACCTGTAATCCCAGCTACTGGGGAGGCTGAGGCAGGAGAATTGCTTAAACCTGGGAGGTAGAGGTTGCAGTGAGCCAAGATCGCACCACTACACTCCAGCCTGGGTGACAGAGTGAGACTTTGTCTCAATAATAATAATAATAATAATAATAATAATAATAAAATTTAAAAAATAAAAAAATAAAAATAAAGTTAACTTTAAAAGAGTGATGCGAATTTTGTTACACAATAAAAACATTAGGCCAGGTGCAGAGGCTCATGCCTGTAATCCTAGCACTTTGGAAGGCTGAGTGGGCCAATCACTTGAGGTTGGGATTTTGGGACCAGCCTAGCCAATATGGTGAAACCCTATCTCTACTAAAAAAATACACACAAAAAAAAATTAACCAGGCATGGTGGTGTGCATGTGTAGTCCCAGCTACTTGGGAGGCTGAGGGATGAGAATTGCTTGAACCCAGGAGGCAGAGGTTGCAGTGAGCCACGATTGCATTGCACTCCAGCCTGTGTGATACGGCGAGACTCTGTCTCAAAAAAAAAAAAAAAATCCATAAATCATTCTTTTGTGTACATTCTGAAATTATGCAAATTCATCAGTTTAAAAATATAGAATTTTAATAATTTCAAATCTCAAAGAAGAAGTGAACTGTAAACTATATGTACTATATTTTCACACTGTTTAATCGCTTTAACTGAGAGTAGAAATTACAGTCTCTTCCTTGCTGTTGTTTGTATGTATCAGTACTTCTGTAAAAGATTTGTTTATTCTTGTGCCATTACTTCTATATCATTATGTAACTTAAAATGTTGTCTTATTACAATGTCATATGAAGACCGGGCGTGGAGGCTCATGCCTGTAATCCCAGCACTTTGGGAGGCCAAGCTGGGCGGATCACCTGAGGTCAGGAGTTTGAGACCAGCCTGGCCAACATGGTGAAACCCCATCTCTACTAAAAATGCAAAAATTAGCCAGGCATGGTGGCATGTGCCTGTAATCCTAGCTACTCGGGAGGCAGGAGAATCACCTGAACTTGGGAGGTGAAAGTTGAAGTGAGCCGAGATAATGCCACTTCACTCCAGCCTGGGTAACAGAGTGAGAATCCATCTCAAAAAAAAAAGTCGTATGCATACTCGTTAATTTTTGAGACTGGTGCTAAAAATGTAATTAATGTGCAATATCATTAGAGAGGAAGTTAAAGGTGATCAAAGCTACTGAAGATTGACAAATGGCATCATTATACACCATGCAGTTAGTTAATCTAGAGAAAAGCACATTGCAGAATATAAGAAATAATGCTGTAGAAATAAAAATCAACATCAAAGGGGAAAAATCTTAATGTTTTCAAATATATTTGCTCCTAGAATGAACATATATGCACACACACACATATGCATACTCATTCTTTGCATTCAAACAGAAAATTGAGTCTTGAAGTATGCAGGCTTTGAGTTATAAAATGTCTTCAGCAATGCATCCATTAGATAAAATGTGACCACATTTTGTGTCCACTACAGAATATAAAAGTGTTCCCCTTTTTAAAAATTCAGTTTTCTAAATGAAAATGAAATGTGGTCATGAAGTAAGAATAAAAACATGACAGAATTATATGGTGGTTGCAACAGAAGTCATTTAATACTATAGTAAATACAAGTCATAGCTTACAAACTGACTTTTGTAAAAATTTGCACCAGGAGTGGTTGCTCACGCCTGTAATCCCAGCACTTTGGGAGGCCGAGGTGGGTGGATCACGAGGTCAGGAGATCGAGACCATCCTGCCTAACACGGTGAAACCCCATCTCTACTAAAAATACAAAAAATTAGCCAGGCATGGTGGCAGGCGCCTGTAGTCCCAGCCACTCGAGAGGCTGAGGCAGGAGAGTGGTGTGAACCCAGGAGGCAGAGGTTGCAGTGAGCCAAGATCGCACCACTGCACTCCAGCCTGGGCAACACTGCGAGAATCCATCTCAAAAAAAAAAAAAAAAAAAATTGCATCTCTTTATGTTCTATTATGCAATTTAATTTCTGACTGAAAATCCCCATCCCTGGGCTAATGAGAACTTAAACTTGGACTTCTCAGGCATTTATTTTCTTTTGTTAGAGAAATAGTTTCAAATACAGGAAGAAAAGTAATTTTATCCAGTCCCAAATACACTATGAAAATATAGTTTTAAATAATTATTGAATACTCACCTGAAGTTTGTGGTAATCGTTTAAAACTGTAAAAGTCAGTTAAAGTGTGTGGTTTCTCTAACAACTTTCAGGTGCTTGGGAGCAGGTGCAAATGTGATGAATATTTGGGTGAATTCAGGAGAGTTTTATCAAATGGGTACAGTAGAAACAGAATATGTCAAAGAAGTTAAGGATATTGTCAAGGATGCGGTTATTATATGACCTTTATCAGATGCAATTATGGATTGCTAGCTATGTTATGATATTGCCATCATTTACATGGTAAGCAGTTAAATATTTTACTGGTATAATATAGTGGAAGAAAAATGAGCTCCAGTCTCCAACAGAACAGAATATTTATACTTTTAAAAAATAGGATTAAGGTCTTCAGAGTCAATGTAGGAATCTAACAGCATATAAATACATAGCTTAAATAAGATTGGCTCATACCAGATTTTGAATCTTGTTTTCTGTTTTAGGATTTAGTATCTTTCTGTTTTTAATATATATATATATATATATACATGTGTATATTCATACGTATATATGTGTATATATGCATCCATATACAAATCCATATAAACATACACATGTAGATATAAATATGTGTATGTATAATACATATTATCTGTGTAAAGTAAAATATGGATGGCAATTATGGATATGCAGTCATGCATCACTTAACAAAAGGGATAAGTTATGCAAATCCTTAAGTGATTTCTTCATTTGTATGACCATCACAGAGTGTACTTACATAAACCTATATGGTATAGTCTACTGCATACCTATGCTATATGGTATTGCCTATTGTTGCTAAGCTACAAACCCATAAAGCATATTACTGCTCTGAACACTGTGGGCAACTGTAACACAATTCTAAGTATTTGTGCATCTAAACACAGAAAAGATAATGTATGGTGCTATGAAGTTAGAATAGCTATGATGTCACTAGGTGATAGTAACTTTTAGCTCTATTATAATATTATGATACCCCTTTTGTATGTGCCGTCTATCATTGACTGAAACATTCTCATACAATACATGACTGTAATTATGGAATAACAAAAAGAGGAATTTTGACAGTGTTTAAGATGAAAAAGAAGTCAATATAAGAAAACAAATGATCCTTGGGAATTTATCTCAACATCATAACTACATGATTCCTCCTTAAATCTCCTGGTAACAACTCGGTACAATCTAGATTATAGTTCCATCTTTTCTGTGTCACTAGTGTAGGCATGTGAACACAAACACACACACACACACGTATATATACATACACCTTAAGCAATAGGTAGCTTTTAAAAAATCATGTTGGGCTAGGATCGGTGGCTCATGCCTGTAATCCCAGCACTTTGGGAGGCAGAGGTGGGCAGATTGCCAGAGCTCAGGAGTTCCCGACCAGCCTGGGCAACACGGTGAAACCCCGTCTCTATTAAAATACAAAAAATTAGCCAGGCATGGCTACATGTGCCTGTAGTCCTAGCTACTTGGGAGGCTGAGGCAGGAGAATAGCTTGAACCCAGGAGGCAGAGATTGCAGTGAGCGGAGATCTTGCCACTGCACTCCAGCCTGGGTGACAGAGAGTGAGACTCCATCTCAAAAAGAAAAGAAAAGAAAAGAAAAAAATCATGTTATTGGAGTTATTTGTTTCTGATTCCAAATAAATTGTTTATAAATTTGGCTAAAGGGACAAAAACAGATAAACAGCTTTTACTCCTGCTACTTCATTTAACACTAAGGAAATATTGAATGATCCAGGGACTCTTGAAATACATTGATGGATGTGGTAAATATTGAATATCCAAATTCTAAAGTCAATATTTACTTCAAGCAACAATGTATCACAATACTTCTTCAAACAAGAAGCCAATATAACATATATCTATTACCTCATACATCAGTGTGTATATGTCATAAGTTATATAGTCATTAAAATTTTTGGAAAATCATTCTAGCAGTTTCCACATGGAAATTTCTCTATTGTGAGTACACTATAGACTACTTTATTTTGTTTTATGTTTAAAAAGGTTATCACGAGTTCTGATTTTTAGCTGCTTAAAGTCTACTTGTATTATCTATTAGTGATTAATACATCAAAATGATTAAGTGATTTTCAGTTTCCTCTTTAGACATGTTATGAACTTTACATGAATCTACTCCCTTACCATTTCATAGAAGTGAAGTTTCTACAATAATGCCTAAGAGATTTAGGCATGAAAAATACTTTCTATATAGAGTGACTATTATGCAAGTCCACAGATGCAAATGAAACATGATGAATACATTAGAAGAAAATCAGAAATCCTATGGTAAATATGTGTTTGTTTCCTATAGCATTTATAACAAATTTCTAGGAAGTTTTAACAAAAATTTATTAACAAAATAAAATAAAATAACAAAAATTTATTCTCTCATGGATCTGGAAGCTAGAAGTCTGAAATTAAGGTTGGTTTCTTCTGGAGGTGCCCAGGAAGAATCTATTCCATATATTCTTAGCTTTTAGTAGTTGCACGCAATCCTTGGGACTCCTTGCCTTGTAGATGCAAGACTCTAGTCTCTGTCTTTGCTGTTACATTGCATGCTTGCTGTGTGTGTCTGTCTCTGTGGTTCTCCCACTTTTATAAAGACACTAGAAATATTAAATACAGGGTCCTCCTTAATCTATGTGACCTCTTAAGTTAACTATAGGACCTCATTGCAAAGACTTCATTTCCAAATAATGCCACATTCACAAGTGTCAGGTAAATATGAATTTTGAGGGAGCACTATTTAAAGCAGAATACTCTATAATTAGGCTCATGAGGTGGATGGTCCCCATGTACTCATTACAAAACTAGGTGTATTTATCTGTCCATATTAAATACATAGAGTTTGTCTAAGCACTTCTGTTTCTGCAAATATGATAGACATGATGACTGGAGAAATCCATTCAAAATTGAAAAACTAAAAATGCTGCATATATTATGTATTAATTCTCTTTAAATTTATAACTGAACTAGCAATAAAGAGAAGAAAACCCCTAGAGAAAAAAATTATAAGAAAACATGACTCTGGAGGGGCCATCCAAAACTAAAGCCAACAGCTTTCCCCACAACATCTGCAATTCCTTGTGTACAGGTCTCCATTTTAAAAGTACACATAAGTGTGTGATGGAGAGCAAAGCCTACAGCCTGTGCAAAAAGAGAATTTGGATGGATGCCTTCATATAGTATCTTGATCCAAAAGGAGATGTTATGAAGATTGACTGTCGCAGCCTTTGTTCTGGATAGGTACAGGGGAAAAATATTTTCCCCTAAGAATTTCTAATTACAAATCAGTATTGAATTTAAAGTAGTTCCAGATTGGTAGTGTCCCAGATGCCTGGCAGAAGGAAATATAACTTCCCCCTGAAAGAAATCACCTTCAGCCCAGAGCTCAATGTCTTACCATAGGTAAATTCCTATGGAAATTGAGCTCAAAGTAAAAGTCATAAAATAAACAATGAAACAAGCCAGCAGGAGCAGTAGAAATAATAACAAACAGAAACCCATCCATAAAGACTGCAGTTTTCAGTATTATATAAGATAGAATATGAAATAAGAATTTAATATATTTAAAATTAAAAGAAAGGATTAAAATATAACAAAGAAACAAAAGACTTGAAAATAAAAGATCCTGTGGAGTTTTTAAAAAGAACCAAAAAGATCTTCAAGATATGGAAAAAAAAAAGTGACAGTTAAAACTAAGTAACTTAATTTTTTATGGACTAAATATTGAACACATCTGAAGTAAGAATTTGTGAACTAGAAAATGTATTGGAAGATTTTTCCCATAATGCCAAAATATTAAGACATGAGAAAGATAGAATGAAGAGTTTCAGAGAGAAAATAAAGTAGGGATGAGAGACGCAATTCAAAGATCTACTGGATGAGATTTCCAGGACTGACCAAAAATACAAATAATCAGATTTAGGGAAGGAATAAAGGCCTTATTATGATGAATAGGAAGAAATTTGAACCTAAGACATAACATCATGAATCTTCAGGTGAATGAAGGTAAAGAGAATATCTCAAAAGAAGCCACATTAAAAAAATCCAAATTAATGCTTACAAAAATTAATTTAAATAAAAATTAATCAGATAGTTGATATTTTCAACTGCCACAATGAAAATCAGTATATACCCAAATAATTGTAAAGAAATGACAAGGTAAAATCATGTATCAGTTATTTAATAATAAGAGTCCATTAAAAACATTTTTAGCCAAACTAAAAACTAAGATTATATAACCTAAAGGAGTTCTTTCGTTTATACAGCAAAAATTAGTGAAATAGATCCAAAAGAATAGTCTAAGATGCAAAAATAATGGTGACTAAAATCGGAAATGTAGATAAATCTAAACAAATTTACTTTCTGGGATTATACAAGATACAGTTAAGATACTGAACAACCTTATAAATCAGGGAGGTTCTCGTTAAAATTAATATCTTTAAAGATCCTTATATTGTTGACGCAGAAGATGGAAAATAGCCAATAAAAAGGAGTAAAGGAGGTTGGGGAGATGGATAAAAAAGGTAGAACAAGAAAACCCATAATAAAATAGTAGAAATCAATCCAAATTGTATTAGCAACCTCATACAAATAAAACCCTACCCCGGTTATGTTATTTTATAAAGACATGTCAAAATATGAGCATAAATAAAGATTGAAAGCAAAATGTGGAAAAATATATGGCTACATACAAATCAAAGAAAAGTTAAGAGTATCCATAGCATAATGAAACGGCACTATTCGTCTAGGGTAATACCTGAGGTTCATTGTCTCACGCCAAGGAAATCCAGGACTCAGACACACAAGAAATGAGGTTAAGAGTGGACGTTTAATAAGCGACAGAAAGAGAAAGTTTTCTCCTGAAGAGAGAGGGGTCCCAGAGAAAACGAGTAGCCAGTTCCAGTGAAATGCATATGGTTTCATAGATGAGCTTGAGGAGGTGCTGTCTGACTTACATAGGAAACGAAAGATTGGTTGGAACAGGTGTGCTATTTACATAGCTTAGGAAGAAGCTGGCCGCCCCACCCTAATCTTTTATTATACAGATGAGTTATGTACCTGGCCGGCGCCATGTTGTCTGCCTCTTTAATGTACAAGTGGCGACAAAGAAGAGGGAAGATGGAGCCTCCACGCTGAACATACCTTGTTTCCAGGAAGCCCTTTTCTATTGGCATAGCTACTGGCATTCACCCATGCAAGCTTCCACCTTGCTTATCTATGTTTGCAGCTCAATTTTTCAGGCTGCTCTTTGTTAGGAAACAAATGAATTGGGGGCTGCTTTTTGTTAAAAGGGAAACCTTGCCGAGGACTCTGTTGCCCTTACTATCTGCCTAAATAATTTCCTTTTAGCTCCTGTATTAATATTAGACCAAAAGATTTTTGGCAATAGATGTTACTGGAGAAAAAAAGCTACACATAATCTAAATATAAGGCACATAATTTAAAAATCAGTCACAAAAAGAAAACTAGAATTAGAATAACTAGATTAAACCCAGAGACCTCTACTAGTTTTATATAAATTTGGAGGTTCTAAAGTTTCCTTGAGAATAGATACCTTGGTGGCTTAGTTCTCAGAAATAGCAGGCCTTTTTTTCAGGTACCTAATACAGTGTGCAAAGTGTTAGAAATTGTTTTCTTGGGACATAGTTTGGACTTGAGTAGTGAGTTCCAGTCTTTAGTGCATATGGCAGGATAAACATAAAATGGGAGTGCTGTTAATGTTACGAGAATGGAGAGACTTCACTGAAAAGCTTTGGAATACATTGCAAGCAAACTTAATGAAGAAAATACATTAAGTGCAAGAGAAAAAGTGTCACCTAACAAAGAGCACTGTAAACTGGATTATTGGATTAGGAATGGGGAAAGTGAACTACACCATATTGGAATATATAGTTTTCTCTGCTGCACACTGAAACTTACCACATTTAATCCCAGATAATTATTACATCAAAAATTTTAAGAAAAGCTCTTTTTAGAATTTTGACTAAAAATTCATTATAAAGGTTTATTTTATGAAGTTATAGATTAGCTGCAAAACAAGCCTGTTTCTAGTGGACAGTCTTTGTGAAAAGTCTTTTTTATTATTATTCATTTCATTCTTAAAGGCTATAATTTATAAAATCATTCAGCAATATTTTTTAGTTCAAACTTAAGCTCTGCTGAAAATCATAGGGAAGTTATTTATATTTACGTAAAGATTATGCCATCTGTTCTCATTTTTTTACATTATCAGCATTCAGGATTTTCTAAGCTTAAATTGCTCAGAGAAATAAAGTTGGATTTCCTCTAACTTGTTTCCTACTGCATAAGTAAGGTGTGAAGTGAATACGAGCTTTAAAACCCAATGAGTATAAATATCCAAGAATGAGGCTAAATTTTTCCAAGTATGAACCCATGGCTTGATTTTTTTTTCTTACATAATATGATGTCATTTTTTTTTTCATTTTAAAGAAAATATTGGAGCTTCTAAAAACAATGTATGTTCTGGAGTCAGAACTACACAGAAACAAAAATGTAAATGTTTTGCTCTGTCTGGCTGGTAACCATATAAATGTAGTTAAAAAGACATATTGGGTTATTTCCTGTTCTTGCTAACTAAGCTCATTCCTCGTGTTTTGTTTCTAATAGGACTAATTTGCATCACATTGTTTAACATATTGGTCTTTTTTCTCTAAATAGGAAAAGAGTGCTGGAAAAAGTTTTAAGGGTTGATTATAAAACTTTCACTAAAATGCCTTAGGTAGAATATCAATGTGAAGGGTATAAGTAATCTTAAGAAACTTCTTTGAATCTTAAGAAACTTATTTCTCTACAGAGGATTTTCCATTGGTTTCCGCAGGGAGTACACAACTGCTATGCCCACGCATATCTGGAGCACTGCTCTTTTTCAAATTGAGTTCATGTGTATTTATGTCTATATATACCCATTTTGATAGTAATAAATCAAAGGAAGAATTTCAAGAAGATTTCTGGTCTGTCCTCACATCTCCAAGCATAATTGCCTTGGAAAGAGCCCAGAAAAAGAATGATTTGACTTTTCACTAATAACATCACAGAAAATGATTCCACACCTAAGCATACTTCTCTCTAGCATTCCAAACCTTTGAAAGAGTGCATTTCTACCCATTTGAACTTAAACACTTTAGTCATTTTACAAACCCATTAATTTTCGGGTCCTTCTTCTCCTGATCACTCTTTTCAACTACATAAAACTAGCAAAATAATTTTGCCTTGTGCTCTTTCTTCCCCAAATCCTTCTGCTTCTTTTCACCAAATTTTAAAACCAATAAAACACTCTTTAGGATCTCATACTTATTTTGTTATAGAGACATTTACTAATGTGTTTAAAACATGTATGGGGAAAAAAAAGTGAAAATTGAGCCAAATAGGACTCTGAGTTGGAGAATTTTTAAATTGGCAAGCAAGTCAAGGAGGAAAGGAAGATCATAACAGTTATTTTCCTTAGATTCCTTATAAAACACTGACAGAATGTCTCACTATTATGGCTCTATTATAGCTCCAGAGTTTACATGTGTGTGTGTGGGTGTGTGTGTGTGTGTCTATTAAAGCAATTTACTTTCTTAAGTACTGAGAATGGGCCCAGATTTCTCCTAAGATATACTTATTGAGGTAGATACACAGATTCATAGATAGGTAGACATATCTTTTGATTCAAATCTATCAGAAGTGTTGCATATTGCCCACAGTTCTTCAGTTATACCATTAAAAATCCAGTAATTTAAAAAAAGCATAAAAATGATCTATAGTAATTATTATAAATTGAAGTAATAAAAATTGGATAATGTAAATTACATTTGTTTTTAGATTTTTAATTTAATTTTTCAAAAGCAAATGTCTTTTCCTCAAATCTTTGGTATTTTTCTTAAACTGTTAGCTTTATACTTACTACATAAACCCTTTTTCTCTGATTTATATTTCTCAGTTTTCACTCTGTTCACACACATTTATCAAACTTAGAGCTCACTAATTTTAATAGAGTATGCTAAAACATAAAAAAAAATTGTTTACTATAGGGAAAGCACTGTGTTGGGAACCATTTGAATTCAAAATGCATAAGCAATCACTGTATTAAAGAACTTCTCGGGCCAGGTGCAGTGGCTCATGCCTGTAACCCCAGCAATTTGGGAGGCCGAGAGGGGTGGATCACTTGAGGTCAGGAGTTTGAGACCACCTGTCCAACATGGTGAAATCCCATCTCTACCAAAAATACAAAAACTAGCTGGGCCTGGTGGTGCACACCTGTAATCACAGCTACTTGAGAGGCTGAGACAGGAGAATCACTTGAAACCTGGGAGGCTGAAGTTGCAGTGAGCCGAGATCACACCACTGCACTCCAGCCTGGGTGACAGTGAGACTCCATCACAAAAAACAAAAAGAAAAGAAAACATTTCTCTTTGTGAACAATGTTTTTAAAAGCTATATATAAATGTTATTAGTTTGTTTATTTGTAAATGACAGTGGCAGGAACAAAATGGAATTGAATTAATGCAAGAATGGGAGTTTGTTGGCTCAAACTACTAAAATGACAGGCTGTCACATCACAAAATTCCTGGAGGCATCATTTATACAGAATACAAATGAATAATATTTTCTGAAGTCATGTGACAGAGCATATTTGAATTCAGTGTGTTAAGAATTTTTCATTAGAATTTGACCTTTCTTCATCTCCCATGTGTTTTCAACTCCTTTTTTCTTTGTACTGATTTGATTCTCAAGCAGATCCTCTTCATGTGCTCAACAGCTTCAGGCTTTAATTCTGTCACTTCAGGGACCCAGTAGAAAGGGAATACATCATTCTTCACCATTTCAAGAAGTCCAGGAGTTGATGCTCAATTTTTCTGCCTTACTTACTTGTATCAGAAAACAATTTACAATGGTCGTGGGAATTGAGTCAAATCGATATAACCTGAGTGGTCCCTAATTTAAACTAGTCTACCATGAACAGAAGCATGTGAAATGGATGCTGAATAAACTATATATCAAGTAAAATAAATAATTATGGCTAAGAAAATAGTATAGAAGTTCCAGGAGGAAGGTTCAAAGATTCTTCACAAGAGTGGAAAATGAAAGCCATCTTCAGATGGGGAGAATCATGATGAGCCAAGGATGCCTGGAATATTGACCTTTAGAAATGGAAATAATGATATTACAAGATGAGTGAAATAAAAACATGAGAAAAAACTTTGTGACCCTGAGACAAGAAATAATGGAGTAAATACAGTGAACTACCTGTTATATAATTTTCAAACTGTGATGAAACTAAAGAGTCAGATAAGAAAGATAGATTGGAAGCTGATAATGAAGGGCTTTGAATGCCAGGATAAAAAATTGGGACTAAATGGACTATAAATAATGAGTCAGTAATGACTTTTGAGCCAGGGAGTAATTTGTTCAAATTTGAGCTTTGACAAGATTCACATTGCAGCTGTGCATAAAAGGCATGGTGCCAAGGAAGGACCATTTAGGAGGCTATGGCTGTAGCCCAAGTAAAATATAATGAGGCTGTGAACCTGGAAAGTGGTGGTGGAAAGAGGAGTGAAATTTACACATCTCTTTCATGAAACTACCCCTTAACTCCTGTCCTTGCTTATTTCTATTACCTGAAATATGTGTATAAAATATTGGTATCCTAATGAAAAATCCACTGGCCTTTCTGAAGCCTTGTCTTCTTTAACTTCTTTTCATTATTTGTCACTGTGAACGAATAATCCCTTTAGAAATCATTTCTTTCTTGGCTCTTATGGCACTATGCCACAGAAGAGACAGATGGATACATATGTATATCCCTCATTTCTTCAGACATTCAGTTTTTAAATCTCTCTTCCCTGCTCTGTTTTCTTACCCAACTTTTCTCCCTCTCTCAATATGCTTCTTTTACCACTAAGTAGCTGCCTCCTCATTTGATATCAACAGCCCTGGCCTTTCTCTTGAGCAGCAGAATCACATTTGTAATAGTCTGCCTAATATTTCACCATGAATGCCCTATCTTTTAAACCCTAATTTGTACAAAAACCAAATCTATCATCTTCTCCTCTAAGATCATTCATCCCTCTCCAATTGTGTCATTATTTTTCAATAATCTTTTCATTAAATTAGAGCCTGTTCAAATGCTACCTCATCCGTGAAAAGCCATCTGAGGTGTCTATGTATGCTATTTTCTTCTTTGCACTGGCAGTGTACCTAATGAACTCCTGTTGTGTCACATACATCCACTAATTTATTTGTTAATTCAATAAACATTTATTAAGTCTTGAGTATTCAGGCTCTAGTAATTTAAAAAATACAACATTGAGTAAACCATCAAGAATAATTCTCTGCTTGCATGAAATATTTATATTCAATTGCAGTGTCCTTGTATGTAGAATGCGTATAGACATCTCTATATAGCAAAGGGTATATAATAGAGGATTTGGGAGTATAAAATTTGTTGGATGAATTAATGAGTGGATGAATCATTAGAACTTTATCTTTTTTAATGTCAAAATATTTTGAATGATGCCGAGTATAAAATCATGGTATAAGATTCTGAAAACAGGGTTACATCTTACGTTTTTTATATTACTCATAATACCTGACTTACAATATTTTATGTATATTCCTCAGGTTTCTGCAATATTTGTTGACCATTTAACTGAAATGTTCTAAGAAGTGTCATATTGACAATATATATAACAGACAACGAGTGAACACATAGATCATTCTTTTGTGCACAGATTTCTAAAGGATAAATGATAGTCTGAGAAAATAAACTCCATGAAAAGATTTGGGTGAATTTATTTTTTCTTACATGAGTTCTTTTCAACTACACTGAAAATATGAAAAGGCTTATAATCAAATATGCATGAGGGAATTCCAAATGATTAACTATATTTTCTAATCAGAAATGTCAAAAGTTTTTATCATGTACTAGGTTTCTCTGATAAATTAGCCCAATACAAATTATTAGACTAAGAATTTTCATAGTAACCTAATGCAGGGCTAAGATGCATAAGATAAGAGAATCATGAAAATGCCTTTTTAAAAACTTTGAAAAACTGTGCTTAATCGCACAGCTTTTATAAAAAAATAATTATTTTTCTATAGTAATTGATATACCATATTACACATATGGCATACTGCTGCTGTTAGATATGCAAAAGAAGACAGATTCTATAGAACTCTTCAACTGGCCTTTGTGATGGCAATAAAAAGATTATCTATACCTTTACGAGGTTTCTCAACCTTAGCACTTTTGACATTTTGTGCCAGGTGATTTTTTTGTTGTGAGAGCTGTCCTGTATGTTGGACGTATAGCATACATGTCTTCCATTCACTAAATGCCAGTCACACCTCCAGAAGTGAAAATCAAAAATGGGTCTAGACGTTGCTAAATATCCACATGGTAGAAGGGTGAGGGTTCTCCCCTGCTTGAGAACCACTGACCTTAGTAATGTTGAATTATCCTAAACCTGCAGGAACTGAAAATAAAGAGTAATTTAAAAAAACAAATTCCTGAGAAGCTGAAAATGTGTTTTTAATGGACCATTTTATCTGATTTGTGTGACGATTGCATATTTTAAAAATATGCAATCTTCCCCTCCCATTCTCAGTGAAGATAAATCCTCTCCTTGCTCTTCATCTTTGGACTGAAGTTGGAAATGATTGCCATTTCCTGGCTCTGTTTGGAGAGGACTGGATGCGATTTCACATTTCTGTTCTAACTGAACCCTGCCCCATGAAAAATAAAATCACCATATGTAATATGAAAATAAAAGTACATTAGGAAAAAAAATCTGTTTCAATTTTGCCCAAAATCATAATAAATTCCATACAGCCAAAGAGTTTTGTAACTGTAATGTGATTATTCTTAACAAGTAGGTTATCCTAATGTCGTTTTGCCTTTCTCTGAGATAAAAACTGAAAGGTTTTCTTAGAAAACAAAATGGATATAAGTACATTGAGACATAAAAATATCAAATATAATCCAGACACTTTTGAGCTTTCGTTTTAATGAAGAAACAAAAATATTTTGTATTAGATACCACTGTCTTATAAAAAAAAAAAAGACAACAGAATAAATGGAAATGTAGAAACATATTTATCTTGCAAATGTAGCTTCAAAGGTAGCAATTTGGGATTTTTTTAAATCACATTTATATGTCCTCTTGATTGTTTTCTCACAGCAGATTTAAAGAGCTTTCAAATAACAATCCCCTGGGCAGAGTAATTTTGCATGTGCAGCTAGGTCTTGTGTAATGGAGAAAACAGAACTAAAGGATGATGTTCCTATCATTTAAAGCCATTTTCTTTCACCTAAATAAAAAGAAACAAGAAAAAAAAAAAAACCTAGTCTAAAAGGTAAGAAAATAAAGAGGAAATTGCAACGTGTTGAGCAACTGTGATATTGTGGCATATTGGTTACTATATTTTTTATATTTAGGAGCAAATGTAAAATAAGTGGAATTCCAGGAAAGCCTGAATAATGACCAGTGAGCATTATCCCATTGTGGGTTTCCACACAAAGTTTTCATTAAATGCCATTAAATTGTTTGCATCTGGTTTGGTCTTTGTAAAACACGCACAGGTTAGAAATGGGGGCAATAGAATGTATTGTCGTTTAGAAGCTATAATTTCCAAACTGAAATATCTTTATTTAATCCAACAAGAACTGTGTTCTCAGGGCCATTTTAAACAGATGTTCAAACAGCTTTCCTTCATCTCCTAGTGAATCAATTTAGATATTTGGTGCAGTATCATTTTTCTTTTTGTTAAAAATTGTCCCAGTTTTATGTGCCATTAGTTGGATTTTTTTAAAAAATATTAAATTTTAACCAAACAGTTGAACTGCTATAACTGTGCATGTAGAAGGGTATCTAAAACATAAAAGAAAAATAGCTGCTACTATTTGTGATTCTGTGCATATCAAGAGCACTCCTTCAGTAATCAAAACAAATTCACTGGAATCTTTAAAACATCGCATTTTTCAAAACATTGTTACAGGATTTACTTTCTTTGTCATTTAACAGTTATTGTATATTATCGGATAACAACTACCGTAAGCCACTGAAGGGTGAAATAAGCTTATAAATATACCAGAAATTAACTCAGCATCCTTTATTAATAGTCATATAACTTTATATTCATTCAAGAACACCAAAAAAGTCAATTTTAACAGAACTTTATAAAATGATTCAATGTTATTATATATTTAGAACTTTAAAGCATTTCCTCATGTAGCATAAATTTTGTTAATTTATTATTTGTCCCCTCTACCTAAAATGTAAACTCCATGAGGTTCCAGAATGTTTCCTGTGTTCATTGCTTTAGGCTTTGTATGTAGCTAAATATCTGGTATATTTTCTATCACACAGTAAGTATTTACTGAATGACTAGGCAAGTGAATGAAACCTACTCAAATATCATTCCAGAAAAAAAATTAGTTTGCGTTCATTTTTTAAAATGTTAAATACCAAGTTCCCGCATGAAAAATTTGCTATGAATCTAAACTTTTAAAGGACAATAGGTTGTTATATTGGGAATAATCTGCATATAAATCTTGGTTTCTGCCAATTTACAGACTTTCTGTAACTTCAAGCAAGTAGTTTACTTTATCTGAGTTTGTATTTCCTTTTCTATAAAATAAGGAATCTACAAAACTATCTAACAAAAAGTAGATGCTTAAATAAAATTTTTGTTTTCTTTTATGAATTTTGAGAAATCACTTCTTAAAAGGAACTAAACTACTAGTAAATGCTAAGTGGAAACATGATATTGCTTTGTGGTGCCTTTTTTTTAATACTTACACCACTGAAGTATCTGAAAAGCTATGTATTTGTAGGCCCTATGCAAAATAATAAACTGTCATCTTCTTAAATTAACCTATTCTTTATGTGGTCTTGCAAATAATAGGCCTGCTGTGTATTCAATGTAGTTTAGCTTTGGACTTTGTGCCTTGCATAATTATAGCAATAAAAGCATTATGCCTACTGTCAGAGAATATGAATCCATTCTTACACCAAAGTGAGAAGAGTACTTTCAGAAAACTTTTCTTAATATAATATAAAATAAAGACCTGGAGTCAGATAACAATCTACTTTCTTTTTTCCATTGGTGAAGATTTTTGTTTTTGTTTGTTTTTGTTATTGTTGTTGTTTGTTCTGTTTTGTTTTTAGACAGGATCTCTGTAGCCCAGGCTGGAGTGCAGTGGCACAATCACGGCTCACAGCAATCTTGACCTCTGGGCCCAAGTTATACTCCCACCCCTTCCTCCTGAGTAGTCGGGACCAGAGGAGCAGGTCACCACACCCGGCTAATTTGTGTGTGTGTGTGTGTGTGTGTGAGAGTGTGAGTGTGTGTGTGTATGTGTGTGTGTGATGGTTAATACTGAGTGCCAACTTGATTGGATTGAAGGATGCAAAGTATTATTGTTCCTGGGTATGTCTGTGAGGGTATTGCCAAAGGAGATTAACATTTCAGTCTGTGGGCTGGAGAAGGCAGACCCACACTTAACCTGGTGGGCACAATCGAATCAGCTGCCAGTGAATATAAAGCAGGCAGAAAAACGTGAAAAGACAAGACTGGCTTAGCCTCCTAGCCTACATCTTTCTCCCGTGCTGGATGCTTCCTGCCCTCAAACATTGGACTCCAAGTTCTTCAGTTTTGAGACTTGGACTGGCTCTCCTTGTTCCTCAGGCTTGCAGGCAGCCTATTGTGGGACGTGTGATCGTCTAAGTTAATATTTAATAAACATATATATATATAATTATATGTATGTTTATATTATATATATGTTTATATATATATAAAATTAATTCTGTCCTTCTAGGGAACCCTGACTAATAGAGAGAGAGAGTGTGTGAGAGTGTGTGTGTGTGTGTGCGCGCGTGCATGTGTGTAAGGACGAGTTTTCCCTATGTTGCTGAGGCTGGTCTCAAACTCCTGGGCTCAAGCAATCCTCCCGACTCTCCTGCCTCGACCTCACAAAGTGCTGGGATTACAGGTATGATCCACTGTGCCCAGGCTTGAAGTTCTTAATTAAATTAAAGACAGGTAGGTAGAAGAGAAATCATGCAGAAAGGGAAATGAAACTATGATTATGCTTTGCTGATGCTAAGATATATATAATGAAAACAAGATCAGTTAGCCATATAGATGGATTTTTCCTATCAATCAAATCCACCTAAAAAGATTCTTGATGATGACTGTCAGTGTTAAGAAGCAGTTACTTTGCAGAAGGAACAAAGTTGATGGAGTCAGTTGAACTAGACTCTAACCTAAAATCTGCTGTATAATAGCTGAACAACATTAAGCAAGTTACTTAAGTTCACCCTTTCCAAATCTCAATATCTTAATGTGAGATAGTCCTTTCAAGACAGTGTATTTTGTTTCATTAAAATTGTCTTTAGATACTATATGTTAAAAATTAGTGATAAATTTTATTAGATATTTAATAAATCATAATGATTATTATTGTCTACCCAAAACCTATGCCTTAACTACACCTAATATGTCTAATATATAAAAGAGCTCTACAGCTAAAAGCCAGAAGTAAGAAGCTAAGGACATTGGAGCATCCCTGGTAACAATTGCCAATGACCTACTTAGTGCTCATGCTCCTTCTTTATTCTAACTTTGATAAAACTCCTGGCTCTCAGATTATATCTTCTTTTTTGCTGCCTCATTGCCCATTGCACTTAGAGTCTGATTCTTCTCTTACTGGCTTAATTTCTAACACTTGGTAATATTTATGGCTCAGAAATTTCTATTAAGTATTCTGTTTAAGAATAATCTGCTTTCAACCCTTAATATTAAGTCTCCTCTTACCTAAAAGCTTTCCAGTGTCTAAAAGGTTTGCAATAATCCATCACACTGATTTACATTGGATAATCTGATTCTGTATGAGAGTAGACTCTCAAATGTGTAATGGCTTTGTGTGTGTGTGTGTGTGTGTGAGAGAGAGAGAGAGAGAGAGAGAGACGGAGCTTCACTCTGTTGGCCAAGCTTGGAATGTAGTGGTGCGATCTCAGCTCACCGCAATCTCTGCCTTCCAGATTCAGGCGACTTTCCTGCCTTGGCCTCCCCAGTAGCTGGGATTACAGGTATGTGCCACCACACCTGGCTAATATTTGTATTTTTAGTAGACAGGAGATGTCACCATGTTGTCCAGGCTGGTCTCAAAATCTTGACCTCAAGTGATCCACCCACCTCGGCCTTCCAAAGTTCTGGGGTTACAGGCATGAGCCATGGTGCCCTGCTGTAACGGCTTTAAACAATGGAAGTTTATTTTGGTGTTGTTGTTCATTATAATTTGTTCTGTTCTTGATTAATAAATGTTTCCCTTCCATGTGGTGATTCAGGAATGCAGCTTTTTTCCATCTTGTGGCTCTAACATTCCTTAAGTCTTAGTTGTAATTCGTGTCAAGACAACAAGAAGGAAAGAGAGTCTTGGACTAGATAGAACACACATCACTTCTGCTTGCTTTCCCTCAGTCATATGGCCCCTCTTTACTGCAAGAGCTACTGGGAAACATAATCTAGTAATATGATCATAAAGAAAAAAAATAGCAAGGATTTTGGTGAATAGTAAACAACCTCTGCCACATCTGTTAAATCTAGCTTTTAGAGATCTATCATCTATTAATCTCTCTCACTTATCAGTTTCCTTTTGCTATAGCCTCAATAAGCTTCCGTCTTTCCCTTAAACATTTTTATGGCATTGAATTTGCTGCTTCATCTTGCCTGGAATTTTCTACCTCCAGATTACTCATTTCTGTATCTTTCTGTTTCTGCAAATTTCTGCTAAAATGTCACTCCTGGAAGCCATTTTCTCAATTTCTCATTCTAAATTCAAACTCCCAGACATCTCATTTCATATCACTTTGTGTCACTGCCATGAAAAACACCTGTCTGCAATGACTTCTGAGGCTAACTCCTCAGGATTAGGCTGCACTTCACAGGTTAAAGGCACAGTCCTCCAGAAGACTGCCATCACTTTAGACACCAGCTTCAAGTTTGGGGCTTCTCAGGCTACCTGCAATTTCAGACTAACTGGCAACTGATTCAGGGCTTCCTACTGCTATTCCAAGTTTGAAAATCCGCTAGAACCAATTACAGAAACTCAGAAGAGTGCTGTATTTACAACTACAGTTTTATTATAGCAAAAAGGATACAACTAAGAACCAGCCAAAAGAAGAAATGCAATGAATGAGATCTCAGAGGGTCCCAAATTAAAAGGAGAAAACAAAACAAAACTACTGGTTTCCTCTCCCCATGACCTCAAGATGAGTCATCCTTTCTGCACATCAATGTATACTACAAACTAAAGAAGCTCACCCAGGTTTGGTGGAGTTTTATTATATTTGTTGAGGATTCATTTATAGTGTCTTTGGCCACATAAGAGAATTCAATCTTTAGCCCTTCTTCACTTCCCCGAGGTCAGTAGAGATCATGTTTCTCAAAGTCCAACACTTTAATCATCTCATTAGTCTTTTTGGCATGGGCAGGCCCGTCTTGAGTCTTCTCACTGCTGCAAGTTATCTAGGGGCCCATAAACTATTAGGACCCACCAGGAATAGCTCAGGCCTTCCTATTACCCAGGAAATTTCAAGGATTTAGCAGTTACCTCCCAGGAGATGGGGAAAGGCCAGCCAAATTCTTTATTATACAACACTTTCTCTAAAATGATCTTGTACACTTATTTTTCAGCATCTAATCCTCCTAAATATAAGCTTCATGGGACCAAAATCCTTGTCTGTTTTGGCAGTGCAGAAGACTGAATAGTAAACAGTAGGTGCTAGATAAATATTTACAGAATAAATTAACTAAGAATTACAAATTCTGGCCTGGACAGTTCAATTAGGAGTTGTTGGTAGACAGTTCATTCTTGATGTTCATAAAACTGTGTGTGTGAGCTCTAAAATAATAGCTTAATTGAAGTTAATTACGGAAAAAAAATACAGCATTGCCCATTGTTATCTGCTTCTGAATCCTAGCTCTATTACATATGTACTGTGTGAGTTGCTGTGTGCTTCATGTTCCAATTTAAGCACAGTGATACCTGTCTCTACTTCATCAGGTTCTTGTGAGGATTAAATAAGATGTCTGAAAACCTGTTTGGAAGGGAGCCTATATGATAAAATCTTTAGTAATTATTGTTTATTATTGAGGATATTGTGATTATGGTATGGAAATGTGGAAGGCCACTGAAATGGGAGAGTTATTGAAGTAAATCAGCATCATTACTAACTTTACTAACTTTTTTTTCTTTTTTGAGATGGAGTCTTGCTGTGTTGTCCAGGCTATGGAGTGCAGTGGCACGATCGTGGCTCACTGCAATGTCCGCCTCCTGGGTTCAAGTAATTATCCTGTCTCAGCCTCCTGACTCAGCTAGGACTACAGGTGCCTGCCACCACACTTGGCTAATTTTTGTATTTTCAGTAGAGAAGGGGTTTCACCACATTGGCCAGGCTAGTCTCGAACTCCTGACCTCAGCTGATCCGCCTGCCTTGGCCTCCCAAAATGCTGGGATTGTAGGTGTTAGCCACCATGCCTGGCCCATCATTACTAACTTTACAAATTAATACATTCTGGCCAACAGCATTCTCTGGTCTCACAATAGTCACTCATTAATAAATTATTTAATTTAATTTGAAATTCACTATACTAGATGTGTTGTGGGAAATTCAGATGGTCTATACCTTAATATTACACAAAATACTTATAGGGGGAAAAGATCTGTCTCAAAAAAAGTATACCAGAATGTCCTTGAAATCAGGAATTATATTGTTCAGGTACGCCTCTCTTCCTAGGGTCTCACATGCTACCCAATACTTAGATCAGTTAGATCTAACAAAATGAAGTAAATTTAGGAGATTAGATAAATTTAATATAGATGTATGTTAGATATAAAAATGTGTGTGTATGTATGTATAATACATTTATTAGGTTATACACATTTCTAAAATTACCATAAAAATGGTTCCTATATCAAAAAAAAAAGATTAGAAAATCAGTGTTGGGCCTTTTCTTTTTAAACTTTCAACTGTTGACTATGTCAATATTAAAGTACAATTTATAAAAAGCATAGACAGATTTTTTTAAGTAAAGTTTCAAAAAGACATTTTTAAATATGTTATTACTTTCATAATTTGACAAGGTTAAAAAAATTGAAAACTAAATTTTTATTTTGTTTACATAGTATATGAACTTGCCTGATGAAGATTTGCATTTTTCATAAAACTAAAACTGTTTCACCACATTTAGGAAAACCATATTTTCTCCTTTCCATAGCCAACATTTTATACTGAATTTTATTTTAAAGAAAAGAGGCCTCACATTTTGGATGCTATAAGGAGGTTCTACAGACTTCTTAATTTGTACTGGAGGTATGTATTGAGTGCCTATCATGTGACAGGTCCTCTTCTAAATGCTGAGATAAACAGTGAACTACATATAAAAAATCCAGTCATGGAGCTTTCATTCAAGTCATGATACTGACCACTTTGGGAAAAATATTCTATAACTTAATCAATATAAAGCCAGATATCAATTATACATCATCATTCTATACTCAGTATTTCTTCACTATTAGGGCATATATTTATTTTATACTTCCTAATTGCAAGATATGTGCTTAATCCTGAGAATATAATATTGAAAGGGGCATAGGCGATCTGTATCACGATGAAGCAAAGAAAATACAGAACAGAATTTCAGAAATTAAATAACTGTACAAATAAGGGTTTGATTAAAATTTTAATTACCAGGAGAAATATGACTTAAACTTTCTTACATGTGAAAAAGGCTTATCTTAGGAAAGAACTTTCCCTCATTTAAAGAGAAAGAAACTGAATTTCTAAAAGATGACTTTATTTGCTTCAGTTAAAGATGCAAGCCAAGACAAAGCACATCTCCTGAGACCAAAGTCAAAATTCTCTTTAGCATAACACCCTCCTTTCATTTCTGCCTAAAAACACAAGCTCCACAGCATGTTTGGAAAAATTCACACCATGGTATTTTGGTGTCTGAAAAAGGTTGAGAATATTATTCAGCCTATTTTTCACATTAATTTTTCTTTTCATTTTCTGAATATGGAGTTTGGGGGACAAGAGTGAAAGAAAATGGAGTTCATGCCCCACTTAATGAGCCTGGAATTTTAAGCTTCTGAAAAGACTACAAAACTAAAGCAGTCTGGACACCATTGTCAATGTCCAACTCCAGCTGAGAGGATTAGAACTTTAAATAAACCAGAAAGAAAATGGGCTTTTCTCAGCATCCCAATCTGACCTTTCATATTTTCAGGTTGAAACTGGGTTACAATGAGGTTTTTCTTATTTTCTCTTTAAAGTAGGCTTGTCAGATAAGATACAGGCTGCTCAGTCAAATTTAAATTTCAGATAAATAATGTTTAATGTTTTATATAAATGTGTTCAATGAAATATTTTTATTTGCTACAATTGGCAATCCTACTTTGAAAAAAAAATGAAATTGCAATTGTCCTAGTCAATGAAAGAATGGCTCAAGAAAAAAATTACAACAGAAAAAGAATTTCATGGTTAAAAATAAATGGTGCAAAGCAAAGTACTGAGATATGACTCTTAGTTATTTTATACCTGATTCATGGCTTCAGTACCAAGACATCCATAAATGCGTGGTTCAGCTTCATTGTGATGTGCCAAATGAATCCTGTATACATCAGAACTATCACTTTGACTGTTTACCGCTGCCTGATAAGATTTCCTCAGTACTTTCTCAAGGAGCTGTTGCTCTATCTAGTACTGATTTTGTATCTACATTTTAAGGTGAATCAAGTGATCTGAAGTTTTCTACAATTTCCCCATTTATATTTCTACATTGACTACATCTGACAAAAAAACGGTAATAATTCATCCTCCACTGTCACTTCTTCAGATGATTTTTATCTGGGGGTAGAACACTGAGTGGTTATACAATGAATAACTCATATGAAACTTTTTTTAAGTCTCCTTGTCTAAAGACAGCACAGTCACACTTGATTGTTTTATGAACCAAAACAAATATGTCATATGGCATATTGAATCTGCTAATTCAAATATAAATATTATAATACTTTAAAAGCTTAACAAATTTTGAATGCAAATTATATTTTCTGATGCTTGTTTAATTCAAAAACACATACTTGAAGAGGTAAAAATGTACTTGTTTATCACTGTGCTTATTTATTTTTCAGAGTAAACAAAGCTGTATTTTAAAATATAAATTACTGAACTCTAAGGGTGAATGCTTACTTGTAACTTCTTTAAAGAATTAAAGTTAAGAAGCTACTATATTCCTATGAGTATAATTTTAAAATTGTGTCTTCATAAAAAAAAAACATAAAACTGGAAGTAGCCTTGCTAATGGTTTCAAAAAGAGTAATATTTAAAATATATTATAAAAGTGAAAGAAACTTTGAGATCTCAGATTATCTTGACTAAAACTGCTAGCACTGATGGCTGCCATTTTTCACTGAATTATGAACTTATGGTAGCAGGAAAGTCTTATACCTGTTTTGATATCAAACAAAAGGATGAGCTATGAGAGATGTATGCAAGGTTTATCAGCAAGATTAAGTAATCATGGAAAAGATCAAGACTCCTGCCATTATGGAAAACTGGTTTTCAGTCTAAGAAAAAGAAATTCTGCAGAGAGCAGGGAACATGAGCCTACATTCATTCATGGGCTAAATTACATAAGAAAGTAATGTTTACACAATTGGAAATTTCCCAATTACACTCCAAGTAAGGGTGGAAATCTTGACACCTCTCTCTGAAGAGTATTATAACTCATAAATTACTGATCACACAACATGTTTAAGTTGCCTCTTGGAGCTCTAAAGGGAATAAATATTTAAAATTTATCCCAAATTGCTTAACTCTTGGGCTCTTCTAGCAGGGATAAAAGGAGTACCTTGAAAAGTGAGTAAATAAAATATATGTCAAAAATGAAACACTCCCAAATCCTTAGATCAAAAACATGTTTTGTTTGTCTCTCCTGGTTAATAGGCATGGAATTTCCTTAAAAATTAATCACAGTGGAAGTATCAGCTAAAGGAACATGCAGTAGGGATAAGAAGCAGGGAGAGACAAGGTAAAATTTACTGAAATTGCACTCCATTTTATTTGAGTGTGGAATGAATAGGTATCCTTTCTAACCAAGAATAATGTGTGTAACAGAGAAACCCTAGAAGTTTTAGCATGTACCTTTAGATATAGCCCTGAAATATAGATATTCTAATTTCATTTTAACAAATATTTTATTTCTACAAATACATTCTGAGTCTGCTACATACCAAATATTGTATTCAGAACCACAACAACCACAAATAGGATAATTCATGGAATGTCTTCATAGAAAAGTTACACTGATATGGTAGTACATAGAAAAATTATGGTACTGCATATATAAAAATTATGGTAGTACATATATAAAACGATAGCAATACGCAATTCCACTACCCCAGAAAACCTACTTTAGGACACGCCCAGTAAAATATTCTGAAGACTCATTCCTTTCTAAACATTTGAGTATGCTGCTTGGAAAATTCAATAACTAGTTTTTTAATGAGTGGATAAATAAGCTAAGAAATCCCAGAAGAGAGAGTAATTAATTCTGCATGGGGAAATCTGTAAAGGTTTCAAAGAGAAGTTGACATTTGAATTGGGTCTTGAAAGATAAATGGAATATTAACAAGCAGTCAGAAAGAGCAGCATATCCAAGCCAAGAGCAATAACATACAAAATAGGTGCCAGGTTTCCTGTTATAATCAGGAAATAATTTTGGGTCTAGTTTCATTGAATGATAAGTTGCATATGGACATTGAGAAGTTCATGATAGAGATGATGGGAAAATGTAAATTGAAGTGATTATAATTAATGATCTGCATTTATGTCAGTTTTAGTTTACATAGCAATGTAAATTCATACAACTTAAACTTTCTGAGCTTAATTGCTTGATTTCTTTTTTTTTCATGTTCATTTTTTTAACATGTATTTATCAAGTCTTACCAGGAGGCAAGCACTGGTCTAATCACTGGGATACAACCTCAAAAACAAACAAACAAACAAAAAACAGAGAAAAGCCCGTTCTTTCATGGAAAATGTAGCCTATTGAGCATTATGCATAGTTAGGAAGACAGAATCAAGCAAGTGTACCAAAAATCTATAATATTTATTTAACAAATATTTATTGACTACTTCTTTGTGCCAATCGCCATTTAAAACAGACAAAAATCCTTGCATTGTAGATTTGTATTAAGGATAATAATTGTTAAGATAAAAAGAAAAGCAGAATATGGGGCTAGAGAGTCACTAAAGCCATTTGTGGAAAAGTAATCATATTTAATGGAGACATCAGGAAAGCCCTCTCTCTGAGAGAAGAGGACATCTGAGTAAAAACCTTAAAATGCGAGGAGTCAAAATCACACAGTAAAAGAAATCTAAGATTCGAGTATCTTTGTTGTCGTCAAGAAGAGACTACAGGCTGTGGGTAATGTGGCTGGAGTAAATCAAATGGGGGTGAGAGAGTCAGAGGAGCCAAGGTCAGAGAATTACCCAGAACCTAGATGATCAATTCCTGGGTCAATGGAGTAAAATGGAGACACACTTGGTGGTTTTGAGCATGGAAGTGATTTGATTTAATTTATTGAAAGTAGATAACAGAGAGAAAAGTGTAGAAAGAGAATAAAAAGTTCAATGTGATTCAATAATGTTGGGAGGAAATGATGGTGGCATTGTCACATTCTGGATAATATCAGAGATAGAGTCAGCAGGATTTGTTGATAAATGGGATATAAAGAAATTAAAAATGGAGCCATCAAGGGTGACCTAAGAAAATGGAAAAATGAACTTGCCATATACACAGGAATGAGCATTTTTTTGAGGAAATGAGCAGAAGTTTATTTTATGTATATTAACATTAGGGGTTTCTATTAGTATTTCAAGTAAAAATTATTAAATAAGCAGTTGAAATATTTCAATCTAGAGTTCAGGAAAGTGAATGCAGCTGAAGATATAAATTCAAAATCATCTGTATTAAGATAGTATTTAAATATACAGTTTGTATAATGTCAAAATAGGATAATTGTAGATAAAGAAGAGAAATGCAGGGACATCACCCTGTAGAATTGCAGTATTTAGAAGTCAGGAAAAGAAGAAGTAATCTACAAAGAAAAAATAATCAGTAACGTAAGATAACCAGTTGTGATTGTTATCCCATATTCAAGTGATTAAAAACGTTCTAAGTAGTGGTGTTAGCCATGTTAAGGGCTGCTTAGCAGACAAACAAGATGTAGAATGAGAACTGATGCTTGGATTTCATAATGTAAAGATTACTGGTCAGCTCAATGAGAGTGGTTTTAGTGGAATGTGGTGACAGAAAAATATCGAAATGGATTGTATGAGAATAGGAGGAGAGGAAATAGAAAATATTGAAACGCTCTCAGTAAGTGAAAAGAATTGGGGTGTTAGCTAAAGGGAGTATGGGGTTAAGGAAAAAATATTTTAAGAAGAGAGCTAACATAATTTGTTTGCAACTGGTAAAGAGAGAAGAAAGGAAAAATCTATGATACAAGAGAAAACAAAAAGAAATCAGAAGTGATATTTTTGAGGAGGTGAGAGGGGATAGAATGGATGGACAAGTGGAAGAGTTGGCCTGAGGGCAGGAATGGCTCATTCATTGTAATTGAAGGGAAGAAAAAATATATGAGTACAGACTCAAGCAGAATGACAGGATTTTTGGAAATTCTATTCTCATTGTATCTCTTATCTCAGTGAATGAGAAGCATTACCGGCTGAGTGAGAAGAAAATATGTGAAATAGTTACGTTAAAAAGTAGGAAAGTATATTGACTAGGGAAACATAGTAAAATTGCCTGGCAGTGCTAAGGACCCACTTGAGATCCCTGGTCATGAATTTAAAGTGAGATAAGTCAGGATAGTATGGTTTTCTATTTTTCTATAGCTATAGACAGCTGCTGTCATGAAAGAGAGGAGTAGGTGGCAAAATAAATTAAAGAAGTATCGCAGTTGTTGTAATAGTTGCTGAGGTTGCTAAAGTATTCAACTAACCAAATATATATAAACAAACTTTGAAAGCTATGAAGTACTGTAGAGATATACTTCATCATTGGATCTAGTACTGCAAGGTTCCACATAGTAGCTTTCCTTATGAATGAAAGTCACAGTGCCATTTATTAGTGACAGCCTTTAAAGAAGATCAAAGTCTTGAAGGCTGTACCTGACAGAAGTAAATTAAATTTTACCTTACTACGTAAGAAGAACTAAAAGGATCTGGCCAAGAATGTACATATATAACTGAGCCGAGGGCTGTGGCATTTTCATTTTTCAGGATGCTTGCCAACTCCCTTGAAGCTAGCATTATTGTGAGGCTCCAATGGACAAGCTTTGCTTTAGGATTTAAAATGTCTATGCTTTCTCTTATACGTCATGTTAATAATTTCCTTTCCATGAAAAAAAAGGATGGTTTTGCCAGTTATTTCCCTGAAGATTCCTCTGTGATACAAGTGTTTCACTCCATTAAATTTTTTTTTCATATTGCAAGATTAGATCAATTTCATTTATTACCATCACCCTTGGCTATCCCTACAGGACTTCTTTGGAGTAATGGAGTAATTCAGCAAATTCAACAATTGCTTTAGCTTTCCCATAACTAAAGAATGGTTCTTTACAAATTTTATTTTCCACTCGAAGCTTTAGGAAGGGAATTGCTGTATTTAAAGTCAGGGAAGAATATGCATTTGACTGAATGGATCCTCAGTATTTGGCTTGAAAGTAAGATCTTTCTGAGCAAGTTAACATTTTCACATTTCTTATAAATCAGTTTTCTTTCAAGTGTCCTACATCACCTTTTAGTTTCATATATTCCTTTATATTTAAACACACATTCTTTCTCATATAATTATGTTTATTTTATGATTATATTAAAATAGGTGCTTAGTTTTGGAAATATTTTATTTTAAAATACTATAAAATATCAATATAATTTGAAAATAGCCATAATCAAAACAATTCTGAAAATTGCTTTAACTTGAAGATGCACTGTTAATTATCACTACTAAATATAGTTTGTTTAAATATAAATTGCCAAGCTCAATCAACAAGAGTCAAATAAACTAATTACTAGGACTTATGTTCATATGATAGATGCAGGACAAGTAGTCAAATACATGGTGATTCCAAACTTAACTTTGTGGATAAGATATGATGAATAGTTAAACACGTAATTTACTTTAGTGCAAATGTCAGTATTTAGACACCATTTTAAATACTTAATGTTTTTTAGCTTTTAAGTTCAGGGATACATGTTCAGATTTGTTATATAGGTAGACTTGTGTCATGGGGGTTTGTTGTAGAGATCATTTCATCATCCAGGTATTAAGCCTAGAACCCATTAGTTATTTTTCTTGATTGTCTTCTTCTTCCCACCCCACGCCTCCCAAAGGTCCCAGTATGCGTTGCTCCTCTCTATGTGTCCATGTGTTCTCATCAGTTAGCTCCTACTTATAAGTGAGAACATAAGGTGTTTAGTTTTCTGTTTCTGTAATAGTTTCCTAAGGAAAATACCGCCAGCTCCATCCATGTCCCTACAAATGACATGATCTTGTATTTTTTTTATTGCTGCATAGTATTCTATGGTAATATTAATTTTTAAATGCCACATGTAACATGCAGAACAGAAAGGAAAATGGCTCTGACTAACCCTGTATAGGAAAATATGACATACAAAATCCTATGAAAAGTTAATTGTTTGATTTTGACCCAGATATGCAAACAAACTATCTTTTCTACAAAATATACTAATTTACTATATATTATTTGTGACCTGTTTTTATTTCAAACTTTTGTTTTTTTTAATTTCTCATTATGTCATCATCATATTTTTAATGTAATAATACATCTAGTATATCTTTCCATGATCATTGCATACAAATCTAAGCCATTATTTTTAATGCCTGCAAAGTATTAAATAATATGGGAGAACCAAAATTTAACTTGCAATATCTACCTTCATAGTTTTGGTGTTGCTTACAATTTTGATCATTGCAAACAATTTTGTAGTAAATACTCATGTAAATATATATATATATACACACATATATATGTGTGTGTGTGTGTGTGTAATTTATCTGTATGTCTTTATATATGCCTAAGTGAATATGTATGTATGTAAATGCATATATATGAATACATATGTATGTATATATAACTGAATGTGTAGGTATATTATATATATTACATATATATAATAAATATAACTGTATATGTATGTGTGAATATGTGTATTTACCAAGATGGTCTTAACTTTTCTTTCAGCCTGACTAAGCTTCAGACAGGCTTTTTCTTGACTCTATGACCCTAATCTCCCTTGTCTTAGATCATTTACTTTAGCAAAATGTCATTACAAACTATTTCTCTTCCCTTTGTGAGATATGTATATCTTGTTTGCATGTGTATGCGTGTATGTGTGTGTGTATGTGTGTGACAGAGACACTCTGTTGCCCAGGCTGGAATTCAGTGGTGCGATCTCTGCTCACTGCAACCTCCACCTCCCAGGCTCAAGTGATTCTCCTGCCTCAGCCTCCCAAGCAACTGGGATTACAGGCAGGTGCCACCACACCCAGCTGATTTTTGTATTTTTAGTAAAGGAGAGGTTTTACCATGTTGGCCAGGCTGCCCTTGAACTACTGACTTAAGGTAATCCACCCGCCTCGGCCTCCCAAAATGCTGGGATTACACGCATGAGCCACTGCGTCCGGCCTATATGTATTTTTTTAAAGGATTTTAGCCAGATTTACAACACACAAATGTCTTTCTCAATGACCTGGGGCCCGTCCCTTTGAAATGTAATCATCAAGAATGATGATGCCCCTATGTACTGTGAGAGAGTAGAAGCCTAACTTCCCTGGGTCTCAATTAGCAAACACAGATGGACAAATCACAGAAAAAAAAGTTCAAGCCCAGAAATAAACTCTGTGCGGTTGACACAATCCATGACCAACCTCCGTCCTAGTGTCATCCCCTGGTACTTTTCTACTAGCTCACTGTTAAACCATCCCCCACCTTCCCGCCTTTTGTTTCCACAGAGTTGAGTTCAAAATGCATTCTGGTCTCTCTTCTGTTTCAATCGTCCTGAATAAAGTCTTCCTTTCCTGTTTAATCTTGTCTGGGGCAAGATTTGCTTTGATAGTATTGTATGGTTAATTCCAATATAATATGGATAAGAATATGTATGTAATTCTGATTATTTTAATAAACATAAAAGTATAAAAAATAAATGAAAGATATTTATCTTTAAAATATCTACTCTGCCCTCCAAATCTCCTGACTTAAATTCTTACATCCTTTCCCACATATTTCAATAAGCAATCACATTTTAAAAAATTAAGACAATGAAAAATAGAAGGGTATCCAGGGTTGAGGTGAGATGAAAGATACAAATCATTCTCTAAGGAAGGAAGAGAATCAGGAGTATTTATTGGGCCATACTTTTAATGGTGAAAATGTCCTTCATAAGTGTCATGGAGGTGGGAAAATGAAGATATTCTCAGATGGAAAAAATAAGCAATTTCTTGCTAGCAAATCTATCCTCAAAAAATGGTTAAAGTGTGTTCTCAAAAGAAAAATGAAATGATATAACTTCAAAAAGAAATGAAGAATATTTGAATTGTTTAAAAGTATGAAAATATAGACTATTTGCTTCTCATGAGTCTTAATCATATTTGATGACTGAAGAAAACTTATAACATTATCTGATGTAGGGCTCAAGATATGAAGAGGAAATACTCAGGACAATTACACTTAAAAACAGGGAGGATAAAGGGACCAAAATGGAAGCAAGTCTTCTGTATTTTACTTCAAGGCTATGCAAAATGTCAACATGAGTTAACTGTGGTAAGTTATGTATATAACCAACAGAGCAACCACTGAGAAAGCTAAGCAAAGTGATATACTCAAACACACTATAAATAAATCAAAATGGAATCTTAAAGAGTATTCAAATAATCCACCAAGTAATAGGACAAGAGAAACAGAGGAATGAGAATCACCAGATACGGAGAATGAATAATGCAATACCAGATTTTAAGCCCTAACATCAATATTAATAATTCAATAATACTTATAATTACCTTAAATATAAATGATGTATATACACCAATTAAAATATAGATTATGTTTGTCTTTCTGTACCTGGTTTATCTCACTTGGCATACGCACATCACATGTTCTCTCTTATTTGTGGGATGTAAAAATCAAAACAATTGAACTCATGGGCAAAGAGTAGAAGGATGGTTACCAGAGACTGGGTTGGGTACTGGGTGGCTGGTGGGTAGGCGAGGTTGGTTAATGAGTCCAAAAAAAAAAAAGAAGAAAGAATAAGACCTACTATTTGATAGTAAAATACGGTGACTATAGCCAATAATAAATTCATGGTACATTTTAAAATAACGTAAAGAGTGTAATTGTATTGTTTTTAACACAAGGATAAATGCTTGAAGGGATGGATTTTTAAAAAGCTTAAAATAACAATATTTTTCTGATTACATAAAAAAGACAGATTAATGGTAGAGTGGATAAAGTGCTTTATCCAAAACTTACTTCTATAACTCACTTCAAAAGGCACATCATATATGTATGTGTGTGTATATATATGTATGTGTGTGTGTATATATACATAGATGGACAGATAGATAGATAGATAGATAGATAGATAGATAGATAGATAGATAGATAGATAGATAGCATACATTAAATGCTGTATACATGGTCTGATGGCCCCAAACTCATTTTGCCCTACTAGGTGTGGAAGTCATTTTATGAGTCATTGAATATGTTCACTAAATGGCATTCAAATGAAACTTGGACCACACCTTTCCAGAAGTTAAGTATTCCCTACATGTGTACAAGTTTACATCAATATTCTTTTCAAATTTAGTAGCCTCCTTCTTCTCTAAATGAGTGTACTTTAATGTCTCCCAAAAACTAAACATGTCTCCTCCAATAAACCAGAAAGCTGGCAAACTTTTTACATAAATATACAGACAATAAAGGTTTTTGGCTTTGCAAGCTATGTGGTACATCTGCCTGCGTAGCATGAAATGAGTCGTAGGTAATGTGTAAGCAAATATACATGATAACATTTTAATAAAACTTGTTTTATAAAACAGGCATTGGACCAAATTTATTGCACAAGTTATAATTTGCCAATTCTGGGAAAGGAACGTAAAATTGAAGCTTAAATTTTTCTCTAAAAGAACCTAGAGACTTTGCCACGGGTGACTATTTTTTGGTATCACATTGCTCTGATTAATAGCTATTGCTTGGGAAAAAGAACATTTATTTAGGATATGTAAAATGGTGTCAGTACCTTACTCATTTCTAAGAAGTAAATGCCTTCCTTTCAGTTATGCTTAGTTTGAAATCTTCATGTGGCTTTCTCTCATGGTTAGAGCTATGAGATTTTTCTTATTTGTATAGAGAATGCAATCTTGTGTCACAAGAGTGTATGCATTATTCAAATTTGCAAAATTTTTAGTCTCACTTGTATAAATGTTAAAAATGTAGAAAGTATAAAATCTAAGCCTTTATTTTTATAGAAAATGAAAGTGAAACACAAATAGATTAAGTAATTTACAAATTAAGTTGCTCAATTTTTGTCAGAAGTATGGAATGGCACTGAGTCCTGACCAAAAAATAGTGATACTTCGAAATTTAAAAATATACACTCATGCTCAAATAATAATTTTCAACAGATATGTGAAAGCCATTCAGTGAAACCATTTTCAATAAATGGTACTGGAGCAATTGGCCATCCATAAGTAGAAATAAATAAATGAATAAATAAATAAACTCATTTTAGATCACAGACATAAATGTAAAATGTAAACCACAAAGTTTTTAGGGAAAAAAAAGAAGGAAATCCTTGAGATCTAGTGCTAGGCAGAGAGCTCTTATAGTTGACAACAAAAGAATAATCCATTAAAGGACAAACTGATAAGTAGGACTTCATCAAAATATAAAGGTTTTGCTTTGTAAAATATCCTGTGAAGAGGATGAGGAGGCAAGCTATACAGAAGAAGAAAATATTGCAAACCACATATCCAAAGACGAACTAGTATCTAGACTATGTAACGAACTGTCAAAGGCCAACAGTAAAAAAAAAACAAATAATGCAACTAGAAAATGACAAAAGAAATAATATTTCACTGAACAGAATGTACAAATAGCAAGTAAGCACATGAAAATGTTCAACATCATTAGCCATTTGGAAAATGCAAATTAACACAAGAATCACCTCATGCCTATAGATCGACTAAAATTTTTCTTAAAAATAGCAATAACACAAAATGCTGGCAAGAATGTGGGTTGTAAAAGGGTAAAACTACTCTGGAAAAACGGTTTAAAAGCTTCTTATAAAACTGAAAGTGAGATTAAACAAAACATAAGATAAAAACTGATCAGAAGATAAAAACTAAACAAATTACCATAAGACCAAGAAATTGTACTCTTGGACATTTATCCCAAAGAAATGAAAAGTTATGTTACCCAAAAATTATATTCATCTGTACTTGAGTCTTCAGAGCAGCTTTCATTGTCATAGCCCAGAAATGGAAACAATCCAGATATCTTTCAATAGGTGATTATTTATACCATGGGATACTACTCACCAGTGAAAGGGAACCAACTATTGACTATTGATCAGCTATTGGAACATACTATAACTTGGATGAATCTCCAGGGAATTATGCCTAGTGAAAACAAAACAAAACAAAAAGCCAATGCCAAAAGATTATATATAATATAACTCCATTTATTTAATATTCTTGAAGTGAAGAAGTTACAGAAGTGAAGCACAAATTAGTGGTTGCCAGGGTTCAGGGCTGGGGTTTCAGTGTGGGAAGGAAGCCAGGTAACAGGGCAACATAAAGTAGCCATGTGGTAATTGAATTATTATAAATTTTGTGTGTGGTGGTGGATGCACAAATAGACGCTTAAGCATTTTTATAGTATAAAATATAAATACACCTACATGCATACACATTGGTGAGTGCATGTAAAACTGGAGACATTTAAATAATATCAGTGGATTGTATCAATGTCAATTTCTCACATGGGATATCATACTGTCGTTTTACAAGATAGTAACCATTGTGGGAAACTAGGCCAAGGATTCATGGGATCTGTCTATGTTATTTCTAATAGCTGAATTACATCTATAATTATCCTTTTAAAACTAAAGAAAAATACATATGCATTTGTATGTTCTATTTTGTTGATTTCAATATTGATTTTTCCATTTTACGATATTGGAAATGAGGGTTTTTTTAACCAGTGACTCTCTGTCATTATTTGGTCCTATCTTTTAAAATTACACATAAATTAAAGGTGTATTTATTATTTATGACATCTTAGACTCAGTAAAATTATAAAAATATTCTTTTAGAATGTAATTTTAAAATCATATATTCAACAATACTATAGAAAATATCATCAATCACTCTTAAATCACCAGGGAGTCCATACATGTCTGTATTTTCAGATTTTCAATTAAAATTTTTAATCGTTAACATTTTTCTGAAAGATGTTCACATCAGACCTACTGGATTTAAAGTAGACTAGGCAATAAAGTGAGCTTTCTCAATGCATTTCAATAAGTTCTGTATTTTTATTTAACCTTCAGGAAGACAGTTGAAGCACTTGATTAATAAAAACCCACTTCTCCCATGTCAGGTAGCCTTTCTAGCTTTGAAGCCGACAAGAAAAAATGATTTGAGCATAAGAACTCCTGAGAATTTTATCTATGAAGGCAGTGCTTCGGTTTTCAAAAGGTCAGGCAAGAACATTGTGTTTTATCCTTGTATTCCCAATCCCTATCACAGTGCCTTTTGAAAAAATGAACAAATATCTCAATGTAGGTGGAATATTCTATGCAAAACTCCAGATTATAGGGCTCATTTAGGACGACACATTTCCAAATTTTCCAATGCATTCATTCAAGTGATATTCTGCAAAAGAACTAAGCATTGCATAGAGATTTTCTCACCGAGAGTGTCAATTTTATTTTACCATCAATCTCATTGCTGTTTTTGATCCCTGTGTTGTGCAGAAGCAATTACAATTCTTTAGAAGTTCCAAAGTGATAATGTAATTATATGGAGATATGTTTTCAGAAAATCCTTTGTATTGGTCTCAATAAATTGTGGACAATATATTTCCACAATAATGCTCATCTATGTAAATTAAGATTTGACTAGATTAAAGTCCAAATTCCAAGGAAAGTCACACTTCTTGATACATGTATTTCTCTCTGGTTAAGAAGTTAACCAATCATTCACCCCTAGTTTCTACCAGTGCTGACTTTGGTGCAATAGTGCTTTATTTACAAAGGAATGATAACAGTAGGTTTTTATGTGTCACTTTAATTCAAATTGAAACAACATTTTTTAGCAGACAATCTTGGTATTGAAAATTGCATTATTAGTAGTTCCTTTTTCCTATTACAATATAAAACATTAAATCTTTTTTTAAATTTTTATTTCTGGAATTCTATGTGAAATTAATAGTGTTTTTTTATCTCTCAGTTTTTACATGTAACAGATAATATGCATGCCAAAGATTTCTTGAGAAAATGTACGTAAAATAACATCTTTTAGATATCTTATATTTCAGATAAAATTAAATAAAAAGACTTAAGACATAGCCCCAAATCTTTTACTCTTTCTACGGAATACTGATATGTTTAGTTGTGTGAGTTCCAAAATTCTCACTCTAACTACCACCAACTATCATCCCAGTCTCTCCCATTCTCTTACTCTAACTGAAATGCATCTTTATCTTCTCTGAAATGTTCAATCTCTTCCTTTTCCCTACTTTACTATTACATTATTCTTTCTTGAGCCTTTTTTTACAGTCTTACCTAATGTGAATCCCTACCATCAGTAATGCCGACCATGCCTTTTTATTCTCCTAAAAGTTTCTGTTTATTATAACCACCTCGGAAGCAAATCCCTTTCCTCTACCATAGTTTAAGACTAATTTTATAGTTGCAAAAGCAAAATTTTATCTTAAATCATAGGTCCTTTACACAAAGAACATTGACTTACCAACTGTATGTTAAGTAAAAAAAAAAAAAAAGTATTAATGTCTTGCCTCCTATAATTTGGAAATCTGTAGTAAAGAAGTGGGAAGATTCCCCAGCAGGGGAACAGGAAATAATTACTTCTTTTGCCAACAGCAGAATAAATCCCAGCTGATAGTAGAGAAGGAAATGTCCTACAGATTGTGGGTAGTCTCTTGAGGAGCTGAATCTCCTTACCCAGTAGAGGCAGCTGAGATAGATTTTTATTATTATATTCAGTCTGGAGAAAAAGACATTTCTCCAACAAACTGTGGGTATGAATATTGGTACATAAAGGAAAAAATAATTTCAGAGTTGTACCACCAATTCGTGCATGGATTAAGAGGTAGAAAAAAACCTTTAGTACTGCAAATATTGATAGAAGAAGCAGACTGAGAACACTGCTCAACTCTCAAGAATGGCATATTCCCCAGTGTTCTTTTCAGATATGGGTAAGAAAAGTCCTCCCAGAGAGGAAACCCAAATCCCATAGAGAAACTACTCACAGAATTGAGGACTAATTCAGGAATATTTCCCTACCTTAAAGACAATATCCTTCACAACATTTGACTTACAGGACTTCAGAATAATTATGACCAGAGACTGCTATGTGCCTCACATCCCATTCTTTCTTTTTACATACTAGACACTAGTATGCTTATTGCAGATAGTTATTACATACTTGCTTCCCATTTTCTCATTATATGTTGTGGAAGTAGAAGAAAAACATAACTTTGTCTTAGTTCACTGTCTCAAATGTAAGAGAAGCCTACATCAATCTAAGGTAGAGATTATCATGACATCCTGCACATCGAGCCTAATACCATGATTGGATGAGATTTTGGGGTGTGTTCCTCAGGAAGGAGTGAGTAAATTTTGCATGCAAAAAAAGTAAATATTTTTGTACCAGAGAGAGGATTACCATGGTTTCTATTTTTTGTTTCTAACTATTTATTCTTCCTCCCTGTAAAAGGATTAAATATTCTTGCCAATTGCCATGTGTCCAGCAGTAACTTCTTGTGGGAAGAGTATACTTTCCCATCCTGTCGATGTTGTATTTAGCCATCTGACTTCCTTTGGCCATGGCACAGAACATGATATTTTGTGTGCCAAATCCAAGTCAATTATACCCTATCATTACAAACATCTCATTGGATACAAATTCAAACTATTCATTAAAATTAAATTACTGAAGTCTGCTTTTTATTTAAAGTCTTCAACCTTCAATTTAAGGCATATTCTAGAGAAATAAATTTTTACTACTGACTAGCAATTTCTTGGGGGAAGTTCAAAGTCCCTTTTGGTAACTGATGTAATACATCACAAACAATAACCTTCCTTTCATTATTTTAAGGTGCTCAATCCTAGGCTGCTGATAATATACAAAGAATGCAACCTATGGCAATTAGTTATACTACAAGGTATCACCATTTAACCTAAATTGGACATAAAATAGTGCTTGGCAATTTTCTGTAAAATTTTTTAATCATTTTGTGTTAACGTGTTTACCAAATTGTATACCACAGAACATTATTTCCATGTGATATTTCAGAGACAGAAAAATCTGGGATCTAATAAATCAGGCAAATGTCACATATCTATATTCAAGAAAATATATAATATGTGATGATGTATTTCAAACACAGAGAAAAGCCTGGAGAGGAGAATGATAAACAAACACATACCACTACTACAAAGCTGTTACATCCTAGCATTGTGCCATATTTTATTTTATATATATAACAATATAGATATAACTAAAGCCTCTCTGATAGGAAGGAATATTATCATGTTGAAACAAGCCTTATCCAAGGGGTAATTTTGTGCAGCTTTTTATACGCTATTCTATTTGCTGTGATTTCAGTTAAAATCATTAAGCATTTAATAAACACCTATTTTGTGCCAGGCTTTTTGTTGAAAAGATTGATTCAATGTTTAAAGAAATGTAAAATTAAGAGGAAAAACAAATAACTGAGAATTACTACATACAATTATACTTTAGGATACAGGGCAATGTTATTGAAGATCACAAAGCTAGTAAGGAATTTAGGTGAAGACTAAATTAGTTCTGGCTCATAATCCAGCTTTCCTTCCTGAAAATCACAAGTGAAATGTAGTTTCATCAAAAAAGAAAAAAAAATGCATATATATATATATATATATATATAAAAATATGTATATACACACACACATATATATATACATACACATATACATATAATTGTAATATCTCCTGCTGAGATTCTGAAATTAAATATCTGATCTAGAGTTTCTGTAGATGGATAGCTTATAAATATCAAATGATCTGTATATAAATCTACACGGACTGTAACCTAAAGTATAAGCGTATTTAGTAATTCTCAGTTTTTTTCTCTTAATTTTACATTTCTTTAAACAATGAATCCATATTTTTAACAAAGAGCCTGACACAAAATAAGTGTTTATTAAATGCTTAATAATTTTAACTGAAATTCACAACAAGCAAAATAGTGTATAAAAAACTGCACAAAATTAAAATATTCTTAAAAATATAGAGAGTTACAATAATCTTCATAATCTTAAAATAGATTATAATGGAACCTGAAATTATATTAAAACATTTCTAAAATAAATATTTTATTTTGGGGAAGTCAAACAGAAAGGGTTAAGCTTTGCCATTTTTTAAATTGCATTCTATTCTCTATATTTAGTGAGTTAAGAAAAGCCACACATTACAAACCTTTTTATATATAATGATCAAGTAGTAGATGGCCTTTTGCAGTTATTCCTGAAATACTCATTTACTATTTTACTACTCATTTTTTGCCAGTGTCGGCAACTGCATTCTAATTTATCTGTGCTTGACTGACTGTTTTGCATTGATAGCTAGATTAGAAGTGTTGGGGCTCAGAATATGATACCCCGTAATAAGGCATCTTGGTAACTGAGAAAACTGCAGAAGCAAGGATACTCTGACCTTACCCTGACTTTCTGTGGGACAGCTGAATATAGAATAATTGTCTGACTTATCTCTCCTGATAATAGGTAATAAGACTCTCATTTCAGAGGAGCCTGGCCCTATACCCAGAGGCCAAGAAGAATCTGAATAGACAGAACTTACTGCCCCACCCCCTGTGCTATGGTTTGAATTTGCCCCCCAAAACGTACGTGTTGGAAATTTAATTCCATGCAACAGTGTTGAGAGTTGGGATCATTAAGCAGTGATTAGTTTATGAAGGCTCTGCCCCCATGAATGGATTCATGCTTTATCCTGGGAATAGGTTAGTTCTTGTGGGAGTGGACGCCTAATGAAAAGGATGAGTTTGCCCCCCTTTCTCTCTCAAGAGTTTTCTCTTGCCCTTCTTTCTGCCATGGGGTGATGCAACACAAAGGCTCTTACCTGATTGTCAGTGCTATTTTCTTGGACTTCCCAACCTCCAGAATGGAAGAAATAAACCTCTCATCTTTATAAATTAACCAGTCTGTGGTATCCTGATATAGCAACAAAAAAATGGATGAAGATACCCAGTATAATACCATTAGATTATACCAACTTTGTCCAGTCATACTTCTATACAACTATCCAATTCTTCATCAAACCTAAGTATAAAAATATACAGTTTTTCCCATCTCTTTGGGTCTTCCTTTCTGAAGCCTCCTGTGTCACATAAAACTTTGGTTAAATGAATCTGTAAAACTTTTGTCTTGTTTATCTGCCTTTTGTTATAAGAGTGTTAGCAATGACATTTGCAATGGATTAGGAAAGATTGTACTTCTTCTCTCCTACAGAAAAACAATATTATTTTGAAGTAAGATATCTGAACTGATTTAATGAAGAAGAAGCAAACAAGCAAAATGGAAAAAAAAACAGCTCCATGCCACAAGGTAATGAAATTATACATGGATAAAATAGCTCTTTTAAATTGTTTTAACAGCACTATATTTTGTTAAAGAATATAGAATTTGTCAGTTTACTTCTTACTTACAGTAAGAAAGATTATGATATCCCTCTAGCAGATTAAAAGAATGGAAACTGTTGCAATTAAACAGTAGCCAGATGTGAGGTCTTCTGTATCTTGATCTTTGCCTCAGAATGAGACTTAAAGCCTTTTTTATAAATAGATTTAGGTGGTACTAGTTCAGTTTTCTTGCATGGATATATTGTGCAGTAGTAAAGTTGGAGCTTTTAGTGAAACCATCACCCAGATAGTGTACATGGTACTCAATAGGTAATTTCTCATCATTCACTCCCTCCCACTTTCTCATTCTTCCAGGTCTCCAGTATCTATTATTCTACTCTGTATGTCTATGTGTACATACTGTTTATCTCCCATCTTAAAGCCTTTTAAAATATGAACTTACTTACCTTATTTTCTCCTCCTCCCTTAGTTATTGTATCACCTTGTTAAAAGAACTTTTGTAACAGTATTTTTCTTATTATTTAAGAAATAATGATTCATTATATCATAAGCAAAAAAGTGTAAAGTTTGGAGTTCACTTGTGACTTTGTGACATTTCCTGTCAAATTATAATGCTGAATATTATTTTTTTTTATTTTAGATGGGTTAATCCATTTTAAAAAAATCATGCCCTGGAAGTGGAGAGGGTATTCTAAAGATATTTGCTAACATATAAGATCAATATCTGGGGTCAGAAAGATAAAAAAACAAGTAATAACTTATTGTATTGTAGCCATTTATATGTAGAAAAAAGTAAGTCAGAGTTGGAAAGCCTACTCGAAGTCAACAAAATAAATGTAAATTGAGCTTTATCATGGACAATTATAAAGCCAAAATTTACAAAATCAAGTAAGTAGCTGCTTTATTTAATTACCACAGTCCTGGACCGCATAGTGTTGTCTGTGGAAACTTGAGGGTTTCTGAAACACTTTCAGGAGGTTATGAAGATAAAGATTATTTTTATAAGACCTTTTTTGCCTTCCTCTTATTCATGTGTTGAAATTACACTGATAATAATGAGCATGAATCAAGGCAGTGGCACCAAACTATAGTGGGTTCTAATATTTACTATGCACTCACAGCTAAAAAAAAAATATCAGGTTCACTTAAGAATGCCCTCCATGATGCAGTAAAAATTAGAAATTTATATTTAGCATTAACTCTTGAGTATGCATCCTTTTAACATTCAGCCTGATGCCGCTTCCTTATAATGAAAGTACAATGGTTGCCTCAAAGCAAAGTATTTTTGCCATTGTTTGAGTGGTGAGCTAAACTAGCAGCTTTCTTTTCATGGAAAAACATTTGCACTTGAAAAAGCAACTGACAAACTATGGTTATGCAGGCTTGCATATTTGGCAGATATTTTCTCAAAAATTAACAAAGTGAGTCTGTCACTTCCAGAAAAATAAATTACGGTATTTGTTGCCAATGATAAAATTTAAGCTTTTGGGCAAAAATCATAATTTTAGAAAAATTGCATCCACCACTATATGTTTGATAGCTTTCCAACACATACTTTTCTGAGGATATTCATGGCAATATTACCAAGTATGATATTTTAATATTGTATTATAAAATGTGTCAAAATTTGGAAGATCTGCATAACAAATTGAACCAGTATTTCCCATAGACTAATGTAAGTGCTACAAAATAATGGAGAAGTAAAAGATACATTCAAAGTATAACCGAGAATAATGGATTTTAATATACTGCAAAACATTGATTGATATAGTTTTAGACTCCACATTGCCATTATCATTTAAGAAACTACCACTTGTAAGTTTTGGTTTAGAATCAAAGAAAGATATCTACAATTATCTAAATAGACCATGAAAAGGCTTTTCCCTTTTCTAACCATATGTGGGTATAAGGCTAGATTTTCTTCATATACTTTAGTCAAAGCAACATAGAGCAATAGATTGAATGCAGAACCATATATGTGAATTCAGAGGGTCTTCAATTAAGCCAGCTATTAGATTTGCAAAAATGCAAAATAATGCCAATATTCTTACTGTTTTTTGTTTTGGACAAATATAGTCATATTTTGTAAAGCATGTTATTTATGTTAAATTCAATGGTTTATTATAGTTCCTCTTAAATGAGTTAATAAGTTTTTTTCATCTTCTTTCTTTTTTCTTTTTCTTTTTTCTTTTTTTTTTTTTTTCTGAAACAGTCTTCAGTTGCCCAGGCTAGAGTGCTGTGGCTCCATCTTGACTCCCTGCAACCTCTGCCTCCAAGTTCAAGAAATTGTTGTGCCTCAGCCTCCCAAGGTGCTGGCAGGCACCACCATGCCTGGCTAATTTTTGTATTTTTAGCAAAGATGGGGTTTTGCCATGTTGGCCAGCCTAGTCTCGAACTCCTGGCCTCAACCAATCTGCCTACCTCAGCCTCTCAAAGTGCTGGTATTACAGGTGTGAGCCACCACTCCCTGCTGGTAGTTTTAAATTGCATTATTTCAATGTCTAATCTTAAACGATATAACTTATAAAAATAAAAGTTATTTGGGGTCTTCAATAATAAACCCTTTTTCACTCTTATACTTTCAAGAGTACAAAGGGTTCTCCAGATAAAAACTTGGAAAATTACTTCAAAGGCCTTTTAAACACTTTGCTTCACCTCTTCGCATGGTGCTTCCTCAAGTGCGGTCCTTTTGCCTTGCCACTGCTAGTTGGCTCTCCTAAAGCCTTCAATTACATCACTTTTGCAGATCACTAAAGGTCATTGGTTCTCTTCCTTGTTTTCTTAGACAAATCATCTCCCTGTATTTTTCCTATGCCGTTAGTTTTCCTTCCCACAATTCTGCCTTTCAAGTACTTTCTCACTTTGCAAGAGCCATTCAAACGCTAACTCCTTTCCAAAACCTCTTGGATGTTTCTGCTCTCTTCCATCGGAAGCCATCTTTTTCTGATCCAAGATATTAGAAAGTTGTGTATATCACTCTTACACATTGCAATATTATACATTTTACTAGGAATGTAGTTCTTTCTCTTCCTCATTTGTTAGGTTCTTAAAAGTAATGTCTTGGATTTCACAGTGCCTGACATAGAGCAAGTTTTTTTATTTATTCATCATTCATTTATTCAGCAAACATTAGTGATTACTTACCAAGCGTTGGAGGGTAAATAGTTAGTTACATACAGAACTGTGCATCATGAATTTTGGTATTAGTTGCAGAAATAATTCAGTCTTGTTTGATGCAAAATTCTTCTTATATAACAGCATTGAAACCCAACCCTGTCTCTAGCTATTTAGTTAACTAATTGCCAATGTTTTGCAGATTATATTTACACAAAACAACTCCTTTTAGCAGGTTAAATATACAGTTAACTCTTCAACAACATGAAGGTTAGGAGTGTTGACCTCCACAAAGTCAAAAATCCACACGTAGCTTTTGACTCCCCCAGATTCTTACTAATAGACTGCCATTGACTCAAAGCCTTACAAATAACATTTGTGGTTGATTAGACATTTTTTGTTTGCTATATATGTTATATACTGTATTCTTATAAAAACTAGAGAAAAATATGTTATTAAGAAAATTATTTTTAAAAACTACATTTATATACATTAAGTGGAAGTGGGTCATCATAAAAGTCTTCATCCTAGGCATCTTCATGTTGACTAGGCTGAGGAAAAGGAGGAAGAGGAGGGGCTGGTCTTGCTGTCAAATTATAATGCTGAATATTATGTTTTTTATTTTAGATAGGTTAATCCATTTAAAAAATCATGCCCTGGAAGTGGAGAGGTATTCTAGAGATATTTGCATGGCAGAGGTGGAATAAGTGGAGGAGGTGGAAGATGAGGCAGGAGAGGCAGGCATACTTAGTGTAACTTTTATTGAAAAAATATCCTTATGTAAGTGGGCCTTCACAGCTGAAACCCGTGTTGTTCAAGGGTCAACTGCAGATTAGACTTGTTTTTATAAGAATATGTAGAATAATAAATACAACTTTTATAGAGTAATAAATCAGTTCAAATATAGTCTACATGCATTTTCGCATAAAATGAAAGTATGCTCTTGAGCCACAGCCATAGTCCTAAAGGTGTCACTCTGGGTAATAATACTGAAATGTGATTATAACTCTGAACCTCACATGATCACTATAATTATTCTAAAAGGTTTTCCCTACTTTCTGTCTTCCACAGCACTTTCTGTGGATATGGTCTTACTTATACTGTATGGTTATTTGACTAATGTTTGATCCTTCCATTGAACTTCAAGCTCATGAGGGCAGGAAGGTCACTATTGCTCCCTATCATGTCTTAAGAGTGTAACATTGTGCTTCTTACATAGCTGATCCCATGTATTTGTTAAAAATAGGTGTAAAGAACTAAATGCTCCAAGATGGGAATAATATATGCTTTCATTATGATTTCCACAATCTCAGCTTAGATGCACTTCTATGAATGTCAGTATTCTGTTTCCAGTGTAATTAAACATTAGTGCTTACAGTTACTCGCAGAAAACAGGAAGCAACACATTTAGGATAGCTGTGTCTACAAAAAGAAAAGCCACAGACGTTACACAAAATATTAAATGCTTAAATCAGAGCTGGTTATTAAGCACTACAGCATATAATTAATAATATTATGTAATTGGCAAGATATTTATATTCAGAATAGAAGGCAATAGACTAATATTCTGTGAGTTTGGGGTTTTATAGAAGGTCAAATATTTATTTTGTTGACATTATTGTTTGTCAAAGTATCCTTATTCATAGGAATAGAGAAAGCTATTGTAATAGTTTCTAAGCTAGATCATCTGCCTCCAGCTTCTCTCTATCCTCTCCACACCTTCACACACTTAATTATACTGCAACTGGAATTTCCTCTATAGTCTAAATCTCATCATATAACTCTATTACATGGAACTTGGGTGATTATTAAATGTAGTGGCTCTCAATTGGGAAGCAATTTCTGCCTCCCAGGGAACACTTGGCAGTGTCTGAAGATACTTTTGAACACTACAAATGGAGAAGGCGGCTAAGGGTATTACTTGAATCTAATAAGTAGACACTAAGGAGACTGCTAAATATTCTACGATGCACAAGAGAGCCCTCCACAATAGAGAAGTGGAAAGCCCAAAAATGCAGTAGTGCTGAGGTTGGGAAACCCTGACTGAAGGTTAAAGCCATGGTGTCGAATTTCAAAGTTGCTGATACTATGATAAAGTCACTCTTGTCAGACCCAGTTAGAGTATAGCCAGAAAGTTATGAAAAAGGGGGCTGGCTCATGCTTGTATGCCTGAGGTAAGAACTACCATAAGGAATTTCTAAAACCCACAAGAGATTCTTGCCGCTCTTAACATGCATTTCACACCTTACTTGCCTTACAGACCTTGCTTGTTCTGCACTTCCACACATATTTCTGTAAAAAGGTTTGTTGATTCACCCTTTTGTGATGCATCAGATGCTTTATAATTTGCCACAACCTCCAACCATTTGTTACTGTCTTCATTCAGCTGTCTTCACTTGTTCATATTTCCCACCTTACCTAAAATATACCTCAAGTCTGGGCACACCCTACTTCACATCCACATAACAGCCATGCTAAATTCCTAAATTCCACTATATGCCCCTTTATGTGTCTGTGTTTTTGCATATGCTACAAAATCACACTGGAATTCTCTATTACTGTGTTTCCCAAGCCCCATTTGCCTGATGTACTGATCTATGTCCTTTCAAATTTGCTCCTTTCATTTGTGTCTCAGGTATGCATTTTATTTTATGCATATTATATCAGAGTTTGCACAGAATTACATGTTAGTATTTATGCCTTTGCTGTCTACTTTCTTTAGGCTTTCAGGTCTTTGAAAATTATGAACATGCTATAATTAGCATCTTGTCTCACAGCACCTAAGACAGTGCCTGGGCACATATTTAATTTTTGTTGTTGTTGTTGTTGAACTCCTGAAATTAAATCCGTCTCTACTCTACCCTTTAACTTTGTAAATCAATACTACCATACATCTAATAACTTGGACTACAAGTTAAGAATACTTTACACAATTTCTCTTTCCTCAAAGGTATAGAAAGTAGAATTAATGTTGCTTTATTTTTAAATTGCAGAGACTAGATGGTATAAAAGAGAAGAATATATCTATTGCAAAAGACTAAAGAATAGTTAATGTTATTACTACAGAAGAATACCTTTCAAAATTAATAAATTTGGGGTTGTGAAATTTGGAGTAATTGAAGATATTTCTTTGTATTTCTCTATATACCCTAAGTTTTCTAAAGCAACTGTGTGTTGCATTAATGTCAGAAAATTAAAAAAAAAGGAAAATCATATTTTATATTTACATTTTAAAGAAAAACAATTTTGGATTAAGATCCAGTTTTTCTATTATGAAATCAGAATATAGAACTGCTGATTAAGCTTCCATTCTTTCTACAAAGAACAAATAAAAAATCTCATAGCATGACCATAGTAATACAAACCATATACATTTTACATTTCTTCAAGTGTTTTGGAAGTACCTTTCAAAGTGTATAGCACTATATGAAAACTACACTTTATTTTTGTTTTTGCATCAACACGATAGATTTACCATTAGCTAATTTGTTCTTCAAAATTATTAGATTTAATTTGCTAAATGAGCCTATAACAGAAGCAGGTAAGATGTTATCGAATGTCAGGTAGTATATTATGGTAGGAAGCCTTAGGCTAAATGCTATCGCAACTGCAAATATGTGTAAAGACAGAAAAATGTCCATTATGTAAGTGTGGTGACTTTCTAAGTCTCTGTCCTTTTAAGTGTTCCAACAGCAGAAGGCAAATGCAATAATATTTCTGTGGCAGGATTCAGCTAAATGTTTAGCTAAATAGCTAGCTTGTGCAAAGTGACAAAAATCTAGTCAGGAAGGAATTACAAATCAAGTACACTATTATAACGATATGTTTTATTTCTAGATTCTTACTCCATCTTTAAATGGAGGCAACTATTCCTTATAATTCCCATATTTAAATAATGCTTATTTCATTAAAAAATGCTTTGTGACATTTGCTAGGAATATAATTAAACAGCTTCTGTTGTTTATGAAGTACAATGCTAGATAAGCTGGATGAATTCACATGTTTGTATAAGACCTCTGGAGTATGGGGTTCCGAGTATATATTTCAAATGAATATAAATGATCCATGCGTGTGTGCTGCAAACTAGGACACTTCAGTATTAGACAACTGTCCAAGCAGTAAAATGAAGATTAAAACTAACCAGAACACACACTTATACACATACATACACAACCATTCATAGAAATGGATTTAAATGGGTTATAAATAATATATTCATAATATTTTGCCATTACTTTTAATGTTAAAAACTTCAATTACTTTTGCATCAACATAATAAACTTAAAAATAAAATAATTTTAATAATGGTACTGTATATAGTTAAAACTCTGCTATTGAAATAATACCTCATATTTTTTGAGAATTTCTTAATGCCCTGTGTTTGGAACATCATCTGACTCATTATAGGTACTTCATCAACATTAGAAGTGAATGAATAAATATATCAATATATCCATAAATGAATGAAAGAATCCTGGACACTCTTGTACGTACTTTACAAGCAGTATCTTATGAAACCTAATAAACAATCCAGTAAGTGACATTTTCACCAATGCATTTGTGAGGCTGTGATATTAAGAATTATAATGTGGTGGCATCAGCATTGTAATTTAGATATTAATCATTTTTGTTTCTCTGCTTTTTTCTCTTTCATGCATATGCGTATACATTTATACCATATTAACTGTACAAAGGTGTTGAGTGGACAAAGGCATATAGCCAGGGGGCATCCACACGCTAAGCCTGCTGGAACAGCATTTACAGGAGAAAGCTCAGAGACAAAAGCAATAACGGGTGTCCAGATTCCCCATTAAGCCTAGAGATCTAGCAGATCCAAAAGACAGATACTGGAGACAGCTCCCAAATTTGGGTTGTGTGACTTAATGAACTAGGTTTTGAAAAAGAAACTGCCTCCCTTAGGGTGATGAATGAGAAGGGGATGTTGGCTCCCAAGACTTGTAGTAATCCAAACTTGATTACCTTAAGTACCAGGCCCTGCTGGTTTCCATGGAGCAAACAGAAGGGAGCTCAACCCCTGCCTGGGAGGCCAGCTTGGAAGAATTTGCCTTAGAAAAATTAAACCTTAACTCTCAAAATGAAATGTTAATAATGATTTATATTCTTTCTTGAGCATTTACTTTACCAATGCTAAGTGTCTGAAACACTTCCTGAACCAGCTTTTTAACTCTATAGGATTCCATTGTCTTCCGTATTAAAAGTCTGGTCCAGAAACTGAAGCAAAAGCAGGATATATTAAGTATCTTTTATCTCTACCAATAAATAAAATCAGTAGAATTCAGCAAGATTAGCAATAGAGATACAACTTCCACTTGACTGCCTGTTTGGTCTGAGTAAAATCAGGATGCTCACTAAGAGTGAAACAACTAAATCAACTGTGTTTGAGAACAGACAGTAATCTTTTATTGAGTAGCTTAACATAATTATTACATTAGGTTCAAATTTTATCTAAAAAGCAAAAATATTTTACCCACATAACAAAATCTGCATTAAAAAGCAAACTCAAAATAATTTAAGATGGATTTGCAAACCTCCAAGTTACACATTTTGCATGGAATTCAATTAACTAAAATAAAAAATAAATCCTAAGGAAATGTTAAGAATGTATTCTATTTAGTTGAATAATACCAAATTTATTAGAGCAGTTGTTTTCAACTTGTGTTAGCTAAGTACTTCCTAAAGGAATTTGTAAAACTATGTAATTCCCTACACACTTTTAGCTTAAAATATTTTGTAAATTTTAATACTACCAAAGGAAGTGATTTCTGCATTTGACAAATATTTAATTTTTTAAGTAAATTGGTTGTAATCCTTCTAGGAAATAAATAGAAAATGGGTGGAATGATCCTAAATACCATAGGCATTTAATTCCTATTGTAATATACATTCTTTAAATGTATGAAAAAGTTCTTTTTAACATCCTAACTCTTACCTAGTTACCTAGTTATTTTCTCTCGAACTCATATTTCCCATCCATTTCTCTGATAGAATGTTATTTTAAAATATGTTTTGGTACCTAAAATTATTTTAACAATCATACTTCTCTGACACAAAAACATAAATTAAAATTTGGCATTTTTCTATGACCCCAAAATGCTCAAATTTTTTTCTGGATTAAAGTATTATTACAAATAATATTGACATACTACTGACTGAAACATTATAAATAGATCATATTTTGTTGGTTAACTTAAAATTTTATCTCAGTGTGATGAAAGGTTTTTTTTTTTTTTTTCTCAATTGTTTCATATATCCATGGTTGACTCTAAATTATTCCTAGACTGAGACTGGATGCAGCATTGATTTCCATCCTATTTTTTGATGAATATTAGCATTGATGATGACCTTCCCATAAATAAATAGATGAGAAATGTTCCCATAAATAAATAGATGAGAAATGTTGAAAATGTTCCCATAAATAAACAGATGAGGAATGTTGAAAATTACCATTGATAACTACCTTCCCATAAATAAGTGCATGAGAAATGTTTATTCTGCAAATAAATTTATCATAATTCTACTCCCAAAAATTTTACAGTTATGTCACTCAACTATTTGAATTCCTTCTTAGTTGCTTGTCAGTGAACTCACAATGATCAACTGAGGAAGGTATTTTTAATCAGCTGACAATTAGGCCTTTCTTCAAATGTATTGCATATAAAACTTGGAAACAACCACACATTAATCAGCATTGTAATCCAGTTAATGGAGCCATTTATTTGTAACACAAATCCATATTTGCTATCATCAATTGTTTGGTGTCAAGGAGATACTATACACTGGTCCAATACACTAGGGTTAACAGTTCAAACAAGTGAGAGATGTGCATATATTTTGTAAAGAAAGAAAAAGGTGAATTTGAAAATACATATGTATATGTATATGTGTATGTATATGTATATACATTTGTGGAAAATGACAACAACTACAAGGTCTTGGCCAACATTCTCAGGCATATTAGTTTTACATAAGAGTATAGAGTTCACAAATTCCCAAATCAGATTCCTTAACACTAAGTCACTCTTGAATATATGTCAGTGCCAGAACAGGAAGACCTTTATTTTATAGCAGCTATTAGCATCACAATAAGAGACACTTCATGCTAAAATTTTTACAGTGGCAGGTGTTATTTTATTCAATAAGCATTTTATTGAGGTATTTCATACGTAAAGAAACATACACAAATTCAGAGTACAATTCAAAAGCTTTACAAAGTGAATATCCGTGAGTAATTAGCAAGGATATCAAGAAACAGAAAAATATCAACATCTCAGGAGCCAACTTAAGCCTTCTTTCAGTCATGTCCTCCACCCTCACATTCAAAGGAAACCATTATCTTTATTTCTATACAATTGATTAGTTTTGTTTTTTGCCTTTACGTGAATGGGATCTTTCTGTATATTACTTTTGGTTCTGGTTTATTTTGGTCAATGCTGTGTTTTTGAGATTCACGCATAATGTTTTTATTCATCTTGTCCATTCTTTCCCACTTTTTTATGTCATGGGTCTACAAACTACATCTCACAGGTTAAGTCTGGCTCACCGTCCATTTTTGCAAATAGATTTCTCATATTCCTACCCATTATTTATTTTTTATTATTTTTATTATACTTTAAGTTCTGGGATACATGTGCAGAACGTGCAGGTTTGTTACATAGGTAGGTATACATGTGCCATGATGGCTTGCTGCACACATCAACCCATCATCTACATTAGGTATTTCTCCTAATGCTATCCCTCCCCTAGCCCCCGACCCGCTGGCAGGCTCTGGTGTGTGATGTTCCCCTCCCTGAGTCCATGTGTTCTCATTATTCAACTCCCACTTATGAGTGAGAACATGCAGTGTTTGGTTTTCTGTTCTTGTGTTAGTTTGCTGAAAATGATAGTTTCTAGCTTCATCCATGTCCCTGCAAAGGACATGAACTCATCGTTTTTTATGGCTGCACAGTATTCCATGGTGTATATGTGCCACATTTTCTTTATCCAGTCTATCACTGATGGACATTTGGGTTGGTTCCCAGTCTTTGCTATTGTGAACAGTGCTACAATAAACATATGTGTGCATGTGTCTTTATAGTAGCATGATTTATAATCCTTTGGGTATATACCCAGTAATGAGATTGCTGGGCCAAATGGTATTTCTAGTTCTAGATTATTGAGAAATCGCCACACTCTCTTACACAATGGTTGAACTAATTTATGCTCCCACCAACAGTGTAAAAGTGTTCCTATTTCTCCACATCCTCTTTTTCCACATCCTCTCCACTAAAAAGTTTCCTGGCTTTTTGACGATCACCATTCTATCTGGTGTGAGATGTATCTCATTGTGATTTTGACTTGCGTTTCTCTAATGACCAGATCTGCACAGCAAAAGAAACTATCCTACTCATTATTTTTACACAATAGCTACAGCTATTTTTGTACTGCAACAGTAGAATTGTGTGACAGAGAATATATGGTACACAGGTATTTACTATCTGTACCCTAGACAGAAAACTTTGCCCACCTCTGCTTTATAAATATTTTCTAGTATCAATACATGACAATTTATTTTTCTATTCCTGGGGTTGAAGACTATGGCCTGTTTTTGCATATGGTCTGTGAGTTACAAATGGTTTTTTCTCTATTTAAAAAAATTATTACAAAAGAGAAAACCCGCTTTCACCATTCCTGTTCAACATAGTACAGGAAGTCTTAGCCAGAGCAATCAGGCAAAAAAATAAATAAAAGGCATCCAAACAGAAAAAGAAGTCAAACTATCGCTTTTCACTGACAATATGCTTCTATAACTAGAAATCCCTAAAGACTCTGCCAAAAGGCTGCTGGAACTAATCAACAATTTCAGTAACGTTTTAGTATACAAAATTAATGTACAAAAATCAGCAGATGTCTATGTACCAATAAAGCTCAAGTGGACAGCCAAATCAAGAACTAGGTCCCTTCTACAATAACCACAAAAACAAACAAACAAACAAACAAACATACCCAGGAATATAACTAACAAAGGAGGTAAAATATCTCCATAAGGAGAATTACAAAACACTGTGGTCAATCACAGATGACACAAACAAATGGAAAAAGATTCTATGCTCATGGATTGGAATAATCAATAGAGTTAAAATGGTCATACTGCACAGAACAATTTACAAGTTCAATGCAATTTATAGATTTCTATCAAACTACCAATGTCATTTTTCACAGAATCAGAAAAAAACTATTCTAAAATTTATATGGCATCAAAAAAGTGCCCAAATTGCCAGAGCAAATCTCAAGCAAAAAGAACAAAGCCAGAAGCATCACATTACCTGATTTCAAACTATATTATAAGACTACAGTAAACAAAATAGCATGGTACGGGTACAAAAAGAGACACATAGACCAACAGAATGGAATAGAAAACACAGAAATAAAGCCACACACCTGTAGTCATCTGGTCTTTGACAAAGGTGACAAAAATAAGTAATGAGGAAAGTACTCCCTAATCAGTAAATGGTGCTTGGATAGCTGGCTAGCCAATATGCAGAAGAATTAACTTGGACCCCTACCTTTCACCATATACAAAAATTAATTCAAGATGGAGTAAAGATTTAAATACATAATCTCAAACTATAAGAATCCTAAAAGAAAACCTATAAAATATTTGGGACATTGGCCTTGGGAAATAATTTTTGATGAACACTTAAAGCAATTGCAATAAAACAAAAGCTGGCAAGTGGGACCTAATTAAACTAAAGTGCTTTCACACGGAAGAAAAAACTACAGAGTAAACAGACAACCTGCAGAATGGGAGAAATCTCCAACAAAAGTGTAATATTCAGAATCTATAAGGAACTTAACAATGCAATAGGCAAAAAATAAAAAACCTCATTAAAAAGCTGGCAAAAGACTTAAGCAGACACTTTGTATATTAAAAATAAAATTTGTAGGTCCCAGATGATATTAAATTCTCCCAAAAAAAGGCTTATTTTCTCTTCCGGGCAAATAAACTGAGAAAATTTCCCCTTAACATAATCAGAGGCCAAGCTAGCTCAAAGCTGGATTGCACTTTTGGAAAAGTATAGTCTTATTCTGACTTATTCTTCTTACTTTCATCTGAAAGCTTTAGATATCTCTTCATAATGGTTCCTGTCTGGTATGTTTGTCACCTTAGCTCCACAAAATTGTTGTAAACTTCAGTCAGTACCAGATTTTTCCCCTCACTTTCACACAACCTCACAAACTAGCAAATGTTTTGAGACAGAAGAAAGTCCCATGTGACAGCCAAAATCTCTGCTAGTTTCCCCATCCCTCCAGCATGATTTCTCTTTGTGAAGAAACTAATTCTCACCTTCTTGTTTGTGTCCATAAATAGAAAATGACATCAGGGAGAAAGCAGCTACTATCATCAGCTTACCCTCTTTCTGATTCTCTCCTCTGTGGAATACTAACCACTTCAGTTTCATTGCTTCTGCAGCTCTCTGATACATTTATCAGATAACTTTATAAATTAGCTCTTTCTAGTTATTGTCCCTTGGAGCATTTGTCCACTCAAAGAAGTATTCCATTCCATGCAAAAATAGAAGTCTGTCATAACTGTGTTGTTTGTTTCCTTTTAATCTCCCTACTGACAGAGTAAGGAAATTTTGGTGCATTCATACAATTGAATACTATGCAGCAATTTTTTTTTTTTTTTTTTTTTTTTTGAGACGGAGTTTCGCTCTGTCGCCCAGGCTGGAGTGCAGTGGCGCGATCTCGACTCACTGCAAGCTCCGCCTCCCGGGTTCACGCCATTCTCCTGCCTCAGCCTCCTGTGTAGCTGGGACTACAGGCACGCGCCACCATGCCCGGCTAATTTTTGTATTTTTAGTAGAGACGGGGTTTCACCGTGTTAGCCAGGATGGTCTCGATCTCCTGACCTCGTGATCCGCCCGTCTCGGCCTCCCAAAGTGCTGGGATTACAGGCGTGAGCCACCGCGCCCGGCCGCAAGTTTTTAAAATAAGGCAGATTTATTATATATTCTGCTATGGAAACTTTACCAAGTTATGTTGAGACACTAGCCTTATTTTTATGTTATGCTTTTTTGAGTTATTTAAATTAAAAAAATATATAAAAAGTATAATTTTTTAATTTAAAAAATCCTGCCAATAGAGTTCCCTGACTGTACAAATCTAAAAATTAAACTTCTAGTTGCAGGATTGAAAATAAAGGAAACAAATGTTTACCTTCTAAAATTCTATCTTTATAAATGTGCATTAACAAACAAGCATTGATGAGAGTATTCCATAACTGGAAAATATGGATGTTATTAGATTTTATTCTAGTTTGATTCTATTATTTGGGTGATACTGGAAAGTCTCTGACTCCTCAGTTTCTTAAGATCCAATCTAGAAATTGATAACACTAATAATATAATTCATTTCCAGAATTCTCTTATCCATTAATAGAAACATTATTTGATACCCTGACAATTAAGTGAAATAAACAGATCAGTATCTTAGATTATACATCCTCCATTGAGGAGGAGATATATATATATATACACACACATACACACACTAAGTAATAATATAATTTATATAATTATATTTATATATAATTCATATATATTGAATATTATAAATTTAATATGAGATACATATTCATAATAAATATATATATTAATTTTTAAGGTTAAATTGATACCTTCAGGTTAACTTGCTACTGTGTGTGTGTGTGTGTGTGTGTGTGTGTGTGTGTGGTGTTTCATTTAAGCCAAGTACAAAGTATATTCTAAATCATTACATTTATTTGATGATTACAAAAGAATTCTCTGGGTCACAGTAGCTCTTTCTCTTTTGGCTATATTCCATTCTGAAAGCTCATAACCTTGGCCATTACAGATGTTTTAAATTTTAAATAGCATTTATTAGAGTATTTTTTTCAGTTTTAGAATTTATACTTCTATAAGGCACCTTTCCAACTGTAGAGATTTGGGGATTCTTGTTTGCTTGTATTTAAAAACAAGATCCTACTATGTTGCCCTGGCTGGCCTCAAACTTCTGGACTCAAACAATCCTCCCACCTCAGCCTTCCCAGTAGCTGAGACTACAGGCACAGCCACTATCCCTGTTGTGACTATAGAGTTTTGATTATTCAATTTGATACAAATATTTTCTTTTCATAAGGTGTCAAATTTAAATTAATGCATGGGCCATTTTATTGCTAACGCATAAAAAGCTAAGAAGTTAGCAATATCTAAATGTTATAGCTATTTAATTAAAATAATTTCCAGTGTAATATTTTTGTATTTAGAATGTCTGTGTGAAAATTAGTAGTCTTATTCTACTGGATTCAATATATATTAGAAGTGCACATGCCCTATTATATTTAGCACTATACTAATTTAAGTAAAAGCCACAATATTTTAGAATTCAGGTGTAAAGCCACTGTATCTGACTGTGGATGCCCTGCCCAGAGTACCTGAATGCCTTTAACACTTTCTGTGGGCCCTTCCGCCAGCTTTTGTGTCTTTACTTTTAAGAGCTTACATTTGCAACTCTCTTTGGAGTGTTTCCCTTGGCCTACTGAGGCACATTTGCCTGCCCAGACATGCAAACAACAGGAAGTGCTGGGAGTTTCACCAAGTACTCCTTGAGGTCTGATTGTTCCACCCTTAGCCAATGACTGACTAGTGTAGAAGTATGAAATTCCAAGTCTTGTGATTTCAGACATGACAAGCTCTGAGGCATTATTTATACTCCAGAGATGCCCTGCAGCATCAGGCCCAGGCTGAGACTTTCCTTAAAATCTCACCACTTCTTGGCTTCCTTCCCTTCGCTTTACTGCTTCTCCTACTCTTTTGTGGGGTTAAACTGTAAGCATTCTTTTAAATGAATCACTTGTACACATGATTTAAAACAGCCATTTCATGACTGGGCAGCAACTTAGCATAGTGATAATGAGGAAAGATAAGGTACTATCACCCTCTTCTTGATCCTAACCTCCCTTCCAAGAGAAATAATCATTGTATAAGTTTAAAGTCACTGGGATAATTCTCTTTTCCAGTAGCTATGCTTCTGAAGGTTTATACTATAGAAATATTGACTTTCCTTATGCAAAACAAGCAGAAGTTCTGCCTACCCTGCGTTCATCCTCCCTCAGCCTTAAAATGAGGCATTCAGATAGCCATGCAGACATTGTTACTCTTATTAGAATTTTTCCAATAAATGGAAACAGCGTTTTATTCTCACTATATACCAATAAATGGAAACAGCATTTTATTCTCACTATATATCAAATGGATATTAACTTCGTGTATATATTAAGGTTTATTCTAATCAAGTACTTAAAAAGATATTTGTAGCCACTGTTGAAACCCCAAAAGCAAAATATTCTATATTGATGCAAGTTTTTTTTCCAAAATTAAAATACCACAGCAGATGGTGGTATAGTTGAAGCATTTCCAAATTATTTCACATAAATATAATTGCATTATGACTCTATTACAGAGAAAAAGAAGGATATATGAAGTCCATGTTTAATTTTAAAAAATCACAATCAAACTAAATTGCCAGGTGTAATGATACAACTAGAACAGATGGCAGACGTGATATCATACTTAGAAATCAAAATAAATTATTCTATTAATAAGAATAAACATTTTTCTGTTTTTTAAATGTGAAAAATTGTAATAAAAAATTACCTTATCTCTAAATGTTCTGTAATCTTTTTAAAAAAATTCTTCTACCAAACAAACAAAAAAACCCTTTAAATAAAACATGCACTAATACCCTTAAAACTCCCTCCAGGATGAATTAATACTGCAATTTACCTGCTTCTTTTAAAAAATATTTCTCAAATTATATTCGATTGCATTTCCATATGTGTTCGCATCAGAAATATACCCAAAAGAGCCGTTTCATCTTTTCATTTCATAAAATTACCATTTCCAGCTGTAGAACTCGTGATTTTATACCTGTTTTTATCTCCTTGTCCAATTAAATATGATTCTACAGAGGATGAAAAGTGTCAGGTATTCTGTACCAGTGCTTCTCAATTATGAGCAAGCATAGGAATCTCATGGACTGCCTGTTAAAACACAGGTTCCTGGTTGCCACCTGAAGAAAGTCTGATGGAATAGGTCTGGGGCAGAGCTAGAGAATTTGCTATTTTATTCGGTTGGTGAAAAAGTAATTGCAGTTTTTGCCACTGAACATAATGGCTAAAACCTACAATTACTTTTGTAATAATGTAACAATGAGAATGTTTCAAGTATCAGGACAACATTTTTAGTAGCACTCTCTAGGTGAATTTATTCCTTCATTTTCCAATAAAAGAATAACTTGATAGTGCGAATCTGGCCACATACCCTCACCTCTATAGAGGTGTAGCAAAAAATGCCAGATTTTGTGTTTCCTCCTTTTTTATTTGCTTTGAATATTGAAATCACATTTTTTCAATTATTTTAAAAGATAAACTTTGGGATTAATCAAGAAGCTAGAAGACTAGGTTCATCCAAGCACATGTCTAGAAAACTACAAGAAAGCTCAAAAAAGAATCAACTTCTGAGGCGTGTCAACTCCTTTCATCCTGGCTCCTGTCACTTTAACTCTGACCCTCCCACGCCTGACTTTTATTGGATGTTTGGCTTATCCTTCATTGATTGACAAGTTTCATTAATTCTATACCACATTGGGAAAAATAAGTAACAAGTGGTAAGAACCACACCATTTACATTTTTAAAAGAAAGTTTACACCATGTGACTTGAAATTGACTGAATCCTAGGATTGAATCCTGGTGGAACCCTGGACTTGATCACGTGGTATCTTCAACCTCTAGGCAGTTTTGAGTCTATAATGACCTCCAAATTTCAGAGGACTCTTATAATGTATTTTATTAAATAGTTAAGTGTTTCAACTTTCAATATTTTATCACAATCACTTCAGAAGTTTCAGCGAGCTGTTTTTGCAGTTGTTAAATATTTTGGAGAAACTTCCATATTCTTCATCGTGTCTATTACTGGACTGAAATTCTAGACACTCCCTTTGTAATTATCTGTTTTATGAGATCTTGGACAAGGCACTATACTTCTCTCAGCTTCACTTTCACTCATCTGAAAAAAAAATTGGGCCAGATGATCTGTATCACTCTTCTCTTTCAGTTCAGAACTATTCCAAAAGCCAGTTCCTCGTGCCACATTTCTTAGACAATTTTCTTTTGGAGGTGGTGAATGTACATACTCTCTATCCCTGAGAAAGAAGAAAGATGAAGGATAAAATTAGGTTTCCACATTTTTCATGAAGAAAACTGTATTAAAGTTATTTATAGGACTTAAACTACTTCCCCAGGCCAATTTTCTAATCCCAGAGGTAATGTTTAGGTTCTCTATAAACCTGTATTGCTTAATTACTTATACCCTTGGAGAAATCATATTACTACTCACTGCAATTTAATTGACACTAGAGAGTGGTGTTACTTGATCGGTTTAAAACATTATCACACTCCAGATTTCATTAATAAGCATAGCTTTCTGAATTCCTAATATGGATTTTTAGAGAGGTTTCATAGATATACACAATGTAAATTAAATGCTGTTTAGCATCATATACATATAAAAAGATACCATTTGAAACAGGATCTAGAAGAACTAGTTTCAACTTATACCACCTCTAATTTTAATAGCAGTTTGACAAAAACTTGGCTTTTCTTAGGCTTCCGTAGAAAATCTTTAACTTTAAAAGGAGCCAGAGCCTTGCCATACAGGGCCCCAGGCCAGCCATTTACAACTTGGAGTCTGTTGTTCTGCATCCAAGCATGTCACTTCATCAGAGCTAAAGCATCTCTTTTAAATCTGGATAACAGCTTTCTGGGCAGAGTGGGAACAGAACTCTTTGGCCTCCTCCCCATGATTTCCCTCTGAATCATCAGAGAAGTACCTCAACATGGTGGGCCATCACTTTGGATAGGATTATCAAGTCTGTCTAAGCTCAACTTGTCTTTGAGGTTACCCATCTCTACACAATCTGCTCTCACTCAGTAGAGAAGCAATCAGCTCTCTGGTTAATGTCTCTTATCGTCGATACTAGAACTTACCCTTCTGACAGCTGTTAGCTTTTAGCAGCCCAGTCCAAGACAAGTAGAGATAGTTAAAGGGGCCACCTTTATCTTTTGAACACCATAATATACTTAACAGAATATGATCTATTTAAACCATTATTAATATAAACCAATAGTTCTCCTTTTTACAGTCCAGACTCTTAATTTTACTAACTTGTGAAAAAAGAGTATTAAATGTCCAGAAAAAAGAAGAAAGCCAAGATGAACAGGATATAGAACCAATGATAGGTTTGAGAATTTATGCAGTCACCTGACTGAAGTCAACAACAATAAGTTTAGTACAACCATGAAATATTACATTGACAGGCTTCAAAATCAATTGCATAGGTAGCATGGTAGAGATACAGTGATTTCAATGAAAAATATTTGGATGCTTATTTAGTCACTTAATATGAAATAAGAGTATACTGAAAATACGCATAAATATGCTGTGCTCTGCAGGCATTCAAGAAACTTGTCTAATGTTGGACCTCATATCTAAAAAAAGGATTACGAAAAGACATCCAGAATAATTCTTTTAAAAAACTTAATATAATAATGATAATTGAAGGAATTGATGGCTAACAAGACCATCTGGCCAGTTGTGGGTTATACCATTATTGGGATAGACAATGAAAAAACAACAATTTTTTATTGCTCTAAAAAATTGCAAAAAGACTAGTTCTATGCTATTCCTGAAGATAAAATTAGGTTCAAAAGAGCAAACATAATACTAAAACATATTTTGGTTCAACATAAAACATCAACTTTCAAGGAATTTGAGTGCGTAGCAGAGAAATAAGCTTCTTCATCAAATATAGAGCTTAGCATTAATGGAAATGTTCAAGAAGTTATATGACTAATTCTCATGTTGACTCCTACCCTAGATTTAAATTAGAAAATGGAAATTTTATTTTTTTCTGGCCAATGTAAAAAAATCTATGATTCCTCAATTTGAAAATGAGTTTCTTAAAGATAGGGTCTTCTTTTCTTTCATACTCCTTAAATTGGAAGCCTCCCCTTGAAATGGTGTTATTAATCATAGTGTTTCTTTCTTAATACAAGTGGATAATTTTTCTAGTAAATGCATCAAGCATGTATAACAAAAGGGATGATGATATAACCCAATACCAAACACAGAGAAACAATTTTAAACAAATGTTTCTTTATTCATCCCTGATCTTATAGGGCTTTACTTAAGACAGATTTATTTAAGCCTGATTTATGTAGTCATTGCTCATGGTTCCTTTGGCAACTGATAATGAAAATTGTCATTTCTTTTTATTGAAATCTAAGATGTGTCATAAAAAAATCTTCTGCTTAAAAGGCTTCAAACTTCATTTTTCAGAAAAATCCAGATTTCCTGTGATGAAACATTTCCTTACAATTTCATACATGATAAAATACATGTAGCAAATAATTTACATAAGATCTCTTCAATTTGTACAGTGGAAGCTTTTGTAATTTACAGAGCATTTTAAACACAGAGAATTCAGGGAGAAAACAGCAAAAGATTTTTAAACTTCATTGCTTAAAAGTAAGCTTCAGGTGACATTTTAAAATAAGCTTCAAATGCTGTGTTTTTGCTAGATTTACACCTTGAAGCTGTTTCTATTTAGTTGATATTTATGTGGTGTTTCATATTTCCCGCCTCTAAAAAATATTCTTGAGGGGATATTGGCACATTTCCTCTCTGCAATACCACTGCAAGCATATTTAAAGAAAAAGAAGACACTTTGGGAGGCTGAGGCGGAAGGATCACTTGAGGCCATAAGTTAGAGGTGGCAGTGAGCTATGACATGCCATTGCACTCCAGCCTTGGCGACAGAGCGAAACCCTGTCTCAAAAATAAATAAATACGTAAAAGAAAAGAAAAATAAAAAAACATTCTGGCAAGTTCATATGATAGCATTTCAGAGTTAGAATTAGAGGCTTGAATTTCAAACTGTTTGATCTTAGACGGTCATTTATCCACTTCACAAAGATGGTAGAAAATTGGTAGCTTTGTGTTGGAGGAATGACACTATCATAGTACACAAAAGAGACACACATATTCTTCAGAATAAATCCTTCGTGTGAGTCTTCAAATGGTGCTGTGCTGTCGCTTATATAGGAATGAATTTTCTGACATTTTCCACCTATTTTCTGTAGTGATAAATTCTGAAGTTTTTGTGAAGATAACCGTATGTATTTCAAAGCGATTTAAAAATTTTCAAAATTGAGATGAAATAAGAATCTAACTTTCCCTACATGTTTCTAATAATTATATTAAAACATAATGTGTATTACTGTTTTCCAAACATACTGCAGCCTAATGCAAGTGAGTTTCTCTCTTCAAAGAACTGTTGATACTTTTCATTTTTATGAATTATGCTACTCTAATATATTCTGATTATTTCAGATTAAATATTTTGCTACAATTCAATATTAGCTTCTATTAACTTCAACTAGTAACGTGAAAAATGGTGCAAAAGGAAGCTATGGAAGATATTCTACAAAGAAGATAATAGATTTTCTAAATGTTAATTTCAGCTTGAGATAAAAGCCAGACTGTTTAATCATACAACTTTTCTCCTGTAAATCTTGAATTTCCAAATTAAATTGTCAGTCCCAAATAGATTGCATGGCAGAAAACAAAATTCTAAAGTTATCTGTGACAAGTCTGTACAAGAAAGCCTAAAAAGAAGAGTGACAGAAATTAAAAGCATCTATAGTCAAGTTTCAGAGCATAATGCATTTGTTTTTGGTCAAAAAAGTGACACAAAAGGAAATAGGGTGTATTTTCCCTACTGCAATAAAATATAAGGCAAAAAAGATGATAAAATGTTGATCGTATTTCCGAAGTGGCAGAGTTCAATATTAAAGTATGAGAGGAACCCAGAAATGTGAACATCAAAATATTGGGTGATTGTCCTTATCAGAGAATTAGACATCCCTAACCTATTGAACTTAAACACGATCATATGGCTTGCTTTGCTAAGGAAATGTAAGTGAAAGTGACATGTGTCACAGCCAGGCCGAAGGTTCTTTTCATTGACTGCAATTCTGGAAGCCCGTATTGTGATGGATCCTTCATCAGCCAGGATCCATAGATAACAATGATGAGCAGAATATCACTGCTTGCCCACAATAGATATGTAGCATGTGTAAGAACTTTGTTGTTTTAAATAAGTGAAATTTTCCATTTGTTTTTATTGTATGATAATTTATATTACTCTGACTCATAACACTAAGCCATGTGGCCCTTCAGGCTATCACCAGGAGTGAAAGAAGAGAAACATATCCTCTGGTGTCCTGGAGGATTCTGGACAGGGGCATCTTTTAGATCAATGTCATCAGAAAAAAATATATTGGGCGGCTAGAATTCCTTAATTACGGTATGGATATCTGTCATGAAAGAGGGTCCCACACACACATTACTAGAGCTACACAGGGCAGATATAACCTAGACTTTCCTGGGGTAAACCTTGCAAATAGAGAAGTAATAGAGTGTATGCAGGCCTGTGGCATCTATAAGTTACATATGAAATATTAGGCTCCTGAGGGAGCATGACGATTTATACCCAACTTATCTACCTACATTAGAGTAATACTGAAAAGAAGAAATATTAGCAAATAAAGGGATATCATTATTATAACTAACAAAGTTTAGTTTGGAATATAGTATATTGGGATAGTCAAAATGGGTTTATCATTTCCCTAATCACCAATCTGGACCCTAAAATAACCCTCCCAAGGATTTGTGCTTACAGAAAAGACATTCCCAGTGATAGACTCTTACAGGTCAGAATGCAGATACAAGGAATTTGAAAGACAGCAAGTTTTTTTCTACACAGAAACTTCTAAAAGATGAACTACACCAAATCAAGAAATGTCAGTCATGTCAACTCACTCATTTTTCTTCCATGAAGAGAAATAAGACAAGAGGGCAAGGGTTTTCAGGGAAAATCTCTATTGAGACTAGTAGTAAGGGATGAGTCATTTCTCGTCAAGAACATATCGTCTTAACCATTTGATCCTAAACATATGGTCAACCAGAAGTATGGCTCAACACCTTGGAAGAGGACATAAGCAGTTTCTCAGAACAATCTTCTGATCCATTCTTTTAGAAGTGACCTTACAATGTCAATCACAGTTGGTGAGATAAGTCTAGGCTAAAGAGGGTTCTCAAATGAATAAGAACATTGCGTTGAATACATTCACCCTAAGGTCAATTTTTACTCATGACTAAAAGCAAATTTTTTATTCCATTCTTCTTGTATTCTATGTCTGATTACTTTGTCCGATACAGCCTATAAGACCATGAAACAAAAATGACAACATTAACTTAAACCTCAAGAAAACATTCCAATAATAAAATGCTGATGCCTTTTGTCAACTTCCCAAGGGAAATTAAAAAATAAAAAATTACATTAATTTGTGTTATAAAGTCAAAAGAAAATAAAGTCAAATATTAAGTTATTTACCCTGTAAATGCAAAGAGAGTGAAGGTTAAAGTGTATCTACCCATATTCTATATTTTGCTTAGTCTCTCAGCAAGTGTTCCTCAAAATCAAGCAGAGTTGTGTTGTTTCTTTTTCTTTCCAGCAGCTAGTCTGTGCTCTTTCTCCCTGAAAATGGTTGTGGTTCCATCACATGAATTTAATGCCAAGTCTTTCAAGAGCCAAATATTTAACGAGTCTAAATAATTAATCGGCTTCACAAAGATTATCACTACACTGCTCAACATCCACCAAATTTAGAAAACAAACTAATCTGCATCTCCAGCAGTGGTTACTCCAGACAACAAAATATTATTCCCAGAACACAATTAGGGTTGCCACAGGCTTATTTAATGACAGAGGTTAGGCAAAGAACGCCTTTGACTTCAGCCTCAGCAGGATCCCATATAACAAGTGTCTATAACAATGGAAAACATCTATGATTTGTGAACCTATCCATTCAGAGAAATATACCATGAATTGTTCATTTTCATACACAGCCTATATTATGACACTTGGGAAGAGGGAAATGCTGTCTTATCTTCCTTCACAAGGTGGCATTCAATCCCTACTGCTTTCTCAATTCATTGAAACCTCTGCAACCATAGAAACACCTGTCACCAATTTTTACTTGAGATGTTTTCCCCCTTTTATTCAGATTTTAACTTCTGTTTCTTTCTTTTGCTCCCTGTTTTTAGCATTGCAGTATCAAACTGAATATGAATTCTTTGCATATGCATGTGCCCATTAAATGACTCAGAACTAAGATAATTGCCTGCTAAGGAAGAAGCTGCCTCATCCTCCATTTGTTTTACACAGAGAATCACCTGCAGCAGATTCGGAATTGAAGCTGCTGTTGAAACTTGTGAATCCATGTCTCTAGAACCGCAGTGAAGACTAACGCAGTCGTCATGAAATATTTTCATTAGTGTTTTATTATTTCAGCCCTTGAGTGGGTTATCTCCATTACATTTTTATCTACACTAGTGGGAGACAGCTCTAGCGTTTTATTTTCATTAGTTTTCCTCTGCTCCCCTTAGGGAAGCTCAGCTGCATTTGCACAGTTAAACTTACTTAATTTTGCCCGTCTTTATCTAAGGCACCTAGAGCAAGCACCGTTTCTTGGGTCAGGCAGCCTTCTAATGGTTTTTGGTCCAGATATTTTCCAGTAGAAAACTATTTTGTTGAAACCCCACAGTGAAAAATTTGAAGCCATGAGTTCTGGGACTGCCAAGAGAATCAACTGTTCCAATATCTTGCCCCATTTCAGATTCCTGATTGAATAATCTTTATCAGGAGATAGAATCCCATCATATGCTATATTAGCCAAGTCCTGGACTCAAGCTATCATTGTCTTCTTTATATCTCTTTAATTCTCTTTATATCATCTTTCCTATGGCTCTCCTAGGAATCCTAATTTCACATGATTTTAAAGTACATTTTCTCAAGACTTAAGCATAACCTGGGTAATTTTCAATATTATGTCACCTTGATTCTCAAAACAAGAGTTCCCTGCTTACATTTTGCTCACTTTCATGGTCTTCTTTTCTCCAAAATGTCCAGATTTTTATTTCATATAGCTGTCCCAATCTTTCAAAGATTTCTTTCTCTGACTATGGGTAGTATTAATGCAGCTAGAATGTCAATTCTAAGTTTTTTCATTCTTTTTCTGCTTGTGTGTTTTTTCATATAGCTTTTCTAAAATATAGCTTTTTCCCCCAGTTTTTTTGGTTCTTCTTCTTTTTTTTAAATGCATACTGGTTTATGCCTAGAACATGTGCCTAGAACAATGCATGGCACAGAGTTGTTGCTCAATTAGTACTCACTAAATAAATGACTGATTATGTTACCATCACAGTTCAAAATTGATCTCTCTATAGTTTTAGTCTAGAAAATTCCAAATTAGTAGCGACCAATCTACTGCCATTCTTTTAGGCCTACAATTAGAATTTTCCACTCGTATAACTGAAATACAAAATAAAATACAGCAAATAACTGTTCTGCATCCTTATGGCCTTAGAGATGGAAATATAAAAATGTATTTCTTTAGAATCTTTGCTTCAGCCACACTTGCATGCTTACTGCGTGATAAAGCCTTATTCTTTTATTTAGGCCAGGCACCTGCTATACATAAGGACATTCATCTGTATAAAAATAGCCACATGCCTTACCTAAAGACACAGTGACACAACAAGTCTTCCTCCAGAAAGTGGCATTTAAGACTGCTTTTTTCTAGTAGTTCAGACTATAGAGACACCAGTTGCCAGTTATAACTGAGGGATTTTCCCTCATATATACAAATCTTAACTTTGGTTTCCCTTTTAAGCTCCCTGTTTTGGCAATCCAGAGCCAGCGTGGTTGGTGCCTGATAAAGTACTTCCAAAACTTAGAGCCATTCCCCTCAGCAGAGTTCAAGCCAAGATCCTTGAACTCTACATATCAAGCTTGCCCATAAAATGTTTCTTCATTGTTTATTCCAACTGGTTGTCCCCTTCCAATCAGGTAACATACTTATTCACTATGTAGTATCTTTGCAAACTGAGATTAGGCATTGTTCCACTGCTCTGAGAAGAAGACAAAAGAAAGATAAGACTACCTGGGGGAAAAATCTTAATGGAAACCAAATTTGGGCAAAATAATTCATACAGAATAATCCTCCTTTATATGTGACTATCTTGATTGATCCCCCAAAATTCATCAAGTTTGCCTTACTTTCTCCATTTTTGAAGATAAGGAATCTGAGCTTTAAAGAACTAAAACAAATTTGCAAAACACACAACCTTCCATTGCCCATAGTTTCTAAATCTATTCATCTATTCACTACTGAAAATTTTATTTGAATCTTTAATTATATATAAGACTTCAACCACTTATAAATAATTCCTCAAAGCTTTTGAAACTCTGTTTCTATTATCTCACTAGTCAAGAATTTTCCATGTAGGTTCTTTACCTTTAGATTGCACCAACAAGTTCAAGGGAAGTATTTCTACAAAAAAGAAAGAAAGCCCCCTTTCCCCACTTAGTGCTAATTACAAATGAATTTAGATTAGTCTGAAGTAGTGATTTTCAGTTAAGACTATGATATTAAATTTTGGACTGTTCTGGACTACTATATTTAAATGGGGGAGAGGGGAAAAAAAAGGAAGGACCAGAAATAGCTTAGAAGAGAAAATAATGGTGGTATCTAAATATGAAAAAAACTAATACTTGAGACATAAATAATAAATTCTAGGTTAGGAGATGGTCCCTGAGATACCAGAATTTTCTTCCTTTATACTCACCTTCTCTCCCCCTTAACTCTCCTTTTCTCTTGTTTTTTTCCCCTCCTCTTCCTACCATATTAAGCCCCATACTACACAAAATAAACAAAAAATACACATGGAAATTTCAGGAGGATTTTTGATGAAATATAGATTTAAAAATGAATACAGATACAAAAATTAGGTGAGACTTCAAAATACTAATTGAGTTTTAGCAAAAGAAAAAAAAATAAAGAAGAAGAAGAAGAAGAAGTCATGTGTAAAGGTACCTGTTGATCACTTAAAACCTTGGCCAATTGTGCAATATCTATTACTAGAAATTTAAACCTTTAGAGTTGTCTTCAGAGCATGAGACTTTATTTTGGAAATGTTCATCTTTGTGAATTACAGAGTGCAATTTGTTCTCAGCTAATCATTTGAGCTTTGCACATGCTTTGTTAGAAGAAAATCTATCTTCCTTTTGATTTCCCTGTACTCTGGAACTATCAAAGAACCTGAAGGCCAGCAGTCTGCAAAGGGATTTAGTTTGAGCTTAGACCCAAGAAGGAGACTCTTAGTTTTGAATGATTCTCCTATAACCTGCACCTTCGAGACTGAATTGAAACTGGCATCCTGTGTTGCTCCATTGCTGAGATGAAGCCAAGCTAACCAAGAGCTCTGTAATGGCCATCTGCTTCTTTGACAAACAGTTAACTTATTCCTCAGTCTAAACTTAGCCAAGGATGTTCCATGCTTGTGCTTTCACACCCTCAGTTCTTAGTATTGATTCCTTTCGAGTTCATACATCTTAAAAATTCTGAACTATAGGCTGGGCATGGTGGCTCACGCCTGTAATCTTAGCACTTTGGGAGGCCAAGATGGGCAGATCACGAGGTCAGGAGTTCGAGTCCAGCCTGACCAACTTGATGAAACCCCATCTCTACTAAAAATACAAAACTTAGCCTGGTGCGGTGGTGAGTGCCTGTAATACTAGCTACTCAGGAGGCAGAGGCAGGAGAATCGCTTGAACATGAGAGATGGAGGTTGCAGTGAGCCAAGATTGCACCACTGCACTCCAGCCTGGGCAACAGAGTGAGACTCCATCTCAAAAAATAAAAAAATAAAAAATAATTTAAAAAAATTATGAACTACTATACTCTATTTCTCTTGGCGGGTTCACATGAAGTTTGCCAACTTTTAAGGAAAATATACATTATGCCTACTTTCCCTAAACAAATGGGCTACCTCATGAGGGTCTACAATAAGTGAATAAAATACAAATATCTTTTTACCCAAGCAACTACAAAGTGCATCTCTTCTTTGCAGCCTAATAAAAATTTAATAAAAGTAGAAGTGAAATATATCTGGCCACTTTAATGAGGAATATGCTTGAGGAAAATAAAATGATGTAGTGGCAAATCTAAGGTCGAAGTTAGAAACAACTTCAGCAACCCAGACATCAGCTAGCAAGGAACTGCAATAAAAAATCAGAATAGAAGCCAAGAATCATAAAGCCATTACTGGAAATGACAGAAGAAAATAATGCTATTAATGACAGAGATTCCTTCCCACACCCATCTGACAAAATAAACTTCAAAAACTCAGAGATCATATGTGCTTTTAAGGAAAATGTGTAAGTTTTTGCCACCTTCCTTAGGGTTAACAAGTGGTCTATTCTCAGTAATTCAAATTTGAATTTTGGTTGATTTCTTATTTTTGGCACTTTGTTGGGTAAGAGGAAAAACAAAGCTAGAAATGTATTATTTAACAAAGCTTTCTGTTATATTTGAAATTTTGTTTTGATTTTTGGTAGTAAGCAAAACTCATTTAGAAGTGAGCATATTAAATGAGAGGGAAGTTCAAGTTGTGATGTGAATTAAAAATAATCTGTAATTAGAACTAGGAACTGAGTGACTGACAAATAGTTCTGACAGAATTTTTGCTCTCCAATTCTGGTAGATTCAGTTTTATAAAGAGTCTTACTTTATAGTCACCAATCACAAAGATAGATAATTTTATCAAAACTTGGAATTCCAGGAGCTAGGAAAAAAACTCAATAATGGGTTAACTTTTGAAAAATTAATAAGTAAAAAGCTGCTAAAATACATATTATAATAGTTAAAATATCATTTTATATGACTAAAATGAATACCTGTCAAAGATTCTGTTCAGTTTAATAATTCATGAAGTAACTAATAAGATGAAAAGCTTAATTAAAAAGAGAATTTGAAAACCAAGGGTTCATGTAGTCAGTCAACAGAATTGAATGAAATACATTTGCTAGTAGATACAACCTGCTAAATGTTCTAAAAGGCCATAAATCTGTAACATTTGGGGTTATTTTTTCTTCCAGACAAAAATCTAAAAGCTTGCATGTAGCAGTCAATATTTTAGTTGTCAGTGCTGTGATTAAATATTAAATACTAAAGTCAAGCATAGGTGCTTCCTCTTGTATAATGAAATACGTTTTGAATGAGCCTGTTAAAACCTAAAAAGCTATGCAAGACTTGAAAGAAGGAAAGATCATCCACCTGTTTTATTTCAGATTTGGATTTTTTTCTGAAACAAAGTAAAAACAAATAAAAATGTATTCTGTAGAGAAGAGTTCGCATTAGGTTAATAGTAAAACTGGATATTTTTTTCTCTTTAAAAGTGAAGTGAGATACTAAAAATGAATATTTATTATATGTAATGGCACATCATTTTCTGCAAGTATATACAGATTTATTTTAAAAGATACTAAATACAAATAGTGTTCAATTTAGAATTACACATATTCAGTTCAAACACTGGAAATAAAAAAGTTTCAAATTAGAAGGGTATGGAAGACTTTACTTTTTTAAATGGGTGTTACTCAGGAAAGCCTCTTTTCTTTAATTGTGGAAGTTTCCCTTAGAGATTTGACCCCATAAGGAAAATCACTCAGTATCAACCTGACACATCAGGATATAAAATTTGGCATGCATGGAGCAGAAATCTATGGCTTTAATTTGGTGATTCCATGTCAGGAAATAGTTTCTCCCTTTTATATTCTTGTTTTCACTCCAATGAAAGCCCATTTTAAATAATTACAATACCAGCCTCAGCATAAGAGTAAGATCAGCCAGCCATTCATAAACATGTGGATGCGTGAAGTAGGTGTGTTGTAAAACACACCCCACAACACCATTTATTTCACAGATTATTATTAAATATTGTGAAGTAAATCACTTATTTTACAATTTATTTTACTCGGTAGGTTTTATAAAATATTTCCAATACTTTATTTCTAGGACTAAGTGGGATGACACAAATATTTATATGTCTGCAGAAAACAAAGCAAAAGTTGAGAGCAAAATGAAATTTGAGAATGCAATCATCTAACAATTATCATTAAAAAGTCATTCATTAATAAGCAAAAATTCTACAGTAATTACTAACATTTTAATAATGACACCTAATTGCCATGAACTTACATAAAAATAAATTTTAAATATCAACTTATATCTTTAATAAACATGTGTTAAGGATCTTGGCAACATCATATTTTACATTCCCTGGAAAATGATGATATGAAAAATGTTCAAGGGAACATGTTATGGTCAGATATCTTTGAGAAGCATCTACTTACTTAAACTATAATTTTAGTTATATGGACTATTAACAATAATATTAAGAAGAATATAGCTTGATTATTGCAAGCTCATTTCACCATTTGTAAGGCTCACATGAATGTCGCACTCCATGAAAAAATTTGCGCTAAACCTCTATTTTGCCATATACATAATTGTTCTAGGAAGCTCATCTTATAAACATCATAAATAGATGAAAATTCTGCTAGCAAATCAGAATAGAAGAAAAAAGTTGATGCATGAAAAGCCTTTTTTACAAATCAAGTACTCATGAAAATTAACTTTCAAAATAACATTTTATCCAAGGGAAAATGAAGACTATCTCAAAACCTAAAAGAACCAGTATTAAGATTTTGGTGTAAATACAGGGTGGGGAACATCACACACTGGGGCCTGTTGTGCGTTGGGGGGCGTGGGGAGGGATAGCACTGGGAGATATACCTAATGTAAATGACGGGTTGATGAGTGCAGCGGGCCAGCATGGCACATGTATACCTATGTAACGAGCCTGCACATTGTGCACATGTACCCTAGAACTTAAAGCATAATTTAAAAAATATATTTTGGTGTAAATATATTTGCACTTATTTTTTAACATTCACGAATGGGATCTCTTGTACTTCACTGCAATTGTGCCGCATAAATTGTTTTAAAACTTCTCATTTTCTCTTAAAAATGTACCAGGAATGTTTTCACCACTGTAAATAATGCCGCAGTGGGCATCCTTGGACATAAACCTTTGGCCACCCATATTTCTTTGAGAGATTTTAGGAGTGATGTAAGAAAATAAACATTTTTAATTATCTTGGCATGGTTCCATGATTAAAAAACATATGTGGTGGAAATCAGTTTATGCTGGTTCTCTGTGACAGAATTATAAAACCGATGAGGACATTTGTTTTGTAATAGAAATATTATCAGACTTTTAGAAACTGTGTTCATACAAATTTCAGCTCACATGTTATTAATTACATGAGGGGTTATATAAGATATTAGAGCTAAAATGTGTAAACACTTTGCACTTAATACTTCACTCACATTGTCCCCTAATCCAACCATTCATATAACTGAATAATAAATATGAATTATGTACTAACATACATTATTATATCTGACCTCTTCTCTTACTAACTGTACTAACTATGTTGTGGTAAGCAAATTATTTTCCTCATCAAGCCACTTTCTTCATCTGTGTAATGGAGATGATAATAATGGTATATACCAGGCCAGGCGCAGTGGCTCATCCCAGCACTTTGAGAGGCTGAGGCAGGCATATCACCTGAGGCCAGGGATTCAAGACCAGCCTGACCAACATGGAGAAACCCCTACGCTACTAAAAATACAAAAATTAGCCAGTGCAGTGGCACACATCTGCAGTCCCAGCTACTAAGGAAGCCGAGGCATGAGAATCACTTGAGTCTGGGAGGCTGAGATTACAGTGAGTGGAGATCGCACCACTCTACTCCAGCCCGGGCAACAGAGTGGGACTCTGTCTCAAAACAAACAAACAAACAAACAAAAAAGGTATGTACCTAAGTGGTATTGTTTTGAAATTTAAATGAGTTAATAATAAATCCAAACCACTTAAAACATAGCTAGGTATGTTGCAATCATGCAAAAATATAGGGTACCACTATTACAATTGTAATTATTATTAATAGTAATAGTAGTACACTTTTTTAAAGAATCATAGCCACATATTAAAAATATATGTGGAATCAAACCTGATCCCATAGTCCAGTGTCCTTGACAAGAATGTAGAAGTCCAAAGCCAATGACCATGCAGTCAGAAAAGTTATTTTGTTTGATTTAGTTTAATTTGGTTACACATTTCTGTAACAGAGTGTGTGTGTGTGTAAACCAAAGCACACATTATATATTCTAAATTCGCATCTTTGTTTCCATCTTTGCCTTACCTTTTTACCTTTGCATGTTAGCTAAGAAAACGTTTCTTTGAATTCAGTTTTCAACTGTGTACTCTGAAGTGTATGTACTATATATTTCAGCCACCAAGTTGGGTAATCTGGAAATTCAATAAAGTCTATACTTACCCTTCAGTATTTCTTCATTCATTTAAATAAAAAGAGACCCTTATCAATTAAAATATACACTCCCTAAGTTAATTGCTTGAATATTGAAAGCATTCTGTTAGAAATGAATATTTCATTACAGAATGTATATGTATTAAACCACGAATTTGGTGTATTTTTTTTGTTTTGCCTGTAAACACAAATATTTTTAATAAGTACTACAATTAAGTTCCTGCTGTGCAAAAACTCCAGATCCTACACATTATGTAATGTAATACCCATTTTATAAATGAGAAAACGGATATTTGGAGAGGCATACGGCCTGCCAAAATGCACCTGAAAATAAAAAGTAGAGCAAGGCATTTAACTCATGTTAGAATGTATCTAAAGCCTGAGAATTATCTATACTATAAGAGTGTGTTGATTTATTTTAATATTGACAGTTCAGAGGGTCTCAGAGACTGCAAGTATTATTCTTAATTATTTATAACATTAAAGGTACTCAGCATCTGGAAAAGAACTTGCTTATAAAATCATGTATACAGCTGCATGGTAAGTACATCTGCCACTAAATTTCAGTTTTTTAAAAGCTGAAACAGCTGGAAAAAACTTATAAAAATTACAATTACTATTCATCTTTCTTCTTTAAACATTTGGAATGTAACAATCTCTATGCTAAAAATTAGTAGGAGAGTGTTACAATGAGTTTTTTAAAAACCAAGAAAAAGACAATAAATATTTATATATCTTTGGATCAAATGTGACTTTTATGTCTTATTTATTCAGTGATATTCTCACACCTTTACTTTTGTTCTCCAATAAAAAATAAAAAGTTATGAATGGACTTAATATAGTTCCTGAATTTCAGTTGGCTATATCTGCACTTTGAATACATCTGCTATATAATAATTTTTTTTCTGGAAAACATCACAAAGAAGTGTCTAATATGTGAATGAGAGATTAAAAATATTCAGTCCATCCCATTGTTGTGTCTGCGTTGTGTTTCTCCATACTTTGGTATTGTATTGCTTTTGTAACAAATTGTCACATACTTGATGATTTAAAAATGACAAGACCTTGTTATCTTACAGTTCTAGAGGGAGGAAGCCCAACACAGTCTCATTGAACTAAAATCAAGGTGTCAACAGAGCTGTATTTCATTCTAATATCACTAGGGCATAGTGTATTTCCTTGCATTTTCTAGTTTCTAAAGTCTAACTGCATTCCTTGGCTATGGCCCTCTTTCTCATCTTCAATACCAGTGACACTGCATCTCCAGCAACATCCTTTCATAAATCCATCATCATCCAGTTTCCTCATCTGCCTCTCTCTTCAACTGATGAACATTCTTGTGATTACACTGGACCCACTAGAAAAATCCAGGATAGTCTCTCTATTTTAAAGTCGACAGAGAAGCAATTAATTTCATCCCCAATCTTTATTCCCCTTTGCCATGCCACCTAACATAATCACAGGTTCCAAAGACTAGGACATGGGCATCTTGAAGAGAAGGAAAGAAGAGCTATTAGTGTACCTAACAAACTCCTCCATTGCATTTCTTCTGTGTCCTGTAAATTACTGGCTAAGTTATTTTAGCAATACATTTAAACCCTCAAGAAGTTATTGTGAAGAAGATACAACTCACTGACTCACTGAACAAAAATCCCAAAACCCCCTTCTCCCTGTAGCCTCCATTGTAGAGACTGATGTAGTTTGTAAATTGCTTTCCCTGCCAGGATCCTGGCTATGAGTGTCTGTATGACATAGTTCTGGTTGATGAGTCCACTGTGGCCTTCTACAAAATATTTTTACTTTCCTTTTAAAAGAGTCAGACCTATCTGCTGACATACATTATTTCTTCTTTCTACCTTATTTACAGAATTGATTCCTGGAGCCATGTACTAATTAAAAGGCCGAGAAAATCACTGATATGGCTGCTCTGATGTGAGGAAACGCCAAACTATTACTTCCAGCGGCTTACCTTAGGCATTTTGTCTATGAGAAAAGTCAGCATTTATTTGTTTATGTGACTACTAATAATAGGCTGGTGCAAAATTAATTGTGGGTTTTGCTGTTGAAAGTCATAGCGAAAACTGTAATTACTTTTGCACCAACCTAATAGTTTATTGTTAATGGCAGCCAAATTGATATTCTGAAGTTAGAAGTCAAAATCACTCATATCTGGTTTACCTTGGATCTAGAAGCAACACTTTAAGAATTTTTTCTGAAAAAAATGACCTAAATATTCTTATTTATTTCTAATTATTAGAAATAAATGCATGTTCTTATTATTCATTAAAAAATATTATCGATGTGGGGGAGGGGGCAAGTTCTAGTATCTATAGAAGTACAATGAGAGTAAACAGAAAATAGTAACAAAAGAACATAAAAATGTATTTTCTTCTAAATATTTATAATGTTATGTGACAATTATTAATATAATGCCTCTCCCCATGAAATCTGTTCTTCCTTGTCTACTCTGCAAAAATGGATCTGACACTTTATATGTATTTTTCTTTTGTCAGCTGGCAGTAAGCTTTGCCAATAGCTGGTGCTAGAAAGGCATTGCTGGAGAAAAGGCTTCTGCTTCCCTTCCTGGTTCAGTTGTGCTTACTTAGCAGGTAAATGTAGCACACTTGGCTTCTCCAGCACTTAGCAATAGTGATGTGGATGGCTTGTCAGTTTCTGCAGTGTCCAGGTCTTGCAGCACACACAGCTTTTCCATTATCAGGCTCCTCCAGTGCTTGTGCAACTTCTTCAGTTCATTTCCTGTAGGGCATGCCATCCAGCAGTACTCAGCAGCCAGTAGCGTCCCCCAGAAACTTCTTAGGCTGTTTTATAATACTTTTCCATGAAACACCTTTTTTTGTGATCAGCTTTCTTCTGCACCCTAGAGAATGGAATTCCAGCAAGTTTCAGAGGAAAGATTTCCAGCAAGTTCCACTAATGCTTCTTCTAGTGACTTCTTTACCATTCAGTGAGAAATGGCCATGCCCTTTCCAACAAGGTATAGCTTTTCGTCCTGGTAGGATGGAAGGCAGGGCATCTTCCTCTACACGTGCTCTATCTCGGTGAGAGGGTACTGGCTGATCCTTGTAACTGCTTTTTCCATGACTTTTAGAGTTCTCTTTATGTTTTACCACCCCATCTCTCATTATGCTAATCCCCATTATAGTTTAAAAGTTTAATTAAAAATTTTCCTGTTCAAATCACTGTGTGGTCTCCCTGATCAGACTCTGATTGACACACATCATATGTCAAAGCTATATCTCCAAGTTATTTGAGGCTATTGTCTATAAAGTTAGAGCAATATTTTACAAGTATTTATAGAATTTGCCTTAAAACAGCTTCTCTCAAAAATGCTTTTCAGAACATGATGTACTTTGTCACATGATGCACTCCGAGAAAAATCGATTCCATGGTCCAATAGCTTATTTTTTTTCAATTAGATGTTCATAGTGCTTATGAGAATATTAAACTTTCTCAGAGGTTCTGTAGTTAATATAATCCACTTAATTTTGTTTAAGCCAGCATTTCCTGAACCTTTTTGACCTTGAAAACAGTTCACTGAACAAAAACAACTCTTGTAACTTGTGAAATGTTATGTTGAGAAATAAACTTTGGAAAATGATTCCTTAAGGATATCAGCATAATAAATAGCTCTATTGATTTAAAGAAAGGGTAAAAGCATTTGAAGAGCATGGAGAATGTGTTTTTGTGCCATTGCGTGCTATTTCTTAGGCTCTTCTTTTGAAAGTGCCATGAAAATGTGGCTGCAGGAAGGGTTTCCCACTTTTACATACGTGCATTACTACTCATGCTGGGTATATACAATCTTGGTATGATTTATAAATAGATCTCTAAATGATGACTAGCTAGGGAATAAATCGAGCTTTCAGTTCATGTTTTCTACTCCTAATCTTAACCATGTGTGATATTGACCACTTTATTGCTATATATATATATATATAATATTTGTTATAAGACTAGCTCTTGATCAAAAATAAATTCCTAACTGAAATCTGGTTGGCCTCTCCCTCATCCAAAGAGAATTTAAATAGAAAAAAATTGCCATCCAACACTCAATAGTTGTGGCTAGCCACTGCTGAGTAAGCTTAGCTGACAAAAACTCAACAGTATCTGCTATAATAAGGGAAAGTGACATTGTATATTACTGACGTGATCATTATTTGTTTAGACTAAAACTGCAAAGATTGCCGTTCCTTCCCAAATCCATAACCGTATCATAACCAAAAAATCCAGTCTCACTTTTCCCTTTCTGTAATTACTGTGGTGATAGATTATACTAAAGAACTCAAATTGAATCTTCAAAAAACAGAAGTATTTATACAGTTTTACTGATTAAAAAATATCCAAAAATGTTTTTAAGTGTTTACTTCTGAGTGATTGAGGTGTTTTGTTAAACAAAATAATATTTTATTGATTTTTGTGTTCCTTGGCATTCAATGGTAATTATAATAAAAGTTATCTTGGAATTTACATGGTGTCTTGAAATGTTGACAACCTCTTGTAAAGTCGATCAGAGCAGCATTATGGCTTATGTTTCTTTTGTAGCTCTGTGTAAGTTCATAACATGTAGTGGGCCTTCAAAATATAATAAAGTCAAAAACTGTCATAACATGTAATAAAACGTCTTACAAGAAAATGTTCAAAATTTTGTTAATGACCTTTTATGACACAATTCATGTCTTAATTCTTCAGCTGTCACAGATTATGGATGCTTGTGCTTCTTAACTACACTCCATATATGTGGTAGAAATTCTTGGTGCTCCACTCATATCCCCTTTACCAGATTACCATGCTGTGAGTACCGCAGCTAGCAGCTTATAACTGTGACCTCAAAACAACTGCCCTTGGTTGAAGGAAGTCAACTTGCCCATAAACACATGGATGGTTATACCATTTACTGACTAATATTTGCTGACTAATAAAAAGATACCAAGTACTGTCCCTAAGCCTTAAGTTGGTACAACTCTAGGGTGTAATTTACTCTTCAGAAAGGCCCCTCATTCCTCTATGTATCAGAGCAAGGATAGTCTACATTCTTGCTCAGCTTTTTTGTCTCTGCTACTCTGCTTCCCTAATTTCCTTCAGGATTTTCTTGAAGATAATTCACTCAAAAAATCACTTATTCCTGAATCCCTGTCTAGGGCTTCACTTCTAGGGAACTGACCTAAGGAGGGACCCCAGAGAAGCAGATTTAAGAATGAGGTTCTGGACTTGAACATCTGGTGACCAGCTGGAGTAAGGGCCTCATCTCTGATGGTAGGTGGAAAATTGATAGTCACTGGCAGGCTGTGAGACTGCAATTGTTAAGGCTTTCACCTACAATGAATTAAGCTAAACTACATTTGGAAAGGGTACATGGCATTGGATTTTTGGTATAATATCTCCGACCTTTAAGAAGTATGGCTCTATACTTTAAATTTTTAAATATAATTTTATATTTTTATTTTTTATTTATTTTAATTTAACTTTTAATTTTTTAATATAATTTTAAGCATATTAATTGAAAAACTAGATAGTTCTTGGTAGACAGCACTGGTACTTTGAAAAGAGAAAATGGGAGACTCAGGTAATCAAACATTAATTCCAATAATTAAAATAAAAATGTGAGAGTGAGAGGCTTCCTTAGCAAAACTTGAAAACATCATTATTTTCTGTAACAAGAAGGCTTACCATATCGAGGAACAGGTATAGAACTTTATCTAAAGATTAAAATGTAGTAAAATGTAGTAGTTTGATTACTCACGTTGGCAAATCTCTTCCATGAAATTTGAGGTCCAACCAGGTACAGTGGCTCACACCATGAGCTGCAATCCCAGCTACTTGAGAGGCTGAAGCCAGGAGTTCAAGACCAGCCTGGGCAACATAATGATATCCTGTCTCAAAAAAATAAATAAATAAATAATAAATAAAAGGGACTTGGGGTCCAGTTATGAAAGGAATTGGATCCCGAGCCTTGGGATGGGTACACTAGATAGACCAAGTGAAAAACCTTGAGGGTTCAATGTCCCTGAAGATTCTAGGCCTAGAGAAGCAGCTAGCACCTCTTGTAAAATAATCAGGAGTATGTGGAACTATCAAATGATACAGACATCTTACTAGTCAATGTTCGTCTTTTTCAGGGTCTGCTCACATAACCCCTTCTGCTTAACAGAACGAATCACAACATGATTACAGGTGCGTGCCACCACATCCAACTAATTTTTGTACATTTAGTAGAGACAGGGTTTCACTATGTCGGCCAGGCTGGTCTCCAACTCCTGACCTCAAATGATCCGCCTTGCCTCGGCCTCCCAAAGTGCTGGAATTCTGGCATTAGCCACCATGCCCTGTCAAAACTTTTAAGAATTGGCAAAACTGCCTGTAATCCCAGCACTTTGGGAGGCCGAGGCGGGCGGATCACGAGGTCAGGAGATTGAGACCATCCCGGCTAAAACGGTGAAACCCCGTCTCTACTAAAAATACAAAAAATTAGCCGGGCGTAGTGGCGGGCGCCTGTAGTCCCAGCTACTTGGGAGGCTGAGGCAGGAGAATGGCGTGAACCCGGGAGGCGGAGCTTGCAGTGAGCCGAGATCCCGCCACTGCACTCCAGCCTGGGCGACAGAGCGAGACTCCGTCTCAAAAAAAAAAAAAAAAAGAATTGGCAAAACTGAAATAAAAAAAGTATATCCTTAAATTTCTTTAATAATAAATAACAGAATGAAAAAAAGAAAAGACAGAAGAAATGAAAGAAGGAAAGAAAGAAGAAAGCAAAGAAGGAGGGAGCAAGGAAGGAAGGTAGTTCTTAGCTTACAAAATACGTCAGAAAGATGACACAAAATAAACCAAATAAACCAGAAAGAAGGAATCAATAAAGATAAAATATAAAATTAATGACTATATAACAAAGCATATATAGAAAAAGTTAAAACCTCTAAATGACTTTTTAAAAGAGTTTAGACCAGCGCTGTCCAATAGAACTTTATGTGATACTAGAAATATTTTATATCTCTACTGCCCAATACTGTAGCTCCTATGTCTGCTGACACTTAAAAGTGTTCAGGGAAACTGAAGAACTAAATTTTTAATTTTATTTAATTTTAATCAACATGAATACATTAATTAAATTTATATAATTTTACAATTTAAGTCAATTAATATAAATTTAAATTTATGTTGCTATTGGACAAAACAGATATAGATAAATGTTTCACCAGCCCAACTTTTTAAACTGAATAAAAATTTAAAACATTTTTATGAATTAAAAAATTCTATAAAAAATTAATGTACAAAAATAGAGAATTTATATATAATATAAATTTATATATTCATATATAAATTCTCTCTATATGTATAGAAACAATTCTATATATATATAAACAATTTATATATATATATATGTATACACACACACACACACACACACACACACACACACTTAGAAGCCATGCCTGAACTTCAAATTTAGAGAATCTATGAGTGTTGTTTTAAGCTGCAAAATTTGTGGTAATTTGTAATGTGCAATAAAAAACTAATATATAAGAAAACAAGATGCTGAAAATAAGTGGTTCAAAAAAATTAAAATTGAAGAAACAATGAGTTATTTCTATTGTGATGGTTTTATCACATGGATTCACCCCAATTAAAGGGGGAGTCCAATTCTTCATGAATATAAACCAGCCTTATTCACTGACTTCTAATGACTATAATGAGGTAGAAGTGATGCTAAGTGACTCTCATGGAGTTCTGAGATTTCTTTCCTGGAATGTTTGCCCTTGGAACTCAGCCATCATACCATGAGGAAGCCAAACAGCCCTTGAAAAACTCAGATGTATGTGTTCTAGCCACTACCCCGGGTGAAATCTCAGCCAACAACCACCATCAACTTGCCAGACATATGAGTTAGTAAGCCTTTGGATGAGTCCAGCCCACAGCCTTTGAGCAAGCCCAGCTGAAGTTGAACAATGAGCTATCTCCAGTAGAGTCCTACCCACACTGCACATTCCTTAGCAAACATTGTCATTATTTTAAGCCACTAAATGTGGGGGTAGTTTGTTATATAGCAAAAGATAACAGGACATCTTCGTACTCATCTGACTGCATCTGACTGGCAAAAGGCTATTTTTGTTTTGTGGGTCTTCTTGTTGTTGTTGTTGAGAGAGGGTCTCACTCTTTTGCCCAGGCTAGACTGCAATGGCCTGATCATAGCTCACAGCAGCCTCAATCTCCTGGGCTCAAACAATCCTCCCACCTCAGCCATTGGAGTAGCTGTGACTATAGGAACATGCCACATGTCTGGCTATTTTTTTTTCTTTTTTTTAAATTTACTTTTATTAGAGGAGACAAGGTCTTGCTATGTTGCCCAGGACAGTCTCAAACTCCTGAGCTCAAGTGATGGTCCCAGGTTAGCATCCCAAAATGATGGGATTAGAGGCATGAGCCATCACATCTGAACCACTTGCAAAGGTTTTAAAGAATAATAATAATACCTATGGATGGATGGCGTGTTGGGAAGAAGCTAACTGTGGGGCAACGAACAAAGCTGTTCAAAAATTATTTAGGGCCCTCACTCTGGTTACCAGTGAGATGATGACTGCACCAAAACTCTGCTTCCCACAGGACTAGTAGCTACCTTCGACCACCAGCAAAATAAACTTTAGGGTTTCTAGGTGTTGGGCAATTGGCTTTCTCCCAAACCAATGTAAATATCTGACAAGAAATATCTGCCTTATCTGGAACAAACTAGAATATTTATTTCTCCACTGACAAATTTACAACAGTGAATAGGATTCCTTTCTTGGAACATTTATGCACTGAGTGTGTATCCAATAAGCTGCTCTATCCCTGGCAGGAATTTCTGTGGGTGATAATGAAGACTGAGGATCTCTGGCTCCTCTTCTTGTTGAACTCTGTTTTAAAAGCTTTCCTAAAAATTTTTGTGTGATATTACAGAAAATGTCCTGAAGTCTAGTGTGTGATTGGTGGCAAACATTACAGGATCCACCTTGCTTGAGAGTGAAAATAAAAGTTCTCAACTTGCTCAATATTTACTCAAACCATGCTGGTGATTGGTTATTTTGAATTATTTGTATAAATTTATGGAGTACAAGTTAAATGTTGTTACATGGATAGATTGTGTAATGGTGATGTCAGGGCTTTTAGGGTATTTATCACGCAAATAAATACATTGTACACATGAAGTAATCTCTCATTATCCACTCCCCTCCAACCCCAGCCACCCTTCCAAGTTTCTATTGAATATCATTCCACAATCTACACCCATGTGTACCCATTTTTTAGCTCCCACTAATATATGAGAACAAGTGATATTTGTCTTCCTGTGTCCGACTTGCTACACTTAAAGTAATGGCCTCCAGTTTCATCCATGCTGCTGCAAAATACATGATTTCATTCTTGTTTATGGGTGAATAGTGTTCATCATATATATGTGATGATATAATAAAGAAGTTATATATATATATATGTAACTTTTTTAATCCAATCATCCATTGATGGAAACTTAGGTTGATGCCAAGTCTTTGCTATTGTGAATAATGCTGTGAAAAACACGGGAGTGCAGGTGTCCTGTTGATGTAATGATTTCTTTTCCTTTGGATAGATACCAACTAGTGGAATTGTTGTGTCAAATGGTAGTTTTATCTTTAATTATTTCAGAAATGTCCATAAGAGATTTTCCATAGAGGTTGTATTAATTTATTACAATCTCTTATTAATTTATATAATTCCAACCAACAGCGTATAAGCATTCCCTTTTTCTCTGCATCCTTGCCACCATTTGTTATTTTTTTGCCTTTTTAATAGTTACCATTTTGACTGGTGTAAAGACAGTTTCTCACTGTGGTTTTAATTTGCATTTCTCACATGATTGGTGATGTTAAGCATTTTCCCATATGCTTTTTGGCCATTTCTATGTCTTCTTTTGAAAAAATGTCAATTCATGTCCTTTGCTCACTTTTTAATGAGATTATTTTTGTTGTTGTTGAGTTGTATGAGATATTTGATATGGAACAAAAACACAATGAAAAACACAAAAAAATGAAAAAGGATCAAACCAATTTTGACATCCATTGATAGAGGAATAGTAAAATAAATTATTGTATATCAATAACATGGAAAATAAAAAGCTATTAAAAGGAATAAATTAGAACTATACAAGTTGGCTTGGAAAAGTTTCCATATGGTAAAAGTATTATGATTTCATATGAAAACTAAAGATCAAAAAATTCCATAAAAGGAAAATAAACCTTGGGGCCACAGAATCACTAAGCTGAAGGGAAAAGTCAAGCTGGGAACTGCTTAGGGCAAACCTGTCTCCCATTCCATTCAAAGTCATCCCTCTGCTCACTGAGATAAATGCATATCCGATTGCCTCCTATGGAAAGGCTAATCGGAAACTCAAAAGAATGCAAATATTTGTCTCTAATCTACCTATGACCTGGAAGCCCCCTCCTTGCTTCAAGTTGTCTGGCCTTTGTTTTGAGTTGTCCCACCTTTCCAGACCGAACCCATGTTCATCTTACATATGTTGATTGATGTCTCATGTCTCCCTAAAATGTACAAAACCAAGCTGTGCTCTGACCACCTTCATCACTTGTCATCAGTACCTCTTGAGGCTGTGTCATGGGCATGGATCCTTAACTTTGGCAAAATAAACTTCCTAAATTGACTGAGACCTGTCTCAGATTTTGGTTGTTCACAATCCCATGCATATATACGGGTGTGTATAAATTTTATATATATATATATATGTGTGTGTGTTTGTGTGTGTATATATGTGTGTATACCATGTTCATTATGTATATGTGTGTGTGCATAAATCATGTGTATGTATATATACACACACATGAAAATTGTATACATGTACATATGTATATGTGTATACCTTGTCTCAAGATGTATACACATATGCAATTTATACACACTCATATATAGAATTTATGCATAGCCATACATATGATATTGATGAAAATGAAAAATATGAAAGAATCTACACTGGGTTATTTATATGGAGAGTGCAGGTGGTAGAGAAAAAGAAAATAAAGGTTGATTATGCCTTAAAATATAAATAGGATGTGAGAGTCAAAATGTGTCAAGGTCAGCAGAAATCAGTTATTTTAGAAAGCCAGAATTTTTAACCTTGAGAATACAAGCCAAATCATAGAATATTTTAGGTTTTCCTTAGCTACATCATTACTCAACAGATTGTGATAAAAAGAATCACCCTTTTTTTATTCTTATTTTTCCAGACAGATACTTTCCATTGTTGCTGCTCAAACTAATCAGTAGAATGAAAGACTGAGTAATACCACATTTCTTTCAAAGTCGAAGAGTCTGCATTATTGTATAATTGATGCTACTTCAGAAAAGCAATCTCCTGATCAAAATAATTGATTACTTCAGAGATTCAACCCCCCTCGGAACCTGCTGGGAGACTGAGGAATATGCTTTATAAGAATCTTTGCATGTTCCTTTGCATTTAAAGTGCAAGAAAAATAAGTAAATAAGAGAATAATAACAATAAGTAAATAAGATTAAGGAAGTAATAAGGAAATGGAGCAGGGTAGGTGTGTACATTCATAATTGAAAAGTAATAGCACATTAAAGTTATTTAGGGACTGTATGGAATAGTTTTTTATTTGTTCATCTGTTTTACTAACTACTATGAACTGCTTAAGCTCAGAAGCCATATCTCATTTATCTTTGTATACCCAAGCCCTAGCATATTGCCTGGTACAGAAGAGCTCAATCTGTGTTATCTCTTTGATGGTGGTTGAATAAATTTATGAGTTTCCTAAATGGAAAGACACAGAGAGATGCGTATCAGGTGGGTGGCATTTGGAATTCAGTCACAGACTGAGGGTGGGCCACATGCCTCTATGCTCAGAGGAAATTCCACTTTAGCTGGCTAGCACAACTGGAGAACAAAAAGTAGCTATCTAGACCACAGTGGACTAGAGCTGTTTTGCCCAAAAGGGAAAGATAACAATCCTTCTGGTGCCAATGCACAGGCCTGCCTGCACACACACACACACACGCACACTCATACACCCGTAGGAAAAAAAAAATACCAGTAAGAGAACTTGGATTTAAAGGGAAAGAAAAACAAAGCATTCATTGAAATAAGTTATAATAAGGCAGTTAGTTAAGGGCTTAATTACCCATAGCTCCAGAGGAGCGTATGATGTTACAGAAGAGGAAGAAATCATAAAACTTAGCAGCAGGGGTTCATCTTCCCAGATATTAAATAGGTAATTAATCTTAACTGCAAGAAGCAATTATGCCTCACTGAATAAGGTGGAGCTTTTTAGTCTCACAAAGCAAAACTTCAGGTCAACACAATAATGGCAAAGGCAAGGGAGCAAAATAAATGATACCTATGAGTACTTTTCTCTTAAAAAATATATTAATCTGTACTCTTTTGCAGATGTCTAGGTTGTGCCTGAGATAATATTTGATTTTATTTTATTTAGAAAAATATTCTAATTTGCCCTTATGTACTGGATTTTATTATTCAGCAGCTATTATAGGTGTGCCACACTGCTGTAGATGCTTAGAATGCACAGTTGAACATTCTACAGGTTACAGAAATGTAATCTAATGACAAATCTATAGAAATCCAGGCTGAGAAGCATGGGTAGGAGGATACCGTATATATACCTTTGACAGTACGTGGGTTCTTTTTTTAACTTTTATTTTAAGTTCAGGGATACAAGTGCAGGTTTGTTACACAGGTAAAATTGTGTTATGGGGAATTGTTGTACAGATTATTTCATCACTCAGGTATTAAGCCTTGTTATTTTTCCTGATCCTCACACTCCTCCCACCCTCCGCCCTCCAGTAGGCCCCAGTGTGTGTTGTTCCCCACTATGTGTCCATGTGTTCTCACAATTTAGCTCCTACTTATAAGTGAGAATATGTGGTATTTGGCTTTATGTTCCTGGGTTAGTTTGCTAAGGATAATGCCCCCAGCTCTATCCATGCCCCTGCAAAGAACATTATCTCATTCATTTTTATGGCTGCATAGCATTCCATGCTGTATATGTTCCATATTTTTTTAATCCAGTCTATTATTGATGGACATTTAGGTTGATTCCAAATAGTGATTCCACTATTTAGGTTGAATAGTGCTACAGTGAACATGCACGTGCACGTGTCTTTATAATAGAATGATTTTAATAGGATTAAAATTTACAGGAAACTAACAAACAACTCCATAAAAAAGTGGGGAAACCACATAAACAGACACTTTTCAAAAGAAGACATACATGCCACCAACAGTCATATGAAAAAAAGCTCAACATCATGAACTTTAGAGAAATGCAAATCAAAACCACAATGAGATATTATATTAACACCAGTCAGAATGGTTATTACTGAAAAGTCAAAAAATAACAGATTCTGAAGAGGTTGTGGAGAAAAAGGAATGCTTATATACTGTTGGTGGGGGTGCAAATTAGTTCAGCCATTGTGGAAGACAGTGTGGTGATTCCTCAAAGACCTAAAGACAGAAATACCATTCAACTTAGAAAGTATTTGGGTTCCAAAAGAAACGTCTCATTAAAATAAAATAGCAGTAATTTTGTCCCATATAAAATATTAAGTAAACTAAATTTGAAAAAATTGCTGATTTTATAAGTTTGATAAGGAAAAATAACATAGACTATATTCATTTGCTGGGGCTGTCATTACAAAATACCACAGACTGAGTGGTTTAAAGAACAGAAATTTATTTTCTGATAGTTCTGGAGGCCAGAATTCCAAGATCGAGGTGTTGGTAGGTTTGGTTTCTCTCTCCTTGGCTTGCAGATGGCCATTTTCTCACGTTAGGTGCTTTTCTCTGTGTGCGTACCTTTCTAGTGTCACTCTGTAAATCCTATTCTACTCTTCTTTCCACTCTCCAATAAGATTGAATTGGGATCCATCCTAACAACCTTATTTTAACTTAATTAAAGTCCTATCTCTGAATACAATCATAGTCTGAGGTACTGGGAGTCAGGCTTCTTTGTATAAATTTTGAGAGAATACAATTTAGTCCGAAAAATATACACATACCGAAATAAAATTTTAAAAGCCTAAATCTTGGAGGTAAAAAAACCTGTGTCAAAATATTCATTCAACTTTCTTGCTTACTGATTTGAAGCTATTTAAACATACAAAGCCTTAGATATATGATTGGATTAAAGTATATGTGATTGGATAAAAGCTGTTAATATTATTATGGAAGTTCCCCCTGAGTTCCACCTGCTCTACAATAAAAAACCTGTTCTTGGCAGATTTCAGCTATTTTATCGCCATGTAAACTTTACCCTCCTATGGCCCCAGATGGGATTGTCTTTGCCAAATGAGTTACTGGATTTCTCACATATAAAATAAGAACTATAATAGTACCTACTGCATAGGGTGGTTATGAAGATTAAACAATTACTATTGTGACTACTAAATACTATATGTATATTGCATGTGTAATATATACATAATATACACATAAAGTGCATGTCCTAGAACTTGGTGCATAGTGAGGTTGCATTAAGGTATTGCTACTTTTATTATAACTTGTCTTTACTACAAATATCTGTTTACTACAACTACTACTAGTATTATTATTTAATTACTGCTATTACTATTACCATACTTCTGTTGTTACTATTTTTTCCAAAACTACTGATCTTTCTAAAATGCAGACTGGAAAAATGTCACTCCCCTGATTCAAACATTTTAGCAAATTGGCCATTGTTTTTGGGAAAAGCCTACTCGATTTTTTTTTGAGAGACAGAGTTTCACTCTTGTTGCCCAGGCTGGAGGGCAATGGTGAGATCTCAGGTCACTGCAACCTCTGCCTCCCATGTTCAAGCAATTTTCCTGCCTCAGCCTCCCAAGTAGCTGGGACTACAGGTGCTCACCACCACACCTGGCTATTTTTTTTTCTTTTTTGTATTATTAGTAGAGATGGGGTTTCACCATGTTGACCAGGCACGTCCTGAACTACCGAACTCAGGTGATCCACCCGCTTCAGTCTCTCAAAGTGCTGGGATTACAGGGGTGAGCCACGGTGCCTGACCAAGCCCACTCTTTTATAGAGCCCATAATTTCCTGCAGATTGTAAACCTGATGAGCTTTATCTCTAACAATGTCAAACCTCCCACAATGCACCCACATAAATAATATTTCAATTCCATTTACAACAAAAGTACTTATTGCTTGACTCTCTACTATGATAGACACAATTCTCTGAGCACAGGAGATATAGTTGTGGGCAAAATAGTCAGGATCCCTACACTCAGGAAAAAGAGATTGTGGAAACAGATAACAAATAAGCAACCATATAAAAATACTTTCAATTTGTGAAAAGCACTTTGAGGAAAAGCAAACAGAAGTACATGAGAAAGACTGAATGGTTAACAGCTTGGGGTAGGTTGGTTGAGAAAGGTTGCTCTGAGGAAGTGACATTTAAGGTGATACTTGAATGAAGAAAATAAGTGAGATTGAACATTCCAGGCAGAGGGAGCAACACATGAGAAAGATCTAAGGTGAGATCTAATTTAGTGAATTCATGCAACTGACAAAAAGGTAGAGTGACCAGGCCCTAGGGATCACAATTGAGAGAACTGTTGGAAGCGGCTAGTTCCTTCAAAAACTTGGGAGCAGCTAGATCCTTCAGGATCCAGCCTGCATTAAAGAACTTAATAAACTTTCAACTTAAAGAACTTTAATGCAGGATCTAGCCTGCATTAAAGAACTTGGCTTTTAGTATAACTAAAACATTTATCCTTTTAGTATAACTGAAAGGAAGCCATTAGTATAACTATAGGAAGCCATTAAGCAAACTTGGACAGGATAAAACAAATCTGAATTATATTTCCATAAGGCAACTCCAACTGTTTTATTCATAATTGATTGGAAGAGTACAGTCATGGAGACCAGGTAGGGGGTGATAATGATAGTCTAGATGAGGAGTGACAGTTGCCTTGAGGAGGGTGGTAGCAGTGGAGATAATGGAGAAGTGGACAGTTTCTTATGACATATATTTACTTTTACAATTATTGTGTGTCATTTGTGTAATGTGGGTGTTTTTATTTTTCTACTGAATTTGATCAACAACTCATGCCTAGGGTTTCCAGAATTTTATGAAGAGAATAAACATATTAAGTTAATAATGACTGAACTAACAATAGAGAATGAGAATGATATATAGGTTACTAAACTAACTGAAGCATAAACATGAGAAAGACTGAATGAAGCTGCAAGGAAAGCTCTCATCTATTCCTTTGCATTATCTTCCTCATCAAGAAAGCAGTTAAATTTAGCCTGGAGAAAAACTTTCTTCTTTCAGAAAAAAAACTTTTTTCAGAAGTAAAGACTGGTCTGAGAGTCAAATAAGCCTTCCAAATAGAAGTTGTTTAACATTAAAGTGGCTGCTTACTCATTCTTAGTCTAATTTTTTCATCAATAAAATACATATTTTTAATTATTGAAAGCCTGCTATAAGAACTCAGTTCAATAACACATAAATGGTTTTGCACAGAGCCTGCCACATAGTTGTCCATCAATAAAAGTGGCTCCTTTCACTGTGAACTTATCAAGGTCCCTGTTTTCCTCTTCCACACAATTACTGCAGATTCTTTTCTGTGTTTCATCCTTTTTTCATCCATTGCCATACTGAGCTAGAATATCACTCCCTTTGCAATAGTTTTAATTGCAAGGAACAGAAACACATTCATGTTCCTTCAATTCAAAAAAAAATTGTTATTGTTGTTTTTGTTTCCCTTAAAATAAAATGCTAAAATTAAACTCACTGGAATCAGGAAAAGCTATCCTGCCAGACATGATGCAAGGAACAGAAACAAGTATAGTGAGATTGGAGGAAACTGGCATATAGTTCAAAAACAAGATCACTCAGGACCAAGATGGTTCTGGGGACTGGTTTCTAGCCTTGTCTATTAGAAGCCACTGCTTGTTAATCCGTGTACTAGTAATCTCTCCATAATAGTGACTCAGTTCCAACCAATGTGTGGTATTTTCATTATTCCTATAAACCACACACCTCCTCTGTATTATAAAAGTCTTTCAAAAGGCACTCTTCACAGCTTCTGCTTACTTATGAGCATTTTTACTTTTTGGCATCTGCAAATTGGCACTGTTCATTACGTTTCTGCCTGTATTAGTGAGTCTCTTTGCATCTCAAGTTCAAATTACTGAGTTGATCCAGTTAATCACAATCATCTTTATTGAAAAAATCCTCTCATACTAGGACATTCCATGGGACATTACCTAGCCTATAAATTGGGTACTTTGGAGTCAGATATCCTCATCTTATCCAATCAGTTCTTTCCATAATTATGGATCATATGACAAAGTTCATGAACACATATGTCTAAGGCCAGGCCACCTCCTTCTGCAGGTGTAGTGGATTTGGTAGTTTCTCTCAGAGTCTGTAAATATTCTTAGGTTTAGCCTATTTGTTTTAAGTACAAAAAAGGTCAGTTTATATATTTACATATACACATGTTCTTAAAGTTCAGTTTAATTTGTTTGTGAACAATATTATAGGTAATCTGAAAGTGTCAACTGCTGGTTACTTAATATAAAAGTATGGCATATTTCTATTGACATGGCCTCATTTAGAAGCAATCTAAGTGTCCATCAACAGATGAATGGATAAAGAAAATGTGGTACATATATACAATGGAGTACTATTCAGCCATAAAAGAAGAATGAGATCCATTCATTTTCAACAAACAACATGGATGGAACCAGAATTCATTATGTTTAGTGAAATAAGCCAGGCACAGAAAGACGAACACTGCATGTTCTCTCTTATTTGTGGAATCTAAAAATCAAAACAAATGAACTCATGGACATAGAGAGTAGAAGAATGGTTACCAGAGGTTGGGAAAAGCAGTGGGGTGATGGGGCATACATGGGGATGGTTAAAGTGTCAAAAAAAAAAAATGAGTAAGACCTAGTATTTGACCGTACAATGGGGTGACTATAGTCAATAATAACTTAACTGTACATTTTAAAATAAAGGGTATAATTGAGTTGTTTGCAACTCGATGGATAAATGCTTGAGGGTATAGACACCCCATTCTTCATGATGTGCTTATTTCTCATTGCATGCCTGTATCAAAACATCTCATGTAGACAATAAATATACTTGCTATGTACACCTCAAAATTTCTAAAGATTACTATATAACTCTTGAAACTATTTGATTTTATGTCTGTATGGCCTCATGAAACTTTATGCATTTCAAGATAAGAGCCATTTTTTTTTACCCATCCATATACTCCTATGAATGTTTAATATGTTTGTGGTCTATTATGTTTCTTAGTATTTGCTTATAATTCAGCTGTTTTCTGCCCCTATTAGTGAATCTCTTTGCATCTCAAGTTCAAATTACTGAGTTGATCCAGTTAATCACAATCACAATCATCTTTATTGAAGAAATCCTCTCACACTAGGACATTCCATAGGACATTACCTTACCTAGCCTATGAATTGGGAAATTTGGAGTCACACTCTGACACAGAGTCTACCACAGTGTATGGTAAAATTTAAATTATATTGTTTTGTTTGAGAAATGTAACTTCTATATTGAGTCCAAGCTTTATTGTTTGTCTCCTGCAGGCAGCGTTAACTCCATTCTGCGAAGACTTTCTTCCACAATTGTTCATTGCTCTATTCCCAATGTTTAGAACAAGACCTGGTAAATGTTAGTTTGGAAATATTTTTGGAATGAAAAGGAAAACACACACACACACACACACACACACACACAGTCACCTGTTTAACACTAATAAATATCTTCTGGATCCCTAATTGCTTGTGGGGTAATTTTCAGTTATTTTGTGTCCACTGCCATAAAGGTCAAACCTGTACATCACAACAGATTGGCAAAGCCAGCTAAGCAGCACTTATTATTTTGTAATATATTTATCTTTACTATACCTTTATCTTTAATAGTAGGTACTCATTCTGTCGATGAATATAATATATGATACTAAGTAACCTTTCCTTCAAAAATGTCATTAGGCTAATATAGTATTATCACCTGAAAACAATCCATTGGCATTTTCCTAAATGTAAGTGTAATACATATAGGCTTAACTTTAAAGTACTATAAACTATCTCCTTTTATAAGATACTAGATGTAATTATTCAGGAATTCTTATGATGTCCTTTAATGATAATATATTCTATAATATACAAAAAGAACATTAAGTATTATGCTTTGAAAAAGCTCAATGAAATCTACACTTGGCCCAAACTGTATAAGAAATAGAATCTTATGGAAGGAAAAAAAAAAATACCCAAGAGTATATGTGCCAGTATCTCTAATGCAAAAGAAACAAGAAGCTGAAGTGTATTTTAGAAAGAAAAACAGAAGAATGTGAGTTTGTTGCAAATAAAAGTCTATCATTCAATGATATAACAGCCTATGTTTCCAAGTATTTTACAAGTTTATACAAACTATATCTGTTTCCCTATCTGTAGCAGCAAACTTTTCCATCTGGCTAACTTCTATACATGTTGAGAGTACAGTAAAATGACTGAGAGCAGATTCTGGAGGCAGAAGGTCTTTGTTGGAGGCCAAACTCCAGTCGTTACAAGTTGCATGATTAAACTCCCTAATGCCCGATATCAACCCCCTCTCTTTCTCCATATTCTTCTTCAGATAGGTGATAGAAGTTATAAAGTAAAACACTTCCTCTGGACATCTCCCTTGGGGTGTAGCATCAGCATTCCTCATTTCTTCCTTCAAAATTTGTATACCCTACATCTTCAACAATATTGAACTAATGCAATTCCACGAATGTATTTTAGAGGAATTTCTAGACAAAGATAAGGCAGTCACCATTAACTCTTCAGGTTACTGACTAATTAGTTAGGTTTTGGTTTGTTTTATTTTTTAAGGCATGAATCAGAAGTTCAGAACAGCATGAGACAGACTAGAAGTTTTTTGTTTATTTATAATGTTCCTTCATTCTGTACTCACAATAACATCAAGTAATTAATTATGAGATATTAGTTGTGTATGTTGTTTTCTCACCTGTTGGTGGGCCTTTTATGTTTCTAAAAAGTGGATCACCTACTTTTTTTTGAGGGTAGATAGGAAGAGGTTTATCTAGACAAAGCTCCATGATCATTAACTTGTCGTTATGTTACCCTTTGACAAGGTGACCTCTGTTCCTCTTTTACACCCCAAATGATTTAGAATACAAGAATACTTAATGCTAGTTTCTCACATAGAGATATGAAAACTACCCAACATATAAAACTACCCAATATTTCTCATAATATAGTAAAATGTGTAAGTGCCATATTACATATCCTGCCTTCCAGTCTTTCCAACTGTTAGAAATTTTATAAATTGTCTCTTAAGAATGGAATGGCCCATACTATGTGTTCCTATTTTCTCTGGTGCAATTGATCAAGTCTATGTACTGCTGAAGGGAGAAAGCAGTGCCATATGGCAAATGACCATGATCAGGCCTGTCTGAGGTCCTCTGACTTGTATTTCAGTGACTGTGTACATGTTACTCTCTCTGCTTTGAGTGCCTTGCCTCTTCTTGCTTCCTTTCTTAATCTGGTTCATCTTCCTTTCTTCATCCTCCAAGCCATGGATAAATTTATTTCTTACATATTTATTTTTATTTTTTACATATCTACACACAACTCTGTTGATATTTATTTCAATAGTTTGCACTTGTATAAGCCCCTTGAAGAAAGAAATCGAGCTTAGCACAGGGTTTGTCACATGGTAGATATTTAAATGTTTGACTGAGTGCATACTTTGATGGTATTGAACCATTCAGCAAGCACATTGCAAAATATATTGTGATCAATGATGAGGAGAAGACACTGAGCTGATAATATCGCTGTGTAGATAGTGGTATCTAGTGATAAAATTTTGGATAAGAAATTCTCCACTTACATGAAAATAGATACAGATTCTCCCTTTCTAACAGCCATGGAAACTTAAACTTTACTGGAGAAGACAATAATTTGTGGCAAAAGGAAAAGGATAAACTAAAGAAGTTTATTTTTCCCCGGGCACATAACGCCCATTACAATTAAAGTGTTAAGCTGAACTGTAAAGGGATTATAGAGTCTCCATTTTTCCATATAATCAGTTCATTTTCTCCATAAAGTGAATTACAATAGGGACATGATCTCTCAGGAATATAATGAAAGTTTTATACCAGTAGACCTTAAAGGCACAAGCCTCATTTTTTAAAAAATGAATAAATGTCTTCAAAAGGAATATCTTACAAAATGATTTGAAAATAAGGGTACTCATGGAAAATCCTAATTATCAGAATGTTTCATTATAGCCTTTCAATTGCATCAACCAAATAGAAACATTATTTCTTCATTTTCTGTTTTGTAGTCATAACTGAGAATAACGATGGCCAAGTGGGATTGCATTTCTCTAAAGACAAATAATAGCTGTTATAAATAAGCAACATATGAGGACTGTAATATTGATACATTTATCAAGCAGAGTAGAAATAAAGCTATACCTGGTTATTATGTTAAGCACTTAACACACGAACAAATCAATTAATAAATTATTATTTAGTGGACACTAATTTCACTAAATACCATTACATTCACTAAGTGTGCAAGGAAAAATGAAGCTCCAAAATTGCAATTCTTAAAAGTTTTTCAAGTTACTCATTATAGGAATATTCCTGCTAATAAATTAAGAAGTAATGATAGACTGAGGATTGCACCCTCTAATAAATATTGAATGTAGGAATAAATAATGTTGATAACATGAGAAAAAGGGAGAGATTAGCACAAGCCTTGTGTCCTGATGGGAGAACACAATACCACTTACATTCTTCACAAAAATGTATCAAATTTGCATCTCATGAAGTCTCTGTATCTAACCTTCAATTTCTAAAAAATAGAGGGGAAAAAAGTACACATTTGACAACACTACAGATATGTAATCAGCAAAATTGAGAATGTGGCAAACTTTAAGGAAAAAGGACTATGTGTCCTCAAAAAATAGTAGGGGGAAGAGAAATAGGGAAGAAGACAAATGAATTAAGATTGGGGACATACAAGTGATTTTAAACGGTTAAAAAGTGAAATTATGAGACGGAGAATGTGAACACCAGTTAGGTATGCAATTATGTTGAAGACTTATCATTCCTTTTCAGGGCATAATAATGGTACTATGACGATTTTTTTTAAATAGCCATTATATTTTAGAACTAACTGAAATATTTAAGAAGTAATTATAGGATGACTGGGATTTGATTCAAAATGATCCAGGGGGAGTGTGGAAAGGAAAGGGATCTGGGCACAGAGAAAACAAGTATGGTCACCCATAGGTAACTGCTAAAGCTGGGTGACAGGGACAGGGGGCATGATTTAAAAATTCTCTTTATTTTTGGGCCTGTAGTCCCAGCTACTCGGGAGGCTGAGGCAAGAGAATGGCGTGAACCCGGGAGGTGGAGCTTGCAGTGAGCAAAGATCATACCACTGCACTCCAGCCTGAGCGACAGAGCGAGACTCTGTCTCAAAAAAACAAACAAAAAAATCTGTTTATTTTTATAAGTTTAATATTTCACAAAGTAAATATATGATTTATTAGATGTTTAAAAATTGAAATTCTGGCCACTTCACCAACGAGATTTCTTGCTAGCTCATTTTGTGCAAGGGCTCCAGCCTTTTGCCCTGTTATTCAGCACTCTTTCCTCTCTACCATCTGCTTCCCCTATTTTCTGGACCTGTTTTATTCACCAATCCATCTACATGCACAGACTCTTAATTCTCACACTTACTTAAAGGAGAAGTTCGGTCTCCATCTCCTACAGCTTACTGAGGTTCTGCCTTTGCAGAAACAAAGACTCACTAATGTATTCTACTAAGCAATGGGCCACCTACACCAGGTGCCAACTGTTAGCACCCCACACTGGCAAAGGCATTATTATTAATAAAATGTCCAATATTTAATCTCCTTCTGACAACAAAGCCCTATAAGATAAAAGGAGTAAACATATTTTAATTTCCTCCACTCCTCTGAATTATGCAGCCACTAACCTCATTCAGCTCTTTAAAAGGCAGAAATGGCTAAGATCAGAAGATGGTTCAGTTTTACATGATTTTTTTTTTAAGGGAAGGGTTCCCTCTCTATAACTGTTACTTTTTTTTCATGAGACATTTGTATTGCTTGAATATAATTGGCACAAAATTGGAGACAAGAAAGTTCTCTCAGAATTTAAATTTATAACAAGTACCATGTAAAGCGAGTGCTTTGAATATTTTAGTGAATATTCTGGGGAGGCAACTTTGCATTCCAGTTATGTATTTCATATCTTAATTTAGAAAGACAGAGAGGTGTGTCATTTACTTAAAATGTCCTTTTAAGTCATTAATTAAAATTACCTCTAAATTAGGATTGCATAGTCTAATTTCATTCCTGACTATGGGTCATATATCATCCATTTAAATAGCTCTAACAGAAAATCAATCTCCTTTTCTCACTCAGAGCAGACCATTTAAATCTTCTAAGTGTAGGATGCATAATAGAAAGTTGAGGACTAAAGGAGGCAAGAGTTAGTGAGTTTCTCTCATTAGGGTTTCTCTTTAGGATCAAGGCAATTTCATGTATAGGACAATCTTCAAGAAAACAACATAATCTTGTCATAATGCAGTGCAGTTATTTGGATTCCAGTGTAGCAAGTTTTGCTCTCAATTAGCCTAAGTTATCTTTCCCTAAAGCTTCAAGTCACCAGTTTCATCCACTATGTCACATGTAATAATGGAAGGATCCAGAAAGCTGCTTTGTTCCAAGGCCGACGGGAAGTATTAGATGCAGACCCAAAGTTCCCATGTGGAGGGAGCCCTAACCTAATGTCAAGCATCTCTTCTGTCAAGCCCGAAAGCTTATTTTACTAGGACTGACTCATCCAGCAACACAACGTAGCTACTGCATGAAAGGGCTTCACGATCACATAACCTCTCTTTGTGAATTATCCAAACCTAAAAGCAGTTTCTCAATATTTTCAACTGCCAAGCAATTACTCCAGTCAATGTAGTTACCATCTATCCTCAGTTTTCTCAAATGTTTTTCCTTTATGACCTTGGCTTCTCCTGCTACAATTATTTGTTCCACTTTTTAACAACAGCAACAACAACAAAACAAGGTTCTACTATGGTGGCGCTCGCACTGGTATCGGATCAGCTTTAGTTTAAATCACTGCTCTGGAAGGTACTAACACTATGATTTGGGGCTAGTAAGTTACCCTCAATAAGTCTTAATTTCCTGATCTGCAAAAATGAACATGGTAACAATATATTTCTCTTGGGTTCTTTAAATGAGATAATTTGCAGCAGACCTGAAGTACAGTGTCCCATATATTATATTCAATCAAAATTGGCAGCTGATTGTTTTCAAAGAAAGTTAAAAGCATATGTTTGTTAACTTTAGAAATTAATCAGTGACATAACTGAAATTTTAAATCCAGGATTGTAGGCCTTAGTAGCACACCAAAGTTTACACATTAAAGAGTAACCAATTAGTCTCTGCTGGCAGACTAGCTGGTCCACACCACACAGCAGTGCTGTCTTCATACTCACTTGTAGTCACTAAGCAATTATTTGGTGTCAAGAAATATTTAAATCCAGGCTTTCTGACCCCTAAACTATTACAGTCTCTTTCTTGTGCAACTAAATGTCCTTAACCACAACTTCTTTTCCAAGGGCTTGAAAAGAGCAAATGTTGAACTCCACACACTAAAAAAGAATATTAACAACAAAAACATAAAACAGCTACAACTTCAGCTTTTGCCATTCCGTAGGAGAGAATATTTATCACTCTCTGTATTTCTCTTTTAATTCATATTGCAAGCTTATCAGGGAATACTGCCTCTTCAATGAGGAGAACTATAATTTGGGGGGAAGACATTCAATTCAGAGCACATATTAGGGAATGTGATTTTACCCCTACGTTGAACCATTGTCTCCAATCAGATTCCTTTGTCTTATTTCCCAGTTGTTTCTAAACTCAATTTCAGAGCAATATTTATTGGCTTCTACAAATACTATTATCCATCAATAGGCAACAGGTATAGTAGAACAAACTGGGTAAGCAATGTAGTTGTATTCCTCAAGCTAATGGGTAATTTGCTGTGCTCTTTTCCCATGTCCAGGGCAAGTGGTAATGCCCCAGATAAAGGAGGCTGTGTCACCTGTTGAAACAGAGGGAATATGTCACAGATGATGATCCCACAGTTGCTGTCTCAGATGGAACATGGGGTCAACTGTGTTTATGCTGTATTTTAGAATAAGATAAAGATATTCTAGTTTATGTTTCATACCAGTATAAGAAAAGAAACCTTTAAAAATATATATCAGATAGTTTCACTCGCTGGCTTAACATTCTCTAAATGGCTCCATTTGGCACTTAGCACAAACTCCAAACTCCATAAAATAGTGTATGTTCATTGTTTTAAAACAGTGCTATTCACCAAGTCTTTTCTGATTTTCTTCTTTCTGCCACATAGTAAATTTACATTTCCCCAACCCCTCTGTAGATATGTACATACATCTATGTGACTTGCTGTTGCAAAGGAAATGCAAGCAGAAATCAAATGACCTATTCTGGAAGTAAATTTTTAGGGACAGTGTTTGATTCACATTTTCTTCTCATTGCTATAGTGACATTGGTGAACCAAGAAAGGATAAACTTCTCTCAGCCTTTAAGTGACTGTAATGAGTTTTCCTATTGACCTGCTCTGAGCAAGAAATAGTGTTGTGTTTGTTTGGGTACATGAGCGTGCACGTGTGTGTGTGTGTGCACATGCACTTTATGTCACTGAGATTGTAGGGTTCTATTGTCACAGCATAATCTAGCTCAATTTGATTAGTCTAAAAATTGGTACAATGTTATGTAACTCAGTGTTAAAATATTAGATTGGCTTCATGGCCACTTGGTGGGTAGTAAAAAATCTTTTATCAAATACTGGAAATATAGTGTTCTATGTCCTTGAGAGGCAAAATATTTGGTAAACTAATATTTTAAATAACTTAGAAGCAGATGTTGTATTATAAGTCTAAGGAAAGAGATTGGATACTAGAACATGTGTACTGTATAGATTCCTCTTTTGACCAGGAAGAGATGAGCACAGATGAGAATTGGAGGATATTAAGGGAATAGAAATAAATTGAAGAAACTAGAGGAGTTGATGAAGTAATTACCATCCCACTGTACAAAGATTAAAATATAGAATATTAAAGACTTTGCTGGCTGCTATATGGAAAATGAATTGATTAGAGTGAAGACTGATGAATCAGAAATATCATTTTGTGAGTCATACAAGGCATGTTAATGGCTTGGACATGGAAGACAGCAACAGTGATATGTAGAACTCGATAGATTCATTTGGTATATATTTTACAGGGAAAACTAGCTGGATGTGCGTTTGAAGAGAGATATCAAGAATGAATTTAAGATTCTAGCTCAAGTAACTAGAAAAACATTGATACTATTTGAGGGCATAGAAAATATTAGGTGAAAGCAGGATTTCTTTGCATGATATGCTTGGCATATATGATTTCTAAATGGTAATTACAAGTTGAAATTTGTGCATATAAATCTTTATTTCAGTGGAGAAGTTAGAGTGAGAAACACGTATTTGATCATCAGGCAATTGAAGAAGATCATCTAGGAATAAGTGCAAATAGAGAAAATAAAAACCCCAAAGGTCAAGGATAATCCAGGAAAGGATCATGACAAGAAGTATCAAAAAGGAAGAGGGACACCATTAAAACAAATAGAGAGTACTTCAAGGATGATTATCAACTCCAACTGATGCCAGTAGGAAATCAATTAAGATGAGGACTTCCAAGTCCACTAGATGACAAATTTCAGGAGGGCAGGACATTTTGACTGTTTATTTCACTACTGTATCTCCAATACTTACAGTAATGCCCGGGGGAAAAAAATGATGGTAGAGTGGGATAAGATAGCTGCTAGAGGGAGATAAGGAGTCAATACAAATTTTAAGATGAGAAAACTAGTCCCATCAGAGGTTTTACTTCAATAATCTTTTCCTTCCACAGTCTTTTCTTTTGGCATTGTTTCTCTTCCATTTTTATCTACTAATACAGTTGCAATATGTTATTGAGCTTTACTAAGAACTGAACCCAGAATTTTTTAAAAAATACACTCATTTTTGTCCTCACAGTAAATTTAGTTAAGGGGTTGCATGTCTCTTTGATCTCATTCTTGATTCCCCAGTTACTAGCACATTTCCTGGCACATAATAAATAAGCAATAACTATTGTTAAATAGATTATAAATATTTTTCTCCTTTTAAATGGCAATATCTTTCCTTGACCATTGTGAAATTTCTTTGTTTTCTTAATTTGTATAGAGAGAAACCCAAGTCTACTCAGCACTTGGATTTAATATGGGATCAGGACGGGATGGCAGAAGGTAAGATTTGATGATTTCTATAAACTACTGCATACAGTTCAGAAATCCTTCAGAGTGGAAGTAGGATAGAAATACCTGGGACTATATGAAAGGATGATAGGGACCTTTACTTCTCTGATAATGTTTTTTTCTCTCTCTCTTTTTATTTGTTATGAAGTATGTGAATTTGCACCAGAGGTTTCCATGTTTTTTGTACAGCATTATTATCCAAACTTCAGCGCTGTTCTTCCACTATTAATTAATGTATCGTTTATCAAATGAGGCACTCAATGAATGAGAACTCTGTCTTTGCTGTTGTCATCATCTTCATTATTGTTATTATTGACTTAGAATTTCAATTTCTCAAATCTTTGTCTTGAGATAGCCTCCTGAAAAGGAATTCCTTCCTTTTTTTTTTTTTTTTTTTTTTTTTTTTTCTGGAGACGTGGTTTCGCTTTTGTTGCCCACGCTGGAGTACGGGGGCACAATCTTGGCTCACTGCAACTTCTCCCTCCTAGGTTCAAGCCATTCTCCTGCCTCAACCGCCTCAGTAGCTGGGATTATAGGCGCCCACCGCCACGCCCGGCTAATTTTTTTGTATTTTTAGTACAGACGGGGTTTCACCATGTTGGCCAGGCTAGCCAGGCTGGTCTTGAACTCCTGAACTCAGGTGATCCATCCGCCTCCACCTCCCAAAGTGCTGGGAGGTGTGACCACCGCGCTCACCCTCTGAAATGTATTTCTTAGTCCAGTGACTAGATGGCTTTTGGGTTAAGTGAGTGGTAAGCACACAGTTGGTTCTCTTCCTGCTTCATCATTCACTCCTTTCTGTAGTTTAACTCTTCAGCATTCAAGCTGTCAGTGAGATTCTCTCAGTCTCCTGTCCTTATTTTCTTATCACTCTACTTTTCTCAGATACAAGAGAATTACCATTGGCAACTTTTACTCTTCCTCCTTGGAATTCCTCAAGAGTAAATGTCACCCTTCCAGAGTTTCTCTAGACATAGAAACTTTGTGGTAGATTTCAATAAATCACTGATAAAGTATTAATAAGAAAAAAACTCCTTTATACTACCTTATATAAAAGTTGTTTCTCACCTATTTTTAAATTATGCTAGCTTGTATTTTATTTAATTATGAAAATACTCTTAAGAACATTTTAAATAAAGTAGTATATGTATAAAAAATTACTGCCAAACAGAAAGTGGAGAGAGAGAGAAGGAGAGAGAAGAAGGGGAGTCTGTGACTGTGTTTGTTGGGGGTAAATGTCTTTTAAAATATAAAAAAAAATCTGTACTCAGTAAGAATCTGAGGTGAAATTGTTTCATATTGCTGAAACATGTCCTTATTTTCTACTGAATGTCTATATCCTTTCTCTCTTTCACAGCACATCATTTGGGAGGGAAAAATCAATGATGTAGTTGTCGCTTTCTGAAATTATATGTCTTAGACACATGGATTCCTTGGGTCATTGCTGTTTTTCACTAGTGGAAAATATAATGAAAACTGCATAATGGAAAGAACAATTCCAATGAGAGCAGGTTAAACTGTAGCAGAATTTTAAACTTGAAATGTGAGCTACAGAATAAGCAATTAATGTAAGTTTCATCTCTGTAAAAATAAGAAGTTCTTTGTCTAGAATAACACTAAATTTAAGAAATCTTGCAAAATTTAGAATCTTCCTATGTATTAAAAAATATTTTAATCATAAATGAAGTTGGCATTCCTAATGACTTCAAAGCTAGGACACAGAAATTAAAAGGTGTCCTAAAATGAAAGCGTACCCCTGAGGAATTATCATTTAAGTGTTATCTGCATGTGTAAATCCATGAATAAAGCTAAGAAATCAGTTTCAGTGAAACTATATAAACATGGAAATGACATGAATATTGAATATAAATTGTTAAATAACAATATCTCAGAACAACTAAAACCTGGGATGTATTTAATAATACAAATCAGAAAGTGGCATGATGTTCCTCCTTCTTCTAAATGAAATAATTCACTCTTATTTACCCTCAATCAAGAATTTCTTCTATGCTGCCCTCCTCCATTAGCAAAACTTGAGTTAATTTATCAGTCACATTTTCATATATAAAACAGAGAGCACCTCAGGCTAAATTCAGACATAGTTAGCTAGAGAACACAGTGCTCAGATTACAGAGACAGAAAGTTGAAGAACCATGGATACAAAGAGAAAGAAGCCTTCCTAAACCAATAAGAAATTTTAAAATATACTCTGGGAGGAGAAAAGCGATTCCCAACATATGTAAAATTAGAGAAAAGTATTACAAGACACTGAAAAAGTTAACCATGTGTATTAGTTGTCTACTGCTGCATTAAAAACTACCCCCAAATTTAGCAAATTAGCACATTTATTATCACAAAGTTTCTGTGAGTCAGGGATTGAATAGTGGCTTAGCTGGGTGGTTCAGGATCAGTGTCTCTCACAAGGTGCAGTCAAGATATCAGCTGGGACTAAAGCCATCAGAAGGTTTGACTGGGACTGGAAAATCTGCTTATACCATGGCTCACTTACGTTCTTGGCAGAAGGCCTTAGTTCCTTGCTAGATGTTGACAGGAGGCCTCAGGTCCTGGCTTGGAGCTCATAGGACTATTTGAGTGTTCTCATGGCATCAGATACAGCTCCTCTTATTAGAGAAAAGCTCCAAGCCACAGTGTCTTTTATGATCCCATCTCTGAAGTCATATATAATGGCTTCTGTTATATTCTGTTGGTCAAACACCAATCCAATTAACATGTGACAGGAAACTACACACAAATGTGAATACCTAAAATAGGGATCATTAGAGCCCTCTCACAATCTGGTGATCACACACAGGGCCTGTAACTCATTTTCTCCTTCTTAGGAGACATCTGAGGTGCTGTGGACATAAACCAGAGCCTTCTATAAATATGCTCAGAGTAGTTTACTTGCTGGGAAGTAACTAGAAAAGTTTTCACCTATGGTTGCTCTTAGCAGGCTATGTTTGATCTCATTAAATTGATTATTGAAAATCCCAGAATTCATTGGTTGAGAGATGCACCTGGCTAGAAAGTTGAAAGTAACACATAGTCTCCCTACCCTTGCATGATTCACCAAGCATAAGACTTAGGAAAGTCTAAACTTACACATCTGTACCACAGGGATTGTCAGTGTTGATGTAGCAATCCAAAAGTTAAACGTGCTACACTGTGGGAAAAGAGGCCATTAAAAAACTGCATCTGATAAGTTTGGAGACCTCTCTAGAAAAGAATGCTGAATCTGTGCCTGATTTTTGCTTGCATCATTTGGTAAGTGTTATAGGTTGAACTGCATCCAGCAAAAGTAAAAGTTGGAGTCCTATCTCTCAGTACCACAGAATGCAAACTTATTTGAAAATAGAGTCTCACAGACATAAATAGTTAAAACAAAGTCTTACTGGAGTAGAATGGGCCCTTAATTCAGTATGACTTATGTCCTTATTAAAAAATGATATGAATATGTAGGGGGAGAATATCATGTAACAATGGAGGCAGAAGTTGGTGTTATTCATCTGCAAACTAAAGAACATCAAGGATTGCCAGCTACACCAGAAACTAAGAGAAAGGCATGGAAAAAATTTTCCCTAGAATATTACTTAGCATGTGGCCCTACAGAAACATGATTTCAGACTTCTGGCCTCCAGAATTATAGGAGATACATTACTCTTATCCTAAGCCACCCAACTTGTGGTGCTTTATTAAGTGAATACAACAAGCATTAGCAAATTTTGGTGGGAGGGATTTATGATGTGCCTGAGTCTACTTTGACAAATCAACATTCTGTGCAATGCAGATTAGTGGCAGTAGTAAAATTGGCATTCAGACCACAAATTATAATGGCTAAAGCATTTGGAGGCAAAAAGAAGAAAAGGAAGTCAGGAAAAGCATGATAATAACTTAATAATGACATCACTTTCTACATATTCTTGATATAAAGAGATGAGAGCCTTGAAGTAGATTACAGAGGATAATCTTCTTAATTAATTGTAAAAATTTGCCCTTAGGCTGAAGGAAATGGATTAAAAGGATGGACAGAGAAGGCTAAGCAAGGGGAAAGTTGACTAAAAGTACTATTTCTAGAGTTTATAGCAGTACTGGTGAAAATTAAATTCCTAAAGAAGAAAACTAGAATAAAAACATCATTTTCTCCACTCAAATGCATTGTTAAGAAGAAAATTAAAACTAATCTCAACACTCTACAATATGTTGTGTAGATCCTACATGTATGCTTATTAAATGAATAATTACTTTTCAGTATATAATATAAATTCAGGCATCATGAAGTATTTATGTGTGGTCTTTATAAAGCATTGAGGTAAGGTATTCATCAAAGTATTTTTATAAATAGTGTTAAGAGATACACTTTGGCAAATTAAAATTTTAAGGAGTGTATCTGAGTGATAGTGATTCATTAATCAGGCATCTCTAGACTGCAAGAGAACAGGGTCTCAGATAAAAGGGCACAGGGAAAGGCTCTTATAGGGTGAAGTCGAAGCTAAGCAGGAGAATAATTTGGTTGACGTTTGAGCAATTGAGTTATTTGAGCTATCCCACTAAGAAGTTTAAAACAATGTAAGTGATGCCTACCTTGTGATTGGCTGAGCTTAAGTTTCATTTTTATGCAGAAACCCAGGGTGTTGGAGCTGCCTCAGTCTAAAAGCCTCTCATTTCACAAATTTAACAATAAATATATGAGAAATGTGCATTCTAAGTGGCTATTTTTTTTTTAATTTTGTTGCTCAGAGTGGGAAGTGCTTGATTATTGCTTAAAGTTAATGATGTTAAAAAAAAAGTTAAAGAAAAACTAAATGGATAGTGGATAAGCTATTACTAATGTGACCCTCCATTAAGAAAGTTCTATGAAAGTAAGAAATTACGATGCAAAGTGAATGAAGATTTAGTAAAGTAAAACATCAGAGGAATTGACAGATCACTTCTAAGAGAAATGGCTTCGTGTTAGAATAATTTAATGCAGTTATATTTATTTGTTACTAATTTTCTTTGTTAATAAATTTAATACTAGTCCATTAAAATTCCACTAATATTGTAAACTGCTTGGGATGGGTGGATTCATTCTTCATAGCATTTTAGTAGTAAGAGTAATATTGTTTTGTCATCCTTGTCACAGAACACTTATGAAATCAGACTTTGGATATGTTGCACTATATATTTATTGAATGCTTACTAAATGACTAAGTTTATGCACAGTAGATGTCACTATTATACTCAATACTAAAAGGAATATAACTCTAAATAAATTATAAACTATATGACATATTCTCTTATGCCCAATGCCCTCCAGAGGATTGCATTTATATCTGTTGTTAATGATAAAGATGATGACCATATACATAGGGAAAGAGACAATATGCCTATTAGCTATACTCAGAGAGAATACATTTACTGTAATCAAATAGAAGACAAAAATGGCACCCTAATTCTATTATTTTAGTTTTCAACTATAAGCACTTTCAAATTACTGAATCTTTCAAGAGATACAAGAAGTAATTTGGAATTTGTCAAAGCAATTTTTATTCATTTAACAAGAATTCAATTTAATCAACAAATCATTTGTGAATAATACTGGAAAATTAACGAATTTGGTGCTCTACAATTGCCTAAATGCTTCAATCCTTTAAGATGAGGAAATATAAGCAATTGAATAGTTTGAAAGTAAATGTTCTATACTTACATTTGGGATAAGCAATTTAAAATGACTGTTGCCTCTGAAGGATGTCAGTCTAATTTTCAGCAATTGTAATACATTATTACTATGTACATATTTCATTAACATGGAAGTAAAATCTGTCCCCTCTTTTAAGTATAAGACTAAAAGTGTTGCACTCAAAGAGATCCTGGTGAAAAGTCATTTTGACATGAGACAAAAAAATAGAAATGGAAACAATCACAGGGAAAACTTATTGGTTTAAGTATATCTATCAAAACTACAACACTTGTTGACTAGGAACTCAGTTTAATTATAAAACTTTATGATTAATGTATGATTGTTCATTCAACAAATCCTTACCCTTTCCTCTATCCATTTCATCTTCATTACACTAATCAACGTAAGTAACATTTTCACATTAACCTTGCAACTTTGTATTGTACTGTCTATAATCACTAAAATTCAGAATTGTTGATTTTTATTGATTCCTAATATATGCACCTGTTCAGGGGATACATGTGATAATTTAATACATTAATACAATGTGCAAAGATCAAATCAGGGAAATTAGGATATTCATCACCTTAAATATTTAAAATCATCAATTTTTATTGCCAAAGTATTTTCCCACTTCCTTGCAATTAAGATTTCCTGGTGAAAGAACAAAAATCAAAATAGTTATATCCTGAATGGACATCAACTCCATCTCAAGAAAGGCAGCAATTTCTAAGAGAACTGGTTGATCACAAGCTTTTGAGCTGACTCAGCTGCACTGCTAAAAGCCCTGACCTTGAATCAAGATTAAGGGATCCACTAATGAAAGCCAGCTCTGGCAGTTTTTCAGCACTACCACTGGCAAATGGTCTTCAAATCAGAAATTTTCATAAAAATCCATGGAAGATGTAAGCCCATCAAAATCTTGTATCTACTTATTTTCTTAAGGATTTTGTTTTATAAGCAAGAGTTACAACCAAATTTTAATATGAAAAATATATAAATCTAATATGCAATATAAGTAAATCTATATTTGCATGTGTGTATGTGTGTAAATATGCATGCCTTTAAAAGTTTTTCTTATTGAGTTTACCATCATAATCTTCATAATGGTTGGGAAGCCAGTATGCAATTTACCAGAAAGTGATAACAATGCCAGAAGGGATTTTTGTTTCATTGGAGTTCTGGCAGAGGTTGTCCAAGGAATTATTTAGAAAGTTTAACACCTTGCTTAAACCATTTTACAAAGGCACCCCATCATTTCGTTGTGGCCAAATAAAAATATAGAAATGAATCTCTATGCAAAATGTTTTATTTTGGAGTGTATGTAAAGACAGAATGGCAATTCAAGGCATATCCATAGACCTGGGTAGTTTTGGGTATGTCTGAAGAATGAAGAGAAGGTTGGGGATTTTATCAGAAAAAAATAATGTTACATATTGCCTTAAAAAACTCATTGGCATGAGCAAAGTTTTGGGGAGCTGGCAAGCTCTGACTGGTGAGTGATAGTGGTAGGTAAAACAAATCTCAGACTAAGAGCAGTTTGTTTTAGCAGTTACTAGGTAAAACTGGTCTTAAGGTTATAGCTGGTCATTTTGGTAGCTGGTTTGTGATATAATGCCTGGGCAAAATGAGGTCTGTGTCCTGAGTGTACCACCTGCTCTGTACACCACCTGCTCTGTCTCTTAACTCTAATTTAGTTGGGTATAACAAGATCACTCTAATATATATAATCAGTTCTTACAGAATCCAAAACCTGTTTGACTTGAATATCCATTTTAAGAAATATTTATTGACATCTTTGTCAGGGACTGGAATACACACTCTGCTGATACATGGAGGATATAAACACATGGCGCCAGCTTCCAAGTCTAGTGTTGAAATAACACATAGATGAGCCACCACTTACAATATTTAGTGAAAATCCCCATTTAGGGTGAGTATAGACAAGGTGTATAAATTCTGGCAACACTGTCAACTTAGTGGAGTAGAAATTGTTTTTGAAGCAATATATGAGTTTCTTTTGTATAAACGAATGATGTTTTGCTAAAAACGCAAGGAAAAAAGACATCTCTAGCAGGAATAACTGTAAGAGCAAATATGAAAAGACCTGGGTACAGGTGGCATGTTTGCAGGCTAAAACTAGTCAGTATTCCTGAAATATAAACAGCAAACTTGTAGACACAAGATCTGAAACACATAAGAAGGAGGTCCTTGATCTTAAATAGCATTGGATTTTATGCCAAGGAATTTAAATTTGATTTTGTAGATAATGGAGAGTCATTGAGGAATTTTGAAAAGGGTGAAACTGAGGTAAAAACACCAGTCACAGGATGATGAAAGTCCAAAAAAGAGAGCACAAAACAGACAAACTAAGGTAGCAGAGAGGAATAAAGAATTTCAGTTATTATTTAAGCAATCACATGAAAATAATTGAGGGAGGAAAGAGTCTGCAATGATTTTCAAGCTTCTAGCTTGTGGTACCTGGCGAATGGGGTGCTATTCATCCATGCAGAAAATAAGAGAGGAAAAACGTAAGTTTTAATTCTAAACATGTTATATCTGAGGTAACTGATGGGACTGATTAAAAGTCCAAAGTATACTTAGACACAAAATGCTGCTTCTTGGGAGAGAGAAAAAAGATGTATTTATTGGAGATACAGAAGCAGTTGGGGTATATGTAGTAATTAATGCCACAGGTTTAAATTTACTAGTAATTTGACTCTATCAATAAATGTTCTTATATATTATGTGATTTATAAAGTTTATATACATAAGATGTATAACAAATATAAAAGTAAAACCTAAATAGACATCACAATGAATTTTACAATATAGTCTCTATGAATATATCATTAATCTAACCCATGGCATCTCACACACTATCTCTTCCTCAACACAAGCAAATGAAAGTCAGAAATCCTTAACATTTAAGCCCTTCCCAGACTTTAATAGTAAAGTCCTTACTGTAGTAAGGAATGCACAGTAGTCATGTACATGTAGAACATTCTTATGTCATTACACTCATCAAAATATGGCTGTTTTCCACAGGCCATCAAGAGAAAAAAGGTTATCAGCCTGGACATCACAGGGAGACTATTATAATGGTCTTTACAATTAGAAGTATGGTCATGCAGTAAGGCAGTAACATAAGTATGGCAAAGAGAGCTCAGAAGAAAAGCCATTTCTATGGCCAAGAAGAAAGAAATGGGTAGTCAATTGAATATGATAGTAGTGAGTGACTACTTCACTCTTTTTCATGGATGAGAAAACTGAAGCACAGAGAGGAGAAAAGTTCACTCCAGCACTTACACAACAGTAAACCCTGTTCAGTGACAACCTAGGTTCAAATCCATGCTGTAATCCTCTAGATGATTGGCCATTACTAAATTTTAATACACTCTACTGGGTTCCATGAAGTAGTATTATACATATTTATCATAACAAAATTATCACAAATGAAAAGGCTGAATTGACTTATGAGTTCAGATTGGTAAACCTACACAAAAATAGACCAGAAGTATACATTTTTATTTTGTCAGTTGAATGTAAGCTCAATAAAGATAGGTAGGGATTTATGTCTACTAAGCTTTTGCTGTATCCACAGCAACTAAAACTTATAGCACTTAGTAGACTCTTGAAAAACAACTTTAACAAATGAATAAACATCCTAATGATGCCTCAATTATCCAAAATATTGGAGAGTAATATATTTTAATTGAGAATATATATTAATAAACGTAAGGACTTTCTCTAAAAAATTGCTGCATAGAAAATTTGTTTAATTTTAAGAAGAGTTAGAGAAGAAAAAAATAAAATTTATTTAAGATATGCCTAAATACCAATAAAAGTAACCAATTTATAATTTTAATATGTAGGCATAATTTCTAATCTTTTTTAAAAATAATACTTCTATTATTATAGTGATACATCGTTTTTGAAGCAAATGTGTAAAATAAAAGAATGTATAAACACATTCGAAAGGATCTGTCATGCCGTCATCCAGGGATGACTACTGTTGAACATTCAGCGTCTCTATATCCAGTATATACTCTATTTACATGATTACATTTCAATGAACAAATAAGGCTTATACTATGTGTATAGTTTTACTGTATTATTTCTTCTTTTAATAGTTTATTATCAAAATTTCCTGTGCCATTGAATATTTGCAAACTCTGATTTTGGGATACATTGCATTCCATTTTTAAATACACTACAATATATCTGACTTTTATGATTTCTAGTATTTCATTTCCAGGATTTTTGTAAATAATGCTGTATAGACATTCTTACTTATAAATATTTGTACATACTTCTAATTATATCCAAGAATAAATGTGTAGATGTGGTATCCACCATTATTTGTAAGTTGAAATGGCTGTCAGTGATATGTAGATTTTAGTGTTTTATACAATTGCCTGTCTCCCTCAAATATTCTTTCATTTGTTTTTCTTTAGTCAGTAAGACAATTACAGCTATATTGAACAAAATGGAATAATAGGCATTCATACTTAATAAAAGTTAAATAAAGTTAATAATTATTATTACATGTTATTCTGCCAACAGGTTTAAATTTTTTAATAACTGTTCTTATACATTTATTTTAATCATCTTTTATTAAATTAATTTAGACCTGAATTTTGATCCACTCCCAAATTTTACAACTATATAGGCTTGCAAAATCAAGAGTTCTTATATCTCAAATCTATGAAAAGCCTGATAGCTTTCCAGATAGATGGCAGAGATGAAAATTTAAAGAGATTCTGCAAGAACAAATCCATTTTTAAATTTGCATGTAAGATTCAATTGGCTATTAATATCTTAAAGTTCTTTAAATTTAGAAGCAACTCTTTTATTCATATTTTTTACTCTAGCAATCATGATAAAATCAGACAAGATTCATCTCAATAAATATTATGTTCCCTACAGTCATATGAACTTTCATTTTAGAAGTATATAAGTCATATTTTTTGGCACGGCAGGAAAATTAAAGCTTGTTCTGTAAAACTCATCTGATATCTAAAGTATTATTTTGTATTCCATTTGCCTGGCTTGTTACCTTTTCAGTTGTGTGAAGTATTTTGAGAACTTCTTATATGCACAATTTAATATTGACCCATTAGTCATCGACCATTGAACACTTTAATCTGATATGTACATGACTCAGTGTGAATAACTAACCCTCAAGTATGTCTGGCATAAAATGATCTTCTACAAATTTTTTCATTGGAACCATAAAGATTGAGGGCATTTTGTAGCAAGGACAAGAAAGGGAAAACATTACATTTTTTTGAGAAAGTACATGTTATAAACCTGACCAAATTTAGCTAAACAAACTATTTTAAAACAAATAGAAATAATAAAAATGGACAACCCCCTTTGGGTCCCCTCCTATTGTATGGGAGCTCTGTTTTCACTCTATTAAATCTTGCAACTGCACACTCTTCTGGTCCGTGTTTGTTATGGCTCGAGCTGAGCTTTGGCTGACAGTCCACCACTGCTGTTTGCCGCCATCGCAGACCCGTAACTGACTTCCACCCCTCCGGATCCGGCAGGGTGTCCGCTGTGCTCCTGATCCAGTAAGGTGCCCATTGCCACTCCTGATCGGGCTAAAGGTTTGCCATTGTTCCTGCAAGGCTAAGTGCCCGGGTCCTTCCTAATTGAGCTGAACACTACTAGCTCGGTTCCACGGTTCTCTTCCAAGACCCACAGCTTCTAATGGAGCTATGACGCTCACCGTATGGCCCAAGGTTCCATTCCTTGGAATCCATGAGGCCAAGAACCCCAGGTCAGAGAACAAAAGGCTTGCCGCAATCTTGGGAGTGGCCTGCCACCGCCTTGAGATCTCTAAGAACAAAGACCCACCGGTAACATCTGGTGGCCCATATGGGGCTTCTCCAAAGCGATGGGAAACATTCCCCCCAAGGCAAAAATGCCCCTAAGATGTATTCTGGAGAATTGGGACCAATTTGACCCTCAGACGCTAAGAAAGAAGCGGCTTATATTCTTCTGCATAACACCTGGCCACAATATACTCTTCGAGAGGGGAGAAACCTGGCCCCCTGAGGGAAGTATAAATTATAACACCATCTTACAGCTAGACCTCTTTTGTAGAAAGAAGGGCAAATGGAGTGAAGTGCCATATGTGCAAACTTTCTTTTCATTAAGAGACAACTCACAATTATGTAAAAAGTATAAGTTATGCCCTACAGGCAGCCCTCAGAGTCTACCTCCCTGCCCCGCGTTCCCCTGGCTCCTTCCCCAACTAATAAGGACCCCCTTCAACACAAACAGTCCAAAAAGAGATAGACAAAGGGGTAAACAATGAACCCAAGAGTGCCAATTATTCCCCAATTATGCCCCGTCCAGGTAGTGGGAAGAGGAGAATTCAGCCCAATCAGAGTGCATGTACCCTTTTCCCTCTCAGACCTGAAGCAAATTAAAATAGACCTAGGCAAATTCTCAGATAACTCTGATGGCTATATTGATGTTTTACAAGGACTAGGACAATCCTTTGATCTGACATGGAGAGATGTAATGTTACTGCTAGATCAGACACTAACCCCAAATTAAAGGAGTGCCACCATAACTGCAGCCCGGGAGTTTGGCAGTCTCTGGTATCTCAGTCAGGTCAATGATAGGATGACAACAGAAGAAAAAGAACAATTCCCCACAGGCCAGCAGGCAGTTCCCAGTGTAGACCCTCATTGGGACACAGACTCAGAACATTAAGATTGGTGCTGCAGACATTTGCTAACTTGCGTGCTAGAAGGACTAAGGAAAACTAGGAAGAAGCCTATGAATTATTCAATGATGTTGATTGTAACATAGAGAAAGGAAGAAAATCCTACTGCCTTTCTGAGAGACTAAGGGAGGCATTGAGGAAGCAAACCTCTCTGTCACCCAACTGTATTGAAGGCCAACTAATCTTAAAGGATAAGTTTATTACTCAGTCAGCTGCAGACATTAGAAAAAAACTTCAAAAGTCTGCCTTAGGCCCAGAGCAAAACTTAGAAACCCTGTTGAACTTGGCAACTTCAGTTTTTTATAATAGAGATCAGGAGGAGCAGGTGGAATGAGACAAAACTGGATTAAAAAAAGGCCACCACTTTAGTCATGGCCCTCAGGCAAGTGGACTTTGGAGGCTCCGGAAAAGGGAAAGCCTGGACAAATCGAATGCCCAATAGGGCTTGCTTCCAGTGCGGTCTACAAGGACACTTTAAAAAAGATTGTCCGAATAGAAATAAGCCACCCCCTCGTCCATGCCCCTTATGTCAAGGGAATCACTGGAAGGCCCACTGCCTCAGGGGATGAAGGTTCTCTGAGTCAGAAGCCACTAACCAGATGATCCAGCAGCAGGACTGAGGGTGCCCGGGGCAAGTGCCAGCCCATGCCATCACCCTCACAGAACCCCAGGTATGCTTGACCATTGAGGGCCAGGAGGTTAACTGTCTCCTGGACACTGGTGCAGCCTTCTCAGTCTTACTCTCCTGTCCCAGACAACTGTCCTCCAGATCTGTCAATATCCAAGGGGTCCTAGGACAGGCAGTCACTAGATAGTTCTCCCAGCCACTAAGTTGTAAATGGGGAACTTTACTCTTTTCACATGCCTTTCTAATTATGACTGAAAGCCCCATTCCTTTATTAGGGAGTGACATCCTAGCAAAAGCAGGGGCCATTATACACTAGAATTAGAAGAAGAAAAAAGGGTAACTATATATACAAACTCTAAGTATGCTTACCTAGTTCTCCATGCCCACACAGCAATATGGAGAGAAAGGGAATTCCTAACTTCCTAGGGAACACCTATCAAACATCAGGAAGCCATTAGGAGATTATTATTGGTTGTACAGAAACCTAAAGAGTGGCAATCTTACACTGCCAGGGTCATCAGAAAGGAAAGGAAAGGGAAATAGAGGGAAACCGCCAAGCGGATATTGAAGCCAAAAGAGCCACAAGGCGGGATCCTCCATTAGAAAAGCTTATAGAAGGACTCCTAGTATGGGGTAATCCACTCCAGGAAACCAAGCCCCAGTTCTCAGCAGAAGAAATAGAATGGGGAACCTCATGAGGACATAGTTTCCTCCCCTCAGGATGGCTAGCCACTGCAGAAGGAAAAATACTTTTGCCTGCAGCTAACCAATGGAAATTACTTAAAACCCTTCACCAGACCTTTCACTTAGGCATTGATAGCACCCATCAGATGGCCAAATCATTATTTACTGGACCAGGCCTTTTCAAAGCTATCAAGCAGATAGTCAGGGCCTGTAAAGAGTGCCAAAGAAATAATCCCTGCCTTATCGCCAAGCTCCTTCAGGAGAACAAAGAACAGGCCATTACCCAGGAGAAGACTGGCAACTAGATTTTACTCGCATGCCCAAATCCCAAGGATTTCAGTATCTACTAGCCTGGGTAGATGCTTTCACTGGTTGGGCAGAGGCCTTCCCTTGTAGGATAGAAAAGGCCCAAGAGGTAATAAAGGCACTAATTCATGAAATAATTCCCAGATTCAGACTTCCCCGAGGCCTACAGAGTGACAATGGCCCCGCTTTCAAGGCTGCAGTAACCCAGGGAGTATCCCAGGCCTTAGGCATACAATATCACTTACGCTGCACCTGGAGGCCACAATCCTCAGGAAAAGTCGAGAAAATGAATGAAATGCTCAGACGACATCTAAAAAAGCGAACCCAAGAAACCTACCTTGCATGGCCTTCTCTGTTGCTTATAGCCTTACTAAGAATCTGAAACTCTCCCCAAAAAGCAGGACTTGCATACATGCAAGATGCTGTATGGATGGCCCTTCCTAACCAATGACCTTGTGCTTGACAGAGAGCTGACCAACTTAGTTGCAGACATCACCTCCTTAGCCAAATATCAACAAGTTCTTAAAACATTACAGGGAACCTGTTCCTGAGAGGAAGGAAAGGAATTGTTCCACCCTAGTGACATGGTATTAGTCAAGTCCCTTCCCTTTAATTCCCCATCCCTAGATATATCCTGGGAAGGACCCTACCCAGTCATTTTATCTACCCCAACCACGGTTAAAGTGGCTGGAGTGAAGTCTTGGATACATCACACTCAAGTCAAACCCTGGATACTGCCAAAAAAACCTGAAAATCCCAGGAGACAACGCTAGCTATTCCTGTGAACCTCTAGAGGATCTGCACCTGTTCTTCAAGGGATAACTGTGAGGAAATTAACTAGAATCATAGATCCCCATGGCCCTTGCTTGTCATGTTTTTCTTTTTACTGTTTTCTTACCCCCTTTAACTCTCACTGCACCCCCTCCATGCCACTGTACTACCAGTACCTCCCCTTACCAACAGCTTCTATGGAGAATATGGCTTCCCAGAAATATTGATGCCCCATCGTATAGGAGATTTTCTAAAAGAAACCCCACTTTCACCTCCATACCCATATGCCCCTGCACTTCAGGCAATACATTTCAATCCCTGTATCTTTAACCTCCTTGTTAAGTTTGTCTCTTCCCAAATTGAAGCTGTAAAACTACAAATCGTTCTTCAAATGGAGCCCCAGATGCAGTCCATGACTAAGATCTACTGCAGACCCCTGAACCGGCCTGCTAGCCCATGCTCCAATGTTGATGACATAGAAGGCACCCCTCCTGAGGAAATCTCAACTGCATGACCCCTACTACACCCCAATTCAGCAGGAAGCAGTTAAGAGCGGTCATCTGCCAACATCCTCAACAGCACCTGGGTTTTCCTGTTGAGAGGGGGGACTGAGAGACAGGACTAGCTGGATTTCCTAGGCCTACTAAGAATTCCTAAGCCTAGCTGAGAAAGGTGACTGCACCTACCTTTAAACACAGGGTCTGTAACTCAGCTCACACCCAACCAATCAGGTAGTAAAGAGGGTTCACTAAAATACAAATTAGGCTAAAGCAGGAGGTAAAGAAATAGTCAAATCATATATCGCCTGAGAGCACAGCGGGAGGGACAATGATCGGGATATAAACCCAGACATTCAAGCAGGGAGTGGCAACCCCCTTTGTGTCCCCTCCCATTGCATGGGAGCTCTGTTTTCACTCTATTAAATCTTGCAACTGCAAAAATAATAAATAAATAAATAAAAACATTCCCACTTTATATTTTCTGGGAAAATATACTTTAAATTTTATGGTGTTGCTGAATTCTATAGAAGTTCCAAAGTATGCTCTAAAGACTATTATATATATGTATATGTAGCAATTAATACATTAATATTAAAAAAACAGAAAATGATCATATGAAGTTTTAACACCAAATAATTTGGAGAAATTTGTTAGATGGAATTAGATACGTTTAATATAATCGTTTTGGTTATGTAGGTTTTTTTTCTCATTGTTAATATTGCATTCATTAAGTATTTTAAATTTTAAGATATTTTTATTCATTAACTACTGATGCATTAAAAACTACTCCAAAACTTTGAATCTATGGAATTTTGAACAGTTCTGCTTATCTGGACCAAGTACCATTGATCTCTGGACTTGTCCATGCTTCTCTTGTCAGCTGGCAGATCAGCCAGAGACCGAACAATCTAATATCCTCAGCTGGGGCAATGTGATGGTCTTCTGTTTTCTAGCAGGCTAGCCTGGGATTGTTCCCCGAGCAGAAGCAGGATTCCAAAAGAGAAAATAAAGGCATATTAAGCCCTCTGGAATTATACTTCAAAATCGCAATACATCACTTCCGCTGTATTCTGTTGAGCAAAGTAAGTCACAAGTGCAGCACAGATGGAAGGGAAAGAGAAAAAGATTTTACCTCTTGATGGAAGTTACATTACAAAGGACATTTATACAGAACAGAATGGTGTATGGGAACCAATATTGTAATCAAACTACCATAGAATTTGACCAGGGAACTCTGTTTATCACATAGTGTCTTCCAAGATTGAATTTGTAGCTCACATCTTAGAAATATTGATATACATGAATTTTATTCATTCAGCTTATCCAACAAATATTAGCTGTGCACTACCTGAGTCCAGTTAACAACGAAGTTTTTGTTATACAAGATGAATTGAGAACATGTTCTTTCTTCTCAAAATAAGTGGGTCTTTCCAATGATAATACAAACCAAATGGTAAAAACACAATTCAATGCAGCTTTCTATGCTTTCCCAACGTAGGTGTAGTAGATTGTTCCATTGGCGTTCTCCCATCAATCACACTTGGTAGTATTTACACTCCTGTGTATACCCCTTGCCCAGTGACTCTGAGGTTGGCCATGTGGTTTGCATGACCAAGGGGACATTAGTAATGTGATGCAAGCAGAGGCTTGATAAGTACTTGCACATGGTCTTTGTCTTCTTGAAATGCTGCCTTTTGAATCTATAAAACCACTCTCTATGAGAAAACTCAAGCTAGCCACAGGTGTAACTCGATGGGTAGGAAACAAAAGATCAAAACAATATCCAGATCCAAGATCCCAAGTGTATGGTGCTAGGTGACCTATTTTAATCAGCCCGAGCCATTCCAGTCCTAGCAGTTTAGGCTGTAGATATTGTACAGCAGGTACCAGCTATCTCTACTGTTCCCAGTCTAAAATTCTGACCCACAAAATTGTGAACAAATAAATATTTCTTGTTTTAAGATACTATATTTGGGGTGGTTTGTTATGTACCAACAAATAACTGTAAGACAAATTGATACTAGAAGTGGAGTGTTGCTATTATAAAAACCTAAAACATGTGATTTTGGCCTTGGGCCTGGAAAGTGGGCAACAGGCTTGCATATGTAGAGCATTTCTTATGAAAAACAAAGCCATACTCAGGGGGAAGAAAACAAAAACAAAAAGAAAACCCAGAGAGAATCATCCCATGATACAGAACTGGCCCTTGATAAAGGACCATTTCCTGCTCCCTGGGGCTGTATGGATTTCAGAATTGTTACAGGTCAGTGGTTGTTATGTGCCATATGTTCCCCACTTTTTAACTAGCTTGTATACTGTAATTTTACTATTACTGTTACATCATTAAATATTGGGTGTTTGGAGGTAGAACTGCATCTAAGGATCCTCATTTGCACCTAAACCTGATTTAGATGACAAAATGCTGAGCCTGACACCATAAAGCAATATGATATTGGGGGTTTGGGGAGAAATATTACGTATTTCATATATGAGAGATCTGTTAATTTTTTTTCTTTTCTTTTTTTTTTTTTTTTTTTTTTTTGGAGATGGACTCTCGCTCTGTCGCCCAGGCTGTAGTGCAGTGGCGCAATCTCAGCTCACTGCAACCTCCACCTCCCAGGTTCACTCCATTCTCCTGCCTCAGCCTCCCCAGTAGCTAGGACTACAGGCACCTGCACCAAGCCCGGCTAATTTTTTTGTATTTTTAGTAGGGACAGGGCTTCACTGTGTTAACCAGAATGGTCTCAATCTCCTGACCTCGTGATCCGCCCGCCTTGGCCTCCCAAAGTGCTGGGATTACGGGTGTGAGCCACCACGCCCGGCCCTGTTAATTTTGTTTTATATTAAAGGATGGACTGTAGAAAACATTTACATTGGTTGCTAACACAAACCCTTGCCTCCCAGTATTCGCCTTCTATACAGTCTCCTCTCACTGTTTCTGGAATTGGCTATGTGACTTATTTTGGCCAATGGGATATTGGAAAATCTGATGCAAGCAGACACTTGCTAGGCACACACATTGGGTTTAGTCCTCATATATTGCACCCTCTTGAAGCTCTGAGACCACCTTTCTATGAAAAAGTACAAGGTAGCTATGTGGAGAGGTCACATGGAGGTGAACTTAAGAAACCAGTCAGTCACTAAAATCAAATCCTCAGATATAAAACTTCAATAAAGCTATGGAAGCCTGCTTCTTCCTTTTTAAGCTACAGCACTTCCACTGTTCCCTGCCCAAATTTCTGACTACAGAATCAGGAACCAAGTAAACTGGTTGTTATTTTAAACCACTACATTTTTGGATTGTTTGTTATAGAGCAACAGATAATTGAAACAAGTGGGTATGCTGCAGGTGGTGTAAGAGCAAATATTGTTGTTGCAACATATACATCAGCAAGTATCAGCAGTTACCTCAGCAGCCTCACATAATGAAGAGTGTCCTATAACTTCAAGCTGCCCCACAGAAAGAGAGAAAGCCACAGTTTCTTCTTTTGATATGGTTTGGCTGTGTCACCACCCAAATCTCATCTTTAATTGTAGCTCCTGTAATCTCCACATGTCATGGGAGGGACCTGGTGGGAAGTAATTAAATCATGGGGGCAGGTTTTTCCCATGCTGTTCTCATGATAGTGAATAAGTCTCATCAGATCTGATGGTTTTATAAAGGGCAGTTCCCCTGCCCATACTCTCTACCTGCCACCATGTAAGACACGCCTTTGCTCCTCCTTTGCCTTCTGCCATGATTGTGAAGCTTCCCCAGCCATGTGGAACTGAGTCCATTAAACCTCTTTGTCTTTGTAAATTACCAAGACAATTCTTAAGCTTTTCTTCACAGCACTATGAAAATGGACTCACACATCCTTTCACTGGGATAATTGAGTAACTGAGACATAGCTTCATGACTCTGAGGTATTGGATGCACACACAAACACACACACACACATAATTGACTAACTGCTTCCATGTTATATTATAAATTAATTTCAAATTCTTACATGTTAAATATAGGCTTCATATATAAATCTAGACAATCATATTACAAGCAAGTTATGTAAGCCTGCTTTTAGCTTTTAACTTCAGCTAGGTCTACAAGCTTAAAGTAATGTAATAAAAAATCTGGCAAATAAAAGGGAAACAATCTTGTTCCAAAGAAACAGATGTAAGGAGGGGCTAAGCAAGAAAGGAAATGTTCCTACCACTAAGAGTATTCACTACATGTAAAACACTGTGCTTTATATTTGGATAATCTAAATTGTATTCAACCCTATCTCCATATGAGAACATTTTAATATGAAATCAAATAAACTGGGATTATGGAAACTCCTATTGATTTTTAAATAGTGTTCTATAATTTTACAGTTTTCTATGTTTTGAGAAAATATCTGACAATGTTAATATTTTTCTGTTTATAAATTACTTATAAGCATCTATACATTTTAAATGATACATCTACAATAGAAAGGAGAAAAATGCTAAGCATGTTTCACTGAATATGAATTAGAAATTTCTGTATATAAAAATCTTAATAATTTATTCCTATATTTTGTCATATTTTCATGATCTATATTGATAGAAGTTTTATGTTTTTGTTTGTTTGAAATGCTTGTATGACCTAATGATCAAGAACAAGGACCTTAGAGCTCAAAGTGCTTAAATTCAAATCCAGGCTCTGTTACTTCATAACTGTATGACCTTATGCTTCTGGTTTCACCATGTTGAAATGGAGACATAAATAATAACTTCTTCAGAGCACTGGTATGATAAGTAAATAAAGTAACATATATAAGGCAATCAGATCAGTACCAGAAACAATGTAATATGCACTAAATTAGTATAAGCTGTTGTTATTTTTAGCAGTTTGGCTCCTAAATTTCTCTTCAATTTAGGTAGATTGTCCATTCAGTCTTTTGTACTCCTTTTGGAATTGCTGATAAATTTTTAAAAAGAAAAAGAAAATTAACACTTACTGACTGCCAGGCAATTCTCTAAAAGTTGTGCTTATAGAAGTAATGTAGTGATTCATTTAATTGTTACAACAACCTCAATGAGGCAGAAACTATCATCCTCACTTTGGAGATGCAAAAACAGAGCTTCGAATGGGTTAAGTAATCTGCCCAAGATATACCCCTAGTAAATGACACAGTTGGGATTCAAGGCAAATTTTGGAGCCCCAGAGCTTGCAATCTTAATTATATTTTGTAACCTCTAAACTGCTTGGGATTATATAACTTGTATTTTATTCTGTCAAAATTGTATCCTATTAAGATTATTGCTGCCAATAGCTTATCTGTTCAACATCTTAGTCTCTGCAGAAGAGACAAAGCAATCAATGGAGCATAAGAGAATCAAGGAAAAGTTCAGGATGATAAGAGAGTTAGAAGAAAGGAACATTGGGATATACAAATCATTGCAGTGAGCACCTATGCCATTTTAGGTAGTGTGGGCACAGGAATGGAAAAGATTGACTCTGAGAAGTCCTCTGCCCATGTGGAGTTAGCAGTCATTCCAGAAAAGTCAGTCACACAATAAAATTCAAGAATCAGTACAAGTTAAGTGAGTACTAAGTATTAAGTAGGCAAACTAGGGTAGTGACATGCAAGGGTCAGGAGCATGCTATTTTTGAGACTGTGCCAGAAAAGGCTTCTGAGTCCACATCATTTGCCTTAAGACCAGAGTGGCTAAAATTGCATGTTACAGGCAGAGGAAACAACGAAAACTGTGGCTTGAAGTGAGAGGAATGATGGTCTGTTTAAGGCACAGTGACAGCACTATGAACAGAGCACAGTGATAAAGAGAGAGAGAGTAAGGAGATGAGGTTCTAGGAGAAGATGAAGATCAGATCACAGAGGGACTTGTGCACCAGGGTAAGGAATTTTGAGTTATTCTGATTGAAACAGAAAGCCAGTGAATAACTTTAAGTGTGAAATTGATTCAATTTGATTTATGTGAATATTTTGTGTCATTCATTTATAGTGGTCACCATGCCTGCCCTGCTGCGGCAGAAATGTATGCCAATATATGGAATTATGTTTGTTAGATTTGGAAAAGAAGCCTTCATTAAAATATCCTTGTCTCCACCTACATAATGTCTAACATATCTGCAAAGTGTTGGAATTTCAACTACCATTCAAACTTAATAGCAAAAAAACTTGAACAACTGTCTTTCTTTATATATATATATTTTTTCATTTAAAAATGCCCATCAAACATGACTTAAACTTAATGACCTCAAAATGTAATAAGAAGTGTAGTAAATGTGTAAGTTACAACTGGGGCATTTTTATTAGCAAAGTATAAATATTCTATGTCATTACAGAGTATTTTTTGTTTTGTTTTAAAAAATCTGCTTTTAAAGCCTGAATTAATAACTGATTGAAGTGATTACAATAAAGATAAAACTCATAGACTCCTGAGGATTTTATTAAATCTCTACAGCCTTCTATTTATATTTTAATTTTTTTCTCACTGCTCAGCATGCAAGTGGGAATTACTGGAACACAACATGAAGGACTGTCCTCTGGGCATCTACAGTCCCTGCAAAGCGGCTAGAAAACTTTAATGTTTCAAAAGCAAACTCCAGTTTGCTTTGGATTAATTTTCTTGTAAAGATCTTGCCTGAGAGGGTAGTTAGAGGTATGAAACAATGTTTCATTTTAATGCCAAAGAGACTTTAAGTGACTTGCCCAAGGTCATCAATTGTCACTAAAATAATAGAGAAAAAAATTCCACCTCTTTGTATGTGTTGCTCTTTCATTCACTAGATCAGTGATTTATAGTCTCTGCCTAAAGCTGTGAAAAGCATAACCAAACCTCCTGATAGGCAACTGAAATATTCACTTTTCAGGTGATTTTTCCCACTCGGATTTTGGCAAGCTATCCAGTGTGGTGCACTAGAAAGAACACAGGAGCCGGAATAATAAGCCGGAATAATTAATCCAAAGAGGAGGGTTATAGTCTCAGCTATCACTTATATCACATGGCTGCCCCCCATATTTGCAGTTGAATGTAGCCAATTGTCTGACTTTTAGTCAGGGGAAGAGTAGTGAAAGTGAAATGTGCGACTTTCAGCACTAGACTGTGAAACCTCTCCTGGGCCTCTTTCATGGTCTTTCCTTATGCACTTGGTTGATAGAGACGAACAATGGAACTTTCAAAGGTATGTGTATATGATGGAAACATTCAAAAAGTAACCAAGATAGACATAAAGCTCCCCTCAATTTGACAAACTTGAGACAGATTTAGATAGGTTTCTTCCTGACTGAAGCTTCCAACCTCTTTCCTTAGGGTGTTCAAAAAATTTGCGATTACTAATTCTTTCTCTGCCCCTTTGAGATGCAAATTTTCTACAACGCAGGAATGTCTTTCTCAAAAACCTGAGAGCCATCCCTTTGAAATGCAATCATGGAGAAAGATAGAGCCCCTACATCTATGGGAATGTAGGAGTCTAACTTCAGTAAGCCCAAATAGCAAATGCAAATGGTCTAATCACATTGACCACACTGACTAATGCCCTCCAGCACTCCTTCACTCCCTCATCAGAGTGCTTACTCTTCTCTCCTTTCATTTCAATGGCATTGAATTTATTCTCCTTCTCTGACAGCAATAATCTTGACATGTATTGCTATAGTCTTGAATAAAGTCTTTCTTGTCTGTTTGATAGGTCCAGTGCAATCTTTGACAGAAGTAGCACAGAGTCACTATATCACCTCATGGATTTTTTTTTTTTTTTTTTTTTTACATTCACTATACAGTAACACTGTTTTGGACTTGTCATAAATTTAAAAAAAAAAACAATTCTATTGTTTCAGTTATTAAGGCATTTGGGGTTGATCAATAGAACAATTAACTTTACCTTAATATAATCCCTAAAACAAATACTCACTCCTTCTTTCTTTCTTTTTTTTTTTTTTTTTTTGGCAAAGTCTCGCACTGTTACCCAGGCTGGAGTGCAGTGGCACCACCTTGGCTCACTGCAACCTCTGTCTCCTGGGTTCAAGCGATTCTCCTGCCTCAGCCTCCTGAGTAGCTGGGATTACAGGCATGCACCACCACGCCTGGCTAATTTTTGTATTTTTAGTAGAGACGGGGTTTCACCATGTTATTCAGGCTGGTTTCGAACTCCTGACTTTGTGATCTGTCCACCTCGGCCTCCCAAAGTGCTGGAATTACAGGCATGAGCCACCACACCCGGGCCCTTCTTTCTTATTCATCATTGTTTCCCTATAATCTTGAGAACACAGAAGAAGGTGAGAAAAAAAAAAAAATCTAATTGGGAGGAGTCAGGAAAGTTTTCCAAAAGGTAACATTGATATAAAAACTTACTGAGAAGAAATTTTTCAAGAGCTGATGTCTTTAAAGAGTGATAAGCACATACAAACCGAATACCATAGAAGTAACCAGGAGATGTCACAAACTAGCTTCAAGCTATAATTAGGTCACATAAAATCAAAGAGTTTGGATTGATGCTAAATCAGTATATATGGGCTAAATAGCAATATCTGAATCTCTTTGTTACTGTTGATGAATTTTAAACTTAGCCAGGGTGTAGGTTTTTACTGGACCAAGAATGATAGAAAAAAAACTAAGATTCAGAGCACACAGAAATCAGAGAACTGAGGAAATCCAGGAAGCTGGTGGGGAACTTAATTCAAAAAGCTGAAGAAATAGCTAGACAGAAGCATATATCAAAGTCAAGAATATGGAACTAGCAATATACTGATCACAGATATTAGCTAGAAGAGTGTAGATGGTTATTGCAGTAGTACAGGAGAAAAAAATAAGGACCTAAATGTGTGGCATTATGGTGGAGGGAAAGAATCAGATAAAAGAAATGCAATCCACAGAACTCTGTAATTGATAGACTTTGAGAGACTTTACAGAGGAAAATCCACTGGGCCTCAGGTTAATGGCTTCTGGCATAGGCAAATGATAGATAATGTAGTCATTCACTGAAATTGCATGAATGGATTTTATTGACAGTTTTAGTTAAAAATAACAAGATCATTTAGGATAAGGCAAATTTTGAAATCTTTATGAAATATCCAGGTTGAAGTACAAGTTTTTGAATAATTAAGAACATGAAGCATGCATTCTGATGAGAGTTGAAGTGTTTGGCAGGTTATTGAATTTGAAATAGGGGTGACAGAGCCCACAGTGGGTTATAAATGGAGTCATGAGTTGCCAATGAGTCAGTGACAGAGTAAAAGCAAAAAACTCTGACTCAGAACATGGGAAAAGACTGATGGCTGGAAGAGCTTGTGAGAGTCCACATCAATTTGCTTCAGATAAAAATGAGTCAAGAACTCCATGGACAGGGGTGCAATGACACCAACTTGCAGCTTAATAGAATATGGAAGGGAGACTTCAGATAATACTCTGTTTACTGCCAAAATCTATCCTCAATTAAGTTAAACTTTGATTTAGCTTAAGTTAAAAAACAAACAAATATAATATAATATGCAAGTAGGGGTTATCAGATTATCTATTTGATTCTTGGAATTAACAGCAGGCAAAGGACAGATTTGAGTGGCTGGTACTTTTTATTCACATGGAATGGAAAGTAAGGATTTAGACTTAAAGATAGTTGGCAACAGAGCGTCAGCTATCTGAGTCACAAAAAGATCACCTGCAATCAATACAAAATTTATTTTCCATACTTGAAGGTGTAGTAGGAGTTGGCATATGGTATACTGAGTGAGGTGCTCATGAAACAGTGCGTGCTTTGTCTCAGTTAAACTTGTTAAGCAATAGTGGCACTTCATTTAGATTTTTCTCACAAAATAAACTGATTTATTATTGCCAAAATTAAAAAAAAATTGTTTCCCTAAGTAGTCAAAAATTTAAAATTGTCTCAAGGAGATTATCAATCAGCTGTATATAAAATTTTGCCTGTCTTCTTTTACTAGGCCTATTATAGACTTCTAATAATAAATATGTTTGTGCTATCTGTTACTGACAGAAAAATTATTCCAAAGTCTTGAACAGAAAAATTAGGTATTGTCTTACATGACTGAAAAATTCAGAAGTTATTTGATCAGCAGTTGAAATAATGTTCTAGGATTTAGTTTCCTATTCTCTATCACTCAACTCTACTATCCCTAATATCAGTGCTATTCTCCAGTAAGCTTTCCCCTCTTGATTTAAAAACAGCTTAAGCAGCTCAAAACTATACGTGCTCCAAGTTTCATGTTTTTTAAGAAAGTGTGAGATTATCCTATCCAAGACCACCCCCTCCACCATGAGGTTTCATTCATCTCATTGGCCCTGAATGTGTCATATGTTCATCTATGAATCCATCACTGCAGCCAGAGTAATGTGCTCTGCTGATTAGCCAGATCTAGGTAATATATACTTTTGTGTCTTCACAGTAAAATCAGCTTTATCCAAACCACATGGAATGAAACTGAAAGATATTGCAGTTTTCAAGAACAAAATGTACCCTATAAATATATACACCTACTAAGTACCCACAATAATTTAAAAAAATAAATAAAGAATAGATAAGTCCTGGGTGCAAAATATATATATATATTTTTTTTTTTTGAGACAAAGTCCCACACTGTTGCCGGGCAGGAGTGTAGTGACGCCATCTCGGCTCACTGCAACTTCCACCTCCCAGGTTCAAATTGACTCTCATGCCTCAACCTCCCAAGTAGCTGAGATTACAAGGTCACACCATCACACTGGCTAATTTTTGTATTTTTAGTAGATAAGGGGTTTCACCATGTTGTCCAGGCTCGTCTCTAACTCCTGACCTCAATAGAGATCCACCCGCCTCAGCCTTCCAAAGTGCTGGGATTACAGGCATGAGCCACAGCGCCTGGCCCTGGGTGCAGAAATTTTTCTATCTCACATGCAACATGAAAAGACAGGCCCACTAGACATCAAAAGAACACTTTGGGTTTAGACCACAAAAGATATCTCTGGTAATCAGTAATCAGGGCATTGCAAGTTATTATCTCATTTGGGGGGCAGCATCTAGATCTCCTGATTTTGAGTGAAACTAGAGGTAAAATAATACCCCAATAATTTCTCAATGGATGAAATATCATCCACCATAGGAGATGGGGAACTCTGAGACAAAACAAATTGGAATTAATGGCATATACAGAGTAATGTTTATTTTACACTTGGACTTGTGGAGTAAAATTAGTATCTCTTCATAAGTGTCTCAGACTTGCTTAGGAAGTGCTGACTTGAGCTTGCAAGATTAAATGCTATTCCTGGAAGCATGGAGAGTCATCAGAGAAATACCAATATTTGAAGACAATGTAAAACTTGGGATAATGTTCAAAATGACATATTCAAAAATTAATAAATATACAAAGCTATAGCCATTCAATAATGTAACCATTTACTGGAAACTATCTTTAAAACTGTAGCTGTGACTCCACAGGATCATCATATGAATTTAGGAAAAGTGAATAAGGAGGAATGGAGGGAGTATTTTGCTTAATCTTAAAGCCTCTTTAAAATAAAAAAATCAAAGACAACAAAATCCTTGACCATATATAATAGGTCATTTTTATACCAATCTCATTTAACTTTCTTTAATGGAAGTATTAAAAATATACATCTGTACTTTAGGGAGACTCTTTTGTTATTGGCAGTAGGGTTGTGTTTAATGTAAGAGATAATTATAAACTATAAATATAATTCCAACTGTAAATATGTGTGGAATAATTGAAGTCCTAGAATCTTATATTTTTGTCCACACACTCCAGCTGAATAAATAATGAAGCAACATGACCTCCAGTGATGACAGATAGGCTCAGCTTTTGACAATATGATTCCTACATTTGCTCAAAGCTAAAACTTCTTTAAACTTGATGGAGAATAAAATGAGAATTCTGTTGCACAATATGAAATAAAACTCATATAAATTAATCATCAAAATCATGAACCTAGAGCATTAATTTGCAATGACTTGAGCTACATATAATTATACAAACATGTATTCTAAGTAGGAAAAGCAGAAGCAATTTTATAACATAGTAGTCCATTTTCCCAGGATGGTACAGGGTTGATGGTTAATTAGTTTGCTCTCTTAGTTCACAAAAATATTTGAAAATGAATTTATTTATTTTAGTAACTTGGTTACTTTAGTACTTTCCCCAGGAGATATCTTCCATGCCAAAAGCTAATATCTTCAAAAGTCTAAGAAATTGTCTTAATTTGATTACCTGTATGTTCATGGCTTTGAAATAAATTGCTCTCTAAAAAATTTATTGTATTAATTATTAAGTTACATAGTTTTCTTTTTTCCTCCTAGCACTTAATTCATTTATTTAAATGTGTTTAATTATCCATAACATTTTTAGCCAATAAGTAATAAAAAGTCAAAAGAAACTAAAAGTTGAGATTTTACATATAGCTTTCATTACCCCTCAATACACTGAGATAGACTAACTGCTGAACATTTATGTATTTATTTATTTCATGGCAAGACACCAAATTTTCCTTTTTCTTTAAGTTGTTATAGTTAGCTGGAAAGCTTTTCATTTTAGTCTTAAATTGAATCAACAGGGGGCAAGTATGCCTGCAGTTCAGAATATATCATAGAATGATTTTCCACTATAACTTTCCTGTGGGAACACTCCGCTACCAGACAAGTATTTTAGCTGCTTTCCATCAGATCATCTGTATTCAGTTATAGAATGCATAACTACTTTGATTCCTGTTTTATTTTTTATTAGATTGTGTTGTAGAAATGAATATTCTGGGTACATTTAAAAAACAAATATAGATAAATCAAGTAGTTAGAGAAGAGAAAGGGATTCTTTTTTATCTCATTTGAACAAACACATAAGTGCAATAAAAATTGTGAAGTGTTATTATTTAAATTATGTAAGCCAAATTAACCAATCAGCTTTCTTAATTCTCTTCTATCTCTTAGCTTTACGTATGCAGGGGAAGTTGTATCCAACAGTGAATGAGAATATAGATTCTTTTGTCATATTACCTGAGTCCTAATGTTTATTTGCTACCTATGTAACTATGGTAGTCAGAAATTATGTGGCACAAGTGACAAAACCCAACTCATATTATCTTGTAGGAAAAGAGAGAGAATCTATTGACTTCTATAACTGTATTATAAAAAGATAAATTCAGACATCACTGTATCCAGGGTCACAAACAAGCCACCAGCGTTCTCTTGCTCCATCCGCCAGCTTTTCTTCCTCCTATATTGCAGACAATTTGATTACGCATGGTACTAAATATGGTCACTGGCTGTTTCAGGACCATACCATTCTTACAACTCAGGCAAAAATATTTCTTGAGAATGACTCTTATTGGCTTGAATTTTGTTATACATTCTTCCCTCAACATGTAGTTAGAGAAAGGGAAATGCTGATTCACTACAGTCAGATGAAGGCAAATAATATGTGACATAACCCCAAATACCAGATTGACAACCCTAGGAGGTTGAGGGGACAATTCTCAAAAGGAACAGATTATGGACAGATAAAAAGACATAGATGCCCTTATGATAATATTGAGAAAGTTACTTACTTACTTTAACAGCTGACTCTCTCTTCTGTATATATAAAGGGAATAACACTATAACTTCTATAATGCTAAAGAGAATAAAATTATAGGCAGCTAAGAGACTTCTTAAAAAGATTCCGAGAAATAAAAGGAAAATAACCCTAATGGTGATTTAATAGAAGGAATGAAATCACAAGCAAAGAAAGTACTGGAATGGCATTTAGGAAAAAAAAAAAATAGGGCCAGGTGTGGTGGCTCACACCTGTAATCCCAGCACTTTGGGAGGCTGAGGTGAGTGGATCATGAGGTCAGTAGTTCAAGACCAGCCTGACCAACATGGTGAAACCCCGTCTCTACTAAAAATACAAAAATTAGTCGAGTGTGGTGGCACACACCTGTAATCCAAGCTACTCAGGAGGATGAGGCAGGAGAATCGCTTGAAACCAAGAGGTGGAGGTTGCAGTGAGACAAGATCATGCCACTGCACTCCAGCCTGGGCAACAAAGCGAGACTTCAACACACACACACACATACAAATATATATATATATATATATATATATATACACACACACACACACATACACACACACACGTATATATATATACGTATATGTGTGTGTGTGTGTGTGTATATATATATGTGTGTGTGTGTGTGTGTGAATCTGTCATCTTGAAATAACCCTGAGCTTGAAATCTTCATAGAATTAGAAGAAGAAATAAAACATTAAAGAGGTGAATTGACAACATGTCTAAAAAGCAAGTGGCATCTTCACGTCTTATTTATTTTCCATCTATTCTTTGATTTTGCTCCCTGGGTGCAAGTAGCCAAGTGTTTACTCTCAGTCAAAAAGAAAAGAGCATTCTTTAAAGAAATGGAACAAACTACTTGGGAAGCAAATTAGAGCAGGATTTTCACACCTCAGTATAGAGCTTCCCCAATCTGGTATTTATTTGGGTCTATGATACATTAAAGGCTAGCTCTGCACTGCATAACTTAGAGCGAATCCTGCAAGAAGATCAGCACTTAATATTCATTGTCCTCACAGGCAGCCTCAATTTTTTTTTTTTTTTTTTTTGAGATGGAGTTTTGCTCTTGTTGCCTAGGCTGGAGTGCAATGGTGAGACCTTGGCTCACTGCAACCTCCGCCTCCCAGGTTCACACGATCCTCAGCCTCCCGAGTAGCTGGGATTACAGGCATGGGCCACCACACCTGGCTAATTTTGTATTTTTAGTAGAGATAGTGTGATCTCAGGTGATCTGCCTGCCTCAGCCTCACTAGCCTCAATCTTGAAGAGGAATGAACTCTATAGAAAATAGAATGACACGTACACATCTATAAAATAAACTCATGCCAACCACCAAAAATTACCAACTCAAGTTCTTCTAAAACATGATGAAAGTATTAAAGTTTACTAGACATATGAAAACAATCAAAAGCAAGAGAGAACCAAAATAATATTACAATTCACTCTATACATAATAGACAACTCAGGCAACAGAAATAACTTTTTAAAATCAAGTATCCTCAATGATATTCAAGCCAGATTACTTTGCCCCTATAGAACAGAAACAGGATGTTATTTTAAAGCAACAATTCAGGAATAAGAAATTCCAAAAGGAGACAGATTTTGCTTTTAATATTTGATGTAAAGGAGTTTATATTTTCGTGATACCAGTACTTTGTCAGACGTATGATGAGCAAATATTTCAAACACATTTTCCACATCTGAGATGTAAATATTTGTTTCCTTTATGACATCCTTTAATGAACAGAGTTTTATTTGATGAGGTCTAACTTATTTTTACTTTTATGGCAAAGTTGTATATCCTAACAAACTTTAGCCTACTTACAAGTTGAAAAGATATTCTGTCTTCTAAACCCTCAATGGTGGTTAACTTTTTCATTTAAGTATATAATCCAAATTATTAATCTCAAATTAATTTTGTATATAAGGAGAAAAGAATTGACTTTTTCTCCATAAATTTAGTTGTTTTACCACCATTTGTTGAAAAAAAGTCTCCTTCCCATGTTTTTCCTGATTCATCAAAATATAATTATTTTCATATTTTTGTATTGCACATTATAAATGATATGATGTAGAAATTCTGACTCTTATATTCTCACAAATACTTTATTTTGAAACCAGTGGTTTAACTTGGCTAAACTCTAGTCAAGAGTTCTTGTTTCCCTTTCAGTGAACAATAGCTTAAACCTCAGATCAGGTCATTTAGCCTCTTCTGGACTGCTTGGAGACTTCCCCCAAGCACACATATTGTGGAGTCAAACAAAGATGTGAGAAGAGTATATGTAGAACTTGGGATTCCCCTTTTTTACTTTCTTCCTCTCAGGATTTCACCCCTAGCTTTCCAGTAACTTTGGTCCTTTCCTGAGCTCTGCCTTGTTCTCAAGCAAACAAGACTGAGGGTTTTTCATTGAAGTTTTAACTGACCCACAATGTATAGTCTCAGACCTGCCTCCAGGCATGTATTACACTGTAAGTGACAAATTGTAGCTATAAGATCACCAGTACTCTTAGGTCCACTCAAACATCTTGCAGTGCTGACACTATGTGTCAGTTAGCAATCTAGCCCAGGGGTTTTTCAGCCCTGGCCCAAGGACTTCCAGGAAACAAGATCGTCTCAGCACAGATGAAATTCTCATATACCTAAACCATAAAACAAAGCTTATCCTTAAAAGTACAGCTTAAACTCCCTTTAAGAAAGAAACACCTTGTAACTGACACAGACTGAACACCAGTATAAGAAAGGAGGAAGTATCCCCCAAACTCTGAGAATGGTCTCCAGATGTAGACCTTCTTGGGCAGATAGTCCTCTGACCCCTAACTGCATCTCTCTATCTGGCCCATGTCACAAGACTGCTTTCACTATCTGTGGTGGCATATGCCACAATAAACTGCTTGAGTATCAGAGGGTATCTAAGTCTCTTTTTGTTGTTTGCTTGTTTTTGGACATGGTCTCACTCTGTAGCCTAGTGGCGCTACTCTAGCTCACCGCATACTTCAACTTCTGACTCAAGCAATCCTCCCGTCTCAGCCTCTTGATTAGCTAGGACTACAGGCACATGCCACCACACCCAGCTATTTTATCTGTGATGGAATCCAAACTGGAAGTGAAAAGTAACTCCTGGGGAAGCTGATTAACTATGACCATCCAAGAGTCCTGAGTACGACAAGGTAAAAGCTGTAAAAATGGGAAAATCTCCCAGTGTAATTCTTTTCTTTTTTTCTAAGTGTCACCTCCTTTTCAGTATCTGCCTACTTTTGGACAGTCTCCAGTCTTCTGGTAGTGGTTTGTATCTTTTCCAGAGTTTGTGGTTATTCTTGGTGGTATGACTGGTCCTGATTCAACAGGAGATGCACAGCTGTACCTAATTACATTAGATAAATACACTAATTGTTTTACATCCACTTATATGTATATTCATTTCTTCTACAAATAGAATACATTATGATATAGTGTGATTTTTCAATAAGATTGATTATTTTATTCCATTTTTGTCAAAACCAATAGAAAATACTAGGTTTAACAGAATATGAACTGAGAGTGGAAAGATAAGCCATAAAGGGAAAAAGCGAAAATAAGTTTCTGTTTTGTTTGATAAGTTTATGCCAAACATGTAAATAATCCAAGAACAAGACTATTTCTTTTTCTTTTACTTTTTAGAACCGAAGGTATTTTATATATCCAATAGATAGCTTTTATGTTACTCTAAAAATGTCTTTGCTATTCAAGAGAAAACAACTTTTTTAAGGCCAATACTTTAAAAGAAGATATAAAATTTATCAAAAAATTCTGATGAAAATAATTTTTATTACTCTTATAATTCTAAATACAAAATGATATTTTCAAGCCTTCTGTATACAAGTGCATTATTTTCTATATATAGAAAGTATATTATATACATAATAGATATCAAAATAATGAAATATTATTACAAAGAAATCAATAAATAACACAGAAGCCAACCAATCTGTGATTATTTATTTTATATATCTACTTCCAAAACACCTCAATGAAAGTTAATATATCAATCACTTCTATAAAAATTTTGCCAAAAATTATCCTAATGTTGCTAAATAACTGTCTGAATGTTTCTAACATACATAAAATTGTTTTGAATTAGTTTTTGCAGTAATTCCACCAAGCAGTCGATATTTATGGAGTACCTGTCTGTGCAGGCACTGTCTAAAAAACAATTATTCCAAATGAAGAAAGCTGAAGAATGATAAATACAGAAAAACAAAGAAAGAGAACACAACCATATAAGAGAAACACAAATCATATTTTCTTAAAAAAGAGGATTAAGATTGGCATTTGGAAAGAACTAGAAAATAAGAAGTTATGAGATTTAAAAGTGTAAAAGGTGAAAATAATAAAATGTAAATAAATGAAATCCAAATCAGAACCAGCTTTGCAAAAATAAAATGAAATGCCATTTAAAGGTTGGAAAGAACATACACAGAACATGTTTATAACAAACTAAAGGCCCAATCACAGGACACCTTAATGTGAAGTCCAGTTGACGTAGCACGTAGTAAACATAATTGTAGTTAAAATTGGAAAAAATAATTAAGATTAAATCGGTTAGAATATGAGTTTGAAAAATATCCATCAAATAAAGTAAATAAAAGGTAAGTGGTCTATAACAAGTTGAAATAAACAGTGCTTGAAATATACCACCTTCGAAAGGTCCAATTTGAGATTTGATTATGCTTTCCTTCTAGAGATGAAAGAATAACAATTGACATTTGTTGCTTTCTATCTTAATTTTAACATATTTATTTTCTCAGTCTCATGTATAAAGCTTGTGGTTCAGATCTATTTGGAATGGAGTTATGGTACACTATATTTTTTCAGGCTGTGACCTTAAAGAAGTCTTCATTTCCAATTCTAAGGGAATTGAATGGATTTTTTTCTCTCTTGAACTTATAAAAATGAGTAAATCTTCTAGTCAAACAATAAAAACAAGAAAACAAAAAGTGTTCCATTTTGAAAAACGTTTAGTGATATTTGGTTCCCACACACACATACATAAAAATCTCAGCACTTATATGTACTCTTAAAATTTCCAAGTTATACTGTCTACTTTTGATTTATGAACCTGCTTTAGATTCCATTACCTAAAGTACACAAACTATGTAATAAATGATTTAACTATATTCTTCAACATAATTCTTAGATAAGAAAAATGTTGCAAAGAAAGATGCTAGGGTAAAATCTATTTTTAGTACATCTCATTTACTGAAAGTCCATATCCATTCTGCACTGATGAATAATGCGAATAAAACTTTGGCAAAATTATCATATTTCAAATATTATGATATGCACTCTTTTATAGTTTAACATCTTTTCGATTGGATATATCTTAGAATTGATAACATCTTACAGTCACTTTCTGCCAGAGGGCAGTTGTGACAGGAAGTATGCTATGTTATTCTTTATGCTTTGACTTATTTGTAATTCCTTGTAGCATGACAGGATAATCACAAGTTCTCAAACTTTCAGTCATTACATTATCTAAGAATCATTTAAGAAAAGAATATCGGTTCCAGTAGTTACCTGAAAATGTTCAATTGACATCTTCTGGTAAAATCAACAAAGTGCTAGCAGGAAAAATTAGAGTGTTTATCAGTGCCTTGTGTGAAAATCCTGGAAATAATGGTGAAGCTCTCTTAAGGAAAAGAGAATCAACAACCCTCTTGAGGACACAGAAGATGATATTGTAAGGAAAACCATGGAAATTGATGACTAATGCAAAAGTGATTAAAAATATTCAGACTCTAAGTGGGAAAACATTTTAGTGATACCTTAACCAATGTATTTCACTTATATTTTTCTTTATATGAACACAAAAGATGTGTGTGTATATGTGTGTGTGTGTGTGGTAAAAACTTTCAAAGACAAAAATAAAACTTACATTTATTCTAAATGTTTCTCTTCTTCTGTTAGAATATCCGAAATAAATTATCATTATTATTGAAAATTAGAAATCGATTTTGCTTTTAAATTAGTAACTAGAGTAACAGTCATTGTTTCATATGCAGTATACATATACTACCTTATGATGTTAGAAAAGGGGGAGTTCTGGGGCCAGACTTTTGAGTTCAAATCCCTTCTTTGAATGTTTAGTTACTTAACATTTTTATGCTTCAGTTTTATTATTTGTAATATAGGTATAATATGTTATATCATAGATTTATTATAAAGTTTGCATGTGTAAAGTGCTTACAATAGTGCCTCCTATATCATTACTGTTAGAGTTATATGTATTTACTATGCAATGAAGAGGAACTCAAAATTTAAAACTATGAATATTACAAACCGTTAAGTTTTTACCTATCAGTCTTTTCTTATCTTGTTATCAACAAGTGATCTTTGAAACCAAGAGTGAGGGATGATAAATGTGGAAGAATATCAATCAAAAGAGCATTATTTTTTTCAAAATTCCGCCTTGAATCCACATAAAGCCTACTGATTCAGTTTTCAGGATGGGAGTGAGGTAGAGAATAGAGGTAATATGTGTGGGTCACCTTTTTTTGTTTGTTTGTTTGTTTGTTTTTTGTTTTGTTTTTTGAGACGGAGTCTGGCTCTGTCACCAGGCTGGAGTACAGTAGCGTGATCTCAGCTCGCTGCAACCTCCACCTCCTGGGTTCAAGCAATTCTCCTGCCTCAGCCTCCCGAGTAGCTGGGACTACAGGTGCGCACCACCGTGGCCTGCTAATTTTTGTATTTTTAGTAGAGACGGGGTTTCACCATGTTGGCCAGGATGCTCTCGATCTCTTGACCTCGTGATCTGCCCACCTTGGCCTCCCAAAGTTCTGGGATTATAGACATGAGCCACTGCACCCGGCCTGAGTCACCTTTTTATCCCAACTATTGAGAGTCATTTTTTTTATATATGATCTAGATTCCAGAATGACTCACAAAAATGAGACTACCCGATGTTTCAACATTGCAGCCTTCTTTTCTGTTTCTTAACAGCCAATTCAGAAGACCAAAATGTGACAAATTTTTAGTTATTTATTTTTAGTTTATGCTCCTCTAGAGAGTCAAGGAAAAGGGAAAATTAATAGCTCATGCTTTTCTTTGTTTCCTTTGCCTCATGGAAATCTCCCTTTTCTCCTGAACTGTAATGTTACAGAATGCTATGACTCTTCCTCTTTGATAATAACAGCGAACAAATTTTCCTTACAAGATCAAAGAAATGGCAAAGCAAGGCATTTGAGTTGCTTTTAGATTTTAAAAAAATTTAAAAAATTAGCTAATTTTTAATGATTTTCAGTGTGATGTTTTGTGCTTGCTCTAAGAAAGGGTAAACAAAACTTCTTTAACAACAAAAAGTTGAAAACTCAAACCAAAATCATGATTTAAAGTAAGTAATGTGTTTACCTTTCTGTCCCTGGCTTATTTCACTTAACATAACGTCCTCCAGTTCTATCCATGTTGCCATGAACGAAAGGATTTTGTTTGTTTTTTACTGCTGAATAGTATTCTGTTTGTGTATACACCTCATGTTCTCACTCATGTGTGGAGGCTTTAAAAAATTTCATCTCATAGAAGTAAAAAGTAGAACAGAGGATACTAGAGGCTAAGAAGGGTTGAGGAAGAAGGAATAGGAAGATATTTGTTGAAAATGAAAGGTACAAAATTACAGCCTGATAGGAGGAATAAATTCCAATGTTCTAGATCACTCTAAGATGACTGTAATTAACAATAATATATGAAATAATTTCAGATAGCTAGGCAGAGGATATTGACTGTTCCCAACATAAAGAAATTATAAATTTTGAGATGACGGATATCCTAATTACACTGATCTGATACCTCTACATTATATGAATCACAAAGTCACGATGTACCCCATAAATATGTTCAATTATTATGTGTCAATGTAAAATTTAAGTAAAAAGAGTAGGTACATATGATCTCCTCTTAAAATGTTACTAATAATAGTCAAATACCACTTTCTGTTTTAAAAATAACTGATGACAAACTTGGATCATCAAATTTTGCCCCAATGAATATGCCTTCTTATAGAAAACTTGTGTAACTAACTATAACCATGTAACTAACTGTAACTGTACATTGAATTTTATAGCAGACTAGCTTTTCTATGAATCTAAAAGTCTTGCTACATATAATCTTTAACCTTAACCAGGGATCCAGAAATTCCATTTAATGTCCAATCTATGCATGGATAAACATCAATAATAAAATTCCTTGAAATTTAGGTACAATTTATTATTTTTCCAGTCTATAGAAAACACACTGTAACCTGGAACTCACTCTAACTAAGATTGCATTAGGCTCCTCTCTACATATATATATATGATTATTTCTGAAATGTTAGCTTTGTTTGGCTCTTTGTTAATTTGGAGGCTGCTCTTCAGTTCCCTCTATTTGTGTGGATCTTTCCACACAAGTGAAGGATTCATGGATCCTTCATTTATTTATTCAACATAATTATTTCTGAGCCTATTATGAACCTGACAAAGCAAAAAAGTGCTGTTCCTGTCTTCTGAGTCACTGGAGGAAAAGTCTACACTCTTGAAAAAAGAATGGAAGGGAACTCTCAAGCTAGGTTTAATTGAAGATGGAGTTTTATTAGGAATTGAGAATTTCAGATTAAGATCTGAGATGAAGAGAGGATACTGAGAAGGAAACCCCAGCATTTCAAGGGAATGTTTTCCCCTGGTTTCTAGGTGACTTTAGAAGCAACAGTCATGGGAATCTTAACAGAGTAGAGAGAAGTAATTTCTTTGAAATACACCAAAAAGGTACTCAGAAAGAATCTTCGTGTTAATAAAGGACATTGAGTAAAATCCATATATTTTATTTATCCAGTCATTTAACAAACAGTTTTGAGTGTCTGTGATGTAGAACTATGATAAACCTTAGGAAACAGATCCAGTATCTGCCCTCTTGGAATTTGTACTTTAGAAGAGCCAAAGTTCATTTATAAATATGCTTATTGTGATATATTCTGTGATAGAGAAAATAAAGCAAAAATATTTATTCATTATCTATCATGTGTGTTCAGATGTAATGGTAAATAAAGCAGATTGGCTCCCTATAGGTGAGGAAATCATACCAGTCAAATACATACACAGATATGCAAACTGGCACATGTAACAAAGTGAAAGTATGGTGTATCACATGAGAGTACATAAGGGGTGACTGAGAAGATTGGGGACTCAAGGAAGACGTTCCTTGAGTAATGATGACTGAGCTTATAACCAAAGGACTGTCAAGAGTTAACTAATAAAGCGAGATGGAGGATACGAGTGGAAGGATCAGGCCTAGGCCAAGGGACCACCTTTAGCAATGAAGATAAATTCCAATGGCCTGATTAATACCTTTCATAGCCCGAGTTCTAATCTACCATGGTGGACCCAAAAGTTACAGTCATTCTCCTACACTTTGCAAAATGAGATACTGAAAAAGTCTAGAGAAAACAAATAGTGATTTTTCTGGGAAGAAACCTTCCTTAGCAGGATTCTATAGGAAATTATTTTTCCCCTTTCAAAACGATCAAAGTGAGGCAACAGGCCTTCAGTGGGTTGACATAGAAAATGCAAGTAAGACAGATTATGGAAGTCTTGGAAACCAAAATGGACATTCCATTGTGTGGAAGGACAGCTCTGCCTAAGCCAGAAGGTTAACATGTGAACACTAAGACTTGTGGACCTGGTGACAAAAACAAAAGGAAAAGCATGAAGCCAGAGACATTTTAGGAGACCAGATGGCCAAATAAATAAATAAAATACCCCTTTAACAGCAGACCCAGAATACAGTGTGAGGCAACTGCATTCAAGCAAAACCAATGCAATGTTAAAAAGGAGAAGACCAAGAAAGCACATAGCAGTGGCATTAACAAAAGAAGCAATGATGAAGAGCATTTAGTGGTGCAGTTTAGCAAGCCCTTGCACTGTGATGATATGATGCTATATCTGAAAATCACTGAAGGCAACCTAAGAGCTCCAGCATTAACTGAGATGGATTAATGTATTTATTCATCAGTTTAACAAATATTGGTTGAACTCCCACTCTGTTCTAAGCACTGTGCTCGACATTAGGGATACAGCAGTTAACAACTACAAGAAAATCCTAGCCTTTATTCATTTAAAGAAGATCAATAAAAACATATAAACTAATCTTTAGTACAGTAAATATTTTTAAGTACTGCGGGGGAAAATGTCAGATAAGAAAGCTAGAAAATTCTGGGAGTGGAAAGTCAACCATAGCTCAGTAGCAATGCAGCATTAAATAGAGTCCCACAAGAAGAGAAGGAGCAAACAACAGGGATTCCTGGAAAATATTCCAGGCAGAGAAGAGGAAATAGCCAAGACCCTTCCTCCAGAATTTTCCTCCTGAGTTCAGAGATTACACGTCTGTACAACACTAGAGAGTATCTTTAATAGTGGCTTAGACAGCATTCACTAAGTGCTAGGCACTGTTTCTAGTGATTAACAAAAGTACACTCAGGTAACTCATTTCATCCTTACAACAACCCTAGAAGTCATATACTATTATTATCATCATCCCTATTTTACAGATGAGAAATGGAGGAAAAGAGAAGTTGAACAACTAATCCAGAATTGCACAGTTACTATGCGGCATTGCTGGGATTTGAACCCAGATGGTCTGGCTCTGTATTGGTCTTGAGTCCTTCTCACATCACATCACATATCATCTGACCTCTTCCATAGCCACACCTTTCTTTGACTCTGTCTTTTCTGCCTCTCTTTTTTCAATTTGAAAAACTCTTGTGATTATGTTACATCTATCTGTATAATCTGGAATACACTCTCTATTTTACAGTCAGCTGATTAGCAAACTTAATTCTATTGCAAACTTCTTTCTCCTTCGCCAGATAACATAACATATTCACAAGCTCTGGGGCAGAATGTTGACATTTTTGTGGTGAGGACAGAGGGTGGGCAGGCATTAATCTGCCTACCATAAGCTCTAAAAATGTACTCTCAGCCACTAAATTACTCTACCCTTACAAACATAGCCAGAACACAGGTGGTTTCTGTTTGGGTCAGCCAGACTAAGTCTCATATCGTCTGCATATTCTAGGGCACCAACATGATTAAAGCTAGACAAATTTGGGTTCTGAAATATGTTTTGAGTCTAGTCATAAACTCAACAGGCATTGAGTTGAAATGTAAAGGACAGGCATGCTACGCATTCAATCTGCATGGGATTTGAGTCATATATGATTAATTGAAACACAATTTTATTATTTCTATGTTGTAAAAACATGAAAATATTTTTAATATAAAACATTTTAGTACTCTTGCTTCCCACTTAGTTCAGTTCTATTGTCATTTGTATAACTTGTTTCTAGTAGCTTTTTCTCTACTTTTTTACTCTGCATTCATTTTTTGTATTCCACATGAGAAGCTCCAAATGTTATTCCTGTCTGTGATTTGTGTTTTTCAATGAATTTAAAGGCAAAAATAAAGAGTGTTTGCCTACAATATAGTTTCTCCCAAGGATTGAGACAATTTTGCTTTTCCTAAACCCATCCTATACTTAGTCTTATCTCTACAGTCTTCATTCATTATTCCTTCATCCTCTCTCCAGCCTTGCTGGTAAATTCTACTCACCTTTCAAAGCCTGGTTCTTTTTCCTGTGTGCTCTTAATGGCATTTGTTTCTTCTTTGTGATGACACATATTGTATATTGTCATAAGTTATTTGTTGTATTCATTTTTATGTATTACTTACTGAATTTATTTTATGTAGCAGGATATACATGCAAATGATTTTGATAGATAACTGTAACTCTTTAAAATGTTTTTTTTTTTGGCAAATTAATGCTGGTCACATTTTTCAGTTATATAAAAATGTGTTTATAATTTTCTAACATTTATTTACTTTCCTGAAATTAAATTCATATATTAAATAATTACCTGCCTATGACTAATTAAAAAATAATCTCTCTAATATGTCTAATGCCAATTTGGGAATTTGGCATTTAATAAATAAAAATAAAATAATTTATAATAAAACACTGCTTTCTTTTCCTGCCCCAGCAGGTCTGCACTACACTATATGAAGTGGCGAAAAGGTTGTGCCTGTATATAAAATTACAGTGGATTCACTGCCATGTATGCTTATTCATTCTGTGTATTATACTGTGGACGTAAATATTATTAATTGGCATTACTATTATTTATTTTATTTCCCACAACGTGAAATACTCTTGGTAAGTTCCCAAACAGAAGAGTATGCAATTTTCTCTTGATATATACAGTAGTGGCATTTCTACACAATTCAGTGTAAATCAAAATAGTGCAAAAATCCTTTATGATTACATGTAAAAGAGAAAGAAGAATAGATTACAAATAGAGTACGTTTAAAAAATTGTAATAAGAACATGCAACATGAGATATGCCTTTTTAACAAATTTTAAGTGTACAATAGAGTATTGCTAGCTATAGCCATGATGTTGTACGGCAAATCTCTAAAACTTACTCATCTTGTGTAACTGAAACTTTACATCTGCTGAATAGCTTTTCATTTCCCCTTCCCTCATCCCTGGGCCACCACCATTCTACTTTCTGCTTCCATGAGTTTGGCTATTTTACATACTTTGTATAAGTGGAAAAATACAGTATGCGTTCTTTGATGACTAGCTTATTTTACTTAGCATGATATCCTCCAAGTTCATCCATATTGTTGCATATTTCAGGATTTCCTTCCTTTTTAAGGTTAAATAATATTTCATTATATATGTATACCACATTTTCTTTATCTATTAATCCACTGATGGACATTTAGGTTGTTTCCACATCTTGACTATTGTGAATTATGCTTCAATGAACATGGGAGTGCAAATATTAATTCTTTCCTTTCTCTTTTTTTCATTATTTACTCTCACTTTGCAAAGAAATAGTGCTAGAGAGTGTGATTTTACAGCATTTCCTTTTCATAATGTTCTAAGATTTTTCTAAATCCAAACATCAAATTCATCTTTACACAATATGCAGCTAGTAATTGGTTAGACCAACTAATAATGATATATGTATATCTATGTATATTTGAAGGTGATATATTTTGAGCATAAAATAGGTATCTTAATAAACATTTGTTTAATTAACAGCATTTAAAATCATTATAATCAGTACAACCATGGTCCTTTCTTCTACTTTTTTTTCACATTTTGATAATTAAGATTGTTGAAGCTTTCTTCTCTAAGTATCCTCCACAACATTGCGTATGTTATAGGTTTCAGTAACTATTTTGAATGAATTTTAAAATGAATGTGTAAATAAAGTGACTACTAATTGTTAGGCAAGAGGCTTAGCAAAATATCTAATATGATTTGCATTCAGCACCTGCCTTGTCAACTCTGAAATTATTACTTTGATTTTCACCATTATCTTAGTTTTAGAAAATAATGCTATTGGATTTTGAAGTTGAAATTGAGGATTATTTTTCTTGCCTATACATACTTGTGTTTGTAGCTAGATCAAGAGGAACAAAAAATGCACAGCTATTTTTGGAACTTCAAGTATGGTCTCCTGTGCTACAAACTATGCAAATAAATCAACACACCTGGGTGACCTAGGTCAGAAAAAATCACATAAACAACAACTTCAAGTCTGTTTAGCAAATCTGGGTATTATTGCCTCATGCAGGCTACGCCACTGTGGACAGCTTCTACAGCTACAGCATGGCTGAAGTGCTGTACCCTGGAAAATGTAGGCCCTGCTGGATCAAAAGTAAACAACAATGCAACAGTGAACTTTCGATAGACCACAAGTATATTTAAGTAGAAAAACAGCATCCCACCAAGTGATTACTTTAGCCAGCTGTGTGAATTTGCCTTGGGCTGAGGCAGACCCTTCACAGTGCCAATCCGTCATTAGTAGAATTCTGAGTATGTGTCTTTTGGAGCCAAGAAAATGGTATGGAGAGGGAGGGAATATCCAAATACCTAGGTGCATTTTGGCAAGCAAATCAACTGGACACAATTATATTCTAAACTTTCCACAGTGAAAGAATCATAGCATACGTGAGAAAAAATGTCTAACTGACTTCTTTACCCTTGATCACTTGAATAAAAGTGCATTAAATCAGCCATCAACACAAGACAATGTTTTTCTATACAGAGAAATGTAAGACAGAAATTACTTATCGTGTTATAGAAATGCAGAAAAGATAAAATATCTTTATAACCCCACTTTAACAAAAAGAGTCAACAAATATTTCTTTCTTATATACTCTGTATTAGGAGCTGTTATAATTGCTTACTAGATATCTCTGAGAAAATGCCGTTCTCCTTAAAGATTATATATTCTAATAATAAACTAAAAAAATTAAGATTATATATGTGTATGTGTATATGGAAAGAGAGTACATAAGGAATATATAATAATATAATATAATAATATAACAAAGAGTGATCAGGACAGGAAAGAAGTTTGAAAGTGGGCTCTTATTTTTACTGAAACTGTCAAAGAAGACCTGTCTGAAATAACAATTGTGTTTGTATGCATTATTTTATTTATGAAACATACTATAGGAGATGAGGGTTTCTAAGAAATTTGCCAATAATTGTGAATAGACAAATATCCCTACCATCACTACCTTCCAATGATGATGGAGGAGTGAAAACCAAAAATATGATCAGTAAACATAATAAATAACTAATATAAGAGAGTGTGATATGTGCCATTTAAAGGTGATAACAGATATTTGGGATCCTAAGAGCTGGTGGAAAGCTGCCATTTAAATAGGGATCAGGAAGTTTTAGGGGAGAGATAATATTTGAGCAAAGATTTTAAGGAGGTAAGAGATCTAGCCATAGGATATTTGGAATAAGCATATTCCAGGCAGAGGCAACATCTAGTGCAGAATCTTGAGGTAGTTTGCTTGGAGATGATCAGAAACAGCAAAGAGGCCAGTATGTCTGCAGTAGGGTTAGGAAGGGGATAGATTGCAGAGAGGCAATGGGAATCCAGGTCATGTGGAACCCTACTGGACATTGTAAGGTCTCCAGGTTTGACTCTAAATGATGTGTCTGTAGCTATATGTCAAACTATTTTGCCTCAAAATTCAGCGCTGCTTCACTTTATAGAAAAGAAGCTTTGAAGGGAGGAGGGGCACCTGCTCAGAATGAAAACCCCTTCCTTTTCTCTCTTGATCTTACAAAACACTTCTACCCCAAATCTTCATGCACATATGTCTCCAACATGCACCTATACCTATGTGCACTCTCAGCAGAGAAAATAATTTGTCTAAGTCAGTGGTTCACCACCCTGGCTGGGACTCATCCTCACTGATGGAGCTTATTAACCACACATGTCAGAGGCCCACTTGAGTGAACCTAATTCAGAACTAGGTTTAGACACAGGCTTCTCTTTTGGTGTGAAACCTCCCTCAGGTGACTCTGATGGGCTGTCACATATAGGACTCACTGCTCTAGATGCTAGCTACTCAGTGTGCGGTCTGTGGTCCAGCAATATCAGCATCATCTGGGAGCTTGTTAGAAATGAGAAACTCAGGCTTCATCAGAAAACTATGAAATCAGAACCTATATTTTAACAAACTCCTCAGTTGATTCATATGCATACTCAAGTTTGAGATGCATTTCTCTAGCTCTTTTTCTCAACTCTCTATTACTTTACACTCAGTCTTTGTACATATGCCCAGGTATTTCAAATCTATTTCTTAGATGAAAGTAATTGCAGATCAAGGAAATAAAATAATCTCCTTCCCAACAGAAACACTTCATCGAACTTCTTATGTAAATCTGTTTTCTTTCTCACCCATATTTTATAGCCTGGAAACAATTTGTAAAACAGTTTATGTGACCAGAAATCCTTCATGATAATTCTGTGTAATTTGATACCATAATAATACAATTATTTGTTAATTCTTTGTTGAAACTTTTTTTTAAGTTTCTATGGAGAAGTCTTGAAATTAAACTTTTCTCCTGATATAGTTTGGCTATGTCCCTACCCAAAATCTCATCTTGAATTGTAATCCCCATAAACTCCATAATCCCCACATGTTGTGAGCAGGACCAGGTGGAGGTAACTGGATTATGGAGACAGTTTGCCCCATGCTGTTCTCATGAAAATGAATGTTTCTCACAATATCTGATGGTTTTATAAGTGTCTGGCATTTCCCCTTCTTGCACTCACTCTGTCCTGCCACCCTGTGAAGAAGGTGCCTGCTTCTTTTTTGCCTTCCACCATGATTTTAAGTTTCCTGAGGCCTCCCCAACAATGTGGAACTGTGAGTCAATTAAACCTCTTTCCTTTATAAATTACCCAGTCTCAGGTATTTCTTCATAGTAGTATACGAATGGACTAATACAGTAAATTGGTACCGAGATAGTGGGGCATTGCTATAAGTTACCTGAGAATGTGGAAACAACTTTGGGACTGGGTAATAGGTAGAGATTGAAACCACTGTAGGGGTCAGAAGACAGAAAGATTTGGGAAAATTTGGAACTTCCTAGAGACTTGTTGAATGGCTTTGACCAAAATGCTAATACTGATATGGGCAATGAAGTCCAGGCTGAGGTGGTCTCAAATGGAGTTGAGTAACTTGTTGGGAACTCTTGCTATACTTTAGCAAACAGACTGGCGGCATTTAGCACCTGCCCTAGGGATCTGTGTAACTTTGAACCTGAGAGAGATGATTTGGGGTATCTGGTAGAAGAAATTCTAAGCAGAAAAGTGTTCAAAAGGAAGCAGAGCATACAAATTATGAAAATTTGCAGCATGACGATGTGATAGAAAAAAAATTCTGGGGAGAAATTCAAGCCCACTGCAGAAATGTTAATCACCAAGACAATGAGGAAAACATCTCCAGGGCATGTTAGATACCTTCATGGCAGTGCCTCCCATCCAGGCCCAGAGGCCTAGGAGGGAAAAATGGTTTTGTGTGCTGGGCCCAGGGCATCCTGCTCTATGCAGCCTTGGGACATGGTCCCCTGTGTCCCAGCTGCTTCACCTCCAAGCATGGCTAAAAGGGGTCAAGGTACAGCCTGGGCTATTGCTTCCGAAGGTGCAAGTCCCAAGCCTTGGCAATTTCCATGTAGTGTTGAGCCTGCAGATATACAGAAGTCAGGAATTGAGGTTAGGAACCTCCATCTAGATTTAAGGGGATGTATGGAAATGCCTGCATGTCCAGGCAGAAGTTTGCTGCAGGGGCAGAGCTGTCATGAAGAGCCTCTACTAGTGTAGTGCAGAAGGGATATATCAGGTTGTAGCCCCCACACAGAATACCCACTGGGACACTGCATAGTGGAACTGTGAGAAGAGGGCCACTATTCTCCCATTCTCAGAACAGTAGATCCACCAACAGCTTGCACCATGTGGCTGGAAAAGCTGCAGACACTTGGTGCCAGCTTGTGAAAGCATCTAGGAGAGGGGCTGTACCCTGCAAAGCCACAGGGCCGGAGTTGTCCAAGGCCATGGGAGCCCACCTCTTGCATCAGCATGACCTGGATGTGAGACCTAGTGTCAAAGGAGATCATTTTGGAACTTTAAGGCTTAATGTCTGCCCTATTGGATTTGGGACTTGCATGGCGCCTGTAGCCCATTTGTTTTGGCCAGTTTCTTCTATTTGGAACAGGTTTATTTACCCAATGCCTGTACCCCCATTGTATCTTGAAAGTAACTAACTTGCTTTTGATTTTACAGGGTCAAAGGCAGACAGGACTTGCCTTGTCTCAGGTGAGACTTTGGAATTAGACTTTTGGGTTAATGCTGGAATGAGTTAAGACTCTGGAGGACTGTTGGAAAGCCATGACTGTGTTTTAAAATGTGAGGACACAAGATTTGGGAGAGGCCAGGGATGGAATGATATGGTTTGACTATGTTCCTACCCAAAATCTCATCCTGAATTGTAATCCCCATAATCCCCACGTGTCAAGGGTGGGACCAGGTGGAGGTAATTGGATCCTGGGGTCAGTTTGCCCCATGCTGTTCTCCTGATAATGAGTAAGTCTCATGAGATCTGATGGTTTTGTATGCATTTGGCATTTCCCCTGCTTGCACTCACTCTGTCCTGCCACCCTGTGAAGAAGGTGCCTGCTTCTCTTTGCCTTCCACCATAAGTATATGTTTCCTGAGGCCTTCCCAACAATGTAGAACTGTGAGGCAATTAAAGCTCTTTTCTTTACAAATTACACAGTCTTGGGTATTTCTTCATTGCAGTGTGAGAGCGGACTAATATATCCCCTCTCCTAGCTTGTAAATACACGTGGGATCTTCTACATGTTCAAAATTAGAAAATGTTCAAATTAATATAGGGAAAATTTGGGAGAGGAGCGTATTTTTTAGGGTCTGGCAAACTGTGTAATTTTTTTCTCATATTGTTTTCTTTCTCTCTCTGCTTCTAATGAGTAGACATGTGGGATACACTTATGGCTCAAAATTTCTTTCTCCACATATGCATTTTAAATAATAAATAACAGTCTATAATTGAAACAAAATATTTTAATTAAAAAAATTGAAAGGAAATTATTTAGGGTTTCACATATATAAATAAACTCTAAAAGCCTGATTTAACATGGTACACTAGAGATTATCACTTTTTGGTAAGGTCAACTTTAATGAGAAAAGATTATTAGCTGAATAAAAAATAGCAAAATGAGTAATTAGTTCAGGAGATAAAAATAAGTAAAATAATTTGGAGGAAGCATCACAATGCTGTAACGAACTTTAAAAAAAAAAAAAAAAAAAAAAAAAAAACTGGCCTGCACCTTTTAAATCCAAAAGCTTAAAGCTGTCAGATAAAATATATTGCATGTAAAAAGTGTTAAAGACAATTCATATATTTTTTCTACTTTTTAAGATAACTTTTATTTGAAATATATTTCAACCTCACTATAATTTTGTTAGTTCAGAAGGTCAAAATCTTTAGGACAGCTCCTCAGAAATCCAAACTCTTTAGGAGTACTCATCAAAAGGTCAAAATCTTTAGGATTGTTCTTCATATTCTTTAAACATTAACTAAGCTATCTTCCATCTAGGTATGTGCTTTCCAGAAATAATTATCTTCTCTAGCCCTTTGTACATTTTCTAAAGATCCAGTGGTTTGAGGAGCATAGAAGAATGGATGAAGAGAATACACAATATCAGTAATTGGATTTATTGACATACCTAGTATCCAAGACGGAATGTCTTTGTGCCTCCATTTTTAAGACCAAAGAAATTGTTCCTTATAGTTAAATTAAATTGCCCTAATTTTAACTAGAACCATCAGATTCTAATACACAGTCATTATAGCAGAAGTTAAAATAAACTCAAGGTTTTTAATAGTGTATGAAATTAGTTTGAATAATATATGCCAAAAAACTTTCACTGAATTATCTCAGAAAAAGAGAAATCCGGATTATGCCTATTTTCTTGAGTACTGTGGGAGTTGTAGAGATAAGAAATTCACTGATTTATTTTTAGCAACTCTCGATTATATCAAATGTTTCTTCAGAATGGAGCTATTGCAAGACCAAAATATATACATTTGAATCACTGACAATTTAGAGACTATTGTCTGGGGAAAAATTGTGAAAGAAGTTCAAATATTTTGAAAACTGTTTCTAAAGGAAAACAACTTTTTGATAACACTCACATCTTTTCATCCTATTTCACTAGTTCCCAAAATTGACCACACACTAGAATTTCTCATACTATTTAATGAAAACTACAGAATTCAAATGTTAATCCCTGAAGATTCTGAGTTGATAGAGCTCTAGAAGTGGAGTTTTTTTTTTAAAGATCCCAACAGACTTGGATGATCCCCTAATCTAGATATGAGGATTTATAATCTATGTCAAAAGATGCAAATATATAAGATTATGTTAAAGAGATAATAAAATAAAACATAAAAATAAAAAATAACTGGTTATATGTAACAATTCCATAAAAATCTATAAATATTATATTTGAGTGTGGAACTACTTGAATATTCAAATAAATTAGATTTTTTTTCTATAAATGAATCAGTCTAACTTGCTTAAGGCTATGTATTATCTCAGAGATCAACCATATTGACTACAAAGTGTAACTGGGCACTCATGCCAGTGTCAGCAGTAAACAGAATTTTTTTTAGACAAGAATAAAATCCCAAGTAAATATTTCTGCAATTACTATTTTCCACACTCCATTATGTCATGTTTATTCTTACCAGTCTTTCCTATGACATTGCTTTATCTATGACTATTTTGGGAATCTACTTGAGAAATACAGGAATAAAGTGTTTGGTGAAGAGATTTTAGGCCTATTTAGAGTAAGCCTCTTTAAAAGTGTTCCCAATTAAATTCTGATTGGTGGATTTCTGTGTTACTTTATTTACTTTTGTAACTTTTCAGTATTTTGTAAATTTACATAATGTTTCTGAATTACTTTCACAATTAGAAAGAAATTTCAAAAATAGACCAAATGCAAATCGTAAATGGTATGAATATTGTCATAATAATCAAGGATGTCTACACCAATTGCCTTATTCATGTGGTAAGATAATTCATTAAGTTAATAATTTATGTGCTTTCATTCTTGTTAATATTTTTCCTTCCCTTTTTATCAAATCATGTCCTTGGGCACCCCTTCCTCAGAAGCAAAGCGAAATACTTTCCTTTTCTCTCACATAAAAATTTGAGTTCATTGAATGTAAACGGACTGTGAGTAGGTGAAAGGAAGTATCCATGATGATATGATAAATGTTAATTATTGACAGGTCATTAATAAACATGAATTTATGTTTTACAGTAGCTTTCAAACTATTGGGGTAAAAGGAAGCAAGGAAAGTGCCCATGCAGGGGAAAGAATTAGCCAAAGACTCTGTGTTGGGTCTAAGGAAGTCGGATTATTTAGATCCAGGTGTTTCACAGTAGGACAGAGTTAAGGGCATCTGGTAGAGTAAAATAGTTTGTGCACCTAAGTTAGTACAGTATGGAATATACTCACTACTTTTTTTTTTCTTCTTCTCAATTACTAAAGTTTATTTAATATACTCTATGGAATAATATTTCCTATAGTAAGTGACAAAAATCATTTGCATCAAGATCCCCAAAGTTATTTGTTTAAAAAAAAATGCTGGTCACTGAACCCCTTCCAGATATATTAAATTAGAATTTCTGAGAGCTCAGAAGCTATTATTCAAATGAGCAATGTAAGTTGTTTGAATCACAGTAAAGTTTGAAAACTATTGTTGTAAATGAATAAATTCATGTTTATTGAATAACTTTATATTCCATAATTAACATTTATCATATCATCATTTTAAATATTGGGGCAAATCTTGTATCCTTTCCTCAGACTGAGAGGAAGTCTTCTCTGATCCACAATAACATGAGAAAATAAGGATAATGCAGTGAGTGTATAACTAGTTCTCAGCCTCCTGGAGAACTGATTGCTGTGGACAGGAGGATAATGAATCTTTATCACCCTTTTCACTTCCATCTATTTGCTTCTGTCTAATCTAAGGTAAGTAAATATGGTATTTAGTTTTATGAAAGAACTTTTACTAGAAGAAGGTATCTGCAAGGGACAGATGCTTGGAAAATGCACAGCAATTACCACAGTTTCTCACTGGCTCATAACCCTTTGGGTATGGTTTTGGAATTAGGGAGAGGAACACAAGGGTGAGTTGTAACACTTTGGTGTTACATGGAAGGCAAGGTACCCTATAGATACATAGTGTATTTAATATGAATACGGGCCATATTGACAAATTATTATTTGAAACTTGGAGTACCAAAATCTGATTCCAGACCTGTGAGCTACACCTGAAGTCCCAGGTCTCATACAGACAGTTCTGTTTAAGCCTCCTCTACCTTTCTTAGGCAGTTTATTATAAACAGAATGACTTAGACCTATGATATTTACTGAGGTCCATTTATTATGTCTCCCAGATTGTATTAATGGAAGGAAAGAACTGATTATAAAATAAGGCTGGACTCTTCAGTTTTCAGTGGAGTTTTCCAAGAGGGAAAAATGAAACTGTGATAGCTTACGGGAAAGTATTGTCAGGAGATAGAGAACAGAGAAGGCCTTCATGTAGGGTAGCAGGGCTAGGTTCTGGGGAGTCTTCTCATGGGGGCCTGGATTAGTCTGAAAATCCTTTGGTTTAATGGTTTTTAATAGCATGGGAATTTCCCTAACACTCATCATAAAAGGAAAGACATTTTTTCCCTTATTCTCTAGGGGTATAGGTGGGATTAGGAACTTTTGATTGTCAACAACGGACCTTAAAATCTGCATGAACTTTTCCTCAAAGAAGATAAAATTAACCATAATGGAAGTAACATGTAAGATTCATTGCTATTTTAGTGTTGTTTTTAGAAAATAGGAAGGGACCACCTGTTCATTGAACCCATCTCAAATGAGGTGATAGAATTGTAATTGCCTGTTCCCATGACCCATTGTTTCTGCCCAAGTGGAAGTCATAAAAGTGGCCAAATTCCTCTTTACTTTGCAACAGTCACCTGGTTGTAAGCCATATCAGAATTTCCCCCTCTGGGAAGCCCAGAACTTCTCAGAGATTTAGAAAAGGAGGAAGAAGAAAAGGAGTCATTCTAATTAGAACTAAGCGATGAAACCTGTGGGGATAGAAACTGAATGTGTTTAATGCTGGTTTGGGGTAAATAATTAAAACGCATAGTAGATTGGTCTCTGCCTCTGTGTCATTTTTGTTTCTTACAGAAGAATCAAACTAAAATTACATGATGTCTGATATTTGCTTTAAAATATTCTAGAAAAAAGTTACAGAATATACTAAACAAGATTGGTAAATCATTTATAATTATTCCAGTTGGATGAATAAGGGTGCAAGGGGGTTTGTTTATTGTTACCTTCTCTCTTCCTTATGTATTTCTGAAAATTACACAAAAAACATTGAGTTTTAGCCCAGAAAATAGTGTCATCTCTGATTTTAGCTAGATCTAAAACAGTGACCCTTTTAAATGCCCCCCACCCCTGCCTCGAGTCCCCAAGTGAAGTCTGGCCTTTTGTATAGCAACACCTCTGTTGAAACATTGTCACATATACTGGGGAGGGCAATGGTCCTGAAGCTTTAGACCATAATCAGCAAAGAAGTTGCCGTGAGTTCCATTTTAGAAGTGAGAGAATTGGGAAAGAACACTTTAAATATCTGCTTCCAAACAATCTAGTTGAAGATATAACTACCTTCTCTCCCAAATATAGTAGCAGAGAATGATCCTCGAGGAATATCTGTGTATTTCTACATGTGTCTGTGTCCGCTAATACGTTGCCAACTGCCTCTTCTTTGAAAGGGTTGGCTTCAATTCTGACAGTATATTCTTCCTCCATTTTGTATTCCAATGTCTTTTCTTTATGAAGTGGTGAGTCTAACATATGGTAGTACGGCAAATATTTTTTAAATCTCATTTTATGTTGTTCTGCAAAACTGTTTTGAAATTATTTTAAAAATCCAGGGATATTGTCTTTGTTTAATCTCCTTTTTTGTCTATTCCATCCCTTCATCTTCTTCCCTTAATTATCTGTTTCTCCAATTTGTTTACTTCTATAATTTTTCTCCTCTATTCCATCAAGTCTCATTATGTTGAGATTTGTACAATCACAGATTTTTTTAATTTTTAAAAAATCACTATTCACTCTGGTCACCATCCAAGATTCCTGTGAACACACAACAAACATAAAACAGAAAGATGCATATTATGTAGAAGTAATACCTTGATTTTCCATTTTGCAACAGTGAAGGAATGATGAAGTAAAAATTAACAAAGAGACTTTCACCTTTGTATGTCCGACATTTTTTCAGAGCTGTGTTGGTTGATGGTGATTACATTAATAAAGTCTATTTTAAAGAACAGAAACCATACTAGTTATTTTAATAGATATAATTTAATATAGGTAATTTGTTAAAGAGGTATTGGTGGGCCTAGAATATTTAAAAATAAAAGGTATCACAGGCCGGGCGCAGTGGCTCACGCCTGTAATCTCAGCACTTTGGGATCACGAAGTCAGGAGTTCAAGACCAGCCTGACCAACATGGTGAAACCTCGTCTCTACTAGAAATACAAAAGTTAGCTGGGCGTGGTTGCACGTGCCTGTAATCTCAGCTACTCAGAAGGCTGAGGCAGGAGAATCACTTGAACCCGGGAGGCAGAGGTTGCAGTGAGCCAAAATTGTGCCACCCACACCAGCCTGGACAACAGAGCAAGACTCCGTCTCTGAATAAATAAATAGGTATCACAAAGAGAGTAAAGGAAAGAAGCAGCCACCATCCTTTCAGATGGAGGAAAAGGGAAGAAGTTGAAGGTATTAGAACTTAGAAGTTTGAAAGAGGAACCCTGTAGAGTTAAGGCTTAGTCTCCTTAGAAAGGAGGAAGACCAAGTAGTGCTAATATTTTAGGAGCCAGGGAAAGGAACTCAGCTGAGCCTAGGACCTAGGCGTTGGAATGAAGATGCTGCTTGGCTGGTGCTGGTACCTCAGGAGCTCAGATCCATGCTTTGCAAAGATGCAACTCAGATCTCTAAAGAGAGGGCTCTACCCTTCAGGAACTAGTCCCTCTAAAGAGACGTAATAAGTCTGTTTGGTGAAGAAAGTTATTACTGGGACAGCACTGTCAGGAATAACACTAGCATCACAGAGCAGATAACAAGTGTAGGTTTGGAGATAAGAGAAAAATGACCAACATGATAAATCCCTTCTGCTACTAATCACTTGTACACACCTTTCTGCATATATTAAAATGTCCATATAACAATAAAAACAATTTTATGCTTTTGCCTCAAAGTATTCAAATATCTTTTATACACATGAAGATGTTCTCATCTACTCCCTAAAAAAGTCAGATAAAATCTAAACAGTCATAGAATCCATCTCTGGATATTATCCATTAATCCCCACCTGAAAATACTGTAATTTAAAGACTAAATTATAAAATTGACTACCCATGACAATCCTTAATATGATAAGGATAAGAGTGGGATACAAAGTAACTGGTACACACACACACACACACACACACACACACACTACATCACAACATGCTAGGAGAAACAGGCTTAGCTGCTCTAGTACTTGTTTTTGTAACCAGCCATAAAGTCATAGTTGATATTATGTCCTGATTTGTAGCATTGGCTGAATTCTGTGGGGATAAATATTCCCACAAATGCCAATTTCAAGATGCCAAGGTGATGTCACTAAAAACAGAGTTGGGAAATGGTGCACATCAGTGATTCTGAGGAGTCCATATGAACCTGTTGCAGTGTGCCAGCTCTTTCATAGCATTGGAAGTTAAACTGCACCTACCCATCTTGCACTTGGCCATTTTGCACTCCTCACGCTGTTGAAACAAGATGCAAAGAAGATAGTACACTGGCCAGGGTGATAGATCCTAACTAATATAAGATGAGGTTGCTACTCCACAGGGGAGCAAGAAAGGCTCTAAAACCTATGGAATTCTCTAGGGGCTCTTCTCATTCTTCCATTCCAATTGGTAAAGGTTAATCTAAAAAAAAAAAAAAAAAAAAAAAAAAAAAAAAAAAAAAAAAAAAAAAAAGTCTTCAATGAAAAGTTGGAGCAAAGTGCAAAACAAATGAAAAAACCAACAAGCAACCATACAACAGATGAGGCAGGTCCACTCATGATTCAGACCTTTCAGAAATGAAGGTTGAGATCACTACCAGGTAAAGAACTTCAACCAGCTGAGACTTTTGACACAAAACTAGAGGCATATAGAATATGTAATCAAAAAAGAATACTGACTAGTCATATTTTTGTCCCCAAAATCTAAGAGTGTTTTGGCACATTTAAATGCTCAAAAAAGTATTTGCCAACTGAATAAAAGTTGTCTACCAGACTAATTAAATTGTCATTAAACCAAGTGATGTTTTCTGAACTAAATGATCAAATACACTGATGTCTTTGGGTTTGAAATTCCCATTTCCTGATACATGTGTGCCAAAATATAACCAAAAAGTGACTCAATTAATTTTGCCAACCTGATAAAAATCTTCTGAGTAATCCTGTACAGAGGTTCCCAAATTTCTCACTTTGCTTTTTATTATATTGATATGAGGATTTTTGAAGAACTAAAGATAAAACATTTATCTTCACCTGACTAGAATGACAGTTGCTGAATAATAGCCATTAATTTGGATACTGAGCTTAAAGAAGAAATAACACCAATCCACCTGTATTAGACATTGTTTGCTAATTCTCAGTATCATCCCTATCCTTCAAATCTCTCCCCAAAACTGCAGGGGAAGAAAGCTAAAGGCCCCATTTCCCTAATCCCCTGTCAGTAGGGCCGTGAGAAACACTCATATAAGTTTGGGAGGTAGGAGATGAGAAGGAGTATTCTGCGACAGCTGTGGGCAAGTGTGAGGGCATCTGCAGGCAAGCAGCAGATGAAGGGTATTTTGGACAGGAATTCCACCTGAGGAGTCCCACATTAGTATTCTATGACTTGAGATCATTAGTAGAGGCTCCCTGAGGCTTTCTGGGATCCTTCAGAAAATGACCCACCCTCGTACTGCAGGCAGCTGAGGTCACTGGCAACTACTTTTCTGCTCTATTTCCATTTCTCAATTTCCTAAAAGTGCCTTTCTCAGCCCTTATAATGGTTTTGGGAAGCTACTTGTTATTCATTTAAATCTTTTCCCTGTATTACATTAATCTGTGGTCACCTATGCACGATAAACCATTCAATCCCATACTTTTCCTTCATAAATGGCATAATGAAGATAGATGAAGCAGAAGGAATAAGCAGAAAAGGCAAATAGATCAATATTTGTTTATTTTTCTTCGAAATTAATACAAAGATTTCCTAGTCCCAGGGATACTTAGAGATGGATCAGATGAACATTTGTCAGAAAATGCTGAAAATCAGTATCGTTTAAGGAATCTAATAATTATGTCTAAAATTAGCTTTAATGCTACAATGTTGTATTTATATGAACCATCATTGAATGGTAGGCGTTTAGAACCATTGTGGAACTGTTATTAAGTTATCTAAAATGTGATAGAATAATAGCAGTAATAGGATTGATAGCTTATATTAGCACTTAAAACTGTTTTTCGGTACAGGATTGCATAATTTCATCCTAAAACTTTCCCTATGGAAGCATTATTCTATAATTCTTTTCACTCTTCTAATTATTTTTTAAATGATATAAAAATCTCCAGTTAATTAATATATAACATACACAAAATATTTCATACAGGCAAGACCCTATGCTATGCATGTACTTTGGGACATAGCAAAGAGTATAATTTACATGCTCCCTGATTTTATAGAGAAGCTCAGAGTCATCCATAATCGCCATGGGCCTGCCTCCTCACCCTTGCTTCTATACATTTTTCTCCCCATCCCACGACCACCACCAAGCCAATTTAAACTCAGCATGGACAGGACAGTTTTTAAAAAAATCAGGATCATACCGATCACCTGATTTTAAACTTTCAGGGCTTCCACTTTTTTAAATGACAACATCCATATGCCTTTGGCCACTCAAGTCCTGCAAGACAGGGCTCCTGCACATCTCTCAAGCATTATCTCATAATACTGCACCCTTTCCCTTCCTATGCTGCAGCCACTCTGCCCTTCTGTATCAACCTCCTTCCTTTGTGTTAGCATCTTGGCATTTTCAGTTCTCTCCCTGGTAAAATCACTGGTGTTTCCTTTTGTTTTGTTTTGTTTTGTTTTGTTTTGTTTTTTGAGACAGAGTTTCGCTCTTGTTGCCCAGGCTGGAGTGCAATGGTGCAATCTCGGCTCACTGCAACCTCCGCCTCCAGGGTTCAAGCGATTCTCCTGCCTCAGCCTCCTGAGTAGCTGGGACTACAGGCACCCGCCACCATGCCAGTCGTGGGGTAGGGGAAGGGTGAGGGATAGCATTAAGAGAAATACCTAATGTAAATGATGAGTTAATGGGTGTAGCACACCAACATGGCACATGTGTACATATGTAACAAACCTGCAAGTTATGCACATGTACCCTAGAACTTAAGGTATAATAAAATAAATAAATAAATAAAAATAATTTACATATTTTTAGTAGAGACGGGGTTTCACCATGTTGGCCAGGCTGGTCTTGAACTCCTGACCTCAGGTGATCCACCCGCCTCGGCCTCCCAATGTGCTGGGATTACAGGCGTGAGCCACCACGACTGGCCCACTGGTGTTTTTTTTTAATAAAAATAAATGTATTTTGAAATAATTTTTGAATTCACATAAATGTTGTCGGCTAGTATTAAGAACTCCCAGAAACACTTTTTCTAGATTAGGACACTTGCATCAATAACCACAGCAAAAGAATCACAATCATGAAATTATCATTGATCAAATATTGATTAAATATCATTATCTTATCCGCACACCGTATTCAAATCTCCTTGATTGTCCTTGTAATATGCTTCTAAGGACAAGAATCCAATCCAATATTGTATAATACATTTAACTATCATGTTTCATTAGCCTTTTAAGACTGGAACAGTTGCTCAGGCTCTCCTTGTATTTCATGGTTTTGAGAGATATGAAGAATGCAGGCTAGTTGCTTTGCATAGTGTTTTATATTGATTTGTATTCTCGTTACATTGTATCAGAAAGTACACAACGGCTAACTGTCATTTTACTGATGATGTTAACTTTTATCATTTTGTTAAGATAGTGCCAGGTTTCTCCACTGTAGAATTAACTAATATATGCATTAATTAATACATAAGTTTAAGCATTTTGTAGAAATATACTCTGACACTTTGTAACTGTCCTGTTCCTCATCAAAATTTCACCCACCAATTTGCATCCATTTATGATTCATGCATGAATTATTGCTATGATGATTGCCAAATGCTGATTATCCAATTCCAGCATTTCTTTTGCACTTATTAGTCAGCAGTCTACTTAAGTAGAACTTGCCCTCTCTTCCATTTAATAATTATTCAGTTATCATTTATTTATTTATTTATGGATTTTGGATTTCTGTCCTACTCAAAATGTTGACATTGTTACTACAGTTATTTTGACACTCAAATTATCTTATATTTGTTAAGTAGAAGCCTGTTCAATGTTGTTGCTGTATCTTTTTGACACACCTACATTATTCTTTGAGCACATTCTTACTCCAAGCCCAAGTGGTTCCCGGCTCATCCTGTATTTCCTTGCCCAAGCCTTGGAGTGAGCCACTTCTTCAAAGAATCTTGCTTCATTTTAGTGAATAATTATATTTATGAACCAAGACCAATGTGCTAATGTGCTCATTTCAAATGAAGCGTCACTATATATTGGCTGGTCGGTGGAGAGATTTGGGAAATATATGTGTATATATATATATATGTACACACACACATGCACACATACACATATATGTGTGTGTATATCTATATATACACACACACGTACAAACTCATACATGCATATCTATTTTAATATCAACTTATATATAATTTATTCTTGAAAATCATGATTTCACACTGCTACTTCAAATTCTAGCCATTCCATTTCCATGTCTGTAACTCCATTTTTTAACAGTGTGAAACTTAGCTTCCTTATTTCCTTATTCCTTGTTTGCTTATTTTCTTCATCCTCTTATATCGTATGTAGCAATCTTACAGCAGTCTTGGTAATAGCTCAACACCTATGGAGGGGGAAAAAAGAAAAGAAAAACGAAGAAGGAGATAATCTCACCATGTCTTTCAACTAGTTCAATTTCACCCTTGAGGTCTTAGCTCAAATGCAACTACCCTTTACAACTGGCCTTTTCACACAGGGCCACAGAGGGCCACACAAGTCCCACGTAAAAATATAAGAAAATTGACTACCTAGTTTTTATAATGTTTTATTTTTTCAATGTGTCAAATTTTTGATGCTTTATTCCAGTAAACTGGTTAAGATCTTAGACTTTTTGAGATTTGATTCTGCCATTTATTAGCATTATGAACTTGGGTGATGGATTTTAATTCTCAAATATAAAATGGAGCTCATATTACAAAGACAGCTAACTCATACAGATGTTGTAAAGAACAAATGAGATCAGAACTTAAAGTTCTTGGCATGAGTTTTATCTGGCATGTAGTAATCACTTCAACAAGAAACGTTAGTTGTTGCTGAAATATATTTGGGGTAGTATTGTTGTTGCTATCAGGTTCAATTGATGTTAATATTAGCATTAGCACTCTTAAGATTTTTTCCTACAATAATTTATGTATCTTCCAAATCAGAATCATATGCTATACAGTTACCATTAAACTATCTGAAGATTTTTTCTTAAGAAACATATAAATTCACAACAATAAAAATCTTGCATAATTTTAGCATAGTATTCATAATGATGTGAATATATTGATTATGTTAGCCTGCCTATTACAAAGAGATTCTATTATTTTCAAAGTTGATTCATGGCATTATACACACACTAATACACACACACATATATAGACACATAATATATGCCTAAGCAATGATGAAAAAACTGGCAAATTCATCTTTTAACTGTTTATATTTTAATAAATGTGTTTTTAAAATATATTACTAATGTCCAGAATTGTTACTAGAAAATCAATACATTATATCAATTTTCTTGATGCCTGCTTTTATTTAGAAAAACAAATGTTTAATGATTATCTGTATTTTGTTTTTAGGAATCAATAATGTTGGTCTCTCATGTTTTTTAAATAAAGGTTTTATTTCTAAATGGAAATAAAATACATTTTATTTTAAAATTGCATGATAATAGAGTACACAAAATAAAACTAAAACAACAACAAGAACCAAAAACAAGAGGATTTTACATAAACATACACCTTCCAAGCAACCAATTATTAGCATCAATTTACTTGGACATAATATGAATGAAAATAGCTGAAAACCTATTGGTATGGAAATGTGCCACTGCCCTCTTATGGAAGATACTTGAATGACACTCAGTGGTTTCACAGATCACTTTTGGAGTGGAGATATAATTAAGATTATAGTGAACAATATGGTTCAATTCATTATACTTTATTCTGTTCACCTATTGTTTAGATTTTTGTAAGTTAATTTCCTAACTATAAAATATTTTAAAATTATATTTGTATAATATTAAAATTCCCCTTAAACTAATCAACTAATCAGTATAGAATTTTGACAAATTTCCTTTTTATATAGCGTCCTTCAAACTTGTATCAGAATTATAATAGTATGTTTAGTGAAAAATTAAAATACAGTAGTTGAGCATTTATGTTTGAAGGTGGGTGACATAACTCATTTTAATGTTTAAATCATGGCTGGTTAACACAGATGGAAAAGCTGGATAGATGTCGAAAATAATAGTTCACATTATGTAACATGTATTATTTGACATGCATTGTTCTAGGTCTAAAGCATTCCACATTATTAATCCACTATATTCTTACATCAACCTTATGAATTAAGTACTGTTATCATTTCTAATTCAGATGGAGGCATGGAAAAGTTACATTAATTATTCAAAGTCATTTGGATTCAAAGTAGAAGAGCTGGTATTTGAGCCAAGGCAATCTGGTTTCAAATAATTTATATGAAGATCTTACACAGGCTTACCTTGTTTTATTACACTTTGCTTTACAGAGCTTTGCACATACTGTGGTTTTTCTTTTACAAATTGATGGTTTCTTCCTTTAATCCAGCTAGTCTATCAGAACCATTTTTCCAACACCATGCTCACTTCATGTCTCTATGTCACATTTAGGTAATTATTGAAATATGTTAAGCTTTTATATTAGTATTACAACTTCTGTGGTGATCTCTTATGTTAGATTATTGTGGTTTTGGGGTACCATTAACCTCCCCCTTATAAGACAGCAAAGTTAATAAATGTTGCCAGTATTCTGACTGTTTCACCAACTGGCTTTTCCCCAGTCTCTCTTACTCCTAGGGCTTCCCTATTCTCTGAGACCCAAGAATATAAAAACTAGGCCAATTAATAGCATTACAATTCTAAGTGTTCAAGTGAAAGGAAGTGTTGTTCATCTCTCACTTTAAGTCAAAAGCTAGAAATGATTAAGCTTATTGAGGAAGGCATGTCAAAAGCTGATATAGGCCGAAAGCTGATATAGGCTGAAAGCTAGGCCTGTTGCACCAAACAGCCAAGTTGAGGGTGCAAAGAAAAGTCTCTGAAGGAAATTAAAAGTGCTACTTCAGTTGTCACACCAATGATAAGAAAGCAAAACAGCTTTATTACTGAAATACAGGAAGTTTTAGTGATCTAGATAGAAGATCAAACCAGCCACAACACTCTCTTAAGCTAAGCCTAATCCAGAGCAAAGTACTAACTCTCTTCTATTCTGTGAAATCTGAAAGTAGTGAGAAAAAAAGAAAAAACTGAAGCTAAAGAAGTTGATTCATGAATTTAAGGAAAGAAGCCATCTCCATAACATAAAAGTACAAGGTGAAGCAGAAAGTGCTGATGGAGAAGCTGCAGGAAGTTATCTAGAAGATCCAGCAAAGATAATTAATGGGATGACTACACTAAACAACAGATTTTCAGTGTAGATGAAACAGCCCTGTATTTAAGGATATGCAACCTAGAACTTTCATGGCTAGGGAAAAGTCAGTATCTAGCTTTAAATCTTCAAAAGACAGGCTGACTCTCTTGTTACAGGCTAATGCAGCTAATGACTTTAAGTTGAAGCCATTGCTCACTTACCATTACACCAATCCTAGGACCCTTTAGAATTACGCTAAATCTACTCTGCCTGTGCTCTGCAAATGTAACAACATAGTCTGGATGACAGCATATATGTTTATAGCATGGCTTACTGAGTATTTTAAGTGCGCCATTGAGAACTACTCCTCAGGGAAAAAAAATCCTTTTAAAATCTTATTGCCCATTGCCAACGCACCTGTTCATCCAAGAGCTCTGATGGAGATGTACAAGATTGGTGTTGTTTTCATGTCTGCTAATATATTCTTCAGCCCAAAGAACAAGGAGTAACTTTGGCTTTCAAGTCTTATTATTTAATGAATACATTTTGTAAAGCTGTATTCGCCAAAGATAATTATTCTTTTGATGGATCTAGGCCAAGTATATTGTAAACGTCTGGAAAAGTATCACCGTCTAGATGCCATTAAGAACATTAGTGATTCATGGGAGGAGCTCAAAGTATCAACATTAACAGCAGTTTGGAAGAAGGTGATTCCAGCCCTCATGGATGACTTTGAGGAGTTCAGAGTCTTAAATGGAGAAAGGAAGTATAGATGCGATGGAAATAGTAAATGAACTGGAATCAGTAAGTGGAGCCCGAAGTTGTGACTGAATTGCTGCAATCTCATGATTCAAATTCAATAGATAAGAAGTTGCTTCTAGTGGATAGCAAAAAAAAAGTGGTTTCTTGAGATAAAATATACTCCTAGTGAAAATGCTATGGACATTGTGGAAATGACGAGAAAGGATTTAGAATACTGCACAAACTAACTTGATAAAGCAGCAACAGGGTTTGAATGGATTGAATCCAATTTTGAAAGAAGTTCTGTGGGTAAAATGCTATCAAACAACATCACATCCTACACAGAAATCTTTCATGAAAGGAAGTCAACCTATGGGACAAGCTTTATTGTCTTCTTACTTTTAGAAATTGCCACAGCCACCCTAACCTTCAGCAACCACCACCCTGCTCAGTCAACAGCCCAACCATCAACATTAAGGTAAGATCCTCCACTAGCAAAAAGATTAAGACTTGCTGAAGACTCAAATGAATATTAGCATTTTTTAGCAACAAAGTATTTTTAATTAAAATATGTACCCTATTTTTTATGCATAATACTATTGCACAGATAGTAGACTACAGTATTGTGCAAACATAACTTTCTATGCACTGGGAAATTTAAAAATCCATGTGACTTGCTTATTGTGATATTTGCTTGATTCAGGTTGTCTGGAACTGAACTTGCAAAATCTCTAAGGTATGCTGTGTATTTATCCATGATCCCTGAAGAGAACTTAGCAATGGTCAGCTCATCTCTACTTATATCATTATAATGAGTTTCCACAATTTAAGTGGGCAAACTAATTTGATCCTATAATAAGAGTGTAATTGTTCATATGGGGCTCTGTTTATTCTCCTCTAATATTTCTTCCTCTTTCAATACCTGCTTCTCTTCTACCCCACCTACTTAAAAAAAAATAAAAATGAAAAACATGTGTCTTCTATGTCAAGTGCTATGTAAGTTCTGGGAACATGATTCTGAACAAAACAAAACACCTCACTTTTGGGAGTTTATAGACTAATGTAAGAAACAGATAATTTCAATATAGTGTGATGAATGCTGTGCTAAGGGTGAGCAGAGCACACAATCAGGACAAACAGCCCCACAAAAGAAAATACCATCTGAACTAAGAACTGAAAGATGTGTTGATTCTAGTCAAAGTTAAAGGGAAGAATGGAGAGGGATGTGGATATAGGTAATAGCATGTACAAGGAAATGAAGTAGAAGAAATTTAGAATACAATAGTTAAAGAACTATGAATATAGCAATTGCTAGGGGACAGAGGCATAAACTTATTGCAGAGAAGGAGGGTTACCATCTTAAACACTTTGTACTGTAGGAAATAAAAAGACTTAAAATGATTTTTGTACTTTAGAAGGTGTATGTTTATGTAAAATCTTGTTTCTTTTTGTTTTCTTTGCTTAATGCTTTATTTTACACACCTCTATTAATGTGTAATTTTAAAAGAAAATGTACTTTTATTTCTCCATAGAAATAAAACTTAGTAAAATAATATTAAAAGGTCAACATTATTGATTCCTAAAAACAAAATACAATCATTAAGTGTGTTTTCCTAAATGAAAGCAAGCATCAAGAAAACTGATATAATATATTGATATTCCAATAACAATTCTGGACATTAGTAAAATATTTTGAAAACACTTTCATTAAAATGTAAATAGTGAAAAGATTAATTAGTTAGGTTTTTCATCATTGCTTTGGTATTATTGTGTGTGTGTGTGTATGTGTATTACTGTTTGTTAAATGCCATAAATCATCTTTGATAGTAATAAAACCTCTTTGTATTAAGTAAGCTAGCACAATAAATTTATTTACATCATTTTGAATAATATGCAATATAAATCTAATACTGCTAAAAGTAATAATAAAGTATAGATTTCACTATTTTCCTTCATATTTCTAGAGAAAAATACAAATAACTGAAATATTTAAAAGTATAATTCTAGTCTGATCATTCTCTTAAAAACCTAAGTCAGCCTTGTTAGTTATTCAATGAGCCAGACAAGGTTGCCATGTCTGGCTGATCAGTGAAGGGCATCAAAGAATGGAAAACAAAAGTAGGAGCTCACAGTCCATTACTCTGTCTAGTGCACACTTTTCTTTAATGATGTTACAAGGTAATACAATTTTATATTAAAAGATAAAATCTCATCCACATATAATTAGTCCTTCCTCTCTGATAATCAAAACTATCATGTGAACACAGAAATTTATATTTCTATTCTGTCTATTATCAAGTAATTATAATTTTTATTAAGACAAAGCATAATTTAATGCCAAAAATATTTTTCCCTATTCCAAAAACTTTTTTATGGCCTTAACATTACCTGAAATTGTATGACTATAATTTTTAAAAGTTATTATACTTTAATAATATACAACTATTGAATAAACTAAAAAAAACTACTTGTGAAATTTCAGATATTTTCATGTGGAAAAAAAAAATTGATTAAATAGAAAATTAGCTGGCAGAATCAAGACAAAATCTCAGAATTAATGTTTATCAGCATTATATGCATCATGAAGTGCACGCTGATGATGAGAATATAAAAAAAAGTGAATGTTTCCACCCATCATCACCATCATAGAGGTATTTGCTGACTCTGCCTAAGTGAATCAGTTCTAACAGCTTAATTTAAATAAATTGGAAATTTGAAAATTTGGAACCTCTGGAAAATTGAAGTTTAGTATTGAACTATTTTATTTTCTAAAAACACACAGGTAAATATACAACAAAGTCATGACAAAAATAACTGTTGTTTTTGCTATTGAAATGAGTGAATAGCAAAACCAGAAGATAGATTTATTTACTTATTTTGGTTGAAATTTGTTTGAATAGAAATATTTTATTAACAGTTGAGAAAAAATAAAAATGAAACAGTCCTGGATAAGAAAACGCTCCCTCTGCTTTATGGATAAGTTATTATTAAAAGAGTTATAAAGTAAAAACACAATAGAAAATAAGTTCCATATCATGATATTAAAGTGTATATGATGTAAATAGTCAGATTTATTTTACTGAAACTAATTACTAGAACCAGTTTGCCAGTGGCTTCATTTGGCAAAAGAAATGGAGAGTAGGGCTGGGCATGATGTCAAGTGCCTATATAGTCCCAACTACTCAGGAAGCGAGGCAGGAAGATGGCTTGAGCCTAGGAGGGTGAAGCTGTAGTGTGCAATGATCACATTTGTGAATAGTTACTGCACTCTAGCCTGGGCACCATAGAGAGACCTTTTCTCTAAAAAGAAAAAAAAGAAAGAAGAAAAGAAAGGAAAGGAAGAGGAGGAGAAGAAGAGGGAAAGAATGGAGGAAGAAGGGAGGGAGAGAAGGAAGGAAGGAGAGATGAAGAAAGGAAGAAAGAAAGGAAGGAGGGAAAGAGGAAGGAAGGAAGGTGGGAGGGAAGGAGTGGAAGGGAGGGAGAAATGGAGGGAGGAAGAAAAGAAAGTGAAAGAAGAAAAAGAAAGAAGGAAGGAAAGAAAAAAGAGAGAAAGAGAGAAGGAAAGAAAGAAAAGAAAGAAAGCAAAGAAAGAAAGAAAAAGAAAGAAAGAAAGAGGGATGGATGGAAGGAGGGAAAGAAAGAAAGGAAGAAAGAAAGAGAGAGAAAGAAAGAAAGAAAGAAAGAAAGAAAGAAAGAAAGAAAGAAAGGAAGAAAGATGGAGGGAGGGAGGGAAAGAAAGAGAGAGAGAAAGGAAGAAAGAAAGAGGAAGGAAGAAAGAAAGGGGAAAATAGAGAAAGAGAAAGAAATAGGGTAGATATTAATATTTAGAATAGCTGGTTGTTTGGTTGGTTGTCTATTTCAACATTTCATTACTTGATACAAGAACTCAGAAAAAAGGAATTTGAAAAGATTAAATCTCTTGTAGGAATGCTTACAGAAAGAAAGAATTCAAATTATTATTTCCAAAAGTGGATTTAGAAAGTATAGAGTGAATAGTTAAACTTTGATTTGATTTGTTCAGCAGCGATTCGGACATCCAGGTCCCTTCTGCTCAGACAGGCAATCTTCATTGTTCAGTTCTATAAGATATTAATTTCATTATTGTAATGCTCATATGTTCCAGTATTAATCCTTTTAATATTTGCTCAAATTGAAATCTTTAAAATGGAGGTTTAAAAAGGCATATCCCCGATGAGACAGAGAGTGCTCTGGAGGGAATAAATATAAGCCAGGTGTCTGCATTATTAATTCTATTGACCTTGCACTAATGTGTGTAAATGCTAGTGATGAGCAGATAGAATGGCTGCCACATTGTTATTGTGCTTGAAATTTTTAAAATTTACTCTATATTATCAGGTCAAGGTGTGCTGGGGTTTCATGTTCTACTTTTTTTTGCTTTTTATAATGAAACATTCCTTAAAAACACTGAAACAACCAATTTTTGGAACTAGTATATTAGACTGTTCCTGAAAAAATTCTATTCTCAGAAAAACAAATGTCAATCTCTACTAATTAGTTTTTTTTTAATCTTCTTTACTATGCAACTGAATATACCCTGAAAAGGCAATTGATGAAAAATAATAGCAGCTGGGATATCACCACTCATCTGCAGGAGATGGTTTCTTTTATTTATGCAGCACCACATATGGTATTGCAGAGGCACCACATGGCACGTTTTTGCTGTTCAAACAATTCAGGTGTTTTGGGTTTTGGTGGTGACAGTGTGTGTACATATGTTTTGATGGTGGTACTAAAAATGATCTTGGTGTGTTAAAGCAATAACCAAATCCAAAGGGCATTTAATTTAGGACAAGATAATGTTTAGTCCCTTTTTTCTTTTCACCTCCACATGAGAGGTATTCTTAAGACAAACTTTTAGGTAGAATTTCATGTCATAATAGCTAGAGGATGAGCCAACTTTGGAGTTAAGCATTTGAGGCAAAATAACATATGAAGCATTTTATTTCAGTTCCAAATTTTGAAGGTGAAAATATGCTATACTCAGTAATAGATAGCTTATGGAATGTTTTGTTTTAATATTTCCAATAGTTTTCTAGAGTTTTAAGGTTTTCTCTTTTTGTCAAAACTTTATGGCTCAAAAATTTACAACTAAGCACTTTCATTTTCATTCTGTTTGAGAAAAGGCAATAATAATTTGTCTTATTTCATTTTGTGTTGCTATAACAGAATACCAAAGTCCAGGTAATTTATGAAGAAAAGAGTTTAATTAGCTCATGGTTCTGCAGGCTGGGAAGTTCAAGAAGCATGGTGCCAGCATCTGCTTGGCTTCTGGTGAGGGCTTTTGTGCTGGTCACAACATGGTAGAAGGTCAAAAGGGAAGAAGACGTGTGAAAAGGGATCAACCAGGAGGAACTTCCCTTTATAACAACCCAATCTCATGGGCACTATTCCATTCTTATAAGAACTAATCCAGTCTCATGAGAGAGAGAACTCACTTCTGCAAGAAAGCCACCAAGCAATCCATGAGTGGTCCACTCCCATGACCCAAACGTCTCCCATCAGGCCCCATATTCCAATACTGCCACATTGCGGATAAAATTTCTACATGCATTTTAGTCAAGGAGAAACCACATCCAAAGGATATCAAAATCAATATTTTACTTGTCATTTTTAAATTTTCTTTGCACCCATAATTCCTAACCAAGAATATATATTAGAATAACTGTGAAGTTTTAAAACTATACTCTTGTCCTGCTTCCAACCCCAGAAGAATTTTTATTTAGTAGGTTGGAAATTGATATGGTTTGGCTCTTTGTCTCCATCCGAATCTTATCTTGAATTCTAATCCAAATTGTATTCCACATGTGTTGGGGGAGGGAACTCATGAGAGATAATTAGGTCACAGGGGTGGTTCCCTCATGCTGTTCTTGTGACAGTGAGTGAGTTCTCATGAGATATGATGGTTTTATAAGGGATTTTCCCCCTTCACTCAGCACTTCTCTTTCCTGCTGCCATGTGAAGAAGGACGTGTTTGCTTCCCCTTCTGCCGTGATTGTAAGTTTCCTGAGGCCTTCCCAGCCCTGTGGAACTATGAGGTAATTATACCTCTTTCCTTTATAAATTATCCAGTCTCAGGTATTTCTACATAGCAGTGTGAGAATAGACTAACACAGAAATATAGCTTTAACAAGTGTACAGGTGATTGAAAACATAATTATAGTTAAGGAGCACTATGTATTGATCTTGAATTTACTGGAAACACATACTGATTTGATGATTTGTTAAAAAGAAGTAACTTCTGCATAAAAATACACATAAACACAAACACATGAAAATGCAAATATATTTTCATGAAATTATGTCCTAAGGTCTCACTGTATCAATATACTAGACTATCTCATTATGACTCTAATACCTTACTCAGTACATTTTCTCCTTCATTCTTTTATGTTTTAATTTTTTATTTTTAATTATTATGGGTATATTGTAGGTGTACATATTTGTGGCTGATATGGTTTTTCTGTGTCCCTACCCAAATCTTATCTTGAATTGTAACGCCAACAATTCCCACATGTCATGGGGGTAACCCAGTGAGAGGTGATTGAATTACGGGGGCAGGTCTTTCCTGCACTATTCTTGCAATAGTGAACGAGTCTCACAAGATCTATGATTTTAAAAATGGGAGTGTCCCCGTACGAGTTCTCCTTTTTGCCTGCCACCATCCACATAAGATGTGATTTTCTCTTCCTTTCCTTCCACCATGATTGTGAGGCTTCTCCAGCCACGTGAAAGTGTTAAGTCCGTTAAACCTCTTTCTTCTGTAAATTGCCCAGTCTTGGGTATGTCTTTATCAGCAGCATGAAAATGGATTAATACAGTGGCATACATGAGACATTTTTATACAAGCCTGCAATGCATTATAATAAAATCATGGAAATGAGGTATCCATCCCCTCAAGCATTTATCCTTGTGTCACAAACAATCCAATTATACTCTTAGTTATTTTAAAATGTACAATTAAATTATTATTGACTATAGTCACCCTCCTGTGCTATCAATAGTAGGTCTTAACTCATTCTAGATAACTATTTCTTTTGACTCATCAAGCATCACCACCTCCCCCACACTCCCCAACTCTCCTTCTACCCTGCCTAACCTATGGTAACCATCCTTCTACTCTCTATCTTAATGATTTCCATTACTTTGATTTTTAGATCTCACAAATAAGTGAAAACATTCAATGTTTGTCTTTATGTTTCTGGTTTATTTCACTTTACAAGATGACCTCCAGTTCTATCCATGTTGTTGCAAATGACAGGATCTCTTATGCATTTTTATGACAGGATATACTCAATTGTGTAAAAGTATCACATTTTCTTTAACCATTTATCCATTAATGAGCACTTAGGTTGCTTCCAAATCTTGACCATTGCTGTGACAAACATCGGCGTCTAGATATATCTTTGATATATTGGTTTCCTTTCTTTTAGGCATATACTCAGCAGTAGGATTGCTGGATCATATGGTAGCTCTATTTTTAGGTTTTCAAGAAAACTCCTAAAGGTTCTCCATAGTCGATGTACTATTTTACACCCCCACCAAGAGTGTACAAGAGTTCCCTTTTCACCACATCCTTGCTAACATTTGCTATTGACTGTCTTTTGTTTCTGCATTCTCTATTCTGTTCCACTGGTCTATGTCTCTATTTTTATGACAGTATCATGGAGTTTTGGCTATCATAGCTTTGAACTATAATTCGAAGTTTGGTAATATCATTCCTCTGATTTTATTCTTTTTGCTCAGGATAGCGTTGGCTACTCTGGGTCTTTTGTGGAACTGATTTTGTATGTTGATTTTGTATCTTGCAACTTTACTGAATTCGTTTATCAGTCCTAACAGTTTTTTTGATGGAGTCTTTAGGTTATTCCAAATATAAGATCATATCATCTACAACAAGGATAACTTGACTTTTTTCTTTTCAGTTTGGATACCCTTTATTTTTTTCTCTTGTCTGATTGCTGTAGCTAGGACTTCCAGTACGATTGAGATGTTGAATAATAGTGGTGACAGTGGGCATCTTTGTCGTGTTCCAGATCTTAGAGGAAATGCTTTTAGATTTTCCCCACGCAGTATGATACTAGCTATGGAGCTGTCTTATATGGCTTTTATCATGTTGAGGTATGTTCCTTGTATATCCAGTTTTTAAGGGATTTTATCATGAAGCAACGTTGAATTTTACCAAATGCTTTTTCAGCATCAATTGAAATATCATATGGTTTTTATCCTTCATTCTGTTGATACAATATATCACATTGATTGACTTGCAAATGTTGAGCCATCCTTGCATCCCAGGAATAAATCCCACGTGGACATAACGAATGATCTTTTAAATGTATTGTTGAGTCCTGTTTGCTAATATTTTGTTGGGGATTTTTGCATGAGTATTAATCAGAGATATTGGTCTGGCATTTTATTTTTTTGATATGTCTTTGTCTGGTTTTGGTATCAGAGTAATACTCGTCTCATAGAATTAGTTTTTAAGTATCCCCTCTCTTATTCTTTGAAATAGTTTGAGTAGGATTGGTATTATTTCTTTTTTAAATGTTCGGTAGAATTCAGCAGAGAAGCCATTGGGGCCCAGGTTTCTCCTTGCTGGGTGAGTTTCATTGCAGCTTCAATATCATCATTTGTTATTGGTCTGTTTGGGTTATGTATTTTCTCATGGTTCAATCTTGGTGGATTGTATTGTCTGGGAATTTATCTGCTTCTACTAGATTTTCAAATTTATTGGCATATAATTACTCATAGTAGCCACTAACAATCCTTTCAATTTCTGCAGTATCAATTGTAATGGTTACGTTTTTCATCTCTGATTTTATTTATTTGGGTCTTCTCCCTTTTTTCTTTGTTAGTCTGGCTAAAGGTTTGTCAATTTTGTTTATCTTTTCAAAAAGCCAACTTTTTGTTTTGTTGATATTTTGTATTTTCTTCATTTCAAATGCATTTACTTCTGCTCTTATCTTTATTATTATGTTTTTCTACCACTAATTTTAGTTTTGGCTTGCTCTTCCTTTTCTAATTACTTAAGATGCATCACTAGATTGTTTATTTGAAGTTATTCTCCTTTTTTGATGTAGGCACTTATAGCTATACATGTTCCTCTTAGTATTGTTTTCACTGTATCCCATGAGTTTTGGTATGTTGTGTTTCAATTATCATTTGTTTCCAGAAATCTTAAATTTTCTTCTGAATTTCTTCATCGACTCACTGGTCATTCAGGACCATATAATTTACTTTCAATGTGTTTGTATAGTTTCCAAAATTTCTTTTGTTATTGATCTCTAGTATTATTCCCTTGTAGCCAGATACGATGCTTGGTATTATTTCATTTTCTTGAATGTTTTCAGACTTGTTTTGTGACCTAATGTATGATCTATCTTTTAGAATGATTCATGTGCTGAGGAGAAGAATGTGTATTCTGAAGCTGATGCATGAAATTTTCTGTAAATATCTATAAGGTTTATATTTGGTCTGTAGTGCAGATTAATTCTGATTTTTTTTGTTGATTTTCTGTCTGGGAGATCTGTTCAATGCTAAAAATGGGGTCTTGAAGTCTCTGGCTATTATTTTATTAGAGTTTCTATCTCTCTTTAGATCCAATAATATTTGCTTTATATATCTTGGTTCTTCAATGTTGGTCGCATATGTATTTATAATTGTTATATCTTCTGACTGAATTTACCCCTTTATCATTAAATAATGACCTTCTTTGTATTTTCTTGTAGTTTTTATATTGAAATCTATTTTGTCTGACAAAAGTATAGCTACTCTTGCTCTTTTTTTTGTTTGTTTCCAATGATTTGGAATATCTTTTTCCACCTTTTATTTTCAGTCTACATGTATTTTTATAAGTGAAGTGTGTTTCTTGTAGGTGACAGATTATTTGTTCTTGTTTTTTCATCCATTCAGCCACTCTATGTCTTTTGATTGGAATATTTAGTTCATTTATAATCAATGTTATTATTGACAAGCAAGGACTTCCTCTTGCCATTTTGCTAAATTTTTTCCAGTTGTTTCATTGTCTTCTCTTTTTTCTTTTCTTCCTGTCTTCCTCTTAGTGAATATTGTTTTCTCTGGTGGTATGATTTAATTTTTTTGCTTTTTGTATATCCATTGTATGTTTTTCAATTTGAGGTCACCATGAAGCTTGCAAATATTATCTTATAATATATTATTTTAAAATGATGACAACTTAACACTAATTGTATAAATGAACAAATATCCCAGAAGAAACCTTATAAAAACTCTATACTGTAACTTAATCTCCTACTTTAAAAACTGTTTTTATTTCTCTTCATATCTTATTGTACTATGTCTGAAAAGCTGTTGTACTCATTTTTAATATTTCATCATTTAGTCTTTCTACTTAAGATGAGTATTTTACACACCCCAATTACAATGTTATAATATTCTATGCTTTTCTATGAGCTTACTATTACCCGTGAGTTTTGTATCTTCTTGCTTATTAACACTATTTTCTTCCAAATTGAAGAACTCCCTTTAGCATTTTTTGTAGAAGAGGTCGGGTATGAATGAAATCTCTCAGCTTTTGTTTGCTTGGGAAAGCCTTTATTTTTCCTTCAGGCTTGAAGAATATATTTGCCAGATATACCATACTAGGGTAAAGGTTTTTTTTTTTTTTTTTTTTTTCTAATTTTATTTTTGGCTCCAGCACTTTAAATATGGTATGCCACTCTATTTTGGCCTGTAATCTTTCCATTGAAAAGCCTGCTGCCAGACATACTGGCATTCCATTATATGTTATTTATTTCCTTTCTCCTGCTGCTTTTAGGAGCCTTTCTTTATCCTTGATCTTTGGGAGTTTGATTATTACATGCATCAAAATAGTTTTCTTTGGCTTAAATCTGCTTCGTGTCCTATAACCTTGTTGCATTTGAAAACTGATATTTCTAGGTTTAGGAAGTTCTCTATTATTATCCCTTTGAATGAATTTCTATCCCTGTCTCTTTCTCTATCTCCTCTTTAAGGGCAATAACTCTTATATTTGCCCTTTTAGGCTATTTTCTATATCTTATTGACATGCTTGATTCTTCTTATTTTCTTATGTCTCCTCTGACTGTATATCAAATAGCCTGTCTTCAAGTTCACTAATTCTTTCTTCTGCTTGATCAGTTCTGCTATTAAGAGATTGATGCATTTTCTGTATGTTAATTGCACTTTTCAACTCCAGAATTTCTGCTTCTTTTTAATTATTTCAATCTCTGTTAAATTTATCTGATAGAATTCAGAATTTTTTCTTTGTGTTATCTTCAATTTCTTTGAGTTTCCCCAAAACAACAATTTAAAATTATCTGTATGAATGATCACATATCTCTTTTTCTCCAGGACTGGTCCCTGGTGCCTTTTAGTTCATTTAGCGAGCTCATGTGTTTCTGAATCATCTTGATGCTTGTGGATGGTCAATGCTTCTGGGCATTGATGAGTCAGGTATTTATTGTACTCTTTGCAGTCTGGGCTTGTTTGTGCCTGTCCTTCTTGAGAAGGCTTTCCAGATATTCAAAAGGACTTGTGCCTGAAGCCCAATAATGCTGTTTTTTGTTTGTTTGTGTGTTTGTTTGTTTTGTTTGTTTTTTTGAGATTCATAGAGATACTCCCTTGGTGACTTGAATAAGATCTGGGAGCATTTTCTGGATTACCAGGGAGAGACACTTGTTCTCTTCCCTTAATTTCTGTCAAATAAATGGAGTCTCTCTTTGTACTGAGCCACCTGGAACTGGGAATGTGGCATTGCAAGTACCCCTGTGGTCACCACCACTGGAACTATGCTGGGTTTGACCTGAAGCCAGCACAACACTATGTCTCACCCATTGCCTTCTGTAACCACCACCTGGCTACCAACTGTGTTCACTCAAGGCCCTACAGCTCCATAATAGGTAGGTAGCAAAGCCAACCAGGTTTGTGTCCTTCTTTTCAGGTGTTGGGTTCTCCCAGGTCCCAGACAGGTCCAGAGATGCTGTCTGGGAGGCAGGGATTGGAGTCAAAAATCTTAAAAATTTACCCAATGTTCTACTCTTCTGCAGCAAAGCTGGCATTCAAACCACAAGACAAAATTCTCTCCACTCTTCCCTCCTCTTTCCTCAGTCAGAGGAGCCTCTCTCTGTGGCCACTACCACCAGCCCATAAGGTGCTCTGCCAGACCACCACTGATGTTCACTTAAAGACCAAGGACTCTTACTCACCCTTCAGAAAAGTGGGCTCCCGTCTGGCCAAAAGCTGGTCCAGAAATGCTGTCCAAGAGCCTAGTCCTTGGCTCAGAGACCCCAAGACCCTGCTTGTTGCCCTAGCCCATTGTGGCGGAGCTGGTACCTAAGGTGCAAGACAAAGTCATCTTTATTTTCTCCCTGATTTCCTTAAACAGAAGGAGTGTTTTACTATTGTCACTAGAGCTGGGAGTGTGCTGGGTCACATATGAAGCCAGTACATCTCAGAGCCCAAGGCCCATGGCATACTACCTGGGTATCACTACTGGTTATTCAAGGCACAAGGGCTCTTTAGTCAGCATGTGGTAAGTCCTGCCAGAACTGGGTCTTTTCCTTCAGGGCAGAAGGCTCCCTTTTGGCCCAGGATGTGTCTAGAAATGTCACCCCCAGGAGCTAGGGTCTGGAATGGGGACCTCACAGCTCTACTCTGTGCCCTATCCTACTGTGGCTGAGCTGGTATCCAAGATGCAAGATACAGTCCTTCTTACTGTTTGATCTCTCCTCAAGCAAAAGGAAGGAGTCATTTTTGTTGCTGCAAGTCACACTGCCTGGGGTTGGGGGAGTGGTGGCACAAGCACTACTCCCTTAACCACCCAGGCTGGTGTTTCCCTAGGTCATGTGCCACCCTAGTCCACCCTAGTCCCAGCCCAGCAGTAGGAATTGCCTAGGAATTGCAGTCCTTGTGTCCTAGACTGCCTTTCAAGTTTACCTAGGACCCCAGAGCACTTTGGCCCATGTTGGTGAGGCTTGCTGGGACACCCAAGTTTTGACTGCTGGGATGGGCGATTTCTTTCCGGATATGTTTGGTCTAAATGCTCTCTCTGTGCACAGGTGCTGACTCAGCCTAGCACAGCTTTTCTCTCCTCTGTGGCAGGGCAGCACTGAGTTATATGTAAAAGTCCCTTAGTCACTGTGCTTTCCCTTCCCCAAGTGCACAGGCTGCACAGCAGGCCCTCTGTTAGGAAATGGGAAAGAGGTGGCTTCAGCAATTCAAGAATGTCCCCTACCCTCTTCAATGCCTCTTTCAGCAATATGAAGTTAAAACCAGTATTGTGAATGTTCACCTGATTTTCTTGTTCTTGTGATCGTGCTTTTCTGTGTATATGCAGTTGTTAAAATTTGGTGTTCCTGCAAGGAAGATAAAAGGTGTAGGCTTCTATTCCACCATCTTGCTCCACCCCCTCATCCTTTTATTCCACTTTATTATCCCTCCCGTCACAGTCCCTAGTCTCCTTTCTGTTTGAAGACAGACAAATCTTGGCTACATCACTTGGAGGTGCAACTTTAGGCCAGGGTTTATAGAAGTAGTGGAAAGTAATACAAATTTGAAAGCCTCAAATTTTACAGTATAGAGAAGGCTATTTCAAACCACCATTTGTTGATTAACTCTTACATTTCCTGGGGAAAGGCAGGTAGCAGGTCTCACTGGCAAAGAAGAGAAAATGGAAAAAAAAATGAATAGCATTTATACTCTAATTATAATGGTGTCTTGTATAAAGTACTTAGAATAAGTTAGAATTTTAGTTAATAGAACCTGAGTGAATAAATCAATAAATAAGTGTACAGCTGAAGAACTGACTGCATGAAGGAAGCAAAAAGAAGAGAACTTTGTTCATTTTTCTTTAACTTCTTTGGCCAGATTTCCTTATCTGCCAAGTGAAACCATAATAAGGGTTTTAAATTCTATTTCAATTCAAAAATAAGATTCCTGCATTGTTCATATTACTCAGTGAATAGAAGGATGGAGAAATAATTCCTAGTGCAAGGCAGGTACCCGACTGTAGATTATATCAAAAGGAAATGAAATCAGCACTTCATAGAAAGATCTGTGCTCCCACGTGCATTGCAGCATTATTCATAATAGCCAAGATATGGAAACAATTTAAGTGTCAAGCAATGGAAGAATGAATAAAGAAATTGTGACATATATACACAATGGAATATTATACCATTTGTGAAAGCATGGATAAACTTGGAGGACATTATGCTAAGTGAAGTAAGCCAGACAGAGAAAGAAATATAGCATGACCTCACTTATATGTAGAAATGTAAAAAAAAAAAAAAAAAAAAAATCAAGTATATGGAAACAGAGAGTAGAACAGTTGATTACCAGGAGCGGGAAGAAGGTGAAAATGGGGAGAAGTAGGTCAAAAGATTCAAAGTTACATAGAATGAATAACTCTAGAGGTCTCATGTAAAACATGAAAATAATAGTTAATAATATTGCATTGAATATTGAAAAAATTGCTAAAAGAATACATTTTAGGTGCACTTGCCACCAGAAAATGTAACTATGGGAGATGATGGACAAGTTAATCACTGCAACTATGTTTATGTATATCAAAACAGCATATTGTACACCTTAGATATATACTTTATTTGCTTTCACTATATTTATATACATCAAAACAGCATGTTGTACACCTTAGATGTATACTTTTTTTTTTAAGAGCCCCCATGGCAAGAGAGTGAGAGAAGAAGAATGGTGCTATTTGGCAATACATTATTGTGTTACGGTTAAAGTCTGGCAGGTTAAGTATTAAAGATTAGGGTACCATATAAAAATATTGCCTCAACACAAAAATAAACAAAATTTTTATTAGTTCAGCCTCTGAAATAAGGAAGCACATTTGTGAATATTCATACATAAAATGCTGTCCAAAATAAATTATTCACAGAAATAGGTAAGATATAGAAGAGAGAATATAGAATGCTGTCATTTATGTAATATATTGTATTTCCAGAAGGATACAGAAGAAACTGGCAATGGTGATTGCCTTTAAAGATGGAGAATGGATGGCCAGGAGAAATGTTGGATGAGAACTTACTTCACACTGAATTGTCATAATTTTTTAGTTTTGTATAATGTGCATATACTGCCTATTTATAAAATATTAAACATTTTAAAGGGATACAAACACAATATTCATGAATATATTTTAAAAGACTAAAAATTTATGCACCAGTGGATTTAATACTTTAAATGCTGTGATACCATTTATTAACATCTATCTATAGCAGAGCGAGAATACTGGCTGAAATAAATCAATTGATATGGCATGTGTATTACCTCACTTATTTTGCTGCTATATCCATCATTGTTTTAAAAATGTAACTGATCTGGTGGTAGGATAAATGAAAGATTTTTAACTAGAGGACACTCAGTGAGGTTCCTCTGCTCTATCCAATTTCATATATACAACAGTTTTATTTAAAAATCATAGTCTTTTATACTTTGCAGACAATATTGAATCAGCAAGCAGTCAATTGTACACATGGTTTCTTGGGAGGCTGTAAGTACTTTTTCAAGAATCATAAGACTACATAAGAACACCATTGAACCATAATACTCTATTTTTCCTTAGACTCTGAAGCGGTGGTAACTCTATTCAATTAATGTAATTCATCCCACTTGGAATGTGATGTTTAGTTATTATGAAATGTCTAAGTGCTGACTGAAATGAAAGACAATCCAGTTCAGGTGATACAAAGAAAATCAATGTGAAAAACAAACATCATTTTTAAACTTTGTTTATTTGTAGATTAAAATGTAATGCATTACAATTTTAACAATCACTTAAAAATGATTTATATTTGCATAAAACAGAAGCAAAACAGAAATATATTAATTAAAATGCCATCTTGCTTCAAGTTTTCAAATTAGTACTTTAAGTACTTAAATGCATTGCAAGTATATTGTATAAATATACTATGAATAATCTTGAAACCACAATAAATATCAAGTAGGTTTTTAGGCACACGGCATAAGAAAAATGCAGAATCTGCATAATTCTTGAGAGTGCTGAGTAACTCACTCTTAGTTCATTTTCACACATATATTTTACACAAAATATACAGCCATCACTCACATGATTCTCAGTCACCTCTGAATCTCATCTTTCATCCCAGCGTTAGTGCCTTCTCATGCTTTGATTGCTATTGCTCTATACAGCTATTACATAAGAAAATATTTTGCAGTTTTCTTCAACTAATTGCCTAAGAAGGTGTCAATGCTACCAAAATCAATACAGCCTATCTACATAATATATTCATAGAAATGTGCTGAGAGGCACCCACTTACAGAACTGCTCATTGTGACACTGGAAGTTACCCTGAAGGCAAACTTATAAATTTTAATGTATACCATTTTTAATTGTCAACACTACTAAACCCAGAAATTATTAGAAACTGAGGTAATACCATTTTTTTAAGAGATAGAAATATTTGAAAATACACCAAAGGTACTTAAAAAAAAATCCTGGCAAACATGTACCTCAGCCCTCCTAAGATTTGTCTGCAATCCTTTCTGCACAAATGTAAACCAAAGAATCCAAAAGAATGCTCAAGTTGAACTGACATATACTGTTAGGATTAAAGATCACAGCCACGGAACACCTGAGATTGCCCTCTGATAAGTGAAGCCTAATGCTTCTCCTACTAGGGCCAATGTTCATTGGTAAAAATGAACCAAATAAAACCCACTGACTTTTCCCCCAGCTACAAATCAGATTCTGGCATATCTGGCATAATATCTGCCATCAAGTACCCTATTCCATACCGTCCATTGGGAGCAGTATCCAGAGTTGGGGATCCACTCTGTTTTCGATAAATATTTTTACCAAAATTTGGAGATGGCATCTCGCTCGGTATTTTTCCGTGAATGAGGCTTGTATCATCGCCCTCTAAGTTCACAGGCTCTTTCAGGACCCTTCCTCTCTTATAGGTCACAGATGCTAAATTACCAGAACTATCATCTATAAGGTTGAAGCGACGAACAATGAAAACTACAGGGACTGGGAGTATTGCAAAGACAACCAGAGAGACACAAACAACCAGTCCCCATGTTGGATAGCTCAGAAATTCTTCAGATGCCTGTTAAAGAAGAAAATAATAATTATTAGTAATCTATCTTTCTTTGCACATACATAAAATATTGTACTTGCTTCAAGTTTGTAAGCAAAGAATCTGGGCTGGCTTTGTGACTTGCTTTGACCAATAGAAAGCAGTAGAAGTGACACTCAGCAACTTCCAAGACTAGGCCTCAAAGGCCTTCCAATTTCTGCTTCTTTCTTAGAATATTGCCCTGAATATGATGCTTGGAAACGTTATAAGTGAAAGACCACCTAAAGAGAGAGCCCAGCTCTCCTCCAAGCTGAATGCAACTGCTTGAGTTAGCCCAGGCAAGAAAAGAAGAAGAACTGCTCAGCTCAGCCACAGAACTGTAAGAAATAATAAATCAATGTCGCTCTTAGCCATTAAATTTCAGGGTAGTTTGTTACTAAGCAATAGATACCTCTTAAATGTGTCATATATCTTTCTAAAATCTGGAAACCAAACTTTTGAAGCACATCTGGCCCCAAGGGTTTTGGTGAGAGAACGGATTTGTTTATGCCTCAGTCTAGAATTATTAACCATAGGATAGTTAAAGGTCAGAAGTATCTCTGAAAATAAGCACTTTTATTTTATAACAGCTGACATATACCTAATGATTTCATTATTATTCAGCTTGAGAATAGAAATTGAAATAGTTATTGCTAATATAAAAATTATAACAGAACTTTACTTCAAAATTTACTTATTTTAAATTGTACTTTGCTAATATATATTTTTCATCATTACATAGAATCTGGGATACAATTTTTATTTATTTATTTGTTTATTGATTGATTGAGTGATTGATAGTGACTTGCTTTGTCACACAGGCTGGAGTGCAGTGGTAATCATAACTCACTTTAACCTTCAACTCCTAGGCTCAAGCTATCCTTCAGCCTCAGCCTGACGAGTAGCTAGGACTATAGCCGTGTGCTACCATGCCCAGCTAATTTTTTTCATCTTTTGTAGAGACAGGGATTCTCTGTGTTGCACAGGCTGCTCTCAAGCTGCTGGCCTCAAGTGATGCTTTTGCCTTGGCCTCCAAAAGTGTTGGGATTATAGGTATGAGTCACTGCACCTGGCCTGGGATACAACTTCATAAATTCATATATTAAAATATTTCTAGAGTTTTGATTAATATGTTTTCTAGAGTCAAAGGCCCAATAATTATTGGTTCATCAGTGTTAAGATGGATATATCTGCTTTAATAAGGACAAGGTTAGTGCTTCACATGTGTTGAAAACATCCACAATGTATTTAAAAAATCACATATGCTCGGGGCAGAGCACAAACGTAAATCTCATATCCTTGCATAAAAGCTATGCCATTCATTAAACAGCAAAAAATACTGTGATGGAGACAAAAGAAAAAGCCCTCTAAAAAAGCTTTTTATATATCTTTTAAAAATGTAATTCCCTTATTTTGTATTTACCTTATCTTCAATCCATGCGTTATAGCCAGGAGGACTTAATCCCATATTCACAACACTAGCTATTAGCAATGATAATAGCATTAGAGGAGAAATATATTTCCACATATAGTAGTAATATCTGCTGGGAGCAAAGCCCAGCATATCTTTTAGGTCTTCCATAAACCTGAATAAAAAGAAAGTATTTAATTATTCCTTAATTTAATATTGCTAAACCTTAAAAAATGTGCATTATATTAATGGTCTGACAAACATTTACCATTGATACCCTATGACATTTTATACTGTATCAAAGTTCCTCTTGGAAGATGACTATAAAGTAAAATGAAGCCAGGTAAGTACTATAATTTTTATTTAGGGAAAGCTCTCTTAAGCCAATTACTGATTTCTCCTTCTACTGATAACTTTCTATTCTATAAACAAAATATTTTCAGTATATTAAAAATTTCTTGTCTCTTTTTTAGTAATACAAGTAATAATTACAAAAAGGAATTATTTAGAAATTATTTCTTTTAGTAATTACTGCTTAAATATTATTAAGAAATATTAAGTAATTATATATTAAGGAATTATTACTATGCTATTAATACTATTCTATCAAGGAATTATTACTTTTAGTAATAATTACTTATTAGTAAATAATTTTACTAATTACTACTTTTCCTAATAATTTTACTATTACTTTAGTAATAATTAGTAAAAGTAATAATTCCTTAATATCACAGCATTAAAAGCATAATAATAATTCCTTAATATCATCAAATATACCTAATCAATGTTATATTTTCTGAACTCTTCTTTTTACATTCCGAATTTCTAAAAAGGTCTACATATAATAACTAATTGTTATGAATTGTTATGTCTCTTGAGTCCATTCTTTCTTTCTTTTTTTTTTTTTTTTTTGAGACAGAGTCTCACCTGTTGCCCAGGCTGGAGTACAGTGGCACAATCTCGACTCACTGCAACCTCATCTTCCCAGGTTCAAGCAATTCTCCTGCCTCAGCCTCCCGAGTAGCTGGGATTACAGGCGACCACCATCACGCCCGGCTGATTTTTGTATTTTTAGTAGAGATGGCGTTTCACCATGTTGGTCAGACTGCTCTCGATCTCCTGACCTCAAGTGATCTGCCCACCTTGACCTCCCAAAGTGTTGGGATTACAGGCTTGAGCCACCACACCTGGCCCAGTCTTAATCTCTATGTTTCTCTTCCCTTTTTCATTTCTTCCAAGTTGCTCCAGAATCTTAAAGGACATCTTCAATGTAAGAATTCTACACCTGCCCTTTAGAAAAAATATGAACTTTGAAGACCAAGAGACCTCATTTCAGATCACAGTTCTGTGTTCTTTTGATGTATATCTTAATCTCTCTAAGCTTCATTTTTGGTGTTTTCCAAAAATATAATATAATACCCACCTTTGAGGGTTATTACTAGAACCATAAACAATGGATGCTTAGCATACTACCTCACATATGGTACAAAATCGACAGATGCATCTATTAGTAGTAGTATTTTTTCTTCTGTTGTTATAAATAGTGTTATTCAGGAACACTAGCATTAAAAAGAGAGATTCTTTAGTAAGTCTATCATGAATAACGAACTGTCTAAATGGAAATCTAAATTACAAATGTATTTATTTACAGATCAGTCCAAAAACAATATCAAATTCCATCATGGTACAGGTTATGAGTTTTGAGTAGCCTAGTAAAGCTTAGAGAAACCTGGCCTTGAAATGAAGGTCAAGGTTACAGTACTGGCTCTACAGCTAACATATTGTATCCTCCTGTAAAAGAAGGGGCAGTTTCCCATCTGTAAGATATGGATCATGTTAGTTAACAAGGAGTATTTTTTGATTACACACTTTATTTTTTAAGAGCAATTTTAGGTTCACAGCAAAATTGAGCTGAAAGTAGAGAGATTTCCCATATAGCTCCTACCAATATATGTGCATAACCTCCTCCATTATCAGCAACCCCCACGAGAGTGGAATGTTGGTTACAATTGATGAACCTACATAAGTTAACACATCATTATTACCTAGAGCCCACAGTTTACACTGGAATTCACTGTTTGTGTAGTACATTCTCTGGATTTGGACAAATGTATAATGACGTGTGTCCACCATTACAGTGTCATACAGAGTAGTTTCACTGCCCTAAACATTCTGTGCTCAGCGTATACATCCCTGGATCTGGCCCAACCCCTGTTAACTGCTGATGTTTTTACTGTTTCCATAGTTTTACCTTTTCCATATTATAATATAGGGGAATCTTACAATATGTAACCTTTTCATATGTGACTTTTTTCACTAAGTAATGTGCATTAAAATTTCCTCTGTGTCTTTTCATGGATTGAATAATATTTCATTGTCTGGATGTATGACAATTTATCCATTTACCTACTAAAGGATATCTTGTTTGCCTCCAAGTTTGGGCAATTATGAATATAGTTGCTATAAACACCCACGTGCAGAATTTTAAGTGGGCATAAGTTTTCAACTCCTTTGGGTAAATACCAAGTAGCATGATTGCTGGATTATACACTAAGAGCTATTACTACTATTATTATACAGTACATGATTATTAAATGTAAGTTCTCCTAAGCTTCCTGACCTGGAGCTTTTGGCAACCACAAAAAACATTCTCTAAGCTTTGTTATAAAGCTCATTCAATACCCACAATATTCTTTATGCTGCTTAAAAGGACTCTGGCCTTCACTTAAGGTGCATGCATTACTACTTTACATAGGGCTGTAATGAGCTTGGTGATCTTACTACCTCTCAGTCCATGTATGTGATTAGAGACAGTGACTATAAAAAGTATTGGACAAATCCTCCAAAGGTCTTTTTCCCTTGAGAGAACTCTGGTGCTTCACATCATTTCAAATACATACACTTTTCACATCAGTGTACCTGAATGGTGTGAAAAGTATGTGTATTTGATATGAATTTATGAATAAATAGTGAATTTATTCATTATTTATGCGTATAGTGAATTTAAGTAATGACTCTATATAAAAATAATGTTTCTGTGCAGCAAATGACATATACATCTCAGACCTGGGAAAATATCATTTCCCAATATTGTCCTGCTATATAAGGCATTATGACACATGCACTCCTCTTATAAATCAATTTAGCAATATAATTAGGAGATAAGCTTTAGAGTTAAACAGAAATGGACATGAGTCCCAGGTCTGCTGCTGTCCAGGTGGGTGACAGGCAAGTCACAGGGTGTCTCTCTAAGCTTGATTTTCCTTATCTGTGAAATGTAGATAACAATAAAGAACTCAAAAGAAACTAAGGTTCTTGGAACTCTGCCAATACTTACTAAATCCTGAAAGTTAGCTATTTGATAACCAGGACCAAATCAAAGATCTAAAATTCTACATACTATTACATCCTATATAATTCTATTTGCCCAACAGGGAAATGTAATTTACCAAAACTGTTGAATCAGTGAGAGCCTGCAAAAGGTTTGATTTTTTAAAGAATTGTTCCCTCTATTCATTTATTTCCTCTTCTAAATGAAATGAACATTGATAATTGATGTTTTCAAACTAGAGATTAAAAGTGAATACATAAAAGCAAATATACTTACTTATCTATGCCATAAACAAAGCATACAGCAATATTCTCCAAAATGACTACAATTAGCAGAGGCAGTGTAGCAGAATAATCATCAAACATTGTAACAAAGTAATTTCCAGAGCGTTGCACAAATATCAGGCCAATACAAAATGCCAGAAGACAACAGATAACTAGACAAAAGAAATAAATGAAAAAATGAGACTCTATTCAGAGACAAGGCCTTTAAACTTTATTATAAATTATTATATTCAAACTTTTAAAACTTTTATAACATGTCCATCATATAAACAGGCAATACCTTTCCTGATACATGGCATATAACCTATTAGGAATTAGGTTACCTGGGTGTAGCCTCAACATTCATACAAATTTATTCTAAGACAGTAATTCATCTCCCTGAGCCCGTGGAAACTCATTTACCAAGTACAATAATAAATGAGTCAAAGTTTAGAGAAAAATTTAAAAGTATAAATTTCCATACTCTATTCGTATAATTAATAGCAAAGTGACTTCTTCAGGCACCAAATATTTATAGGTCATTTATTCATTTAATAATGTTCTACAGTGTTGAAATATAGATGAGATTTTTGAATTAATAATGAGACTAATATTGCTTATATTATTATGAAATATACATATTATATATTTGATTGAAATATGGTTACTTTTCAAGCATAAGTGGAAAAATCTGACCAGACTTAACCTCAGCAACAATCCACATTTATATCTTTATCTTGCCTGAACAGATTAGTTTGGAAACAAATTATAATGGAGTTGAGCAATCTGATCATCCACATAACATCTAAGAAAAATCATCTAAAAAGAGTTTCCCCAGTAATAGCTAAGAAACAGATGCATAAATTTCTGACCAGCTACTACTTAGAAAAGTTTTTGAAATTCATATAATATTCCCATATTTTTGTTAGACTCTGTTCTTTTGTGCTCATTAGCAGAGAAGCCTCCAAAGGTAAAAGATGACTGCATTCCATTTCTCAACCACATTTCGGCAGAGGTGAGTAAACTTGAAAGAAGTAGAGTAGTAATGGCAGCTAAGGAAAAAAGACATCCACGGAGTCAATCATATGAACACTCCCTAACAATTTCAGCAAGTATGTGTGACATGAAGAAATTACCTCCATCTCTTAAGTACTATACTAGTGCTGTGAGTTACATCTTACAGAAATGAATGTCATATGTAAACATATAATGTAGAATAAGAAAAGTAACATTTACTTGGATTCTACTGCATATTAAATTTAAATGCTTATCACAGTATAAAATAATATTGCATTCTCTTACTTAATTTTTATGACATCCCAGTTGAACAATGTATTACTTTGTTTACAGATGAGAGAAATGATCCTGAAGAACGTTAAGTAATGTGCTTAAATTCTCAAGCTGGAAGTAGCAGAGTTTGGATCTGCACCCAAATCTGTCTGCCTCAACAGCCTGTGTCACTTTCACTATCTCCTAATTACACCCCAGTATGAGGCAAATATAAAAAAGTGCATTATAAGTGGTACAGACAGTAAGAGTTTTGCTGGAGATGTGAGGGAAAAAGATAATGAGTAATTCATTTGCCTAAATCTTACTGCATAAAGAAGTAAACACACCTACCAAAGAAAATGAGGTAATATTTCATTGAGGTCAAACACGACTACGATTTGAAGTATCAGTATGATCCCAAAAAACAAGAAGTGGGAAAGAGGGTACATTCCCCTTTGCTCTTTCCAAATAAGTCTTCCAGAAGGTCTTAGAAAATACTACTTTGTGTGATTTTCCCTTTACACTGTTACTTTTTCCTTAACCTGCAAGCCTTTTACTACAGGAGGGGACGGTTTGGATATGGCGAGCAAGGATAAGAATACAAAAATGACTTTAGCCTGCATGTCAGGCAGGATATGGATTTTCATATTAAGTGGAAATCACTTTCTTGAATAATATAAAGCAGTTTCTCATTTCTGTTCAGCTGAATTGTGGATATATAGCTATCAATATTAACAGACTGCTGAAATTAAATTGTTTTATACACGCACACACATGCACATGCACAAACACATACAGACATAATTATCAGAGCAGCAAATGATAAAGGTATATATTTGAGACTTATTTAGACATATATTATTAGTAAATTTTTTATGGCTAAGAAAGAGCTGGGCACGGTGGCTCACGCCTGTAATCCTAGCACTTTGGGAGGCCAAGGCGGGCGGATCACGAGGTCAGGAGATTGAGACCATCCTGGCTAACACGGTGAAACCCCGTCTCTATTAAAAAAAATACAAAAAATTAGCCAAGCGTGTTGGCACGCGCCTGTAGTCCCAGCTACTCGGGAGGCTGAGGCAGGAGAATGGCGTGAACCCGGGAGGCGGAGCTTGCAGTGAGCTGAGATCGCACTACTGCTGCACTCCAGCCTGGGCGACAGAGCAAGACTCCGTCTCAAAAAAAAAAAAAAAAAAAAAAAGCCTTGGGGAATTGCACACCACTGCCCAGCATTCATGGTCATCTCTACAAAATTTGTATCCAATCTTATTTTACATCACTTACCAGTATTGTTTCTGTACTCTAGTATGGTTGGCTTTCTTATTGTTGCCTTTATCTTCATTTATGTATGTTTACTAGCTATCCTCTGACCCTTGAGAAGATCCTTCCTCTTTCCAATTCAACTTTCATCTCTTTCTCTGACAGTTCCATCGTATATTTAGATGACCTAGACTCTTTTGAATTCTTATATGTAAAATCCATTATGCTATCAGTATTTTACATGCTGTAAGTCTTATCTATGCAATCTGATTTTAATTTTAGTGTTATTGTTTTTGGAGAAGAGTTTTTTATATATTTGTATATCTCTTATAATTTATTTTATATCCTTTATAGCCCTTAAATGGGAGTATGATGCATTAAACTGGTACTTTAATAATCACTTGTAAATTGGACCTATTAACTACCATCCATATTGATAAATTGTTTTATTTTCTTCTCTACTTGGAGACATTAACTACTAGTAAATTACTACTGCTGCTGTATATGAGAACGGGATTTAGGTTTATCATTTTCAGCTATGCACTTTTTGGATAGGAATATCACATCTGAACTGCTCTAATTATGATTATTTGACTTGTATAAAAATTATACACAAACAGTCCATGACTTTATTCTAGTGTCAGTCATTCTTGATAATGCATTACTATTAATGAATTATAACAATAAATATTTATTATAAATGATAAAATATAATTTATATTAAAACATCCATATTATATTATACATACAATAAAAATTATACAATTAAAATAAAATAAAATAAATTATACAATGTATACAATAATAAATAGTGATAATAGACATTAATAAAACTCAAAATATAAGACTTTCCACTTTTCATCTCTAATCTTTCACCAAGAATAAAATGGCCTGGATTTGTTCAATGAAAAGTCAAATACAAAAAACTCACCAGTAAGAATTTCTTTCCTCACTTTGAAAGTGTCCACAATAGGCGTGACAATCCCTTCAATGGTTCCAAACATACTGCCAAGGCCTAGATTGACCAGCATGAGGAAAAACATCACTGACCAGAAGGGAGATGCAGGAAAATGTGTCATCGCTTCTGTAAAGGCAATAAAAGCTAAGCCGGTCCCCTGAACAGCCTGCAAAATACACAAAATAGCAACATTAGTACAGAGTAATTATTAAACAATGGCTCTATATGTCAGTTACAATGAGGAGGAAAGATCTCTGAATAATGGCCAGGACTGCTGGAAATAGACATGCTCAAATCAGCTCTTAACCTGATAAATCATGTTGTCATTCTCAGAACCTGGATTTAATTAGATCAAGCAGATCCAAATAATGAAATTTTGCCTATAATTAATAAACAGAGTACACGATTGTGTTGTATATACTAACTATTTCACAAGGCTCCTAGAATGAAAAACTATATTAAAGAATACATAATATTTTTGGTTTTGTTAAAGCTTATGAATATGAATAGTGACATATTATCATAGATATATAAATACAAATATATATATACAACTATTTCTGGCTCATATATAAAGATTTTAAAAATTTGGTTTTACCTTACCTCAAAGTGGCTCAATCAATTGTTGTTATATATATATATACATATACACTATGAATAATAAACTTGTTTTGATTTAAGAGAAAACTGCAAATGCAAAATAAAAGGATGTGAACAGAATAAGTAGATTATAAAAAGCCAATTTTTAATTTAAAAAACCTACATCTTTACCTTTTTTTACTTCTGATATTCCTACCTCCCTGATTAAAAAAAAAAAAAAAGTTGGGCTGATATACTGGTTTGCATAATTCAGAAGACACAATGAATTTCCAGTCAAAACTAATAACAAAATGAATAAAAAGACAGATACTCCAATTGGGCAGAAAGAAATTGAATTACTTGCAAATATTAATGTGAGTTTATTTTATAAATATCACAAATATTGAGTTGTAAAATAACAACTTACTTTGTCTAACTAACTGTACCTATAACCAAACTTCAAGTTGTGTTGTCTCATAAAGACAGATGAGAATTAAAAAAAAAAACTTTGAACGGTACATTAGTAATTAATTAAATATTTCCTTAAGGAATTCAAGGTTTTTATATTAATGATGGCTTTACTTTTTAATGAATAATATCCACACATGATTCTTTATGTTAGTCTCAAGTACAGTTAACTATCTTAAAGCAAATAATTAGTGACTAATTTCTCCATTATATTTTCCTTTTCGACATACAGGAGACAGTGGCAGCCAATATAAGGACATTTATTAATGGTGACCTATTTCTTATTTAATACAACATAGCTAAGAAAAAGAACTTCATCGGTTGGGCACGGTGGCTGAGGCCTGTAATCACAGCACTTTGGGAGGCCAAGGCGGGCAGATCATGAGGTCAAGTGTTCGAGACCAGCCTGGCCAAAATGGTGAACCGCCTTCTCCCGTCTCTACTAAAATTACAAAAATTAGCCAGGTGTGGTGGTATGTGCCTGTAATCCCAGCTACTTGGGAGGCTGACCAGGAGAATTGCTTGAACCTGGGAAGCAGAGGATGCAGTGAGCCAAGATCGCACCACTGCACCCCGGCCTGGGCGACAGAGAGAGACTACGGCTCAAAAAAAAAAAAAAGAACTTGATCATGACTTGTGGAACACAACTATTAAAATTTCTATTTTAAATATTATTCATGCATCAAAGCAATCATGTATGTGTAAATGAGAGCCATAATTCTAATTCTGTATTGAAAATTATAGCAAGAAAGATTTCAGACTAATCATCATTCTATGATGAAAATCACTTTATATTCATATTTTAAATTATTGTGGCTCAATCAATGAAATAACTTTTTAAAATAAAGCAAATCTTTACCATTTAAGAAAACATATTCTCTAAAATTAAGAATGTAAATTCTGAAGGACTTATAATGCCCAGGAGCTTCTCCGGGCATTTTAAGAGCTTCTTCGGGCATTTTAAGGCCCTTTTCCTGAAGGGAGTCTGCTGGATAATGCATATTTCAAGTGAATGATAATTATTTTATTGCTCAAACATGGCTTACTAACTTTATTTAGCTCTTCTTCAATTTTACAGGAATTGAGATGAAGAGCAGGAAACTCTTCTTCTTTCACTTTTTGAATGATGTCATAAACTAAATGATAATCTTCTGCAGTAACAGTTGAAAGGTTGATATGATGGGGAATAATATCCTGACTAATGTTCCCCATTTTCAAAAATTTCATGATCGTCTCTGAATTTCTGAAAAATAAAACAACATACAAATGAGCACATAAGAGTTCTTTGGTGTATAGTTTGTGAACGACTATGCCATTATAAGCTAATGAATGAGCAATGTTCCCAACACAAAGAAATGATTAATGTTTGAGGTGATGACTATCCCATTTACCCAGATTTGACCATTATACATTGTATGTTTGTGTCGAACTATCACATGTATCTCATAAATATGTATAGCTATCATGTATCAATAAAAGTATAAATAACAAGATAAAAACTAAGAAAAAAGGCAAATGGAAATTAATATTCATACTGTGTAATGCATTTCTCATTTATGACATTTGCTTTGAAGCCCAGAACTGCAAACACCACCAATGTTGCCAGGACAGAAGTGAAAAAATTGATGAAGGACACCAGGACAGCATCAAAGTGGCAGTTGTTGTCTCTCTTGTTGTAGCTTGAAAAGGCAATGACACCACCAAATCCCAGACCTAAGGCAAAGAACACTTGAGTAGCAGCTTCTCTCCAGACCTTGGGCTCCAGCATTATTTCAAGCTGTTTAAAAATAAACATAATAGAATCAGCTACAAAATAATGTTTCAGAATAATTAATTTTTATGGAATTTACTGTTTATGGAGTATACAATGATATTTATGCATCCAAAGTTTATTTAAATCGGGAAATAATATGTTCTTAAGCATAAACATCTATTTTTAGGAAACAAATAATTATGAGTAAGAAAGTTGATCAGTCCTTTACATGGAGATTTTAAGTACATGGGGATTTTCTACTTACATGGTGGTTTTTAAATATTTTAAGAATATCAAAGGAAATATGAAATGAGAATATGAAGAAAAATTAATTATCCTCAATCATTTCCCATTATGTCTTTTTTTCTTTCCATAGCAAAACAGGTCAATTACCAATAAAAGTTAATAGTTGCTTCACTAACACTCCATGTTTTGTGTTTTCTGCTGTTAATCTAATGGTCGAAGCAGAAAACAATTATAAACTTCGCAGAGTTGAACTATTTGTACTTTGCATATTCACATATGTATTCTTCATTCATTCAAAAGTCTGCTAAAAGATTTTTCTTTGAAAATTGAAGAAATTCACCTATATTGTCTATAAGATACTCTTTCAGATCCAAAGTTCTGACATTGAACAGATATTAAATATTGAACAGATATTTCATGTAGTTGTGCTTTATGTCTTAGATAATTATCACTGTATATAATCAAAACTTAAATGAAACAATTCAGATCAGCCAAGTGTGGCCCAGATCTTAATAAACAGTTCCTTTTGATTTCAGTAATAATAGCGTTTAAATTGGCATTTTATCTCTTTTTGCCATTACAATCAAATTGCCTTTATTGAGAGCAATGTCAAACATGACTAAGAACACGAATTCTACAGAGAGTTTCAGATTCTGATTCTGCCATTTAGTAATTTTAAAATAGTGCAAACAATGGCAAATGGCGTGTCCTCTCTGAGTTTCAGCTTCTTCAGAAAGATCAGAATAATAAGAAGTGTACCACTTACCACGGTGCCTACCACACTCTAAAAATGCTCAGTAACCGATAACATAGATGAGCTATAGCGGCATACACACCGGTAAGCATTTTATATGGTTTAACTCATTTAGTACTCACAACAACCCACGAAGTTGTTGCCACTATTAACTGATTCTTAGGAAGGTTATGTAACTTGCCTAAGTTTACACAGCAGCTCTGAGGTAGAGATGAAATAAGAACATAGGTAGATTCCAAAATCCATATTCTCTCAAACAATAGGATGTATTGCTTCAACTAATTTTGGTTATTAAAATCTATGAAATATGCTTATTAAACATAATCATGATTATCTTCATAATTTATGAACAATTAACATATGCACATTGTTTACTGACCATTGCTACATCATATTCTATTAAAATACACTCAACTGTCTATCTCTGCTTTAGCCACTAGATGGCAGAAAAGACCTATTAACTAAAGACATTACCAGCAGCCCAGTTTCTGAACTAAATCTCCACTCACTGTTTCACAAGTATTTGATGTGCTTATGTACTTTCTCCCCTACATAAACAATGTAAAATTTTTAAAAATTACAATTACTTCTCATATTGAGTATCACATCCTACAGAAATGTAATAGAGTCTTATCAACACTCAATGAAAAGTTAGCTGAAGGAAAACTAACATTTTAATAGTGATCCCTAGTCTAGGTCAGAAATGTTAATTCATGCTGCAGTTTTCAGTACTGGGGCCATATAGAATTATTACATATAAGCATTTAAATTCTAAAATATCTAGCTAAATCAAATGTTTAGAATTTTGTCACAAGCAATTGTCAGTTTAGAAAGAGAATATATTCTAGAAATTCACACAGAATTTTGGTTGTCTTGAACTCAGAAAACATTTTCTTCAATATTATACATATAAGTATTTTTGGTCATTAAGTGTGGCCCATTTGTAGCAGATTTAAATTATAGTGTGGCTGAAACTCGTAAATCTTAACTAGTTGTTCACAGAGAAGTTCCAAGAACTCTAAATGTTAAACAGGAATTTTGAAGTAGCTGAGAAAACCAGACACCAGTGTCAGCATTTTTGCTACTACAGAATGAATACCAACTCAGAACCACACACACAAAGAACACAGCTTCTTTTACGCAGTATCAAGGCAGCCGCCAGGAGTGACAAAGAATTCCAGAGAAGCTAATCCCTTATGCCCAAATCTCACAGCACAATGCTGCCTGCACATTCATCCTTCAGATAACTTTTAATTTCTAAACTAATTTTGAAATCGTATCTTTAGACAGTTTCATCTTAATGTCTGCCTATGATAGTATTAGCAAACTAATAGTGGGGTGCACCATATATATATATATATATATATATATATATATATATATATATATATATATGAGAATCAAAAACGTGGTCCCTGTTAAAGCAGTATAAGAAATTATGATTAAGCCCACACTTATGATTAACCAGGTTAAGTGGGCCCACCGTTGAGTTTAGCTCTACAAAGTTGCATGATGGATTATAAGTTCTGAGCCCTTGATGGAGTCTAATGAGAATTTTCCTAAAATATATATGCATCTATAGAAGTTACAGAACTTCACAAGCTGATTACTATAAATATTCTTCCAGAAGCTACAAAACTACAAAACCTCAAAAAAATTAACTAAGAAAAGAAAACACTTATTTTCTCTGAGAGAGTATTTTAGGGCTCTTAATCTTATTTTAGGGTCCATGGATTCTAGATGATCAGTCAACTTCCAGATACACTAAGCAAATTAATATGTTCATTTTTTTTTTTGGGAAAAAAAATCCTCGTCACTTTTTCAAAGGGATCCATGACACAAAAAGGTTAAAAACCACTAAAATAAAGGGGAAAGAGTTAAGGAAGACTGAAAAATTCTGAAGTCTAATCAGTATAAAACTTAGAAATAAATTTATTATAAAAGAGAGATTTTTGAAGTTGAAATAGTGGTAGCCTTACTCTAAAATCAAAATGGGATATAAAAAATGGAGATAAATGGCTATAATTATACATAAAAAATGCTGGTTTTTCCTAGACTGGTTAACAACTATAATTTAAAAGTTTAATGTACATACATTAGAACAATTATTCCTTAAATATAACTTAGAATATTTTAACAATAAACATAATGCTTTCATGATCATAAGCCTTAAATAGAAATATGGTACATACCTTAGGGGTAAACATGTGGCGAATGCCATCAATTGAACCATTTAAAAGGAATGCTCTGATGAGGAAGCAAATAAGTACCACATATGGAAACAGAGAACTAAAATATATGATCTGCAAAGAAATAAAAATAAAAATAAGTGAGATACAATGACCATTTTTTTATAGATAAGATTTTATATGTTAGTTTCTGTACTTTGACAGTCACTGTTTCATGACAGGATTAATAAAACTATTAATAACTTCTAAAGCCATTTTTTAAGAATGGTTTATGAGTCGTGATTCAGCCTTAAGATTTTATTTGAGATACAATTTACATTTAAAACACACTATCTCCTTTGAAAAAATCCATCAGCTATGGTGTAGCTTCAATAGTGTTGATTCCTTATAGTTCATAAAACAAGAAATATTTAAGACAGAAATGAACAGGCACTAACTACCTAATGAATTCCTACTTTTTTGTTGTTGTTCTAAGTAGCAAAATAAAGTCCTATTTCTTTTTCTTTTAACCAAATTTTCATTGTGATTCTGTAAAGCTTTCAATGCAGTATTGTTCCTATGCTGTATCTTCCAGAACCCAAACAATCAAACGTGTAAAGATTTTACTTTCCGCTTCAGCAATTTTCACTGTTAAACAGTTCAGCAAATATTTATAATAGAAAAGGAAGTGTGCTACTCAGACATTCACTGCCTCCTTGACATCTTCCTCTGGAGGCCTAATAGGTCTCTAAAATATTTCAGGTCCAGAGGGAAACTTCTGAATTTCCCTCAAAGCTATTCCCACCCATCTCTATTTCAGAAAATGGCCCCACCCTCCATCCCATTAGTAAAGCCAAACATCTAGAAATGGTTCTGGACTATCCATAATATTCTCCTAACTGAATTGCTGGCTGCCCCTTGGTTTATGTCATACCCTGCTTAAAACACTCCAGGAATTTCTAATGTCGTTGGAGTGAAGTGCTGATTCCACCCTCTGGCCTGCAAAGTCTTACCCTAGAGTGCCTGCTTGCCTGGCCACCACTCTTCCCATGGAGCTCTGGCCACTCAGGCCCTTGCTATCCTGTGAGTCTACCAAGCTCAGCCAGCCTTAAGATGCAGGGCGGCACCTTCCTTCAGAAGCACCTCTTCCTTATTTGCAGATGACTTGCTCCTCCTTACTATTTTAGTCTCATCTTCATCTTCTCCCTGAGGTCTTCCCTGACCACCCAAAATAAGGTGATGCCTTTTTCTATCCTTTCTCTCCCATCTGCCCCCTGCCAACCCTCAGTGATATTACCCTAGGTTTGTTGTTGTTGTTGTTTAGAGCACTTAGCACTTTTCAAATTTTATTTATGTGTTTCTGTGTTTATTTTTTGTATCCTCTAACAGGGTATAAGCTAGTAAGGGTAAAGATATTTTCTGTTTACTACCATATCTCACACACCTAACACAGTTGCTGACATAGTAACTCTATCATATGTATCTGTGGAAGGAAGGAATGGAAGGAGAATTGGAACAATGGAGGAAAAAGTGCCATAGCAGATGATGCTTCCGGGCAGGTAAAAGATACTGAATTCAATAATAACTACAAACAACATTAATATAAGGCAACACAATAAGGGGCACTCTCTAGTTTTACCCACTTAAGAATCATATATAAACACATGGCACACCTTAAGGAAAAAATATGGATAAAATGCCAGCATACTTTAGAACACAATATTTTAAAAATAAATTATATTTTAACTTAATTGGTTGTAATGAACATAATTTTTTAATAATTTCAAATTGGTTTAATCCTTTGATTAATCCTTCACTCAAATTTTTTGATTTTTTAAAAAATCAGAATGCTTTCGGATGGATTTTTTCATTCTCCCTGCGTACTTTTGGCATTCATTAAATTTGGCAGTTGCCTTGATCTCACTTGAATTAAAGTAATCCCCTTTATGATTCTTCTTCAGAAATGTTGTGGCTAGCCAGAAGCATGGATTCACTTTTGAACAATAGCTTCTTTTTATGTTTTTAAACAAAACTCAAATGTACTGCTTTATAAATAATATAATTGACTTCCATTAATTCTGCTTATATAAAAGTGAAAATGAAGATTATACATTATAAAGTCTAGATAGACTGATTATGATTTTATCTAATAAAATATGCTTTTTAATTTTGTTTTAATTTTATATTTTATCTTTATATTTTTAATATAATTTCTAATTAGGTACTAAGAAAAGATTCTTCCTGTACTCATATTATTCGAGGCTAAAATACTCTAATCTACCCTTAGTATGTCCCACTTCCTCAAATCCCATAAACCAACTGATCACCACACCCAGCTAATTCTACCACAGAAATCTCACATCTGTCCCTTTGCTTCACCTCTCAATAGCACAACACCTTTCAGTATGAAAACAGTTTCCTGCTCATCTTGCCTCCAGATTCTGTTAGCTTTCCTCTGCATCCCAGAAATCCATTTTTCACAGTTGCCAGAGCGATCTTTCTAGAAATCTGGTGCTATCACTGAACTATTAAAAATCCTCAAAGGTTCCACACTGTTTGCTAGCTAACAGCCCATCATTTTACAAGAGTCCACAGAGCCTCCAATATCATCAGTCAACTTGCATATCATCCTTCGTCTTCCACAAGCTGCACAAGTTGTATGCAAAAGTCACACAGAAATACTCAGCAGTCGTTGAGCTTTGTACATGCTGTTGTCTGTGCCTACACACAGTTCTCTGTGAACTTGCTGGTGAACTTCTCTTCAACCATCGAACCCTACTCCAAAATTTACATCCCCCGTGAAGCCTTCTTGCAAATCCAGTTTAATTGCAATTGCTGACTCTACACTATCACACACTTTCTTTTTTTTTGGAGACCGAGTCTCACTCTGTCGCCCAGGGTGGAGTGCCGTGGTGCAATCTCGGCTCACTGCAACCACTGCTTCCCGGGTTCAAGTGATTATTTTGCCTCAGCCTCCCGAGTAGCTGGGATTACAGGCACCTGCCACCATGCCCGGACAATTTTTTGTATTTTAGTAGAGACGGAGTTTCACCGTTTTGCCCAGGCTGGTCTCAAACTTGTGAGCTCAGGCAATCCACCCGCCTCGGCCTCCAAAAGTGCTGGGATTACAGGCGTGAGCCACCGCCTGGCCACTATCACACACTTTGTATGTGCTTCTGTTACTCCACTTAGTATGTTCTAATCATCATTACAATATGTTGCAATATGGTTGTACAATAATATAATACTAAAACATATTGCACATTAAGATAAAACTTATAGGAATTTAAGTTTTTCTTCTTGTACACAATTCATTCATTGAATTGTGGGTTCCATGAGGACAGACTGTGGCCTATTACTCTTTGCATATCCATCAGTGCCTGACAAATAGCAGATATTCAAATATATTGTTCATTGAGAGAGGATTTACAGGAATTTGAGTTTTTCTTCCTGCACACAATTCCTAAAATTGCAAGCTTATGGTTATTCTGCAGTATTTTGAAAATTATATTCTAATTATATGTCCAGACATTTCAATTTTCATTTATTAATTCAACAAACATTTAAATTCTTAAGGACACTGATCTGGATTCAGTAAGACTCTAACACAGTTTCCTAATAAGTTACAAGAACATTTCAAGCCTACAAGATGGAGAAAAATAAGTCAATATTTCAAACATTTAAGTGATATTAAGAAGGCAACACATCAATTTTATTCCTCTGTGAGCAGGTAAGAGGACAAAATATTTCATTTTTAAATTCCATGATTTAAAAAGATGTGTCTTAGGAGTCAGCAGGTTACTTAAATATCTGTGTCATTTATAAACACAAATTATTTGCATTCACTCATATGGCTCTAATCTTATTAGACCAAAACAGCCACTTGCATAATATTATTAAAATGAGTTAAATTCAACCTATTCACTGTATTTATACCAACCACTTTCTTCTCTCCATGCGTTACGTCTTATAACTTGAAGTTATTTTATAAATTTGTTTATTGTTTGCTGCCTCTGCCACTAAATGGAAACTCCATGAGGACAGGCACATTGTTTACCTTGTTAGTTGTATTTCCAAAACTAGATCAGTGTCTAGAACATAGTAAGTGCTTAATAAATATTTGCTCAAAATAATAATGAATGGGTGAATGATTATTACACATTGTCCAAGAAGTATACATTTTTAAAACTGGGAAATGATACAAAGAAACATGCTCCTTTGACTGATTTTTAAGACCCCTCCCCCGGGCCTTGACAACTATTATGCCTGTCAAAGCAAGTACGTTAGTAAGAGAGACTATTTTATCTTTCAAAAGATTGTATAAAACATTTTCATTTTACTAAAGTGTTTAAAAAATCGAAAACAAAAACCATTGTTTTACATATGAAAAATGTTTATTATAAACATACCTTCAGAATGTATCATTCTTTTTGAAAATTCTGTAGCCCAGTTTTAGCCCTGTCTATCATGTATTGGTTGCTTAATTCTGGCCAACTATTTATTTTCCCTGAGCTTGTCAACTTTGCAGTAAAATGGGGATAAAATATGCAAATTATCTAGCTGATAGAAAGAATAAACAAGATAATGTATGCATAGTATTTAGCATAGTAGTAGTAACAACAGGAAAGTAGTCAGAGTAGAAAATACTACCTTAGAGTTAAAAGCAAGCTTGGGGCTTCTCATTTCTGTCCTACATATTTGAGACAGTCATCCCCTTAATAGATTCTGTAACTAGGGCACATGCTACCTCTGTGTGACCACCTCCAGTGATGCTGAGCTCTCTACCATTGAGGCAACTGATTTCATTATTATCAAGTTTGATTCTTGAAAGGCCTTTCTTTCTTTGAAGGCTTACCACCATCACAACCTCCTCCATAATACCCACTATTTGATCATAGTTTTGCTCTCTATGGCCACACAAAGCAGCCCTATTCTTCTTTTGGTTTAACTATTTGAAGACTTTGATCACTGAGCTGAAATTTCTCATAATAAAAAGGAAAATACAAGATTTCAGTAAAATCCAGTATTGCAGATGTGGTCCAACTGATATGTGCCTACCTAGCCCAAAGGACAATGTCCCTATCATACCCCTCTTTTAATTCATGCAGTTTCCACTTAGCATTTTGGGGTATATGTATATGCATGTATGACTGTGTGTTTTGACCAAGCACATCACCAGCTGACTCATTCTTCTTTTAGCTGCTAAATCCTCTAAGTTGTTTTTCCATGTGCTAGCCTTAAACAATATTTCTCTCTTCTGTACTTGTGACACTGTTTATTTGGAGGCATTTTCTGTTTAGTAGGTAAACACAAAGCTTAACCTTTAATTCCTCATAAAGTCATTGTTATTATATTTAACTCATTGTTTCAGATTGAGGAATTGTGACAATTTTGGCTTCCACATCTTTGCTCACATTACCTACAGCTAGCTTTCTCCCCATCAGTGCCTGTTAAATTCTTTCTTCAAATATTGCCCAAATACTAGTCTTTTCCTGAGGCATTCTCATTAAAATAATAAATGTATGTACTAAATAAATTGTATTACATTTTCTATATAAATTTACACTACATGACATGAGAAGAACAACCCCAAGATTCTGTGATAAGAAAAGGATGAATAGTTCTTTAAGTGATGCTAAGACACAGACTAAGAAGAAACAGAAACAAAACGTGGTAGTAAGAGAACCTGAGTACAAGAGTTTTTGAGCTTCTCTGGATGACCACAGTTGGTTTTCTTTCTACCAAATGATATTATGTTAGGAATCATATAAATATGGTTAGGTCTTATTTAAGAATCCACTCCTTCATTTATAATGTGACGGGAATGTGGCTCTGACATAGTGGAAGACATACACAATTGAACAATTCGAAGTTATTTAGTCATATAATACAATAACATTGCCAAAGACTTAAAGATATTTAGATGTGTTAACAAGTATATTCACAAATTCAAAAGACAAAATGATACAGAGTTTCCTTCAGGAAGATAAATGTAAAATCAGCTACAATTTACAAGTTAAAAAGTCACTAAAATTTTTAATTAAATATAAAGTAACAGGAAGCAAAGATGAATTAGACAGACTTCTGCCCTAAAAGAGTTGACTAATTGGTGGGACTAGGACGGGGTGAGACATTATAGTGTTGCAGTTAAAGAACATGGGCTCTAGATTTAGACAGACTTGCATTTGACTCCAAATACTAGAACTTAATAGCCACGAAACTTTGGATAAGTTAAACTAATTCCTCAAACCTGTTTATTTTAAATCTGTAAAATGGTTCTGAAAATAAAAATTACTTCTCAAGAGTGGTTTTTATAATTAAATGGGATAAAGTATAAAAAGTAGTTATCACAGTACCCAAAGCAAAATACATTTGTAATAAATAATTGGCTTCAATTACTGTTCTTACCCTAATTCTTGTCAGAAACATCTTTATCATCATTTATTATTATTGTTATTATGACTACTTCTACTATTGCTGCTGCTACTACTACTACTATTGCCATTCCTGCTAGTATATGATGATGAGTGGTAATAAGTTAGCCTGAAATCAGTTATACTTTGAAAAGGAAAATAGCACAGCTGGACAGTTAAACGGCAGAGAGAAGAGCCAACAGTAAATTCTTGCTATGATCCAGCCAAGAGATGTGGAGAGCTTTAGAACAATGGCTGTGATAATGAAAAAAAAAAAAAAAAAGTAATACGAAAGCAAAATAGTGAATAGCAATTACTTTCCTAGAGCGTCCTTTAAAAATAATAACAAACAAGCTACCTAGAATTCACTTAATGTCTTTTTAAACCACAACCATTCTAATTTTCAATTTGCCTTAGAAGGAATGATATTTAGTCTTTTACATTACTCTGAATTCCTTGTTGGAATTATTATTAACTACTTAATGATGTTCAGAGCTTTAAGAAACACTTCACATTACATTATTTCAAAATGTCTTATGCAGCTATTCCTTAGAACACCTACAGCAGAGAGAAACAAATGATATCAAACAAACAAAATGAATGAATTACTCATTTTACCACTTTCCCCAATTTCCATAATTTAACTAATTGGTAATTAGAGAACTGAAACATTAGGACTAATTGAATAAAGGGCAAAAAGAAAGGACTTTTAAGTATTCACAAAAATTTTAAAGATCTTGTTGAAATAAGGAAAGATTATAATTAACCTTAGATTTCACTATAAAACACTGTTTTTATTTGTCTTTTTAAAAATGTAAGCACACTTTTGAAGTGTCACTTTTCACTAATATTTAACTACCTAGAATGAAGTGTTATGTGTGATTTGCCCACAGAAATCTGTAACAGAATTTGAGAGAGGGATGAATCCAGAAATGGTGATTAGCAGAATGAGGAAGGGCTCTAACATACTAACTTTTCCAGAAGACTGAATGCCTTTGATCATAGCCAAGCAAACCATGACCCAGGCAGCCAACAAGCAGATGGTCATCTTCCAGTTTAAGCCCCCACTTTCAGAAATGGAACTTGAAATATTCAGTGCTTCCCTGTACCAGTAATAGGTGGTGGCAGAACTTTGTTCACATTCTGGTTCTACAACTGTAGAAAGAAAAGTAACACACAATTATTTCAGAATATAAAGAGCAATGCGACAATTTCTTTTCCAATAAACCTGTAAGTGAATTCTTAATGCTTCCTAGAAAAGTACTACCATTGTATAGCAGCATGTAAATTCACAATGAACAATAAAAATTCAACTGTGCAACAAACAGAAATGTATCCTGTTAAATATTTCTTATGCAGTCCTGCAGTAAGAATATGTGAACCTCTTATCAAAGTAATTTTTATTTATTTATTTTTATTTTATTTTATTTTTATTTTTGAGACCGAGTTTTGCTCTGTCGCCCAGGCTGGAGTGCAATGGTGCGATCTCGGCTCACTGCAACCTCTGCCTCCCGGATTCAAGTGATTCTCCTGCCTCAGCCTCCCAAGTAGCTGGGATTATAGACACCCGCCACCAAACCGAGCTAATTTTTGTATTTTTAGTAGAGATGTTGTTTCACCACATTGGCCAGACTGTTCTCAAACTCCTGACCTCAGGGGCTCTACCTGCCTCGACCTCCCAAAGTGCTGGGATTACAGGAGTGAGCCACCGCACCCAACCCCTTATCAAAGTAATTTAAACAAATCAGGTTTATCACCCCTACTACCCTTGGAATTATGGGATTGACTCCCTGGGTAAGCATTGTCAAATATGCTAGCTGCTGGCCACATGTTGCTTTAGAAATGGGGCCAATCTAAAGTGACATGGGTTACAAATGTGAAATTTGAACTAGATTTCAGATTCAGTATAAGAAAATTATTGTGAATTATTATATTAATAATGTTTAGAGTAATTATATATTGAAATAGTATTTTTATATAATAGATTAAGTAAAATATTTCATCTATTTCTTTTTACTTTCTTTAAACATGTTTACTTGAAAAATATAAACTATATCTGTGCATTACAATCTATGTTTACTAGACATCACTACTATAGGTGACTGCTCTTTATAATATTTATATTATATTATGGGATTTAAAAAAATGATGGGAAAAGTATGAAACAACAGAACCAAAGACATAAAAGCAACTATTTTCATTCAAATTCTTATTTCTGTCCCCTTTCTGTTAGTTTTAATGAAAATGTAAGGCATCAATCAGGGCATACAAAATAAAGATTATCAAAGTTAATAAGTGAAGGCTTATAATACTTTACCCTAATATCTTAGGGCATAGTAAAGTAACTTGGAAAGAGCTAAAAAAATTAGATGGTCCCAAAAGTCTATCTCTAAGAGTATGTCAATCCTGAATGTGAGCAAAGTCTGTTATAATGATAATTTTGAATGATGTTTCTACATTATTTTAAAAAGAAAAAAATCTTGAAAGCTTGTACCTTTGCCACTCTTATAATGCTTAAATACCAAAACACTGTATTATACATATCTTACAAGTGTGTGAAGCATTTTTCACCAAAGGACACTGATCCCAAGGCAGGGGTTGCTGAAAAGACTGAGAAAAATAAAACAAACTCCAGCCAATGATGACGTTGTAGTAGAGAGCTACAAAATAGCACACCTGCAAAATAAAATGATATCCCATTAAACCTCTCATACCTCTTCCATTAAAAGAATGAGATCAAATGCATAAAATTTTATTTAACATTTTAAAATCCTCTTCATTTTATTATTTATTTGGGACACATTATCTTTTCTAAAAAGTTAATGTCTTTCTCAGGACTTAGAACAGGCATTAACAACATTGAGCTATATTAATATTTATAGTTAATCCATATGCCAGTAACGTTTTCTAAAACATAGTAAAAGAGTTGTTTATTAACACACACTCCAAAGTTTCATTTAAATGTTAATTATATAATTTGAAACCCTATAAAGATTACAGCATACACCAACAAAAGGAAACTTACTACACAACTTGCAAATCCAATCCCGCCCAGTTTAGGGCTTATGTAATTCCATACACCAATGCTGCCTCGCCGAATTCTTTGACCCACAGAGAGTTCCAAGAAAAAAAGGGGAATACCTATTACCATAAGTAGTATTAAATATGGTAAAAGATATGCACCTAAAGAAACAACAACAAAAAATAGATTATATTTTCAATACAGTAGAAAATACACTAGTTCAGTTTATCCCATTAAAGATAATATTTGAATTACTATATAGTGCAATTATGGAGAGCTCTGAAGAAGACACAATTTCATTACTTTGCACTTTCTAGATTCTGAAACTTGAATTTGATTTCTACAAAGAGTTTCTGATAATAAAATAATTAGGATAAAATTAAGAATATTAATGAATAGCTTTAGCTTAAATTTATTTAAAGAGTAAAACAGTTTCATTTTCCATAAAAATAATTGATTATTTAAAATTCATTCTTTTCTGGGGCAGGTTTCACAAACTCCTAGAAATCTTATTCACACAATGTTTATGAACTCATTTATTAAAATTTATACAAACTCATTGAAATAATGCATTCTAAATCAGAAAAATTAGAGTGAATGAGATTTTATGGCATTAACGTTGACTTTTTTTTCCAAATAAAATAACATCATGGAAGAAGAAACGTCTGCTTAGACTGAAAAAGAAAAAAAAAAAACAGCAACATAACTTCTACCAGAGACAAATGTCATTTTTCCCATAAATACTACATAAAAGAAGTACACAAATAGATTTTGTTTTCCAAAATTATCAGAAAAGGTAGTGAGAGTCATTAAGAAATTAAAACATTTAATATCTATTGTAAAAATGTATATGTTATTATCCTTGTAATAAAATTTCCATATTTTAAAAAGTATTTTTTAGTTAAATCACAAATTAAGACATATGACTATGACTAGTGATTTCAAAAGGTACCTAAATAGTTTGACAATGTTAATACAAGATTCTATTAACTGAATTATAAAAAGATGAATGTGAAACCTTTACTCATTTCTTTGTGTCTTTCTTTCCTTTTGGAGACAGGCTCTCACTCTGTCACCCAGGCTGAAGTACAGTGGTGTGATCACTGTTCACTGCATTCTCAAACTACCCAGCTCAAGGGATCTTCCCACCTCAGCCTGTGGAGGTCGTTCCTACATGAGGCTACATGTGCAAATTATTATTAAATGACCTCTTAGCTAAACTTCTTACATTCAATTTTTTAATCTGCAGTTTTGTCCAACTAGATACTGTTAAATGTAATGGTCTTACAATCAATGGTAACTAATTCCTATTTTCTATAAAGAGCCTTTTATTATACATTTCCTACATATTTATCATATGTTTAATGGCACTGAATAGATTTTTGAAGCTATTCGAATCGTCTTAATGGAATATTTAGTGGAACACAAATACATAGTGAGTAACTGTATTCAGCTGAAGCAGTGAAATAATGGATTTTTTCAAATTATTTATCTCAGCATCTGTTTATCTCTGTAATAATGATTATATCCAGGCATTTCCCTACATAGTGGTTGCTACATAATCTGAACCTTTCTATGACTGATTTTCAGTCTTTCATTCTTAGTTGATTCTAACAAAACTACATATACAATGTAAAAATTGGATGCATGAGCTTAGAAAACAAAATTCTAATTCTAAAATGATTAGTAACATTCAGGAACTGCTGACCTGAATGTTTTTCCCAAAGACTGAAAGTGAATTTTAACATCTGCATCAAATCTTAGATTATGAATGGATTTTTTATACGCATGTGAATGAGTAAGAAAAAAGAGAGAGAGAAAGAATTATGACTGAACTCATTAGGGATTTTTTTCCAGTCATGTGTGGGTGACATGCTGTTGGATACTTAGACTTTTCTTCTATCTCAAATTCTTCTATAGAAAACAGTATGAAGAACCCTTAAAGAACTGAAAGTAGATCTACATTCAATCCAGCAAGCCCACTCCTAGATATCTACCCAAAGGAAGAAAAGTTATTATATGAAAAAGATACTTGAGGCTGGGCACGGTGGCTCATGCCTGTAATCTCAGCACTTTGGGAGGCCGAGGCTGGCAGATCGCTTGAGTTCAGGAGTTCGAGACCAGCTTGGGCAACATGGTGAGACGCCCCCCGTCTCTACTAAAAAAATAAAATAAAATACAAAAAACAAAGGAAAAAAAAAAACAGCTGAGCGTGGGCTGCGCGCCTGTGGTCCCAGCTACTCGGAAGGCTGAGGTGGGAAGACTGACTCTTGAGTCCAGAGATGGGGAGAGGTTGCAGTGAGCTGAGATCGCACCACTGCACTCCAGTCTCGGTGACAGAGTGAGACCTTGTCGAAAAAAAAAAAAAAGCCAAAAACAAAAACAAAAAAAAGACACTTACATGCATATGTTTACAGCAGTACAATTCACAATTGCAAAGATGTGGAACCAGCCTAAGTGCCCATCGACTAATGAGTGGATAAAGAAAAGGTGATATTATGCACCACAGAATACTACTCAGCCATAAAAAGGAACAAAATAATGCCCTTCATATTAAATTGAATGGAGCTGGAGGCCATTATTCTAAGTGAAATAACTTAGGAGTAGAAAACCAAAAACTTTATGTTCTCATTTATAAGTAGGAGTTAGGCTGTAAGTATGCAAAGGCATACAGTATGATGTAATGCACTTTAGAGATTCAGAAGGGGAAAATTGGGATGGGGGATACGGTTAAAAAACTACATATTATGTACAATGTATGCTACTTGGGTGAGGGGTACATTAAAATCTCTGAATTCACCACTATATAATTCATTTATGTAACAAAAATCCACTTCTACTCCAAAATCTATTGAAATAATTTTTCTTTTAAGCGTGGCACGTTGGCATGCTGGATACCTTGAACTAAAGGAAATTGGAAGGACCTCGGAAGCCAAGGCTTCCTGGCCTTTTTCTTTACTCCTGTCTCCCACTCTTTTTTTGTCCCTGAAGCAAGTCACAGACACAAGATTTCTTCCCCTCAAGGTGGGTCATAGAAACTAGAATGCCTCTTCCCCAAAGCAAGCCACAAAACCTAGAAAGGTCATCTTCTCCCTTCTCCCTTGAAGATCCTCATTCCGGAGACGTCCTGTTTCATATCCAGGAGGAAGGAATGCCACTCAGAGAGGCCAAGAAAAATCTGAACAGACAGGACTTGCTGGGTTTGCTTCCTTTAGTCTATTCTCACTAGATCTACCCTTTTGTCCAATCACATTTCTATATGGCTGCCTATACTTCAGGTAATCTAAGCATAAAAACAGTTGCCTGGGCGCGGTGGCTCATGCCTGTAGTCCCAGCACTTTGGGAGGCCGAGGCAGACGGATCATGAGGTCAGGAGATCAAGACCATCCTGGCTAACACGGTGAAACCCTGTCTCTACCAAAAATACAAAAAATTAGCTGGGCGCGGTGGCGGGCGCCTGCAGTCCCAGCTACTCCGGAGGCTGAGGCAGGAGAATGGCATGAACCCGGGAGGCGGAGCTTGCAGTGAGCAGACAGAGATTGCGCCACTGAACTCCAGGCTGGGCAAAAGAGCAAGACTCGGTCTCAGAAAAAAATAAAAATAAAAATAAAAATAAAAATAAAAATAAAAAAAACAGTTTTCCCTGAGTCTTTGGGTCTTCATTTCTGAAAGTTCCCATGTCATGAAAGACTACGATTTAATAAATGTGTTACGCTTTAAATACATATATTTGAACATGTACTATTTGCCAGCCATATTTCTAAGCACATTACCTGTAGCTATTAATGTATCCCTTATAAGAATCCTTGGAGATAGATAAAATTATTAACCCTATTTTACAGGGTGGAAACTAAGCCTGAACAAATGAGGTAGCCTGTGAAAGGTCACATGGGTAGTGTGTAAAAGAACCAGGCTTCAAACAGTGAAATTGACTTCAAAACCTGATCTGGAAGTCTCTATACTATACCACCTACTTCGCCTAACCATTGTGTTTTAAAAGGATAATATCACTAGGCAAATAAACTTTATATTGACTCTATTACCTTTTTTTTCTATTACTCAAAAAGTGCTTAAGTGATTCATGAATAAGATTTTGATAGCCTGAGGCAGAGGACTATCTTCTGGTTGTTTAGTCAGAAGATATTCCTCCAACAATTAGAAGACTCAATGCCATACTGAATGGTGAGTACAATCTTTGGTACTGTAACAACCATTCTAAAGTGAAAAATCGGTTGGTATTTTATAATATGTACACTACTGCTTTCTAGTATTTCCATTTAGTAGAAAAGAAATAATACTAGAAAAGATATTTTGACTTTTTTAATATATGGAAATAAGAAGGAGGAGCCATTTGTGCTAAGAACCAATTACTACATATAAAATCTTTTAGCACTCTCCAGCAAGACAGAAATTGTACTAAATGGAAGTCAACCTGACTTTTCAGCCAAATCAGCTATCCTCCTTAATAGTGTGGTCAATACGACTTACAAGGCAAAAAAGTCTTAAAACCAGAATTGATATTCTGCTAGTCTTGGCAAATGGAATGATTTGTGAGAAACAAAAAGCAGGATAGTACATAGTTGCTTACAGCTGATTTAATAAATAATTCATGTGTGAGGTTACTGGCTAGCTAAGGAGATTTTCAGTATAGGGATGCACAGTGCGTCACTGACTCTACGTTCGATCTTTACCTCTAAGGCAGATTTGCCAAATGGACTACTTTTTCCAAACCTTTTGTTTTGTGCCTGTTTGAATTAACTAAAAGATATCTTAAACATATTTTGTCACCATAACATCTTAGAGTTTCATGTTTCAGTGGCCAGGAAAAAATTTACATACGCATGGGTTTTATTATTTTATTTGATGTAGGGTTTGTAGATTACAACCACATTAAAAATAAACCATATTTTTGTCCAGTCAATAAAATTATCACAAACTAGAATCAAATACCAAAATATTCTTTATATACTTTGTGTCCTGAAATGCATGACTTATGGAATATTTTATTTTCAGCCACACTTATTTTAACAGCATGTACGTGTACATAAATAATAATATTTCATATACATAGATAATAACATTTCAATCCAATGTTAGTTAAATTAAATTCAGTTTGGTTTTGGTGTACTATAGAATTAGCATCATATGTAAACAATTTTCCCCTTTGTAAAGTTTTTTCCCTAGACTTCTAAGATAATTTTGCTAAGTAAGCCTTTATAAGTACAAATGTAAATATTAATAGCAAGAATAGCAATGATGTTGCAGATAATTTTGTTTAAAATTAAGGTTGCTAATTTCTTTAAAGTTGTCTTTGAAATGGAACATTGTTCCAAAATACCCCCATAGAACTGGAAAGGAAATGCATAAAATGCCTAAGAATGAAGAATGTCTAGCATTGTATTATCTGTTTACATTCCTTCTGCTGGGATCTAAATGTTCTCATCAGCATTTGAAGATTATAATTATTCTAAGTTACATATCATTTTGTATTTTTTGAAGAATGAGGCAACTTAAAATTAAGAATTAATAAATCACGGAGAGAAAATTCTCTGTTTTCCTTCACCAGTATTGTCATATATCAGAAGCTTTAGGTTATTCTTCAAAGGGAATAATTTACAAGCACAAACGATGCAAGAAAAGTTTCACTCAGTTATTCAGAGTTGTTTAATAAGCTTCCGGAGAAAGAAGTTGAGAATGTGTTACCCTTAAGCAATCCCTGAGCATTCACAGCAAGCCCATCTGCTCCTGTGGAAACGTAATCTGAAAACATATCTGGGCTCACTTCCCACAAAGAAGTGGGTTTCTCTAGCTTTACAATGAAATTGAAAGTTTCAAAAATAATGAGAAACAGCAATAATAGGAGCTATTTGAGAAACCCAATTGCAATTTACTACAGTAATTTATCACTTAAAAAGATTACTTACCGCCCCCATTCTTCTGACATAGGTATGGAAATCGCCACACATTTCCTAAACCTACAGAAAATCCAACTTGGGCCAGGATGTATTGTAGTTTACTGTTCCAAGCTGGTCTTTCATCTTCGACTTCAGATCCTTCTTCAACATCTGTATCTTTCTCTTCCTGGCCATCAACAATTAGTTCACTTGTCTTAAAAGCATCATCAGCTGCGTCTTCATTGGAAAGAAGGTCTTTGACAGACTCAGTAACATCATCATCTAATTCTCTTTTTACCACCTTGCTATTTTTGGGCATTGGAGAGTATGCGAAGTATTTAAAAAAAAAAAAAAAAACTCCCTTATGGCAAATGTGTTAACTCTATTTTTCAAAACAATGTTACTTGATAGGAAGTAAAGACCGAGGATGATATCAAATAAATCCTTGATTCAAGGTGATAAAGCCTTATGGATTCTGAATCCGTATGTCCAGTATTCTGTAGGTACCTGTAAAATTATAAGTTGAAATGTGATCATATTTAATGATGAAAAAATTTAAATACAGAATTATTCTTTTTTATTTTTATGATAGAAACCCTTTCTACAGAGTATAAAACATGTAACTGTCTTTAGCATTTCAGAGCTTAATATTCCCGTAAGTATAAGAATTTTAAAGCACTTATGAGCTTCAAATACAATTTTCTTAGCTAACATCCTCCTTCTTGCAAAAATCTCAGATACACTCCAATGCATAATGAATATTCTGTTCATTAGTAACTAAACTTTTAGGACTCTTTTTCTTAATTCTTTATTTTTTCCTCCCTGACTAAAGCAGATATTTTCTTATATATCCCTGATTTTGTTCCTTGTGGAATTATAAACACAATTGCAAACCAACGCTGTAAATTTGTCTCATATATAATCTCTTCTGTTCAAACATTCGTCATTCACTCATTTGATATTAATTGTTCTTCTCAAAAATTTAACCTAGTTTATTTTATTTTATTTTTGGAGACAGGGTCCCACTCTGTCACCCAGGCTGGAGTGCTGTGGCAAAATCAGGACTCACTGCAGCCTGTACCTCTCCCAGAGATCCTCTTGCCTCAGTCCCAGAAGTAGCTGGGACTACAGGTGTGTACCACCACACCCAGCTAATTTTATTTTTCTTTTCTTTGTAGAGATGAAGTCTCACTATGTTGCCTAGGCAGATCTCGAACTTCTGGGTTCAAGGGATCCCGCCTTGGCCTCCCAAAGTGCTGGGATTATATTGCATAAGTGATCTCACCCAACCCATTTGATATTTATTGTGATGAGGCTTTATGGGATACAATAATCAATGAAACGTACAAAGCATGTTTTTAAGGATCTTATATTTAATAGAGAGAAAGGTACATCAAATAACAATTCTGTAGTGCAGAATTTAAATGACCCAACATTATTACAACAGGAAAGATCAGGAATGTTGGATAAAATTAGAGTTGAGCATAAATGGAGTGAGGTCATACCCAATCATAAGGAAAAGTATAAATGAGACAAGAAATGCTCAAAATGTACATTATATATGTGATCAGTCTCTTAACAGCTCAGGAAAAACACTGTAATCCCTTTGGGATTTTTTTTTTCCTTTCTTTATTTGTATGTTACGTCTCCTATCCTTTTCCCCACTCAGACACAGACCAAGTAAATATATAAGACATGTCTACAGTCCAGCGACACTATGTTAAAATGTGACTGAAAAATATGACTGCTTCTCTTCAAATCTGAATTAGGAAGTTTATGAAATGGTAGCCCAAGAATTCCGCCCTTCATTTCTGGAATAAAATAGAATTTATTAAGAGAACTGCTATTAGATTGACATTAAAAGTCAAAGAAAACAGCTATCATATTTCAATCTATAATCTTAATGAGCAAGACAAAGTGTTGGGTAACCCAGTGGAAAAAAAATTACTTAACTTACTATGTAACTAATTTGTTGCCTTTAGGTTGGGATGATGTTTAGTTGTTTTAAAATTAAAATATATACCCTAAGAGCAAACACTTCTCGTTTAGGATTTGGTGAAGATTAAGAGAAAACTGTTTAGAAAATTGTGAAAGAGATGCATTCCCAAAATATTTTGAGTGATAGACACATCTCCAGAATAGGTGTAAAACTTCCCACAGTGATTATTTTAAACTGATAAGAACAGATACTACACTTGATCTTAGCAAAAAGGCCGAGAAGCGATCACAGTGACTATTTCACAGAGGCCAACAAAGTTTTGATATGGAAATAATTCATGAGGTTTGACATTTTGTCTGTTTAATTTATATTATTTTCCCCTACAGCTCAGTAAATATTAGTTGAATACATTAATAAATATAGCCATTGAAAAACTGAAATAAACAAATTTCTAGATGGTATTTGCTGGAAGAAAACAACCTGACATATAAAAAATTGTGATTTGTAAGACATGAATTATCCAGAAAAAAGATTTACATTTATTAAATTATCTGAAGATAAAATGTGTTGGCATAGTAGCAAGTGATATATGGATAAGAGCATGGATTTTAGTCTGACAAATTTGGAGTTGTGTCCTAGCACTATAACTTATTAATTGTGTAAATGCTGATAGTTATGCCTCTCTTAACCTCAGTTCCCACAATAAACTTTGGTTTCTTATTCCTTTTGCTTTTTCCATACAGACAGAAAAGTAAGGAGTGTATCCAAGCTTAGAGATACTATTATAGTAAAAACACTCAACATTTTACAAAGAAAAAAAATTTTAAATAGTGTGAACCATGAATCTCCCCCAAATTTTTACGGAAAATACTATATCTCTTCTATACATTTATATTCTTTGGACAAAAAATACACACACAAAAATCAAAATAAAAGGTAATACCTTTGGCTACTACTGCATGTTTTTTACACACCAAGTGAATAATCCTCACCAATTTACATAAGTTATCCTTTGGCAAAGTTTACACTCAAATATTCTGATCAAACTACCTGAAGGTCATATTTTCTATTTTAAAAAATCAGTATCTAATGTAAACAAATTTTAAATGTAATATTATATCATAAACACTTTGAATATAAATAAATATATACTACAGATATCGTATAACAACTCTAGCCAAACTTTATAAAATAAAATACTTATTAAAAAGGGAGTTGAAGTGGGTATTTGCATGCATTAAAAGCTCCTTTTCTCATATGAGCAAAAAACTATAATGAATCCTTAATGATATTATAAATAAAATTATCTAAGCTCTCTTTTCTTACTATTTTTCTTACCCTGTCCCACTTCTTGGTCTGTCTGGGGTGGTTGTAGGAAGATAGGGGAAGAATTGTAATTAACATTAAAATATTCACAATAACATGTAAGTCTGGGAGAAAATAAGTTATTGCCTTGAGAATGACATTGTTTATCTTACTCACCCCCATATTACCAATGTTTAAACTTGTCTGTTGAATGAATGAACCGAAAGGTTTAAAGAATAAGATCATATAACTAAACAAGTATTTTGCACTTAGATGTTTTCATTTTTGTTTGTATTTTTTTTTTTTTTTTTTTTTTTTTTTTGAGATGGAGTCTCACTCTGTCCCCCAGGCTGGAGTGCAGTGGCATGATCTCGGCTCACCACAACCTCTGCCTCCCGAGTTCAAGCAATTCTCTGCCTCAGCCTCTTGGGTAGCTGGGATTACAGGCACCCGTCCCCATGCCCGGCTAATTTTTGTATTTTTAGTAGAGACGAGGTTTCACCTTCTTGGTCAGGCTGGTCTTGAACTCCTGACCTCGTGATCCACCCACCTCGGCCTCCCAAAGTGCTAGGATTACAAGCGTGAGCCACCATGACCAGTTTGTTTGTATTTTTACTTTAAGACCATGCACCCACTGAACATAAGAATTGACTTCTTGTGCACAGTTTTCATACAGCCAAAAGTAAATAGATAAATTTAGTTTCTGAAGAGATTTATTAAAACTAAGTATAGCAACAATAATTTAGAAGCCAGATCAATTTCACATTTTTAAGAGTAACTTTCTTGAAGGATAACCATTTTTATAAATTCTAAAAGCCCGCCTAAAAACTTAGTCCATAAATGTAGTCCATAAACATAGACAAAAAAGAAAATCAAAAGAGAGGTTGGCAATTGCCAAAAATGTATTACAATTGTTACATCTGAGAATAGAAGAAGAAATGAAGAGAAATGTCCAGGAAGAGAGATAGAGTGATAAAGTATCAGTGCTCGATAGGTCATATGGACAGTAGTGGAATCAGTATCAAGTAACAGCACAATCTCTGCCAACTTAGCAGCATCCATTCTTGTGATAGACAATCAACTAAGGAACAAGCTATCACTCACTGCACTTCATCTGCACCGAAGAGTTGTAATACTTGTCCTCATCATTATTTGGTAAGAGCCTCCTGTCTACAACTGTACAATAGAGCAGGAGTCAACAAAATATTGCTCATGGGCCAAATACAACCCACCATCTGTATTTTGTAAAAAAGATTGTATTGGCATGTATCCATGCCCATAAAATATTGCTCATGGACCAAATACAACCCACCATCTGTATTTTGTAAAAAAAAAAAAGATTGTGTTGGCACGTATCCATGCCCGTAGATTTACATTTTGTTATGGCTGATTTTGTGCTACAACAACAGAGTTATTGTTATGGACCGTAAAGCCTAAAATGTTTACTAACTCTTCACTGAAAACATTTGCCAACCTCTCTTTCAGAGAATAAATCTAAATTGAAAATGTGGAGTTCCCCAGCTCACTCAATTTGTATGGCACTACTTCCCATGTCAAAAAATATTCCAATATAGAAATTTCCCTATTGAAAATGCGTAGTTCCAAATAATGAAAAATATGTGTATGGAAATGGAAAGATAGAGGTGATAGTGGACACAGGAAGAAACATAAGCAAAAGACATATACAGAATATAAATATACACCAGGAAACAATGTGCTTCAGAGTTACAAAGAAAACATTTATTTAAAATAAATTTCATGGAAGTGAACTAAAAGATTAACTGAAAGAAAAAGGTAAGTGGATGAACACAAGAAATGGGAGAATTCATCAGAGGACTAAAAGTCACATTAGAAGCAACTGAAGGCCAGGTGTGGTGGCTCACGCCTGTAAACCCAGCACTTTGGGAGCACTAGGCGGGTGGATCACTTGAGGCCAGGAGTTCGAGGCCATACTGGCCAATATGGTGAAATTCCCTCTCCCCTAAAAAAATACAAAAATTAGCTGGGTGTGGTGGCAGGTGCCTGTAATCCCAGATACTCAGGAGGCTGGGGCAGGAGAATCATTTGAACTGGGGAGGCAGAGTTTGCAGGCAGCGGTTGCAGAGATCATACCACTGCATTCCAGCCTGAGTGACGGAGCAAGACCGTGTCTCAAATAAAATAAATAAAATAAAATAAAATAAAGAAAAAGAAACAACAGAAACTAGAATAAACACTACTGAAACTATATCTGAGGCATGGAGGACAGATGTAAAGAAAGTTCACAAAAAAGAAATGAAAAGTTACAAATATCTTAAAGTAATTTAGAAGAAAGCTAATGAAAACTGAAGTCAGCTAAAGGTAATCCAACAAACTTCTAATTGGTATAGCCAAACACAATAATACAATTAATAAAACACAAAATACTAAAAGAAAAGCAGAGGTTTTGCTTGAAGACTTGTATTTGCAAATAATAACAATACAGAAGAGTAAACACTGATAAATTACCAAGATAAGAATTCCTAGGGATTTCAAGCAGAAGTAGAAAGATCAAATTAAAACACTTCTCATAATATCTATTAATAGATGAAATTAAAACACTTCTCATAATATTCATTAATTTCAATAAAACTAAGAGAAAAATATATGATCTCCAATTTTATACCCAATTAATTTGTATTCCGATTATAAAAGCCACAGGCAAATATTCCTAAGCATAAGAGAAATGATGAGCCCTATGGGATGAAGGAGTGGGGTATGGAGGGAAAGACTACATAATCATAAAATTTAGCCAAACAGAGAAAACAAAGTAAAAGATCTTAGTAAAGAGGAGCCATGTTGAAGAATAGAAGTGAACATTAATTTAAACAAGGAAATATGGTTTACTTTTTATAGAAATTATGTGCAGGGGACAATTGTGAATTAAATTACCAAAAAAAATCAAAAATTGAAATGAGAGGAGAAAAAGAAATAAAAGTGTGAAAATATGCTCATCTTTCATGTAGGAAGTAATAGATACTGTGTAAATATGACTTGGTTGGGCACAGTGGCTCATGCCTATAATCCCAGCACTGGGAGGCTGAGATGGGCAGATCACTTGATGCCAGGAGTTCAAGACCAGCCTGGCCAACATGGTGAAACCCCATCTCTACCAAAAACTACAAAAATTAGCCAGGCCTGGTGGCATGCACCTTTAGTCCCAGCTACTTGGTTGGCTGAGGCACAAGAATCACTTGAGCCAGGAGGTGGATGTTGCAGTGAGCTGAGATTGTACCACTGCACTCCAGCCTGGGTGACAGAGTGAGATCTGTCTTAAAAAACAAACAAACAAACAAAAAACAACTTATTATATAAAAGAGGATAATGACCTCAAGCTCTTCAGGTTTTCATATAATCTTTCTTATTTGATTGTAATGTGACATTATAAGAATCAATACGTTTTGATGTGAAAAGACATGTATTGGTCCCAAATATTTATACATAGATTTTAGAAAGAGACTATCTGAGTTCAAATTGTAACTCTGTCACTTATGATTTTATGACCCTGGCCAAGTTATTAAACTGTGCTTCAGTTTCTTCATTTATAAAATGAGAACAATAATATACTTATCTACTGATAAAGTACATAAGTCAATGTCAGCACACTGAGAGGACTCAATATATTCTCTCTTTTATTACTATGATTATCACAACACTAAGACTATAATATAACTGATTTGTTGTAGATGCTTCTGTAATATTAAGGACAATGTTAGGTCCAGAGCCAATGCTGCATGTTTAATTTTCTCCTTAACACAACTTTTTGTTTGTCTCAGTTATCCATGGCTGCACATCAAATCTCCTTTATATTTAGTGGCTTTGAAAAACAATTTAATTCTTTCATGATTCTCTGAATTAGCAGTGTGAACTAGGCTTACATGATCAGTTGTTCTTGAATTCGGTCCTGCACTGCAGTGATCTGTCAGTTCCAAGAAGGTGTTCTAATATGGTCTAACTGACATTCTAGCAAAAGTCAGGCTGTCAGCTGGAGCACTTTGGTTTGCTTATAAGTAATCTCTCCAAAATACTAGCTGCAACTTGTTCATATTGTAGCTCAGATTTCCAACTGTAGCCAAAAAGAAAAGGTGAGCCCAATGTACAAGTGCTACTAGAGCCTCTCTCTATTTCACATTGGCTAATGCCTCATTGACCAAAGAAAGTCTCAAACCTAAGTCCATACTGATTCAAGAGTAGAGATAAACCTTACTTTTTGATGGAAGGGACAAAAAACCCTACTGCAAAAGGCATGCGTAGAAAGGAAAAAAAAATACTGCCACTATCTTTGAAAAAATTCAGCATTTGCTTAGTTTCCACCTCCCTGGAGTTTTAATCTTGAGGAGAGGCACAAAGTGATAAAAAAGTAGGCATGTCATCCAATTCCATCAAAGGCATTATGCCCAGGCTGTAAATACTACCGTAGTCATGGACATTGGTTCCTAGTTTTCAGAACTATTTTCATTCTTTCCTTTTTCCATTTCATTGCCAAGCATCCCATTGTTTCTTTGAGCTCCTGTGACTGCCAATATTACTTTTCTTTGCCTCTTATCCAGCATCACTTTCTAAAGCTTGCAAAGAACCCCAAATGGCTTACAAATTATGAATCAAAAACTACTGCTATATTTCCATTCATCTATCTATGTATATGAACATAAATACACAAATATGTTGGGAACTTTACAGTATTTAAATTTGAACTTATATTTACCTCTTTCTCAATCTCTCATTTTTTGTATCGCTTTAGTTATCTTCATATATTTTTCAAAATAAATCTATTTTGAAGCACTTAAAAGTAGATCCAAAATTTTTAAAATCATGATAATAAATTTCCAACTCAGTGGTTCTTAACCCCAACCATTTTACTTTTTGTGTTCTTTTTCAAGATTGTTTCACCTATTCTAGGTTCTTTTATTTCCACATAATTTTTGAAATCAGCTTGACAATTTCTACCACAAAAAACCCAGCCTACTAGGATTTAAAATTGAATTACATTGATTTCATTGATCTATTTGGGGAACACTGATATCTACCAAATTGAGTTTTCCAGGCTATAAACTTGGTGTATCTTTTTATTTATTTCATGTCTTTAATTTCTCTCAACAGTGTTTCAGAGATTTCAGTGTATTGGTCTTGCACAACTTTTGTTAAATTTATTTCTGATTAATGTGTGTTTGGGGTATGATTGCAAATTCTTTTCTTAGGTTTCAATTATATTTTGCTAGTATATGCAATATAACTGATTTTTAATATAGGTTTCTGCCCACAAAGATGCTAAATCAAGTTTTGCATCTTTCTAAGATCCCGAGGGACCTCCACTTACATAATCATGTCATCAGTCAATAATGATAATTTAACTTTCATTTTTATAATTATTTACTTTTATATCTTTCTCTTGACTTATTTTACTGGCTAAGACATCCACCAAAACATTGACTAGAAATGCTAAAGGCAAACATCTTCATTTATGTCTCGGTGTTATTTGTAGTCAATATTCCCCTACGTTCAATGTTAATTGGACATTGTTTTCATAGATCCCTTTATTAGTTTAGAGAAGTTACTTTATATTCCTAGTTCAGTGAGGTCATTAGTTTGAATTACTGTGTTAAATTTTGACAAATTATTTTTGCCTTTATTAAGATAACCATATCAGTTCTTCATCTATTCATATGGAGTATCACATTCGTTGCTTTTCTATCTTAAAACAATCTTTCATTTATGAAATAAACCTCACTTGGTCAAGATGAATTACTTTTTAATATATCACTAAAATAAATCTGCTATATTTTGTTATAGATTTTCTTTCAACTACATTCATAGGAAAGTGGGTGTATATATGTGTATAGATATGTATATATATACATACATATATACATGTATATATGTGTATAGATATGTATATATATACATACATATATACATGTATATATGTGTATAGATATGTATATATATACATACATATATACATGTATATATGCATACACATATACGTATATATGTATACGTATATGTGTGTGTGTGTATATATATATATAATGTATTTTGCTTCTCTGGTTTTGGTGGTGTCTTAGAAAGCTTTGAAATGATTTATCTTTTATTTTCTGAGAGTACATGTGTAGAATTAGTTTCATTCTTCTTTAAAAGTTTGGCAGCACTCGCCAATAAAGCCATCTGGGCTTGGGGTTTTCTTTCTGAAAATGTTTTAAATTAAAAATTCAATTCATTTCATTGATATACAGCTACTAAGATTTTCCTTTTCTTGTTTTACTTTTGGTAAGCCATCTTTTTGAAGGATTTGTCCATTTTATGTAAGGTGCCAAACTCATTGCCCTAAAGTGTTCTATAATATTCCACAGTTTTTTAAACACATATAGAATTCGTCATCATATCTTATCTTTATTACTGATATTGGTAATAGGTCTTTTTCTTTGTTTTTATCTTGACCAGTCTTGCTATAATATGTTCACTAAAAAATTAACTCAATACTTTCTGCCATTCTTGTTCCATCCTTCAAAATTTTCTACCTTCCAAGCCATTGTTACAATCTCTTTTGAAATTATATTAAATTTTAATTAACATTTCCAGTGAAAATATGCAAACACTTGAAGTAGCAGGTAGGTGTCTGCATCTGACATATATGATGGATGACTCAAACATATATATCTGCACTGGCTAATTTTTGGCATTTGTCACAAGCTTAGTATTCTATAATAAAGCACTAGAACACTAGTAAATTATCTCCCTGTCTTTGACAACTTAAAATTTCACTGAAAAAAAAGTTTTATTTAAATACAAACTAATTTGAATATGAAATGTTTAATTATTTATAGATTCAAATGAAATTCATTTTTCTATTTTCTAATATAGGACAAAAATAAAGACCATCCAAATAAAATCAAAATTTGGACCATACTGTAATGCTCAAGAAAAATTGTCACCGTATGCCAATTAGTTTATAGTTATGGTATAATTATAGAGGAAAAATATTTTCATCAAGAGATTTCATGAAATACTGAAATAATAATCTTGATGAATAATATGAAATATTTTTAACAATATAGAATTCAATAAATTGAAATGTATTTTGCAAATTGTATCCTGGTTTACATAAAATTTTTGCACTGAGCTATCAAATAAAAAATTACAGAGCCAATCAAAAGGAAGGGAACTTTTTTTACAAATAACAATACCAAGTCACTATTTATACTTCATTAAATGTATATTTTTTTTCCCAAAAGGTGGGCTACAAATAACACACCTATCAGAATGGCTAAACTTTGTTTTTTAAATTAATAACACCAAATATTGGTGAGGACATGTAGAAACTAAATCAATCACATGTTGCTGGTGGAAATGTAAAATGGTACAGCCACTCTGAAAAACAACTTGGTTACTTTTAACACTAATAAAGACTTCTCATAGTAACCAGCAACTATATTTCAGAGATATATCACAGAAAAATAAAAAAAAACTTACAAAACTTGTACACAAATGTCCATAGCAGCTTTACTTATAATAGAAAAAAAATGGAAACTATCCAGTATGCGTTTCAATGGGTGAATGGTTAAACTGTGCTACATTCGCACCATGAACCACTACTCAGCAGTAAAAAAGAACTATTGATACATGCAACAACTTGCATGTACCTAAAGGAAATGATACTCAGTGAAAACAATATAAAAATGCCAATTTCAAAGAAATACATATATAACAATTTTTATATAACATTTGTGAAATAACATAATTATAGAAATAAACAACATATTCATGGTTTGAAGAGTTAGGGATGGAGAGGGTAAATGGGTGTGCTTATAAAAGAGTAGCAGGAGAGAATCATATGGTAAGGCACACAGGTTACTATCTTCATTGTGGTAAGGGATAGAAGAAGGTATACATTTTATAAAATTTCACAGAGCTATAAACGTGGACATACTATGGATTATACCAGCATCAATATGCTGGTTTTTATATAGTACCGTATCTGACATAAGATGTTAGTGGTGGGGAAGTCGAGTAAATGGTGCATACACCTCCATGTGCACCCTTCTGTGAAATCGTAATTATTTCAAAATTAATTATAATCATAAAGCAATTTCCATAAATTGGAGTATATTTTTGTTGACTTCTGTGAATCAAAGATAGACAATCTTTCAAAATTCTTTTAGAGATTTCTGAAGTAGACAAAAAGTTTTTAAGACAAAGTTTTATTAACGTAAGGTATACCTCATGTAAGTGACGAGTTAATGGGTGCAGCACACCAACATGGCACATGTATACATATGTAACAAACCTGCACATTGTGCACATGTACCCTAAAACTTAAAGTATAACAAAAAATAAAATAAAATATACTAATATGCCCTAAAAAACATTGAGAATAAAAAAAATTACTTCAAATTTAATGTCTTAAAACAACAGAAATGTATTCTTTCATACTTCCGGAGACCAAAGAATCCAAATTAAGTTACAGTCAACCAAAATCAAGGCGTTACCAGGGTGGTATTTTCTCGGGAGGCTCTAGGGGAGAACATGAACCTTGCCTTCTCCAGTTTCTGGTGGCTGCTGGCATTCCTCAATTTGTGGCCTCATTACTCCATTCTCTGTTTCTGTAGTCAGATTGCCTACTTCCTTCTACTTCAGTCTAACATCCCTCTCCATCTTTCCTATAAGGATGCTTGTCATGGCATGTAGGGCCCATCTGGATCTTCCGAAATCATATCTTCATCTCAATACTATATCTGCAAAGACTTTTCTTCCAAATTAGGTAACATTTATAGATGTCAGGAAGTAGGAACTGGACACATCTTTAGGAGGCATATACTATTATTTAAACTAATTTATACTATGTTTTCTAAAAATATTAATTTAAAGGCACTGAATATGTTTTATTTGTTCATACATCCTTATACAATGTTGTTTGATCTTTTATAGTTATTTGTTGTAGTAGGCTGTTTTCCCTTCTTTTAAATCTGGGTTAACTTTGGTTTGCTTTGACCAGAAGGTAGCAGCAGTGAAACTATGCAAGTTCCAAGGCTATAGAAGCTTGGCAGTTTCTGCTTTCCCTCTTTTGGAAGCTAGGCACCATGTAAAACGTCTGCTTCTCCTGCTAGAAACCCCACATGGAAAGAGGGAGAGAAAGGGAGAGAAAGGGGGGAGGGGCGGAGGGGGAGAGAGAGAGAGAGAGAGAGAGAGAAATAGTCTCAAGCAACCATCATCTGAAGTGAAGCTCCAGGCATAAGAACAAAGGTATTGATATTCCAGCCCTAGCTGAACAGCCAGGTAACACACCAATTAGAGCAAATGAACCACCCAAATGAGCCCAACCACCCCACAGAAGAATGATTTTAAAAAGTCATTATTTTAAGACACTATGTTGTAGAATGGTTTGTTGTGTAGCAATAGATATCTGAAACATTTGTCTATGGATAAGATTACTTATGTATTGGATTTAACTAAAATTATACAAACTGTACTGAAATTTAAAATATTGTCCAATAACCTGTTCACAATGTGGCTAGATCTATGTAGAGGATATGTGGTTTAGGTTTTTAAATACACACAGTGATTTCATAGGTATTAGAATAGAAATAGGTATTAACTTTCAAAGCCACATTTAGTCAATCATATGTAAAGCTGCATAAAGTCAATTTCATGCTTAAGGCATCTTGGATATCGTAAGTGAAACAGGAATTATCATTGCAAAATCTGCAGACATCAAAATGACCATGAGAGAATACTAACAAAAACTCTACACACATAAATTTAGTAACTGAGGTGTAACCAATCAGTTCCTTAAAAAACACAAACTACCACAACTTAGCCAATAAGAAATAGAACATTTAATAGCTATATAACTAATAAATAAGTTGAATGCATAATTTTAAAACTGTCACAAAAGAAATCTCACTGGAAAATTCCACCAAACATTTAAAGAAGAATTAACATCAATTCTACACAATCTCTTCAGGCAATAGAAGATGATAGAATAATTTGTATTTCATTTTATGAAAGCAGTATTACTCAGGTACCAAAACCAGGCAAAGATCATAGTAAAAAATAAAAAACTACAGATCAATATTCCTAATGAATATAGACACAAAATTCCTTTACACAGTGTTAGAAAACAGAATTCAGTGATGTATAAAAAGAATTATATTCCATGATCAAGTAGGGTTTATTCTAAGTATTCAAGGTTGGTTCAATATTCAAAAATCAATATGTGATATACAATAATGACAGGCTAAAGGAAAAATCACATGACTATATCTACTGATGCAGGAAAGACAAAATTCAATGTCCATTTATGATCAAAAATGTCAAAAATTAGGAACAGAAGGAAACTTTCTCAACTTGATCAACAGCATCTACAAAAAATTTACAGTTGATATTATATTTACTGGTGAAAGACTAAATGCTTTTCCTTCAGGATAAGAAGCAAGATAAAAACGTCCACTCTCACACTCTTATTCAACATAGTATTGGAAGTTCTAAGTAGTGGCATAAGGCAAGAAAAAGAAAATACAGTCAGCCCTTAGTGTCCAAGGGACATTGTTGAAGGACCTCCCACAAATACCAAAATTCTCAGATGCTCAAGTCCCACATTCATCTGTGGGTCCTGCATCCCACAAGTACTATATTCACATCTGCATTTGGTTGAATCTGTGGATGCACAACCTAAGGACACAGAAGCCTAACTGTATAAGTCACATAAATCAAGAAACAAGAAAAGTCAAGTTACAAATTTATGTATAAGTCACATAAATCAAGAAAGAAGAACAGCCAAGTTACAAAAGATTTCCATCACATAAGGATTCCCTGTGTTGGCCTTTTTTAACTACAACCACTGTGCTCCAGTCCCCAGGCTCTCCTTAACTCCTGGCAACCTCTAATCTGTTCTCCATACTTATTTTTTGGTCATTTCAAGAATGTTATATGAATGTAATAATACAGTATTCAATTTTTTTGCAGATATTTTGATTGTCTATATTATAAATTCTAATGAATCTACAAAAATACCTTCTAGAGTAATAGTCCAAAAAAGTCACAGAATACACGGTAAACATACACAAATCATTTACAGTTCCATATGTTACCAATAAACAAGTGAACACAGAAATTAAAAATGCAATAGCATTTACAATCATTAAACTGACATAATTACACGAAAATGTAACAAAACCTGGATGGTACATTTTTGCTGAAAACTACAAAGTGCTGATAAAGTAAATGAAAGAAGATCTAAATGTATGGGAAGACATGCCATGTTCATGGATTAGAAAACTCAACATAAGAAAGATGTCAAATTTCCCTAAATTGATATATGGTTAAATGAATTCCTATCAAAATATCAGTGACATTTTTCTACAAAGAAGATTATTTCAAAATTTATATGAACAGGCAAAAAATTAGAGGAGCTACAACAATTTTAAACAGAAGAATGAAGTGGGAGGAATGATTCTATCGAATTTTGTGACTTATTATATAGCTACAGTAATGAAGTCTATGTGAGGTTGGTGAAAGGATAGACAAAAATGAATGTAACAGAAGAGGCTACCCAGAAAGAAGTGCACACAATATGCCTAACTAATTTTTGATAAAAGTACCAAAGCAATTTCAATGGAGAAAAAAATAGCTCTTTCAACAAATTGTTCGGGAAATAATTGGACATCCCTAGGCAAAAGTATAACCCTGAACCTAAATCTCATATCTTATACAAAAATTAATTCAAAATGAATTACAAACTTAAGTGGAAAATATAAAACTTTAAGAAACAAGTCATCAGATTAAATCTTTGAGATCTAGGGTTAACCAAAGAGCTCTTAGACATGACAAAAGCAGGATTCAGAAACACAAAAATTGATAAACTAGGCCCCAAAATTTGAAACTTTTGCTATGAGAAAGAATCTATTAAGAGGATGGAAAAAAAAAAGCTTAAAAATGGGAGAATATATTTGAAGGTCACAAATGACTGGTGTTTAGGATATATAAAGAACTCTTAAAACTCGACCGTTGCCAGGCGCGGTGGCTCACGCCTGTAATCCCAGCACTTTGGGAGGCCCAGACGGGTGGATCATGAGGTCAGGAGATTGAGACCATCCTGGCTAACACGGTGAAACCCTGTCTATACTAAAAATACAAAAATTAGCCGGGCGTGGTGGCGGGTACCTGTAGTCCAAGCTACTTGGGAGGCTGAGGCAGGAGAATGGTGTGAACCAGGGAGGCAGAGCTTGCAGTGAGCTGAGATCGCGCCACTGAACTCCAGCCTGGGCCACAGAGGGAGACTCCGTCTCGAAAAAAAACAAAAAACAAAAAAAAACTCGACCATTATAAATAAAATAAGAAAACAGGTAGAGATATTTCAATGAATATTATATATGAATGACAAAGAAGCACAAGAACTGAGGCTCGATATTATTAGCCATTAGGTAAATGCAAATATAAAATACTATGAGATGTTGCTATATTCCTATCAGAATGGCCAAAATATAGTGACAACCAAATTCTGGCAAGGATGCAGAGAAAATGGATCATTTATTCATTACTGGTGAGAATGTAAAATTGTACAAACACTCTGGAAAAGTTCGACTGTTCATTTAAAAACTAAACACACTGCTACCACATAACCGAGCAAGTGTTCTCATTTATCCCAGATAAATGAAAATTTATGTTCCAGAAAAGCCTATGCAGGAATGTCCATAGCAGTTTTATTTACATTAACCCTAAACTAGAAATAATCCAGATGTCATTCAATGGGTAAATAGTTATAAATTCTGGCACATCCATACCATTAACTACTATTTAGCAAAAACTACCAATATACATGACTTAGATGAATCTACAGAAAATTATGCTGAGTGAAAAAACATCAATTCAAATACATTGAATACTGTATGATTACATTTATATAATATTCTTGCAATGACCAAAAAATAAATATGGAGAACAGAGTAGAGATTGCCAGGAGTTAAGGAGAGCCTGGGGACTGGAGTGAAGTGGTTGTGGTTATAAAAGGCCAACACAGTTAATCCTTATGTAATGGAACTCTTTTGTAACTTAACTGTATCAATGTCAATATTCTGATTAGGAAGGTTTAATATAGTTATTACAAAATGTTATATTTGCAGGAAATTTGTCAAGAGCTCACAAGAACTCTCTGTGTTATTTCTTACCAACTACATGGGACTCAACACCCATCTCAAAATTAAGACTTTTTTTAATACCCTAAAATTATGCCTTTTTTGCTAGTATAATTAAATAACTTTATTGAATCAAGTACTAAATATGCTTCTCCAATATAATTTTATTTCTAAAACTCTTGAAAGAGGAAGCTTTCTTGTAAATTCAGAAACAACAACAAAAATCAGGGGGTCGTCAAAATACTCATTGACTTTTGTACCTTACTAATTCCATGGCATGTGATGAATGAATAAAACTCTACCAAAGGTGTTTATTTGCCTCTGTCTTTACTTTAAAATATTTTATATATTTATATTTTGAATACAAAATACTGTAATAAGATATTAAAGGGCAAAGAGTAAAGAAACATATATATATATATATATATATATATCTTCCTACCCTTTCTCCCTAGAATATACTGTACCATCTGTACCTCCCAATAAGTAACCAAAATCTTCAATAAATATTTTCTGTATATTCAAGCATATATATATGTGTGTATACACACTTAAACACTCTATATATATTCAAGCTAATATGTGTTTTCTCCCCACCAGCCCCCAATCTGCTTCTTTTTACACAACTATTACTATGTGCATAATTCTACCTCTTAGTTTTTCACTCTAATAAATTCTTCAAAACTCTTGATCTCAATGTAATAGCTTCATTTAAAAAACTACTGTATGATATTCCTTGGTATGGTATACCATATATTTAGATCATCACTGATAATTTGCTACTACAATGTTCCAACAAATTATTTTGTATATCTTGCATCTCCATATCTGTAGAATAAATTCCTAGAACTGGAACAGCTTGATCAAAAGGTATGAGCTTTTATAATTTTGATAAATATTACCAAATAGCCCTTGATAAAAATTGTGTCCATTTGCACTACCACCAGCAATGCATGAGAGTGCCCGCTTTCTTCTACTGTCTTCTGTATAACAAATAATCTCTTTGATCTTTGCCAATCTGATAGGTGAAAAAGTTCCCAAAGTATGCATTCTATTTAAAAATAAAAGTCAATTCATCTTATGTGAAAAGATACCTTAGCACATTAATCACAAGGAAATAAAGTGACCTTCAAGGCTGAACACAACTTACAGCTCTGCCCTGTGTCAAGTGATACTCTGCATTTGAAATTGCCCTATATCCCAGTTTATTTTTAGGGCTTGTTGTTCACAGAAAAAGAGATGATCATTACTGGTCAAAGTTAATATTTAAGCAGATAAATACATCAAAAATTGTTTAGTAAAGACAGCCAGAAGAGTGGTATGATAAGCAAAGTAGAAATAAATCTAATGATTCCTGCTATGTAACCTTGAATGTTGTTCATGCATCCAACTATGCCTGTAGATTTTTATTAATACTATCTGCTGAGAAACCATTTCAAAATCTACTCTGCACAGCTGCATAAGAATATACTAATATATCCTATCATGCATATGTATGTAGTAATAAAGAATTAACATACTCTTCCACAAGGTGAGAGGTCCATTGAGAAGTGAAAGAAAAGTTTTTAGGAGCTTTTGATAGCCACCAAGCTCTCTTTTGGGTCTGCTATTCTAAGTCAATGATTCAATTTCCTAGATGATATAATCCCAGAGTTAAAAAGAATGCAAATATCTTACCTATTCATATACAAATTATATTTTATGACAAGAGAAGCATATTTACAATTTCAACTATGATCACTGGGTAAGGTAGTAACTATGAATACGGACTTTAGAGTTTAGTAACTATTCTGACTTATTTTAAATGTTTCAGTAGGTGACAAGGAAGGCATCTCATCTGATTATTGGCATCTCTCATAACTGTTATCCAGTTTTAAGATTCTGCATTATTTCATATTTATTCAGTGATAGAGTACTGATCTCCTAGAAACATATAAAAATAACTTTCTTAATTCGATTAAAATACTACATCTCGAGTTAACTATATTAGAATTATAAAATAATTTTTCAATCAACTATATAATGTGCAATCAGAAAAAAGAAAAGCTTATCAACAGTAAAAGATTATCTTTCTTTAAAAATCCTATTAATTCCTGTCATCCTAAAAAAAAACACAAACTGAAAGCTTTATTTAGAGAAAAATGGTTAATAAATTCCATTTTAAATTTGTTGGGATATGTTTTACCACAACAAATACACATGGATCATTGATGATTCCATAGAAAAGGCAACAACACATAAAAATAAAATCGCCTGATTTTGATGGTCAAATATCTTGAATTTAATATGAGAGAAAAAAATACATACTGTTTGTTAGTCCAAACTGCACCATGTTGTAAGCTCCCTGCTATTTTGCAGACCTTGGTGAAAGCGAAACATTTCACAGGGGTTCGAGCTGTGAGAAACATCCCGTCTAACCAACTGACCACGAGTTGGACAAAGGCCTAACTAAAGAGACATCCCTATCATATCTTGCTGGACAAAGGTCCAAGGAACACCCTGAACAACAGAACGACATCGCGCCGGAACAAGAGCCAGAACCGCCTCTTCATGGAAGCATCTTATTAATATCCCGCGGAGCAGCAAGCCATACTGCTCAGACCCCTTCTGCCCGTACCTATAAATGGCCCCAGCCTGTAAGCGGCAGCGGGCTCCGGCATTAGGCTGGTCCTCCACTTCTGTAGGATTTATGCTGGACAGAAAGCCTGAATTTGCTGTTGAGCCGCCCTCTTTCCGTGTGTGTGTGTGTGTGTGTGTGTGTCTTTAACCCTCGCCTTCCCTTCAAAACCTAACACTGTTCAAAGAAGATTTAGTCCATCATTAAGTATTTATTAAGAACGTACAAGTCAAGCCCAGTACTGGGCGCCTAAGACATAAATAGGTCTGTGTTTCAGCAATGATCTTGCAGAAATGAGGTTGGGTGGGTGAGGGGCTTGTTGGGGCTGTGTCTGCACATAATAATTCCTCAAAACAAACACTTTGTTGCTGGCACAGCAGAAAAGCAATCAGGCATTGACAGGTAGAAAATAGCTTTTACAGCATGGGCGATGAGGAGCCCCAAAGCAGCATATAAAGCAAATCCTTCATTTCTCCCATACGTCTTAAGTAGTGAACCGCAAGGATGGTGCAGACTAAGATTGGGTCTACCTATAAGATCTGGAGGGGAAAACGGCAAGACCAGAAGAAACCGTCGCAGACTTATTTGCATAAGCACCCAAACACTGCTTACGTCACTGCGCCGGAGTCCGGACCCCGCCCCGTCTTACTCCAGCCTTTCCCAGCTAGGGAGGAGGATGGAAAGGGAAAGCGGGACGCTGGAGAGCGCGAGCCTGGGGGCTTTGCTTCCTAAAACGCACATCAAAGGCTGCTTCTCAGCTCAGGAAAAATAATTCCCGTTCCCGCAGCCTGTGCCACTGGGTGGGTCATGCCTGTTCCCGAACGCCTCGGGCGTCTTGATTCATTCTTATGTATCCAGTTGGTGCGCTACGTTAGAGTGCAAGGATTTCCCTGTACTCAATACCGTCTTCTTCCCAGTCACACACAGACCAGCCTAGTGAAAGAAAGGTAGAAACGATCTGGGTTTCTAACTGCTTCCCATCTTCTTACAGTCCCAGCAGCACCACCCTCACCGCCACACTCTCAAATTCCAGGATGCGCAGAAACACAGGAGCCGTGATTTCTCCAGCAGCCACGTGCCTTTCGTACGGCGAAAGGCCCCCTTTCGGGCCATTTATCACAGGATACCTCAAGCAAAGGGGAACTGTGGTCACGTGAAAACACTCTGTCCTCGGTAGTCGCCTTCTGCCTTTGCTAAAGCGAACGGAAGCGAATGAGGAATAAAGCTCTCTGCTCTCCCCGCCCCATCGCCCACCTGCACGAGGTTTAGCTTCCAATTCACCTCGCGTCTCTCTCTGCCCCAACCCTCCCAACTTTCCTCTTGGACTTTCCCGTGTTGGACCCCACCCTTCAACCAACCCCGACTTGGCTTGGAAACGAGTAGGTCTCTGGGGATGCTGTGGGCAATTTCCACGACGGGAAGAAAGGATGGCGGCACGTTTCAACCCATGTGCTTCCCCTTACATGTGCAGCCTGTCGCCCCCCACCCTGATTGTACAGAGATGCAGAGTTAGACGGTTGCCCGCCCAGCCCAGCTTCTCCCTCCCAGGGCTTTTGAGCTGCCCTCCCTCCTCCCACCCCAGGACGCAGCGAGTCCTTCCCGGCATCCATCCATCAATTCGTTCCCGGTGCTGGTGCCCAGGCTCCTGGGTGGCTAATGGCGAGCCCCACCTCACCCCCAGTTGTGCCCTTAGCGTAGGCGCTTGCCATTACCGTCAGTGTGTCTTGACCAAGCGCCTCTTGCTGCTTCCACGTCCGGGCAGCAGCAGCAGCAGTCGCGAAAGGGTAGGGTCCAGGTGGCTGTGACGGAGGCCGAAGAGGAGCTGTTGGCAGAGAAGCAGCTTCTTGCCTAGGTTGGGACCCGGAGCTGGGTTTTGGGGGTCGCCGCCCTGCAGGCTGGCAAGGAGAGACTCGTGAGCGCCTGTGTGTCTGCCAGGGAAACAGCACGGGATACAGGCGCGCGGGTGCGGGTGCGCGTGTACATGCGTATGTGTGTGTGCGCGCGCGCGTGTGTGTATGTGTGAGGGTGTGACGGAGGCGCCCACGTGCTCGGCCCGCCCGTGTTACGGCCGCCTACCGGCTGCAGAGGAGAAGGGTAGGCTGTGGGCGGCGGCGGGGCGCGGAGGGGTAGCCAGGAGCGCAGGCTGGGCTCCGCACCTCCCTGCCCCAAAACCCATTGATGCAGCGGCCACTGCGGCTGCCGAGCGGCGTCTTCCCAGAGCCCGGGGCTGTGCCCGCCCGATGCAGGATGCAACTGAGGAAGCCCGCTCCAAAGCAAAACAAAACAAATTCCTCCAGCCATGCCGTCTTTCTCCAACCCACTCAAGCGAAAGAATGGACACCAGTTACCAGCCGCTGACTTTTGTCTCAGTGAGAATAATAATAGGCATGGTGCTACCTGGCACCATCTGAATATTCTCCAAGAGTCAGTAATGGGACTAGAAAAAATGGGTGACCCAAAGAACCCTTTTCCCTACCTATTCCCCCAAGCCGGCCATTTACATCTCTTGCGAAAGAAAAAGCCTCTGGGCATTGGCTTCTCCGTCAGGCGGTGGCCTCATAGCGCTCAGTGATTCTCGCCAGGTTATGAAAGGCCGTTTTAGAAAGCTGGCCCTCACCCACCCTGTGTTGGTGCCTCAGCAGCAGACTTTTTTCCAAGGGGTCTCATTACAAGATGAAGCCTGACTTACCTCTGCTAACAATCAAGGCATGCTCGTAATTAAGCCACGTGGAGAATTCCTAAAATATACACCTCTGAACACAAAGCTTAGCCTCCTTTTGAAAATGGCTGAACCGTCCCCTAAACAGTGCGTATGCTCTAAGGATGAAATTTTCCGTCCTTGAAACGTTCAAAATTTGAAAGAAATACAAAATGAACCTAGAAGCTAGGTAGAAAGGTTCAGTAATTTAGCAAAGTTAATTTTTCACTTCCAGATTATTAATATTACTCTTAAAAACTACTTTTGTGCACTTTTAGGCCTTTTAACAATCCCTTAGATTTTTACGGTTCGTATCCAATTAAGATTGAATTAAATTAAAAAGGCCATTGCAAACAGGTTTTTCATGCAGTGAAAAATCTCTTGGAAAGAAATCACAAGACCTAAATTTCAGGTCAGAACATTGCTACTAATCCTTAGCTTTTAAAACAGCCAAGAGAGTTTTTTCTCAGCCTCTCTTCCAATCCCAACTTTGAAAAATTAAAAGTTAAGAAATTAAATTAGATTTGATTCCCTGATACGCCTCCCCTGCCATGAGTAAATAAATGCTCTTTGATAGATGCGCCACGTGAAAAAATAAAAACAGTCAAAATAAACCTTTTATAGGACTTTTTTTGCTTTTTACTTCACATTTTGGTGACAGGCAAATATTTAATGTTGATATATAAAGAAACTGAAATACAGTACCAACATTATCAATAACAACTGAGAAAATTTTAGGAAAATAAGGAGAGCTGTGTCCACCATGATCAGGATTAGGATTATCTGTGGGAAACAAAGTTATCCATATGCTGGCAGAAATCGTTTACGGTAGTACCAAGAAGTACGAAAATTATTTCTCTCCCACGCTTTTTCACTAGTGTCTGATACCTAATTCCAATACATATGCATAGGTCACAAAATATTTGTAGAGCGATGCCCTCCATAATGACTGATACTAATTTATGTCTCAATGCCAATGAAGAGAAGTAGGAGAAAGCAACTATTGTTTTAAGCTTCCCACTAAGTACCTGGGGCTTAATAATATCTTATTTAATCCTCTCAACTAATTAATGAGGTGATTTTTCCTAATTTAGAGATTAGAGAGAGGTGATACTCAAAAAAAATTGCAAAAAGTCAGAAAACTTGTTCAATGACAGAATGGAGAAATAAATTCAGATATGCTGGCCTCAAACTTCATGTGCTTTTATACTATCCTGTAACCCTTTAACAAATTATCTATTTTAACAGGAGGAAAGGGTGGAATCTCAACACAAGTGGTAGGCAACTTTGAAAACAATAAATAGATGAAGAATGGAGAGACCTCAAAAGGAGAGTCTGGGAACCCTAGCCAAAGGTAAAATGTATTCATTTTTAAAATTTAACAACAATGAGTCTTCAAAGATTTAAAATTCAATTGCTAATATATTTTAGGGTAATGATTACAGAGTTCTTTCTCTGTCACCATAGGGCAAAATGGCCAACATGGGATTGGTGTGGGAGGAAGAGGCAGCACACAGAAAGGAAAAAAACAGAACTTGGAAGAATTAACTACAAGTTAAGGGAGACTAGTGCTTCCAGCCACACTGTATTTAATAATATTAACAAGGATTGATTAATGTTAACTATGTGTCTTTGCAATGTACAGAATAATTTCTATATTTTATGAATATATACTTCTTAATTCTTACACCAAGCCTGTGATGTAGGTCTAGTTTTTACAAAACATTGCCAGAAAAGAAACTGAAGCTTTGATTGTCCAAGGTCATACCGTCAAAAGGCATCTGTTAGATATTGTAAAAATAAAAACCTGCCCTATCTAAATCACTTTCTGAAATTGATACCTACTTTTAAGCAATTAATGTTACACTTATTATTTTTAAAATTTGATAAAAGATCACATGAAGGAAAAGAGTATTCTCTTTGACTAGAGGAGAGAAGGAATCTGACTCACCAAGCCTTTCTACCTTATTTCTTAAACCAAATCCTTTAGAATAACAATATTATGTAAAAACTTCCAAAGATGTAGCACTAGAGTTCAGAAAAATAATTCAAACATTTACTAAAAGATGATTTTAAAACTACAATACTAAAGAAAAACATTGAAATCAATTCACATCCTAAGATTACATTAATTCATTTGCTTATATTGCTATATGGGCAGTAGAGTATATTGTGAGGATTTTTTTTTTGCATTTTAATAAAACTTTTTATTCTAACGTCCTCCATGCCAAATGTCATTTGATATATGGTCTCCAAATTTTTATGAAAACAAAGTCTGCACAAGCCCAAAATATCCACTGAATATTCTGTTCTATTCATACTACTGATGAAGAACTGAGAGGTAGATGCAAGGAAAGTAGGTTCTCTGATTTCTCAGTGGGTAGAGGATGGGTTAACTGAATTGGCAAATGTCAAAGTAATCAAATCAATTTTTTAACTAATTGACTAAGATAGTAAAGCAATCAAGACAATGTAGGAAATGATTGAATTTTACTGTTTCTGCACTTTGAAGATAAAGCCTAAATGGCCCTGGCGAGTAAAAATACCAACACAAGCTGTCATTTTTTTGACAGAGAAATGCACCCCCTACCTCTGTAAACTGATTATAACCACTAAGTTTTTAAGTTGCCCTTTTATTATAATGTTTAATATAATAGCAAACTATGTCTCTAAAACATTTTATGTGTGTCAGGTACTATGCTCAGCATTAGTCTATATAGCTACTTAAATATCCGAAACCAAAATATTTAATGGTATTTGTTTTGTATAAAGTATATGAGGTGCCTTTTATTTGCTGCACAATCTCATTGGTATATACAGATTCTATAGGCTCCATGATTTTTATACGTACTTCTAAAATATAATTTGAATACAAAAGTGATACTTGCTCATTGAATACATTTCAATCTATGAACTTGTACATGGTGAAAAGACCCCTGTGTTTATGTTCCCCTGACTTTGAGGAGGGTCCCAGGAAAGAGGGTAGAGTTAGATTTTAAATAGAGTGGTCAGGGTAGGTCTCATTGAGATTTTACTGGTGCAAGGACACGAAGGATTTGCAGGAGTTAGCCTTGTAGATATAAGGAGATAGGAGTAAGTTCCAGGTAGAGGTCAGTGAAAAGGGTCTTTTCAGTCAGTTTAAAAAGATTGTAGGATCAGTGAATAGACCCTAAAAAAAGAATTTAACTGATATGTTTGAGGAAGAGAAAGAAGACCCAGATATTGCAAATATGTCTTACTCCGTAGAGACAAGCTTATGGTTTTTACAATTTAATTTATTTTATAAAATTCATATTCATAGATTTTCTGTTATTGAACCATGCTTGCATCCCTGGAATAAATCCTACTTGATTATGAGATACTATTCTTCTTTATATAAATTGATGGACCCAATTTTTTCATATTTTTATAGAGTTTTTCATCTATACACATAAATGTATTTGATAAGTGATTTATATTCTCCTTATAAGGTTATTCTAGCACTGTAAAATGAGATCCAAAGCTTACACTTCTAGTCTCTCAAATACCCTTTTATGATATAGACATTGTTTCTTACTCACCTGAGAAATCAAGGAAAGTAGGAAAGTGGTAAGATAAAGATTTCTTATTTATGCTTTTTTTTTTTTCTTTTGAGACAGGGCCTGGCTCTGTCATCCAGACTGGAATGCAGTGTTGGAGTCACAGCTCACTGCAGCCTCAACCTCTCAGGCTCAAGTGAACCTCCCACCCCAGCTTCCCAGGTAGCCGAGACTACAGGTGCATGCCACCATGCCCAGTTAATTTTTTCATGTTTATTTATTATTATTTATTATTATTATTTTTTGAGACAGAGTCTCGTTCTGTCACCCAGGCTAGAGTGCAGTGACGCGATCTCGGCTCACTGTAACCTTCGCCTCCCGGGTTCATGCAGTTCTCCTGCCTCAGCCTCCCGAGTAGCTGGGATTACACATCACCATGCCTGACTAATTTTTTTGTATTTTCAGTAGAGACGGGGTTTCACTATATTGCCCAGACTGGTCTCAAACTCCTGACCTCATGATCTGCCTGCCTCGGCCTCCCAAAGTGCTGGGATTACAGGTGTGAGCCACCGCACCCGGCCTAATATTTATTTTTCTAGAGACAGGGTCTCACCATGTTGCCCAGGTTGGTCTTCAACTCCTGTGCTCAAGCAATCCTTCCATCTTGGCCTCTAAATATACCAAGATTACAGTTGTGAACCACAGTACCCAGCAATATGTTTTATTATTTATTGAGTTTTTCTATTGGTCTATTCAAGTTAACTAGTTCTTCTCGAGTAAATGAGTAAATGTTGGCAATTCATTTCTTTTAAAGTGTTCATTTCACCTAATTTTTAAAAGTGCTTCAATAATTTTTGTACTATTTTCTTTTGAATTTTAAATCCTAGATTACATTTATAGATATATGAACTTCTCCATAGGTTTTGTTTCAACCTTTTCTTCATATCTCTTTCAATCTGTTAAATGCTAAACATTATCTATGAGTCTTTTCAAAGAAACAACTATTGATATTATTGGTGTTATAATTTTTTATTTTCTGTAAATTTCTTTTCTTGTGTTATTTATATATTTCTCCTACTTTCTTTGAGTTCAGTCTTTTCCTAGGTTTTGAATTTGAACAAATATAGTACATTTTAATTTCTACATTGCTTCAAGGTTATAATTTATTTTATAAGCATAGCTTTAGCTGCAACCTAAACATTTTGGTTATATAATACTTTAAGTGTTCATTTAAAATAATTTCAGGAGCCTCTCTGAACCTATTCTGGCTTGAAGAGGCCGCCCTAAAAATAATAACCATAATTTCAATTCTTATTTGCTTAATTTATGAGCATATTTTAAACTTTTTTACTGTTTATTACTTATAGTTACATTTAAGTCATAAAACTTAATATTTGTGATATCAATTCTGTTGGATTTGTTGAGACATTCTTTGTGGCCTAGTACTTGTTCACTTTCATTTACATTATCTATGTTGTTTTCCAGAGTATGTATGTTTTATTTGTTAAATCCAGCTTATTAATTGTGGATTTCAAATCTTCAAATATGCGGCATAGACCTTTAAGACACATATGATTGCATAATCCTATTCCAACTGGATTTAGTTTTTTATTTGTTTGTTTGTTTTGAAAAGGATTTTTGCTCTTGTTGCCCAGGCTGGAGTGCAATGGCGCGATTTCAGCTCACTGCAACCTTCGCCCCCCGGTTTCAAGCAATTCTCCTGTCTCAGCCTCCTGAGTAGCTGGGATTATGGGCATATGCCACCACACCCGGCTAATTTTGTATTTTCAGTAGAGAAAGGGTTTCACCATGTGGGTCAGGCTGGTTTCGAACTCCTGATCTCAGGTGATCCTCCCGCCTCAGGCTCCCAAAGTGCTGGGATTACAGGCATGAGCCACCATGCCTGGCCTAGATTTAGTTTTTTTAAAAAAATTTTAGATTAAAAAAAAATGTGGGATGTTGGTTTGTTTTCTTTCTTTTTCTTTTTCCTCCTCCTCCTCCTCTTCCTCCTTCTTTGTCTTCCCCTTCCCTTCCTTCTCCATCTACTTCTCCTTCTTCTCCTTCTCCTTATTCTCCTTCTCCTCCTTCTTTGACTTCTATACCTCCCAGGGAAGACTTTGGCTATGTTGGGTCACTTTCCTACACCTGAGCCAACCAAGGTGGCTTCAGAAATGAAGTTCGTTTTTCCATATGATCAGAGTGGCATAAACTTCTCCCAATGAAAGAAAGCACTATTAACAGAAAAACAGCAAAAGGGAAAAAAAATTTTAAACACTCAAAAACATGAACAAATAAAATATCTCCTACACTTCATGTATGAAAATACATTCTACAGGGAGTATAGCTACCTTGGATACTAGGAACTGAAGAGTTTGAGTCATTGAGAAAAAGTTTGATGGTCTAGCATATAATTAAATGGTGATGTTTGGGCCTGGCTTTCTCAGCTGTTGGTGGAATCGTGAGTCATGAGAACTCAAATGAATGAAGAGCATCATCCCTGAGTAATGGTGAACTCTGGCCACCCCCCAGTGTTATTTCTGTATCTCATCCTTCCCCCCTCCCCACCACAAGCAATATAATAGGGGTGGACTAGTCTAATAATTTGGTCACTAGTCTAATAATTTGGAAGTTGGCTTTAGACCTAGAGAATTTGGAATTCTCTAGGTGTACAGGGATTTGGCATGCGTAATTTTATGCGGGTAGTAAATATTTACTCCCCCACCTCCCAAATCTGAATTTGACATATGCTAGAACCTCAGTAGGTAAATGCCCTTGGATTATCAGACCACATTCAGCAGTACAGTAGTCTCCCTTTATCCTGGGAGAATATGTTCTAAGACTTTCCATGGATGCTTGAAATCACGAACAGTACCAAACTGGATTGCCAAACAGTTGGAACATGTTTCTTTTAAGGTCTTTTATCCACAAATTTGATGCCTTTTCCATCTTATCTAAGCACTTATTATGCACTGTGGCTGTAACTTTTGCAGTTTGAAGTGCTATGGCAAAACCAGCACAAGTCTATTTTTTTTCACAATGACACAGATAGAAGAATTATTCTTAATGTAAATCTTAGCAACCTCAGCATACGATTGTTTCTTCTTTTCGTATTGAGAGCTTTCATATTTTTATTTTTATTTTTTAATTACTGAGACAGAATCTCATTCTGTTGCCCAGGCTGGAGTGCCTTGGTTCAATTATAGCTCACTGTAGCCTCAAACTCCTGGGCTCAAGCAATTATTCTGCCTCCGTCTCCTGAATAGCTAGCTGGGACTACAGGCCTGCATCACTACTCACAGCCTCACATTTTACTTAAAGAAAGCACTTTACTCCTTTCCTCTGGCATATCCAAATTGCTAGCGTCACTACTCTTGCACTTTGGGGCCATTATGAAGTCAAATAAGGGTGAATTGAACACAAGCATTGCCATCTCATGATATTCTATCTGATAACCAAGGCTGATACTAAGTGACTAATGGGCAGGTAGTGTCTACAGCATGAAGAATCTGGACAAAGGAATGATTCATGTCCTAGGCAGGATGGTGTGGTACAGAACAAGATTTCATCACACTACTCAGAAGGGAGTGCAATTTAAAACTGATAAAACTGTGGGTAAGGGGAGCCACTGTAGCTGCAACTCTTATTTCTATAAATTAACTTAATTTCTAACTCTGAACTCACATACAATTTATCTGCAAAGAAAAAAAAAAGTATACCTCATTCATTCTTAGGGCCTCCTTGCAATCTCCAAGCATCCTCTGTGCCCCCACCTCACTCCTATATTTTTATATCAAGGATTTTGGGACTTCCTATAGGTCCCAGGCAAAAGAGTTGGTATCATCTGATTATTGGGTTATGTATCTGCAGAGATAATCACTAAGATGTCCACTGTCTTTGCTCATATTATTCCTTCAGGTTCTATGGGGTACCACTCTTCCCATTCCAAGTTTGGGACACAAGACTCTGCTAAGGCAGAGTCTAAGTCTATGCTTAGAATTCCCCCCAACCTACAGTTAAACCTTGCTGATTCCCTGTTGCCTCTTTAGCTTAACAGATGCTAATACTAAGCCAGAAGCTATTAGGGTTTATTAATTGCAAGGCAGTTTGCTTGCTATCAAATAAATACCCATGTATACTTCTTCACAGACCCACATATGCTACCATGTGGCCCTCCCTACTCAACCTCAGTATATCTTTACTGAAAAACACATGCCAAAGAACAACACCCAGAGAGCTGGAAACACTGGAAAAGATTTCGTGATGCCCCCAACTTTACTTTATAGGGAAGGTACGTAAGTAAAATCTCATTATAACATCCTCCACAGGGAATTGTCCAATAATTACAATGACAACATTGTAAATTAATAAAATGGTTATGTTAGTCTCTGTTGCATGAGGAACACAAAAATAAACAAAGGCAAAGTTACTCACTGTTAGAGAATAAGAAATAAAGGAGGGAAGCTTGTCGTAGTGAAAAAGGGGCTATGTCATTCATGGGCTTCAAAGTAAGGGGCAGAAGCGGTTTAAATCAAGATCAAATATCTACATTTGGGTTTCAAATATTGCATTTGTAGCTCCTATAGCTTGAGTTTAGTCCCCCAACTAATACTTCGGTGACATTTCTTAGACTCAGTTTTACCACTGCTATGTAGTCTCTTTCCTAACACTAGAGAGATTGTCAGAATCTCATTTACTACTGGCAGGAAAGCCTTTTAATGTAAGCAGATTCTGGAACCACTTTCAGACTCCTTTCCTTAAAGTCACTTCCCGTAGAACCATTCTTGTATGAACATTTTTATTAGTCCTGGTTTGGTCAGCAAAGCAGAGCCACCATAAATGTTACAGGAATAAGATATTTAACATAGGAAATAGGACTTCAAAAATTTGGCAGGAATTAATGTAGGAGAGTAAAATTCTAGAATGCTACAGCCAGAGAATCAAATATTTACCAACAACTTTAGTTTCAAGCAATGTAGCAAGCTGGTTGTATGACCTCCTGAAAATTGTGGCTTCTATTTCTGTCTTCCAAAATACATGCCAATGTATCTTATTGTCAAGCTCTAAAAACCTACAGGGAAGATGATTCTTTGAAATGCACTGCCCACTACACTAGAAGAAAGTAACGGTAGCAAGAAATTGACAACAGCCAATCCAGTAAAGTATTTCCATCTATAACAGAAATTTTTTTCTCATGAGTGTGTGTTTGTGTGTGTGTGTGTGTTATTTTTGTTAGATGTTGTTATTATGGCAATGCTGATTTTTACAAAATGAATTGGAGATATTTTTTGTTTTACCAAATTGTCGAATAGCATGGATGTATCTTCCTGGAAGTATCTCTTCTTTGCAAGATTGAAATAAATTAGCTTGTAAAGCCATCTGGCCTGGTAGTCTTTGGGAGGTAATTCTTTCACATTTTCTCCAAGATCTTCTAAAAAAAATCTGCCTATTTAGTTTTTTCTTCTTTCTCCACAGCCATTTTGGAAATCTTTTCAGAAATCATTACTTCAAGAATATTATTTTATATTGAAAAAAATCAATTTTTCCTGTAAGCTTGTGTTTAGGTTAGTTCAGGTTGCTGTAACAAATTACCATAGACTAGGTGGCTTAAATAACAATCATTTATTTCTCACAGTTCTGGAGGTTGGGAGTTCAAAAGCAAGATGCTGGCAGGTCTACTGTCTGGTGAGGGACTGCTTCCTGGTTTGCAGATAGCTGACTTTTTGCTGTGTCCTCATATGGCAGAGAGCAAAGACAAGAAAAACGAACTCAAGAATCCCTTTTATAAGGACACTAATCCCATTCACGAGGTATCCACCCTTATGATCTAATTACCTAACTATGGATCAGTCCATGGCAGCTTGTCTCAGACAGCCTTACTGCACCACTATTTACCAAAAAATCTGAGTTCCTTACAACACAACACACATTTATTACTCACTCACATTACATTCCTGCAACTGTAGTTTGCTCAACTCTACTCAGCTCTGCTCCACTTTGCCCCATGTGTCTTCTCATTCTGGAACTTTGCCTGAAGGAGCAAACTTTCTACAGGACACACTTATTCTCTTAGGGAATAAGCGGGAAGGGAGGAACAAGAGGAGAAATCAAACCACACAATTACAAATAGAGCTTCTGTTTAGATGTAGTATGTTTCACATTTTTCAGTTTTCATTGTCCAAAGCAAGTAAAGTACATTTGTGGCTGCTCTTAATCTAGAGACATAGTATGGGGGGAAAGCCAAGTTGTCCAGCCTTCTACTCTTGCCACCAAACCCCACAATATAAATCCAATACTTAATGGCAGAATGGGGACAAGATTAGCTATGATAAGCACTACCATTTAGAGTATTCATTGGTTCATAGCAATTCTTAAGTCTCACTGAGCTAACTTTGTTGAGTGTTCCTACCCTGATCAAGGAAATGTTACTTAGAAGTTATGGTTCTCCTCCCCAGAAGTAGCACACTTGTCTTTTGTTCTCCATGACTCCTGGGTTCCCACTTTCTTTCCATTATTATCTTTGGCCACATCTGAAATGGAGAGTTTTTGTGCCTAAAGTATCTCAGTCTCTCTAACTAGACTGATGGTGTTAGGGCAACAGGAGCCTACGAGAGCCAGAGTAATGCCATTTTAAAATCAACTCCATTTTGAGACTAGCAAAGCACATTCCTTGCCAATCACAACCCATATTCACAGATGCTTACAGCAAAAGAAACAACCTAAGGATACCTGCAAGGACACACTCCTACAAGAGCAAAGTCCAGATCTCTCAAAACCAATAACAATATATATTCTTCAGATAATAACAGTTATGATTGCATGTAGTCACAAACTAGACTGTCAAGGCTAGTTCTCTTTAAATAAATAGAGTAATAAATTTGTCATAATGCCTGCTCTCCCACATGTGGACACAGCTTAGCTTAGTCTTTACATAGACAAGATCCCTATATGAGAAAAACTTAAAGCCAGGGCATTCCTCCTCTTGTTTGCTTGCTTAACCTACTGTGCACCCAGGCTGGAGTCCAGTGGCCGATCTTGGCTCACTGCAACCTTCACCTCTCGGGTTCAAGCGATTCTTGTGCCTCAAGCCTCCTGAGTGGCTGGGGTTATAGGTATGCACCACCATGCCTGGCTATTTTTATTTTTATTTTTATTTTTATTTTTAGTAGAGACGGGGTTTCACCATGTTGGCCAGGCTGGTCTCAAACTCCTGGCCTCCAGTGATCCATTCAACTTGACCTCCCAAAGTACTGGGATTACATTTTTACTTTTACCAGTCAGAGAAGAGAACAACTTATATTTCCAAATCCTGCAAGTGTTGAAATTTCTAAACTGCTTTTCTCTTTCATCTCATTTTGAAAATGAGCTGATTCTTCCCTGAACTTAACTCTTTCTTGGAAGATATCTTATCAAGTGCAGCTAATACCAAAAAGCTCATTTAATAACATTCTGTTTAAAAACTCCTTTTCCCAGAGCCACAGGTTCATTAGATACAATTATGTGTTTTTTAAATATTGCAAGTGACATGTTTACCAAATATTTTACCATTGCATTATGTGTGTTGCCATTTTTCTCATCTCTAGTAACTGTTTACTATCTATCTACAACCTGATCACGAGCCAATATTACATGTGTCAGTTTCTTGTTGATATTTGCTTATTTGTTATGTGTTATGTCAGGACCAACTTCTTGTATCAATTTCTCTGCTAATCCTCTTTATTGAATAACAAACATGCTTAATGTGGCTTATTCTGGAGCTCATGTAGCAGATGCCTATGTGTCCAGGCAAAGAGCAGAGGCAAGAATATAAGCAAAACCACATGGTCATATTCATAACTGCTAAGACATTCAGAATATTTTATTTTTGTGAAAGACCCAACTCTTAAACTTATTTATATATTTTATCAATTTTCCTACTTTCAAATTTATTAAATTTGGCTTTAACTCTGTTATGTTCTTCTGCTTTTATTGATTTGGTTTGTTTTTCGATTTCTGACTCCTTAAATTAATGCTCAATTCATTTTCCTTTCTTCCCTCCCTTCTTTCTTACCTTTTTTTTTTTCTTTGTTAATAAGGAAGTGATCTTGCCAGTCACAAAGTGATGATGTATTCAGCCTGTTTCCTAGAGTTGCTGACTCAGTGTCAGGAACTTTCCCCAGATGCCCGTTTATTTCAGCTTTCTCTGAAAGTTACTGTATGTTGTCTGTTGGCTTGTTGGCTTATTGGCTTATGGTTTGAAGTCCAGCTGCTTTCAAATTTATAGAGTTCCACTGCAGGAAAAAGAAAAGAGATAAATGGTATCTCTGCCTCATAGTTGATTAAAGATTTTACCCCTTGCTCTACAAATCAGAGTGCACTTAAGATGTTCTAAAAAGGCATATCTTTATTATTTAGAAGTGACACAACATTTTCAAGGAGAAAAATAATCCTCTTTATGTCTTCATTTGCTATATCTAGTTAAAATTCTTCACAGTTGTTTTTTAACATCTTTCTTTAGTGTTCACTTTATATTCAGAAATTTCTCCTTTAAAATTCCCTTTGATCATTGCAGTGAGGAGCCAAGGAGGACTTAATTGCCTGTGTTCGTCTTACTCAAAACTTTTCTTTTGAATCATAAACATATAATGCAATACAGATTTGAATAATATCTAAATACGCTGAAGTTGTAAGGAGGCAGAGTTTTTACTGGTGGAGAAGAGTGATACAAATAAGCAATGCTAGAAGTCAAAGAAGGCAAAAAATTTAAAGAAGAACCCCCTATTCTCTCAGCAAAATTCCAGGTATCAGAATAAGTTCATTACTTAAAGGTATAATTTAAGCTTTAAATGATTAAAAAGAGATGGGAACATTCAAAAGGATACAGGAAATAGCTTGAAAGACTTCCAACCTGATATATATATATGTATGTGTGTGTGTATATATATATATATATATGTATATTTAAATTGTATATTTGAATGGAAATTCAGTAGAATTTTATAAATTTTATACTTGTATATATAACATATACATTTAAAAATAAAATATATTTATAAATAATAATATATATCAATTTTAAAATAAAATTCATGAAATTTTACTGAAAGTGTCTAAAGTCAAAGACACACCTACCAATGAGTATACCTAGCAGCCTGGTCTTGGCTTCCAGATGTTATTCTCAATTCACAAGAATCAAAGTTTCTGAAGGGAATGGCTGCGTGAAGTTCTGGGACAGAGACAATACAAAATGAGCTTGCAAATATCTTGTGTCAAAAGTGATTAAAACGGGATAGGGACATATCTAAAGGAAACAGAAGTAGCTTAGAAATTAATAATAACAGTGATGTGGTATAACTGAGTAAATAGAGTAAGTCCAGACCATGCTCACAATAAATAAATCAATAATTATGGGGGGATAAAAAAGCTGCTTCTTACAGTAAAATGCCAACTAATAAATGTTGATGGAATGAAAGACTTAGAGAAACAATCATTTTGCATCCAGGAGAGTAATCATAGATTAGAGTAACAATATGATTTCGAAAGCTAGTGGTTAACATTTTTTCCAATATTTATTATGAAAAATCTCAAACGTACAGAAAAGTTTAAGGAATTGTCTAGCAAACACTGATAACCCACCACTTTGATTCTACCATTAACATTTTACTACATGTGGTTTATCACACATTGTGACATGATGAGGATGTATATTTGGTCTCTGCCCCCACAAGCTCCTAAACTGCTTGTCATTTCCTGGTTGACAGAAGGATTTCTTGTTCTAATGAGGGAACTCTTGTTGGGCTCCTGATAGCTTCATAGTTGGGGCTGGTTACCAGAAAGACCAAGCCATAATTAGAGTCTTGGAACTTTCAGCCCCACCCTTTATTTTCTGGGAAAGGGAGAGGGGCTAGAGGTTGAGTTAATAATTGATCAAGCCTGTATGAAGAAACCCCTATAAAATCTCCTAAACTATAGAGTTCAGCAGCCTCCAGGTTGGGGATGCATCCATGTACCTGGCATGGGGCACACCCCCACTCCATCAGGACAGAAGCTTCTGTGCTGGGGACTCTTCTAGATCTCACCTGATATGGACCTCTTCACCTGGCTGTTCATTTGTAACTTTTATAGTATCCTTTTCAACGAGCCTGTAAACATTATTAAATTTTTCCCTGAGTTTTTTTGGCTATTATAGCAAATTCTCAAACATGAGAAGAAGGTGGTAGGAAGCCCAATTTGTAGCCAAGCCAGATAGAAGTGAGTACCCTGGGCACTAAATACTTGTGACTGGTGTCTGAAGAGGGAGCAAGTCTTGTGGGACTTAGCCTTTAAACTGTGGGGTCTGCACTAACTTTGGATAGTTAGTGTGAGAATTGAATGAATTGTAGGATACCCAACTGGAGTCCACAGAAAATTGGAGAATTGGTTGATGTGGAAAGCTTACATCTTTGGTGGGAACTGAGTGTAAAGAAACAGTTTCCTATACACATTAGACCATCTTTTCATCATTCTACCTAACCATCAAACCATCATATTTTATTGAAGCATTTCCAAATAAATTTTAAACATCAATGCATTTTCTCCCTAAACACTTCAGCACATATTCACTGGAATTCAATATGTTTATAGTTCTTTTTTTTCCCTTGGAGATGAAATTTACATAAGACAAAGTTAACAAGTCTTAAGTATATCATTTAGAATCTTGACACAACTCTGTAACCCAACTACTTGTCAAGATATAAAACATTGTCATCACTGGAGAAAATTTGTTCTTTCCTCTTCCCAGTCAACACCTACATCATTACCCAGAGGCAACTACTTTTCAGATTTTCTTTTTCCAACATACATACATTTTACATCTCTACAACTTTGTATAAATAAAATAATAGAGTAGTGTCTTTTATTAATGCTAGTTTCACTGAGCATAATGCTTTTTGATTCATCCATGTTGTTTGCGTTTCTTTTTATGGCTGAGTAGAATTCTTTCAGATGAATACAAATATACAATGATTATTCATACTCTTAATTATGGATATCTGTGATATTTTCAATGTGGAATGTTTAGAATACTTTTGCTACAAATATTCTTGCATATTTCTTTTTGTGTACTTTTTTTTGTTCATTTCTTTTATGTAAATTCCTTGGATAGAACTCTTGTGCCATACCATAGTTGTTGTATATTTAGCTTTAAAGGAAACTGGTGGAACTTTTAAAAAATGGGTCTATCTTCCAAGTTTGTGCTCTCAATGACTATGTATAGAGTCGAGAGGGACTTTACAGGAAGAATAGGATTTTTTTTTCAAGGAGAAAATTTAGAGAAAGATATTTCAGATCAAGGGAATAATACCAAAAAAGTACACACCTGTCAGAGTACATTTCGCCCATGAGAAGAAATTAGATATGTGTTTGGATATAGTGAGAGATGAGATTGCAAAGGTAATTAAATCGTGTCCTGGAGATTTGCTTGATCACAGTGCTAAAGATTTGGGACTTATTGCCACAAAAAGTGGGCAATCATAGCAGTTTTGGGGAGAAGGAGTAACCATTTATTCATTCATTCTTAATAGAAAACATTTCCAAACTGCTAAGCATACATAAGCACTATAGTGGTCTCTCTAATAGTTTAAGAGGAGATGCAAGGGGTCTGAGACGGTATAATCTCAGGAAAGGAAAGAACATCTCTTGAGAATCACTGAAAAGGTGAAATCTAAGAGATCTTGTGGTTAATTAGATTTAGTTTTCTGAAAGAAAATAAGGGTCTGTTGTTAGCCCGAATGTGAAGAGTTGGGAAGCTAACATTGCCTTAACCAGAACAGGAAACCTAAAAGATAGTCAAGTTAAAACCAGAAAGCTGGAAGCAGAAAGTGTTTTTGAAGACACACGTCTTATGAAACACAGCAGTTCTGCTAGGATACCAAGTACCTCGTAAAAGAGCTTCTAATTGTGAGAGTTTGTGTTCCAGGTTTTACATAAGAAAATAAAACTTATTTAAACTGTTCTGCAATAAACACAGGGCTATTTTAATTCTAAGTTGATATGCCATAGTCCAGTTACAGTTATAAGGATCTGTCAGATAATTTCTTAGAATAGTTTTGTTTGTTGTAGGAAAGAAATACAGCCAAGAAGATCATATTTCCTTTGAAAATAACAATATTCAATGATTTAAAATTGGATTTCAAGCCAAGTGCAGTGGCTCACCCCTGTAGTCCCAGCACTTTGGGAGGCCAAGATAGGCAGATCTCATGAGCCCAGGAGTTTGAGACCAGTCTGAGAAATGTGGCAAAACACCAACTCTACTAAATATAAAAATTAGCCAGTCCTGGTGATGTGTGCCTGTAGTCTCAGCTATTTGGGGGCTTGAGGCAGGAGGATCACGTGAGCCCAGGAGGTGAAGGCTACAGTGAAGTGAGATCATGCAACTGTACTTCAGCCTGGGCAACAGAGCAAGATTCTCTTTCTAAATAAATAAATAATTTAAAATATATATATATATATATATATATATATAATAGATTTCAGAGCTTTTAAAATGTATTAATGTGCATTTTAAAAGGATTCTGAATCACTTTTCCAAAGTGCGTGCTAGAATCCAACCTCAGTATATCATGTTAGAAAGGTCTAATCTATCTTTCTAGAGCTTGATCTGTTTCTTATGCCCATAGTGCTTGGACTGAATTCTTTTCCAACCTCAAAAGTGGATCCACATGTCTCAAATATTGCTCATGGCAAGGATTTCCTGCTTGAAAACCTACTTGGCCAAAATATTACCTCTGAAAAGAGTTTTGGTTTTTTTGTGTGTATACTACATGCCAGATAAGCCCTTGGATGTTGACTTTATTCTGATTAAGGAAAGGTCCTTAGAGGTCTCAATCAAGTATCAAGAAAAACATTAAAGTTCATGGAGCTACCATCTTTTCATCTTTTTCTATATACAATTACATACCACATAACAACATTTCAGTCAAGGATGGATTAAATATATGATGGTCTTCCCATAAGATTATAATGAATCAGAAAATTTCTACCACCTGATGACATTATAGCCATCATAGGGTCATAATGTGATGCATTATTCATGTTTTCAGTGATGCTGGCTTAAACAAATCTGTGCTGCCAATTGTATAAAAGTGTGCTGTAAGGTCATAGGCCTTCATATTCATTTACCACTCACTCACTAATGCATCCCAGAGCAACTTCCCATACTGCAAACTCCATTCATGGTAACTGTCCTATAAAAGCATATATTTTCTTTAAAAAATCATTTATACTCTATTTTTACAGCACCTTTCCTATGTTTAGATATGTTCAGGTATACAAACTTACCATTATGTACAATTACCTGGAATATTCAGTACAGTAACATGCTGTACAGTTTTGTAGCCTAGGAGCAATAGGCTATACCACAGAGATTATATGTGTAGTATGGTACATCTAGGTTGGTGTAAGTACACTCTTTGAGGTTCACAGAATGACAAAATCACCTAATGATAAGTTTTTCGTAATGTATCCCCATTGTTAAGCAACACATGATTATATAGTATATTAGCGAATTCTATCAGCTATTTCATAAAACATTTCTCATATTGATCCATTTCAAATTATTCTTTCTGTTTCTACCATTGTCTCAACAAACATTTTACTTATGAAACAGCTCTCATCGCTGAGCTGTAATCTCTGTGAGCTATCATTTCTAACTTTGAACATCCCAAACACAGCTAGACATTTTATTTGAACATTTGGCTGCTCTCTTCAGTATGTTAGTCTTGCTAACCTTGAATCTACACAGTCTTGACAGGCAGACAACACTGCTGAAGACCACAGACTCAGAAGCCTCTTTTATTGGGATCGAAGCTCAACTCTGCCATGTGCTATCTGTATAGCTTTGGAAGCTCACTTAACATTTTTGTGTTTCAGCTTTCTTCTCTGTAAAATGGAGATAATAGCACCTACCTTACAAGATAGCTGTAAGTGTTAAAAGTTATGTAAAGCATTTATAAAAGTGGCTAACATCTAAAGAGGTTCTTAAAAAGTTCATGGAAAATGTGCATTATGAAAAATCTATGCATGAATTTCAATTTTTTTGCACCAAAATAAACATTGCAGACAATGTCCTAAAGAAATCAGCACTTTACAAATGGAAAACTCATTTTATGAAAAGACAAGAAGATGTTGAAAATGAATTCTATGGTGGCAGACCATCAACAATAATTTTGAAGGAAAATAAATTGTTCGCTTTTTCATGCCCTAATTGAAGAAGATTGAGGATTAACAGCAGAAACAATAGCCAGCGCTGCAGACATCTCCATTGGTTTAGCTTACACAACTCTGACTCGAAAATTTAAGTTCAACAAGTTTTCCACTTGATGAGTGCCAAAACGATTATACCCACATCAGCTGCAAATAAGAGCACAGTTTTCCATGAAAATTTTAAACAAATGAAACCAAAATCCTGAAGCATTTCTTCAAAGCATTGTAGCAGCAGATAAAACATGGCTTTACCAGTAGGATCCTGAAGACAAAGCACAGTCAAAGCAATGGCTACCATGCCAGTCAAGAGCAAAAGTCATGACAATAGCTTTTTGGGATGTTCAAGGCATTTTGCTTGTTGACTTTCTGATGAGCCAGAGAAAAAATAACATCCGCTTTTTATGAAGGTTTTGAGAAAGTTAATCAAAGTGTTACCAGAAAAACACCTGAGAAAGCTTCACCAGAGAGTCCTTCTCCACCATGACAATGCTCCTGCTCATTCGTCTCATCAAAGAAGGGCAATTTTGCAAGAGCTTTGATGGAAAAATCATTAGGCATCCATCTTTCTGTTTGGATTTGGCTCCTTCTGACTTCTTTTTGTTTCTAATCTTAAAAAAATCTATAAAGGCCACCCATTTTTCTTCAGTTAATAATGTGAAAAAAACTACATTGACATTGTTAGATTCCCAGAATTTTCAATTCTTTAGGAATGGACTAAATGGCTGGTATTATTGCTTACAAAAGCGTCTTGAATGTGATGAAAATTATGCTGAAAAATTGTTTTTATTTTTATCCTTTAATTTAATTTTCCTCATGAACATAATATATACAAGCTCCCTTGTGTATATATTATGAATTTGTTTCACTTTCCTTGTTCAATGCTAGAATTTCACACCTTGTTGGGGAGACCTAAAGAATCCATAATGGAAAAAAGTGAAGTTTCCACTACATAAGAACAAATAAAAATAAATATATAAAGCCAAAGAGACCAAATATAATGTCTAATTCAAAAAAATTAAATGTGAGAAAATATTTACTATGTGCCTTGCTTTCCTTGCCTTTGTATAAGCTATTGAACTTTCTTTCCTTCTCCAACTGACAAAAAGCTATTTGTTTTTTAAAATGCAATTTATTTTTTACTGGCATAACAGAAAAGTGGGGTAAAAGGTAAAGGAAAAGTTATAAAAATTCAAAATATTCAAGGTGAATAGTAAAATAATGGGACATCAATGATAGAAATAAAATTATCAGATGGGGAACCATTTTTGAAGAAAGACATTATTGAGATCCAACTGAAAGTTTTCAGGAAACTTAGCAATTATGTAGAAGAAATTCTACATTGTGTTAGAAAAGAACTCTGTGGCCAGGGAGGTCAAATAATTTGTTTATTGTCACATGGCTAGTTAAAGAAGAATTAGAAGAAAAACACCCTAAATACTTTTTCACGTACACTATGCTACCTTCTAACAAGTAACATACTTGAGGTCAAAATTAGACCTCCAGTTAGACAGTCCATGAGAGCACTAGATCAAGTGTCACTAGATATGATACTAGATCAAGTGTCAGGCCTGGATATTTAGAGGAACAAAGATTTATATTAAGGGCGAGAGAACATAAGTACAGAGCAGTATGCATGCTTTGATATCTTAAGAAATAAGTCATGAAAGGAAGAAAGAAAGGAAACTATAAAAAAGGAAAGAAAAATTCTGAGAGGAAGTAAGCACAGAAAGAGAACAACAAAGGTAATATGAAAGAACTTTGACACATGTACCCTAAAACTTAAAGTATAATAAAAAAAAAAAAAGTCAAAAAAAACCACTATGGAATACTATGCAGCCATAAAAAGGATGAGTTCATGTCCTTTGCAGGGACATGGATGAAGCTGGAAGCCATCATTCTCAGCAAACTAACACAGGAGCAGAAAAGCAAACACTGCATGTTCTCACTCATAAGTGGGAGTTGAACAATGAGAACACATGGACACAGGGAGGGTAACGTCAGACACTGGGGGCTGTTAGGGGGTGGGGGGTTTGGGGAGGGATAGCATGAGGAGAAATACCTAATGTAGGTGATGGGTTGATGGGTGCAGCAAACCACCATGGTACGTGTATACCTATGTAACAAACCTGCACGCTCTGCACATGTATCCCAAAACTTAAACTATAATAAAAAAAGAAAAAGAAAAGAAAGAAAAAAAAAAGAACTTTGAGTAACTTCATCCTGTTTTTGTTTTGTTTTGTTTTGTTTGACAGAGTCTTGCTCTGTTGCCCAGGCTGTAGTGCAGTGGCACGATCTTGGCTCACTGCAACCTCCGCCTCCCAGCTTCAAGCGATTCTCCTGCCTCAGCACCCCATGTAGCTGGGAATACAGGCACCCGCCACCATGAGTGGATAATTTTTGTATTTTTAGTAGATGTGGGGTTTCACCATATTGGCAAGGCAGGTCTTGAACTCCTGACCACAGGTGATCCGCCTGCCTCGACCTCCCAAAGTGCTGGGATTACAGGTGTGAGCCATAGTGCCCGGCCTGAATAACTTCATTCTGATGGTCATTTGCCTCTATTAGGGTTCTATTTAGTTTCTGTAGTATTAGGAGAAAAAAACAGAGAAAAATAATCAGTAACAGGAAAATATAGTGCCCTAGAAATTTAAGGAGTAATCAGGCAACAGGAAGTTGCCATAATTTATCTTAAATAATGCATTGTTAGTACAGGAATAATAAGGAAAGAAATCATTGTCATTCTTATTAATTTATTCAATAAATATGTTTAGGAAAATCTAATTTGTGCTAGGCACTTGCCTAGATGTAGGTTTTAGAAATCTGAGAAAGAAACATTTGGATGGGAAGTTGACCTTGAATTTGGGAACAAAATGAAAAACAAATGATAGGGTCAATAATAAAATAATTATTTGATTTTGTTTTCAAGATTAACACATTCTGCTCTGCAGCAAGCTATGTATTACTAGCACATTCCAGTCTACAAAGTGTACATATAGATTTTTAAAAATCAGCCAAATTAATGCTGTTTTTTAAAAACTTCATCTTTCAATATTAAGGATTTATTTCATTGTTTAAATTGATGACCATACAATGTTAATACGCATAATTGAAGTGTCCATGAGATTGAATCTTAGGTAGGTCTTCTTGATCTTTGAATTTTTAAATTTGAAAATTATTCCTGATTACTATAAAAATAACTGAATTCAAAGATATGGCCAATTGTGACTTAGAAAAAAATCTATTCTTTTTTTTTTTTTTTTTTGATGGAATCTCACTCTGTTGCCTAGACTGGAATGCAGCGGTGTGATCTCAGCTCACTGCAACCTCTGACTCCTGGATTCAAGCAATTCTGCCTCAACCTCCCGAGTAGCTGGGATTACAGGTGTGTGCCCCCACGCTTGGCTAATTTTTGTATTTTTAGTAGAGATGGAGTTTCACCATGTTGGCCAGGCTGGTCTCGAACTCCTGACCTCAGGTAATCCGTCCACCTTGGCCTCCCAAACTGGGACTACAGGCATTAACCACCGTGCCCAGCTGAGAAAAATATATACCTATAAGATAAAAAATAAATATAAGAATAAACTTTATTATTTGTTTTGCGATAAAGGTTGAGGCATTTTTGTCTGTATTCTCTTGGATATTACTATATTCCAGGACATAAAATTGGGAAAGTAGGTCTATATACACATAATTACAGTCACAGGACAAAAAGAAAATCAGTAATACATATTATACTCTACCCTCAATGGTCATTACATGGAATATAATCAAGTAATTTGTACTCTGTAAATAACTGGATATATTTAACAGTGCTAAGTTTTTGATTTGAAAAAAAGTTGGCCCAATTTAAAGAAATAGTTCACATCAACATCAAAAATGGCATTTTTATTTTGTCGTACTTTTTCTTTATAAAGAAATGATTGATGTGAACATATTGCATTTAAAGTGGTAGTGCAGAACTATGCCAACCTCATTATATTTGAATTACTAAAAATGTATCGTTTTGTAAGAACATTAGCTAAAAAAAAAAGGAAAATGAACCTTCCAATAAACAGTTAATACCTTTAAAGTTACAGTTCTATCAGAAAACTTCTGCTTCATAGAAATAGTTCTTAAAATCAGAGACAGTATAATGGGTATCAAGCTAGCTAAATAGATTTGATAATGCCTATTATCTTTTTGTAAAAAAAATTCTTTACTCAAAAAATTTTTAAGTTTAAATTTTGTGGTTAAAAATTGATTAGAAAGATTACTAATTTACATAAAAACTGGCTTATTATCATACCAGCTGCTGAAAAATTTGTGAAACAAGTTTCAGGTTGGCAAGCAGAACTACAGGCTGTCATAGATGTAAAAATATCTGCAAGTATGAAAGATGTTTTATGCAATTAGAGAAGAAGTACAAATCCAAGTTTTGAATTTCTCAGAGTTTCTCTTGTAGACAATTTTCATTCTCAGTGAAGATAGGAAGTAACAAGAGAAGTTTACCTGGCAAAGGTGGATACCCTGCAACTAAATTGACCTCTTCTCAGGTAAAAATATTATTATAGACAGGATCATGTAAGCTTAATGAATCAGCACGCTACAAGATATAGATGTGCGTTGCACATTTTCTTAATAAAATTAAATCAACGGGTAGTTCAGATTTTATTTTAAAGTCTTTCTATCCTTACTCCTGAGAGAGTTCAGAGTTTTAAAATATGTCCCTGTGGTTTCACCTATTTTCCACTCAATAGTAAAATAGTCAAAGATTAAAATATCTTTCTCTAAAAAACATTTCTCATTTTTTTTGCATTCGAATTGTTGACAGACCAAAATAAAACAAAAAACAAAAAAATTCACAAGAATGTTCTGAAATAGTTTCGTGATTTGCATAATATTATTCATTCTGTGGAATCTACTAGAGGTGATTTTTAGAAGAAAAATTATAAAATTATCCAATGAACTCAGCTTTTCAAAGAGCAGATGCTTCCAAAGTATTTTTAAACTGAACTCCTTGTGTTACATGAAGTTTTATAAAAACTTATCTCTAATCATTTTATTCAGTGACCTAATTATCTTCAGTCTATCATTTATATTTACTAGTTAAAAAAAAAACTAGAAAAACCCTGGTTTCAATTACATTGAAATACAAATATCAATTTAAAGGTACATGTAAACATAGTCAATATAGACAATGCATGGTTACTACAATAATGCAAACAAGATCCTCTGCTTCTCTATCACCTGGACTTGTTCTCCAATTTATTGGATTAGTTACTTTCACTACTGTTATGGGCTTTAGATAAAAATAATTTAAAAATAAAATTAAGCTAAAATAATTAAATTTCTACTTTATATATTCATGTGTCCATTTTTTTTACTTTAGGACCCTATATATTTTCTCAGATCAAAAATAAAATCCATATTGCCACTTATAGAAGGTAAAAACAGGGTTCATTTCCAATTTGTTGTCAGATTTGGGAGCTATATTACTTGTTTTTTTCTTACTACATAACTTAAACTTATAGAGGTTATTGGAAATTTCTGTTCATTTTGTGCTAAGTTTAACATAAATTTTACAAACTGTAAGGTCAAATGTAATTATATTTGTTGCACTACTTTTTGTATCTTTATGAGAAGAACAGTACCCAAGAATACTGTATTAATTGTTCTCAAGAATATCTTATTGGCTTACATTCACATTGCCTTCCAAAAAAGATTTGTATTTAAAATAATTTTTCACTCCTTTCTTTTTTCATCCTTTCTCTTTCACTGGTAGTGTCTCTTTCTTGATTACATATTTCTGTTAGGAACACAACAACTATTACATTCTCTCACCATAGTAATAATATAATTGATGAAAGGATTGAGTGAATTAACCTTTGTAATTATTTTATTAAAATAAACATGAGTATCTGATATTCTGAAACATATCATTAGATGTCACATAATATTTTTCATTACAGAACACATAATAAACAAAATAGCCAAACATAATCGAAAAATTTTTAAAAGCTTTCTCAAATTATTTAACTTAAGAAACTTTACAGCAGTGGCAAGATGGTGGAATAGAAACCTGTGTGGTTTGTCCCCAACACTGAAACATCAAATTTTAGCAACTATCTGCACACAGTAAAGTGCCATCACAAGAACCAAAAATCAGGTGAGCAATCAAGTACCCCATTTTAACACCATATTTCTGAAAAAGGCATCGAGGGGGGCAGGAGAGACAGCCTTGATGTACCAACAACACTCCACTCCCATCCTCCAGGCAGTGGCTTTCTGGTGTGGAGCGAAAATCCATGCACTTTGGGGAGGGAGAGCACAGCGACTGGGAGACCTTGCACTGAACTCAGTACTGCCCTGTCACAGGAGAAAGAAAAACCATGCTGAGCCCAGTCAGCCCCTGCACACAGAGGGAGCCTTTAGACCAGACATAGCAAGAGGGGAATTGCCCATCCCAGCAGTCAGAACTTGAGTTTCTTGGCAAGGCTTGCCAACACAAGCCAGAGTGCTCTGGGGTCCTAGGAAACATGCAAGGCAATCTAAGACACAAGGACTGCAATTTCTAGGCAACTCCTAGTGCTGGGTTGGGCTCAGAGCTAGTGGTCTAGGATGGCATGTGATCTAGGGATACACCAGCCTGGGTGGTTAACCCCCAACCCTAGGCAGTGCAGCTCGCAGCAACAAAAGTGACTTCTTCCTTCTGCTTAGGAAAAGGAGATCAAAGAGTAAAGAGGACTAAATCTTGCATCTTGGATACCAGCTCAGCCACAGTAGGATAGGGCACAAGGTAGAGTTGTGAGGTCTCCATTCTCCATTGCAGACCCTAGCTCTGGATGACATTTCTAGACACATCCTGGGCCAAAAGGGAGTCTGCTGCCTTGAAGAAAAGGACCCATTCCTGGCAGGATTTATCACCTGCTGACTAAAGAGCCCTTGTGCCCTGAATAGCCAGTAGTGGATACTCAGGTAGTAACTTGTGGGTCTTGGGCTCTGAGATCTACTGGTTTCAGGTGTAACCCAGCATACTCCTAGCTGTGGAGGCTGTGATGAAAGACTCCTTCTGTTTAAGAAAAGGAAAGTTAAAGGGACTTTGTTTTGTATTTTAGGTACCAGCTCAGCCACAATGGGCCAGAGCAACAAGCAGGGTGTTGGAGTTCCTGAGCCCAGGCCTAGGCTCTTGGACATCATTTCTGGACCAGCTCTGGGCCAAAAGGGAGCCCACTGACCTGAAGGGTGAGTCCCAGTCCTGTCGGTACACAACACAAGCTGACTGAAGAGCTCTTGGCCTTTAAGTGAATACCAGTGGTTGCCTGGAAGAACATCCATGGACTGGTGGTGGTGGTTGCCACAGGAGAGGCTTCTCTGCTTGTGTAAAGGGGAGGGAATAGCAAGAAGGTCTTTGTATTATGGTTTGAGTCTTAGCTTATCCACAATACAATAGAAATCAGGGAAACTGCTAAAGTTTTTAACTCCAATTCCTGGCTCCCAGCCAGCATCTCTAAACAAGCCCAGAGACTGGGATAACTTACTGTCCTGGGCAAGACTCAGTGGTGTGCTGGCTTCAGGTCTGACCCAGCACAGTCCCAGTGATGGTGGCCACAGGGCTGGTTGCGTCACATACTCCCAGTTCCAAGTGGCTTATTACAGAGCGAAGGAGACTGTTTGTCCGGGAGAAAGTAAGGGAATAGAACAAGAATCTCTATTTGGTTATGTAGAGAATTCTTCCAGATCTTATCTAAGACAACCAAGGTGGCCCATCTATGAGTCTGCAACAACCACAGCGTTATTAGGCTTGGGACCTATGCCCCTTCAAATACAAGGAAAGCCTTCCCAAGAAGGACAGACACAAACAAGCCTGGATTGTAAAGATTACAATAAATACCTAACTCTTCAACACCCAGAGAATGACGAACATCTACAAGCATCAGTATCACCCAGGAAAACGTGAAATCACCAAATGAAATAAATAAGCCACCAGGAATGAATCCCGGAGGAACAGAGATATACGATCTTTCAGACAGATAATTCAAAAGAGCTGTTTTGAGAAAATTCAAAGAAATTCAGGATAACACAGAGAAATAATTCAGAATTCTATCAGATAAATTTAATGAAAAGATTCAATAATCAAAATCAAGCAGAAATTCTAGAACTGAAACATACAAGTCACATGCTGAAGAATACATCAGTATCTTTTTTTTTTTTTTTAATGCAGTGCTTTATTATTCTCAACACCAATGGCAGTGGCCTCCATAGGACAGGGGAATGAGTTCCGTCGACGGAGGGGTGGCCCCTTCTTGCTGGCGATGAGCGAGTTCCTCAGAACCACGATGTCTCTGTCCTCACGCAGGAACGTCTTGGAGATGTAGTGGTCTTTCTTGATTGGCGTGGACTTCTTCTTGCCATTGCCACTCTTGGGTACCTCAGTCCACATCTCCTTCAAGTATCTTAATAGCAGACTTGATCAAGTAGAAGAAAGAATTAGTGAGCTTGAAGAAAGGCTATCTGAAAATACACAGTCAAAGGAGACAAATTAAAAAAGGATAAAAAACAATGGAGCACTTCTATAATATCTAGAACATTGCCTCACAAGGGCAAATCTAAGAGTTATTACCCCTAAAGTAGAGACAGAGAAAGAGATAAGGGTAGACAGTGTATTCAAATGGATATCAGGGAATTTCCCAAACCTAGAGAAAGATATCAACATTCAAGTATACGAAAGTTATAGAAAACCAAGTAGCTTTAACCCAAAGAAGACTTCCTCAGGGCATTTAATAATCCAACTCCCAAAGATTAAGGATGAAGAAAGGATCCTAAAAGCAGCAAGATACAAAAATCAGACAAAGACATAACAAAAAAGGAAAATGGCAGGCTAATATCATTGATTAATATTGATGCAAAAATCCTCAACCAAATATTAGAAAATGTAATTAACAATACATTAAAAATATCATTTATCATGACCAGTGGATTTACCCGAAAGATGTAAGGATAGTTCAACATATGGAAAGCAACCATTGTTATACATCATATCAATAGAATAAAAGACAAAAAGCATATGATCATTTTAATTGATTCTGTTGAAGCATTTGATAAATTTCAACATCCCTTCATGGTAAGAACCATCAAAAATTGTGTACAGAAGGAACATACCTCAACATAATAAAAGCCATATATGAAAGACCTGCAGCTAGTATCATATTGAATGGCAGGAAATTGAAAGCCTATCCCCTAATATCTGGAACATGATAGGGATGCCCACTGTCATCACTGTTATTCAACTTATTACTGGAAGTCCTAGCTACAACAATCAGACAAGAAAAAGAAATAAAAGGCATCTGATTTGGAAAAGAAGAAGTCAAATTATCTTGTTTGCAGATGCTATGATCTTATATTTAGAAAAACCTAAGGTCTCTGCAAGAAAACTAGTAGGACTGATAAACGCAGTAAATTTGCAGGATACAAAATCAACATACAAGAATTAGTTTAATTTCCATATATCAACAGTGAACAATCTGGAAATTAATCAAAAAAGTAATCTCATTTAAAATAGCTACATATAAAATAAAATACCTAGGAATTAACATAGCCCAAGAAGTGAAAGATTTCTTTAATAAAAAGTATAAAACACTGATGAAAGAAATTGAAGTGGCACAAAAAAATAGAAAAATATTCCACATTCATAGATTGGAATAATTGACATTGTTAAAATGTCCATACCACCCAAAACAATCTACAGATTCAATGCCATCTCTGTCAAAATAGCAATGACATTCTTCACAGAAATAGAAATTACAATCCCAAAATTTATATGGAACCACAAAAGACGCAGAATGGACAAAGCTATCCTGAGCAAAATGAACAAAACTGGAGGAATCACATTACCTGACTTCATATTATACTATAGAGTTATAGTAACCAAAACAGCATTGTATTGGCATAAAAATAGACACGTGGAGCAATGGGACAGAATAGAGAACAGTTTGGAGATTACTCAAAAAAACAAAAAAATGAGCTACCATACAATCCAGCAATTCTACTGCTGGGTATGTACCCAAAACAAAGAAAATCGGTATATTGAAGAGATATCTACACTCCCATAGATCTTACAGCACTGTTCACAACAGCCAAGATTTGGAAGCAACATAAGTGTCCATCAATAGACAAATGGATAAAGAAAATGTGGTGCTTCACTTGAACCCAGGAGGTGGAGGTTGCAGTGAACTGAGATTGCGCCACTGCACTCCAGTCTGGGCAACAGAGGGAGACTCAGTCTCAAAAAAAAAGAAGGAAAAGGAGAAGGAGAAGGGGAAAGGAAATGAAAGGAAAGGAAAAGAAGAAGGAGGGAAAGAAAAGGAAGGAAAGAGGGAGGGAGGGAAGGAAGGAAGGAAGCAAGGAAGGAAGGAAGCAAGGAAGGAAGGAAGGAAGGAAGGAAATGTGGTCCTTATACAAATGGAGTACTATTCAGCCATAAAAGAAATGAGATTCTGTCATTGCAACAACATGGATGCAACTAACCTCATTATATTCAGCGAAATAAGTCAGGCACAGAAAGACCATCATTGCGTGTTCTCACTTATCATTAGGATCTAAAAATCAAAACAATTGAACTAATGGAGATAGAGATTTGAAGGGTGGTTACCAGAGGCTTAGAAGGATAGCGGGAGGCTGAGGGGTAGGTAGGGATGCTTAATGGGTACCAAAAAAAATAGTCAGAAAGAATGAGTTCAGACCTAATATTCGAGAGCATAACAGAGTGACTATAGTCAATAATAATTTAATTGTACATTTTAAAATAACTAAAAGAGTATAATTGGATTGCTTGTACCACAAAGGATAAGTGCTTGAGGAGATGGATACCCAATTTTCCATGATGTGATTATTACACATTTCATACCTGTACCAAAATATCTCATGTATCCCATAAATATATACTCCTACCATGTACCCACAAAAATTTAAAAAAGAATCTTTAATGCTAATATATTTACTGAGTACCTTGTAAAGTTAAGGCAAAGTGATATATATAATATGCACCCTGTCCTCAAGCAATTCACTCACCATTCATAAGAGAGACAATACAAATATACTTAAAAGGAAGAATGAGTGCAACATTTTGAGTAAGTTATTTAGCATTATACGGCCATTTTAAGAACATAATATCTAGCTAAATTAATACAAGAACACATCAAACATTTTAAATGAAACTTAAAAATTGGTAAACTTCAAAACGCATTCAGATACGAATTACCTCTCATTCCTTCTCCATCTGTCATCCCTATATGAACCACCATCTTATCTTTTATCTACATTATTCTCATAGCCTCCTTACTGTTTAACCTGATTCTGCCATGTCTCTCTATACTTCATTTGCAGTAGCACATGTAATGAAACTATACTTTAAAAAATGGAAGGTATATTCTGTCTCTTCCATGCTTAAAAAGCTGCAGTGACTCCCCATCTCATTCAGAGTAAAGTCAAATTTATCAAATGACCTATCAGATCTTCTATGATCCCCCTCCTTTCCTTATCACACCACCCAGGCTTATTATGTGCGATTCTCCCTTGCTCATCTTCTTTGCTCAGTTAGCTGCTGCCACATTGGCTTCCTTTCTATTCTTGAACACTCCATGCATGCTCTACCCTTAGTAGGGCCTTTGCAGTGGCTATTTCCTCTACCTGCAATATTCTTGCTCCAAAGTCAAATGTTATCACCTTTAACTTTGCTCAAGTATCCTTGACCATGTTTTTTGTTTGTTTGTTTGTTTTTTGTTTGTTTGTTCTCTCCCCAAGATGGAGTCTCCCTCTGTTGCCCAGGCTGGAGTGCAGTGGCCCGATCTTGAGTCACTGCAAACTCCGCCTCCCAGGGTTCAAGCGATTCTCCTGCCTCAACCTCCTGAGTAGCTGGGATTACAGGTGCACACCACGGGCTGGCTAATTTTTTTTTTTTTTCTTTGAGAGGGAGTCTCACTCTGTTGCCCAGTCTGGAGTGCAGTGGCACAATCTCGGCTTACTGCAACCTCCGCCTCCCCAGTTTAAGTGATTCTCCTGCCTCAGCCTCCCGAGCAGCTGAGACTACAGGTGTGTGCCACCACGCCTGGATAATTGTTGTATTTTTAGCAGAGACGGTGTTTCACCATATTGGCCAGGCTGGTCTCAAACTCCTAACCTTGGGATCTGCCCGCCTCGACCTTCCAAAGTGCTGGGATTACAGGCGTGAGCCACTGCGCCCAGCCTAATTTTTGTATTTTTAATAGAGACAAGGTTTTACCATGTTGGTCAGGCTGGACTCGAACTCCTGACCTCCAGTGATCTACCCACCTCGGCCTCCCAAAGTGTTGGGATTATAAACCTGAGCCACCGCGCCCAACTAACCATCTTATTTTAAATCGCATACTACTCCTTAGCCTGGCATTCTCAATTCTCCTTAACCTTCTTTATTTACTGTTTTTCCACAGCACTTTTTACATTCTAATGAACCGTAATTATTTAGTTATTTGTTATGCTCAGTGTTTACTTTTTCTCCTTAACTCCATGAGGCTAAGAGTCTTTGGATTGCTTGCTGATATACTTCAAATCAGTAGAGTAATGCGGGACTCGCAGAGGGAACTTAATAAAAATGTGTTAGGTAAATGAACAAATGATTATATGAACGTATAGGAAATTCTAGTTTGATTTTTATAAAAGGTCAACTTTTACAATAATGAAAGTTACCTATATTGTATTTGGATTTTAATTTAGTTTTCTTCTTTATTTCTAATTATGAACTTTTGCTAGAAAAAAACTAAAATAACACCACTATGTATGTAGGAGAAACAAGAAATAATAAAAGAAAAATTATCATTGCACCTCTGTTATTATTGATTAAATATAAAATTTCAAAGTTAAAGTCTAATTATTTTCTTATTTGCTATTCAAAAAGGAATATCTCTTGTGATGCTACATTAGATAAATTATTAGTCAGATCTTCCAACAGGCAGATCAAAGCCTGGGCTTTGGACCACTGCCTGAGAGGGGCACCTTATGTAGGTTTGTGGAAGGATGAGAATGAATAGCTTTTCCCCCTTGATGAGAACAGACCTCTGCACACCTGTTTTGTTCCTGTCTTCATTGGTGCTGGCACTCTTTTTTTTCCCTTCCAGGACATAGGCCATGGATACATACTTAAGGATATAAACAGAACTATGTGAAATTAATTACTATTTTAACTATGGCTCTTCCTCTTTCTCTTCTGCAATAATAATAATAATAAGCATATCAGAATGCTAGTAACATTAGTAATTTTATATATAATCCAAGTGGTTTCATGAAAATATTTTAAAATTTATAAAAGTTAGCTTTTATTGCCTGCAAATATAAGGTAGGAATATAGATGACAAAGCAACAAAGGGTTTTGACACTGAGTGAAGAAACACTAGCTCATCAATTTCTGAGCACGCATTTGAGGGAAAAACAGGAAGTGAGAGGTTCCACTGATACATATTGACAGCTGACTATAGAACATTTATTGATTCATTGATTCATTAATTATTCAATAGATATTGAAACTTACGTCTCAGAAAATATATTATTATAACAGGGTGCAAATATAAGACATTGTCTTTTTAAAAAAGAAAGTATAAACTAGTAGGAGAAGGAGAGATAAAAAGATAATTAGAGTGAAATATGCGAATTTTGCTAGGCAGCAAAATATAAGCAAAAATTCCGTAGAAGAAATAAAATAAAACTTTATCCTCTCTGAAACTAAATAGCCAATATTCACTAAAATTTAGCTCAAGCAGTTCCCTATTTTGAGCATCCTATGATTTCGACTGTAGAATAAATTCTTTGACTTAGTTACACAAAAATATGCATGTATAAACTAAATCTCTCATGGTGATATAAACATGGAATGGACATCTAATTATTTCTTTCTGTGCTCAAAGTATTCCAATGTGCTCTTTTTTTGTCAGTTACTACATGACTTTTTCTAACTTGAGCCTCAAACTTTACCTCTCATGTTCTGCCTCCACATCTTGCTTTTCTAAAGTCAAACTTCTCCCCTTTCCAAAAACTGTGCTTCTTTTGATTTAACAAGGCAGAACCACATATAGCTTCCTCAAAACAAACTATGCTTTTTCATGCTTCTGAATTGTTGTTTGTGCTGTTTGCTATTTTCTATGCCTATAATACCATTCCAACTTCCCCTAAGAAAATTCTGCCTATTCTTTAAAACTTTTTATATCCAAATTATGTGAATTTTTCCCTGAGGTCAGAGTCACCCACTCCTACTTAGTACTCTTGAAATTGCATTTAAAAGTTTTTATTTTGCATTTATATATCACATTTTAAATGTTCCCATATTTCTTTCCGTTTCTTGTTAGCTAAAACATTCTGAGAATAAGAGATACAACATCCATTTATGCTTCCATTATCTCTCATAGTATTGGTATATAGTGGCTGATCAGTAAATATCAATTAAAATGAGCTTAATTTGAACGTTATATGTTTTTGTTATTTTTTGTTTATGTCATGGGAAACTTTTTTAAAGCATCACATTTGCCATTTACTTCTCAACAAATATTTACTTTGCCTTAGTCTCCTAGCCTACATGAATTCATCACTTTGTGTTAAACTCATAGACAGCTAATATTTTTTCATTATATCTTTGCCCAGAGCCACATTTTAAAACTACTAACATTTATATAACTTCCATTCACAACTCCAAATCAGGAAACTATGTATCTTTGTTTCTAGTTGAAGTACCTTCTAGCTACTTAATGAAACACATATATTTTTCAAATGATAGATTACTCAATCTGGCAAAGACAATCTGTTACTGTAGAAGATACATATTCATTTTTCTATTCGTAAGAAAATCATATTGATATTAACCTAAATTACTCAGATTCTTATTGTTTCAGGCAAGAAGGAAAATATAAAGAACCCAGCCATGTTATAATAAGAGCTGATCCTAGTGCTTTCTGTGTATTGGCTTATTTCAGTGTGTCACATTTCTGTTATTTCACTGACTCAACACGTTGGTGCAGGTTTACGAATCCTGACCTCTCGAGAAATGGTCCTATATTGACTAGCTGACAATATTTGAAACATTTGTGAAAAACAGAATAATTTGTCTGCCACTGAGAAATATTTTTATATTTATCAGGTCATATGAGTGAAATCACAGAATTAAATTATAATATTTATTTCTAGGCCAGAAGATTTCCTTAGTCATTATAGTGATTTGTCTGGGATGGGAGTGGGGAGGACAAGTTTTAAAGAAGAATTCTTTAATGCACCCATATTTTAAAATTTGAAAAAAAAATGTAATCTTCCTAAATCTTAGGCTAATTTTAATACAAATAATCAAGTTAGTTTAGAATATGAGGTAAATAATATACGAAGTCAATAGCTAGATAATAATATCAACCAGCACCAAAACATAAAGACTTGGGAGTTCACTCTAGAATAAATTTTGAGTTAGTTTACTCTACCCTGATTTACCCTGGAAATTTTAATAAGATTTGTGGCAATTATGACTTCCAACCTAGCTTTAAAAGGCAAAAGATTTATATAATCTGAAGAGTAACCAGAGTTTAACCAAGTTTAAGTCCACAGAGGAGTTATGATAAAGGAACACCAGACGTTCACACATATTTTTACCAATGAAAGTAGTCAGCTTGATTCTTGAAATTGAAAACAGTACTGTTTTATGATTGTGGAGATGGGGCAGGAAATGACAACAGAGGACTGTGTTTTCACAGTCAGTTTCAGCTAGTTTCATTGAGCGATGTAATAGTACCAAACATCATCTGGATTCTGTGATTTTTGCTTCCTATGCTGTATTAATATCACAATCTCTAAAGTCTCCAACATTTGCATTTGTAACTCTCATCACCCATCAACCCATTTCAAAAGGAATCTTTGCATAATCTATATTCCTAACCTTGTTAGACCCAGATGCTAAAGTAATTTTGTGATTTTATTCTCAACACTCTTACTATCTTAAAATGGACACAGAGTATGATTTTATATGCAAATGTCTGTAGATAGTATTAAAAGAGGAGGCTAGCAACATGGAGATGTTATTTTCCTGTACAATATGATAAAGGAAGCTTGGCATTATGAAATCCAACCTTGTTACTATCCTTTAGGTGCATATAAGAAAATGTATTGATCTTCTTATATACCCAACAGAATTCTCCATATACACTGCTGCAAATACATAGATTCCACTCTGTTAGGAAAATGTGTTGTTCATTAAATGATGTTTGGTGAAAACAAATCCGGTGACTGACAATCGCCAGGGGTAGAAGATAGGGAGAAAATTGCTACAAACATGTTGCTAAGATCAGTATACATGAAAAAATGGATTTATTAACAATGCCACCTAGCTAGTACCTTTAGCCAAAAAATTGGTAAATGGATTCACTGTTGTCACCTTAAGACAGTGCTGCAGGTTTTCAGCACTCAAATGCATTGTGTCTAGAAACAGAAGCTGATGGGCCGTGCGCGATGGCGCACTCCTGTGATCCCAGCACTTTGGGAGGCCGAGGCGGGCGGATCACGAGGTCAGGAGATCGAGACCATCCTGGCTAACACGGTGAAACCCCGTCTCTACTAAAAATACAAAAAAAATTAGCCGGGCATGGTGGCGGGCGCCTGTAGTCCCAGCTACTCTGGAGGCTGAGGCAGGAGAATGGTGTGAAGCCGGGAGGCGGAGCCTGCAGTGAGCCGGGATCGCGCCACTGGACTCCAGCCTGGGCAACAGAGCGAGACTCTGTCTCAAAAAAAAAAAAAAAAGAAAAGAGAAACCAAGAAGCTGATGGTAGCCCTAGGCATTGGAAACACTGTAAAAGAATAATATTCTTTTTGATAAAATCTCAAAAGATTGACAACTCAAATTGTTATTTTTATTTTGAAATTCAAACTTCTCTTTAATAATTTGAGTTAAGAGTTCATTGTTAAGGATGTTAGTGTTTAGAGAATGTTTTGTAAAGTCAAAAAATGCAAACTGATCAGACAAGTACATATAAAACCAAATTAAATGATACTACCCATACAACATTTTTCTTTGTTTATGTTATTCATGTTGTGAATTAATATTTGAAATGATTGGACACTTTAGGAGGTGAAAAAAATCACTGCAGTAAATTTAATGTAAACTAATGGAGCAATATTGTATCTGTCAGATTGTGCTTACACTTTTTTTTCACTTTATAATCTCTCTTTTTAAAAATTTTTAATTAAGCTATAACCCAACCCAACAAACCTGCCACACATTTCTTTTATAATATAAATCATGCTTCCAGGAAAATTTTTACAAGTTCAGTCAAATGTTGGAATGTATTAAGAAAGCCATAGTTGGGTAAAATGAGTTTAATATCAATATCCTATCATAAGGCACTTATGTGAAACAAAGTGAAGATTTCTAAATAAATTGAAATGCTCAGACCTTCTCATGGTATGACTTACATTATGCTAAGACATGCCCCCTTTTTCAACTTAGTGTATGCTTGATATTACAAAATAATCATTTATAGTAACAGAAAAGCATTCATTTATTTATCCATCTATTTGGTTGATATTTATTCATTGGTTTGTATATGACCTACACTGTTTTTAAGGAATGAAATATGTAGTTTGTATCTGATATGTATTTTTTCTTTATCCAACATCAGTTCCTTTAAGAGTAATCCCCTGCTCCTTTTTTTTTTTTTTTTTTTTTTTTTTTTTTGAGATGGAGTCTCACTCTGTCGCCCAGGCTGGAGTGCAGTGGCACAGTCTAGGCTCACTGCAGCCTCTGCCTCCCGGGTTCAAGCGATTTGCCTGCCTCAGCCTCCCAAGTAGCTGAGATTACAGGCGGACACCACCACGCCCAGCTAATATTTGTATTTTTAGTAGAGACAGGGTTTCGCTATGTTGGCCAGGGTGGTCTCGAACTCCTGACCTCAAGTGATCCACCTGCCTTGGCCTCCCAAAGTGTTGGGATTACAGGCATGAGCCACCATGCCCAGCCACCCTTTCTTATACCATGTGTTTCTGGTAGAGTTGAGTTTTTTTTGTTTGTTTGTTTTTTGTTTTAAATGGAGTCTTGCTCTGTCACCCAGGCTGGAATGCAGTGGCATGATCTCAGCTCACTGCAACCTCTGCCTCCAAGGTTCAAGCGATTCTCCCGCCTCAGCCTCCCAAGTAGCTAGGATTACAGGAGCCTGCTACCATAATGAGCCCTAACTACCCCACCACAGAGGTGAGCACATAATCCAGGCTAACCAAAAAAAAAAAAAAAAGTGAGAGAAAAGAAAAAAGAACAGATCATTCCACTGCACGTGAACAACTGTTCCATGATTGGGCACATAATAACTTGAAATCACTGTTTGCCTGTGAGTGAAATCTACACAGAAGTAAGCTCGGATTACTTGAGAGTGGAATCTACACAGAAATAAGATTGTCTGAGAGTGAAATCTACCCAGAAGTAAACTCAGAGAAGAAATGATTTCCTATTCAGTGAATGGTACTGGCATAACTGGCTAACCACATGCAGAAGATTGACATGGGACCCCTTCCTTTCACCATATACAAAAATCAACTCAATATGGACTAAAGACTTAAATGTAAAACCTAACACTGTAAAAACCCTAGAAGAGAATCTAGGAAATACCATATTGAACATAGGCACTGGCAGTGATTTCATGATGAAGATGCCAAAAGCAATGGCAACAAAAATAAAAATTGACAAATGATACCTAATTAAAGAGCTTCTGCACAGCAAAAGAAACTATCAACAGAGTAAATAGACAACTTAGACAGAATGGGAGAAAATATTTGCAAACTATGCATTTAACAAAGGTCTAATATCTAGGATCTATAAGGAACTTAAACCAACAAGCAAAAACAAAACAACCCCATTAAAAAATAGGCAAAGGACATGAACAGACAGTTCTCAAAAATAAATAAATAAATAAAAGACAAACATGCAGGCAACATGCATATACAAAAAAAATAAGCACCGCTAATCAGTAGAGAAATACAAATCAAAATTGGAGTGAGATACCATCTCACACCAGTCAGAATGGCTATTATTAAGTCAAAAAATAACAGATGCTGGTGAGGTTGCAGAGAAAAGGGAACACTTATACACTGCGGGTGGGAACGTGAACTAGTTCAGCCACTGTGGAAAGCTGTTTGGAGATCTCTTAAAGAACTTAGAACTATCATTCGACCGAGCAATTCCATTATTGTGTGTATACCCAACGGAATATAAATAATTCTGTCATAAAGACCCATACACATGTATGTTCAATGCAACGTTATTCACAATAACAGAGACAGGGAATCAACCTAAATGGCCATAATGGTGAACTTGATAAAGAAAATGTGGTACATATGCATCATGGAATACTACACAGCCATAAAAGACTACGCTTTGAAGATCATGTCCTTTGGAGTAACACAGATAGAGCTGGAAGTCATTATCCTAAGCAAATTAACACAGGAACAGGAAGCCAAATCCTGCATGTTCTGACTTATAAGTAGTCCACAAACATTAAGAACACATGGACATAGGAACAACAGACAGCGGAGCCTACTTGAGGGTGGAGAGTGGGAGGAGGGTGAGGATGGAAAAACTAACCATTGAGTACTATGCTTACTTACCTGGGTAATGAAATAATCTGTATACCAAACCCCCACAAGATGCAATTTACCTATATAACAAACTTGCACATGTACCCATGAACCTAAAATAAAAGTTTGAAGAAAAAAAAAACACACAGAAAATCATACAGAAACTGTCTAAAGAAATTATCTCTCAGACATGAGATGGAGGATATGCATTAAACTTACCTTTCATAATAAAAAGAAAAGAAAAGGAAAAGCAGTCACATCAACTTGCGAATGATAAGAAGAATCATAAAATTAGTCAGATTTAAAACTGATCTTGAGCAATGCAGGGAATTCCGGCAAGTACATGAGTGTGAATGCTGTTGCAGGCCTGGGCAGTATGAGCACATGTGAAGTATCTGCCTGTTTGCCTTCCTTCTTTCCTCCCTCCTTTCCTCACTTCCTTTTTTTCTCCCTCCCTTCCTGTCTTCCTTGTCTCCTCCTTCCCTCCCTTTCTTCCTTCTTTCCTTCCTCCCTTCCTCTCTTCTACCCTTTCTTCCCTTCTTCTCTCTCACTCTCTCTTCTTCCTTTCCTTTGTCCATCCTCTCCCTTTCTCCTTTCTTTTCTTCCTACCTTAAGCATTTTGGGGGCAGTAACTAAAAACCATAATGGATGCTAACGTTAAAAATGAAAATAAAGAGTTCCTGTCTTCTAGATCATGGAGTCAGAATGCAATATCTATATATTTTTGATTTTTGATGGAATTTTAAGTGATCCATGCAAAGCAACTTTTTTTCGTATTCCTCTTGGAATTCAGATAATACAGCATTTCTATAAGTAGAAATGTATAAGAAGTATGTTTTGTGGAAGTTGGATTTAAATCTTTGATATATGCCAAGTGATCAAAAATTATATATTGCCCTGAGTGTATTTAGAATATGAAAAATTGGGTATGAAGTAGAAAATAATTTGATTTTTACATGAAATATATAAATTTATTTGAAACTATAAAATACAATTAAACATTGTCTTTCTGACTCTATTGTTATGGTGTGTGATATGCATCTTTAAAAGAATGGTTTTAGCACTTTTTAGAGAACTGTGTGGCTGATGACTTTTCACATGGCTTAAATAATTATCCAATTAAATTTGTGCATATAAAGCCAAATGGAAAAACACTTTGTTTCTAACAGATGAATAATTTGATGAAGAAGGAATAGAGGGATAATGTATAGATAAATTAAAAATTACACACACACAGTGGAAATACTCTCATAAGAGGACAATTTCACCTTAATGTAATAAAAATTAAATGTCAATTAATTTAATGATTCTAAGAAAATAATTATATTATTTAGACTTCTTCAAGACTGTAGAATCTTCTATTTTTTTATATTGGCAACTATGAAATTGCTTTCTTTTTGTAGCCAGAAAGCACAGCTGACAGATAAAAAAAAAATTGTTAATTTCATAACTCCTAAAGACTAAATGGAGACTGGCATTAAGATTTGAGATATTCAATGCTATTTCTGTACAATATGTTTAGCTTGTTGTTTTCTCAATTTGATGTTGGGATATGGCCCAGAGTTTTTCTTTCTATTTTAACTGTGCTCTTGAGATATGCATTTCATAATTTTTGTCTCTATTACAATTGAAAAAAATGTCTACATAAATTACTCTAATTACATAAATTACCTAAATTAACTGAAGACAGTAAAAGGAAAACTTTGCAATTATCCGTTTCACTTAACATAGAATTTGCACAATATTATTTTAACAGATGTCTGCTTTATCCTTTGTTTAGACACAACTGTAAAGCACTTTTTGTGAGATTTCAACTGGGGAATTTTCTATGAAGATGTAAAATAAAAAATATGTTTGATTACAATAAAATAAAATTTATTCAATTATTCTGTGAGGTGCACATAATTAGACATTATAGGTAGTTCTAAAAGTATAAACATCGTTTTTTTCCAAAATTTTATTTATGAGAAAAAACTTTTTTAAGAAAAGGAAAATGAGTGGCTTTTCTATAGAATCTCATAAAGGTTTATTTTATCCACTAATAAGCTGTCTTACAGCAAATTAATACTCTGCTAATAAATGCCTGTGTATAAGACTACCCAGAGAACATAAAATGTTTTTTTAATAAGAATAATAGAATTAAACAAAAGTTAATAGAAATTATTAACGAGAAAGAAATGAGACAAAATATTTTACGTTGATTTTTGTTCAAACATTGATTTGGGTAAACTTATACTGTTAAATAAAGAATTGTTTAAAGCAATGTTACTATATTGGACATTTTGGTTATCTCCATTATCTATGACTTTCCAATACATTAGCCCATTGGTTTGTAGAATTCATCTCAGCTCAGTTAGGTGCTGCGAGTAATCTAAGCTTCTCGTTCTCAACACTGACGGCACATTAGAATGAGCAGGAGAGGTTTTTGTTTTTTTTTTTAAATCTAATGGTGTTAGGGCCTCACTTCATAGCCTCTGACCAGTATTTTTTATTTCTAGGGTCATTCTAAAGTGCAGCCATTACTGAGAATTATTGGTGGAAACTAATTACAATATTGCGTTTATCTATCCGACGAATATTTTAGAAACCAGGTTTGATTCAAGCGTGGGAATGTAGAATTGTAGATCCTGGTCAGGCAGTGGCATCTGGTGTCTCCTGGCAACATCAGAGAATGCATACCCACAGACAGATGAAACCTATGAGGCACTCTTCATGAGTGATATCTAGTGACTAGTTTGTAATGTGTCCAAGACATATAAAGATAGTCCCCATTGCATTTTAAGAAAATACATCTAAATTTCACATTTTAGATCCAGGTGACATGGGTTATTAGAATCAATTATGGTAACACTTTAAATTAAGTGTATTAGAGCTTCAGGGTGATATGCTAAGGTAGCTCCCTTGCTAAGCCCACTCTTAGGACTTGTCACAATCTGGAAGAACACACAGAATACTATTGCCAACATGACCAGGAAAACTGGAAAATGTCAGTTTTAGACATCCCAGTTGTCTCAGTGCTTTCTCAGTACCCTCCGCTGAAAATATATTGTCTACATTTATCACAGCAAAATATAACTTCTATAGAATTTGTCAGTGTTTATTTTTATCATGTCTCTAACCCATTCGCTTATGGAATTACCACAGCATATGATATAATTCTGTCCACTGACACATGAATGAAAGTTCATTGGGATTCCTAGAATACATTTTCACTGGGACTTCTACAAAAAAATTTCAGACACCTCTTCTAGATGTTGTAATATGGCTTTGAACCTTACAAAATGTTGTATCCTTTCGTTTGTATCAAATGAAAATGAAACTGGTGAAAGGAAGGTGGTGAATTGCAGAGAAGCATGTTGGAGATACTTAGGGCACCTCTGCAGCCTGGTCTACTTCTGGATTTCTAGTTACATGAAGCAGTAACTGCTGCCAAGAGCATGATTGCCGTAAGAGTTAGTACATGTTTACCCAGAAAACAGTATGTTCAGGCCCACCATTTTTATCTAAAATGCTTGGGATCGCAAGTATTTCATAAGCATTTGTATTATTTTAGGAAGGCCGTATACATGTTACATACTGTGAAATAAGCTTAGCAGAGCCTAGGACAGCACTACATTATCAAGAAAAAAAATCTCTGGAACAAAAAAAAGTGTGTGGATGAATGGTTGGCTAGAGAGATGGAAATAGATATACTGATACACAGGTATATACAGGTATTTGTGTACACATGTATACACACACATTCACACTATGTATCATAAAGACTATAAATAGTCTCACTTCAGTTCACTTCACGTCTTGTCTAAATTAGTCATAAGCCACTTTCAGTTTTTGGATTTCAGATTTGTGGACAAGCATTGTGAACCTTTTATACTTATATTACTCTTCTCTTCCTCTCATTCTTTTTTCTCTTTACCCTTTTATGTTAATCTTAGATTATGGCACCAGAGATAAGAAGATAATGTGAACAACAAATATAATTACAATCAGTCCTGTATGACTGATTTTTAAGATTATTTTGTTAATTTTTAAAACTCAATTTCTTCTAATTATATTTGGCAATGATAGGCTATATTAACTCATAATTCGAGCAATTTGAAAAAATTCAATTTAATGCTTATTCATTAAAATGTTCAAGAATCAATAATAATTTAATCATAAGACATAAGTACACATATTAAGATTGTAAAACTAATGGTCATCTAATTCTCTTAGATAATTAGGTTATATACAAAGATTGTCCAGAAATTGCATCTAATTAAAGCATGAATGAAGTAATCATCAGAAGTTCATAAAAGACTTTCCTTCATCATCTTCCTTTTCTCCCTGGTCATATTTCTCACTTTTCATTAGTTCACAAATTAATCATTCCAAGCTATTCAAATTCGGAGAGCAAGAAACTCAGAAGTAGCATAGCCTTAACAAGGGATGCATATGATAACACATTAAATGTATTTCAAAATTTTATTTCCAGGTTTTGCATACCGTGATTTTATATGTTTAGTGTTACAGAAAGGTTTAAAATATCTTAATCAGAATTTAAATGCACCGTGATCCTTGGGTATATGTTTTACATTTCAATCTCTACATTTTTTTCCACTGTAACGTAACTTTGCACATGAGTCATTTGAACTAGTTTATTTATAAACATGTAGCTCTGGCTGAAGAGACCTAAATGATTCCTTTAGTTTTAGACTCATCCCCATTTCTTACTCATCACCTGAATAAGGATATCCTACAGATACTTCCAATTCAAGAAGGTCAAAACTGACCGCAAGCTCCTAACAAAGCAAGCTCTCCTTTTTTAATTCTCCTTTTCATTAGATGCTATTCCATTTGCATTCAGTCAGGAACAGAGATACTTGGGGGTCATCCCCGACTCCTCTTCATCATCAGTTTCCACATCCAGTCTACTTGCAATGTTTGACAACATACTTCATAACTATCCTTTATCAGTTTTCTTCTTTGTCACCCACATTAACAAGGATTAAGATCAGCTACTTAGTGTCTCTTGCAGTGGCTGTACAATCATGTTGTGGTTTCCCTGATGCCACTTGTGTACCCTTCATATTCCTCTGTCCTAAATTGGCCAGAGTGATATTATTAAAATGTAAATATGGCCATGTCATTCCTATTCGAAATTCTGCAAGAACTTATGACAAATAATGTTCTATATGATGTGCCACTGCTTAACTCTCCAAATTGATTATCTGATAAATTCTGTTTCAAATGTTATCTTTCAATGTGTGTTTTTACCTACATAAACAATAATATGTTACCTGTTAGGACCAAGCACTGGGGATACAAAAAAAGTAATATATGGTCCCAACTGCTAAAAAGGCCACAGGCATGTAAACAAAAACTAACAAAGTTTTTGTAATAGTAGAGATATCCACCATATTTGATGACAACACAGGATGGGCTGAGGATAGCTAAATATACTTATTTATTTTCCGTTTATACACCAACTAGTGCACTTTGACTTTCTCTCCTTACCACTTTGCAACAGGTGCATCTTTCAAGGTCATGAACATTTTTAATTTCTTATTGAACAATAATATTTGACATACCCAAAAGATAATCTCTTTTAAACTTTATAATCCTTTGGCGTACATTAGAAAATTAGACTCTATAATTCTGTTTTCTCCTTAATAACACTTTGTTTTGTTTTCTCTTAGAGTCATCCAGCTCTGTTTCCTCTTAACCACTGTGTTCTACTCTTTATTATCCTTAAATGCTTGTTGAACAACCTCATCCACTTTCATACATATCAACTACTTACTTTATATTGTAATGTTTCACAGATGTCTGTCTCTAGGCTTGACCATCCTTTTGAGATTTGGATTCCTACATCTGACTACTTAACAGGTGTATATCCTCTAGATACTCCTGAAACAAGGTCTATATGCCCCATGCTATGAAGCAGCATCAAACATTCTAGTCCCCACATGTATCATCATATCGTTCTGATTGTATATTTTATCTTTCTCTTGTATTAGGTAGTTTTTAGAAAGAATACAAGTCTTGTACTCATTCTTTTGTAATTATTGCCAAATATTTTATTCTTTTTGATGCAATATTCAATGGAATTATTCATTTAATTATCAGATTTTTAATTATATCTATTTGATTACAATTGATTTTTTCTGTAGAGACTAAAACTGTGTGTGTGTGTGTGTGTGTGTGGACTACTATTTGATATATTGCCCAGGTTAGAGTGCAGTGCCTATTCACAGGCATGATTGTAACACACTACAGACTCAAACTCCTGGACTCAACCTATTCCCCTACTTCAGCCTCCCAAGTAGCTGGGACTACAGGCTTTGAAGGCAATTGATTTTTGTATATTGATCTTGCATCCTGTCACTTTGATAAACTCACTTATTAGATCTAATAGCATTTTGTGGATTTCTGAGGACTTTCTATATAGAAGATCATGTTATCTGCAAATAGTGGTTTTTTAATTAATTAATTTATTCTTGGCTCACTGCAACCTCCGCCTCCTTGGTTCAAGTGATTCTTCTGCCTCAGCCTCCTGAGTAGCTGGGACTACAGGCATGTGCCACCATGCCCAGCTAATTTTTGTATTTTTAGTAGAGACAGTGTTTCACTATGTTGGCCAGGATGGTCTCAATCTCTTGACCTCGTGATCTGCCTGCCTCTGCCTCCCAAAGTACTGGGATTACAGGCATGAGCCACCCCGCCTGGCTTATTTATTTATCTTTAAAATTTGCATGTATTTTATTTATTATTCTTCCTCATTACCCTAGATACCAGTACAATGTGAAATGGAAGGGTGAATGTGATTTTTTTTTTCCATAGAGGAAGCATTTCTTCTTCTTTTACCACTAAGTATGATATCAGCTGTGTATTAATCATAGATGCCCTTTATCAGGTTTGAGGTTGAGGTTGAAGTTTGTCAGGTTGAAGACATTCCCTACTGTTCCTAGTTTGTTGAGTATTCTTTTCAGGAAAGGGTTTGAGATTTTGTCAAATGCTTTTCCTACATATATTGAGATGACTATGTGATTTTTGTCTTTTATTCTTATTAGTATGGTATATTACATGGATTAATTTTCAGATGTTAATTCAAACTTACATTTCTGGGATAAATCCTACTTGACCATGGTACATCGTCCTTTTTGTATGTTGCAACATTTGATTTGCCAGTATTTTGTTGAGGATATTTGCAAGATGTGTTTATCATATTTTGGTATCAAGATAATGCTAGCCTAATAAAATGAATTGGAATATGTTTCCTCCTCTTTCATACTTTGGAAGAGTTTGCAAGGGACAAATATTATTCTTTGAATGTTTGGTAGAATTTACCAGTGAAGCTGAGACTGGGCTTTACATTGTAGGTAGCTTTTAAAATATCAGTTCAATTCCTTCAATTATTAAAAGACTATTCCAATGTTCTACTTCTTCTTGAATTAGTTTTGTTAATTTATTTATTTCTAGAGCATTGTCCACTTTATTCAGGTTATCATATTTGTTGGCATATAGTTGTTGATAATATTAACTTACAATCCTTGTATTTCTATAAGATCAGTAATAATGCCTCTTCTTTTATTCCTGATTTACTAATTTGAGTCTTTTATGGTTTCATTTATGTCAGGCTAGCTAAACTTTGCCATTTTGTTGATTTGTTAACAAACCAACTTTTAGTTTGGTTGATTTCCTCTATTGTTTTTCCAATCTCAATTTCATTCATTTTCACTCTAATCTTTATCATGCCTCTCCTGCTTCCTTTGGGTTTTATTTGTTTTTCTTTTCCCAGTTTTTCAGGGGAAAGCTTATATTATTTGAAATTTGAGATTTTTTAAATGTAGGCATTTATAACTATAAATTTCTCTCTAATCACTGCTTTACCTGCATCCTATAGATTCATCCATGTTGTGGCTTTGTTTTCATTTATCTCATGGTATTTTCTAATTTCTTTTGCTATTTCTTCTTTGAATGATTAGTTATTTAGGAATGTGTTTTTAAATTTCTACTTGTTTTGAATTTCCCAAATTTTCTTTTATTATTAATTTCTAATTTCATTCCATTGTGGTCACAAAACATACTATGTATGATTTTATTCCTTTTACATATATTGAGGTTTGTTTTATGGAGTAACTTATGGTCTATCCTGGAGAATGTGCCATATACACTTGAGAATGTGTTCTAGGGATATCTGTTAGTTATCATTGATTTATAGTGTTGATCAAGTCTTCCATTTCCATGTTGATTTCTACCTAGTTTTTCTATCCATTACTGAAAGTGAGCTAATAATATCTCCCACTATTACTTATTATTGAATTGCCAATTTCCCCCTTCAATTCTGTCAATTTTAAAAAATATATTCTAGGGCTGTCTTTAGGTCCATATATGTTCATAATTGTTTTCTTGCTTACGAACTTATACCTTTTCGTTTAAATGTTCTTCTTTGTCTCCAGTAACAAGTTTGCCTTAACATTCATTGGCATATACTTGTTGATGATATTATCTTATAATTCATGTATTTCTATAAGGTCAGTAATAATGGGCCAGGTGCAGTGGCTCACGCCTGTAATCCCTGCACTTTGGGAGGCCAAGGCGGGTGGATCACCTGAGGTCAGGAGTTTGAGGCCAACCTGACAAACATGGCAAAACCCATCTCTACTAAAAATACAAAAATTAGCCAAGCTTGGTGGTGGGTGCCTGTAATCCCAGCTACTCGGGAGGTTGAGACATGAGAATAGCTTGAACCCTGGAGGCAGAGGTTGCAGTGAGCCAAGATTGTGCCATTGCACTCCAGCCTGGGCAAGACTCCGTCTCAAAAAAAAAAAAAAAAAAAAAAACAGTAATAATGTCTCTTCTTTCATTCTTTTATTCTATACTAATAGTATAGCCACTACAGCTCTGTTTTGTTTACTATTTGCATGGTATATTTTTTTCATCCTTATATTTTGAACTTATATGTGTGTTTAAATTTAACATGTGTCTCTGGTAGACAGAATACATGTGGATCATGTAGTTTTACCAAAAATTCATTCAACTAACTTCTGCCTTTTGATAGGAGAATTAAATTCATTTATATTTATTATAATTGCCAACATAGTAGGATTTACAGCTGGCATTTTGCTATTTGTTTCTATATGTCTTATGTCTTTTTCTTTGTCTATTCTTTCATTACTGTTTTCTTTTGTACTAAATTAATATTTTCTCATGTGCTATTTAAAACCCCTGTTTCTTTTACCGTATTTTAGGATTTTTCTTAGTGATAGCCCTGAGCATTACAATTAAAATATTAACTTAAATATTTAGT